>NC_000006.12:105070790-106320790 GCF_000001405.40 Homo sapiens
TGCCCTTTCACCGTACTATTTTCCCTGGATGTAACCACTCTTTATTTGTCAATTCACTGTCTTCCCTCCCAGTGGTTTTTACATTCATTCATTCATTCATTCATTTGACGGAGTCTTGCTCTGTCACCCAGGCTGGAATGCAGTGGTGCAATCTCAGCTCACTGCAACCTCTGCCTCCTGGGTTCAAGCAATTCTCCTGCCTCAGCCTCCTGAGTAGCTAAAATTATAGGCACGCACTACCATGCCTGGCTAAGTTTTGTGTTTTTAGTAGAGACGGAGTTTCACTGTGTTGGCCTGGCTGGTCTCAAACTCCTCCTGACCTTGTGATCCGGCCACCTAGACCTTCCAAAGTGCTGAGATTACAGGCATGAGCCACTGCACCCGGCCGGTTTTTACATGCATTTGAAAATGCACACAATTACTTATAATCATGTCTAATGTCTTTGAAACATAAATTCGATCATACCGTATTTATGTATTATGCCGTGGTTTGCTTTTTTTACTTAACAATTTGTCTTGGAGATCTTTGCATGTCAATACATATAAATTTACCTCAATTTTTAAAAAATTATTTCATTATTCTACTATCTGCAAAATGTTTTTTGGTATATGTGGCTTTAATTTATTTTTCATTTTAACAAGTTTATAGCTTAACAATAACAATTAGTTATTGTTAGCATTATTATTATAATTTAATTTTTCTAACTTTTTACCAGTATGGACAATGCTGTTGTTAATATCTTAGTACCTGAATCATTGTGTTTATCAGTGAATATTCCTGTAGAGCAAATTCCTAGAGTGAGAGTTACTAGGTCAGAGAGTATGTGTATTAATATTTTCCAATATGCTGTCAAATTGTCCTCCAAGAGAGGCAGTCTCAATTTACATTCACTCCAACCAATATAATCTGATTGCAATATTTCAGAGCCTAAATAAATCATTCATACTGCAGTGTGATTTAATGGGCTAACTAAAATTTCCATCTTCTCTCTTTTGACTGGAATTTTATTGAGTGAGTTTGATAGCACTGATTATATAGCATATCAGCTTAAAATTCCAATTTATAATCTTAAACATATGATTAAAGAGAATAGAAAAAGTATTCACAAATTTTTAGACCAAGTTTTTCAACATGTAAAGTATAGGAGAGATGAAAAGAAAATTCAGCCTTGGCAGTGTAAAGAATCTGGATTGGACTACTCCCAGTCTTTTGTTTTATAGATGGGATGCTCAAAGAAACACGCTGACCTCCCCAGTAACAAAGTCTCAGGAAAAGTCTACTTCAATTCTTTTGTGTCTGTGTGTGTGTGTGTGTGTGTATTAGTGTTTTAAATTCAAGATCCTAGATATTTTAGACTTACATATAATAAAATTACATCAATATTGTTGGGTATAACATTTTTATGTAATCAAAATGGAAGTGAAATTTAATTGCTTTCAATTAAAATTCCTTTCTAGATAATCTCTAAATTTCTTCATCAATACAATTTAGATATTGTAGTTCCCAATTCATAGGCTTTGGGGGTGGATTAAATTATATAACACATTAAAAACCTTTAGCACAGTGTCTAGAATTTAGTAAGCTCTCAGTGAATTGAACCTGTTTATTATTTCTGTTATTACCATTTTAATTCTCTTAAAAGTAAAAGTATGTTTAGTCCTTCTGTATATAGAATATTTTGTTTTTAGCATGATTAAGGTAACAGAGGGGCATGATGCTGGCTTCTATATTCCAGAAGATCCAAATGAAAACTTTTCTGGTGTTAAATGTGTATTTATTATCTAGGAAACTTTTTAAAAGAACATAAATCATCAGTATCACCAACTAACTATTTTTGAAAACTCAGTGTTTTTACCACTGTACTTAGAATATATAAAAATTTAAGTATGGAAAACATACTTAAATAAAAATTAACTTTACTAAAATTGTTATTGTTTAACTGGCTTACAATCTTATGAATTTGGTTATGAGAAGAATGAAATAAAAGAAACTAATTCATTAAAGTATAGGTTGATAGAGGTCAGAAGACATGTACACTATTAAAGAGACTTACTAGTTCTGTGACTCATCAAAGTTTCCTAACTCCTCTCTTGGTATTTTGGGGCTAGTCCTGTGGAGTGAGTAAACAATACCCAAATGTTTATTTAGATTGTGTAGAATCAGTCAGAACAAAATGGGGCCTTCTTTAGGAAGGTTGGTTCCAGGATCTGCCCCTCTTACCTTCAGGAGGTGTACAGGGTAGGCAGATTGCTTCCATCAATATGCTCTGGATCCTTTGCTTGTCAGCTCTCTGTGGTTCTCTAATAACCTTTCTGCCCACCCACCTCCCCACCACCAGCTGGCTGTGATCCAGCACTTCCATGTGTTCAGTTGATTGGCACACAATTTTAATTAAATAACAAGTATTAAAACATACTAGAATAAAAAATAATAGAGCTGAGGAATGTTATTAGTATCATTTCTGGATTTTAGTTGGACTGTACCAAGGTTTAAAATGATCTCTTCAAAGAATCAGTTATTTTTCCTTCAGTTTAGTTCCTGTAATTTTTTTCAATCTGTGACTTTTCTTTAGCCCCTCTGCCTCCCATTTGGAAACTTTATTAATCCTTTTTTTAGTCCGTTTTTCCCAGGAATTTTTATGAAATTCCTTTTCTGTATTCGTACCTTCTTCCTGCCCAAAGCTTGCACTTCTTTCTCTACTCTTTTCTCTGTCCCTGATACTGCTTTACGTACTATCTTTCAACAATTCCTTCCCCTTCAGAAGCTTACAGATCACTGTCAAAATTATCCTTAATGCCCCCATCAGACCCTCAGAATGTGGATTTGAGTTTACATATAAATTCTTATTAACTTAAAATGTTCAAGTACTGTGAAGAATCCTAAGATACATTTTTTTCCATTATACTTTTAGACAAGCAAATCTGGATCTTCCTCTGTGGTATCGCCCCTCTTCCCAATTTTTTTCATCACTCTCAGGATCGAGAGGGAATATATAACTGATGAATATTTTCATTTACACCATTGGAATATTATTTAAAAATTAATGTCTATATTTTAACCTAGTGGTTGTCCGCTGTGCTCAGCTCCATTATTGCTGATATCATTTGAAAATATAATCTGCTTATTCAGTTGTTTGGATCAAAAAATGCAAACATTTTTAATGGTCATAGCAGATCTAAATTCTGATTTCTGAATTAGTTTTCATTTTTTGATGAAATCCTCAGAAATTTGGGTATGTTTTGATTAACTTATTAACTAGTGTAGGTGTTTGGACTTGATTTTTAAAAACTCATGTAATTACTTCAGAATATAATTAAATAGTTCTAAAGGTCTAAACAATTTGTTTTTATTTATTTAACCATCATAAGTGCCTCTATTCTATCCATTGTTGCCATTCTTTCATTTAAAATCTTTTCTTTTTTTTGAGACAGAGTCTCGCTCTGTCGCCCAGGCTGGAGTGCAGTGGTGCAATCTCAGCTCACTGCAAACTCCGCCTCCTGGGTTCACGCCATTCTCCTGCCTCAGCCTCCCAAGTAGCTGGGACTACAGGCCCCCGCCACCATGCCCGGCTAATTTTTTGTTATTTTTAGCAGAGACAGGGTTTCACCATGTTAGCCAAGATGGTCTCGATCTCCTGACCTCGTGATCTGCCCACCTCGGCCTCCCAAAGTGCTGGGATTACAGGCGTGAGCCACCGCGTCAGGCCTTAAAATCTGAAATTATAAATCTTATTTTGATAGTGTCTCAAAAATGTTGACTTTGATTTGATTGTTAATTATCTTCTATCTTTAAACGCTCCTTAAATAAGAAATAATACTTGTAGAATATGCTAGCTCATTAGAATTACAGTATTTATAAAATGATTTTATGAAGAACTTGATAACCGTCTAAGATTAAACTGAACATTTTTGTTTATTTTATCTTTGTTTGTTAAAACAGAGTCTAGCCCTGTTGCCCAGGCTGGAATGCAGTGAATCAATCTTGGCTCACTGCAGCCTCTGCCTCCCTGGATCAAGCAATTCTCCTGCCCCAGCCTCCTGAGTAGCTGGAACTACAGGTGTGCCCCGCCACACCTGGCTAATTTTTTGTATTTTTAGTAGAGACAGGGTTTTGCCATGTTGGCCAGGCTGGTCTCAAACTCCTGACCTCAAGTGATCTGTCCGCCTCAGCCTCCCAGAAGTGCTGGGATTACAGGCATGAGCCACTGCACTTGGCCTATTTTATCTTATTTGTAATGCATGAGAAAATATCCTTTGTGCCATTGGTTCAGCATTTAATAAAGTACTTAGCATGAATAATTTTATTTTTTATGTTGGACTATGGGAATATATAATAAAGTATGAGTATAGTTTTCTTTGTATGGTCTTTTGTGTGAGACTATGTCCTTATATTTCTTAAGCATATAGCTAAAAATGGACACACATGATATTTTTATGCTCACATCACAATGTAAAATTCATTCCAACTACAAAGGCAAACTGATGTGGAACAGTGTGGAGGGTGAACAAAGGGGACTAAAATCATGTATAGCTTGTATGGAGTATATAGTTGTGGTATAATTTGTGAGCTGCAAGGTAGCTGAACATTTCTATTTTGGTGTCAGTCCCTTGGGAAGGAAGGGGTTTCATAATGGAGAGTGATCTGTACTCTTAGTAAGAGTGATTGACACTGAATGATTAAATAGAAGAGAATATAAATACCACTCCTCCCCCTTTTAAGGCTAAGCACATAGACACTAAATGCAAATCTTTTCAATGTGGAAGAAAGTCTGGCCTAATGATAGCACATATCAGGAAAGCCAAGGGGGTGAATTAACTATGCAGATCAAAATGTAAGGAAACCAAAATTATATAGCATCCTTAAAAATAACTTTTATAGCCCAAATCTAATGGTAAATGCACAGATAGAGGGTAATTGAAGATCCCATTTGTGAAAGTAGAATACTGACATCAGGCTCCTGGTCAATGAGTGGGCAAAATGGTTCCCTGAATTGGATAACACAGTGCATACCACGGTGACTGATAAAATTGATGTGTCTGCAGGAGAGCCAGCCCTATTACTGAAGCCTTTAACCTATTTTCTGTCTCTTTGAAAATGAGCTCCTGAGTGGAAGTTATCCTCAAGGAAGTGAATTTAATTCAAAAGAAGATATTTTATAGATGGGCAACTTTAATTTAAGAATTCACTTATCTATTGTAGAGGAGAACTGTGTGGGAAAATATATTATTATAAGTAATGTGGTTATATTTTTCAAATATGTCATTTTTTAGTGTTATTTTGAGAACCTGAATTTTAAGCATTAGCAAGTAAACTTTATTATTTAATCTTACACTCTCTTAGAACATATGGCTGAAACAATATTGAATCTGCACTGTAATACTTTATTAAGATATGTAATTATACAATGAATAATTTAACTACAACATGTGATTTCTTGTTTTTTTTTCTCTTTTTGAAAATATGATTCAGTCTGTCCTAAGATAAATACTTGTTAATCATTGCAAAGAATAAAAGCCCATCTTATAAATTCATTATTCTAAAGTATATAAGGTAATATTGCTAACTGGAGAAGCAGGCAATAGTTACCCTAATTTTTGCCAATTAAAAAATTCACTGTTCAATTTATGCCAGGAGATAAAATACTAAATATCCTATATACACTGCTTAGTAGGTTGTTAGTACCTTAGTAGTTTGTCTATGAAATATAAGGTAGAATAAATTATTAAGTTTGATGTTCTCACACACATACAAATATGTCATCATAATTCACTTCTTGTTGTGAGTCTGGACTTAAGCCAATTTTCTCAGTTAACACTTTTTTTGTTGTTGTTGTTGGAGATGGAGTCTCACTCTGTCGCCAGGCTGGAGTGCAGTGGCGCAATCTCGGCTTACTGCAACCTCCGCCTCCCAGGTTCAAGCAGTTCTGCCTCAGCCTCCCGAGTAGCTTGGGACTACAAGCGCGCGCCATCATGCCCAGCTAATTTTTGTATTTTTAGTAGAGGCAGAGTTTCACCATGTTGGCCAGAATGGTCTGGATCTCCTGACCTCATAATCCGCCTGTCTCGGTCTCCCAAAGTGCTGGGATTACAAGCGTGAGCCACCGCCACCCAGCTAGTTAAAACATTTTGTTATTATTTTTTAAAAACATTATAACCTGGCTGGGTGCAGTGGCTCACGTCTGTAATCCCAGCACTTTGGGAGGAAGGGGCAGGCGGATCACTTGAGGTCAGGAGTTCAAGACCAGCCTGGCCAACATGGTGAAACCCTGTCTCTACCAAAAATACAAAAATTAGCCGGGCATGGTGGCACATGCCTGTAATCCTAGCTACTCCCGAGGCTGAGGCAGGAGAATCGCCCAAATCCGGGAGGCAGAGGTTGCAGTGAACCGAGATCACTGCACTCTGGCCTGGGCAACAGAGAGAGATTCCATCTCAAAAAATATATATATATAACCTGTTGTTCTTTGTGCTTCATAAATGAGATTTATGGAGTCATAAATGTATTTGGAAAATAAAATAGAAAGCTCTTAAAATATTTCATTTGGAGACAAGTCATTAAACAAATTCTGTATTTAAAATCAGATTTAACACCTTTGGTAAATATAAATTTTTCTTAGTTTCTTCCACTAATGGTTTTTTTGTTACTTTTAATATAAAATTTTAGAAGAAAATCTGATTGAACAAATATACCTCTGAAAAAATTTTCTTGCTTAGCTTTCCTTGCCAAGCTAAAAGCTGAACTTTCAAACATCTAATACAAAGCCATGTCCCCAGTGTGCATTCACATATTATGGACGGATTTCCATTTATTTTAACTTAAAAGAGATCACCCTAAAAGAAAGCTAATTTCTTACAAAAAAGAAAAGAAAGTTAACTTTTCTCATCATTGAACTAGCATGAACCTTTATTAATTCAATCTAAGTATTTAGAAGCTTTCTTTTTTTAGCACTGTTCTGATTCAGACATTTACTCTATTGCTCTAAAATTACTTGGTAATTTGCCAGATATCATCCTGACTTTCTGACTAGACTCTGACTTTCTTATATATCAAATTTCACTGCATTACTTAATTTTATACAAAGGAAAAAAATTTTTCCAGTTTAGCTGGTTTCTACAGTCAAAATAATTAACATTCAAAGAAGTGTTAAACTTTTAAATTTGGTCTAAAATTTTGCCAGTTTCTGAGTGAATTGCCACTTTGTATCATGCCAACAGCTGTATTTCTACACTCTTGTTTTTAAAACTGGCTTGTTGTTTTTTGTTGAATATTCGCTGCCCTCTAGTGGGCTTAATGGTTCTTTTAAAATGACCAGATAGTGTCAAATTTAAAGGAATCCTTTCTATATGGAAGTGATTAAATATTCTTACATGTTTTAATACTCTTGTTTTTCACTGTGTTTAGTTGTGTCTCACACAACTAAGTTTTTAACCTCACCAGAACATTTTGGTGATGATAGTCTTTGAACCAACAGTGTAACCAGTATAAACAATGATAAATGCTTTTAAGAAGGCACATTAAAATAAGCTTATCTCATTGGTAGTTTGTGTGTTTTCACATTTTAAAATGTGTTTTTGGATACATGCTGCCTACTTCTAAGATGTTTTCATCTTTTTTCCTTGTAGATGCTACAACTGTGGTGGCCTTGATCATCATGCTAAGGAATGTAGTCTACCTCCTCAGCCAAAGAAGTGCCATTACTGTCAGAGCATCATGCACATGGTGGCAAACTGCCCACATAAAAATGTTGCACAGCCACCCGCGAGTTCTCAGGGAAGACAGGAAGCAGAATCCCAGCCATGCACTTCAACTCTCCCTCGAGAAGTGGGAGGCGGGCATGGCTGTACATCACCACCGTTTCCTCAGGAGGCTAGGGCAGAGATCTCAGAACGGTCAGGCAGGTCACCTCAAGAAGCTTCCTCCACGAAGTCATCTATAGCACCAGAAGAGCAAAGCAAAAAGGGGCCTTCAGTTCAAAAAAGGAAAAAGACATAACAGGTCTTCTTCATATGTTCTTTCCTTTACCCGGTTGCAAAGTCTACCTCATGCAAGTATAGGGGAACAGTATTTCACAAGCAGTAGCTGACCTGGGATTTTAACTACTATTGGGGAACTGTGAATTTTTTAAACAGACAAATCACTCTAAGCAAATTACATTTGAGCAGGGTGTCATGTTTTATGTTAATTCAGAGAATAAGATACTATGTCTGTCAATATGTGCATGTGTGAGAGGGAGAGAGCCTGAGTCTGTGTGTGTACATGAGGATTTTTATATAGGAATGTAGACACATATATAAAGAGGCTTTGTCTTTATATATTTGTGTATAGATCAAAGCACACACCCTCTCTCATATAATTGGATATTTCCAAGAATTGAAAACCCATGTGAAGCATTATAGATAGTTTTAAATTTAACCCACTGGAGTTTTCTTGAAATACCACTTCTTTTATATTATATAAAACTAAAAACACGACTGTTACCTTTTGTGTGAACCAAAGGATACTTCAGATCTCAGAGCTGCCAATTATGGGGTACTAAAGGTTTTTAAGACATCCAGTTCTCCCGAATTTGGGATTGCCTCTTTTTCTTGAAATCTCTGGAGTAGTAATTTTTTTCCCCCTTTTTTGAAGGCAGTACCTTAACTTCATATGCCTCTGACTGCCATAAGCTTTTTTGATTCTGGGATAACATAACTCCAGAAAAGACAATGAATGTGTAATTTGGGCCGATATTTCACTGTTTTAAATTCTGTGTTTAATTGTAAAATTAGATGCCTATTAAGAGAAATGAAGGGGAGGATCATCTTAGTGGCTTGTTTTCAGTAGTATTTTAATATCAGCTTCTTGTAACCTTTTCCATGTTGTGAGGGTTGTAAGGGATTGTGTGGCAACAGCAGCTTCCCTTGGCTAACTCAATCTTCTACCCATTGCTTAGAGCAGGGAGCCCTCCTTATTTACTACTGAAGACCTTAGAGAACTCCAATTGTTTGGCATATATTTTTGGTGGTGGTTTTTATTCCTCCTGGAGAGTTATCTAATTTGTTTCTAAAACAAACAAGCAGCAAAGAAATGAATTAAATACTGGGGTTGAGAATTAAAATTAAGTGGATGTTCACAGTTGCCCAATATATATGACCTGCAAATGATACGAAAAAGTGCAGCATTTAGTGGCAGTTAACAAGAGTGACAAGCCTGGGGCAGAGGTACCAAACCTCTCCCACCAGAGAGCTAGAAGTATTTTATACAGTAACTTTGATCTTATGGAAGTGACCTTCAATGCTTATTCTGAAGTAACCTATATGGTGGATACAGGATGAACATTCAGTGCCAGGGAGAATCTTCTCAGGTTGGTTCTCGTTAGAGTGATAAACTGGCTAGGGGCCATAGTATTGGTCCTGTTAGGTTTCGGTCATGGAAAAAAAAATTATTTTGGGGTCATCCTGGCTCTAGATGTTATGGGCAAATTTCTGAAACATCTGCAAGAAGGTACCAGTTAATTATAGTGCTTAATATTGGGAATAAGATTAAGCATTATAATTATAATGTATGGGCCTGTTGGTGTAAGCTCAGATAATTAAATAAAAATAGCATGACTCAAATGAGACATATTCTGCTGAACAGTTTCTACTTCCTCTCCCGCCTGTCCTGTCATGGGAGACGTGTATAGTTGCTGCTGTTTCAGCAAACCACCATAAGACGAAAATGCCTCAGGTTGGGTTGCCAGTCCTTTACAACTCAGCTTGAATTTCACAACAGTGATTGTGAGAATCTGCGTGGTATACACTGAAATATCGGTGTGCTGTGATGCAAAGCTTACCTTTGACGATATTGAATGTGATATAGCTGTAGAGAAGTACTTCCTTGCCTTATGTGAGGATTTCAAACTTATTTAAATTATGTAGACAAATCAAAGTGGCATTGCTTAATTTTTAGCAGGCATAATAAGCAAGTTAACAGTAAAATGCAAAACATGATAAGCGTTGCTCAATTTTTAGCAGGTATAATAAGCAGGTTAACAGTAAAAATGCAAAACATGATAGATAAGTCACTTTGAAAATTCAAACCAAAGTTCCTTCACCTTATGGAAATAGGAAATTATGGACTTCAAAATTGGACACTTCCTGTTTACAAAAAGAAATTCAGAGCTAAAATCATGGTAAAAAAAAATAGAAACACTTGAGAACTATGGTCTTTATGGGTGCAATTTGAAATCCTTTTCATCATCTTACCAGACTAAACTAAGAGCACATACCAAACCTATCTTATGGTTGAAAGTTGGGGTTTATTTTTTATATGAGAATATTATCACTATTACATAACATACTCAGGACAAAGAACTTTGCTCAGGGAACATACCATGTAATATTTTTGTTGTTTCTTTACAGACTAGTCTACAGTCCTGCTTACTCAAAACAAACCAAATAACTTATACCTTTATATAAGTATTATGTACTGATGATAGTAACTACCTCTGAGTTTGACACAGATCAAAATTTTTGAATATCAGATATCAGTTATCCTATTTTTATTTCATGTGAAAACTCCTCTAAAGCAGATTCCCTCAACTCTGTGCATATGTGAATATCACTGATGTGAACACATTGTTCATTTACATAGGTAAAATATTACTCTGTTTACAGCAAAAGGCTACCTCATAGTTGATACATAGCACACCTGTATGTATGCTGTTCCAGCCTTACAGGTGGCTGATAATTCTCTGGTACAGAACCTTTTTATCTGTATTATAAATAGCAATTCACAACTGCATGTTTCTGACAAACACTTGTGAATAATGAAGCATCTCGTTTTAGTTAGCAAAGTCTCCAAACATTTCCTTAAAATAATCATGTATTTAGTTTAAAGAATTATGGGCACTGTTCAACTTAAGCAAAACAGAACACGGAAGCAGTCTTAGAAGCACCACTTTGCCCAGAGGTGGAGGTTGGAAGGGGTAGCAGGGAGAGGGGTTGGTGTATGCAGGTATTCATGCTAGGCAAAGAGTTTAAAAGACGCCAATGTCCTTCATTTACTGTCTGTGCTGCCCTGAAGCCAAGCGTATTGCAGCATTATAGCCCCAGGCACATAACTAACTAGCACTGGCTTGCCAAGGAATGAACATGCAATGCCATTACTAGCTATTGAGGGAAAAGGGTCTGTGTGAAGCATCACTTTGCAGGGATTACTAATGGTGGGGCAGCAGGTCTGTGAATTAAGTTATCTCTTGACCTCACCCTCATGTCAACACAAATGTAATTCCTAAACAAGATGCATTGCCAGTCTCTTAGCCCTGTAAGCTGATCTTTTGCTACATGGCAGACTATAATGAAAACATTTTTATACTTGGGTTTCTAGTCTTCACTAGAAGGCCTTGGATGTATTTTTGCAGTTGAAAGATTTAGAAAGATTTTTACCTGCTTATAACTTGGAAGTTTAGAGTGCAATGTAAGAAAAAAGATCAAGAAATGTCATGTTATTAGCATCAGTCCACCTCCAATATTGCCGATACTTTTTTTATTCTGGCTCAGTTTTATTTTGCACCAGTGCGGCCCCAAGTTACTGCTGGTTGTATTTAGTTTGTGAATAGGAGCCCATAAGTGTTAATAGACTTTGTAACATTCACTATAAGATGAATTATACAGGACATGGGAAATCTCATTAAGTCTTAAAGTTAATTTAAATTAATTTATCTGTTTTCTCTAAGAAATGTTTATCATAAAATATATATGTGTATTTCCCCTTTGGTTATAAAATTTGGGAAAGTATGTACAAGTGCAGCTGCACTGACTTTAATTTTCTAGATGTCTTAATGAGATTTATTTGTTTTAGAGAAGAACATCTTGTTAAAAGCATCAAACTCTGTCTTACATAGCTGTCAACAGCCTCTTTAAGATGTGGTGGTTGTATGATCTGTGTCTTAATTGTTCAGTTAGAGTGAGAAGTTGACCTATGATTCATTTTTAAATTTTATATTTGGAACAAAGCTGCAAGTTATGGTAAAGTACTGTACTGTGAGAAGTATTATGATATTTAATGCATCTGTGGCTTAACACTTGTGAGAGTTACCAGCTTGAAAATGATGGTGTTGACTACCTCTTGAATCACATCTATCAACCACTGGCACCTACCACCAAGCTGGCTTCAATTAGTATGTGTTGCTTTTTGGTATTAACAACTAACCGTACTAGAGACCAAAGTGAACCCTGATTTTTATATGTCTTTAATAATGGTGTTTTATCTAGTGTTTTTAAATTATCCTGTGTAGTATTTAGATTACCTCATTGTCCATTTTGACTCATGTTGTTTACAAGTGAAAATAAAAACACTTGAACTGTATGTTTTTAAAAGACAAAAAAGGGGTAGATGTTTGGAATGCGTTTCACTCGCATGCAGTCATCTGGAGGGACTGAAGCACTGTTTGCCTTTCTGTACACTCTGGGTTTTATATTCTCATTTCATGCCTAATGTCTTATTCTGTCAATTATGGATATGTTGAGGTTTAAAAAAATTACTTGATTAAAAATAAAACATATAACGTTGGCATTTATGATGGGTTTTGGAGATTTTTTATGATGTGTGTTCTTACTAAGTTAAGTGAAAGGATAAAAGGCCATTTAGGCAGTGTTTTACATCAGTTGGAGCATAAGTTAAGTGGTATTAACATATCCTCAGTGGTGAGTATTAACATGGAACTTACTCCAACAATACAGATGCTGAATAAATGTAGTCTAAGTGAAGGAAGAAGGAAAGGTGGGAGCTGCCATCACTCAGAATTGTCCAGCAGGGATTGTGCAAGCTTGTGAATAAAGACACATACTTCATGTAGTCAGAAGAGTGGTCTGAAGCAAAATATTCAAAGCCTATTGAAGAAATCATTTTAGAATTTTTCTACAAGTTTTTTCTAATAAAGAATTTGAAAAGGGCAAATTTTATCAGTACCAAATATCTAAAATACGAATGTAGATTTATCAAACCATGAATGCAGTATTGATGTACTGTAACAAACGATTTGGTAAAACTATTGAGTTCTTTAAATTGGCCAGTTCCACAATCAAACTTATTTTCCTCTCTTCACCTGGATGATTTATTTTTTTGATGATCTGTTATGACTTTTATTTTATTTTAAATTCTGGTAAAATCACATAACATAAAATTTACTATCTTAACCATTTTTTTTTAAAGATGAGGTCTCATTCTGTTGCCCAGGCTGGAGTGCAGTGGTGCAATCGTAGCTTACTGTGGGCTCAAATTCCTGGACTTGAGCGATCCTCCCACCTCAGCCACTTGAGTAGCTGGACTACAGATGTGCACCATGCCCAGCTAATTTTTTTTTTTTTTTTTTGTAGAGATGGAGTCCTGCTTTGCTGCCCAGGCTGGTCTTGAACTCCTGGCTTCAAGCAGTCCTCCCTCCTTAGCCTCCCAAAGGGCTGGCATTACAAGTGTAAGCCACCATGTCTAGCCTTAACCATTTTTGATTATTAAGTATATTCACATTCTTGTACAACCATGTGTGATTCACTTTTCTTTGAAGGGCTTTTTGTACTTTACAGAATATGGAAAACCTTTAAACCTTAAAAGAAAAATACACATAATCCCATCATCTGAAAGTAACCAATAACAGCTTTTATTAATTTATATTTAGTATATGGAATTTTTTTTTCTTTTTGTGAGACAGGGTCTTGCTTTGTCACCCAAGCTGGAGTGCAGCGGCTCAACCATGGCTCACTGCAGCCTCAACCTCCCCAGGCTCAAGTGATTCTCCCAGCTCAGCCTCCCAAGTAGCTGGGACTATAGGCCTACACCACCATGCCTGGCTACGTTTTTGCATTTTTTGTAGAGGTGGTAAAATCACAAAACAAAAATTTACTATCTTGTGGCCTAGGCTGGTCTTGAACTCCTGGGCTCAATTGATCCTTCTGCCTTGGCCTCCCAAAGTGCTGGAATTACAAGTATGAACCACCCCGCCCGGCCAATTTTTGAATTTTTTGTAGAGACAGAGTTTCACTATGTTAGCCAGGCTGGTCTTTAACTCCTGGCTTCAAGGATCCCACCTCAGCCTCCCAAAGTGTTGAGAATGCAGGTGCAAGCTACCACACCTGGCTGAAAATCTTAAAAAAAGAAAAAATTATACATAATCCCATCGCCTAGAAATAACCATTAGCATTTTTTTATTAATTTTCTTCTGGTTACACACACACACACACACACACACACACACACACACACACACAGAGATACATACACATGCGGGTGATTTTTTTTTTTTTTTTTTTGAGATGTAGTCTCACTCTGTTGCCAGGCTGGAGTGCAGCAGTGGGGCAATCTGCTCACTGCAACCTCCACCTCCCTGGTTCAGGCAATTCTCCAGCTGGAACTGTAGGCATGTGCCGCTGCATCCGGCTGATTTTGTATTTTTAGTAGAGACGGTTTCACCATGTTAGCCAGGCTGGTCTTGAACTCCTGACTTCAGACGATCCACCTGCCTTGGCCTCCCAAAGTGCTGGGATTACAGATGTGAACCACCACGCCTGGCCAGTGTTTATACATAGAATAATTTGATCATTAAATAGTCCAATATGCTTATGTAATTAATGCTGCTTTTTTTTTTTTTTCCAAATAAAGAATAGCTGTAAGTCACATTTAGGATAACAGGACGACCCAGCCAGAATCCCAGGCTGTCCTTCTCTGTACACAGAGTACTATGTTTCCTACCCCTGTCTGTGTCTATAAGCCTTTTGTAAGGACCTTTGTATGAAGCTTTTGCTTGCTAGGCTACTAAATCAAAGCAGTGCTGTGTGATAGCCACCATTTTGTGATCGATTCTGCTCCTGATTGCCTGTTATTTTTGTAAAACATTCCTCAAAAACTCTGTGGGGTTTCTTGTTTGCTTTGCTTTCTAGAAATAATTGAAAATTCTTAAAACTTTCACAGTTGCTCAAATGTAATTTCTGTCATCCTCAATTTAGAAACCAGTATGTTGCCCTTTCTAATCCTCTCTCTCTCTCTCTCTCTCTCTCTCTCTCACACACACACACACACACACACACACACACACACACACACACACACACTTTCTGAATTAATTTGGACTGCCTGGAAAATGGTAAATGTTTCTGTGGCTGCATAGCAGGCATGTTTCTTAACACAATATAGGATAGTTTATTGTATTTATAGTGTATTTTGTTTCTAAAATTACTCAAAATTTCTTGAAGATGTGGGCTATTTCTGAAGGTCAAGGGTCTCCATTTCTACTTAATTTCTGAGCTCCTCAGCATCTGTAGCTATATCCGCCTGCTCCAGTTTGTAAAAGTTCTTTAAAACACAAACTCCAACCTTGGAGGTTTTGCTTACACCCCAAATCACATGGTTGGTTTTCTTTTGTCAAGAAGAAAGAAGAGGCTGGACCCACACCTATTAACGTAAGGACAATGCCCAAAGTCAAAGTCCAGGGAAAGACTGTTTCACACTTGAGAATCAAACCACATTTCTGTTTGACTTGGTGCAAATAGACATATTGTTGACCTGTCCTTTCATACTGCTTTTCTACCTTCTAGAAGTGTGGCCTCTCCCTCACTGCCAGTATGTCAGATATTTCAAGTGTTATTTATCACTTTCTTTCTTTCTTTCTTTTTTTTTTTTTTTTTTTTTTTGACGCAGTCTCGCTCTGTTACCCAGGCTGGAGTGCAGTGGTGTGATCTCGGCTCACTGCAACCTCTGCCTCCCGGGTTCAAGTGATTCTTGTGCCTCAGCCTCCTGAGTAGCTGGGATTTTAGGTGCGCGCCACCACACCCAGCTAATGTTTTGTATTTTTAGTAGAGACAGCGTTTTGCCATGTTACCCAGGCTGGTCTTGAACTCCTGGGCTCAGGCAGTCCACCCACCTCAGCCTCCCAAAGTGCTAGGATTAGAGATGTGAGCCACTGCGCGTGGTCATTTATCACTCTTTCATTGAGATCATCGGGCCACATATTGAGCCCTTATAGTTATCAATCTCCACACTGGCTCTTCAAGTTCTCTCATTTCTTCATGAAATTAATTCTCCACAACTTTCATTAACTAGTTCAGATAGTAGTTTTTCTAGTCCCCTGTTAAACTGCTTCTGCCCAAAAGCAATCAAACAGACCCAAAAAATCCACTTAAAACTATATTAATAAAAACCTAATTACAATCATAATTTCCTCACAGTAAAAATCTTGGAAAATGCAGAGGAGGGGCTGCCGTGTGAGAAGCTCCTGCTGTGGTGTTCTGACGATGTGCCCGGTCCACGCTCTACTTCCTTAGGTGGGCTTTTGTTTGTTGAGGCTGCACAGCATTAATGGGGAAACTTATTGCCGGGGAAAATGTAACATAAAACCAAACAGTGGGAAGGGACTCTGGACTGGCATCTGGTTCAATAGTCTGTCTCCATCTAGGATCATACCTGACCATCCTAGATGGTTATTCCCAAAATCTGCTGGAGGAGAGTCCACGAGTTCCTTTAGAATGGAATCAGTAAACAACAACAACAAAAATAAGTAATAAAAGACTGTGGGTCAATGTCAGATTATACAAGAGATCCCATTTAGATGGATACTCAATTTTCCATGATGTGATTATTACGCATTGCATGCCTGTACCAAAATATCTCATGTACCCTGTAAATATATACGCCTACTATGTACCCACAAAAACTAAAACATAATTTAAAAAGAGATCCCATTTAAAGGGACCATATTGACAACCTGCAGTGTTTCTTTTTAGTAAGACATTATTTCTTAATGGAACACTGTCCTTACTAAAATTATCTTCAAGGCTTATGTAAAAGATGTCCTAAATAACACAATCTAAAAAGTATGTCATAATGTACTCCACTGTGCAGTGGGCCTTTAGAAGTGTAAAAATTCCTTATGGTTAAGGTGAAAGTCCGACTTTTAAGAATGTAGAAGAACTGGAATTCAGTAATTCTGAATAAAGATTGAACATGATACAGTTCAGTTGTTGCTTGACACCACCAGAGGGCACTCTTCACTTGCTCTCTGAAACAGATTTTCTTTTACATCCCCTCATAGCTATAATACTCTTTTGAGTACCTGAATATCCACATGATTGATAAACTTACCTAGGAAAATTTCTGACTGAAAAAATGTGTAATTATAAGTAATGCCTTTTGAGCTCTTATGCAGAAGACAGGGGCTGTCAACACAGAGCTCACAATACTGAAGAGATAATCAGGTATTTGTAACTTGTCTAGAAAAAAGTATTTCTAAAAGTCTTCTTGTAATAAGAAACCACAGGACTGTAAACATTCAATTACATTAAATAATCATACTGCATTATTACCCCATATGTTTCTCCCCCACCTTTCAAGCTATAAGAAATATAAAACTTCTCCCAAGCATGGTGGCTCACACCTCTAATCCCAGTGTTTTGGAGGCCAACCCAGAGGGATCTCTTGAGGCCAGGAGTTCAAGACCAGCCTGATTAACATAGTGAGACCCTGTGATGTGGTTTGGCTGTTTCCCCACCCAAATCTCATCTTGAATTGTAGCTCTTACAATTCCCAGGTGTTGTGAGAGGGACCCCGTGGGAGATAACTGAATCATGGGGTTGGGTCTTTCCCATGCTGTTCTCATGATAGTGAATAATTCTCACGAAATCTGATCATTTCATAAAGGGGAGTTTCCATGCACGAGCTCCCTTCTCTTGTCTGCCACCATGGGAGACATGCCTTTCATCTTCCACCATGATTGTGAGGCCTCCCCAACCATGTGGAACTGTGAATCCACTAAACCTCTTTCTTGTGTAAAATTGTCCAGTCTCAGGTATGTCTTTATCAACAGCATGAAAACGGACGAATACAGCCTGATTCTACAAAACCTTAGCTGGGCATGATGGCTTGTGTCAGTAATTCCAGCTGCTTGGAAGGCTGAGGCAGGAGGATTGCTTGAGACCAGGAGTTCGATGCTGTAGTGCCTTTGATCACACCACTGCACTCCAGCCCGGGAGACACAGTGAGACTGTCACTAAAAAAAAAAAAAAAAAAAAAAAAAAAAAAAAAGAAATGCAAGACTTCTTCATTGGGGTTTTATTACTGAAAACTTTGATGTTCCTCTTCTCACTCAGACATCTTAATAGGGCTGCCCATACTTCCATTATTTGAGAAGAAACAATATCTTGTCAAAATGCTGATATCACACCCAGGTATTCTAAGTATTTGATTTAAATGTGTGTCTCTAGATACAAGTTCTGAAAAGAGTTTTCAGGTATAATTTAATGAAGAAATACATCTTTTACCTTCAGCTTCCATTTATGTATCACTGATTAATGTAATAATAGCTTTTACTTTTATAGTGCTTTATCGGTGACATGGTGCTTTAAAATTTAATTCTCACAAAACCCTCCTAAGATTAAGATGGCAGATATCAATATTCCTATATTACAGATGGGTTCAGGGAGATTACATTAACTACTTGGGCTATAACCTGGCTTGGAGCTAGCTAGGAAAGACACCTCAGAATTCTGATTTGAATCATTCTCTTCTTCCAGTCACCAGAACCAGGCAGTAAGCTTCCTTCTGACTCTTTAGGAAGTGCCAAGAAGACAAGGAAGTGAGTAGGAGAGTTGAAAGGATCAAAATCACACACCAATGTGATTGCCCACATTTGCTTCTGTCTGAATGTTTCCATCCATGCCACCCATTTCTACTAGTCATTCTCCAAACCCACTCTCACTCTCATCCTGCTCCACTGTGTTTCTCTGGTCTTGTTTGTTTTTTGTTTTGAGACAGAGTCTTACTCTGCTGCACAGGCTGGAGTGCAGTGGCACAATCTCGGCTCACTGCAACCTCCGCCTTCCGGGTTCAAGCGATTCTCCTGCCTCAGCCTCCCAAGTAGCTGGGATTACAGGTACATGCCGCCATGCCCGGCTAATTTTTGTATTTTTAGTAGAGATGGGGTTTCACCATGTTGCCCAGGATGGTCTCAATCTCCTGACTTCGTGATCCGCCCACCTTGGCCTCCCAAAGTGCTGGGATTACAGGAGTGAGCCACCGCACCCGGCCTCTTCTTTTTTTTTTTTTTGACAGAGTTTTGGTTTTGTTGCCCAGGCTGGAGTGCAATGGTGCAATCTCAGCTCACTGCTGCAACCTCTACCTCCCAGGTTCAAGTGATTCTCCTGCCTCGGCCTCCTGAGTAGCTGGGATTATAGGTGCGCACCATGCCTGGCTAATTTTTGTATTTTTAGTAGAGACGGAGTTTCACCATGTTGGCCAGGCTGGTCTGGAACTCCTGACTCAAGTGATCCACCTGCTGCGGCCTCCCAAAGTGTTGGGATTACAGGCGTGAGCCACTGCGCCTGGCCGTGTTTCTTACAGTGGGAAGCAAGGCTATGAATGCACTAGCCTGCGAAGCCTGGACCTGCCAGGAGTTCCACCCAATCACCTGGCATGTTTGTGCAAGGGAAGCTCCTGGACCTCACCCCAGACCAGAGTTTCTCAACCTTCCTATCCATATGAATCACCTGGGAGCTTTTAAGACTCCCAATGCCCAGATGAATGGCATCAGAATCTTTAATCCCAACGTGCAGCCCAGGCTAAACCCACTGTCCCGGCAGGTGCATTGTGTCAGTATCTGTGAGGGTGGGCTCTTGGAGCTAGACTTTTAACTGGTTCCCTGAGTGACCGTTTTATAAAAAGTCTGAAAACTACTGGCCAGGAGCCAATAAATACAAGTTGCTTTTAACTGGACTGTGAACAAGAATACGTGGGTTCTAGTTTTTCTTGGGTTCAATTTTCCTGGCTGTGTTTTTCATCTGCCCAATGGGGGCAGGGGGTGGACTCAAACAATCAGACCTCAAAGTGGTCAAGAGGACCTCAAAATGTGGTCCTTAACAGCAGCAGCAGCATCCTGCCCCGGCAACATGGCAAAACCTCATCTCTACAAAAAATACAAAAATTAGCCAGGCGTGGTGGTGCGTGCCTGTATACCCAGCTTCTTGGGAGGCTGAGGTGGTAGGATCGCTTGAAGCCAGGAGATCAAGGCTGCAGTGAGCTGTGATAGCGCCACGGCACTCCAGCCTGGACAACAGAGGGAGGCTCTGTCTCAAAATAAAAAGAAAGTTATCCTCAGCATAACTTTTTTGGATCAAGAGGTGACCAATAATCACAGACGTCTGAGTGCTAGCAAGGGTCTGAGGAGGTTCAGAACTTCCTTGTCCTTGGTCAGGTCACAATGCTCCTGTAAACCTTTAACAAAATAGTTGATTTGCTTTTTAAAATATATATACTTCCCCTTTATTCCCAGAGCTGGTTTCAAAAGCTACAGGATTGCTGTTTTTGTGTTTTATCTTAGTTCTCTAAAATTATCCTAGGCTACGTGCAGGAATGGGTACAGGCCCTTTAAACAAATGGAGTTAGTTGTGTTAGTTCTTTTCTTGTTTCACTGTTACACCAGTGCTTTCCATCCACTGGCTGCCTCAGAGAGGTCTCTGCAGCCTCCTCTCTGCCCAGTGCTTTCTGGAGCCACTTGTCTAAGTTGGAATTGGCTCTTCTCTCTGCCCCAGGCAAACAGGTCCAGAGCGATTGCAGCTGAGAGTGTGGGCCGCCCATGCCTCCAGCCATTTCTGCTGTAAGCAGAAGGAGCCTTGGTAATAATCCCCTGCCCTGTCCGTCCTGTGGGTCCTGGCACTGACCTTTACAAGGCTCTTTACAAGGACTGTGGCTGCCAAGATTCCAGAAGGCTTAAGGATTCGACTTGACAAAGGAAAAAGGGAAAGAGGAGGACAAACATGTACTGGGTGCAAGCTATGTGTTAGGAAAGGTTCGAGTGTACATGTGAGGACACAGTGGCTCTGCAGGCTTCACAATTTGCCTAAGATCACACTGTCAGAGCCGGCACTCAGAACCGCTTCTGTCCCACCTCCAAGCCACGTCCAGGACAGGACTCTGCCTCCTTTTTCAGGCCTGTGCTTTTCAGCTGCTTCCATCTATGAGGCAAGTGGAGGTAAACAATGTAGATAAGAAATCAGTTTGGGACAAAATATACTAGGACCCCATTTTTTCACAGGAATTGGTAATCATTTTAAAGGCCAATGTCAGATTTTAATTTTTTTTCCTAAGAAAATGCCCCTCTATATAAATACATGTACAAAGAATAGAAAGTCTTACCTTTTTCTATTTTAGCATGAAAACTCCTTGATAACCTAAGGAAAGGAGCTGGGAACCAGATACACTGGTGGCCTCACACTCAACCTCCAGGGGCACGGGAGAGAAAGAGGGCTGCAGACAGGCAGGCCTCAGTCTGAGGGGTCCAGGAGGAAGTCCCGGCTTTGTGACTTGAATTGTCTTGGTAAACTCAATCTATTTGAGCTTCAGTTTCCTCCTCTGCAAAGTGGTGATCATAATAACTACCTTGCAGAATTGTTGTGAAAATACTAAATCATGTATTTTAAATGCAGCCTCTGGTAAATAATAGGCACTCAATACATGCTGTTCTCACTATCTCCCATTACACCTAATTGTTCTTACTAACAAAACATATCAGCACTAATAAGAAAAGTTAGAAGAGATCAGGTGAGAACAACAAAAGTAGTGGGAAGCACGTTGAAAAAAATTAGGTCTCCAGGACGACAGAAGCGATTTTTTTTTTTTTTTTTGAGATGGGGTCTCACTCCGTTGCCCAGAGTGCACTGGAGTGCAGTGGCATGATCTCGACTCACTGCAAGCTCCGCCTCCCAGGCTCAAGTAATCCTCTCACCCCAACCTCCCAAGTAGCTGAGATTAGAGGCATGCACTACCACGCCTGGCTCATTTTTGTATTTTTTTTGTAGAGACAGGATTTCGCCATGTTGGCCAGGCTGGTCTTGAACTCCTGGGCTCAAGGGATCTCCCTGCCTCAGCCTCCCAAAGCCACCTCCTTGAGATTACAGGCGTGAGCCACCACACCCGGCCTACAGAAACAATTTTAAGAGAAGTAATGTCATAGCAGATGAGTGAATTGTAGTTCTGTTTTCTGCACAGTGTAGCTGGCCTGCTGGGAGGTTGAACCTGAGGTTTGTTCCCTGTCTGAGATCCTTCTGCGGTCTTGCCTCAGCCAGTCTCTACACAAATGGAATAATTATAATGTAGTCACCAACAGTTGTGAACAGCTCAGTACGCTTTCATTATTTGCAGATAAATATCAAGAATTAAATGGCTACCATCACCTCCCTGTCCAAGGTCCCTTTTATAAGAGCTGTTTTACAGTCGTGGGACCTCCATTGACTCAGATGTGACATAATTTAGCTCAGTTCAAACCACTTTTGGTTCTGTTGGCCTGCCAATCAAGGAGTCAGAGGGTAAAATCCTGAATCAAGTTGTCCTCCTGGGAGCAGGCCCTGTGCACTGGCCCAGCAATGATAAGCACCATGGCATTTAACAGGCAGCTGGGACGAGCGAATAGACGAAGAAAATCAGAAAGACATAACTAAAAGTGGGAAAGAGGTAAATTTTCTCATGACAGGATGAAGAAGAAGGCTGGGAGAACGTGGAAGTCAGTGGGATATATTTGTCCTTGGCGAATAGCAAGAAAATATTAACGTAGTGTTTAATATCCAGGATCCAGCTGGGCACAGTGGCTCACACTTATAATCCTAGCACTTTGGGAGGCCAAGGCAGGCAGATCGCTTGAGTTCAGGAGTTCAAGACCAGCCTGGGAACATGGTGAGACCTCCATCTCAACAAAAAATACAAAAATTAGCGGGGCATAGTGGCACACGCCTGTAGTCCCAGCTTCTCGGGAGGCCGAGGTGGGAGGATCACTGGACCCTGGCAGGTCGAGGCTACAGTAAGCTGAGATCGCACCACTGCACTCCAGCCTGGAAAACAGAGCAAGAGCCTGTCTCAAAAACAAACAAACAAAATACAAAAAACACAAAACAAAATCCAAGACCCAGTGGTAGAGCAACCAAGAGGACGCTGCTATAGATGACATGGGAACTGTGAACATGGCCCAAAACTGGAATGAGAACAAGGCCTAAGCATAGAGTAGGAGTAGAATAAGTAGAAAATAAGTCGGTTTCTCAGAGTTGAAGACACAGCCTGAGAAGCATAGTGAGATCCCATCTCTACCAAAAAAAAAAAAAAAATTAGCCAGGCATGGTGGTGCACCCTTGTGGTCCCAGCTATTGGAGAAGCTGATCTGGGAGGATCACTTGAATCCAGAAGTTCAAAGCTGCAATGAGCTGTGATCGTGCCACTGCACTCCAGCCTGGGCAACAGAGCAAGAACCTGTCTCTAAAAAAAAAAAAAAAATTAACCAGGGTTGTAAGGCAGAACTAGGAAAGTGAACAGACCACATGTGTTTGGGACCTGCCGACAATGTGACCTTGGGTCAGTCACTTACCGTCTCTGTACCCACCTTCTCTCCCTTCTAAAAAGGGGACACAGGGCCTGCCCTCCCACATTGACAGTACTGTTGACGGTTCAAATAGATAAGTGAAAGAGCATTGCTAGATTCAACGATGATCTGAAGAGACATTGAGACCTAAGCAAACGTCCCTGCCTTGGCTGCCATACAACCAGCCATATTGTGTGCATAAATTCTTGGCCACAGAGGGCAGCAAAGGAGGGAAGAGCAGATCCACAGAGGTGTGGGAGTTTACCCTGGGGGTACCGCTGGATGGAGAAGTGCGGGCATTTTGGGCAGAGGTGGGCTCACGTGTGATGAGTTCAGGGGATGGAGAAGTCACTGTCTTGGCTGGGTGCGGGTGACTGGGTATGGGAAGGGCCTTGGTGGCCGTGCAGAGAGTGCGGCCTTTTCTCTGCAGGAAAGGAAGCTCCATCAGAAGGTTTTCAATTCTGTTGGCAAATTTTCAGATTATTCTGATAGCAGCACAAAGGTCGACTGGAAAAAGTGAGGCCAGAGGTGGAGAAACAAGGTGGGGTTCTATTGCAGGAACCAGGGGAGAGCCACAGGGGCTAGAAACAGAGGCACTTAGAGAATGATGAAATTCATCATTCTGCTTAAAAATAATAACTTATTACATGTTAACATGAAGAACGTTTTTCTATTTATAAAATTTATAAAATTACTATTTTATAAAACAAAAAAGTGTAGAGTGGCATTGTTTTATGCTTTTGCAATTCTAGAGGTGTGGCTAAATACAAGAGCTGGATTTTCACATCTGCTCTGCATTCAGTAGATTGTAACATATATCGTTTTGGTTGAAGTATATGAAGAAAATCTAGCCTCACACAAATTTTGGAAAAGGGAGGAGTACAGAGTTAAGTACTTTAATAATCTTGAGATAATTGTGGATTTTTTTTTTTTTTTTTTGAGACAGAGTCTTGCTCTGTCACCCAGGCTGGAGTGCAGTGGCATGATCTCTGCTCACTGCAGCTTCCGTCTCCTGAGTTCCACAGATTCTCTTGAGTAGCTGGGATTACAGGCGCATGCCACCACACCTGGCTAATTTTTGTACTTTTAGTAGAGGTGGGGTTTTGTCATGTTGCCCTGCCTGGTCTTGAATTCCTGGCCTTAAGTGATCCACCCACCTTAGGCTCCCCAAAGTGTTGGGATTACAGGTGTGAGCCACCATGCTGGGCC
The DNA here is from genome assembly GCF_000001405.40 of Homo sapiens. Classification (NCBI taxonomy): domain Eukaryota; kingdom Metazoa; phylum Chordata; class Mammalia; order Primates; family Hominidae; genus Homo; species Homo sapiens. The sequence goes on from NC_000006.12 coordinate 105,095,345, forward strand.
AACTGTGGCTATTCTTGATACTACAGAAAACTCTATAATAGTTTCGTTTTTCTTTTTTTTAAGGTTAGTCAAGTGAAGCAGTGGGAGTGGAAAAGGAACAATCTTTCTTAAAGGTTGTTTGCAGTGTGGAGTCCAAAACCCTGTTAATGGCAGTTTTGTGCTGCTGCACTGGTCTAGCTTGTGCTTGGAATAGATCTTATATCCATGTGTGTGACTTTACAACATCATGTGTTGACCATTTAAAAAATACTGGCTCACTTATGCGGATCTTTCAAATGTTAACACATTTCGAAATAAAAGATCAAAAATTCACTCATTTATTATTATTCATTCATTCATGGGGGGGCGAGGGATGAGGAAAAGAAAAAACCTTAACTAGAAAAATCTTTATGTATTAGGAAGCTGGTGAACTCACAGTGACGTCTCCAACTTGGAAATCTGTATCTTCAGCCCAGATCCCTTCACTGAGTTCCAGGCTGACTTATCCAATTGCTTGCTTGACATCTTTTCATTATTCTCAAGGCCCCTAGAACTTAGCATGAAGAAAACATACTCAGGCTTTGCATTCAAACCTGGCGCTCTGCGATGTTCCTGGCCAGAGAATCACCAGCAGTAACATAAGCCAGAAATCTCCGACATGCTCCTCTCACTCACCACCAGTTCTGCTCCCACAAATAGCCAAGTCCTGTCAGCTTTATCTTCTGGTGGGCTGTAGCCATGTCTGTCTACAGAAAACCCCCAAGTGGACATCACTGGAAACTCCCAGCTCTTACAGCACAGCCTTAGGTAAGGGGAAGCTGACCAAAAGCTGGCTCAGCACGAAGTTCAGGGCTGGAAACCCAGACATCAGGCCTAGATGCCATGGCCTGTTGAGTGACAGAATTAATTCCTCTCATGGTATAAGATGCTCCTTCCATTTGGGCCTATCATTGAGGCTGACTAGGGTGGGTGTGTTAGATGCCAAGGACTTGCCACTCAAGGCCAAAAGATGGGCTGTCAAGTTTCCATTCCAATATCTAGGACAGCTGATGGGAGAAAACGTGGGTTTCTCAAAGAATAGAAAGACTGTCCCCCTCATCCACCACAGAACAGATCCAGGGAGGTTTTCTGACTCCTTCATGTGACTCCTCATATTGTTGAATCTTAGGAAACTAGAAGGGAGTGAATGTTCAGATGCAATAGAAAAAAAGCTGAAGCCCACTAAGTCCCATCAATAAAACTCTGAAGGCTTCTCCATTGCTGCATCTAGTCAACACTGTCTACACTGCCTTCTGGCCATTTTTTTTTTTCACAGTCAAAGCAGCCAAGATGGCAGGACCTTTGAAGTCAGGTATGACCGACCCACAAGCACCGCCCCTGCTGGTCTGCTCAGAATACAATGGCCTGCACCAGGCCCATCCCCACAACCTTGGCCTTTGGGCATGACATTCGAACAAGCTAGATATATGTAAGAGGAATGAAATAAAAAATACACACATTTTCTAAGTAAGAAATTTATTTGATCAAATGGCAATATATGAAGATATTTTAAACTATAAGGCTCTATCCAGACAAAAAGCATCTTTTTATAAAGTAAGTGTTATCAATTTAAATGGCACCTAAAATCAAAGAATGAGTTTCCTATAAATGTCTGTATAAAGCTTTCATAAAATCCTCATGTATTTTAAAACTAGGTTGCAAGTATAACAGAAAAACCTATAAATAGTACTTAAAAGCAGGTTTCTTAAAATTTATGACACCTACAGTGTGTCACTATAGACAGAGTATTCGGGGGGCTCTGTGACAATCAAACATGGCTGCCATGAGTAAGGGAGCGTGTCCCCTGATGAGCAGAACCGAAGCAGTGATTATGCCTCAGCCTCGAGCTCCCCGCACAGCATCCTACCATTCCAAATTCTTGGGACTTTGAGTTGAGTTGAGAATTACTACAAGAGGAGGTTAGGAAACCAGGATTGGAAAGAGGGAAGGGAGAGGAAACCAAGGCATGCCAGGATCAAAGATATCTATAAAGCAGCTTTATAAATGACCAAGAAAATGGGTTTCTAAAAAACGCAAAATGGTGAGGCCTTGGGGCTGCAACGTGGCATCTGTGAAGAGGACGACGCCACGCCCGCTGGGAAGGGCTGACCTGCATGCCAGGTGCTTGGCTTGGAGCCACCACACGCAACAGCATGAAACTTTCTCTGGAGTGCCAAGTCATTACCTGGAAACACTGGGGACAGGTCAGTGTGTAGCTTATACCAGCTTTCCCCAAAGATTTTTCCAGCAACCAAGTGACTCAGCAACCAAGTGACTCTGTCTTTGGGGCCGTGATGGGAGCTGACATGGAGGAATCTGCAGCTCCAGGTTCTAAGATCAGGAGAGCTTCAGACAAGTGGGAAAACCAGATATAAAGAGGGTGACATACACACACTGTTAGCAGCAAAACGCAAAGGTGTCCAATGATTAAAATGAAATTGAGTGATAGGGAGAAATGGAGAAGATTCCAGAGTGTCAGGGATAGTAACTGAAAATAATTATATAGCACCCATTATTACTAATTTAAGATATATAAGCATCACTGCGGATTTATATAGTGTCTATGCTATTAGTTTAGTAAATATAAATATTTATGAGGGCTTTCAAAATATTTTAAATGACATATACATTCTAATATAAATATTACACTCCAGATTCATACAACTGAGTTGATGTTACATTTAAAGTAGTAGATTTGGGGTTGTATATGGAGTAACTTTTGCAGACCATTTTCTGAACTTTGATCATTCAGCTAAGTAAAGGCCAAAAAACACAGGAAGCATCTTATTGGGAACTTTGGCAGCAAACATGTTTTTATCTATGTATTTATGCATTATACAAAGATACACTTATTCATTTGTATAAATGAATTTAAAGTACTCCATAGGAGATCTTACACTTAAAACACTTTTCTGTCTTCTTATCTGCTTCTTTGAGATCAAGTCTATATGGGAGGCTTCTTCCTTAGAGGTGTGTGTTTAAAAATAGTCTCACGTTTCCCATTCAGGCTAAGTGGCTCTTTTAAGATTCCTAATCTTGAGGTTACAATCTTCACATTGAGACACTGATACACACACATACTTTAATAAAAACAGCAAATGGTCTTATATCACCTACTTTTAGCAGTGTGCTTTTAAAACAGGTTTGTTCCCAGCATTACAGAAAATAATCTCCAAACACATGCATTACTTTCTACTCAGGGAAGGATGTTACATCTAATGACTGTATAGAGTGATTTTGTAAATTAGTCTTATGCGCGTGTAAACTAAATGGGCTGCCCAACTTAACCCCAATGGTTAAAGGAAAGTAGTCTCGGCACTATGACATCACAGTTACACCTGTGCTCTCAGGTACAGGGCGAAAGTGAGAGCGAGAGCGCACGAGAGAGTTCAACCTGAGAGAGCTTTATAATTTCAAGCCTAGGCTGTCATTCACCTTTGCTTCATTTCTCCAAAACAAGCTCCTAATTTAGCTACCTGAAGAGACTGCTGCAGCAGTACAGTGAAAGCAGCCTTTTTTTGAAATAGGGTCTCACTCTGTTGCCCAGGCTGGAGTGCAGTGGTGTGATCTGTGCTCACTGCAACCTCAACCTCCCAGGTTCAAGTGAACCTCCCACCTCAGCCTTCTGAGTAGCTGGGACTACAGGTATGTACCACCACACCCAGCTAATTTTTTTTGTAGAGATGGGGTTTAGCCATGTTGCCCAGGCTGGTCTTGAACTCCTGGGCTTAAGCAATCCACCCACCTTGGCCCCCCAAAGTGCTGTGATTACATGTGTGAGCCACTGTGTCCAGTCGACAGTAGCCTTTTTACTGTGATGTCAATAAACCAACATCTGAAGATGACAGGAACTGGATTCAGAGTCTGTGTAAATTTTCTCAATGAGTGACCGAGCATGTAAATTTAACTCAAATGAAATTACTACAATAATTGCTTTAAAAACATATTTAGGAAAATGAGGTGACCCTAGATGAGCTTATTTATATGTCTCCTCTAACAGAAATCACCTCATGGTAAGAGTTGCTTCTTTTGGCTCAGTTCACCTGAGAACAACTTCATTTGGAACTTTTCTTAGCCATTTAACGTAACAGGAGACTGACTCAAAGTTGGTTCTAGTGGATGAAGCAAAATAGACATGACCAGCATGGCCAATCAATGAGCTTCATTCAACGGAGCGTCCTGGCCAAGTGCCACAGCCACGCTGGCCAGACACACTGACCAGTTACGCATTTCCCACCAGCCAAATGCCACTGTTTACTAAACCATGATTTCAGTAGGAAAAAGAGCTCTGGAATCAAGGCCCTCACTGCAGTACCTGGGTGGGGTGTCCATGGCCTGGCCTGTAGTAAACCCTCTGCCTTCCACTGTGTTCACGTTCGCAGCTCTGGCACTGGGGCATCTGGCACTTTTTTAAAAGAGATGTCTCTGCCTCTAGATGAACAATCTGGAACTTCAGAATACAGATCAAAGAATGAAGCAGATCTTTCAGTGGCCTCATCCTGTGGCACCTGCCCAGCCATTTAACTCCCCTGTCCTCCCACCCTACATAAAGTGTTTCCCACACCAGAGTGTGCACAACATGGTGACTCCAAATCCCAAGGAAGTTGAGTTTAGCTGGAGGTTAACCCCGTGCTCAGAAACCCATCTGTTATCTTTCCAGCTTCAGGTTTCAGAGCAGTTTATAAATGGCATAATACAAGGGTAATGTGAGTAAAATCTGAGAGTTTTGTTCATTATCAAGTTATCCACACAGTGCCCAATTAAGTAAGGTGATCTAGTGGAGTAATACTTCTGGCCTGGGAGAAAAATAAAACCAGTCAAATCACACCTTTCTCTAAAATGTCCCATTAAAAAAATATGGAATAGGCCGGGCGCGGTGGCTCACGCCTGTAATCCCAGCACTCTGGGAGGCCAAGGTGGGCGGATCACGAGGTCAGGAGATCGAGACCATCCTGGCTAACACAGTGAAACCCCATCTCTACTAAAAATACAAAAAAATTAGCTGGGCGCGGTGGCAGGTGCCTGTAGTCCCAGCTACTCGGGAGGCTGAGGCAGGAGAGTGGCGTGAATCCAGGAGGTGGAGTTTGCAGTGAGCTGAGAATGTGCCACTACACTCCAGCCTGGGCGACAGAGTGAAACTCCATCTCAAAAAAAAAAAAAATTATATGTATGTGTGTATGTATATATATGTATATATATATATATATGTATGTATGTATGTGTGTGTGTGTGTGTGTGTGTGTGTGTGTATATATGGAATAAAGTTTGAGATTCCCTGCTTTTTCATGTTACCTTAGCCTCAATTTTAAACTTACATTGTTTGTTAAAATTATCAAATGGACAACCTCATTGCTATGGAACAAAAAAGACTGTGAGGAAAAAGAATCATAACTTGGAAAAAAATAAGTGAAAAGGCATTGAGAGATTGCTAAGATTTGTTAAGTTAAAACAATAATATATCTAGAAAAGACTGTGAAAATATATATCTCAAAAGAGAACAAGGCATAGTCAGAAGGCTCAGTAAAACAATTACTTTAAAAGCTGACTAATAAAAAGGGTAAGTGAAAGAACTCTTCCATCCTTGACCCTTCCTCACTTCCTCCCTCCGACTCCACCAGTCTGGATGCACTAAAGCAGAATAACCTAAAAGCCATGAAAAAGTGCTGGTATTTTTCAGGATCTCTTCAAGACACCTTCCGTCTTGGTAACCTGAATTCTCTCTCTGATCAAGGCAGCTGATGGACTTTCAATGTATTTGGAGATGCCGGTTCAAAAACGTCATCATCATCTTCTGCTCCTTCTTCTATCGGTTTCATCTTGGCAGAGGCTCGCTGGTGTGGGGATGACACATCTGTGGAAAGATACAGGAGGGAAAACCACTGAATGCACAATCTACCCAGACCCTGGTGTGATATATCAATTATAAATTCCAACTGGAAAATAAAACTGTAGGAATCTATCACTAGCAGCACCAAGAACACAATTTCCATAAACCATTCTATTTCAATCCAGCATCTCAATAAAATAACCAAGTCAAGAAGAGACTCTCAGTCAGGAGCACAGATGAGGGACAGATTCCACCGCATGTGCTTGGATGATCTGAGCTTCTCAAATATATTCAGTTCCCAGGGGTTTGCCCCACAGTCTGCTTAGGACTCAGAACGCATGTTCCTACATTAATATCATACATGGGGGCTTGAGTCTCATATTAGCCCTTGAAAGTTGATTTAACTCCTAATTTCCCCAAAGAATACTTCTATTCCAAAATTATGGAACCTAATCACCATCTGTAATATCACCTAAAACATTTCTTGCCTCCACCATGGAGTCCAGCCACCCACTGGGCTTACACGCAAAGGAGACAGGGGAAGAGGAAGAAAGGCCAGGCATTCAGGAGGGACAAGCCAAGTAGAGGAAACGCAATCCCAGGCAGCAGCAGGAGAAAAGGCAACCCCAGGGCCTTTTAGGATGCCATTTAATCAAAGGAACCAGGCAGCAATTCATTCATTCAGTCACTCACTGGTTCATGCATTCACCAAATGGTTATCAAGCATCTACCATATAATGGATACCATGCTTGATGTAGAAGAAAATACTATCTAAAAGTAAGAGTAGAAGTCATTATCAAAAGGCCTCTCAAGGTGCCTAATGAGCAGCTAACGTGACTGCATAAACTCCCCTCCTTACAGTCACCACCATCACTGTCAGGATCCATGTTGTCCGGGTTTCCACCTGCTCTGCCCACACCCATATCTTCGCTACCCAATCACAGGGTGGAGTGGCATTCCGGCAGCCCACAAATGCTGAACTCAGCTGGGGAGAAGGTTGATGGTGGAGGGATACCGGGTGAAACCTGGCTCTTTAAATACATGCTCACAGCAAAAGCGAGTGGAGGATCTATTAAGACATGAAGCAGATCTGCTACAAGATGACCACAGAAGTTTGTCAAGATCAGCTGTCATTCACTGGCAGGAGTCAGGAGCAGACAGCTGGGTTGGCCAGCACAGGGAGAATGCCACAACCAGCAAGGAGGGCCAAGGGCTATGAGCATGTCACACGGCTGCTCCTGGAGGGAGGCTGAGACAGCGGCAAAGGCTTTGCCCTGGCACTCAGCCATGAACGAGTGGTCATTCCTGGCCCCTGGTATGGCACAGGGGGAGGGAGCATGCAGAGTGGTCAAGACCAGAGGCTCAGCAAACAGTTCCAGAGTTCAAATCCCTACTCTGCAACCTGCACTCAATTACTATACCTTTCTAGGCCTCTGTTTCCATATCTATAAAAAGGGGATATTCTTAGGATCTGCTCCATGGGATTGTTAGGAGGATTAAACAGAATAATGCATAGGATGTACTTAGCAGGGTGTTGGGCCTATAGAACATGTGACTAAATGTCATTTCTTATTAACTGTACAGTCACTGCCGTACATCTGGGGAAATGCTACCACCAGTCACATCCTCTAACATAAAAAAATATGCAGGGCTAGACTGTGGTACAGCTAATGTATACTCGCTGTATATATACGGAAATTGTTCACTTACAGACATTTACAGCAAAAATACTGAGTCTCTTGAATGACAACTATTGACATAAACTGTAGAAAAGAAGCATCTAATAAAATGGTCCAAGAACCCAATTCTGCACAGGGCACAGCATGGGAAGTTCTCAGGCGAGTTCTTCCCCTTTCCCATGCAGGTGACATCAAACACACGAAACACAACCTCTACTTCAATGTCTATTCAAATGGCAATGAATTCTATCTGTGCGACCTTGGACAAGTTACTTCTTTGTGCCTTAATTTCCTTACCTGTAAAATAGGAATAATAAGAACAGCACCTATTTCATATGGTTGTTATAAGGATAAAACAACTTGATATTTGTAAAGTTATTAGATCAGTGCCTGGGATGTAATAACCACTTTGTAAATATTTGTAAGAACATAAAAATCAATTACTATGGTCTTTGGAAGGCTATGGACTTAATAATGAGAAAATTTGTTAAAATTCATCATTGCTCATAAGAATGGCCAATAAAGGAAATGGGCCTTGTGCTCAAATGTGGGTTTGTGTTTCTCAATCTTAGCTCTCTTGAGTGTGGCAAAATTGTCTTTAAAAAAAAAAAAAAAAGCCCTGGTTTCCATCATATTTTTAGCCTTAAGTTATCATTGGGTCTCATAAATATTAACTTAGGCTGAGTATCTACAATGAGACAAAACTCTCAGAACAAACAATAAGATGGCATGTCTAAGAGCATTAAATCAAGTCAATAATATATAGTATATAGACATAATTGTGTAACACGCTTAACAGAAACATACCCAGTTTATTCTGTCTGAGGAAGTAGGACTAACTGGTTTCTAGTTTTTAAGCTCATCTATCATACCAGGAAGGACATCCTACAGTTATATTGAGGCAGGTATCTATACTCTGGAGCCACAATGGTATCTGACCCTCCCAACTCTCTCACCTATACTTTGCATTTTTTTTCACTGAGAGAAAATGAAGGGAGGACTCAACACAAATGGAAATGGTTAAGTGAGAACTTCCCAAGAGCTTTCAGCTTTTCTGTGAAAGAATTTATTCTGCTCCCACCATATTTGCTGGGGCAGAAGAAGAGCTATGGAACTTACTATATAACATTAAAAGGATAATGAGAGTGATTCACAATCCTTAGGGTGACATCCAGGGTTCTCCAAGTTGGGTCTCCCTCCCTCTTCCAGTCCAAGCTCTTGCAAACTCACTGCTCTTCAAATCCAGCCCATCCTCCTCTTTTCCTCTTGCCTTTTTTCCCTCTACTTGGAATGGTTCCTCCACTCCCATCTCTAACCACCAAATTCCCATTGTTTCCTCAAGCAGGATTCAAACTCCACCTCCTTCATGTGTAACCCTCCATGACTCCTGTGGGAAGATTCTACCCTCTTCATCTCAATAACTTCAGCCCTTCCACATTCTGTGTAACATTGTGGTTATAGCATTTGCATCTCTTCCTTATTAGAAAACAGGCATCTTGAGTGCTGTAACCAAGGCCTCTTTCCTCCTGCAGCCTCACAGAATTACTCCACACATAGTCAGGACCTTGATAATGTCCTTAAGTACACAGTGATGAAAAAATCCCTCCTCTGAAAGGCCACATAGGGAACCTCAGAAAGGATCCTGAGGATGAGGGAAAAAGACATGGACATCACCTTTAATTTCTGGCGGGTCTCCCAGTGGGGCACCACCAGCATTCCTCAAGCGCAGGCAGGCCTCAGGGTCCAGTAAACCTCATTAGGAAAAGGGACTGTCATCACTCTACTTTGTAGCATGTCCCCTGAAGGAAATCACTTTTGTAGAATTGATTCGACACTGCTTAGGGCATGGACAAGAACACCGTTCTCTCAAAGGAATATCAATAGGCTTAATAGCACCATCACCTGCTACAATGTTTTCATCCAATCAGTAAAAGGAATCAGGGAGTGACCACAAGGTGCTAGGACAATGGGTTAAATGTTGGGGAAATAAAAAGGAATCACACCCAGTCTTTCATGCTGTCTTATTTTATTTCTCAGAAACTCAAAGCACTTTTCAGAGCAATTCACCCTCACCACATCTGTACTATTATTTCTACTGTATATTCAGAAGCTAAAACAAAGACATCCGTGAAAGAAAACAGAGAGGGGTGGCTGCCATGAATGAGCTTATTTCTTACCAGGGTGTGAACCACTTAGAACACATCCTAGGAGGATAAACCAGGGAGTCCTAAGGGCCTGGAAAGATGGAATTTTTCTGCAAAAGTTCTTGATTCACTTTCATTTCAAGCTTTGTGGCTGAGAATCTGCAATCCCCCCCCAACTCCCTGTCCTTATAACAACATTGCCTTGTTGCTCTTTTTCCACCTTGGTAGACACACTGGCAGACAGGAGCACAGCCCAACCTGTCACTTCCAGGGACTACCTGGTGCCAGCTGGCTGCCAACCCCTCGCTTGGAATTAGAATCACGGAGAGTGTCCACTCTTTGTACCAGCCCCAGTTAGCCTGGCCTTCTGTACCATTGAGGGCCAAGTATAACATTCACATCCAGGAAGACAAAAGGATCACCTGCCCTGCCTCGGAATCTGCAACTGTCATGGCCACCAGAAAGCCCAGCTTTGAGGAGTGAGGGGCTCACCTGGCCCCTAGACATGGGGCTCTCTGGCCTCATCAGGAGACTTACTGGTTCAATGGAAAGATTCAGAGTCCATCCCTATATAGCTGGAAATTATTTCTTTGAACCCCTAATACATCCAAAACCAATTTGTAGTAAGAACAAGAAAAAGAGGGAATATTATATTTCAAGGGAATGCTCTTGCATTTCACAAGTTGAACATTAATAAATAACTTCTACAGGTTTGCCTGGTTTTTCATTAATTTTACGTACTGATAGATATCAGAAATTTGCCCAGAGGCCCAACTATCTTCCAGAGATGTGAGAACATGAGAGGAGAGAGGAAGAAATAGAGCTTATCTTTAGTTAAGTGATTTTTCAAATCACTTTTGTTCTTCAAGGAGGTTACTGTAAGGTTCATGATCTCTGTAGAATGCTTTACTTTTCATTTATTGCCAATTGTAGAGGGGCAAATAATTTCATATCCATAAATTTCCCAGAAAATTGATTCTTAGTTTTCTATTAAAACTATTTTTACAGTTGGGAGGCAGAGTGGTTAACTCCATCCTGTTGTATTTATTGTGATCAGGAAAAGACTTCTGTAGTAATTTTTTTTCTGTTAGCTATAATCACCTTCCACCTACCAGTTAATACATTTTATTATAAAAGTATATAAACAGTATCATACTGAACTGAAACCCAGACTTAACAGGTGTGAAACTGTTAAACAGTTACGTCAAGAGTTACTGTTGCTGGAGGGATGTTTCATATTACACCAAGTGGCAAAAAAGTCCTCTGCACAAAGGACTTCCATAAGGACCAAGGCATCGAGAAGGTGCAGCCAGTGGAGCACAATTGTGCTCTGGGGTGTCTGCCACACTCGCAGTATGTTCAGGTGGGAAAGAGAACTGTAGCACCAGGCTGCCGTGCTGAGGGTGAGAAAGAAAAACTCCAAGTCAAGGACCCTGAGCACATGCGGAAGACTGGGACAGCAGCGAGAGTCCTGAGCGAAACAGTGGACACCTTTGCTCCTGCCAGATGGCAGGGGGTGACCACACCGTGGGCTCCCACAAGGGGATTCAGATACGGCCAGCAGAGTCTCTCCTGGGCAGAACTGTTCAGATGGCAGCCAGGGCTGGGTGCTGGTTAGGGAGGAGGGGAGCCCATTGTTAAGACCCACTGCATGTCCCTGAGGGTCACTGGCTGCAAGGGCAAACAAAACATTGACCTCCATGGAGGGCGGGCTTGGGCTGCCCTGCAGATCCTTCTCTGTCTTCCAGAGTCTTGAGTTAAAGAACCACAGAAGGCCTTAAAAACCTTTTTTTTAGTATAAAATATTTGTGGGTACATAGTGGATGTATATATTTATGAGTTACATGAGATACTTTGATACAGGAATGCAACGTGAAATGATTATATCAGGGTAAATAGGCTATCCATCACCTCAAGCATTTATCCTTTGTGTTACAAACAATCCAACTTACTCTTTTAGTTATTTTAAAAATGTATATTATTTTTTACTATAGTCATCCTGTTGTGCTAGCAAATACTAGGTCTTATTCATTCTTTCTACCTATTTTTTGTATCCATTAACCATCTCCACTTCCCCTCTACCTCCCCCCACCCCCATTACCCTTTCCAGCCTCTGATAACCATCCTTCCACTCTCTCTGTCCTTGAGTTCAGTTCTTTTAGTTTTTAACTTCTACAAATATGTGAGAACATGTTAAGTTTGTCTTTCTGTGCCTGGTTTATTTCACTTAACATAATGAGAGGAGGCCTTTTCATACATGAACCAGGGAGCTCTTACATGACAATCAGTCAAATCTCTGGCATACAGGGTAAGAAAAAATGAGGTAAGATTCTGTCCCTATTAAGCTTATTTCTATTTCAGTGTGCTTCTAATTACAGGAGAGCCTGAAGGCCTCTCCTAGGAAGTAAAAGTAAACAGACATATTTGTTTTTCTTAAATCCAGAGTGAAGGTCATGCCTGTTCCAGAGGATGAACAAACTACCTCAAATCTGAGCTTCAAATAAGTGGAGTACCACGATGTGAAATCTGTCAGGTGACTTTTATCCTTGCTTAAGAAATACACTTTTTAAAAAGGAGCAACATTTCTGTAAGCTAATATAAGGTGCTAAGATTTTCTTTTCTCCCCTGTTAACTTTAATGACGTTTTCTCCATTTCTTTCAAAATGTTATTATTTTTATTATGTTTAACCATCTGGCCAACTGCTTTAGCAAGTAATTAAAAACCTACAGGAGTTTAAAATTTAATTAGATTGTACAATTTTTGAAGAATGGGAATGTGGAAGGATTTAATGGCTTTTTTTTTCCTGGAAAGAATTCTTTTCCTGTCTTTGCTTATTATATCCTAAGATTTTTTTTAATTGAGGAAACTGAGTTTGAATTGAAGCTTTCTGAACAATAATACTAAAGAGTAGCTTTGGCTTGTGCACCGAATGTTTCCTTTAATACACTCAGCACCAGCACTGAGGAACTCAGGCAAAGCGTACAAAATTAGGGCAAATGCGGAGGTTGAAGTAGCTTAGTGGTTCCTGTGATGAGGTCTACTCTGCCCCAAGAGCACGTTCTCAGAGCAGTCCCTAACTACTCGGATGGACCATCAGGGCCGTGAGCTGTACAGCGCGCAAGGTGTGGTGTGAGCAGCCAAGGAGGAGCAAAAGTCCCGCAGCCTCTTCCTGCTCACAAAGAAGAAGATACAGGGTAGAGGAGAAGGTGAATGAACCCAGGAGAAGAGTGAGGGCAGGATTCAGGCTGGCAGCCATGCAACAGCTCAGAGAATAATCCATCCAGGATGAGGCTGGAGGACGGCAGGCTCTGTAAGGAAAGTCTCTGGGAAAAATGGGACACAGAACTGGGAGAAAGGATATAAGGACAGAAAAGACAACGATAAGGAAAAAGGAAGGCAACTAGAAATGCCCGTAGAAACAATAAGCAGTATGAAAAGGCAGGGTTCAAATAGAGGACAACCACTCAGAGACTTGAAGAAAAAATGAAATGGGTTTCACCTAAAAGACAGAATGAGGAAGAAGCCTGAAGATCCCAGGGATATGGTGAATAAGATGTGTCCCACAACAGCAAGGCAATGAAACAACTTTAGGGGAAAAAAGAGAGTCAAGGCATAAAGTAAACCGTGGCATGATTTTCATGTTGTATATGAAAGAAGAATCCACTTGAACTTGATTTTTAGAACAGTCTCCTTTGAACAGAACAAGAGTCATGACATTGGAAACAGAAATAAATGTAAGCACTGCCCACTACTTGGTTCTACGTAAAGCACAATAATCTCAACATTGTTTATTTGTCTTAGACTTTGTGAAACAATTCATAGACAAAGGCTAATTGCAGTTATAAAAGAGAACATATAACTTGACCGTTTCAAAGTAAGAGACCCACAACAGTTTGAAGGTAGAAGGGGAAGAATAAGAAAGTAGGGATGCTAATGTCCTCACCTTTTAAAACATTTATTTTTTTTGAGCAGGGTCTCACTCTGTGCCCAGGCTGGAATGCAGTGTCGTGATCTTGACTCACTGCAACCTCAACCTCCTCGGGCTCAGGTGTCCTCAGCCTCTTGAGTAACTGGGATTACAGGCACAGGCAGGCCATCATGCCCTGCTATTTTTTGTATTTTTTGTAGAGACAGAGTTTTGTCATGCTGGCTGGGCTGGTCTTGAACTCTTGGGCTTAAGTGATTTGCCCGCCTTGGCCTCCCAAAGTGCGGGGACTATAGGAGTGAGCCACTGGGCCCAGCCCTTAATGTCCTCACCTTTAAAATTAGTGCAGCAAGAAAAAGAAATGGAGATTTAGGTGTATTGTTTAATGTTACAAAGTTAAACAATAAAAGAACAAAAACTAGTGACTTCATCATATTGAGCAGAAAGTGGAGGGGAAGTTAGAAGTGAGCTATCTACGTAGGTCAGTAGATAAAGGTTACTAAGTCCCCCTAGAGTTGGTGAGAAGGTAGTCACTTGCCTATAATCCCAGTACTTTGGGAGGCCAAGACGGACAGATCACTTGAGCCCAGGAATTTGAGACCAGCCTGGACAATATAGCAAGACGTGGTCTCTACAAAAAATACAAAAATTAGCCAGCCATGGTGGCACACACCTATAGTCCCAGCTACTCAGAAGGCTGAGGCGGGAGGACATCTTGAGCCTGGGAGGCGGGAGGACATCTTGAGCCTGGGAGGCGGAAGATGCGGCGAGCTGTGATCATGCCACTGCACTCTAGCCTGGATGACAGAGTGAGACCCTTTCTCAAAAAAAAAAAAAAAAAAAGATTAAGTGTATAAAGCAATAAATAACGGCACATCATTTGGCACTGTGGTTAACAACTGTTTCAAAGTGACTGTTCCTTGGGAGCAGGACTAAAATTAGCTTGGAGGGGGGTCAGTTCTTTTTTTTTCACTGTAAGGTTTTTTAACCATGTGATATCTATGTATATTAACTTGATAATTTAAACAATTTTGACTAACAGACTAAAAATGTACAACTGTATAAAATACCTTCAGGTAAGATTTTACAGGTAAGAAAATGCTGTGTGAGGACAGAGGCCCCCTCCTGGGGCGAGGAGCAGGGTACTGGCATGAGAGAGCACAGCCTCTACTGGCTGGGGGAGACATGGTCATATTCCTAAGCCTAAAAATGGAAAATGAAACACCCACCTCGTAGGGTGGTTGTGAGGATTAAATGAGAACCTGGCTGAAAGTGGTCAGGATGTGTCAGCTGCTACAGCAGTAGCTGAATATCCCAAACAAGTTTATGCTCACATTGATCTCCCTAAACTACACTTTACTCATCTATAAAATGAGGGTATTGCTTTCTCTAGCCATCTTGGTAGGTCTGAGAATTGTTCAGACTCATCTCCCAGAAACCTGCTGCCTAATCACACATCTTTCTACCTCTCTGTACAATTCATGTAAAGCTTATTGTTTGTAAGTCTATGGTTGCTCACAACGGGAATGAAACACAAATTGAGCTGAACAGATTATTTCATGAAACCAGCCTCGAAACTAAGAATGCTATAATGGCTTTTTGCGTCTTTCCAGGTAAATAAATATAGAAGAGAACCAAGAGAAACTCATTAGTTTCTCTCAGACATACTGGTAGTCTTTTCAGACTGCAAGCTAACTAAATATTTGTAAAACTAGGTCATATGACATTAGTAGGCTGTCCACAACAGCATTTTTTTTTCTTTTAGACAGGGTCTCACGCTTTCACCCAGGCTGGAGTGCAGTGGCAAGACCATGGCTCACTGCAGCCTAGATCTCCCAGGCTAAAGTGGTCCTCTTAGCTCAGCCTCCCAAGTAGCTGGGACCACAGGCGCATGCCATCACCTCCAGATAATTAAAACAAATTTTTTGTAGAGAGGGGGTCTCGCTATGTTGCCCAGGCTCGTCTTGAACTCCTGGGGTCAAGAGATCCTCCTGCCTTGGCCTCCCAAAGTGCTGGGATTATAGGTGTAAGCCAGTGTACCTGGCCAGTGTAGTACTGTCTTGACACTAATAACAAACAAAATACTTACAAAGATCTTAATAAGAAACATCTCTCTAAAGATCTCACAGCATTTTTAAAAACAACATAATTATTATTTCATGAAAAAAGACACGGTTTAAACTAACAAGCTTTTTCAAAGATGAGTTCCAACTGATTGCATTGCCTACATTGTCTTGTGATTTTAAAAAAAAATCCAAATGATAGGTTATTTAACCCCAATTAACTAAAATACAGTTCTGTAACATTCAAGGAAACATATGTCTTCCTGTTACCATAGCAATGCCTGAGCTGGGCAGCACTTACTAGTGATGGAATTGCCAATACAATCCATCTGTGTGAATGCATATGTTTTATACATGAAGGGAGCTAAGAAGGAGAGAAGATGCACAAAGATGACAACAAGGTGCCCTGACGAGCAACACCTTGGTCCAGGAGCCAAGAGAAGAAAGCTTTCCTACATACACTGGCACTAAAGCGTTCTCACACCTCTCACACATCTTGTCCCTTCTTCTCTTCCTATCTCGCTATATTCCATGTTTGCAAACATGAAACCCAGTAAATGAAGCAATGGGAAAGTGAAAGAGTTAAATGAACTGAATTATGAACTACTGAATAAACAGAGAGAATGACTTTTTCTCAGGCTGTCTCATGACTTCACTTTCTTCCCACAATTTGGAGTGGGAATACAGAATCTATGTGGAAAGGAGTAGAGACCTTGCTGTGGATTTAGCATTGTGTGGCATGTATAAAAGCAGAGTACAACATGAGAAATGGGAGCAGCAGCAATTCCATTAAAACAGGTCACTTAGTTTCCCTCCACCTTTTTCTGTCCGTATTTCTGTTTCACTGAACATTTGCTGTGTAAAGTTATGAAGTATATTTGTCGCATTACTGATTGAGATCTTTAAAGTAGTGCCTTTACCAGAATTTATGCAAACTTCTACACCCAACTACCGGCAGATGAGAAAGACAAGAACACCATAATCACCACCATGGGGATGAACTCAGCAAAATTCCAGAAGGTGGGAAATTCTACAGCTTTCCTACTCAAAGTGTAGTTCACAGACCAGCCACACTGGTATCACCTGGGCACTGGTTAGACCTGTGGACTCCCAGACCCCCACCCCAGCCTGCTACATCAGGATCTTTAATAAGATCTCCAGGTGATTCATATGCACATTTAAGAATCTGTTGTTCTACAGGACAAACCAAAAAACCAAAACAAAAACATATGCAGAAACACACACACAGAGACAGAGAGACAGAGAGAGATGGAAAGGGAGCCCTGAGGTGTAGTGGCTGAATGCGATGTGCACATGCTGTTCAGATCGTGATTCGAAAAATAATTATAAATATTCGTATGCATGTTAATGTTTAAATCGACCTAGATTTGGGTTAATGAATAGGTGGAACAATGTAAAAAGGTTTAAGGAAATACATAAGGTATATTTAATTTGGTATGGAGTGACACTGCTTGTAATTCTGAAGTAATCTAACTAAAAGCTAAATGACACTGGAGATTATCATTGGATAATTTCACACATTCCTAAGTAGAACCCTAGTAATCCAGTGATAAGAATAAGGCAAAAATTTTAATTGAAATGGATTACATTAACCAATCTATGAAAACCTATCTGCAGCACTACTTGATCACAAGGAAGGAATCAGGAGATGACAGGTTTCCCCAGAAAAGTAGGTGGGAGTTGAGAAAAAGTGGCTTGGGGCAAGTCACTACCTTCTCACCAACTCTAGGTGGACTCATCTGCAAAGAGGCAAATAATAACAGCTCCTGTGCCTAGCTCACATAGCTGTCGGTTCAAATGCAAGAACAGATGTGAAGGTGACCTGTATATGGAAAAACACTAGTCAACTGTTACTTGCATTTAAAAAAACACAGAGGTAATCTGGTCTACAAGCATGAGCTTTTGTTTTTCTTTTCTTTTTTTTTTGATACAGGTCTCACTCTATCACCCAGGCTTCCGTGCAGTGGCTCTATCATGGCTCACTGCAACCTTGACTTCCCCGGCTCAAGCAATCCTCTCACCTCAGCCTCCCAAGTAGATGGGACCACAGGCATGTATCACCATGCCTGGATAATTTTTTTAATTTTTTGTAGAGATGGGGTCTCATTATGTTGCCCAGGCTGGTCTTGAACTCCTGGGCTCAAGCGATCCTCCAGCTTCAACCTCCCAAAGTGCTGAGATTACAGGTGTGAGGCACTGTGCCTGGCCAAGCATGAGCTCTGGAATCAGATAGGATCCCTAGGTTTGTATCACAGAACCAGCCCCCATGGAAGAGGGGCAAGTGAATAAGCATCTCATATTCCCAATTTCCTCATCTATAAAATGACCTAACACCCGCTGTAGTAGACTGTGTTACAGTCCAGCTTTCCACCTGCTGTTTCTCACTAGGCCCTTCCTGAGCAGTCCCTGCAGAAGGGTTAAATGATCTATCCATTGATGTTGGTTCTGGCAAGTGACTTCTGTGGCCCAGGGAACATGCATGGAAGTGGTACTTGCTCCTTTAGAGCAGGAGCTTTAACAGCCAGCCATCTTGTGAATCTGCCACGACTGTCTTCCTTCTGCAGTTACAATGGCAGTGACCCAGATGGCAGCTAGTCCTTTGGCTGAGCCCCAAGAGTAGGGAAGTGCAGCACCCGACCTTCATGTGAGCTTTAGTTAATACCTTCAAAAAGTTACTATGCAGGCCAGGTGCAGTGGCTCACGCCTGAAATCCCAGCACCCGAGGCGGGTGGGATCCTCCTGCCTCAGCCTATTGAGTAGCTAGAACTACAGGCCTGCACCACGATGCCTGGCATTTTTTTTTTTTTTATAGAGACAAGGTTCTCTTGAGCCCAGGAGTTTAAGGCTGCAGTGATCTGTAATTGTACCAATGTACTCCAGTCTGGGTGACAAAGTGAGACCAACTCCCATCCCCCCCGCCACACACACACACAAAAAAAACAAAAACAAAACAAAAACAAACAAAAAAAAACAGGAGATTAAATTCTTGTATGAAAGGTGATCTCCCAAAATATTAAAAGGAAAACAACATGCTTATCATCAAGGACAAGATGTCGAGGCAGAGAGAATTCTGTACAAGCCTTTATTAAAATAACTCGTCTTTAAGTCTTCCAACACAATTTAGTTGCCTTTTCATAACTTACTATTCTTTGTCCAATTCACTATAAACTGTTTAATTGCTTCTTTAGGTCTTCATTTCCTTACAAAAGCTTCTGTGCCATGTAAAACCTGTATGAGCTTTTAACACAAACTCATACAACTTGTATTAAATTTGTATCCTTTTCTCTTGTTAATCTATCTTATGTCAATTTAATTCTCAGGTCCAGCCAAAAAACAACCCTAAAAAGGAAGAAGTAAAGTTTTTTCTTTCCTACACACCAATTATATGGCCTTGTAAATTCCAGCCTCTCCTGACTATGCAATACTTAAAATCCCTAATATAATTTATCTAAAGGCATACAAAGTTACAAATCATTTACATAAAGAATTGTTGAATGTGTTTGCATTTTTTAAAAGTTAATTTGGTTTAAAATACAATTGGAAATATGAATAGTTTTTAATTCATGCAATGGAAGAATGTCTGCCTTTTTGCTATTTCATATGAATTTGTTCAAAGTTTTTATACCATCATTCTTAGAATAATTCTTAAAGTATTTAATTCTTAATTTAGTTTTTCTCATTTTACTTACTAATTTTCAACATCTGGGTTATTTGTGTTACTTAAAATGTTTTGAAACAATCTAAACTATGGAAGAATACCGGAAAATGTGCCTCTTGGCAGGCGTGTGAATGAGGTAGCTCACAAGGGTGTTGAGTGATCTCCTTCATCTTTGGGAATAATCCATTTCTCAGTCACTTTTTAACTCACGGCACTCATACTGAGATAACCAGCCAGCAGCAGAACACCCAGCATTTATTTGTCTACCATTTAGTAAAACATTTCTGGGTCTAGGCTTTCACTCTAACTAAAGTCATGAAAGTAACAAAGCCAAATGGCAACAAAAACAAACAAAACCAAAGCAAAAAAATCAAACCATGTGGACTCTTAGAGTATTCTGGTGAGCCACTATTTTTTATTTTTGAGACGGAGTCTCGCTCTGTCGCCCAGGCTGGAGTGCAGTGGCGTGATCTCAACTCACTGCAAGCTCCGCCTCCCAGGTTCACGCCATTCTCCTGCCTCAGCCTCCCGAGTAGCCAGGACTACAGGCGCCTGCCACCAAGCCCGGCTAATTTTTTTTGTATTTTTAGTAGAGACGGGGTTTCACCGTATTAGTCAGGATGGTCTTGATCTCCTGACCTCGTGATCCGCCCGCCTCAGCCTCCCAAAGTGCTGATCTGCCCGCCTCAGCCTCCCAAAGTGCTGGGATTACAGGCGTAAGCCACCATGCCCAGCCAGTGAGCCACTATTTAAGCAAAGTATATGGCAAAACCAGTGAACAATTTCAATTTCTGAAACAGAAATAATAGTTCTAAAGTTGGCTTTTAGCTCATATGCAATATGGGGGAAATGCTAAACAAAATTTGATTGTTTTTATTGTTACCTTTAGGTTGCCTTTCAAATAGTTACCTGCAAAGTTATTTTTCTAATCAAAGTTGTCATTTGTCTATGTCCAGAGATACCCATCAGAACTCTGGAGTAGTATCAGTTTTGGGATAACTTACGAAGAGAGGACATGCTGGAGGTACCCCGAAGAAACTGGTGCAAGCCGTCGTCACTGTCACTGGAGCTGGCTATACTGTTCCTCATTTCCAACATGGAGATCTGTGTGCAGAGGCTGAGCTGATGTTCCAGCTTTTTGGCTTTCTACAAAGCAAAGTTTTAAGCTTTCTGAGAATTATGGGAGTTGAATCATACATTCCATTTAAGCAGCATGTACTTTTCCTAGAAATACGTTAGTGCATTTAAAAAAAAGAATACCTGATACATATTAGGTGGCCAATAAACATAAGCTATGATTTTTATTATTAGCTATTACTATAAATATATTATACAAAATCAAATATACTTAGTAGCCTATTTATAATAAGCTAAATAATTAACTGAAATAAGCACCAGCTTAATTTGATAAACAGTCCAGATAAGATGATTTTGAAAGGGCACATATACTCAATTGTCACTGGGTAACAGTACTTATCACAGAAACGACGTTTTTAAAAATTCTCTCTTGTAATCATTTTAATTTCTTTCTAAAAAGATACGGGAAAATTAAGATCAAATTGCAAATTGCTGAAGATCTATGCAGCTCTACACCTCTCCTTTCACTTTCTCGCCTGACCTGAAGATATGCAAGACTGGAAGACAGCAGGGTTCAAAGGCCAACTTCCTGATCGCTGGGGTCTGTCAGCCTTTCTCTGTCTGCAAACCTCCAGCTGCCCTGTCCTCCCTAACTTACTCCATCCTCCACCCCCTCTTACTCCTTTACCATCTTCCTTAAAATGCTCTTGATGAAGAGGGTGCCTTATCACCATAAATGCTAGTCCCTGACAATTGTAGACTCCTTACTAAGTAACAGCAAATCTAATCATTACAAAATACTTTCTCCTCTCAAGATTACAAGTATCCCCAGTACATTTAACATATGGCTAGTTACTAAAAATTCAGGAAAACATATTTCATAAAGTGAAATATACCTCATATACATATTTATTTAACAAAATAAACTCAGAGAACACTTACTTTATCATTTAAGGTGGGATCATTCAATGAGTAGAGCTTATTTGTGATGTCTTTTCCAATAAGATACCTAAAGATTTCATACAAGAAAGGTTCTGATTCCAGAAAGTATGTTAATCTTTCTCTTGACCAGCATAAAAATCTGCAGTTATCATCTGCAATAATGGTGACCTGCCAAAGAAACAAGCATGCAAAGAATAAAGTACATCTATGTATATGAATTATGACTATAGTGATTTAGAAAACTAGGAATGATTTAGTGGACATTATCATAGCAATGATTTGTCAAATTATAAAAAAAAGGAGACTCAATGCACACAAGCTTCTACACGTATAAAATTATGTTTTTTAAAAAAGCAATCTGCAGACTAAATAAAAGCAAATTCTCTGTGTTTCCTTGTTGTTTTGTTTTGTGAGGTCTGGTGACAGAAGAATGGCCACTGTATTGATACCGCTGCTGGAGCATGTATTCAACTGAGGATGCCACTGGACATATGACTTACATGAAATATTTCTTTACACCCTGTACATTACAATGAAGTTCAAAAATACAGCTTCAAGCAGATGAACTAAGATTCATGAGGCAAGTTGTGAAAGACCTTCTGCCCATCCATCTCTGCAAATATACACTAAAGACTGAGAAAACTTCAAGGGCCCTCGGCTGTTGCTGATGAATACGGCTGGTGAGGGTCCTTCTGTCATAGGTGTTTCTCGAGTGTCACATTTCAAGGTTAGATCCAGGGTAGCCCATTAGAGATATTCACAGACATCCCCAAATTAGCTCAGAGCTGGAAATCATACCCCCTTTCCTTCAGTATTGTATGTAGGAAAGCAGAAAGGTACTATAACTGCACGAAACAGAGCTCAAGTATCCCTCAAATAAATCCCTTTGCCAGAGTGAGGGGCCATGCCCTCACCATTCAGTGCCAGGAAGCCCTTCTTCCCATGTTAACACTTCCATCAGTTAACACAACTGCAAGCTTCATTATGGCTTAAATCCTATCATTAAATCCAAGCTCATCAGCTGACACATCTGCCTGTTCCAAGCACTGTGAAGGCAGGGATTGTGTATCTTCACGTCTGTCTGAATGCCTGACTTCCAACATGGAGTGGTGCTTAATGCATGACTGTTGTATGAAGGACTTAAGCAAATGAACACACAACATGGCAAAACCCTGGCTCTATAAAACATACACAAATTAGATGGACATGGTGGCATGTGCCTGTAGTCCCAGCTACTTGGGAGGCTGAGGTGGGAGGATCACCTGAGCCCAGGAAGGTCGAGGTTGCAGCGAGCCATGATCACACCACTACACTCGATCATACAGTGGCAGCAGGAGACCCCTGGGTGACAAGCGCGAGACCTCATCTCAAAAACAAAAACAAAACAAATGAACACAAATACCGCAGTAGGCAAAAACCAATGTCCATTAAACTGACATCCAGTCCTATCTGAGCCTCAGAGCAAATGTTTCTAAAGAAGCTCTGTCCCCTTTGTCACAAAAGTAAACACATTTCAGAGGACAAGGGGATATGTACATCTACCAAGACAGAAAATGAAAAACCCAGCTTGTCTCCTTACTTCAACAAGCTGAAATCTGATTGCTGGCAAATTAAGAATGTCTGGCTACTTTAAAAAGTGGTGTCAACATTCCTAGGAAAAAAAGCTTGTGTTTATTTATTATATCAAAAGTAGGAATTTCCAAAACCAAACGTATTTGTTTTTAAGAAATGCATCAGCATCTAAGACTTGATGAAACACTAAATTTCATTCATTCTTTCGATACATTACTATGCATGTACTTTATGCTAGATACTCTTCAAGGTATGAAGTTACAATGGTAAATAAGAAAGACAAGATGCTTGCCCCATGAAGCTTACATTCTAGTGGAGAAGGATGATAATTAATAAAGAAATATGACAATTTCAGGTGGCAGTAAGTGTTTTGACAACTATAGAACAGGGGAAAGTGGTCGAGAATGACTGGGGGTGACAATAGCACATAATGCCACTCACTTTGTATATGTACTTTTAAACTTTAAGGTGCTTTCATATCTATCATGTAAGTGGATCCTCAAAAATCCGTTTAAAATAAGACAAGTAATATTCTTCCCCATTTTTCAGATGCCAAATGAGAAGGACCAAAAAACTCACAAACACATATTAATTAGTGGTAGAGTGGCTCTACAAAACACACAAAAATTAGCCGGGCATACTGGCATGTGCCTACAGTCCCAGCTACTTGGGAGGCTAAGATGGGCCGATCACTTCAGGCCAGGAGCTCGAGACCAGCCTGGGCCAACATGGTGAAACCCTGTCTCTACTAAAAGAAAAAAAATTAGCTGGGTATGGTGGCAGGCGCCTGTAATCCCAGCTATTCAGGAGGCTGAGGCACAAGAATCCCTTGAACCTGGGAGGCAGAGGTTGCAGTGAGCCGAGATCGTGCCGCTGCACTCTAGCCTGGGTAACAGAGTGAGACTCCCTCTCAAAAAAAAAAAAAAAAAAAAGTAGTGGTAAAGTGAGCACTTTTGACTTTCAGCCCAAATCTATTTTCCCACCAGGTCAAAATCTACCCAATACACCCAATACTCATCAATACCATTTCATAGAAAGTATTTCTGCCTAGTGACTACAAGGTTGGCTGTGCAGTCCATCAAGAGCCCCTCATACAGAGAAAGGCTGAACACATGCCATGAAGCCTACATTCTAGTGGAGGAGGCTGCTAATAAAGAAGTAGGATCAAAAACATGGCAAGATTTACAGGAAGAGGAGTATAAGCAAACTGACCCTGGGGAATTCCCACAGACGGTATGAGGTGGGTGCATAAATGGAAGGCAACTGAAAAATATTCCTGGAGTAATAACAGAAAAGTGAGCATGGTGTCCTCATGAGGGCCCAGCCATGCACCTAAGTGCTAAAGACAGTTAGGACTGATGTTCCTTCGTTGTGCAAAGATGTCACCCAGGACTCTGGAAAAGAGTGGGTGAAGGAGTTAAAAGAGGAGATGGAAATCATCTATGAGATGAAGAAATTATATTTAGATGATACATAAGGCTGTTAACTTTTCTTCAGCCATCTGAATTACCTCAAGTTTCCACTGAGGCAATGAAACTTTTACAATGACACTGTAATTTCCTTAGCAAATTCACTTTTTATTGATGGTTAAAAAATTACTTTCGACCTGTTTAAGTTATTATTGAATATAAAATAATAGTATTCAAATAATAAGCCGTACTTAGTTCATATGAGTAACTTACAGGCCCATAAAAACATGGATTTGGGCCGGGCGCGGTGGCTCACGCCTGTAATCCCAGCACTTTGGGAGGCCGAGGCGGGCGGATCACGAGGTCAGGAGATCGAGACCATCCCGGCTAAAACGGTGAAACCCCGTCTCTACTAAAAATACAAAAAATTAGCCGGGCGTAGTGGCGGGCGCCTGTAGTCCCAGCTACTTGGGAGGCTGAGGCGGAAGAATGGCGTGAACCCGGGAGGCGGAGCTTGCAGTGAGCCGAGATCCCGCCACTGCACTCCAGCCTGGCGACAGAGCGAGACTCCGTCTCAAAAAAAAAAAAAAAAAAAAAAAAAAAAAAAAAAAAAAAAAAAAACATGGATTTGGTTGGAAGCCAGTAGTTAGAGTGCTGACTGAGGTCATTTTACTTGATTCCTAATGTTTCATTTCTACCAAATAGACAGTTTATTTAATGATTTCCTGTCACAACAGTCAAGCAAAGTGTATTTTTTATGAGAATATCTTATAAAGCAATATAAGAATTTTAAAAGTTTCCATAAAATAAATTTACTTCTTATTAGGCATTTCAGTAGTGCTATGCTTGAGTCCTTGTGAAGAATTTTACTGAAGAAATAAAAGCAAATACGGCAACAGAATACATAAAAGGACATCTTTCAGGTCGAGAATTAGACTAAGCATTTGCAAACAGGTTTGCCGTGATTACCACAAGGTACTGGATCAGTTCCTCCCTTTAGATTCCAAACCAATTCTACAGCCTGTCATAAAGAGAAGACACTGGGCTCCACCGTAGGAAACAAAGGTCTCTGAGGGATCTGCCACATGTGCTAGAATCAGAAACCGCAGTGTGGCAATAGGACTGGCTGACTGTCCTAAGGAAATAATTTAATACTTTTTGCATGCATCATACTGCATTTCATATACCAAACACTAAAATATCCTAGAAGTGGTCTATTCCACTGATGCTTATTGAGTTCTCCTAAGCACTAAAATAACACAGATTCAAAAGTGGCAGAGGAAATTGTTTCACAGCTCCACCAAAATATTTACTTAATATTAAGATAATGTTTTCTTTCAATACCATTAAAACTTAGTGTTCATTTCTTTTACAAGAGCATGGACATATGCCTGCAAGACATCCCTCTCCCCTTGAAGTCAATAAAACTTTGATTTTTGGGCTTTGCAACACCAGGACATGCTATTGGCTATGGGAAGGCAGCAGCATGAGATAGAATACAAAAGAAAAGCTTGCAAACAGTAAAGCTCACTTAATATAAAACATCTACATAAAGAACAAGAAACCAAACAAAACACTACTTTTATCTTTTTTTTTTTTTTTGAGATGGAGTCTCATTCTGTTGCCCAGGCTGGAGTGCAGGGGTGTGATCTCGGCTCACTGCAACCTCCGCCTCCCGAGTTCAAGTGATTCTCTCCAGCCTCAGCCTCCTGAGTAGCTGGGATTATAGGCACCTGCCACCATGCTCAGCTAATTTTTGTATTTTTAGTGGACACCAGGTTTCACCATGTTGGCCAGGCTGGTTTCAAACTCCTGACCTCAGGTGATCCACCCGCCTCAGCCTCCCAAAGTGCCGGGATTACAGGTGTGGGCGGCCGCGCCTGGCCTACTTTCATCTTTTGTAATAATACTACTCAAGATTCTATCAATAGTTATAAACAGCAACTCTGGGCTATAAGTACCAAAATCACTATAAGTACCTAGGGATAACAAACTGTAAGTTCAGAATCTGTTTTCTCAGCTCTATCACTATGCTTATTATCATGATAATTACTACATATTTACCTGAGCAACACCTGCTATGCAATCTCAAGGGACAGTCATTGAGTCCACTTGCCTTCTCTTTCCTCCTTTTCATCGTACTGTACAATTCATGAGCACCCTGACCACAGAACGAATTTAAAGAAAGAGAAACTCAAAGGAAGTAGATCCTCATCGAACATGTTTAACTGGTCAGAGTTAGGGAAAGATGAGCTTAGCAGGTAAAAAGTGTGAGGGTGGAGAAGCCTGATGGCTGATGATCAAGCGTCCTCTGCCACTGACACAGGTAGTGAGAAGTTGGCTCTGGGAGAATGTGACATTTTTCATTTGGGAACTTGCATAGGTAAGTGGCAATATACATACTCCTACACAGATGTGTAACAGCTATTTATTACTCTTGAGGATCTGCCAACAGGAACATTTTGTAAACAATCAAAGTACAGTCTCTCCCAAGGGCTTACTCTGATGGCTCCAGCTATACAGGACACAGGCTTCATGATGCTAGTTTTAATCTACTGGCCAATCAGGAAATGCCACACGAGACTCTATGCAGAGAAAAGCTGACTGGCATTAGGAAAAGCTGAACACATTTTCTTCATCCAGCTATGGCACTATAAAATTTTGGTCATGTTTTTGGAATCTTTCTAATTACCGGGAATAATTCTCAACTACCAAAATCCAATCCCTAGTCCCCAAGAAGAAAGAGAACTGTAGCTAGTGGTAGGAATTCCTTTTTTGTTGACTTAATTATAAATACAATCTGAAGTCCAGAAAAGATAGTATATTAGTATTTCTGGCCTCTTGGGAACCACTTGATTCTGGAAACAAAGCAGGTTCAATTCCCACCCCATCCTCAAATCCCAGTCTCTTCAGGATTATATGAGATAGTTATCACACAAAACCACCTGCTACTATACACAGAGAAATACAGGCAAAAGATAAATGTTGGGCTTTGGAAGAAGAAACTGTAAAAAGGTCACAGCAAAGAAGGAGAGAAAGAAGATGCGGCCCTGCACGTTTGTAGATCGCGGTGATTAAAGATAAACTAAGAACATAAATCTCACATCAAAGCTGACCCTCACAACAAGGTGAGAGTGTAAAGACAGGAGCCAGGACACAGCATTAGCTGTCTCCTTCTGCATTGTAAGTCCAGCCAGCTTGGGAAGAATGTTGCATAACAGTGAATCTATATGCAACCTTTTAGTAAATGCACATAACTAACAAGCTGCATGATTACTCAGGCCAGTTATTCAGGAAGGGCGGGAGCAGGGCAGGATTGAAACCACCGTAAATGATAAAAACTAAACTGTATGTCTAAAAGTGTTCTTTTATCTCCAATTTTGTGGCATCCCAAATTGTATAACATCTCAAAATGAGACTCTAAAATAAGATTCTGTCATCAAGAAACACTAACATTCCTTCCTCCCTCAGGTAGTAATAGCCTCTTCGTTTCCATTTCTTACCTAAATAGATTTACCTTCTTGCCCACAAGCAATCCCATTCTCAGGATATTACCTTACTGCTGTTAATCCAGAGGCTGAGACTAAAGGAAACTCTCACCCATTTATTTTCTTGGTTAATTTCCTTCCAATAACAAGGTGAATGAATAACATAGGAGGGCTGGACACTTACAGAAAGAATCAGAACAGTGTCACATAATGGAGCAATTTGTTTTTTGTTGTTGTTTGTTTTTTTTTGAGACGGAGTCTTGCTCTGTTGCCCAGGCTGGAGTGCAGTGGCGTGATCTTGGCTCACTGCAAGCTCCGCCTCCCAGGTTCACGCCATTCTCCTGCCTCAGCCTCCCGAGTAGCTGGGACTACAGGTGCCCACCACCACGCCCAGCTAATTGTTTGTATTTTTAGTAGAGACGGGGTTTCACCATGTTAACCAGGATGGTCTCGATCTCCTGACCTCGTGATCTGCCTGCCTCAGCCTCCCAAAATTACAGGTGTGAGCCACCGTGCCCGGCTGGAGCAATTTGTTTTAACACAAAAGGAATCACACTAAGTAGTCCATGTTCAAATTATTGCCATTACGAAGAACTTCGTTCTTTCCCCTTAAACATATTCATTAAGTAAAAAGAGTTTAGTGATTACATTTCATTCATAAGAATTAACAAAATAAATTCCCTAAGGCAAAGCCAGTTTTCTGGTTTTCTTCAATAAATGTCAATTACTTGGTTTAAGAACACTGATTATCTACAGCTCACATTTTCCTTTTCGCTAATAAAGCATAAGATGTTTTCTATAGAAAAAATTATAAAAATTCAAATAAGCAAAAAAAAATTCAAAAAGCAAACACAGTCTAGAAATAACATTATGACAAAATTAGAATATATCTTTCTATAACATTTTCTGTACATATATACAGTATTTTTTAGGCCAGGCGTGGTGGCTCATGCCTGTAATCCCAGCACTTTGGGAGGCCGAGGCAGGCAGATCATGAGGTGAAGAGATTGAGACCATCCTGGCTAACATGGTGAAACCCCGTTGCTACTAAAAATACAAAAAATTAGCCGGGGGTGGTGGCAGGCACCTGTAGTCCCAGCTACTCAGGAGGTTGAGGCAGGAGAATGGCGTGAACCTGGGAGGCGGAGCTTGCAGTGAGCCGAGATTGCACCACTGCACTCCAGCCTGGGCGACAGTGCAAGACTCCGTCTCAAACAAAAAAAAAAAAAAAAAAAAAAAGAGACAATACTATATATGCCCTATGGTAACTTGTTTTTCCCCCCAATAATTCATAGCAGTGTTTCTATTAATATCCTTTGGATTCTGAATGAGATGCAAACTAGTTTCAATCTCCTTAAAAATCATGTGAAAACATACCTGGAATTTTTCACCTTTGTGCATCTGAGTTGATCTAAATTCAGGAGAATCTATAAAGGCACAGGGGTAAATGTTATGCAGAAAATGTCCTCGATAGGAGACCTTCATTCTGATAACAGAAATTAATGTTAATAAAAGCAATATTTCACAAATACCATGATAATCCTTAAAACTGCTATCATCTTATGCGATTTTATTTTGTAGTACAGTTTTAAAAATTCCACAGAGATGATGGACATAACTAAAAGCACTTCTTGAGGCACAAGTATTTCAAAAAATAACGTTAGAAAAAGAAAAAAACAGTGTCCAGTATTGAGCCAGAGGTATGCTGTCTAGTGGTTACTATTGCTCTTCTAACAGAAGTGACCATATAATCTGTAACTCTAACTGGCACACTTCTGAGAGGGAAAGAGGTGTTATTAATAACAATGCCAGCACAACAGAGACTGACTCTCTCCCCAAAAGGCTGATATTCCTAGAAGTTGTATTTTTGTGATATTCAAGACAAATTAACTCTGGAGCATGCATAAGCTTTTTGAATTTCAATGTCTAATTTAAATCCACTACAATTTTGACTCATATTTTTAATAAAACGTCAAAAATGGTTAAAATACTTGCAATTGAAATCCTGACATCAAGATTCAGAGCAGTACACTCAACCTGGGTTTAACATGTTGCTCTATAGCATTGTAAAGTATAGTTGTAGCAAAAAATTCCACCAACAACAAACTCTGTGACTGCTTTCTCCATTCATTGGCAACATTTCCTCCCATTCACTTCCTTCCCAGAGGCCATGAAAAGATTAAAGGTAAACTAGGAATTTTGATTTCCACAGAACACTTACTTTCCCTTCAAGAGAATACTCAGACGGTCATCAACTGAGGTTTTATCCTCTGCAGCATAAGTTTGGCCCTTTTTCAAGGTT
The DNA here is from genome assembly GCF_000001405.40 of Homo sapiens. Lineage (NCBI taxonomy): Eukaryota > Metazoa > Chordata > Mammalia > Primates > Hominidae > Homo > Homo sapiens. The sequence goes on from NC_000006.12 coordinate 105,125,472, forward strand.
TGGATCATGCAAAACTGTCCAGTTAGTCTTCTGAACAAATCTGGAGGCACACGGAGTGGTTCAAACAATCGCCGGTACATGCCACTGAGTTCCTTTTCAATCTTTACCTGAAATGCAGCAATGACTAGATGCTTCACCAATGCAGCAGCAATCCCAAAACACTGACTTCTGTGGTCTAAATATGGTTTTGATAATTAACAAATCTTTGATATATACCATCACCCTTCTGTATTTAGGCCAATAGAATCTTACACAGCAAGTGAAATGGTGATAGAAGTTTATACTTCAGATGCTAAAAGGGTATGGTTAGGTCATGTGAGGTGGTTCATGCCTGTAATTCTGGCACTTTGGGAGGCTGAGGTGGGAGGAGCACTTGAGCCCAAGAGTTTGAGAGCAGCCTGGGTAACACAGTGAGGCTCTATCTCTAATTAAAAAGAAAAAGGTCAGGTGCGGTGGTCACGCCTGTAATCCCAGCACTTTCAGTGGTCACGCCTGTAATCCCAGCACTTTGGAAGGCCGAGGCGGGTGGATCTTCTGAGGTCAGGAGTTCGAGACCAGCCTGACCAACATGGTGAAACCCCCATCTCTACTAAAAGTACAAGAAATTAGCTGGGCGTGGTGGCATGCACCTGTAATCTCAGCTACTCAGGAGGCTGAGGCTGGTGAATTGCTTGAACCCGGGAGGTGGAGGTTGCAGTGAGCTGAGATTGCTCCATTGCACTCTAGCTTGGGCAACAAGAGCGAAACTCGGTATCAAAAAAAAATAAAAATAAAAATAAAAAAAAGAAAGAAAGAAAAGAAAAGAAAGAAAAAGAAAAAGAAAAAAAATTAGTACCTATAGTCCTGGGTACTTGGGAGGCTGAGGTGGGAGGATTACTTGAGCCCAGAAGTTTGAGACTGCAGTGAACTATGATCGCACCATTGCACTCCAGCCTGGGCAACAGAGTAACACTGTCTCAAAAAAAAAAAAAATCAAAAAACTTTTGCAGTTAAACTGAACTCAGAGCATAAGGGGAAGATCCGCACTATTCATCATAACCTCTTCCTATTAGCTATAATGCAACTGTTTAGGTTTTCAATGTTGTCACAACATTCATCTTCCCAATCTTAGCACCTTCTATAAATAACAGAAAACCTTTTCTGTGAAACCTTTTGTTTCACACACACAAAAAATTTACTAACTTTTAAATATGGCAGCAAGAAAATAAACACAAAATAGGAATCAATGAGGAAACAAATTTACAAAGGTAACACATACATTAAGCATTTTATCTCCATGTAATTACTTAATGCACCAATATAGAAAAACAAATATGCACAGCTGCAATCACTGCTTCACATTTATATACTCTCAAGTAAAGTGAAGGAAAAATAAAAGGGTGTAAAAGAGTTTTAGTGTAGAAGTTTCATTGTAAGCTAAAATGAACTCTGTAAAATGGAGAACCCACTGGCAAATAAGGCTGGCTACTGGAGGAAGAGAAAAACAAAATGGCTTAATCATTTCTGTTGTCAGATTCTCCAAAGCCCAGGTCATGCCCCATCTTTGGGCCCAGCATTAGTCTCTGGAAGTCATACTAATTGGGTGGATGGAAAACCATACTGCACTGTATCTCTGGCAGGCACTATACGAAGCCTATAGACCCAGATCATGACAGCTGCTCCAACCAATGTCACTATAGCATTTGCAGTGCTCCTACTTGTCCTGCTGTTTCATTTTGAGGAAAATCCAGCATTCATATTTTTCAAAAAAGTAGATTTATAGTATGAGAAGAAACAAAAGCACAGACACTAAGCGATTTACCTATTTGGTGCTATGATCATATCAGCAACTTCTGAACCTTACATTTTGGGGTTCCAGCAAGTTCTGACATTCAGAAAATGCAATCATTATCTACCTCCTCTACTCCAAAGCTCTATTAATGAGCATTTAATATGATTTATTCATGATCTGCTCATCCCGTAACTCTCAGATCAAGCCCTTTTTATGTATTTATTTTTTGGAGATGGAGCTCGCTCTGTTGCCTGTGCTGGAGTGCAGTGGTGTGATCATAGCTCACTGCAGTCTCAAACTCCTGGGTTCCAGTGATCCTCCCGAGAAGCTGGGACTACAGGTGTGTGCTACCGCATCCAGCTGATTTTTAAATTTTTTGTAGAGACAGGGTCTATGTTGCACAGGCTGGTCTCGAACTCCTGGGCTCAAGAGATCTTCCAACCTAGGCCTCCCAAAGTGCTGGGATTACAGGCATGAGCTATGGCGCCCAGCCTCATGAAGCCCTCTTAATTCTTTTCCTCTCTTTTTTTTTTTTGAGACAAAAGTGTTGCTCTGTCACCCAGGCTGGAGTACAGTGGCACAATCTCGGCTCACTGCAACCTCCGCCTCCTGGGTTCAAGCGATTCTTGTGCCTCAGCCTCTGAGTAGCTGGGACTACAGGTGTGCACTACCATGCCAGCTAATTTTTGTATTTTTTAGTAGAGACAGGGTTTCGCCATGTTGGCCAGACTGGTCTTAAACTCCTGACCTCAGATGACCCACCCGCCTCGGCTTCCCGAAGTGTTGGGATTACAGGCGTGAGCCACTGCACCTTGCCTAATACTTTTCCTCTTTGAAAGCATTTACTCATCAAAGGTTTTTTTGAGCACCTACTGTGTGCCAATAATGGTTGACAGGAAAAGTGGATACAACAATAAGTGTGTTAGATTATTGTTTCCAATTATTCACTGCTCCCAACCTCTGTAAGAGGACTGTACATCCCCTTACTCCACCCCATGCCCCATATTATCAAACTGGGCCATGTCACTTGTTTTTGCCAATGAAATATGAACAGAAACAATATATGTCCCTTTTGAGCAAAAGTTTTAAGAGACATTGGGTGTTTCTCTTTTGCTCTCCAGTACTTTTTCTTCTGCCATGAGAATGCATGGTCCAAATAGAACCTGCTGCTTCAGCACAGACCCTTAAATGAATGAGATGCATAGAATAGAATCACAGCTGACACATAGCTGCCAGAGGCAAGATACAAGGTGGGTGAGAAAAAAAGCCCATTTGCTGTTATATATCATTGAGATTTATTACATAGCATAACCTGGAAAAAACTGAATATTACAGTAAAACAACACAGACTGACTCACTATGTTTAGATGAGGTTACAATCTAGTTGAATGCCTATTATATATCATCTGCATCATTCAAATTAGAATCTTCTATGAATCATCTTGTTTTCTGATAGTTTTCTACATGCAAATCTGGCCCCAAACATAAGATTAAGGCAAGCATTATATCTTTTACTTTACTGAATGTTTGTTTGTGCTTAGGAAAGTCAGTAGATATATATGGGGTGATTTCTAGGACCCCTGCTGTTTTCCTACTCTTTCTATTCTTGGTATGATCAACAAATACAAGATAAATCAGAGTTGAAAAGAAAAAGTTAAAGACTGGTGTTTTGGTAGCAACCCACCAAATATGGTGACTTCCTTAGATGAATATTTTGGGCATTAGAAAAATATACAGTTATTACACTAAAAAATAGCATGAACTATTTGTAAATCATTAGAATGTTTAAGAAGTTGCCTATTAGTAAGTAATTTTATAACTGGGCAATGATATTTCCAGGTTAACATCTGAATATCAATATAAAAAATCAAGTAATATGACTTAAAAAGGAAAATATTATTCATGTTCTCTCATATGCTAATGATTTTTAAAGTTTTAAAAACTCATTTGTAGAACAAATTTCGTGGTACTAAAATGTTTCACTTTCAGGCATAATGTAAACAGAAAGCCTAAACTTCAGAGAAATTATATTAAAGTGACTAAATATGCTAGATACTTACTCTTAACTCTGAACAAAGTACCTTTCAAAGTTTTAGCTTTAAAATCACTTCCTTATTAATTAATTTTAATAATTACCGGTCTCTTCTTGTATAAAAGATACGACAGATGCAAAATGTTGACACCCAAGAACACAGAGTTCCAGATCATTATATCCAAGGCACATCGGTAGAGAGTGGCCCAGACGATATAAAGGGTACATCCTGTTGAAGAGCAAAGTTAACACGTTAGATAATCTAGAAGAGCCTAAGTGGGGAGCTTAATAAATTTGATATCCTCTATATATACAGTAGTCCTCCCTTTTCTGAAGGTGATACTTTGCAAGACCCCCAGTGAACGCCTGAAACCATGGATAGTATACAACTCTATAAACACTACGTTTTATTGATCTGATACCCAAGACAGCTAATAAGCAATCACTGGGTGGGTAACACAGATAGTGGGGATAAGTTGGACAAAGGGATGATTCACATCTCAGGCAGGATATAGCAAAACACTGCAAGATTTCATCGCACTATTCAGAATGTCTTGCAATTTAAAATGTATGAATTGTTTATTCTTGGTATTTTCCATTTAATATTATTGGACTGTTGTTGACCACAGAAAGTGAATCCATGGATGTGGGGACTACTGTAAATCAAACACATTTTAGAACTACCTAAGCCAAATATCATGTTGTTTCATTTTGTTTTTTGTCCAGTGACCAAAAAAACCCCAAATATATGCTTTGTTGAATAAAATCTGTATTAAAAATATATAGGAAATACAAAGTTTAAAAATATTTTTAAAGGGGAAAAATCCATAATTCTACTACTTTAAGAAAGCCATTAAATATCAAATAATTTAATTCTGCCTTACAGAGTTTTCATACAGTTTTACCTGATGGCAAACCTAGCACACATACAATTTTAAAATCTCCTTTTTGACTTATTCCAGTGATTTTCCCATTTCATTAAACTCTTTGCCAGCATAGTTTTAAAAGACTGCAGCTGATTAAACCATAATTTATTTAACCATCCCCCTACTGCCGGAAACACAATATTTTGAGGGTATAATTTTTGACAAGTGGAAAAAAAATTTTATACATACAAATTTTTCTGTATTTGTGATTGTTTACTTAGTCTGGATTACCTGAAGGTGAATCTAGGGAATGAAATTTATAGTTTTTTACAATATTGAAGAATTGTTTTCCAAAAGGTTTGTACAAATTTGCAATCCTACTAGTTAGAAATGCTAATATCAAGTTGTCAGTATAGTCATGTGTCACTTAATGACAGGGATATATTCTGAGAAACATTTCGTTAGATGATTTTGTTGCTGTGTGAACATCAGAGACTATACGTACATAAACCCAGATGGCATAGTCTACTACACTATAGGGTATAAACCAATAAAGTACAGCTTGTTACTGTATTGAATATTGAATACTGCAGGCAATTATAACACAATGGTGAATATTTGTATATCTAAATATATCTAAACATGGAAAAGGTGAACATGTGGTACTATATTATGGGACCACTTTCGTTATACGATGCATAACTGTATTATAAAATGTGAAAACTCCTAATTTGATAGTGAGGAATTATGTATACTTTATTTTGCATTTCCATGATTACTGGTGAGCCTGCATATTTTACCAAAATGTTTTAGCCATCTGAATTTTCCCTTGGTGATTATCCATTTATCTCTGAGAATCTTCCTGTGTTTTCTTATTGATTCTCTTACCTTATATAAAATATCCCCAGTTTCTTTTGATCAATTTTATGATAGGAGAGTTAATACAGTATATACATTTAAAATAAAACTATCATGAAGATATAAATCATTGACACACGCATACTCACAAAAGCTAACCACCCACTTTAAAAGTTACTCACTTGCAATTTTTTATTTCATAAGAATGATTTGATGCACCTGAATAAAGCCCAAAATGTAAAAATTTAAATATTCTTTAAGTAATATTTCATAGCAAATAGTGAAGCAATTTAAAATATTTTAATTTAAAGGAGACAAGGTATATAATGGGAGGATAGAGAAAAACTGGAGGACCTGAATTATAGTCCTGGTTTGGCCATTTTTTCTCCATCTTAATTTTGGATGGGTCATTTTACTTGTCTAGGTTTCACTTTTTAAAATTTTTTTTTCTTTTTTGAGACAGGGTCTTGCTCTGTCGCCCAGGCTGGAGTGCAACAGCCTCGACATCCCAGGCTCAAGCCGTCCTCCCACCTCAGTCTCCCAAATAGCTGGGACCACAGATGCATGCCACCATGCCTAGATAATTTTTAAATGTTTTGTAGACAGAAGGTCTCACTACATTGCCCAGGCTGGTTTTGAACTCCTGGCTTCAAGAGATACTCTCACTTCAGCCTCTCAAAGTGCTAGGACTACAGGCGTTAGCCACTATGCCTGGCCTAGATTTCTCTTTCTGCATTTACAGAATAAAGTGTTAGATTTGATAATATCTTTGGTTCATTCCACCTCCAAAACTCTGTCTTAAAATTCATAATTGATGTTTGCTTTTTTATAGGGTACGGTATTTTTTTTTCCATTCAACTCCCTGTTCCTACTGCTGTAATCCTCACCTTACTCACAGGTCACACAGCCACAGAGGTCCCACAAGCTTCTACTAACCTTCCAGCCTCTTTTTCCTTGTCATTTATCACTTTTTTTTTTTTTTTTTTGAGGCAGAGTCTAGCTCTGTCGCCAGGTTGGAGTGCAGTGGCACAATCTTGGCTCACTGCAACCTCTGTCTCCGGGGTTCAAGCAATTCTCCTGCCTCAGCCTCCCGAGTAGTTGGGATTACAAGTGCCTGCCACCATGCCTGGCTAATTTTTGTACTTTTAGTAGACACAAGGTTTCACCATGTTGGCCAAGCTGGTCTCGAACTCCTGACCTCAGGTAATCCACCCACCTCGGCCTACCACAGTGCTGGGATTACAGGCGTAAGCCACTGTGTCCAGCCCATTTATATTTTTAAGCACAATGCACTACTCTACGTTCACCCCAATATGCTCAATTTCCTTCTCTTCTGTGCTCTTTGTTTGGATACTATACCCATTTACTCAGATAAATCCTGCTCATCTTCCAAAATCCAGGTCCCATGTCACCTCCTCAGCGGGACCCTGCTCTGCCTTCCTACTAAGCCTATCACCTTCTCCGTGTCCCCCTGGATAATGGGTGCACACCTGCATCCCAGCATCTGATACGCCATACTGGGATTGCCCATCTGTTTCTCCACCAGCCCCCACAAGAGTGTCTTTCTCAAGGATGAAGACGGCCTTCCTCAGTCTTTGTCTGGACACATCACAGGTGCTAAAAAATGCACCTGAATAAATGGGCCATCAGGGAAATAATCACATAGAGAATAATTTGTCAAGAATCACTGGCTAATATAACAGATTCAATTGTTTTAATGTTCTGATGTGAATCAATTTAACTTGCTTCATCAGGGTTACTGGGACCAAAAAAAATTTGTTTTATTTGAACTACTGTATCTGGTAATTGTTTTTGTTCCCAATGTTTCTTTACTGCCCACAGCAAATATCTTTTCAAGTAATAATAGTTAAAACTATACAGTACTTACTATGGGCAGGCAATATTCCAAGTTAAATATATATATGACACACATTTAATTCACAACAACTTTGGGAGGTGGTATTATTTTTACCCTTATCTGATACATGAGGAAACTGAGGCAGTAGAAAGATTAAATCACTTGCCCAAGTTACAGTTGACAAGAAATAGAACCAGGATTTGAATCACACAATTTGGCTTTAAAGTTCATACTCTTACACATGAATGAATGTTCTGGTATCTGGAAAACCTAAACAACATATGAAAGCACATATAAACAAAGTAAGTAAGGGAGAGATATGGCATGTGAAGGCCTATGCTCTAAGCTAATTGATATACTGCTAATTCATTAACAAAGACTTACATTTTTTGGCTTGCTATGGGCCTGACAAAGAATACTCTGAAGCTCTCAATGTAAAGCCCATCTTATGTCAGTTACAGAAAAGTTACATAAAGTATCAGTTAGGTATCTTACCTAGAGTTAACATTCCCCTAAGAAATATCATATGAAGGTGAAGAGTAGTTGGAATAACCAACCCAACTGCAAAACAAATATTTGCTACATGAAAAACCAGATGATGTATCTCTCTCCAGTTTTCACAAGTGGTCTTATTGGAAGGCACAGGTATGATACTTTCTAACTCAGGTGTAAAACCTATGGCAGTTGATTCTCTCAATGGGCTGGACTCTGTATAATTCATTTTGAAAATTCCTGTAAAAACAAGTAAACAAAAGTAAAATCGTAAAAATGGCAATTGTATCTTTTTACCTTCATAGGTATTATACCAAAATTATTTCTGTGAATTAAATAGACTTCTCTAGTGCTTATGAATTAGACAGACCCAGATTCAAATCCAACTCTGTCACATATTAAATGTATTCAGTTCCTTACCTGTTAAAAGATGGTAATAATACCTCATTTGCCTTATGATCAAATGAAATGAAATACATAAAATACTTAGCATAGTGCAAAACTATTCCCTCATAGGCACATATATACGTATAAACACTTGTAGGGAAGGGAGGAGTGAGGGAATTAGTCTTTAAGATAATCACCAATGTTCATAAACCATGGTAATTACAAAGTTATTTAGTCTAGTCTTCCATCAAATTCCCACTGGTGACTGAATCCAAACACAGGAAAAATAACTAGAAAACTAATTATTTGAATACTTAAAAAATATGAATACCCTCACATCTATTTGAAGGCTTAGGATATTTAGAAGGCTCTATTTTTATACCACCATTAAATCACTGTATCATACATACATAATACATTATCATATATGCAAATAATATATAGCCATATAAACATTTATATATACACAGAGAGATACAACATGAAACTTTTATTGTCTTATTTAAATCTCTACTTTATTTCCCATAATAATTCTACCTGGTAGCATATCACAAATTTAAAAGTAGTAAACTTCCAGTTTACTTATACATATGAAAATCCATAGCAAGTACATTTAAAGAATATACATTTTACACATGCTTATATAAAACCATTTCCTATGTTACCTGTCTTCGGTCTCCGGTCCTTAAAAAACACTCTATTATTAATTGCACAAATTTGGTCCTTGCCAAACACTATGTAGGTTTACAGATTATATGAATTATTCTGTTTCAGCAAAATTCCAAATGGGGACCCTAAATACATTTAAATTTAGAAATATGTATTTCTTTCAAAATAAGGTCATGCAATTAATCTTACTCTTCTACTGCTTGTTCTTAACATACTAAAGGTTTTAGGTAGTAGAATAATTAATTGGTACAAAATGGGTATTTTGAAAGGATGTTAACAGACAAATGTGAAAGAATTCCACAGCTTAAAGATGATAAAAAACAAGCACACCAATTTACAAATTGTGAATGAAATGATCAAGTCAACTGAAGATCTTTTTACATAATTCTGAAATAGCTCATAAATATTAATAGTAATAGTTGACTTAGATATTGATTTGCTACAAAAAGGAAAGAAACAAAAATTCACCTATTTTCCAAATGTCTGAAATCAGCAAATATATAAGCCTATCAGGATGGCGGGGGGGAAGATCATTATTTTAATAACTCCATTTATACAAAATTTGCTTTTCAAGGCCAAACGAGAATGAATCTCGTAACTTCTGCAGGACAGAGAATGATATGAGGTATCCTCTATCACTCATAACCCAACATCACCTACCCTAGCATTACATAGGTTAATAATAACTATCATTTCGACAGCACTGTAGAATGTACCTACACTCCCATTGTCCTGTTTGTCCTCTAGGAGGCAGGGACAATGTTTATTCATCTATGTACTTCCAAGGCCTAGCCTCTGTAGAGAAGGCCACTGAGACAGGGATGAAAGCCACTCTGAAGGAACGTCAACCTGATAAACACTTTCAGAAATCACTGTTCCGTCTCCCCAGATCTCAGTAATAAAGCCAGAGGAGTGCCTAGCCTTCCTGAGGTTGAGTGAGGTTCTACACCACAAGCCACCAGGGTGCTACATAAGCCAGGGAAAGCCACTTCTGCTCCTCGGGTCTGTTTCTTCCTTGGAATAGGGAAAACTTTAATAGCCTATGGTTCTATAATACACATTTACATAATCAATCAATCAATACATGTTGCCCCTCGAGTTCACCCAATTTCACCTGTATTGCCTATTAATCCACTATAATTCAATATCAGGCTTTTACAAGTTCTTAAAGTGACACTAAAAGTACCAATTTCTGGTCCAAGAAAAATGACAGGAAAACTACTATTATGACCCAAGAACCAGAAAATATTATTAGCAGTTTTTAGAAGGTACGGTCATCCTAAACATGTTTTGACGCACGACACCTTATTAAAGAGAGAGAGAGATATATATAGATATATGTATCTATATATCTATATAATTGTCTATTGTGAAATGCCAGTTACCTATTGTCGAAAATATTGATCAGATCAGTTTACTTTGATTACCACTTAATCGTTAAGTGGCTTACACTTAACAATTCTTATACAGAGAATAGGTGGAAAGAGAAAGGTTAGACTGCTAAATTGGTAAACTTTTCAGATTAATTTTGACTAAATCAAGAGAAATTATTTTTCCCTCATCAGATCATCAAAGTTGAAGTCCTTAAATTACCTATACTAGTAAAGTTTTGTTTATCGTTTTTCAAATAGGTGATTGTAGGGCTAAATAGCTAAATGCTGAAACTAACATTAAACCTCTACCAAACTAAAAAAATGAAAAAGATAACTGCAAACGAGCGTCTTGCTAGTCGAGTTAATTCATTCTGTAATTCTAACTGAATCTTCGCACATCTCCCGAATGGCAAATGGCATTACATTGCTAAGAGTCTTTTCGCACTTATTCATGCTTCAAAGCAGGCAGTTTCTGGGACTTGTCTGGCCAACAACCCGTTCCCAAAGGCTCGGGGAAGGAGGTTGCGGGTGGGTGGCGCGGACCTCGGGTCCCCAGCCATCGGCGCTCTCCCGGGGCCCTCTGACCTCGCTCCTTAAAGGAGGAGGGTCCGTGGCAACGGTCCTCCTCGGCCAGGCGCTCTCGGGACGCGGGGGTGAGGAGTGAGCGCCGTGGCCCACCCTACTCTCCGAGCGGGGACGGAGTGGGCGACACCGCGCGCCCGGCTGCACGCAGGCTCTGCGCGGCTCGAGGCGGCCCTACAGGGGGCGAGGAGGAACCCCGGAGACTCGGCGGAGAGAGCAGAGACGGAGCTCACCAAGGGGCTTGCCGCCGCAGAGCGCGGGAGCCGGCACTCGGTGGGGCCGAGGGCCCGGGGACGCTGGGGCTGCCTGACCTGAGCGGCGGCCGCTGACCGTTGAGGGTCTCTGTGGCCGCAGCGCCCAGACCCGGGGAGAAGGGCGGCCTCCAAGGGCCGGGAGCCCCTCGAGGGCGCGGCCAGCGAGGAGGGACAGAGGGCGGCGCCCCCGGCTGCCCGGGCGCGTAGAACAAGCAGCTGCCGCCAGGGCCGACAAAGTTGCTCCCCGAGGGGCTGAGATCCAACTTTCGCTTCCCGATTTAGCCAGGGGAGCGCGAGGCCGCACACAACCCGGCGCGGGGGGAAAGCCGGCTGCAGCTGCGCCTCCCATCCTTACCCGGCTGGTCCCTGGCGGGGAGCCTGGGCAGCGCCGACCAAAGTTCGGAGCGGCAGCTTCGGGGCGCGGGACGCGGGGCACACGGGCTCAGCTGCTCGACGGGAGCCCGACGCGCGCTCCTCGGCGGGTCGGCGGGTCCGGAAGCTCCGCTGCCCGGGCCGGGTCCCCAAGCCCGCAGCCGCTTTGACTAAAATAGGCATCGCGACGGCGGCGGCAGGCGGCGGCAGCCAGGGCTGGGGCCGCACCGCGCACGCGCATGCGCCCGCCGCCCCGCGCCCCCCGGCGGGCGGAGCCCGGCGCCGCGGCCAGGATTTCCCACCTCGCTCCCGCGACTCCGCTGCGGGTCTGCACACCCGAGGACTCGGTTTGAAACGCCCGCTTATTTATTTTCTTGTCGCCTCGCTACAAGATTCTATCCTTGTTTGGGCATGAGTGGGGGGCGGCAGTCTCGTGGGACCGGCGGCATTCGTCGTTCCTCCTTACGGGGATAATTCGAGAAGTGCGGTCCGGGTAGGGAGAGAAATCAGGAGAGAAAATGAGAAAGAGAATCCTCGTTTCCCCTCAAAGTTGGACGACCCACTCGTATATCTCCTTTTTGGGAGATTCGCCCATAACTCAGCACAAACAGGGAATAGCCCGGAAAGCGCGCGAGTTCCCGTCCGATTGTGGCGGGGGAGGCTGAACGTTTGGTCCACACGGGTGCAGGACGCGGGGGTCAGGCCTCCTGCTGCGGAGGAAGAGGGGGAAGAGGCCGCGCGGGAGGGACTTCTGACACGCGCCACTGTTTTTGTTTTCAAACAGGGGTACTTAACCGAAACTAGCAATCCCAGGCGGTACAAGGCCCTCCATCGTAGGCAAAGCACTACCTGAATGTAGATTTGGGCCATACGTTGGAAAATAAGACATGAGAGTATGCTCCGATCAACTTTTACTGTTCACTGGACAACTATTTTGGGTAAGAAAAGCAAGGAAACTTAATAAAGAATTGGCGTTGTTGGGAGTTGTCTTGTAGGACAATAGAGGAAGGTTAGATGGGTACCCAGTTTCCACCAAAAGTGTCCCATTATTGGTTAAAATTGGCATCAGTTATTAGATTATGAGATCGTTCATGCATGTGAAATGTGATCTCAATATAAAAAATACCACCACCGATTGTGTGAAGGTACATTATAAAGAGTACCTGGAGGTGCACACTGGACAAGTCTCTGGTTGAAGAGATGGTGCAGCCTAGTAAGAAAGAGCATGGGCCTTGATGTCACACAAGCCGGGTTTGAATACTCCCTCTCCTACCAGTTTACTGTGTGACCTTGGAGAAGTTACCTAGCCCTTCTGTGCCTCAGTTTCCTTTTTGGAACATGGGGATAATGATGATGATGATGATGATGATGATGATAATTATGATAATTGTACCTGCACTTCATAGTATAGTTTTGAGGACTAAATGGTGTAATTATATATAAGGGTCTTAAAATGGTGTTTGGGACATAAGTTCTATGTATATATATTGTATTTATAAAACTCCTTTTCTAATACGTCTGAACTTTCCTATAACCATAAAAGATTACTTTTTGAGATTACTTCTTTAGAGTCTGTTTCTTTCTAGATGCTCTGCCAGCCTTTTTTTTTTGAGGCAGAGTTTCACTCTTGTTGCCCAAGCTGGAGTGCAATGGCGCGATCTGGGCGCACTGCAACCTCCGCCCCCCGGGTTCAAGCGATTCTTCTGCCTCAGCCTCCCCAGTAGCTGGGATTACAGGTGTGCCCACGTCCCTACCAGCTGTTTTGATAGCTACCACTAAATACATTTTAAGGTGTGGGTATACATGTGTGCGTAAAGACTTAACTACACAGATGTTCACTGGAGGGTGAGTTATAATAATGAATATTGGAAATAGCCTAAATTCTAACCACAGGGGACTAAGTAAATTATAGAACATCCAGACAGTCTTGTTTATGAAAGAGCATGGGCCTTGATGTCACACAAGCTGGGTTTGAATCCCCCCTCTCCTACCAGTTTAAACAGCCATTAAAAATAAAAAACATAGAAACAGACTCTATGTTTAAACAACCATTAAAAATAATTTCTAGAAAGATATTATAGACATCATAATAATGTCTACTAATTATATAAAGCAAGCTATGCCCCCAAAACCCCAGCCCACTGCCTGTTTTTGTATACCCATTTTTACATTTTTTATGGTTGGAAAAAATCAGAAGAAGAATATTTCATGATATGTGAACATTATATAAAATTCAAATTCAGTGTCCATAAAGTTTTATTGGAACCCAGTCACGTTCATTTTTATGGCTGCTTTCATGCTGCCAGTGCGGCTTTGATTAGTTACAAGAGAAACCTTATGGCCCACAAAGCCTAAAATGTTTACTCTCTGGCTCTACAGAAGAAGCTTACTGATGCCTCACATAGAGTATACTTTGTGTCAGGCAGTGTTATAAGTAACTTAGATATATTGTCACCTATTACACACCCACTCCTTACCTTCAGGATAGGATACCTGTAAGGCATGTAGATCTTATAAAGATTGCACATTTTTATGAAAAGAGCACTGAATTAGTTATCATAAGATTTGAGTTCTAGCCTTTCACAGAGTCTGTGTTTTCTTTGAGTCTGTGTTCTATAGGAAGTGAAGACTGGAAAAAACCTAATCCCCTCACTATAACCCATCTAGGATTGAAACCGTTATTTATAATGAGTATCTTACTGTATTTTAATTTCTTATCCCAGATGTATGAATAGTAGCTTTATAAAATTCAAAGCAAGAATTCTAAACACATAGCCCAGGATATGGGAATGCCTTAAGCTCCCTGGTCTCCTCCTGCTGGCCACAGAAAGGTCAGATTGAAAGCTTCCGAGCGCTATTTTGAAAGTTAATATGAAGCAAGGAGCTAATTTGCACATACGTGTAGAATGAAAAGGGTAAGAAGCATGAATAACAAAATACAAGGCAGTCTGTCTCCTCTGTAAAAACTCTGGCTAGTGTTAGATTGACATAATTATTTTTACCTTTATTTCTCTATAGGCATCCTAGTCTACTTTTACCAGTTGGATAAAACCTTAATGAGACTTCAAAGTTCAGATAGAATAAGTTTTGTGAAAATAAAACAAGATCTGAGGGAGTCACTTGTTTTAAAAGTACACATATATTGGGAGGCTGAAGTGGGCGGATCACCTAAGGTCAGGAGTTCTAGCCAACATGGTGAAACCCCATTTCTACTAAAAATACAAAAATTAGCCCGGTGTGGTGGTACATGCCTGTAATACAGCTACTCTGGAGGCTAAGGGACAGGAATTGCTTGAACCCGGGAGGCAGAGGTTGCGATCAGCCGAGATCACACCACTGCACTCCAGCCTGGGCAATAGAGTGAGACTCTGTCTTAAACAAAAAACAAAAAAACAAGTACTCACATAACAGTAAGTAGCGTTATATTCCTTATCTACAAATCTGCCCATGGTATACATCAGTGTAGACTTTATTTCAACTGTTATTACTAATTGCATGGAGACTATAGCAGTTTCTGATACATTCTCATAGCAGACAGTTCTGGTCACGACTGGTTTCTGAACCCACATTCCTCTCACTAATTGTTGCATTAACTTTTTCACTGACCAGTTTGACAACCATCCTCACTGATTGTTTTTACATTTCTTTTGATTTTTAAAAAATTAATGGACTTTTTTAAAGAGCAGTTCAAGTTTACAGATGACTGAGCAGATAGTTTCCCTCATGATTAACACCTTGCATTAGTGTGGTATGTGTGTCACAAAGGGAGAACTCAAACTGATCCATCATTATTAACAAAGGTCTGTAGTTTACTTTACAGTTCACTCTTCATGTTGTAGATTCTGCAGGTTTTGCCAAATGTATAATGTCATGTATCCACCATTACAGTATCATACAGAACAATCTCAATATACTGTGCTGCAGTTCTTCATCCCTCTGTCTATCCTCCTCCCACACCCCTGGCAACCACTGATCTTTTTACTGTCTTCATAGTTTTGCCTTTTCCAAAATATCCTATTGTTGGCATTATATAATGTATTGCCTTTTCAGATTGGCTTCTTTCACTAAGCAGTATGCATTAAGTTTCTTCCATGCCTTTTCTTTTTTTAATGTGATGTATGTATATATTGTGAAATGATTACCACAATCAAATTAGTTGACACATCCATCACCTCAGATAGTTACCATTTTTATGTGTGTAGTGAGAACATGTAAGATCTACTCTCTTAGCAAATTCAGTTATAAAATAAAGTATAGCTAACTGGAGTCACTACTCCATTCATTGGATCCCCAGAGCTTATTCATCTTATAACTGGAAGTTTGTACCCTTTGACCACCTCCCCGGTTTTCCCACCCTTCAGCCCCGGGTAACTGTATTCTCTGTTTCTGTGAGTTCAACTTTTTTAGATTCCATGCATAAGTGAGGTCATACAACATTTGTCTATCTCTTTCTGACTTATTTCACTTAGTGTAAGCCCTGCATTTTTATTCATGTTACAAATGAAAGAATTTCCTTCTTTTATGGCTGGATAATATTTCACTGTGTACATATGCCATATTTTCTTTATCCATTCCTTCCTCAGTGGACACTTACATTGTTTCCCTGTCTTAGCTGTTGTTAATATTGCTGCAATGAACATGGGAGTGCAGACATCTCTTTGAGATACTGATTTTATTTCCTTCAATATATACCTAGAATTGGGCTTGCTGGATCATATGGTAATTATATTTTTAATTTTTCAGGGAACCTCCATACTGTTTTCCGTAATGGCTATACCAGTGTACACTCCCACCAACAATGCACAGGGGCTCCTTTTTCTTCATATTCTGGCCAATACTTGTTACCTCTTGTCTTTTTGATAGTAGCCATTCTAACAGGTGTGAGGTGATTATCTCATTGTAGTTTTGATTTGCATTTCCTTGATGATAGTAATGGTGAACACCTTTTCGTGTGTCTGTTAGCCATTTGTATGTCTTTGGAAAAATGTCTATTGAGGTCCTTTACCTATTATTTATTTATTTATTGCTGTTGAGTTATATGAGTTTCTTACATATTTTGGATATTAACCCCTTATCAGAGATATGGTTTTCAAATATTTTCTCCCATTCCATAAGTTGCCTTTTCATTTTGTTGATTGTTTCCTTTGCTGTGCAGAAGCCTTTAAGTTTGATGGAATCCCACTTGTTTGTTTTTGCTTTTGGTATCATATCCAAAAAGTCATGGCCAAGACCAATGTCAAGAATACTTTTTCTTACATTTTCTTCTAGTGGTTTTATGGTTTCATTTAAGTCTTTAATCCATTCAGAGTTAATTTTTGTGAATGGTATAAGATAAGGGTCCAATAATCAGTCTTCCCAAAACAATTTATTAAAGATACTATCTTTCCCCCATTGTATATTTTTGGTGCTGTCATCAAAAATTACTTGATCATAAACACATGGACTCATTTCTGGGCTATTCTGTTTCATTGGTCTAGACGTGTGATTTTATGCTGGTACCATTGTTCTGATTACTGCAGGTTTGTAATACAGCTTGAAATCAGGAAATGTGATGCCCCTAGCTTTGTTCTTCTTTCTCAAGATTGCTTTGGCTATTTGGGGTTTTTGTTTGTTTGTTTGTTTGTTTGTTTCTTTTGAGATGGAGTCTCACTGTGTTGGCTAGGCTGGAGTGCAGTGGCACAGTCTCCGCTCACTGCAAACTCTGCCTCCAGGGTTGAAGTGATTCTCCTGCCCTAGCCTCCCAAGTAGCTGGTATTACAGGTGCCCACCACCATGCCTGGCTAGGTTTTGTATTTTTAGTAGAGACGCGGTTTCTCCACGTTGGCCAGGCTGGTCTCGAACTCCTGACCGCAAGTGATCCACCCACCTCGGCCTCCCAAAGTGCTGGAAGGGATTACAGGCGTGAGCCACAGCGCCTGGCCTATTTGGGGCCTTTTGTAGTTCCATGCGAATTTTAGGATTTTTTTTCTATTTTTGTGAAAAATGCCATTGGAATTTTGATAGAAAATGCATTGAGTTTATAGATTACTCTTGGTAGTATAGACATTTTAACAATATTAATCCTTCCGAACCACGAACGTAGGACATATTTTCATTTATTTGTGTCTTCCTCAATTTATTTCATCAATGTTTTATACTTTTAGTGTATAGGTCTTTCATGTTCTTGGTTAAATGAATTGCTAAATATTTTATTGTTTTGATGCTGTTGTCAATGAGATTGCTACTTCATTTCAGGTAGGTTGTTATTCATATACAGAAATACAACTGGTTTTCACATGTTGATATTATATCCTTTAATTTTACTGAATGTGCTTATTAGTTCTAATAATTTTTGGTGGAGTATACAGGGTTTTTATATATAAGATCATGTCTTCTGCAAATATACAATTTTACTTCTTCCTATCTGATTTGGAAGGCTTTTGTTTCTTTTTCTGCCCCAGCGAAGACTTTCAGTACTGTCTTAAATAGAAGACAAGACACTCTCGTCTTGTTCCTGACTTCAGCTTTTCCTTTTTCTTTTTCTTTGTTTTTTCGAGACGAGGTCTTGCTGTATTGCCCAGTCTAGTATGCAGTGGCATGATCATAGCTCACTGTGGCCTTGAACTCTGGGTTCAAGTAATCCTCTTCTCTCAGCCTCCTGAGTAACTGCAACTATAGCTGTGTGCTGCCACAGCCCGCTAATTGTCATATTTTTTTAGAGACAGATCTCACTGCTCACTGTGTTGGCCAGGCTGGTCTCAAACTCCTGGCCTCAAGTGATCTTCCCACATCAGCTTCCCAAAGTGTTGGAATTACAGGTGTGAGCCACCATGCCCAGTCAGCTTTCAGCCTTCACCATTGAGTATGATGTTAGCTGTGGGCTTGTGATATATGGCCTTTATTGTGTTGCGGAACATTCCTTTTGAGAGTTTTTATCATGAAAGGATGTTGAATTTTGTCAAACGTTTTTCCACAGATACTGAGATGATCATCATATGGTGTTTGTATTTCACTCTGTCAGTGTGGTGTATCATATTTATTTATTTGTATATGTTGAACTATCCTTGCATCCCAGGGATAAATCCCCCTTGATCATGGTGTGTGAAATCTTTAATGTGTTGTTGAATTTAGTTTGCTAGTATTTTGTCGAGGATTTTTGCATCTATGTTCATTGAGGATATTGGCCTGTAATTTTCTTTTCTTGTGGTGTCCTTATCTGGCTTTGGTATGAGGGTAATTCTGGGCCCATAAAACGTGTTTGGAAGTGTTCTCTCCTCTTCGGCTTTCTGGAAGAGTTTGAGAAAGACTGACGTTAAATTAAAAGTTAAAGATTGAAGCTTTAAATATTTGGTAGAACTCACTAGTGAAGCCATTTGGTCCTTTACTTTTCTCGTTGAGTCTTTTTATTACTATTCATTCTCCTCACCATTGTTGGTCTGTTCAGATTTTCTATTACTTATGATTTAGTTTTGGTAGGTTGTCTGTTTCTAGTTGTTTATTTATTTCTTTTAGGTTACCCAATTGTGGCCATATAATTGTTCATAGTAGTGTCTTATGATCTTTTCTATTTCTGTGGTATCAATTGTAACCTTCATGTCTTTTTGAGTCTTAATAGCCCATATCTTTTTATTACTGGATGTACCACGGTTCATTTATCCATTTACCATTTTAAGGACATCTTGGTTTCTTCCAGTTTTGGCAAATTATGTCTAAACATATATAAACATTGGTGTGGAGTTTTTTGTGTACACATATTTTCAACTCATTTGGGTAAATACCTAGGATCATATGGTAAGACTATGTTTAGGTTTGTAAGAAAACTTCCAAACTGTCTTCCAAAGTGGCTGCACCATTTTGCAATCTCACTAGCAATGAATGACAGTTCCTGTTGCTTCACATCTGTACTAACATTTAATACTATCATTTTTTTGTAGGGTGGGGTGGGGAGTTCTAGCCATTCTAATAGGTGTGTTTTTTACTTTATAAATTGATTCAATTACTTAATTTGTTCAAAATAACCAAACAGGTTATGCACTCAACAGGTCTATATTTTTGCTAGATGGAAAACTGGAAACAACATCTCAAAGCAAAGGGCCTAAACTTTTGTATTATTGTTTTGCAAGTCCCGCCGTCTAAAAAATGCAGTGTCCAGATACTGTTAATGTTAAATTCAGGGAGAAGCTCCCTAAAGTCATGTAACAGTTTAATCATTGGACAATAAACTTTCACCAAAAGGCTTCACAGCTCCTAAAAGAAATGACACACAGGCTGGGCGTGGTAGCTCATGCCTGTGACCCCAGCACTTTAGGAGGCTGAGGCAGGCCGTTTGCTTGAGCCCAAAAGTTTGAGACCAGCTTGGGTAACATGGCAAAACCCTATCTCTACAAATGGGCCATCATGGCGACTTGGCGCCTGTAGTCTCAGCTACTCCAGAAGCTGAGGCAGGAGGATCCCTTGAGCCTGGGACGTAGAGGCTGTAGTGAGCTGTGATCACATAACTGCACTCCAGCAAGGGTGACAGAGCAAGACCCTGTCTCAAAAAGCAAGCAAACAAACAAAACAAAATTTAAAAAACACACACACGGCTGGGCACGGTGGCTCACATCTGTAATCCCAGCACTTTGGGAGGCCGAGGCGGGTGGATCACGAGGTCAAGAGATTGAGACCATCCTGGCCAACATGGTGAAACCCTGTCTCTACTAAAAATACAAAATTAGTTGGGCATGATGGCTTATGCCTGTAGTCCCAGCTACTCGGGAGGCTGAGGCAGGAGAATTGCTTGAACCTGGGAGACAGAGGTTGCAGTGAGCTGAGATTGCGCCACTGTATTCCAGCCTGGCGGCAGAGCGAGACTCGGTCTAAAAAAAAAAACAAAAACAAAAACCCACACACACAACACCAAAATTTTAAAAAGTGACCCCGAACTTTAAGAAGATAGTGAATTATGAAGGCAGTTCAAAGAGTGGTAGCTTTGGAATTAGCAGCTGGATTTGAACAATGGTTTTACATTTAATAGGCTGTATGTGTATTCAGATAATTATCTCTTCTGAGCCTCAATTTACTTGTCTATAAAACTGGGAAAATAACTCATAGTTACCAAGATGATTTTGACTTTTAGAGATTATGTTTTTTAAAATGCCTAGCATCTAGTTCTTGGTAGCATAATTGCATATCTCTTGTATGCCCCTAATAGTGCCCTGCACATGGTTCACAATTCATAAAAATTATTTGAATTCTAGTTCAATTGTTTAATGGAAATGAATTTGAATCACCAAAATTCCCTAGTCTGAAGAAATAGTTGAACTATCCTATGAACACATGAAGTAGCTAAAATGTAGTTTCATTTTTCTATATATTTGCCAGTTTTAAATAGATGGAATACAGAATACACAAGGTATTTTAAATGAAACTTGCTTATACATTATAAGAATTTGATGCATGCTAAAATTTCCAGTAGTTTGGGATTTCCCTGGAATAGCTAGCAGATCACAAGGTCAGGAGAACGAGACCATCCTGGCTAACACTGTGAAACCCTGTCTCTACTAAAAATAAAAAAAATTATCTGGGCGTGGTGGCGGGCACCTGTAGTCCCAGCTGCTCGGGAGGCTGAGGCAGGAAAATGGTGTGAACTCAGGAGGCGGAGCTTGCAGTGAGCTGAGATCGTGCCACTGCACTTCAGCCTGGGCAACAGAGCGAGACTCCATCTCAAAAAAAAAAGATACTGGCTTCAAAAGCAAACTCATGAAATATGCAACAGTCTAGATTGTATAAACTGGGCAGTTGGCAGAGCTAAGTTACAGTAATTCACCATCTTGGGGTTGGCAGAAATGTGCATACAGTAACTATATTGTCAGAAACCAGAGGCCTGATCTTCCCTCTGTCTATTCTTTTTCACATAGCTTTTCTTCTGAAAGAGAAGAATTACATTTGTTAATATTTGTTTTAAATATTAATTATAACAAACAAAGGCCACAGATGAAGCATTTCATAGGGTTTCCTAATCCTTTTGGAAATTGTTTCAAAGAGAAGGAAATTATTGTAAGTAAGCAGGCATAACAAAATCGTGTTTTAAATAAAAAAGGTAAGTATGAAAAGAGGATCAGAGAAGTGACCCTGAATTCCACTCAATTCTCTAAGAAGCTTCAACCTGTAACCAGAAGGATTCAATCTCTGGGCCAGATAGGATCTTCAAAACAAAACTGGATCAGGGGCCTAGGTAGATACCCCAAGAAGGGCAGATTCAAATGTCTGGCGCCATCTATAGTGACAACCTCTCTTGTCTTTTGTTCTTTCCCTGTTGGGAACTTCTAGGAATTTGCAGACCTATAAAGCCCATCTATAAATCTCAAGCATGTCCACTTTCAGAGAAGAGAAATGCTGACAACCATTTAGTCTCTGAGGACAACACTTTTAAAGGTACTGTTTTATTTAGTGTGTAAACAACTTCTTTATATGAGGTATTTAGTGGTTAGAAAGGAAAACTTGTTAAAGGTAGAAAAATAACTTTTGGCAATTTTTAATAGTATGTAATTTAGTGGTATAGATAAGATTTTGATTGACTGAAAGTGAAGCTATAGGCTGGGTACAGTGGCTCACACCTGTAATCCCAGCACTTTGGGAGGCCAAGGCGGGTGGATCACCTGAGGTCAGGAGTTCAAGACCAGCCTGGCCAACATGGTGAAAGCCAGTCTCTACTAAAAATACAAAAATTAGCCAGGTGTGGTGGCAGACGCCTATATCCCAGCTACTCAGGAGGCTGAGGCAGAAGAATTGCTGAACCCAGGAGGCAGAGGTTGCAGTGAGCTGAGATCTTACCACTGCACTCCACCCTGGGTGACAAAGCGAGACTCTGTCTCAAAAAAAAAAAAAAAAAAAAAGTGAAGCCATGTAAGGACTTCTAATCTTTATCTGGTGAAAGCAGAACTTTCAATTATCATAGAGTTTCTACTATGTGACATAGAGTTCTGTATCATTTTATACAATTACTCCTCCAAAAAGGCTGGTTTGGGAGGCAAATAGGAGGCCTGATAATAGCCAGCCAAGTAATTTGACATAAGGCTAGAAACAAAAACCCAAAGCAGCACATCATAAAGATGGAATAATAAAATAAAAGTTGGGAATAATGACGCTGCCATCCGGCGTTAATTGATGTGCAAAAGCACTCAGTTCCCAGGAGAAAAGAATTATTTAAATGCAAATTTGTATTATTAGTACTACTTAAATTGTTGTAATAAATTCATGAAAATAAGACACCTCTCTAGTTTAATACATATATAAAACCTAATAAAATATTTATGAGCCACATCCAGCAGTTTTAGCATTTTGCATAAAAAATTGGTAAACATGATGAAACATTTCTCTAATCCAAGATCAAACATATTTGATATAATTTAGAACCACACAAAGTGATTGCAAATGCTATTTAGTTTGAAAACTATAGGGCACCCTCACACATTCCCCTGAAAGAACAAAAAGATCATGCTTTGAAAAAGAGATTTTAGAGCCATTGAATCTCTTTTTAGAGTATGGGAAGAATAGAAGTACTTTGGACAGAGCAGTTTCTGACAGAAGATGATTTGGGTTTATACGAGATATACAGAACTATTATGCAGTTTTACTGCATGCCACAACACAGAATTTCTTAATATCTTTCAGCCACACTAAGTCATCTGAGTAGAAGTGTATGAATATATTATAAGCTCAGAAAATGGCATCTAAAAGCAATAGAGTATTACAGTGTGAATCAGGAAATTTTTCACGTTTTGAAGGTTTCAAATGACTTGGTTTAATAAATAAATAAAACTTGTAATACCTAGAAAATTGATGTTGAATGGGAAAAATAAAATATTGCTATTAATGACTTGGCATTCAGTACTTACATTATTGATGACTTAACATGCTGGCATGTGATTCCCAGCTGTTTTAAGGTGACGCTACAGATGTGTGATTCCCTAGAGCCATTTTTCTCTATCTCTGTTATGGCCTTTATTACTTGCTACCTTTTACATATTTATGTAAAAGACTTTTTCTCCCTCCAGGTCAAAAGTTTCTGGAGGATAAGAAGTGTATCTGATTTATCTTTCGTATCTCCGTGGTGCTTAGCACATGATTTACATATATTTGGAACTCGGTAAATTCTCCAATAGAACAAACAGTAAATCTTTTTAAAAATCATGTTTTACAACTTAAATTATTATGAATGGGGAAAACAGTAGAAGAAATGTATACCAATATGTTAATAGAAATTGGGTTAGGATAGTGGAATGATTGTCTTTTCTTTTTTCTATTCTAACTTGTTTATAATACATTATTTTTCTAATAGAATAAATAACAAAGTGACACTTAATATTCTACCAGGTCATATTACTTTATTAGAATTATGGTGACGTCTCACCATGACAGTGACACCCCACCCCACAGCCCACCCTCATACTCCCCATCACCAGCGTCCTCTCCTCCCCTGTCCTGTCTAGCTGATTAATGATGGAACAGGAACAACTTGAAAAAGATACGTTTGGAAGGAGTGGAAAGAGCTGGTGGAGCAGAGGGAAGGTTTAACCATGAGATTCATTCAGAATTCATTCATTCATTCAGAAACACTGAGTGGTCTGATAGGTGGGAAATGCTTGGGGTCAGACCGTAGCAATAGGGGAAGAATGCAGAGGCCTCCAAGTCAGAGGCAGCAGCAGAGCCAACCACACTCTAGGTGCCATCAGCCCAGATACCCAGAGACCAACTACCCAAGCAACATTGCATTCGATCCAGGGAGGAATTAGGAGTTCAAGATCACCCTGGGCAACATAGCGAGACCCCCATCTCTTAAAAAAATATTAGCTGGGTGTAGTGGCGCATACCATGGTAGTTGCAGCTACTGGGGAGGCTGAGGTGGGAGGGTCTCTTGAGCCTGGGAGTTCTAGGCTGCAGTGAGCCGGGTCGTGCCACTGCACTCCAGCCTGGGTGATGGAGTGAGACCTCATTGCAAAAATAAATACAATTTAAAAAATAAAATATAATAACTGCCTAAAATGGAAAGAAACATCTTTTTAAAACATTTAAAAATTGTTATGGGTACATAATAGTTGTATATATTTATGGGGTACATGTGACGTTTTGATACAGGCATACAATGTGTAATGATCAAGTCAGGGTAATTGGAGTACCTGTCACCTCAAGCATTTATCATTTTTTTGTATTGGGAACATTATAATTCCACTCTTTTGGTTATTAAAAATATGCAATAATTTATTGTTAACTATAGTCACCCTATTTATTGTGCTACTGAATACTAGATCTTATTCATTCTATCTAATTGTATTTTTGTATCCATTAATGATTCCACTTCATATCCCCTTTACCGACTACCCTTCTCAGTATCTAGTATCCATCATTCTACTTTATATTTCCATGAATTCAGTTTTTTTTTCAGCTCCCACAAATGAGTGAGAACATGCAATATTTGTCTCTCTGTACCTGGCTTATTTCACTTAAAATATTGTCCTCCAGTTTCATCCATGTCGTTGCAAATGACAGTATTTCATTATTTTCTGTGGCTGAAAATTTTGTCTATATACCACATTTTCTTTATCCATTCATCTGTTGATGGACACTTATGTTGATTCCATATCTTCGCTATTGTGAATAGTGCTGCAGTAAACATGGGAGAGCAGATTCTCTTCGATATACTGATTTCCTTTCTTCTGGACGTATACCCAGCAGTGGGATTGCTGGATCATATGTTACTTCTATTTTTAATTTTTTGTGGAACTACCATACTGTTCTCCATAGTGGCTGTACTAATTTGCATTCCCACCAACCTTTCTCCACATCCTCACCAGCATCTGTTATTCCCTGCCTTTTTTGTAAAGGCCATTTTAACTGGGGTGAGATGATACCTCATTGTAGTTTTGAGCTGCATTTTTCTGATGATTAGTGGTGTTGACTATTTTTTCATATACCTGCCAGCCATTTATTTGCATGTCTTCTTTTGAGAAATGTCTATTCAGATCTTTTGCTCGTTTTTAAATTGGATTGATTTTTTTCCTATTGAGTTGCTTAAGTTCCTTATATATTCTGGTTATTAATCCCTTGTCAGATGAATAGTTTGCAAATATTTTCTTCCATTCTGTGGGTTGTAGAAATGTCTCTTAAATGGCAGGATCAAATGTTTGTTTTCTGCCATCCCTGGGAAAAGGGTGTGAGAGCCATATTATTTAATTTATCATTTAAAATGGAATTATAGTCATCCTTGGGTATTGTGGGGGATTGGTTCTAGGACCCCCTCAGATACCAAAATCTGAGGATGCTCAAGTCCTTGATATAAAATGGCCTAGTATTTGCATATAGCATACAAACATCCTTCCATATACTTTAAACCATCTCTAGATTACTTATAATACCTAATACAATGGAAATTCTATGTAAATAGTTATACCATATTGTTTTTATTTGTATTATTTGTAGTGTTGTATTGTTATTTTAAATTTTTTCCAAATTATTATTTCCAAGAAATAGTAATTCTACATCATGCAGGAAAAAAAATGCTATTATTACAGGCCTTACATTTTATTTTGGATCCAAGGTTGGTTGAATCTGTGGCTGTGGAACCCTCACATACAGGGGGCTGACTGCACTTATGAGGGACATGATAATCCATTACATGTTTCTGTTAAAAAAGAAAATTTAATTGGGAGGCCATTAGGCTGAGGTGGCTCCAGTGCCTTGGGCTCCTATGTAAAAAAACCAAAGCCCAGTGTAAACAGTAAAACAAAACTTAAGCTTAACCAATCAGAAATTGCCAACCAGCCTCTAACTAGGGACTTTCCACACTAACCACTGAAGTATATTTTCTTTGTCTTGCTTCTGGACCTTATAAGTTTCTCTCTTGCCTGTCCCCCTACAGTGAAGCTCTGAACCACTTGTAGCCTAGTGCTGCCTGATTCATGAATTGCTGTCTGCCCAAATAAACTCTTCAAAATTTTGTTTTGCCTAAGTTTACCTTTTAACATTCCCAACAAAGAATCTCTAAGCAAAAATCATTTTGTAGATTTTCAATTCAATAAATGATCTTGGAACCTAAAGACTAATAACTGTGCATCCTGAACAAGTGCTGTTCAGACTCACTTCAACAGTATCAGCAAGAAAAAATGTGACTTTGAAAGTCATTTAAGGAAATAATAATTCTATATCATAAAAAAATGCTATTATTATAGTTCTTACATTTTATTTCATGAGAAACTACTAGTGGCACTGCATAATTGAAATCAACTTGAGAAGGGAATTCAATGTTAAAATTCAAATACAAAAATAGATGCAATTGGCTGGGCATGGCAGCTCACGCCTGTAATCCCAGCACCTGGGGAGGCTGAGGTGGGAAGATTGCTTGAGCCTAGGAGGCAGAGGTTGTAGTGAGCCAAGATGGCACCACTGTACTCTAGCCTGGGTGACAGAGTGAGACTCTGTCTCAAAAATAAAGATGCAATTAATTTCCTTCTATGCAATGAATATTTACAAAGCAGCTACCATGTGCCAGGCATTGTTCTCTAACAGTGAAGAAGATATAGACTAGTGGAAGAGTTTCAGAGTAGAATTCCTTTTCTCATAAGATGGACATTGTGCTTGTGCATTGGTTAAACTTTTATCTCAAAGGAACCAACTTATATTCTGCAGTAATATCCTGTTCTTCAGAAACCCCACTTGTATTACACCAAAAATTTCTTCCACATCTTGGAACCCTTACCTGGTGCTATTTGAAAAAACTTCAGCTTTTACAACGTTTCATTGTACATAAAGTTTTATTCTACCTGAGAGAAGAAAGAGAAGTAGCACTACAAGGGGCACTGAATTAATTTTCTTATAAGAAGGAGTGGATGGCACATAAAACATGATGGGCTGAGATAATGAAGGCTTCTCTCTAGGATACCTAGAGAGAGACCTCAATTGAGCTGTGATAATATCTGAATGAAATTGGACAGAACCAAAACTTTAAAAACTGATTTAAACTGCATCAAAGAAACTTGGCCTTGTTCTTTCATTATGTAAACTTATAGCCATTTAAAATAGAGTTACACTTAATGACACATTTTACTTGTAAACCACATTTGAGCTCAAGCTACTGCTGATGATTCAAAAGAAGAAAGGTTCATGTTTGAATAATTTTTCCTCATGCTGTCACTAACAGATTTGGAAGATGTGTAACTAGCATTTTGGCATTGAATTTTCCTTCAAGTCAGACTGGGGACATTTTAGTACTCTCCAAGTCAGGAACACAGTCAAGAACATGGTCAGTGCAGCATGAAAAATGCAAGGACACTGATTTAGAAGAATTAGGCTTAAGCTGAGTGTCACCACTGTTTACTAACTGTGATTCAGTCTTTCTGATTTTTATCCATAAAATGGGATCCTTCCAAGGAACAAGCAAATGAAATCACATGTAGGCATGTGCTTCATAAACTATGAAGTGTTAAATAAATGTAAGACATTGTTTTGTAATTATATAATTTGTGAGGTAAATTTACATTTAATAAGAGTAGTAATCTCAATTCTGATGGCCTGAGACACTTGATATTATATCAAGTGGAGCTAAAATTCTATGAAATTATGTAAAAACAAATATTTTAGAATCTTATAAATAAAATAAAATTACTCTTATTAAGATCACTAAAGCTTGAATTGGAATAAAAGAAAAAAGGGGACAATTACAGTTCAAGACACAAATTATCAGTTCTTAGGGAGAAAAGTGTTTTAAAGTTCCCTGCCAATCTTTAATAGCTAGTAGGTTTTAAAACTAGTCAAATTTAGCATAGCAATAAAACTTGAAGTTATGTTCAAATCATGCTGATATTATATGCAAATGTACAATTCAGCATTACAGTCATGGTAATACTTACGATGAGATGACTAAGAGTTAAAGTAACCAGTGTTTCAGTCTTGCTGCATCTTTTCACAGCTGTGAGAGTTCCGGTCTTGAAATAATACACAGTTCTATCAAATTAAACCTGCATTTTATTATAATAGGTCTATATCATACTAATGCTTATTTGTATTTTTGATTGATATGTATGCGTTAAATTTTAGTAGAATGAAGAAAAACAGTGGAATTAATTGGACCCATTGATCTCTTTAACTTGTATAAAAACTGTCTTTTACTAACAAGTAATACTAAATTGGCACATCATTTCTGAAGTTTAATTTCTCTAACAATGTGCAGTATAGGAAGAACATGGAACCCGATTAGAAAGTGCCATCCAATGCTGCATGTATATTTATGGCTTTTGTCAAACCAAGCATCTCACATACATAAAATTGTAAACGTATTGCTTTTACAATAATATGTACTGTCTGCCTAGTTTGTTTTTCTTATGGCTCTTGTCAGCTGAGGAAATTTCACTTTGTAACTGCCCTGTTAATTCTGCCTTTCTGGGTCTGAGCAGTGTAACAATGTGGCATCCAGAGCTTATCCAGATGAGCGGAGAGCAAATGAATTTCCTTCTGCTCCCCTGTTGAAGAGGAGAGAAAAATTCTTCAAGCTGTAAGTGCTCAGAGAGCATCATACTATTCTTTACAGTAGACTAATCTCAAGACCATGAGTTCCTAGGGGCTGCAGAGTCCAAGGCAAATCCCACTGATCCTTTCTCATATTTGCACAGGGGTCAAATCAAGTTCAGAGGAATAGCCCCATGGGGATGGGAAGCCTCCAGATATGCAGGTAAAGGAAAGGCCATGCAAGAGAGAAGCCTGCAGCCTCCAGGGACTTGCTTTGGCGACTGGGGTGTGGGGTGTTTACGGCCTCATTTTGTGCCAAAGCCACTCTCTTTTCCCGGACTCACTACTTCTCAGAGTCCCTCCTGACCATGAAAATTAGGACAGAAAATCACAAGGCAGTCACCCCAATTTCTTAAAGTCTAGGAACAACTCAGCTAGGGCCAGCTTCCTGGGCATGCGACCTGTGCAGTCACAAAGGGCTCCAGGCTTACAAGAGCCCCGCACTTGGCATAATGCTCTGCCATCTCCATCTTGAAATTCTTAAGACTCTTTGAACAAAGAGTCCATTTATTTATGAATATCCAGATCTTGTATACAAAGCCATAAAGCATTTTTAGCACAAGAACACAAGCTGTTGCTCATCTTAGTGCACTCTTATCAATGACAAGAGAACCAAAGGATGGAAATAATTAGGCTAAGACTAAAATGAGCCCAATTTTTAATAAAAATTAAATTTTAGGGGCACTATGATACAGAGGTCAGAGGTATTTTTCTAGGATATGTGTCATTTCTGCTTTCCATCTGGTTTGATTATTTTGAGATAGTATGTGGTTTGCTAGACATTTCAAACCAGACATACAATACAGCTACCTAAAAGTCACTGTAGGTTTTTGATTTTTTTTTTTAATAAAGTGAGAAAACCTGAGTGCAAACCTAGGTATTGGATAATAGCATATCTGTTAACACCAAGGAACAGTGCCAGCCCTATACAGAAGTGAAGACTGTGAAGTTTCAAAGCATCCCTTTACCTCCTCTTTCAGTATCCCTTTATCCCATTATGTTTGTACCCCTTTCTCCTTATAGTAAAAATAGATTTCTGGGAAACTTACATATAAAATCTTGTCCCCTCTGCCACTGAGTTGAGCCAAAAGTCTACATCCCATTTCTATGTGGCTTTGTTCTCTGCTGACTTTAATGGTTAGAAAGCTATCTGATAATTAATCCCTGTAAAATTATTACCTGGTAGTACTAACTTAAGATGTGACTTCTACCTGGGATGCTCTGCATTTTAATACTTTATAAATATCTCAAAGTCTTAAAGATTCAAGAAATGAATTTCTCCCAGAGCCATTGTAAAGCCCACTGACAAGCCAGTGGGTGCTTCCTGAAGGCCTTTGATTGCATCTGGCAGACAGCTGCCTTCGTGTCTGCTTGGAAGAGCTGCCCATGATGGCAATGTGTGGCCAAGAAATAGAAGAAACCATTCCAGTGATTCCTTTAGTTCATGCTAAACTTGAATAGCTCAGTAGTTCATCCAGACTAATGATTTACATCTTGTCACATTGTCCCACTTATGGTAGATGCTAACATACAGGAAAAGCAACGTCCTTTACATAACCCCAGTACTTCCTCTCCCGTTCTCCTTGCTGACTTTGCTTCCTAGGTCACCGAGAAAATGAAAATCACTGGAGAACTTTCACAATCTCTCACCACATCTCCCACTTGCCAGCAACTACTCTCACAGATACTCTTCTCTTTTCATTCATGAAGAATTGTCCATATTTCTCTTTAAGGCCACTGGATCCCATCACCTGCTCAAGGTCATCACTCCCGCAGTTCACTCCTCACTTATGGATTATTTCCATCTGCATGCAAATGCACCATCTTATCTGAAAATCAATAACAACCCCCTCTCTTGACCCCACTTTCTGCCCAGGCTACTGATCATTTCTATTTCAGTTCACATCAAAACTCCTTGAAAAACTTACCTACCCTTACTGTTCCAACTTCTTGCCTCTCATTCTCCTTCAACCTGCTTCAGTCGAGTTTTTGTTCCTGCTCACTCCACCAAAACTGCTCTTGTTAAGTTCCCCAGTGACTTCCATGTTGCTTAACCCGATGGTTCATTCTCAGGCCTCTCAGCCACATCTGAGACAGTTCATCACTCCCTTCTCCCAGAAATTCTCTTTGCTTGGCTTCCAGGATCCCAGGCTCTCCTGATTTTCTTTCTACCTCATTGGCTGCTCTTCCTCAGATCCTTTGCTGATTCTTCCCCCATCGCTTTGTCCCCTTAACAATGGAGTGCTCCAAGGTAAGCCTCAGACCATTTTTCTTCTGAATCTACACTCACTCTTTTGGCCATCTCATGGAGACTCATGGCTTTAAATACCATGTATATGCTAAATACTCCCAAAGCTGTCTCTACAGCGCAGACTTTTCTTTGAAACTCCAGGCTCATATCTCCAGCTGTCTACTCTACTTCAGCGTCTAGCAGGCATCTCACTCTTAATCCTCATTTTACTTTCCAAGTCCACTCTTTTCTCTCTTCCCCCTAGTCTATTCTCAGCAGGCTAGCCAGAGTGATCCTATTAAACCATGGGGCAGATCATATCACTCTTCTACTTCAGACCCTACAATGGCTTCTGGTCACTCTTAGAAAAAAATCAAAGTCCTTACCATGACTTATTTAGGCCTTACCCAGTCTGCCCACGGTTACTTTCTGTTCATTCTGTGCCAGCCAAACTAGCCTTCCAGCTGCTCCTGGAACAGGCCAGTCATGTTCATGCCTAAGGGCCTGCTCAGTTGCTGTCCCCTTTGCCCAAATTGCTCTTCCCTCAGATATCTGCATGGATTCTTCCATTGCCTCTTTCAGGTCTTCATTCAGACATTCCTTTTTGTGGATACTTTCCTTGACCACCCTATTAAAATTGCAATGCCCTTTCTTACCCACCTTCTCTAATTTATCACTCCCCTTGGTACTATCACCTTCTAAACATTTACTGATTTACTTTATTATGTCTCCCGCATCCCCAGAATGTAAGCTTTATGAGGGGTGGGATCTCCATCTGTTACCTGATGTATCCCCATGCCCATGTCAGCCATAGAAGGTGCTCAATACACACTTGTTAAATATTTGATAATGTATCTCTGTATCAAAGAACATAGTCTGCATGTGATCTTCAGAAAACCAGTTTTCCAAAGGAAGGGATCAGATCTCCAACTAGGGTTCTTTCTTAAGCTCTTCACAAAGCTGAAGCACTCGCTGTGAGGCAGACCCTTGTGTTTGTGCGGTGGGCTGAGCATTCCCTGTGAACCCTCGCTGCCCATTCACACCACTGAAAGCTCTTTCTGCTGAACACGTGAAACTGAAACACCGTGCAACATTTTTACTATTGGTTCAGGAGTACTCTTTTGACTTAGTAATGATCAGGCAGCTTTGTTTTCCAGGAAATGCTTCTTTTTAAATGTTATTTTATTTGTAGCAATAAAATAGGCTTCAAGATTCACATATTATTATCTCTTGCATTTATTCTACTTTTTAGTCGCATCAAGTAACTGCACATTTAAAATAAATAATTGCTTTCACTGGAGGTTGTAGCAAAAAAGTGAATTCCGGAAATGCCTATGTGGACAGTAGCAACCCACCCTCAGGCTGAGAATACTTGCTGGCTCTTTCTTGAGAAGCAACTCCTGAGTCTATAGGGCAAGACAATGCATTTGAGTAAATGTGAGAAAAGAATTGAGAAAGTGGAATTTCATTCTCCCAGTTTTGATGCAGAAAAGGGCAAACTGCCCATAGTTATCCACCCCCTCCCCAATTATAACAATGAGAAATACAAGAAAAATTTGTAAAGTTTATTCACAATGCAGTTGTTGAAAGGAATAAAACAGTTGGCAATGGCATCTCGCTTCTGAATTTGATTTATAAAAACATTAGGGAGCTCTTTTTTTGTATTTTGCTATTTCACTGGGGAATGATGAAGAGAGAGTCTTTTTTTATACTTATAAATTTCAGACTTTGATGTCATTTATCACAGTATCGTCTGGAATTCTGAAAATGTTGTGTCAGGGGTGATCTGCGTATTTCTGGAGTTGACATTTGATAGAAGTTGGGTAGCCGAATATCATAGTGATATCTTTTTCCTATATATACCCTGTCATTCAAGGCATAGAGTTTATCTGCAATGTCACTGCCAATTAGCACTGAAAAAAGGCGGGAGATGTAGCGATGCTGAGCAAAGAGCAGATATAATTTCTTTCTCCTCCAAGACACATATCGACAATCAGTTTCTGCAGTGAGGGTTACCTAAAAAACACAAGACCACACATAAACAGATGTGGAAGCAAGAAAACTTCTGCCACATTTTTAGTACCCCAATTGTTAAATTAATTTCACGTGCTGCCTTTTTTTTAGGTTGAAAAAGCCCACTGACCTACAATATATTGCAAAAATAGAAACTACAAAATTCGTTACTACATACGTAATTTATAATATGAATAATCACAATGTTCTAGCCATCTTCAATCTGTCTGTTTTTCTAAGTTCCAGTATCTACATTTCTTTTATTGAAGGGAGAACTACTTGATCTTAAAAAAAAAAAAAGTTGGCTGATGTTACAGAAATATTTCCAAGTCACTTCTGAAGACTGTGGACATTTAACCCTAATGCAGTTTCTGCAGTAGAAAACAGAATTTATATACCTAATTTGCATACATATTTGAGTTTGTTGCATACACACATATATTTGTTAGAAAACTGTGTAACAAAATAAATGAAACCTGCTGAAATGATTATCTTTCAAAACTGCCAGACGTGGCAGCAGAGTAATGACAGTAAGTTTAGCATTCTGTTGCTGTAAAACAACTGAAATCCACTGGCATTTTAAATTTTAAAAATCATTTATTTTTTAGTAAGTGCAGTTTTTTGTTCTTGATGTTTTCTAGACGTCGCATTAGCAGTGTTTAGTCAAATCTCAATTATATTTTAATTCCTAAATACGCAGTTATGCAAAGTAAAGCTTAAAGTATTGATCACAGCCTCCTTCCTGTCATATGTAGCACCTGTTCTTCTCATCGCTGGACCTATAAAGTGGCATTAATCATCAAGAGTCCAGCAGAATTGGGAAAGTCATGTATGCTGCAAAGTACATTCCAAAGTCTTAAAATATTCTTGTCTTATCCACTGTTGTTTATTTGTTTACTTATTTTTAAACAAACATCTGTTTGAAAGAGGGAGTGCTAACTGTGTGTTCTGGTATCCCTTACCTGAAAAATGCCTTCCTCTGTGGGTCTCAGTGAATCCCACTCAGGAGAATCCAGGAACTGAAGGGGGAAAATGTAATGCAGAAATTCGCCATCAACTGTCACTCTGATCCTATCAAAACACAAGAACAACATTTATAAGGGAAGGAGAAAGAGAGCACATAATTGGGGAGGGGTGGGGGGTAGAGGAAGTGTATTTCAGATCCCTGATGACTCTTGCCCTTTATGATTTTGAAAGGCAAAATATTAAATTCATACATTATAATAAGTGACATAATGTCCTGTAAGATTCATGTTATCATGTTCCTTATACAGTCAGGATTCTGGAATATTGAGTGAAATTCATCAGAAAATTCATCAAGTTGTACATTTATATATGTCCATTTATGTGTGCATATTATACTTCAATAAAACATTTTAATGGACTTTGTCAGATTTTAAATTAAGTAGGGAAACATTTAAGAACATAGAGGAGTTCTGCAAATACCTCTGTAAACCAAATTTTTATTTTTTATTTATTTTTTGACAGAGTCTCACTCTGTCGCCCAGCGTGGAGTGCAGTGGCACAATCTGGGCTCCCTGCAACCTCCTCCTCCCAGGTTCAAGCGATTCTTGTGCCTCAGCCTCCTGAGTAGCTGGGATTACAAGCGTGCACTACGATGTCCAGCTAAGTTTTTTGTATTTTTAGTAGAGACAGGGTTTCAACATGTTGGCCAGGCTGGTCTCGAACTCCTGACCTCAAGTGACCCACTAGCCTCGGCCTCCCAAAGTGCTGGGATTACAGGCGTGAGCCACCGCGCCTGGCCTGTAAGCCACATTTTTAACTTTTTGAAAACCATGAGTAATCCCATTATTGTTTCCTCTCCCAAACTTTGTTTTCAAAGTTTATTTTATTTTATTTTTGAGATAGAGTCTCGTTCTGTTGCTTAGGCTGAAGTGTAGTGGCGCGATCTCAGCTCACTGCAACCTCCGCCTCCCACGCTCAAGCAGTTCTCCTGCCTCAGCCTCCCGAGTAGCTGGGACTACTGGCATGTGCCACCATGCCTGGATAATTTTGTTTTTCTATTTTTTCAGTACAGATGGGAGTTTCACAGTGTTGGCCAGGCTGGTCTTGAACTGCTGACCTCAGGTGATTATCCTGCCTCAGCCTCCAAAAGTGCTGGGATTACAGGTGTTTTTGGGATTACAGGTGTTAGCCACCGCACCTGGCCTGTTTTCAAAGTTTAGATTTCTATATATGTTCCTGAAGTGTCTCCCCAGCCTGCTTCTCATGGGCAATTGCTAGAATTTACTGAAGAAAAAAAGATAATAATAAAATTTAAATGTTTTCTGTTACTTAAAAGAAAGCCCTATCAAAGAGTCTTTAAAATATTTTGCACGCCAATATAAGTATTCTATTAATTCAAGCTGACATCATCCTCTTCTCGACTTTCAGTAATTAGGAAACAAATATCATATCACATAAACAAATTCATACTTTATGTAATTTGATTTCTAAGATGAAATATTAAGGCTCTTGATTATTTTCTGCTTCAAGTAAATAATGCCATATATTCTAAATGGCTATGTCTGTGACTCAAGTATCAAAGACTTCCTCAAGCCTCAGGGTGCTAAATGCCACCCAGGACTATGTGATACTGAGATGGAAAAATATAGTGGAAAGAAACACAAACAACTAATACTTGAGGAAAGACATGCAAGCACCAAAGGTACAAACCTTCCTGAAACAAGCAAGGAGAGTTTATCAATGGAAGTTTTCCCCTGCATGGCATAACAGTGTTCCTTTTCCAAAGTAACCACTTCAGAGCTCAAAGCAATCGTTCTGAAGACAGGCAAAGAGATCCCCAGGGGCTGGAAAAGGGAGCTGTACAACACTTGGAATTCTCGGGCAAAGGTTATGCTGCGAACTTGATATGCAATATGAACAAATTGCATGAAGCAGATGACAAACAGTACAAAATTCCAGGAAAATATGTCAGCTGCACAGACATCTACCCAAGCCCAGACAGCAGAACAGAGAAAACCCAACCCCAGCAAACTGAAGACATAAAGGAGCCCGAAGAATCCACTGCCACCCATGAAACCTACTACAAATAAAATACTGGCAAGATGATAAATGGCTCCTTCGGCCTCTTGCTTCCAGGTTGTGCAGACTGGGTGTTCATCTATTAGGTTCTTCCATAAACTTGAATTTCTTTCCATGGCTGTATTACTGCCTGCTTCACTTTTCAGTTGACTTTAGATGACACTGAAACAGGTAACTAAGTCCTTTGGTTCTCCATCATGAGAGTTTTGTGCAGTCTTCACAAAACCAGAGAAAACGGACACTGGAGTTGATGCTGATTAAAGGCTTCGTGTGTACGGATCTTGAAAAACTAAGAATCCCATGCTCGCTTCTTTAAGTTCATCTGGGCTCCTGATTTGGATCCAGTCTGCAAATATTTTGGTATTTCCTATGCAAGAGAAAAAAAGATAAAGGATCTAATTAAACAAAAAGGAGAATTGTGGGGTATATTTAATGATCAGCAGCATTACTTAGCAAGCTGACCTCCCATTTTCTATGAAGTTAGAGTATTTTAAGCACAAATGCTGTTGGGTGTTAAATTTCTATGGTATAAAAAGTATATTTATTAAAATTAGCTACATATTTTTCAAGGTAGCTAAGTGCTCTATATTAATCTCGTCTCTATGGGAGTGATTCAGTGTACCTCACAATCACTCGGGACAGTGACTAAAAATGCGGGCCGGGCGAGGTGGCGTGTGCCTGGAATCCCAGCCCTTTGGGAGGCTGAGGTGGGTGGATCACTTGAGGCCAGAAGTTCGAGACCAGCCTGGCCAACATGGCGAAACCCTGTCTCTACTAAAAATAGAAAAATTACCCAGGCGTGGTGGCGTGCGCCTGGGATCCCAGCTACTCAGGATGCTGAGGCACAAGAATCACTTGAACTTGGGAGACAGGCTTCAGTGAGCCGAGATCATCTTACCACTGCACTTCAGCCTAGGCGAAAAGAGTAAGACTCTGTATTAATACATATATATATTTGCAGATTCATGGACTGCTTCCAGATACATGAACCAGAATCATTGCGGGTGGGGCCCAGATGTTTGTATTTTAAGCTCCCCATGTGATTCTGATGTGTTAATCCATGGTCCTCCATGGCCCACCCTTTGAGGGATACTGTCTGATAATAGATTATTCACTCTTTACACATTAATTTGAGGCTTAGAGAGGTCAGGTAATTTATCCCAGGCCACACAGTGGTCACTGGCAGAGCAGAACTTTGGCGCTCATGCCCATATGCTGGGTCCAATCGTGTGGCCTCTCAGGAAAGATTTTTAAATTTGGCATGATAAGGAACCCTACTATATCAATAAACATAAGAAACATAATTAGAAGTCACATTCTAAGAGCATTAATTGACTATGGAAATATTTAATAAATTAGATTGAAATTATTTGAGAAACAAATGTACTACTTTGTTGTATTAGTGGTTATTTCAGGTTAAAGCTTGCATCATATGATGAAATAAATATTAATATTCCTGTTACTTACATATTTATTTATCAGATGGTCAAAAATATTACCAACTCTGTTCCTCTGCACATACATTCTCTACCCTTTCAGCCATATGGTGGAAATGCTAATATGTAATCTGAGTCAGGAGAGCATTAGCCATGATGACAGAGCTACAGGATATATGTATCATTTGCCACCCAGTTTCCTAACAATAAATGATTTCAGTGTAAAGCATTCATGACATTGATTTTTTAAAACCATGGTAACATTCAAAAGCCTTGAACTTGTGTGCTATATTTAGTGTTTTATTTTTGAAATAGATTATTTCCAGCACACCTGTTAATAAACTATCAGATATCACAGATCTTGCCCCATAGGAGAAAAAATACAGAGGTGAAAATGACTTAGCTGGAGTAAAAAATGGAACAGTGTAATCACCAACAGAAGTAGAAATGGAAATAAAGGAGCTGTTGTTGAAGTTCCTGATTTTTCATCTTGGATAGTGATTCTTTTCTCAGTAAGTAATGACTTCAAGAACACTGCCAGGTGAATCATTTAAAAAAAAAGAAAAAAAAAGCTTAGACTTACAACTTATAGTCATATTGTTGTTTTTGCTTGTTTTCAAATACATTTCAAACATGCTGCATATCCCTAATTATTCTCCCCATCAATCAATCTACGAGATGATGGTGATGAAATTGAAGACAGGCCAGCATCCTGAACATGTTCAATTTCTCCTCTTTTAAACAAAGCACAAAATTTTATTCTACTGGGTATTACAACAAAGAAAAATTATTGTTCAAATACAATGAGTAGTGAGAACTGCAAAATACCAGGCTGCAAATGTCAGTCTCCCTGCTGTTTCAAAACTAGGGTATTTTAAATCAATCAATTCTTCAGGATACCAAACACACCCACGAAAGCCAGTTTAAAAAGATTTGCTAGTGGAGCTCTGAACTTTGGTTTGAACTTCCTTAAAAATTTATAATCCTCAGCGAAATGTTA
Organism: Homo sapiens; assembly: GCF_000001405.40. NCBI lineage: Eukaryota > Metazoa > Chordata > Mammalia > Primates > Hominidae > Homo > Homo sapiens. The sequence goes on from NC_000006.12 coordinate 105,164,230, forward strand.
AAATGATGCTAATAGAGAAAGGCCATGTAAAACGTTCGTGGCAATTCAGAAGGGAACTTCTGGGAATCCTGTCTCCTTAAAAATCTTGATTTGTAGGATATATTGGGGCTTCTGCATTCCAGGGTCATGACCCATTATGATTATAAGGGGAACTGTGCTTCCATCTTTACTAATCTACTTCGTTTCATTCAGCTGTTACCAAACCATCTTTTTATCCTTGATACTGTACTGCTCAATGCAGCGTGCTGACTTGCCCTGATTAAATTACTCCACACCCAGCCCTTCTTCACTTGTGTTTTTATTTGGTCACCAAAACAGATATGCTTTATTAGAAGTGGAAGAACTGACAGGGGCAGGTGATGAGCAGGAGTGTCCTTCTGACATGTGCCAGCAGCACTATATGAATGTCCAACATGATTCATCAACCAGCTGTCTGCCTTAAAGGCCTGTAAGCCTGAGGTCATGTTTTGCGTAAATAAATGCTGACATGCCAAAGTGGCACAATGGATTTCTTTCCTAAGCACTAGAGTTGATCTTCACTGCAAAGTAAGTTAGCACACTGAGCTACAAATGATGAAGACAAACTTAAGTGCAAATAAACACAGTTGTTCCAAGCTCATCTGGGTTTTTTTCTCTTTAAATTGTTAAGATTACGAGTTATAAAGGAATAGGAAATGTAAATGAAGATACAAGGATGCTCAATGAAATGCAAAGTAAACCTGCTGGCAAATTAGCTAGAAACTGCATTTATTGCAACAGAACTTCTGCATTTATTATCTCATTGCCACGAGGGAGGCAGAATCTAAATCATCATGTCCAGCTTACAAATGAGAAAAGAAGGGCACAGATTGGTTGAGTCTCTGGCTTCAGGTAAAACAGGTGGTGGCATGGAGCTCCAATTCCCGTCCGCCCCTCTTTAGACCCTCTCCAACATTCAGTGCCAGCTCTCAAGACTGTGAATCAAATATTAATGTTTTGGGGAACCCAAGTGGGATATTCTTCCAGGGCTGCTTTGCCAAGAAAATAAAAATCCTAACCATGGATATTTCAGACTTACCCTATAAGTTCTTGTACTGTTCAGTCTGTAACTCTTAGAATACTGCTGGAGACACAGAGAGCCGCTCATGAATAATTTGCTGTATTATTCAATATTGACTGGTTTCCTCTCCTAGACTGAAATTCTCAGGGGCAGCAGGGGCAAAGACAAATGCTTTTGTATTTCTGAGCCTTAGCACTCAATAAGTTTGGCTTAATACATTGGTACAGAAGTGCAAGCACTCTGCCTTCTCCCTTCTCACTCTCTATCCAATGTAACAGATATTGTAACATCTTCTGTCATCTATGGGCACAGAATTGGGGGGCTCCAAATGTCCAAGATGTTTAAGTGCAAAAACACAGAGGAGCTGGGGCATCACTTTTTCAAAATGCCTGGCACAACCCCAAATGCATAAGGGAATCCTTTTGTCTGTTCACAACCTTGAACTCCTTAAGAACAGTTTATTGCTTTGATTAAAAACAACAACTTGGGTAGTCAGTGGTATTGAGTGAGTTTTGGTTGCTAAGCAACCCACAAACTGAAAATTCCATCAATATTCTACTCATTAATTGGGATCAGCTCTCAACTTTGGCATGTGTTCCCTAAGCTAAATTATCATTTTCTTAGTTTTTTTGACTTGTCCTTGAGGTGGTACATTTACCCAGCAACTATGTGCCAGGCATATTTTTAAAATTATCTCATTTAACAACCCCAGGAGGAAAGTACTATTATCTCCATTTTACACATAAGAAAATTTAAATTCAGCAAAAAACTAAGTTGTTCAATGTCACATTGCTTATAATGGAACTAAGATTCCACCCAAGAGAAGGGTTCTAGTCTTAGCTGTATCCCTAGATAGCTATGTGATTTTCATCTCCTTAGACTGGTTTCCTCATTGGTAAAATGAAAGAATTGGACAACATCATAAGAGCTCTAAAATGACATGACTCTGTATGATGTGGAGTAGAAGATGATTCCAAACATGGGTCAAAATATAGAGCCGAGTGGCAGAACTGAATTAAGACTGCAGGTCTTAACACCAGGTGTTTGACTGGGGCCCAGCTCCAGAGACTGTTACTTAACTGGCCTGTTTTGTCGCCGGGGCACTGAATTTTTTTCACAAACTTCCCAGGGATTTTGATGTTCAACCAGGGTTAAGAAGTGTCGAACAAATCTAAGAGATAGGAAGGAGGTGACAGGTGGGGGTGGGGGAGGGAAAAGAGACACCAGAACATTCCACAGAATAAAGGATCTGGATTTTAATCCTTGTTTTTAAAGAGCCAGAAAGGTACATTTCCTCTTCATGTGTTCTCACTTCCATCCTTTACCTCGGTGAAAAGACGTTTTCCTTCCGTACACTCATCAGTCCAAGAGGGATGAAGCTTGTGGAAATTTTGCAGCAGCCTTCCCTGACCATGGTGGCCTGAAGTGCACCTTGTAAGCTGAGTTTTTAATGGCCTTTATTATCTGTCTACATAGCCTCCATCATAGATTGTGTCATACTGACCATTATGTATATTTTTCCTTTTTAAAGCATCACAATTTTTTAATTTTTTCAGTTGGGTTACATATTCAAGCATTTAAAAAAATGAACATAGATGGTTGTGTGTGTGTGTGTGTGTGTGTGTGTAGAATAACAGCTTTATTGATAGAGCATTGTGTGTGTGTATATATATATTTATATAAATATATTTGAAATTTTCCTCTGTCTAGCACAAAGTGGTCTTTAGTAAACATTCACTAATAAAGACAAGAGTGCACAGGTAGAAAAACAGTGTTTGAAATAAGCTTGGGATAAGGCTTAATAAATCAGAAAGCTCCTGAATCAACAGTTTAGATGTTGAATTAAAAAAAAAAGGGAAGCATGTATTAGACTATGAGGAAGAGGTGAAAGGATCTATTGAAACAGAGGAACGAAGAAGGGTTGAAGACATTTTGGGGTTATACAAGATCTTGAAGTTAGGGAAAAAGTCAGAGGAAAAAGGAACTCAGTTTTAGCCATGTTTAATCTGATGCTCTGAGTAGCAGAATTTACAGCAGAGGATAAGGGGTAGGATAAAGGGAGAGAGATTTAGCAGTTACTATCACACAGGTCAATGCTAAATAAAAACTAGGGTTGTTAAGATTATTGAAAAAGAGCATAGGGAGAAATGAAAGTGTTCACAATAGATTGTGAAGACTGTACAAAAGTAAAGAATAGGCTGGGCATGGTGGCTCACGCCTGTAATCCCACCACTTTGGGAGGCTGAGGAGGATGGATCACTTGAGGCCAGGAGTTCAAGACCAGCCTGGCCAACATGGTGAGACCCCGTCTCTACTAAAAATACAAAAATTAGCCAGATGTGATGGTGGGTGCCTATAATCCCAGCTACTCGGGAGGCTGAGGCAGGAGAATTGCTTGAACCTGGGAGGCAGAGGCTGCAATAAGCTGAGATCATGCCCCTGTACTCCAGCCTGGGCAACAGAGCGAGACTCAGCCTCAAAAAAAAAAAAAAAAAAGTAAAGAATATGTCATTAATGTTTATATTGATTACATATTGAAATGACAGTGTTTTAGAAATAGTGGGTTAAGTAAAACCTATTATTAAAGCTGCCTTCACTGGTTCTTACTTTAAAAAAATGTTGTTTATGTGGCTTGCATTATATTTCTATTGGACAGTGCTGGTCTAGAGTCTCTCAAGTAACAGAGAGAAGAAATGAAAAGACTTGGCATGATGCTATGCAAACATTGCATATGTATAATGCATAAGTGTATAAATGTGGAAGAATTATCCAAGATTCAGAACAGAGTGTTGATGGAAATGTAAATGGTATTGGTTACAACATTCATATGCTGCCATCAGTCAGATGTTACCCAAAGCATAGATGTCACCATCTGGTTTCTGCCTACAGGGGTGGCCAACCCCACTACAGCACTTGGCTCCTTTATCCTACCAAGGGAAGTATCACCTTTTTCCTTTTGCCTGAGGACAGTTCCCCTTTCCCAAACAATTATATTACATGGTTTAATTTTCTCATTTCATCTTCTGATATGGATTCCAGAGTATATTCACACCAGCCTTTGCTTTCACACAATACTTGGAGACTCTTCATGTACCACTAATCTCTTAGGCTGGAGCATGCTTTTGATCCCCCTTATCAATGAGATCTTGGAGTCTCCTTGAGACTTGAAGAAATCAGAGAACATGCCGACAGGCTACACCGGACTTTTTTCTGTTCTCATGTTTCAGCTAACATCACATTTATCTCTACCCATGATTGATCTCTCATTTTATCACATACAGTGGTAGGCAGAATTCTAAGATGCTCTCAACATTCCTGACCTCCTGGTATACATGCCCTGTATCATTCCCTCTCCTTCAGTGTGGGCAGAACCTGTGAATGGAATGGGATAGATGCTCCCTTGATTAGGTAACATTATATGGCAAATGGTGGTGGAATAGTCACTCTTATGATTATGTTAAGTTATACAGGACTCCATCATAGGACTGGAGAGAGATTGGATGTCAGAGTGATTGATGTGCTCCTACTGGAAGAAGGCAAACATCCATATGTGAACTGCCTGTGGGGTTTCCAAGGAAAGGAACGGCAGGCAGCCTCTATGAGCTTAAAGAAGATAACTGGGACTTTAGTCCTATAACCTCAAGGAACAGTATTCTGTGAACCATCTGAGAAGCTTGGAAGAGGACCCCAAACTCCAAATAAGAAGCTCAGTGTGTCTGACACCTTGACTGCAGGCTTGGGAGGTCCTGAGCAGAAGATCCAGTTCAACAGTGCCTGGACTCCTGATCCACAAAAACTGATAACAAATATTTATTGTTTTAAGATGCTAAGTTTGTAGTCATTTTTTATACAGCAACAGAAAACTAAACACACACATAAACAGTTATAAGTGCTCACTGTATATGAGGCTTTTCATTAATAATCTATATTTTATAATAGAATTAGAATATAGATCTGTGAAGCTGAAGACACTCAATCCTTGCTAGATTTAAATCAGGAAAATCAGCTGAGAATCATTCCTTGATAGAACCTGGAAAACAAGACCCTATGAGAGACCCTGGGAATTACATTAAATTCACTGTGGTTCCCAGTGTCACTGAAGAGGTTTTCCTTTCATAGTCAGGTAGTCACCATACTGTTAAGCATTTGAACACATGGGCAACTTCCAGAATAGTTATGACATTGATATACCAATCTCCAAAATTCCTAGAATACCATGTTTTCATGGTTGACCTTCAAATCAGTCAGTTCTTTGTAACATTGAGCCATAAAGATAGGGCAAATACTTAATGTTTTACATATATTCAGAGATTGACCCTCAAAATACAGCCCAGAGAAACTCAAAAGAATTAACTCTATTTCTTCAAATTGTGTGACGCCACCAAGGCCAGATGACTTCAGCATTGGGAAGGCAATATCCAGCTGTCATCTTCTTGATCCTCATATGCTACTACTAGCATCTAGCATTTACTGAGCAGATAGTTTTATTGTCCAGTTTTTAAAGATAAGAAAATTGAGGTATTAGGAAAGTTAAGTTGGTTGCCTAGGGAAACACGAAGATATAGCCCAGATTCACTCCCAGGCAGGCAGATGCCAGTGTCTGCTCTCTTTACCACCGAAATATCCTGCTACATGTACAATTTCAATAAATATCTGGACTTACTGGAACAAAACAAATCAACAACATTCTTATTTTCTTTCTTCAGTTTAGATTAAATAATTTAAATGTCTTCTTAAGAAGCTACAGTTTTTTGAGGCACAGAGGGATAGGAGGGTAGGTCCTACCAGTTGAGTCACTCAGCCCTATAGTTGTGAAAATCCTTAATTTTAAGAAGCAGCAGTAAAGTCTCTACTTCTCAAGCTTGCCATTAGATGGTTTTAAATAATTGACAGGCTCTGCTCAAGTTCTTCTGATTTCTCCATATCCTGGAAATGGTTAAAGGCATAAGCAGGAAGCCATTCCCTTTTGATGAGCTGCTATGACATCATGCAGTAAGTTTACTGAAGAGAGATTCCTGATGAAAGATGCAAGAGAAACTAGATACATTAAGCAGTCGTTTCTTTATATGAATCAATGGGACACCTTTGCTTTCCTTTACTCTAAGTGACCTATATGCAGAAAATGAACTCACTTTTCCTATGTTTAGATCAAGTTTTCAAGTTACTTCCTGGCAAACAACCCTAACAAGATCATGTATGATAGTTAATTGGCCATAATCTCTGCCTTTTCTTTTTTTCTGGCTAAATAACCAGGTGGACCACACATTTGGGTCAGGGGAGTCACATTAGGACTCTTTTAGTAGAGAGAATGCCAGATGTAGATATCACGCTTATTGTCTCAACAACATGACACTTAATAGCACTTCTACGCCACTTTAATCAACTAGAGTCAATTCCACTGTAACACAACAACATATGTGATCCTAAACAGTCACTGCACTATACTAAACTGTGCAATAACAACCACAGGGCTCACAAGAAAATGGGGTTAGTGATATAACACTTAAAATCTTCATCAGTGGCACATTCTTTAAAAGATAGGAATTTAATAAAAACAATAGCACAGTTACATCTATCTATCTTAAATGGTTAAAAATACACAAATATGGCACTTGATATTAAAAAAAGGCCAAAAACTTGCTAGGGAGGTGGAATGGGAATGGTTGCCATTTGTGAGTTATGGTGAAGCGGTGGAAGAAGGAATAAAAACTGTGCTCTTTCTCAGCCCTTAAATCCTAGAATGAGCATGTTTTTATATAGGAAAGTTCACAAGTGTGAAAGGATAGCAAACTGTAAATTTTCAAAATAATACATGGCAAACCAAGATAGCTGGTAGATGTTTGAGAGGTATGTGTTTGCATTTTGCATTTTGCATTTTGTGTATCCCTACATGGCTTAGGTCAGCTAGTTGCAATTTAATGAATTCACCCATTGTTTTTTCTGGGTAAAACATGCGTAAGCAAACATGAAAGTTGTATTATGCCCAAATCGTTCCCTAATACGTCAATTTTTTGGAATAATGCTTACTTTCAAAACATGCATTATAACATAATTAACTGTATCATTAGCTCTCAAATGGCCTTAAAAATATTGTGAATTAATATATGCAATAATTCAGGGCCAGGTACAGTGGCTCATGCCTATAATCCCAGCACTTTGGGAGGCCGAGGTGGGAGGATTGCTTGATCACAGGAGTTTAAGACCAGCCTGAGCAACAAAGTGAGACCCCAGCTCTACAAAAAAATTAAAAGAATTTGTTGGGCATGGTGGCATGCACCTGTATTCCCAGCTACCCAGGAGGCTGAGGCAGGAGAACCACTTGAGCCCAGGAGGTCAAGGTTGCAGAGAGCTGTGATCACGCCACTGCACTCCAGCCTGAGCGACAGAGAAAGACTCTGTCTCAAATAATAATAATAATAATTATTATTATTAATTAAAAACCTGTCCTCATGGAGCCTGCATTTTAGTGAAATTCCAATGTTAACACTATTTAAGTCCAGTTTTCAAAACTGTGATCTATTTTAAATATTACTAACTAAAAATACACCTTATCTACAAATAAACTACCTAACACTTATTTCGTTTATTTTATTATATTAGAGATGGAGTCTCCTTGTGTTTCCCAGCCTGGTCTTAAACTCCCAGACTCAAGTAATCCTCCCATCTTGGCCTCCCAAAGTGCTGGGATTACAGGCGTGAGCCACTGTGCCCAGCCATTAAAACTCATTTAAAGTCAGTTGTTGCAAAGCCAAAATTGACAAATGGGATCTAATTAAACTAAAGAACTTCTGCACAGCAAAACAAACTACCATCAGAGTGAACAGGCAACCTACAAAATGGGAGAAAATTTTTGCAATCTACTCATCTGACAAAGGGCTAATACCCAGAATCTACAATGAACTCAAAACAAATTTACAAGAAAAAAACAAACAACCTCATCAACAAGTGGGCGAAGGAGATGAACAGACACTTCTCAAAAGAAGACATTTATGCAGCCAAAAAACACATGAAAAAATGCTCATCATCACTGGCCATCACATAAATGCAAATCAAAACCACAATGAGATACCATCTCACACCAGTTAGAATGGCAATCATTAAAAAGTCAGGAAACAACAGGTCCAGTGGAGAGGATGTGAAGAAATAGGAACACTTTTACACTGTTGGTGGGACTGTAAACTAGTTCAACCATTGTGGAAGTCAGTGTGGCGATTCCTCAGGGATCTAGAACTAGAAATACCATTTGACCTAGCCATCCCATTACTGGGTATATACCCAAAGGATTATAAATCATGCTGCTATAAAGACACATGCACACATATGTTTATTGCGTCACTATTCACAATAGCAAAGACTTGGAACCAACCCAAATGTCCAACAATGAGAGACTGGATTAAGAAAATGTAGCACATATACACCATGGAATACTATGCAGCCATAAAAAAGGATGAGTTCATGTCCTTTGTAGGGACATGGATGAAGCTGGAAACCATCATTCTCAGCAAACTATTGCAAGGACAAAAAACCAAACACCGCATGTTCTCACTCATAGGTGGGAATTGAACAATGAGAACACGTGGACACGGGAAGGGGAACATCACACACTGGGGCCTGTTGTGGGGTGGGGGGAGGGGGGAGGGATAGCATTAGGAGATATACGTAGTGCTAAATGACGAGTCAATGGGTGCAGCACACCAACATGGCACATGTATACATATGTAAAAAACCTGCACGTTGTGCACATGTACCCTAAAACTTAAAGTATAATAAAAAAGTCAGTTGTTGCATACTAAATTTTAAAGAAATGCTACATTTTAAAACAGTCTAAAGTCTTAATGAGATTAGAATCATTATCTTAAATTTCCTTTCATATCTGACCAAGTATTGATCAAGGATGCTCCACTAGTTGGTGGGTTTCCATGCATTACCAAGATTTAATATAAACTTGAAAATGAACTCAAACAACAGAAAATAAGCTGAGATTCCACAAAATAAATTCCAAACAGAATGTTTTAAAGTGCTTCTGTTTATCTCTTTTTCTCATGGAGGTTAAATTTTCTTTATAACATAGAGGAAAAGGTACTAGCTCTCCTTCATGCATTGTGACTTCCAGAACAATTATAATGTAACATGTGTTTGGAACTTGAATTCTAACACCACCCCTCCTGCATCTTGAATGGAGGAGTAAGTAATAATAACCAGCATCTGTTGAGTAGCAACCCTGTGTCAGAACCTGTGTGAACTACTACATGTATATTATTTCATAGCTCCAAAAATACTGGGGGCAGGAGGAAGGGGTAGTTATTTTCCTATTTTTCAAGCAAGAAAACCTCTTTAAGAAAGACTTGGCCGAGTTAGAATCCAAATATCCTCATATCTAACCTGCTTCTGTTTATACCATGCTACACTTTCATTTATAAATCAGTTACATTTTAATCATTTTGACAAGTACAGTGAATGAAGAAAACAGGAGAAATTAAAACAAGATAACAATCATTATGGAGAATAAAGATGAGACAGTGTGAGAATAATTGGTGTCTTTGAAGTAGAGAATTACAAAATTGGAAAGAAAAAGCATTCATAATGGGAAAAAAAAAAACCCTGAAATTAAGAACAACAGATTATTCCAATAGAAAGAACAGAAATAGAAGGAATGCACCAGGTTCCATGAAAAATTGATACAGAACTTAACAAGGATATAGCCTGAATTACTACACTTCAGGAATATAAAGGATACTTTAGGACTCCGGGCAGAAAAAGCAAATCAATTGCAAGGAAGAAATTTTTTCTTAGATGGAGTTTTGCTCTTGTTGCCCAGGCTGGAGTGCAATGGCACAATCTTGGCTCACTGCAACCTCCGCCTCCCGGGTTCAAGCGATTATCCTGCCTCACCCTCGAAAGTAACTGGGATTAAAGGCGCTACCACACCCGGCTAATTTTTTGTATTTTTAGTAGAGATGGGGTTTTACAATGTTGGCCAGGCTGGTCTTGAACTCCTGACTTCAAGTGATCCGCCCGCCTTGACCTTCCAAAGTGCTAGAATTACAGGCGTGAGCCACTGCGCCCAGCCAGAAATTTTGAAACCAAACTTAGACTTCTCTACAGCTACATTAGATGCTAGCAGTGAATGGAGCGAAGGCTATATAATCCGGAGGTAAGGAAACTGGCTCAAAAATGGTACAGCCAGCCAAATGGTCATTCAAGTACAGATGCTCCCCAATGTACAATGAACTCATGGTAAGCTGAAAATATCGTAAGTTGAAAACACACGTTTGACTTACAGTTTCTCAATTTATGACGATGATGTGTTTACTTGGGTGTAACCACACCGAAAGTTGAGCATACTGACTGTGTATTGTCTCTGCACCATTATAAAGTTGAAAAATGGTTAAGTCAAACCATTGTGAGTCAGGGACTGTCTGGAAAGAAACATGGGCATTTCAAACATAAAAAGACACAGGAAATGAGCCCTTCTTGGAAACAAACAGACACACTGACAAAATCTAGCCAATCAAAGGATGAATCAAAAGTTGATACTTGAGATGCCATGGTAAAAGAACCAGTGATTCATCGTGATTTCATTTAGTTATAAAACTAAGACTAAATTATATCTGAAATGGCCAGGCGTGGTGTCTCACACCTGTAATCCCAGCACTTTGGGAGGCTGAGGCTGGTGGATCACGAGGTCAGGAATTCGAGACTGGCCTGAGCAACATGGTGAAACCCCATCTCTACTAAAAATACAAAAATGAGCCGGGCGTGGTGGCACACGCCTGTAATCCCAGCTACTCAGGAGGCTGAGGCAGGAGAATCACTTGAACCCGGGAGGCTGAGGTTGCAGTAAGCCAACAATGCTCCACTGCACTCTAGCATGGGCAACAGAGCAAGACTCCATCTCAAAAAAAAAAAATTGTATCTGAAATGAAGTTTACAAAACACAATGCAAATGTTATAGATCCTCACAATATAAACATATTTTTAAAATTGGGGCTGGGTATAGTGGCTCATGCCTGTCATCCCAGCACTTTGGGAGGCTGAGGTGGGAGGATGCCTTGAGCCTAGGAGTTTGAGATCAGCCTGGGTAACACAGTGAGACCCTAACTCTCCAAAAAAAAAAAAAAAAGCTGGGTGCCATGGTGCATGCCTGTAGTCCCAGCTACATGGGAGGCTGAGGTGGGAGGACTGCTTGAGCCTGGGAGGCTGAGGTTGCCGTGAGCTGTGATCATGCCACTACAGTCCAGCCTGGGTGACACAATGCGACCCTGTCTCCAAAATTAAAAAAATAAAAAATAGGCCAGGCGCAGTGGCTCATGCCTGTAATCCCAGCACTTTGGGAGGAGAGGTGGGAGGATCACCTGAGGTCAGGAGTTTGACACTAGCTTGGGCAACATGGTAAAAGCCCATCTCTACTGAAAATACAAAAATTAGCCGGGCATGGTGGTGCATGCCTGTAATCCCAGCTACTTGGGAGGCTGAGGCAGGGATATTGCTTGAATCCAGGAGGCGGAGGTTGCAGTGAGCTAAGATCGCACCACTGCACTCCAGCCTGGGGTGACAGAGTGAGACTCTGTCTCAAAAAATAAATAAAGAAAGAAAGAATAAAAACTGGGATATGAGTAGAAGTGAAACTATAGGTAATGTAAGAGTGCCCAGTGCTCCATCCTTTATAACAGGGAGCCTCTGACTGTCTAAATTAATGTATGTTTAAAAAATCTTGATCTCAAGATGTATTCAGAAACTTTTCTCTTAGTTTGGAAGACTTGTTTATCTCTAAGAATGAAGAAATACTGATGTCAAGTTCAGCAATTCCTTCACTTTCACTACAGTTTCTTCTGTTAAAATATAATTTTTTTATTTTAAAAAGCATATATAGTATCATCCTGTTAAAAGAAAAACTTTAGATAAATTCAATTTAACAGTTTACCTGAGCAACAAACAACTCACGAATCAGGCAGCACTCACAACCAGAAGAGGTTCACAGAGCTCTATCCAGCAGCATGAGCTGCAGTTTTTATACACTGATGACAGAAGTAAAAAACCAAAATCACTCGATTGGCTACAGCTCTGCATCTGCTTTATTTGGGCATAATGTGATGAGCTGGCCGCCTGTGATTGGCTGAAACCTGGCTATTACAAAAAATACACTGTTGAGTTAGTTTTCTGTTCGTTTATGTACAAAGTTAGTTTTTCACACAGGGACTCAAAGTAGGGAGAAAGACTCAGGCTAATGGCCTCCTGCTTATTTAACAATTCTATTTTTTATAAAAGCATTTCTTTTTAATCTTTTGACATATCGTTTTTTTTTTAAGACAGAGTCTTGCTCTGTCACCCAGGCTGGAGTGCGGTGGCGCGATCTCAGCTCACTGCAAGCTCCGCCTCCCAGGTCCAAACAATTCTCCTGCCTCAGCCTCCCAAGTAGCTGGGACTGCAGGCGCACGCAACCACGCCTGGCTAATTTTTGTATTTTTAGTAGAGACACGGGGTTTCACCACGTTGGCCAGGCTGGTCTCAAACTCCTGACCTCAGGTGATCCGCCCGCCTCAGCCTCCCAAAGTGCTGGGATTACAGGCGTGAGCCACCAAGCCCGACCAACATATCCTATTTGTGTAAAAATAGAAAGACATACGCAATGATTTTCACTTCATGTTAAAGATGAATATATCTTGATAGTGGGATAGAAACTATTTTTACCTTTTTAAAAACAGCTGCATTATTTGTATTCTTATAATGATTTTGGGAAACAATATGGTGATTTTATACCAATGTAAAAAAATTTTAAATATAAACATTTAAAAAAATCCATGAACCCAACAACCAGAATTAACAACCATCAACACTGTCATATTTTCTTTAGATTGTTTCATAATAAAAAATATTCCACACAAAAAATTGAAGACTGCCATGGATTGTTCTCCAGGACCAGTCGCTGCCCATCCACTCCCTATATAGTACATAATTTATATTTCTCTATATTTAAATATTCACTAATTAAAAAATACAATGTAAAATGAAACAGACAATGTAAAATGAAATCCTGGACTAGAAATAACTCAAAGTGTGGGGTTTTTTTTTCAGATTCACACTTAAATTTTTTTCTGATAATTTTGAACACATACAAAAATAGAGAAAATAGTATACAACAAATTCCCATATACCTGTTACCCAGATTCAACAATTATCAAGATTTTGCCACACAGAATTTTGAAATTAAAAGCAAAAGCTGTTATCTACAGTTCAGCTGCAATTTGTTCAGCTAGGAAACAAACACCTTCCAAAGAAGACAGGAAGAACCAAGATCAGCTGTGCTCTTTCTCTGTGCAGGTACTAATTCCTAAAACAGATCCATTTAGGAGTCACAGCAACTCTGAAACCTACATACTATTGTCAGCATTGTTCAGAGTGGAAGATGAAGCTCAGAGGGATGGAGATTCTTCTGTAAGCTTAGCCAGTTGCTTGTCCTTCCAATACTACCCCACAACACCTTCCTTCATGATCCCATCCTAGCCAATTTCAGTGTGCCAGAGTCACTGGAGGTTATTATTCTGTTGAAGAACACAAAGTAAGAAAGTCTCGCTAAAAGTCTGTGTGAATCAATCCCTGGATTCTCTGGGTTGGAGGAGGACCCTGCATTTTTATAGGTAATTTCAGTCAGGAACTTTCGGTTATTTATTTAATTTAGAAAACACCTGATGTAATTTTCCTTGTAAGACTTTTTCTTATAACTACTTAGATAAAAGGGAGAAACATTTTCTCTCTTCCTTTAAAACAATCGAATCGGTGATTCGATATACTCTTCTATTAATTGGAGGGACATTCTCTCGAGGGAGCTCATAATCCCAACTGACCAATGACCATAATTACAAAATGTGATCTCAACTGCAGTTTACAGACTTTCAGATCTATCATGGATATTTCCAAAGCAGTTTTGAAATTTCTTGCCTGCCATGTTGCTTATGTGTTATGCTCACATACTGTAGCAAATGCTTCATAACATTCTTAATTCTTCCTGGAGACTGTTTCAAAATAAGCAGGCATCAGTGCTCTAGTGTGTCAACCGTATTAGTCAGTCTTGTGGTGAAAAGTATGGGACTTTTGTTTCCCATGACACATTTTTATTTAATAGCATAGAATGTAACCATTTAGAGGCAGAAGATGCACCATGATTCAGCTATTTTGAGGGACTGATATGATTAAAGAAACTCAACTATCAAATATTTCCCATTTAAATGTATAAAATTTTGAGGACAGAGAATATCTTAGATTTCAATTAATATTTGTATCCCAAACTCCTGAAGACACACACACACACACACACACACACACACACACACACACACACACAGATTTTTCAGGACAGAACCTCAGAGATATCTGGAATCTGGGATCAGCCAGAGCTCTTCATTTTGCGAATATGGAAACTGAGATCCAATTTTTTGTTTATATTTTCTGTCTCATGTAGTTCTTGTTTGGTTTTCTATTGTCACAAAGAACAATGCCAAGTTATTGTACTCTCACAAGAGGATATTTTCATGCAACAGTCCGTAGAATTAAAAACAAGAAGGAAAAAAAATAGCCACTAAACTTAGTATGAACAGGCAACAATAATTTTTTAAGGCTGCTATAAAACTCAATTGCAGTTTGTAGGCTTGCAAATTCAAAATATCTAACTACCGGAATTAGAGTGAAAAGTCAGGAAGCAACGAAGTTTAGTAAATCAAATTGCGTCCAAAAGTGGGCTTCTAATTCTACTTTTCCATTTATTATTTACAAACAGAATTTTTCACTTTCTGCAAATGTCTTCTGGCTAAATTTTTGGCACTGCCCCTCTTACTGTATTTTGGTTGTGCCTTTCATCTTTGCCTAAAATACAGACCCTCAAAACTATACCACTGTAACCGACATGGTGATAAGACAATTTAGGGGTTGGCAAATTTCTTTTTTGGCAGGGGGATCCCCAAATGGAGAAAACAGGTCCGCGCGACCTTTGATGAGGCAGCTTTTTTGTACCCCCAACTCTGTGAGAACAGTGTGAGAGCACTGACACCAGTCAGGCCCTTTGCTTACAGACCGGGGGCGGGAGTAGGGGGGAAGGAAACTCCCGGCGCTGGCATGACTTCCCCAGGACTGACAAGGGCCCCTAGGAACGGCTTTTCTCCCTTGCAAAACTGGCCTGTTTATTTCGGCTCCAGGGTGCCTGGGGCCAGAGTAGGACCTGCAGGAAAAGATCTGGGAGGAATATTCGCCCAGAAGCCTCTAGGGCATACGACTCGCGTTCTTCAGGGGTCGGCGCGGATAGGAACCGCAGCAAAGGATCCCCTAGACCTCCGAGCTGTGAGCGGCGACACAGCCGGGACCCCAGACCCCGGACCCCAGGGCGCGGAGTTGACCGGAGCCGGGAAGGGAGCGGCGCGGGCAGCGCGGGGCAGCGAGACGCAAGCGCTCGCAGGGGTCGGCGGCCCAGCAGAAGCCGCGCCCGCTAAGTTGCCCGAAGCGGCCGCGAGGTGCGAGGGTGCGGACAGCACCGGAAGGCGGCGGACGCAGCGCCCCCGGGCTCACCTTCTTACCTTTCCTTCCCAGCCCTGCCCGGAGCTTCAGCCCGGCGCCCGCAGAAGTTTCCCGGCGGAGCGCGCTTGACCCGGGTGGCCCGCGCGGAAGCCCTCAGCGTCCCCCTCGTGAGTGCCTCGCCGCCCACCCTGCGGCGCCGGGCGCAGCGTGACCGCAGCGGGCTCCGGAGCGGCGCGGCGGCGCGGGCGGGTGCCGGGCACGGGCGCGCGCCCCGGGGCGCAGCCGGGTGGGCGGGCGCGGCGGCTGCGTCTGGGCCGGGGCAGGCGGTTCGGCCACCGGGGTGCGGGGCTGCGGAGAATCCTAGCGGCCGCTACGGACCGAAGTTTCCAAAGATGCGGTTCCCCGAGTGTACACCGCTCCCGGTTGTAACATACACCTAGTATTCACAGTCACACTAGGCAGGAGCGATGGGCTGGCTGCTGAACCAAGGCAACTGCACGCCTGCTCTCTCACCCCCGCTCCACACACACCGTAAACAAAATGAAGAGGTAAATCACCATAGTGGGGACGGGAATATTAGGGTGTATTGGACAGAGAGAGAGAGAGAGAGAGGTAAATATAGTATTTTTTTTTTTTTTAGAGATGGTGTCTCGCTCTGTCACCCAGGCTGGAGTGCAGTGGTGATCACGGCTCACTGCAATCTCGACCTCCTGGGCCCAGGCATCCTCCTGACTCAGCCTCCTAAAGCTTAGGATTGCAGATGTGAGCCACCGCACCCAACCAATAAATACGGACTGTTGCATGAAAAATAAAATATCTATATTCAAATCAATGAACATCTCTAAAAGCAAATGAGTAAAGGGCATAGACAATCATAAAAGGAAAAAATTTAAAAACACAAATGACAAAAAGCTCATATCAGTAATAACCAAATGCATACAATTTTAAAGCAATGATCAGGTGCATTTTTTCTTCCTTTGCAATTAGCAAAGTTTTGTTTTGTTTTTGTGATGAAACAAATGTGAGGGTTGGTGACGACCAGTAAAACACGCCACTAATTTAAGAATGTCATCTCCTGTCTTCTAGTTCGCTTTCATTTTATATAACCATATTGATAACAGCGACTCCAGGAACAAGAATTTATTGAGCAATCAGTGTCTTTTTTGAGCCCCAGGGTAACCACAAAAACAGTGAATATAGATGGTAAAATTAACTCCCTTTAATTGATGCTGGAACTGAGGATCAAGAAATACACATATTCTTACACCCCAGAAATGGCTAGAAACCAGTTGACTCCTAGGCCTTTGCTCTTTCTCTTCATTGCAGGGATTTACTCAAATGTTGGAAATCCAGTTTGAACTGGATGTAGTCCATAGTGTGTGTGTGTGTGTGTGTGTGTGTGTGTGTGTGTGTATATATATGTATATATATATATATACACACACACACACCTTTAAACTATGGCCAGGGAAGTGAGAAGCCCATGAACTTTGAGGTCAGATGTACTCTGGATTTAGATTTTACTTGTTTAGTGTCCTACATTTTAAAAATTTAAGGATTATATTACTGTTATTTTTAATTTAAAAACTCAGAAGCTGTTACTGTTGCCCTGGATTCTTATGATCTCCCATGATAGAGATTAACAGAGATCACCAAACATAGCAGCAAAGGAAAGTGTATTCAGCTTGTGCGCAAGGGAGTCAGCACCAAGAAAGGCAAAGGAACGGACTGCTCTGAGGATAGTGTGTGGGTCAGTTTTATAGGGTCTTTCTATAGGGGAGGGTTACATCAGGGCACCTATAGGAGGAGTTTTTCTAGTGCTTGCACAGTGGCCCAATATGCTTTTTCATACATCATATGTAGCATTAGCATTTTAAATCTCCACCCCAGGAGTAATTTTTAGCATTAAAGTGAGGAAGGGGTAAATGTAGGTTGGAGTTTAAGTCTAACTGTACAGGCGGGGATCTGGGGAAGTCCCTAGCCCTCTGAAATAGGAGCTTGCAGTTAACAGCTTCTTGGGTGTTTTGTTACCTATTGACTGAGAGTTAGATAAGCTAGAGCTTGAGTAAGGAGCTTTTATCCTTTTTCACCACACCATCTTAAAATAGCTTTCCTGTCTCAATGCAACAAAGATATCCCTGTGTGACAGATTCTTCAGTGGCCCCAATAGTTTCTGATTCCCAGTACCTGTTCATGTTCATACCTGTGTTAGATCCCCTCCTCCTAAGAGGGGTTGGGACCTGTGACTTGCTTCTGAAAATAAATATAACAAAGGTGATGGATATCACTCCCATGACCACATTACATTATAAAAGACTGTCTCTTATGAACAGACTCTCTCTAGAGACTGTCCGGTCTGGCCTGATGAAGGCAGTGGCCATGCTTGGAAAGTCCACATGGTGAGGAACCATGGGCAGCCTCTAGGAGCTGAAAGGCAGCTTCCGGCCCATAGCCAGCCAGCAAGAAGTCCTACAAACTCCAGGAAATGAATTCTGTCAACAGCCTAAGTGAACTTGGAAGTAAATCTTTCCCCAGTCAATCATCCACATGAGAACACAAACCAATGACACCTTAATTGCAGTTTTGTGAAACCCTGAGCAGAGGATCTACTTAATCCATGCCTGGACTCCTAAATGCACCCCCCGACCCAAATTTTGAGAGTATATACAGAGTGCGATCCCTCTTTGAAAATTTTGTGTTAAATACTGCTGCCCTGCTGCATTCTGATTTTTCTCTTTCTTACTCCTTCACATGTATTTTCTTGCCTTGATCATGGCAGAGTTCTCTTTCTCTGTATCCCTCATTTTTTGTTATTATACATTTTATTGTATAAGTAATACATGAATATAATTCAATATACTAAGATATATTGCTTGGCATTATACTGTATCTGCCAACTTTCTTTTCCAGACAACAAAATACCTTGAAGTTCATTTATCTTTTCACATATATAGTATATATAAAATTCTTCTTTTAAATGACTATATACTATTATATTATTAGTATGTCTACCTGAAATAATGGAAAGGATCAGAATCCAGTTTAAAAGCATTTTTCCAAGTGAAAAGCTGAGAATGCCATTCAGATAACACAGACTCCAAAGGAATGGAGTTAGTGCTCCAAAGTTAAGATCTTGCATATACCAGCAGAAAACAAAGAAACTTAGTAGGATTATAACATTTTCTATACAAGGCTGGTTTATGACTTACAACAATTTAATTAGTTACAATTTGTTTTCTTTTCCATACAGCTTGTTTTCTTTTCCTATTTAAAAGAGTGTATTTAACATTCCATCTTAGACAATGTGATAGTCATGAAGTCTGTGTGAGAGAGGAAAGAGGGAAGTTACTCTATAATGAAGATCAACAGTTAAGAGAGAAGGGGTCTTCCCTGGTACCCTTTAGTCATTTATAACATTTTACAAAACAACATAGGTAAAGACAAAGGCTAATCTTAATCAGAAAAACAAAAGGTCACAGCTGCCTACTTTATAGCTGCCTGTTTACATGTGACTCAGATCCCATAATCAGATTCCCTTAAGGCTCAAAATGTTTTAAAGTTCCAACAGCTTAGATTTTTACTTGTTTTCACAAACATATCACAGTGCATCCATCCTCTTAACTATTTAGGTTTTTTGTAGTTTTTTTTTTTTTTTTTTGAGACAGAGTCTCATTGTGTCACCGAGGCTGGAGTAGTGTAGTGGTACAATCTTGGCTCACGGCAACCTCTGCCTTCTGGGTTTAAGCGATTCTCCTGCTTCAGCCTCCCAAGTAACTGGGATTATAGGCACCTGCCACCATACCTGGCTAATTTTTGTGTTTTTAATAGAGATGGGGTTTCACCATGTTGGCCAGCCTGGTCTTGAACTCCTGACCTCAAGTGATCCACCCGCCTTGGCCTCCCAAAGTGCTGAGATTACAGGCATGAGCCACCGCACTGGGCCTATTTCTAGCATTTGATATAGCAAACAAATGCTGTGTGCATGCTCCTTGGACACATATGTGATGATTTCTCCAGAATATATGCTCAGAAGTAGGGCTCTGAGTATGTTCATTTTCATTTTATTTGCTGCTGACAAATCGTGCTCCAGAGTGTCTGTGTCCATTTATATCCCTACCAGGTATGTAGGAGAGTGCTCCTTCCTGCACTCTCCTTTCTTCACAACCCCCAGTGACACCTGATATTACCCAACTTTAAAATTTTTGCTCTAACTCTCTTTCATATTCCTGTTCTCCTCTCTTGTTTTGCATTTTCCTTTTCTTCCTCCTCCTTCTCTCTCTCTTCTCTCATGTTTCCTGCCTCTCTTCCCTCTCTTTCTCAGTTTTTTCTCTTCTTTGGTTTGCTCTTTTGCTTTGTAAAAATTTATAATTTGTTTTAATTTAACATTTATAATCTTTAAAATTTAATTTATAATTTATTTTATAACCTGATTCATAATGACGATTATGAAAATATCTGTCAGCAAATATACATTTATAAAATAACTGCCAACGACTGCAGTGGGTTGTACATTAGCGGCCAACCATCTTTTAAAAAAAAAATTTGATGTAAAATAACCATAACATAAAAGTAACCATCTCAAAATGTACAAGTCAGTGACATTTAGCACATTGAGTGTTGTGCACCAAACACCTCTATCTAGCTTCAAAACATTTCATCCCCCCAAAGGAAAACTCCATACACATAAAGCCTTCACTTTCCAATTCCCCTTTCTCCCCTGGGAACCACTGACCTGCTTTTTGTCTCTATGGATTTTCCTATTCTAGATATTTAATATAAATGGAATCATACAACATATGACATTGTATGTCTGGTTTCTTTCACTTGGCATCATGTTTTTGAGGTTAATCCACATTGTAGCATGTAGAAACTTCTTCCTTTTTATGGCTAAATAATATTACATTGTTTATTATGCCATAGTTTGTTAATCCATTATCTGTTGATGAACATTTGGGTATTTCCACCATTTGACTATTGTGAATAGTGCTGCTATTAACATTTGTGTGTAAGTTTTTGTTTGAATACTTTTGGCTATACACCTAGGGGAAGAATTGCTGGGTCATATGGTAATTCCATGTTTATTTTTTTAAGGAACTACCAAACTGTTTTCTATAACAACTGTATCATTTTGCAGTCCTACTAACAATGTATGAGTGTTCTTATTTCTCCACATTCTTGGCAACACTTATTATTTTCTTTTTTTAAAATATAGCTATTTTAGTGGGTGTGAAGTAGTATCTCATTGTTTTGATTTGCATCTCTCTAATGACTCATGATGTTGAATGTCATTTCATGTGATTGTTGGGCATTTGCATATCTTTAGAGGAATGCCTGTTTAAGTCCTTTGCCAATTTTTCAGTTGGGTTGCTTGTCTTTCTGTTGTAGAGTTGTAAGAGTTCTTTGTATATTTTGGATACCAGACAACCTCTATCAGATATATGACTTTCAGCCCGGGATGGTGGCTCACGCCTATAATACCAGCACTTTGGGAGGCCAAGGTGGGAGGATCACCCAAGGTCAGGAGTTCATGACCAGTCTGGCCAACATGGTGATCCCCATCTCTACTAAAAATACAAAAATTAGCTGGGCGTGGTGGCGGGCACCTGTAATCCCAGCTGAGGGAAGAGAATCGCTTGAACCCAGGAAGCGGAGCTTGCAGTGAACCAAGATCATGCCATTTCACTCCAGCCTGGGCAACAAAGTGAGACTCTGTCTCAAAAAAAAAAAAAAAAAAAAAAAAAGATATATAACTTTCAAGTGTTCTCTCTCTTTCTGCGGGTTGTCTTTTCATTATCTTGATAGCGTCCTTTGATATCCAAAAGTTTTTTGTTTTGTTTGTTTTGTTTTTTGAGACAGAGTTTCACTTTGTCACCCAGGCTGGAATGCAGTGGCACAATCTTGGCTCACTAAAACCTCCACCTCCTGGGTTGAAGCAGTTCTCCTGCCTCAGCCTCCTGATTAGCTGGGACTACAGTTGCATGCCACCACACCAGCTGATTTTTTGTATTTTAGTAAAGACGGGGTTTCACCGTGTTGCCCAGGCTGTTCTTGAACTCCTGAGCTGAGGCAATCCCCCCGTCTTGGCCTTCCAAAGTGCTACGATTACAGGCGTGAGCCACTGCACCTGGCCATAATGCCCAAAAGTTTTTTAATCTTGCTGATTTCTAATGTATTTATTTTTCTTTTGTTGCTTGTACTTTCTTTTGGGATCATATCTAATAATTCATCGCCAAATCCAAGGTCATGAAGATTTATCCGTATGTTTTTTGTAAGAGTTTTAGAAGTTTATGGTTTAAAATATTATATTTAGTTTATTGATCTATTTTGAGTTAGTTTGTGTATATCTTGTGGATACATTTTGTATCTATATTTATATATTTATATATACCCAACTTCATTGTTTTGCACGTAGATATCCAGTTGTCTCAGCAATATTTGTTGAAAAGTCTATTCTTTTCCTATGGAGTGATATTGGCACCCTTATTGAAATCAACTGACTATAGATATATGGGTTATTTCTGGACTCTCAATTTTAATTTTATTCCATATATTGATCTATATGTCTATTCTTTTTTTTTTTGGGGGGGACACAGTCTCACTCTGTCACCCAGGCTGGAGTGCGGTGGCATGATCTTGGCTCACTGCAACCTCTGCCTCCTGGGTCCAAGCGATTGTCCTGCCTCAGCCTCCTGAGTAGCTGGGATTACAGGCACGTGCCACCATGCCTGGCTAATTTTTGTATTTTTAGTAGAGACGGGGTTTCACCATGTTGGCCAGGCTGGTCTTGAACTCCTGACCTCAGGTGATCCATACGCCTGAGGCTCCCAAAGTGCTGGTATTAAAGGCATGAGCCACCGCATTGCCCAGCCTATATGTCTATTCTTAATGCCAGTACCACACTGTTTTGATTACTTAGTAATTTTTTTGTTTTTTTTCTAGTAAGTTTTGAAATCAGGAATTATGAGTCTTCCAAACTTTTTTTTCCTTTTTCAAGATTGTTTTGGCTATTTGTGGTCCCCTGCAATCCATATGAATGTTATGATTTGTTCCACATCTTAAAAAGGGTCATTAGTATTTTAATAGGAATTATAAAGATCTGTAAAACACTTTGGGTAATACTGCTATCTTAAGTCTTCCAATACATGAACATTTATTTAGGTCTTCTCTAATTTCTTTCTGCAATGTTTTTCATATTCAATGTACCAGTCTTGTGTCTTCCTGACTAAATTTGTTTCTAACCCTTTTGCTTTTGTTTTCAGTGTCCATCTATCTGCCCCCCTCCTTTTTTGGTCTCAGAAGCTGACTCTTTCCCTCATTAAAATATCAAGTCCATTTCATAGCTATAGATCAAAGCACTTCTTGTTGCTGTAAAGACTCCATCCACTTCCTTACTCTTCCTGCAATCTTGCTCATAGAAAGTCCTTGAGCTTCTCTCCTCTTCACACACGTCAGAGGCAAGGCTGTCAGAGCTGCTTCCAGAACTGAGAGTGACAATTGTTTTTTAGGTAGGTAGGAGCCCAGCAGGCCTTAGGGCAGCAGGACCTGAGCCGGAGATTTAGTCAGGAGAATAGGAAACCTTTTGAGATGCAGTTCAGTAAAGCACACTACTATATGAAGTCACTCTGATGTAGAAGTTGCTTTAATATGTGGGAGTGGTGAATGGAATATGTCTAATTTTCTACCTTATAAGTAATAGTTGGCTTGTTGCTAAGGTTTTCATTAAGAAAGCACATTTTGAAATTTAGTAGCCTGGCCGGTCACCAGTGGCTCATGTCTGCAATCCCGGCACCCTGGGAGGTTGAGGTGGGTGGTTTGCTTGAACTCAGAAGTTTGAGACCAGCCTAGGAAACACGGCAAAACCGTGTCTCTACAAAACACACAAAAATTAGTCGGGTGCAGTGGTGTGCGCCTGTAGTCCCAGTTACTTGGGTGGCTGAGATGGGAGGCTTGAGCCTGGGAGGTTGAGGCTGCAGTGAGCTGTGATTGCATCATTGTAGTTAAGCTTGGGCAACAGAGCGAGATCCTGTCTCAAAATATATTAAATAATAAAATAAAAAAAATAGTAATTCAGTAGCCTAAAGGGATTTTTGAATCACAAATTATATATGAGTTCTAGAGGGGAGAATTAATGTTCAGAATTAGTAGAGAAATGGGAAGTCATTGAAAAATAGAAATACAAACCAACAAAAGTGAAGAGAAAACAAGAAGATGAAAAGGTGGATTCCTCTGTAAGGACTTTAAGATTTTTATTGATTATTTTTCCATATTATAGTATGCTTCAAACCCAATTCTATTAAGAAATTGTAGTTGAAAACATTTTTGTTTAGACATGTTGGCTTTTTTAAAGTTATAACTTTCATAAATGTTTATAGAATATTTGTACCAGTATCATCTTTAACAGGTACAAGACAAAAACCCTCAACAGTTACAAGACTAAAAATTACAGAACTAAAAAGAACAGTAGATCTTACAGAAGATCATCAAAACAAAGTGTGGCTGAAACACAAGCTCTAGAAACAGTTCTGAGATCAGGCTGCTAATTTTACCATTGGCCTGGTGGTTAAGTGGGGTGGGCAATTTTTGAATTTTCATATTCTTAGAGCCCAGAGGGGCCTTACTGATCAGAGGCTTATCACTCATGTTAATTTGCATTGGTTCTTCTTAGGTTTTAATATTAACCGCAAGCTCGGAGGCTATAATTAAGATGATAAGATGATTTAAATGTTAAGCATCATTAGATATTTAGCTTCTTTTTTTTTTTCAAGAAAAGCAAAAAAAAAGTGTCTGACCCCTTAAAGATGCCATACTAGATTGGACCTGGAGGAAGTGTCAGACTTTTCCTCTCTAGGTTGGCTTTTATAAGCAAGGTGATGCAAATTAAGCACTGGCACAGCAACTGGCACATAGTTTATTTCATTATTGTTGTTATTACCATTATCTGTATGATAGACTTTTATATATATGAGTTTCTTAAGGAAAAATTATATATATTAAATATATGATCTTTGATATTAGAAGTGATATTTATCTTTTTACGCCTTCTGTTTTTTCCTTTTTTAATCTTGAACTATATGTATAATTCGATAAAAGCAATTGAAAGACAAAGAACTCTTTAGAGAGAGCAAGGCCACAAGAAAGGATCCTGACTTTATTATGGACCAGGCAATTCGAGTAATTGGTCTCCTTCACAAGCCTATTTCTATAGAGGAGATGGGCTTGTCCGGTGGTCACAGGTAGCTGGCACCAGCCATCAGAAACAACTGACAAACCCCCTCGTCACACCAACCCACTGATTCGGGTGACTAAGTACCCTCCTTGCACTTCCTCCAGGCCAGGAGGGGAGGTCTGGACACTTGGCATGTAGGTAGTGGTATCCTCTCTCACTCAGTAGCGTCCTTAGAACCCTGCACATGTGAAGCAGCTCCTTTGGGGCTGCCTGGCCTGAAAACATTCCTGTTGAACAGTCACTTTTCCTGTGAATTGTGTCTCTGGGTCTCATTTCCTCATCGTTAAATGAGAGGAAGACAGTGATGTCTGTTCCCCCTTTATACAGGCTTTCCAGGAATCAGCTGAGTGTATCTGATCTCTCTCACTTTGCCACATTTATTAGTGATGTCCGGGGGTGGATTCCTAGAATCGCCAGATAGAAAGATGTCTTTGTAGGGCGCCCATCCAGCCCATCTTCAAGGAGGATTGCAACCAAACAGGGAAGGCTGCCAGCGCTGATTCTTCCTCAGCTTCCTTGCATCACTTATTTATGGACCTAAAACCCAGTAATGCCTTCTATTCCACTCTAAATCTTTCCACTCTTAAACAGAATCCCTCTTGGGACTTCTTTCAGAAAAATCAGTTCCTTAGTCTTCTCTGGACTGTCTCCAGTTACTTCGTATTGTCTTGAATTGAAGTTGAGGAGCTCTGAACTCAGTGTTTCCTCCAATAGATACTAAGCAGTCTTGAGCAGAGGAAAAGGCAACTTGTATCCCTCAATGCCATGTAACAGTGATGCTAGGCCACGGGAGCACTCTGTAGAGGGAAAGTAGGGGCTTCGATGGCTAAGAGAATTGAAAACAAGATTCTGCTCCACAGTTTGCCTGCTGGTGATCACTGGCAAGGAGTTTACTTTGCCTCAGTTCTCAAAAGGTAAAAGAGGAATAATAATAATACTTCATGGCCGGGCACGGTGGCTCACGCCTGTAATCCCAGCACTTTGGGAGGCTGAGGTAGGCGGGTCATGAGATCAGGAGATTGAGACCATCCTGGCCAACATGGTGAAACCCTGTCTCTATTAAAAATACAAAAATTAGCTGGGTGTGGTGGCGTGTGCCTGTAGTCCCAGCTACTCAGGAGGCTAAGGCAGGAGAATCCCTTGAACCCAGGAGATGGAGGTTGCAGTGGGCCGAGATTGCGCCACTGCACTCCAACCTGGCGACAGATTGAGACTCTGTCTCCAAAATAATAATAATAATAATACTTCATAAGGTCATTATGAGGAGTAAGTGAGGTGGTATATAGAAAATGCTTGGTTTATCTTGTATATATTTTTTCATACAAAAGATGCTTACATACAAGACAATCACATCATCAAGTGTTCAATGGAAGAAATGTGATCTTTTCCAACGCTGAAGAAAAAAGTGACTATCGTGAACTTACTGAAAAACAGAACTGTCCTGTATTCTAAGGGATTTTCAGGGGTAATTTTAACTGTCTTTAATTTTTGCCTGAAATGCTGGGCCTAGCTCCACGATAAACTGCAATTCCCCTGGGTAAGAGTTTGCCTTACTATTTTACAGTTCTCTGCAGCTTACAAAGCAGTTCCTATAATCTTTTTTCTTTTTTTAAGTTTAGTGATTTTGGAACCATTGCCCCAAAGATAAATAACGTTTATAGGCCTCAAGGAAAGAGAACTTGATTTAGAAGTATCTCCTTCAATCACTGGAAATCCCTATGAAATAGAAAAAATCCAGCAAAACATATATGAGCAGTGTTTGAAGTAGTCAATGTATGAGATAAAAGGTACATCCCCAGATTTTTAAAACAAAGAAAAAAATGTGTTGCAAATGGGCAAGTTTCTTTAGATCTAATAAGAAACAGATGAAGAAAAAAACCTAAAACCTTAGGATATTTTCCATATGCTCAATAAGGTAGATAACAACCGCTTATAATCAGGCACCATTCTAAGCAGTTTACATGTATTAAGGCATTTAATCCTCCTGTGAACTTATAAGCAGGTATTGTTTCCATTCGCCTTTTCTGGATAAGGAAGCTCAGGCATAGAAAGATTGATTTCCCCAAGGTTTCACAGCAGCACATGTGGCAGAGCTGGATTCCTACTCAGGCAGCAGGCTCTGAGAAGCCACACCTTTCACCACTGTACCATGTTGCTCTTCTGGAGTGTTGCTGGTTGGGAACTTCTAGCACAGGCCTGTCTTTATCCTAAAGTAGGAAGCAGTATAGCACAGTAGTTAAATACACATTTGGGGGTTATCTGTTAGGTTGGGGCAAAAGTAATCGCAGTTTTTTTGACATTAAAAGTAATGCCAAAAAGCGGGATTACTTTTGCCCCAACCTGAATCAATAATTTTTCTTTTTACCCCTGGCTCCACCACTTGATGGAGAATCAGGGAAGGGCAATTTGATGAATTTCCTTGCTCCTTCCATCTCAAATCCTGGCTGGTAAAGAAATTGAAGTCTAAAGGATTAAGATATTTAAAATAGAAATCATGTTCTGTACCCAAACACTGAGTTGTTTTGCCACCTTCTGAGTCAGCTTGATTCAGAAAGCTTCCTGTACATCAGCTGTTTCAGATCACTAAGTGGTGTTTTTTTTTTTAAATGCAATCTACTAATGCAATGAATAAGGCGTGTGAATTATGGAGAAAATGAATTTGTGTATTAACATTAACTTAAATAAGATAAATTCTCACTATTTCCTCTGACTCAGTGCAAAATCTTTACTATCACCTAAAGTATAATTATTATATTCATTTAATAGTTAGGCAGCTAGTAGGAGTAGCTACCATTTGTTGAGCACTTACTTTGAATTAGGAGCTTTACTTAAAACCCTTTCCCCTTTTCCCTGAGAATACTTGCCAGCAGTGCTAAGAGCAGCAGCATTTACCCTGAGATAACTTGGCCACTAAATGTCTTGCTTTTATTATTATTTTCACATCACTCTAGTATATCAACTTTGGAAACAAAACGTATCATTCTATTTATAGCATTCTGCGTTTTTTTGTTTGTTTGTTTTGAGACAGAGTCTTACTCTGTTGCCCAGTGGCGCGATCTTGGCTCACTGCAACCTTTGTATCCCGGGTTCAAACGATTCTCGTGCCTCAGCCTCCAGAGTAGCTGGGATTACAGGTGCCCGCCACCAAGGCCGGCTAATTTTTTGTATTTTTAGTAGAGACAGAGTTTCACTATGTTGGCCAGGCTGGTCTCGAACTCCTGACCTCAAATGATCCACCCGCCTTGGCCTCCCAAAGTGCTGGGATTACAGGCATGAGCCACTGCACCCGGCTAATGTTTGTATTTTCAGGAGAGACGAGGTTTCACCATGTTGGCCAGGCTGGTCTCGAACTCCTGACCTCAAGTGATCTGCCCGCCTTGGCCTCTCAGAGTGCTGGGATTACAGCTATAGCATTCTGTTTTTAGTAGTGGTATTTCCATATACAAAATACAGTAATTCTAAATTGCTAAAAATGTCAAATCCTAGAAAACATAGTATTCCTACACAGGATGTTAGCATCATTCTCGAACAGTTGTTGGCCAAAGATTCATTTGATGAACCTGATTTTTCCAAAATAGACAATTCTGTTGTTAGTTCTGTTTAGAAATAACTCCAAGAACAGTTTTTATATTTTATTTTCACATTGAAAACCAGTCAGATGTGCTTCAGCCTCAAAGAGCATGTTTATATAAAATTAAATGAGTGCTGGCAGCGAGCCGCACTTTTTTTTTTCTAAACAGGAAAAGGGTTAAACTATCTTGTTCAATTTCTTAGCGAGGTTGGTTGATGAGAAATTGACACATAGAGCAGTCTCCAGCATCTAGCTTCAGTTCCCAGTAGAATCTAAAGTGATAGAGGCAGTGTTAAAACTGAGTCATCCTGATGCCCATGTGTGAGTATTTAACCACAATCCTCTACTGATTCCCAAAGTATAAAGACAAGGCTATATTTACAGCTTCTGACTTGCCACAGCACAGCTTTAAAAGTCAGTATCTGTCTTATAGCTATTTTGTTACAAAATGTGCATAGTTGTTGATCCCTGAGTATGCTGCATCCCTAGATTACTCTCCGATGTGGCAGATTCCAAACTCTGATCCTCACTAACAAATCTTCAAACTGAAAAAATAAGAGGCTTATTTATGGCTCTCTCAAAAACTAGTATCCAAAGTGATATGGCTTGGATATTAATGCCTTCCAGTTCTCGTGTTGAACTGGAATGAAATGTGATCACCAGTGTTGGAGGTGGAGCCTGGTGTTTGGGTCATGGGGATGGATCCTTCATGAATGACTTGGTGCCCTCCCCTTGGTGATGAGCAAGTTCTCACTCTGCTAGTTCACGTGAGAGCTGGTTGTTTAAAAAGTCTGGGACCTCTCTCCCTCCCTCTCTATTGCTCCATCTCTCATCATGTGAAACACCTGTGACCCCCTTTGCCTTCTGTCATGATTGTAAGCTTCCTGAGGCCGTCATAGAAGCATTAGCTTTAT
Organism: Homo sapiens; assembly: GCF_000001405.40. Classification (NCBI taxonomy): domain Eukaryota; kingdom Metazoa; phylum Chordata; class Mammalia; order Primates; family Hominidae; genus Homo; species Homo sapiens. Next base: position 105,193,485 of record NC_000006.12, read on the forward strand.
GCTTCTGTATGCACTATGCTTCTTGTACAATCTGCAGAACTGTGAGCCAAAATAAACCTCTTTTATTCATAAATTACCCAATCTTCAGGTATTTCTTTATAGCAATGCAAAACAGACTAATACACAAAGGAAGGAAAATCGATGGGTACACTTCTTCAAATGTGGACAGAAGATTAGCCCTTATGAACTCAATCTCTGACTCTGAGTTATTTCACAGTAGCAAGGGCAAAAAAAATCTTGGTTGTGTTAATCACATTTCAATGAAACACCAAGTTTTATAGAAATCATCCCCAGATTGTTGTTTGGTTTCTGGCACATTAATACAACTAATTCATCAGCAGAATGAGCAAGCCATTCTTGCAACAGAGCCAACCTTCCTTTAATGAAACAGAGCTACCACAAGCTGTTCTCTGGAATCTGGGAAAGGACTATATTAGCCTACGCTATGCATGTTTTGCTTTTGGATTCAGTTGGCCACTGACAAGTATGTGATTGTAGTCAATGTTTAATGCAACAGGAAAACAAGTTACAGGACATCAGTTCCAGGTTCTTACTGGTTTATCTTTCAAGTATGCTTTTTCTAAGTTACCTAAACAACACATATAATATACATACATTTGCATAGACACATACCATTTCAGGACATATGAATTTCTTCATTGTGTGACCTTCTGTTCACTAACTAAAATGGGTGAGAGAAGAAAACAAAAATGAACCAATTTACACTGGAAATGGGAACCAAAGCAACTAATCTTAAGTTTGAACAGCTCCTACTTCCTCTCCATCTCAGAGGCACAGAAACAAATGGGTCAGATCTGGTTGCCATGTGTGTAGACAGCCAGTAGCAATTCTCTGCCAGCACTCAGCTGACAAAGTAGACCTAGAGAACAGAGATGGGTGGAAAGGGGTGGGAAGAGAGGTTGTTTCTCTCTCCAGTTTTTCAGAAAACACTAATGACCTGTTGAGAAAGAAAACAGAGCTTGTCAACATGTATGTGGCCCTACGACACACTTCAAGTAAGATATATGTGATAGCCAGGTACATTTTATAAAGTGTATCTGGTGCATGATTCTCCTGATAAACTGAGATTTTTGGCTTAAAGAGTAAATTGATCTTGGGGCTAAAGCGGGGCTGAGGAGGTCCTCTGTGGAAGCTATCATAACATTTCTGAGCTACAAGGATATATGATCAGCTCCTATGATCTAGAGTTGGCAAAATTGTGCACGTGTATTCAGGGTGGGATGAGAGAATGTGGCCAGAATCACAACAGGAGGAAATGAAAAGTAGAGCTGTCACAGTGGTGGGAAGGAGAGAAGTGGCCCTAAGGACGTCAGTATATTCAAATGTTAAATTATCCTTTAGCTGCTCCTGGGTGTAAAACTCTTGAGTTAATCCACTTTATACCACATAGAAAAACAAATATCTACCAGACAAAGGAGAAGTCATAAAAATTCATCTGAACAGCTCAAAAACAGTATGTATGGACTACTTCTTACTTGGGGCTTTAAAAAAAATCTTCCCAGTATGGCTGGTTATTGAACTCCATTGGAATTCATTCCAAAAATCTCTTTTGTTTCTTGAGCTGCACAGAGAAATCAATTTAAATTACAAACTGGAATGTTAAATACCAACCTCAAATTTAACTGCAATAATTCCATATCCCTGTGAAATATAATATTCACTCTTTTATTTTGTCTTGAAGATGGAAGGGCAAAGGAAGGAGAAATAAAAAGTTCTCTCTCAAGTTTCTCTTATCTCATTAGGAGCAAAGGCTGAGTGCAGTGGCTCACACTTGTGATCCTAGCTCTTTGGGAAGCCAAGGAGGGAGGATTGCTTGAAGCTAGGAGTTCAAGACCAGCCTGGGCAACATAGAGCGAAATTGTCTCTACAAAAAATTAAAAAATGAGCCAGGTGTGGTGGTACATGCTTGTGGTCCCTACTTGGGAGGCTGAGGTGGGAGGATTGCTTAAGTCTGGGAGATCGAGGCTGCAGTGAGCCACGATCATGCCACTGCACTCTAGCCTGGGTGACAGAAAGAGACCTGTCAAAGAACAAAAGAAAACAAAGGGATCAGAGAGGTTGAGATGTAGAGATTTGTAGTATTTCTATGTAAAGATTGAACATGGAAGAAGATACAGGCATTCCTTGCTTAACTGTATTTCACTTTATTGCATTTCATAGGTGCTGCATTTTTTTTTTATGGCAGGGGACAGAGTCTCGCTCTATCACCTAGGCTGAAGTACACTGGTGCAATCTCAGCTCACTACAACCTCTGCCTCCTGGGTTCAAGCGATTCCCCTGCCTCGGCCTCCCAAGTAGCTGGGACTACAGGGCCTGCCACCACACCTGGCTAATTTTTGTATTTTTAATAGAGACGGAGTTTCACCATGTTGGCCAGGTTGCCTCAAGAGATCCACCTGCATTGGCCTCCCAAAGTGCTAGGATTACAGGTGTGAGCCACTGCACCTGGCCTTTTTTTTTTTTTTAAGTGAATGTTTGTGGCAATCCTACTTCAAGCAAGTCTATTGACATCATTTTTCAACAGCATGTATTCACTTCTTGTCTCTGTTTCACATTTGGTAATTCTTGAAATATTTCAAACTTTTTCATTATTATTATGTCTGTTATGGTTACCTGCGATCAGTGATTTTTGATGTTATTATTACAATTGTTTTGGGGTACCACAAGCCACACCCACATAAGATGGCGAACTTAATGTGTTGTGTGTGTTCTGACTGCTCCATCAACCAGCCTTTCCCCTGACTCACTTTCTCTCCTCCAGTTTCCTCATTCCATGAGATATAACAATATTGGAATTAGGCCAATTAATAATCCTGCAATAGCCTTTAAGTGTTCAGGTTAAAGGAAGAGTCACATATCTCACTTCAAATCAAAACAAGACATAATTAAGCTTAGTGAGGAAGGCATGTCAAAATTTGTGATAGGGGCAGGGGGCAGTGTCTCACACCTGTAATCCCAGCACTTTGGGAGGCCAAGGCAGACAGATCACAAGGTCAGGAGATCGAGACTGTCTTGGCCAACATGGTGAAACCCCATCTCTACTAAAATACAAAAAATTAGCTGGGCGTGGTGGCACATGCCTGTAATCCCAGCTGCTTGGGAGGCGAAGCAGGGGAATCACTTCAACCCAGAAGGCGAGGTTGCAGCGAGCTGAGATGGCGCCACTGTACTCCAGCCTGGCGACAGAGCAAGTCTCAGTCTCAAAAAAATGTGTGATAGTCTGAAAGCCAGGCGTCTTGCACCAAAGAGTTAGCCAAGTTGTGAATGCAAAGAAAAAGTTCTTGAAAGAAATCAAAAGTGCTACTCCAGTGAATACACAAATGATAAGAAAGTGAAACAGCCTTATTGCTGATATGGAGAAAGTTTGAGTGGTCTGGATGGAAGATCAAAACAGCCACAACATTCTCTTAAGCCAAAGCCTAATCCACAGCTGGCCCTAACTCTCTTCAATTCTATGATGGCTGAGGGAGGTGAGGAAGCTGCTGAAGTGCCGGGCACGGTGACTCACACCTGTAATCCCAGCACTTTGGGAGGCTGAGGCAGGAGGATCACAAGGTCAGGAGATCGAGACCATCCTGGCTAACATGGTGAAACCCCATCTCTACTAAAAATATAAAAAATTAGCCAGGCGTGGTGGCGGGTGCCTGTAGTCTCAGCTACTCGGGAGGCTGAGGCAGGAGAATGGCGTGAACCCAGGAGGCAGAGCATGCAGTGAGCCAAGATGGTGCCACTTGCACTCCAGCCTGGGCGAGAGTGCGAGACTCCGTCTCAAAAAAAAACCAAAAATCAAAAAACAACAAAAAAAAGAAAGTTGCAGAACAAAAGTGTGAAGCTAGCAGAAGATGGTTCAAGAGGTTTAAGGAAATAAGCCATCTCCATAACATAAAAGTGCAAGCTGCAGCAGGAAGTGCTGATGTAGAAGCTGCAGCAAATTATCCAGAAGATCTAACTAAGATCACTGTTGAAGGTGGCTACACTAAACAACAGATTTTCAATGTAGATAGAACAGCCTTCTATTGGAAGAAGATGCCATCTAGAGAAGAGAAGTCAATGCCTGGTTTCAAAGCTTGACTCTCTTGTTAGGGGCTAATGCTTATTCATCATTCCAAAAATCCTAGGGACCTTAAGAATTATGCTAAATCTGCTCTGCCTGTCCTCTATAAACAGAACAACAAAGCCTGGATGACAGCACATCTGTTTGCAGCATGCTTTACTAAATATTTTAAGCCCATAGTTGAGACCCACTGCTTAGCAAAAAATAACTTTCTCAAAAGATGACTGATTATTGACAATGCACCCGCACACCTGAGAGCTCTGACAGAGATATATAAGGATATAAATGTTTTCATGCCTGCTGACATAGCATCCATGGATCAAGGAGTAATTTTGACTTTCAAGTCTTATTATTTAAGAAATACATTTCGAGACCATCCTGGCCAACATGGTGAAACCCTGTCTCTACTAAAAATACAAAAATTAGCTGGGCATGGTGGCATGCACCTGTAGTCCCAACTACTTGGGAGGCTGAGGCAGAAGAATCACTTGAATCTGGGAGGCAGAGATTGCAGTGAGCCGAGATCATGCCACTGCACTCCAGCCTGGTAACACAGCAAGACTCTGTCTCAAAAAAAAAAAAAAAAAAAAACAAAAAAACATTTCACAAGGATATAGCTCCCATAGGTAGTGATTCTTCCAATGGATCTGGCAAGTAAATTGAAAACCTTCTGGAAAGGATTCACCATTCTAAATGCCATTAAGAATATTCATGAATCAGCCGGGTGCAGTGGCTCAGGCCTGTAATCCCAACGTTTTGGGAGGCTGAGGCGGGCAGATCACTTGAGGTCAGGAGAGCAAGACCAGCCTGGCCAACATAGTGAAACCCTCTCTCTACTAAAAATACAAAAAATAAAATAAAAAATAAAATAAATTAGCTGGGGGGTGGTAGTGGATGCCTGTAATCCCAGCTACTTGGGAGGCTGAGGCAAGAAAATCGCTTGAACTCAGGAGGCAGAGGTTGCAGTGAGCCAAGATCATGCCATTGCACTCCAGCCTGGTTGATGGAGTGAGACTCCATCTCAAAAAAAAAAAAAAAAAAAAAAACATTCATGATTCATAGGAGGAGGTAAAAATATCCACATTAACAGGAGTTTGGAAGAAGTTGATTCCAGTCCTCATGGATGACTCTGAAGGGTTCAAGATTTCAGAGTCTTGGAGGCAGTCCCTGCAGATGGGGCGGAAATAGCAATAGAACTAGAATTAGAAGTGGAAACTGTAGATATGATTGAATTGTTGCACTCTCATAATAAAACTTGAATGGATGGCGAGTTGCTTTTTAGGGATGAACAAATAAAGTGGTTTCTTGGGATGGAATCTACTCCTGGTGAAGATGCTATGAACATTGTTAAAGTGATAACAAAGGTTTTAGAACATTCCATAAACTGAATTGATAAAGCAGTGGCCAGTTTGAGGGGATTGACTCCAATTTTTTTTTTTTTTTTGAGATGGAGTCTCGCTCTGTTGCCCATGCTGGAGTGCAGTGGCACGATCTTTGCTCGCTGCAACCTCCACCTCCCGGGTTCAAGTGATTCTCCTGCCTCAGCCTCCCGAGTAGCTGGGATTACAGGTGACCGCCACCAAGCCTGATAATTTTTGTATTTTTAGTAGAGACAGGGTTTCACCATGTTGGCCAGGCTGGTCCTGAACCCCTGACCTCAAGTGATCCGCCGCCTTGGCCTCCCAAAGTGCTGGGATTACAGGCGTGAGCCACTGCACTCGGCCAATTTTGAAAGAAGTTCTGCTGTGGGTAAAATGCCATCAAACAGCATTAGCTGCTGAGATAAATCTTTGAAAGGAAGAGTCAAGAGATGCAGCAAACTTCATTTTTGTCTTATTTTAAGAAATTGCACAGCCACTACAAGCTTCAGCAGTCACCATCTCCATCAGTCAGCAGCCATCAACATCAAGGCAAGACCCTCCATCAGCAAAAAGAATACAACTCGATGAAGGTTCAGATGATCTTTAACATTTCTTGGCAATAAAGTATTTGATAATTAAGGTGTGTACCTTGTTTTTTTTTTTAAATATAATGTTATTGCACACTTCGACTACAGTATAGTATAAACATAACTTTTATATGCTTGGGAAACCAAATAATTTGTGTGACTCACTTTATTGCAGTATTCGCTTCATTGTGGTGGTCTGGAACCAAACCCACAATATCTTCAAGGTATGGCTGTACCTTAAATTGAATAAGGCCACAGAGAATAATCCCCATTATTTTATGCCCTTTAGTAATGATATAGCACCTGCCCATGCGTTCCCACCACTCTCCTCATGGTGACAGTTCATGCCAAAATAATCTGAGTAACATGTCCCTGCAGAGACAGCCGTGGCATGAGTGGCAGCAAGCCCGGGCTTTTCATGTGCTCTTTTGACCTCAGCCTCTTTATTCCATTCTGGGCAGACCCAACTAGCCGAGAGTAAAGAGACAGAAAGAAAGCAGAGAGCCTCTCCATCGGCCCGTGGTGGTGGACTGGGTGAGGGAAGGAGCCTCCTCCTCAACTCAAAGAAACTTCTTTCAAAAGATAAGAACTTCAGCACCATAGGAAAGTTAAAAAAGAAAAAGAAAAAAAAAGAAAAATCAAAAGAAGAGAACTGTCTGCTTTCTACGTGGGGCAGAGATGTAAGCACAATTAGACATCCAATTTACAAGGCTTTACTTTCATCATCTCCTTTAAGTCTCCGCATAAGCCAGTGAAGAAGGTGGGAGCTGGCATAATGTAATACTTAACCTTTCCATTTATGGACAGTAAGCTGTGGGCCAGGTCCTCTAGCAGGATCACGAATATAAAGGTAATACAGTGAGGTCCCGGTTCTGAAGGGAGTGACATGCATTGTAGTGGGTATGTAGCAGGGAAATCGAGACAGGAAATTGTACATGGAATTGCTGTGAGTGTTAGTGTCTATTTTCAGAAGAGGCCGAGTTTGCATTAAAGGACTTAAGAATTTGGTCTTGGCAAGAAGATGGGAGATTCTGACATTTTTCATGCTGTTAAAATTCTTTGCTAGATGATGTTTTAGCAATTGGCATAAATAATTTCTTCATATTCACTTCATTCTAAAAAGTATTTGAAATATCTTCAAAGGTAAAATTGCCAAGTATTTCCCTGGAAACATAGATATGGGAAGTATCCAAATTATCTAAGAAGTTGTATCAAGTTTATATTGTCAATGCTGAGTTTATGTGTGTATGTATGTATGTATTTATTACTTGAGACAGGATCTTGCTGTATTGCCCAGGCTGGGGTGTAGTCATTGAGCATGATCATAGCTCAATACAGCCTTGAACTCCTGGGGTGATCCTCCTGCCTAATCCTTCCAAGTAGCTAGGACTACAGGCATGTGATTTTTGTATTTTTTGTAGAGACAGGGTCTTGCTATGTTACCCAGGCTGGTCTGGAACTCCTGGCCTCAAGCAATCCTCCTGCCCTGGTGTCCCAAAGTGCTAGGATTCCAGGTATGAGCCACCTCACCTGGCTCCTGAATTCACTTTTTAATCTTTTTTTTTTTTTTTTGAGACAGAGTCTCACTCTGTTGCCCAAGCTGGAGTGCAGTGGCATGATGTCGGCTCACTGCAACCTCATCCTCCCAGGTTCAAGTGATCCTCCTGCCTCAGCCTCCTGAGTAGCTGGGACTACAGGTGCACACCACCACACCTGGCTAATATTTGTATTTTTAATAGAGACGGGGTTTCACCATGTTGGCCAGCTTGATCTCAAACTCCTGACCTCAACTGATCTGCCCACCTTGGCCTTCCAAAATGCTGGGATTACAGGCATGAGCCACCATGCCCAGCCCACTTTTTAATTTTTAAAATTAACTATTAAGTAGATCAAAAGTATACTTATAAAATATATGTAAGTCTTGGTTCTCATTGCTGGGAACCTTAAAAAATTCTGTTATGAACAATTTCAAACTTATACAAAAATGAAGAGGGTGAAATAATGAACACCTCTACCTTATCACTCAGCTCCATCAATTATGGCCAGCCTTGTCATAATTACGATTATAATTTCCTAGGAGTGTGTCTATAACTTGACAAAACTGACTCAAAAACAAATGAAATACCTAAACACTCCTAAATAAATTGAATTCATGATAAAAAACCTTCCTACGTTGTTGATCAGAGTATATATTAATAATTACACTCCTAATACTATGCAGCTATAAAAAGGAATAAGATCATGTTCTTCGCATGGACATGGATGAAGCTGGAAGCAAACTAACACAGGAACAGAAAGCCACAACACATGTTCTCACTTTTAAGTAGGAGCTGAAAAATGAGATCACATGAACACAGGGAGGGAAACAACACTCACTGGGGCCTGTTGGGGGGTCGAGTTGGGGGAGGGAGTGTATTAGGAAAAATAGCTAATGCATGTCGGGCTTAATACCTAGGTGATGGGTTGATAGGTGCAGCAAATCACCATGGCACATGTTTACCTGTGTAACAAACCTGCACATCCTGCACATGAACCTCAGAACTCAAAATTAAAATTAAAATTAAAAAAAATAATTCCACTCCTCGATTTATCATTTGACCATGTGCAAGATATATTGTCTAGGTACATAACACAGGAGGAATGCACATTGAAAAGACAAACTGTATGCTTTTAAGTTCCATTCAAAGTCCTCAAAAGTATCTGAATGATTGCAAAATGACTCCCACATATCTGCCAAAAAGACATAGAAGTATTCATAGCAGCATTTTTCCTAACTGTCAAAAATTGAAAACAACAACAACACATATCTATTAATGGTAGGATAGGTAAATTGTGGAATACCATATAACAATGAAAATGAACAAACTATAACCATATCCATAAATCCTCATAAATACAGAGATCATCAAATGAAAGAAGCTCAATATAGTAATATGTAAATCTGTGCAACTGCACTTATATGAGGTTCAGTAACAGACACAACTAATTTATTGTCACTTTGATTTAAATGTGTTCCCCTAAAGTTGATGTGTTAGAAAGTTATTCCCTTTGCCCTCATGAATGGATTAACGGATTATTGAAGGCTCTGCCCTCATAAATGGATTAATGTCACTGTCACAGGAGTGAGTTTGTTAGTGTGGGAGTGGCTTTGTTATAAAGGCGAGCTCTCTTTGGCTCCCTTGTTCTTGCCCTCCTGTCACGGGCTGACCCTCGCCAGATGCTGATGCCATACTCTTGGACTTCCCAACCTCCAAAACTGTAAGAAGTACATTTCTTTTCTTTATAAGTTATCCTGTCTGTTGTATTATGTTATAGAAACAGAAAACAGACTAAGACAATTGTGTTAGGAGTCAAGGTGACTGTTACCCTTGAGAGATTAGTGACAGCGAATGGGCACAAGGGAACTTCAGGGGATCTGGTTGTGTTCTATTTTTCTTTTTTATCTGAAAGCTTATACATATGTGTGTTCATTTTGTGAAAATTCGTTGAACTGTATCCTTTATGTGTGTACTTTCTGTATATATACTTCAATAAAATTTTATATTACAAAAAATTAAAGTGAAATATAATAGCCACAAAATTTAAGTAAATAAAGAAAAGATCTACCTGATGCTGCTCTTATTTTTTTTAAAAAAGGTTTGTGCTAACAGAAAGTGTTAACAGAATGAAACTGTAGCCTTTTAATAACTTTTTCCAGAAAGCTAATGGTCTTAATCTTGAGAAATGGGAATAGGGAAATGAAGATACTTATTCTTCTAAGGGTAGGAAAACACTCCTTCCCTTTAAGATATACTGTAGGATTATGAAGCACACTGTGCCCTTTAGGCCATCAGAAGTCTGACCCATATAGTAATTAATCCTATTCTCTGACAGTTGTCTTCATTGACTGTCCACTCTAAGCCTGTTTCTCCATCTGTAGAAAGGAAAGTCATACCTACCACCCTGCCTGGCAGCTGGTAGGTGATTTTTTTTTTTTTTTTTTTTTTTTTTGAGACAGGGTCTCAATTTGTCATCCAGGCTGGAGTGCAATGATGCGATCTCGGCTCACTGCAACCTCCGCCTCCTGGGTTCAAGTGACTCTCGCGCCTCAGCCTCCCAAGTAGCTGGGATTACAGGCACGCAAGACCACGCCTGGCTAATTTTTGTGTTTTTGTTTTGCTTTGTTTTGTTTTAGACAGACTCGCTCTGTCACCAGGCTGGAGTGCAGTGGTGCAATCTCAGCTCGCTGCAACCTCCACCTCCTGGGTTCAAGTGATTCTCCTGCCTCAGCCTCCTGAGTAGCTGGGACTACAGGTGACTGCCACCACGCCCAGCTTATTTTTGTATTTTTAGTAGAGACGGTGTTTCACCATGTTGGCCAGGATGGTCTCTATCCCCTGACCTTGTGATCCACCCGCCTTGGCCTCCCAAAGTGCTGGGATTACAGACGTGAGCCACCGCGCCTGGCCAATTTTCATCTTTTTTAGTAGAGACGGGGTTTCACCATTTTGGCCAGGCTGGTCTCGAACTCCTGACCTTAAGTGATTTGCCCACCTGGCCTCCTAAAGTGCTGGGATTACAGGCGTGAGCCACAGCGCCCGGCCGGTGATCTTTTGATTATTAATAATGTTATTGGAATATTATCAAACATCATTTGGTTCTAGTTTGTTTTTATTTAATTTCTGCAAATAATTTCATCTGAGCACAACTATTTTCCTGGGAACCCTAAATTATTCCTCTGCATCTACCACAAAGAAAAATCTAGGTGGCTTCCATTCCTTGCCTTTGGTCTCTCTGTACATTTTTTGTCGTTTTTCCTAGTAAAGCATCATCATCTTACTAAGAAATACAGTGGGTCATTTGATTCAAGAGCTATGGTTTGTCTTGTGCTAGAGAAAAATTCCAAGTTCTCTAAGGAAGCATTTCACGTCTGCTTACTCACCAAGACTTGTCTGTAGATTCTTGAATTCCTTTAAAGAATAGTTCAGTTCTACATTTTAATTTATGTCCTTACTTTAAACACAGATTATCCATTATTCTGCTGTTTGTCAGGATTCCTTCATTTTTCATTTTAACCTCATTTTCTGCATCATAGGTTTTCATTCTGAGATGGAGATCAATCATGCTGTCCCAACCTGTTTGTACAGTATTAATCATCCAGTTCTCTCCAATGGGCTTTTCATATGGTTGCCTGTTTTACATCTGTTCATTCCTTTCTCATACAAGATACACAGCCTACTCCTATTTTCTATTTAAAAATCTGATGTAAAATAGTGTATTTTTCCCCACGACATTTTCATTGGCTGAAGACTTATCAGAAACTATTTGGATTAAGGAGGCGCTATCATTTTTATTTATGTTATGTCTTTGTGTTTCATGGTATCTCATCCCCAACTGCTAAAAGAAAGCAGAGCCTACAGTGACCTCTTGAACTGATTCCCACAAGCCTTCTTTCTCAGAGTAGGCAGGTCTCACATTTCCGCAGGGCAGAGATCACGTGATTTCATTTATCAGCTAATCCATAGATATAGCTAGTGATTCTTTTGTTATATAGGATATAGAGATGAATTTATCTGTGGGGCAAATAAAAAACACTGAACAAAAGTTTTATACTTTTAAGACAGCAGAGTGGAAGAAACTTATTCCTAAAAATATTGTTTTCTGAAGACTCAGTCATTCCTGAAGTGAACATAAAATCTTTTACTTTAAAATCAGAGTTAAGATAGCAACTATTAATAATTTATATAGACATTCTGCCACTGCCAGTTACTTTAGTCGTATCATAATAACCATGGTATCATTGATATAATCTAATATTCCTTTGTATTTGAGGTTATGTTAATGACAGTGGCCTTTCCTGTGTTTTTGAAGATAGATAGGAGACTGCTGAATTTTTTTCCCCAGACAAGCATTTGAAGGCTATTATTGGTAGATTTCAAGACTATGGTTTCTGCTTTCATTTGGTAGACAATGGAATGGAATAAAATATACTTGCAAGTACTCCCAAACAGTATATCTGCATTTTTTTTTTTTTTTTTTTTTTTTGAGACAGAGTCTCACTCTTGTTGCCCAGGTGCAGTGGCACAATCTCAGCTCACTGCAACTTCTGTCTTTTGGGTTCAAGGGATTCTCCTGCTTCCGCCTCCTGAGTAGCTGGAATTATAGAAGCCCGCCACTACACCCGGCTAATTTTTGTACTTTTGGTAGAGACAAGGTTTCACCATGTTGGCCAGGCTGGTCTTGAACTCCTGACCTCAGGTAATCCACCCGCCTTGGCCTCCCAAAGTGCTGGGATTACAGGCGTAAGCCACCGTGCCTGGCCTATATCTGCAATTCTTATGGCTGTGATACTTTGGGCAGGTTAATTTTCCCTATTCTTTCTCTTTCCCTGGTTCTTCAGCTTTCCTTTTCAATGCCAGTGTTGCCTAGGGTTCCATCTTTGGTCCTTTTCTTACTGTTACACACTCTCCTTGTGCCTGTGGTCATCACTAGCACCCATACTCCTTGGCTCCCACATCTTCATCTCTAATGAAAGCCCCTCTTCTAAGCCTCCTTTTTCTCTGTATGCAACTGCTGGTTTGCCTTGAAGGTGTTTCCCCTCAGATCTCACTACTAAAACAGGTGATTCTTGGAAGCATTGACTTGCTTTTAACCTAGAATCTCAGTGAACCATGTGTTTGACTGTGTTTCTGTTATAACTTTAATATCATTGCTGCCTCCGCATCCATTTTTAGCCCTAAGTTGTTTCAAACCCAGTGGTACTGCACCACCCTTGGCCCAGTTAAAACGTCCCCTCCCTATGTGGTTGTATACTAGTGAGCCCACTCGTTCCTCATTCTGTTCACCCAAAACCTCCACAGCTGCTAACCTCGATAAAACCTAGTGGTCAACACCAGTCATTCAAATAAGTTTCCCTCTTCTCACGTGCTTTCCTTAAATTAGCCAATCCACAACTCCCTTGGGAAAACGCACTTGCTAAGGCTCATGGGCCTTAATAAAGGCGTCATCCCACAGCGCCTCTCTCTCACTCACCACCCGATGGTTGAGCTCCCTGCTGCCTCCAGACTTTTCGTCAGCCCTCCTAACCTCTCTGGGTCTGTAAGTGATAAAGTTTCTTCTTCTGTTTCATGCATTTTGGTTTGATCTCACCATTGCGTCTCACCTGACCATCACACTGGAAGCTAACTTTCGACCCTCCTAGAGTGCAGCTAACTTGACTTATATGGCCACTGTTGCCAGAGAAACTTTAAGACCAAAATGGAAACCGTAACAGTAAAAATCATAACAGGGCTGGGCGCAGTGGCTCACGCCTGTAATCCCAGCACTTTCGGAGGCCGAGGCGGGTGGATCACCTGAGGTCAGGAGTTTGAGACTGGCCTGGCCAACATGGTGAAACCCCGTCTCTACTAAAGATACAAAAAAAAATTAGCCGGGTGAGGTGGCAGGCACCTGTAATCCCAGCTACTTGGGAGGCTGCGGCAGGAGAATTGCTTAAATCTGGGAGGTGGAGATTGCAGTGATCCGAGACTAGGCCATTGCACTCCAGCCTGGGCAACAAGAACGAAACTCTGTCTCAAAAAAAAAAAAAAAAAAAAAAAAGAAAAGAAAATTGTAACAGTTTTCCTCTGTTTTGCCACTAGGAGATTCAGGACAGATTTGGTGGCCTATCTGTAGCTGTTTAAGATCTGTATTTTGTGTATTAAATTAACCTCAATTCCCCTTGCCCAAACTTTTTGTCTGTTTTTTACCCTGTTGTAATGTATAAATTGATATAACCTTGCTTTTAAACTAGGAGGGGGTATGAATATAAGTAATATATGATGTAATATATTTTGTATATACAGACTATTTATATAATCGTTTGTATATATAGTCCTCCCTCAGTATCCATGGGGGATTGTTTTCAGGACTCCTTGCAGATACCAAAATCCATGGATGTTTAAGTTTTTGATAGAAAATGATATTTGCATATAACCTATGCATGTGCTTCCATATATTTAAATAATCTCTAGATTATTTATAATAACTAATACAATGTAAATGCAATGTAAGCAGTTGTTATATTGTGTTGCTTGGGAATGACAGAAAGTCCATACATGTTCAGTACAGACACAACATTTCTTTTTTTTCCTGAATATTTTTGATTAATGGTCACTTGAATCCACAGATGCAAAAGCCACAGATAAGGAGGGCTGCCTGTGTCTATAAATACAGCTATACTTTGCTTAATGACAGGAATACATTCTGAGAAATGCATCGTTAGGTGATTTCGTCATTGTGTGAACATCATAGAATCCACTTACACAAACCTAGATGAGCTGCCCTACTACGCCGCTACTCTGCTATATGGTATAGCCTATTGCTCCTAGGCAATTGTAACATAATTGTAAGTATTTGTATCAAAACATATCTAAACATAGAAAAGATACAGTAAAAATATGGTATCAAAGATTTTAAAAGGTACACCTGTATAGGTCAGGATCATCAATATCATTGTCTTCCACGTCCACATCTTGTCCCACTGGAAGGTCTTCAGGGCACTTACCATGAATGGAACTTGCAAGACAGGAAGTTGCTCTGGGTGAGTCAGTGGGTGAGTGGTGAGTGAATGTGAAGGCCTAGGACATTACCGTCTACTACTGTAGACTTTATAAAGCCTGTACACTTAGGTGACACTGTTTATAAATTTTTTCCATTTTCAATAATAAATTAACCTTAGCTTACTGTAACTTTTTTACTTTATAAACTTAACTTTTTGAAAACTTTTTGACTATTTTGTAATAAAACGTAGCTTAAAACACAAACACATTGTACAGCTATACAGAAATATTTTCTTTATATTCTTATTCTATAAGATTTTTTCTATTTTTAACTTTTTTACTTTTTAAACTTCTTTGCTAAAAACTTAAGATGCAAACACATATTAGCCCAGGCCTACGGAGGGTCAGGATCATCAATACCATTGTCTTCCGTGTCCACATCTTATCCCACTGGAAGGTCTTTGGGGGCAATAAACACACACAGAGGAGCTGACATCTCCTATGACAACAATGTCTCTGGAAGACCTTCTGAAGGAACTGCCTGAGGCTGTTTTACAGTTAGCTTTTTATTTTATTTATTTACTGTAGAGGAAGGGTCTTGCTATGTTGCCCAGGCTGGTCTCAAACTCCTGGGCTCAAGCGATCCTCCAGTCTCATTCTCCTAAAGTGCTCGGATTACAGGCATGAGCCACCATGCCTGGCCCCAGTTAGCTTTAAAAAAAAAAAAAAATAGGAGTACAGTCTAAAATAACTACAAAAAGTTTGGTAAGTACTGAGTGATAGGACTGTATCAGCTCCATTATAATCTTAAAGGACCACTGCTGTATATGTGGTCCGTTGTGGACAGAAAGGCTGTTACGTGGCCTGGGACTGTACACATACCCCTGCTGAATATCTCCACCTTGATAGTCCATGTGGCGATACCTTAATTTCAACACATTGAAAATTGATCCTCCTCCTAAATTCTGTGCCATGAACTCATCTGACCAGTCTCCCAAACTAGTGGTCATCTTAAATCTTTGACTCTTCTTTCTTTCTCCCCCAACCTCATGTCTAATTCGTCATCAAATCCTCTCAATTTATTCTGGGCTTTCCTCTCTAGCCCCATTCTAGCTGTCCCAGCTGGAACAATTACAAGAGTAATTGCCACCCTACTCTCTGTTCTGCTTCAGAATAACCTTCCTAAACTGTTTAGTCTTGTTAATGCTCTATTTAAAAGACTTCACTATCTCCCCATTGACTATGTGATAAATTTCAAACTACTTTGTATGATGAACAAGGCTCTCCATGATTTGAACGGCGAAGTATTTTCTCTCAATAATGGGAGTTTATCCTCCCTTCTCGGGGTTCACTGTACTTGAGTCACATTGGTTGCAGGTTGGATTCCCTTGGAAGCAGACTCTAAGACAGACAGAGATTGGAGAGTAGGAGTTTTGTCAGGGTGTGCTCCTTGGATTACTACCTGTAGAAAAGAAGGGAAGAAAGCAGAAAGGGGCTAAGGGGGAAATTGGCCATGACTTGTGGTATGCACGAGCTAGCTTGTATGAAAATTGGCAAATGCTATAAACCAGGGTCCACTGCTTCCATATGGCCTCCCATTTGCAGCTCTTTGAGTACCTCTGGCCCCACTGGGTTGGGAGCATGGTTCAAGCTCAAGATGACCTTTAGAGCTGTATGAGATAAAGGAGTCTTTTAGCAAATGTCTTTCTCTCCATCCTCTTGTACTAAAAATTCTCCTGGATTGTCATTCTCTTTAATTAAGTTACCCACTCCAAAGTCATTTTAATTCATCAGCTTCTTTGTGTTCTTTATGGCAGTGCTTCTCAACCCGGGGCAATTTTGCCCTCCAGGGGACATTTGGAAATATCTGAAGACATTAGTTGTTGTTATTACTGAGTGTGGGGGTACTATTGGCATCTAGTGGGCAGAGGCCAGGAATGTTGCTAAATATCCTACAACACACAGGATAGCCCCACAACAAAAAATGATCCAACCTCAAATGTTAATAGTGCTGTGGTTGAGAAACTGCTCTAAGTCCATAATGACTCAGCAGGAACTTCATTCTAGATGACCATGGGGAAATAATGAAATCAATTGTTTCATCTCTGCTGGTCTTGAGTCAGCCAGAGTCCCTTCCCCTCGCAATTTTTCAGTGCTAGCTGGATTTTCATTGCCTTTTATCCCTACCAGACTGGGTAATCAATCTCAGATTCTTTTCTATTTCTTTGGAGTTTATGGCCTGCAGTCATTCCCGTATCAGTTAAAATGCTGTTGCAAGAAAAACAAGCCATCTTGATTTAAAAGAACAGTTTATTGGAAGAATATTGGATAGCTCACAGAAATACCAGGAGGGCTGGATTGTGGCATCCTCACTGAAATCGGGTAGCCCAATTCATCCGGATACTAGACATCTAAAACTACCACAAAGTAGATCTGGTGAGGTCACTGCCATTGGCATCCCAAACATTAAATTTTACAGCTTGTGTACTAGACAGGACACTCCATTGTAGCACCGTGCTGCTGCAGTCCCCAAACACTGGGTGCTGCTGCTGGAGATGATTCCCTGCTATCCCAGCTCCTCTGCTTCTCCTGTTTCACAGTCTGGTGTGGGTATGTCTGTCTGATGAGGCCTGGGTTGTTAAAACTGCAAATAATGCTTTGAGGGTATCTGGTAATTTCAACTTGGATGGTAGAAGGTAAGCTTTACCTTACAAACAACTTGTAAGTTAGAGAATTCATCAGACACAGGGAAGTATTTCTGGGGAACAACATGGTGACAACTTTTAGGCAGAAAAGGTGTTCATTCCTTTTGACATTCACACAGATTTCAGGCTACTTTATCATAAATATCTCTAACAGCAAAAGTTTAGAAGTGTGTAGCTCTCTGTATTTTTCTAGTGTGTTATCTCAAGTTAATTTATAGATTTCTGACTCCATCATAACTGCTGTATACTTTTTCATATGCCCCTCCCCCACCAACAACTTGTAATTTGGAACCACTATGGTTACTATATTTACTTAGGATAAAATTAGGTGTATGTCCCCTAAAGATCTTATCTTTAGTATTCTAATTCATTTCAACATGTGCTAGCAGTGCTAAAATAAACAATGCTGGAAATAGCTTTCTAGGATACAAAGCTAGACAGCATGACTTTTCATTTGTCTTTGATTAATTGTGTACTTGCCTCTTTTATGGAAGACAAACCCATATGTAAAGCTATACCAAGACAGAAAAACAATAGACCTTTTTAAAAGGTTCTTAGTGTGAGTGTGACTTTTTTACTTTTTTCCTTATTGTCACTTGATGGATCTTTCCATTCACCTTTTCTGACATCAAAGATGAAAAATTATGTGCTTCAGAGATGAGCTGATAATACCCTGACAAGGCTTTGCAAGAGTTTCTGGTAGCCTGTCTTATAAAATACCAACATTTCCTGGAAGACTCAGAAATTGCCAGTACGGTAGGGTGGTTATTTAATTTATGTATTTTTATTTTTATATAAGATAGGGTCTGCCTATGTTGCCCAAGCTGGTCTTGAACTCCTGGGCTCAAGGGATCCTCCTGCCTTGGCCTCCCAAAATGCTAGGATTTACAGGCATGAGCCACCATGCCGAGCCATGGTGATTATTAAAAAAAAAAAAAAAAAAAAAAAGTGAAGTTAATGAGGTGATTTGATAGAAGGACCCAGAGACAGGTCAGTTTTTGACTTTCACATGAAGACTGGGGGCAGCCAATTTGCCTTTTGCTGTTGGCGGTGTTTGGTATATGTTGGTAAGACCCCAATCTTACGAGTTCTTATTGCCAAACGTAGGATTGCTTTTTCATTGTTGCCTAAGGTATCTTTCCATACTGTCGTCTATGATTCCTTCACTTTCATAGATGGAGAAAACTGAGTTGTAGGAAAAGTAGACCACGGATTCAGAATTAAAAATATTAAAAACCAACTGATCAAATAAAAACTACTATAAGGCCCAGTGCAGGAAGAAGGGAGGGGAATCCTTATGAGTCAGAGGCTGGAGATCACCACACCCAGTTTCAGAAATCATCAGAATGGCAGGCTTGCTTTTTAAATAAACTTTTAATTTCAGAATAGTTTTAGATTTATAGAAAAGTTAAAAAGACAGTATGGCAAATACTGGATCCACACCAGCAAACTGTCCTTTACTGAAAGTTTATGCTCAAAGAGGTTTGAAGCCTGGTCACCCCCAATGAAAAATGAGAGCTAACGATGTGCCTGGCTGACTACCGATTGTCCTGCCATATTCACTTTTTGATTTTAGCAGGATCTCCAGTCAATTCTTGTGCACATGACAGTTTGAGAACCATTTAGCTAAGTTACATTCTTGGTCAGCTTGTTGGGGTGGCGAGGGTGCGGACTGTGCATGTGTTTAGGTGTGTGATTGCGGGTTGATGATGTGATTTTCATTTATTTGGAGAATCCATAATCCAGACTCGATTGGACCATAATTGCTAGAATCATGTAGGCCACACTGAGGGAATAAACTGCCTTTCCTCTTCCCTTTGCTTGGTATCTTCTCTCCCAGATCTTCACAAAGTTCCCTTCCTCAGGTCTGTCCTTGGAGAGCCCTTTCCTGACCACCCTATTTAAGATGGGCCCTGTCATTCTCTACCTGCTGACCTTGCTTTACATTTTGTCTTCTCTGACATTATAAAATAGATATATTTGGTTTTTATTTTGTTTGTTGCCTCTGTCTCTCACCATGCACTGGAACATGAGGCCAATGGGAACCAGGAATCTGCTTTGCATACCACATCCTCACCAAGTCCCTGCTTACTCAATTAAACCATTTTGATTCATTTTCTGAAAAATATAACACTAGCGATTTGGTAGCACAAACTACTTTTCAATTTTCTTTTCATGAAAAGAAATTCAAGAAGACTTTATTCTAACTCATGTTTTTGTGCTAATTTTTTGACTGAGAATTCCTTTTATCTCTAAGAATATTTTTAAACATTATGTTTATTACACAAACTTATTGGTGATATAAAAAGAGTAAATGAAAAAAATCTTCCACAATTGCTATTCTAACTAGTTCCTTTTCTTTTTTCCCTGCTGGGATCCAATTCATATCTATATGGATGAACTTCAGTTTTTAAGTTAATTGTAGAGGTTTGCTGACAAATGTAGATGACATATATCAGTTTCTCAGACTAGGGATTTGGGTTTTTTTTCATAATTTTTTTGTTTTTATTTTATGTTTTAAATATATAAACCTTTAAACATTTAAAGTGGTAAAAATATTCAGTGTTTTAACTTTAAAATAATTATTTAAAAAATTAAGTGTCCCTAAGGAACACAAAAGGACCATGCCAACTTGCAAAGGACAGGAAATAAAAAGCCAGAAGTTGATAGGAAGATGGTTTCTTATTCACCATATTCAATGAGGCATGAAAAATGCTTAAATATGAAAGAAAGCTTATCTGATAAGGTAAATAAAGAATGACTTTTACAAAAGAAAAACATTTTTAAGCAGTGTATCTGCCATAATAGTGGTGATAAATCACTGGCCCTTATAATCATACCAATTTAGTTTTTACCCAATTCTTTAAGCTTTGAAATATCATTTTCTTGTATCAGTTTAACCAAAATCATGGTCAGTCTGACCATCTGGACCTTCTTATGGTGATGACAGTTGGATGCACCTAATCAAAAGTCAGCAACTAACTGTTAATAAAGTAGGAAATTCTGAGTTCACTACATTCTGAGTCAGAAACAACTGGTCAAATAGGTTTGAAAGATATGCCCAATGGTTACCATTTAGCAATAAAAAGGAATAAAGCACTTTTTCATACCAAAACATAGATGAATCTCAAAAACATTAAGTTGAACAAAAGACAGTTACGGTCTGTACATTTGTATGACACCAATTAAATGAAATTCTAGAAAAGGAAAAAATAATCTAAAGGGACATAAGTTAGATCACTGGTTGCCAGTGAGAAGGAGGAGTAAATGCAAAATGGCATGAGGAGTCTTTTTGGGGTGATGGTAAGGTTTCATCACTTCCATGCAGTGATAGCCACATGTGTGTATATGTTTGTCAGACTCATCAAACTACATTTAAAATGGGTACACCTTATTGTCTGTAAATAATACTTTAAAGTTGATTTCAAAAAGATATTAAGTCTGTCTTCTGAAAAACTTTTATTATTCTACCTACTTTTCTCATCAAAACAATTCCAAGCCTCATTAAATGTAATAATTATTGCATTATCTGTTAAAATGTATTCCTACTATGTGTTAACACTCCCAGTAATGATTTATTAGCCATATTTTATCAAACTATTTGTTATTCAGTGAATTTTAGGATCTGCCTGATATGAGTGTCCACACCTAAATGTTACTGAAAGCCTTTGAACACACCTTTGTCATTGGTTTATTCTTATCTGCTAAGAAATAGAAGTGGCAGATTTCATATATAAACATAGATTTTAAATATCCATTAAAAGAATAGGGCAGATTGGTGAATGCTGATTTCCATATTAATCTCTTTGTGTTATTACAAATAACTCATTGAACACGAGTCCTTTTCTTATCGCAGGTAGGCATTGAAATTACATTTAGAAAATAAGGCTAATGAGAAAAATAGCTAGGAAAATGTCCAAATGCAGTTGTTTATACTGTGAACCTCACAGTCAATAGTAAAGAATAAAACAAACAGCCTTTCTGAGAAGTCTTGGAAATCACAATTCATACTGGTTCTGTGCAGCCTGTTAACAAGCCAGTCACTTTTTGCACTCAGGTTGAGAAAGTCATTATTTTTCTTCATTAGTTACAATTCTGCTGACAACAGTATTCTTCTAATAGCCATCCTACAACTCAGTTGGCTACAATTGATTTGCAGACTCTGGGTCTTTATTGATAACCTTTACACTGACCTTGTAAGATTCATAGATCCTCATTATGGCAAAAGTCCAAGTGCTTCATGAAACAAAATGTTTTGGCACAAGCACTGATTCTATAAGCACTGGACAGGACAGAGGTATCTGCAATGAAAGACCATGCTACCTATACCAATATTTTTCCTTGAAAAGCCCAGTGTAAAACACATGTGTGTATGTGTTTATTCTCCAACAGGACAAATCCAGGTTCCTATTTCTGCCTCTTTTATACTCCAAGGAAATTAAGGCATGCCTGAATTCTGATGATACCTGTGTCAATACAAAAAAACCACTGAATCTTGTACAGATCTCTTTACATGGATTGAGATCCTTTCCAGCTCATAACAAAATGGAATTCCTGTGTAAGATAATTGTTTCATGCAACAAAAGATAATCTCTTAAATCTTTTACCATTTGTTTCTTATTAAATGTGGAGAATTGTGTTTTGAGATTGTGAAAGTGAAGAAAATAATGTGAAACCCATCGAGGCAGCTTTTTATTAATATACCCTATTCATAAAAATCCTTATTTCCTGGAAGGACTGAGCAAATGATGACATTCTCTACAGTAACTTTCCCAGTTAATTCATAAATTTCACTGAGTGTCCACCCACAGTCCATATAAACCTGTTTTATGTGCTCTGGAGGATCAGGAGATGAAACACTGGAGGAAGTTTTTTGCCCTCAAGGAATGCAAATTGTAACTAGGATTACATAAGAAACATAGGAATACACTGCGTGCGTATTCACACAAATTCATACACATCTGTCTGTTTCCAGTCTTCGGATAAATGCAGTAATTAACTAGGGATGGTGGTTGTGTTTAGAGTAATAAGGAAGTAAGTGGATTAGAAAGTGAGATAGGAAAAGGAGAAAGATCTTTCCTCCCACCACAGACAATGGAGACATTCTCTCTGCCTGCTTCCATTTTATTTATCTGAGTGGAAGTATCCCCTATGGACTATTCTGAGGTGTAGGATTTCATACTGGCCCTCTGGAAAATGTCCTATGTAATCAAAAAATGGGTTGTGTATTTTTGTGAGGTAGTGCCGGCTCAGTAACACACCACCTTGTGATAGATGTCTACTTATCTGTCTTCTTGTGATATTATCAGCCATTGATAGATGAAAAATAATCTATTATAAGAGATTACAAAATGGTGGCATTCTAGTTCTATAATTTCTTCATCTATTAACTAAAATAATGTCAGATGTTTGCTTCTTCAACCATTTGGTTACTGTATTAGAGTTCTATAGAGGGTTAGAACTAAGAAGATAGATATATGTATTTAAAGGGGAGTTTATTAAGTAGTAGTAACTCACATGATCACCAGATCACAATAGGCTGTCAGCAAGCTGAGGAGCAAGGAAGCCAGTCCGAGTCCCAAAGCTGAAGAACTTGGAGTCTGGGCTGGGTGCTGTGGTTCACGCCTGTAATCCCAGCACTTTGGGAGGCCAAGGTGGGCAGATCACAAGGTCAGGAGATCAAGACCATCCTGGCTAACACAGTGAAACCCCGTCTCTACTAAAAATACAAAAATTAGCTGGACATGGTGGCGGGCGCCTGTAGTCCCAGCTACTCAGGAGGCTGAGGCAGGAGAATGGCGTGAACCCGGGAGGCAGAACTTGCAGTGAGCCAAGATCACCACTGTATTCCAGCCTGGGTGACAGAGCAAGACTCTGTCTCAAAAAAAGAAAAACAAAAAACAAAAAACTTGGAGTCTGATGTTCAAGAACAGGAAGCATGCAGTACGGGAGAAAGATGTAGATGGGGAGGCTAAGCCAGTCTAACCGTTTCACATTTTTCTGCCTGCTTTATATTTGCTGGCAGCTGATTAGATGGTTCCCACCCAGATTAAAGGTGGGTTGGCCTTTCCCAACCCACTGACTCAAATGTAAATCTCCTTTGGCAGCACCCACACAGACACACCCAGGAAAAATACTTTGCATTCTTCAATCCAATCAAGTTGACACTCAGTATTAGCCATCACAAGTCCACCCCTTGTTAACTTGAACCCAAACACATCTCCTGAGATCATACAGAATCTTCAAATAAAGACAATAATAAGATCATAATTGTGCCTAACATAATACAACTATCCTTTGTACAACTGGAAATGCACCAATCCCCAATCCAAATGCTATTTCATAAAGTTAACAACACTTAAATGCTGATATGAAATCAATAAATGTTATGTCACATGATAAAGGAAAAGGAAATAAAACGAAGTTATTTTCTTAGTATAAGTTTACATGTACAAATGTGTTTTTTTGTTTTGTTTTTTTGAGACGGAGTCTTGCTTTGTCGCCTAGGCTGGAGTGCAGTGGTGCGACCTCTGTTCACTGCAAGCTCTGCCTCCTGGGTTCACGCCATTCTCCTGCCTCAGCCTCCCGAGTAGCTGGGACTATAGGCACCTGCCACCACGCTCGGCTAATTTTTTTGCATTTTTAGTAGAGACGGGGTTTCACCGTGATAGCCAGGATGGTCTTGATCTCCTAACCTTGTGATCCGCCTGCCTTGGCCTCCCAAAGTCCTGGGATTACAGGTGTGAGCCACTGCGCCTGGCCACAAATGTTTTTAACAAAAGAAAGAAATACTCATGACAATTACAGTCCTCATTTCTGCAGCTGGTCACATGGTTGTAGCTGGTATTGATGACTGCCTCCTTCTATCCATTTTGTATTCCCTTTGCCTTCAGTGAGCACCTCAGCAGATTTTTTTTTTTTCTGGTGGAGGGACTCAAACCTTCATCCCTGAAGTGTCTGGGCCATTTGTAGTCCTGCCTGGATTGGGCTGTCGTAGTTTCCCATTGACCTTAATCATAGGGCATGGTAATAGTAAGAGACGCCCCAGGGGATCACCAGTATTCCACGCTTATTCTTCTTACCTCTGTTATGGAGCAGTAGACTGATCTCATCATGATAGCCTGGGTCAATCACCCCAGCCAACACTGTAACTCCCTTCTTAGCCAGTTGACTTAAGGTAGGAGTAGTCCAAAGTGTTCAGGTGTAAGTCTTAACTTCCAGTTTAGTGGAATCGTTGTGTCTCCTGGTGGCAGAATTCCTCCCTCTGGAACTAAAACCTCTAGGCCACCAGAATGTAATGGGGAACAGGAAGCAAAAATTTTGCTAGTGGATCACTAGGGGTGATGGCATGTGGTACCACATCCACTTCCACCTCTTGATTCCTGGACCCGTGAATTCTGGCTATGGGAGAAACAATACCATATATTTGATGCTGATTCAGAGCATACATGGCCTTCTGGAGAACTTTGCCCCAGCCCTGCAAAGTATTATCACCTAGTTGGCATTGTAATTGTGATTTCAAAAGGCCATTCCACCATTCTATTAATCCAGCTGCCTCAGGATGATGGGGAATATCGTAAGACCAGTGAATTCCATGAGCATGAGCCCACTGCCACACTTCTTCAGCCATAAAGTGAGTGCCTTGGTCAGAGGCAATGCTGTGTGGAATACCGTGACGGTGGATAACGCATTCTGTGTGTCCACGGATGGTAGTCTTGGCAGAAGCATTGTGTGCAGGATAGGCAAATCCATATCTGGAGTAAATGTCTATTCCAGTGAGGATAAACCTCTGCCCTTTTCATGATGGAAGAGGTCCAATATAATCAACCTGCCACCAGGTAGCTGGCTGATCACCCTAAGGAACGGTGCCATATTGAGGGCTCAGTGTTGGTCTCTGCTACTGGCAAATTGGGCACTCAGCAGTGTCTGTAGCCAGGTCAGCCTTGGTGAGTAGAAGTCCATGTTGCTGAGCATAACCTCTATCACTGCCACCATGGCCACTTTTATCATGGGCCCACTGGGTGATGACAGGGGTGGCTGGGGAAAGAGGCTGGGTGGTGTCCACAGAACAGGCCATCCTATCCACTCGATTATTAAAATCCTCCTCTGCTGAGGTAACCTGTTGCTGAGCACTCACATGAAATACAAATATCTTCAGTTTTTGACCACTCAGAGAGGTCCACATCCACATACCTCTTCCCCAAGTTTCTTTGTCACCAATTTTCCAATCATGCTTCTTCTAAGTCCCTGACCATCCAGCCAAACCATTGGCTACAGCCCATGAATCAGCATATAATCGCACATCTGGCCATTTCTCTTTCCATGCAAAGTGCCCAGCCAGGTGTACTTCTCGAAGTTCTGCCCACTGGGAAGATTTCCCTTCACCACTGTCCTCTGGGGATGCCCTAGCAAGGGGCTATAGTGCTGCAGCTGTCCACTTTTGGGTGGTGCCTGCATATTGTGCAGAACCATCTATAAACCAGGCCCTAATCTTCTCTTCCTCTGCCAACGGATCATAGGGAACTCCCCATGAGGCCATCGGTGCAGGCTGGGGGAGAGAAGGCAGGGTGGCAGGAGTAGAGACCATGGGCATTTGAGCCACTTCCTCATGTAACTTAACTGTGCCTTCAGGACCTGCTCGAGCCTAATTACGTATATACCACTTCCATTTGATGATGAAATGGCGCGGTGCATGACTTACTTTATGGCTAGATGAGTCAGAAAGCACCCAGTTCATAACAGGCAGTTCAGGTCGTATGGTGACTTGATGACCCATCGTCAAACGTTCAGTTTCCACCAAAGCCCAGTAACAGGCCAAGAGCTGTCTCTCAAAATGAGATTAGTTATCTGCAGAAGATGGCAGGACCTTGCTCAAAAATCCTAGAGGCCTCTGCTGTGGTCCACCTATGGGGGCCTGCCAAAGGCTCCAAACAGCATCTCTTTCTGCCACTGACACCTCAAGCACCATTGGATCTGCTGGGTCGTATGGCCCAAGTGGCAGAGAAGCTGGCATAGCAGCCTGGACCTGGTGCAGAGCCTTCTTCTGTTCTGGACCCCACTCAAAACTGGCAGCCTTTTGGGTCACTCAATAAATGGGCCAGAGGAACATATTCAAATGAGGAATGTGTTGCCTCCAAAATGCAAATAGGCCCATTAGGTGTTGTGCCTGTTTCTTGGTTGTAGAAGGGGCCAAATGCAGCAACTTATCCTTCACCTTGGAAGGAATATCTCAACATGCCCTATACCACTGGACCCCTAGAAATTTTACTGAGGTAGAAAGTCCCTGAATTGTAGTTGCATTTATTTTCAATGCTGTGGCATGCTAATGTCTCACCAATCAGTCCAGTCTGTTTGCTACTTCTTGCTCACTGGATCCAATTAGCATAATGTCAGCAATGTAATGGACCAATGTGATATATTGTGGAAGTGAAAACTGATCAAGGTCTCTCTGAATCAGATTATGACAAAAGCTGGAGAGTTGATATACCCCTGAGGTAGGACAGTAAAAGTATATTGCTGGCCTTGCCAGCTGAAGCCAAATTGCTTCTGGTGGGCCTTACAGACAGGAATGGAGAAAAAGTCATTTGCCAAGTCAACGGCTGCATACAAGGTACCAGGAGACATGTTAATTTGCTCAAGCGATGCAAACACATCTGGTACAGCAGCTGCAATTGAAGTCATCACTTTGTTAAGCTTATGATAACACACTGTCATTCTCTAAGATCCATCTGTCTTCTGCACAGGCCAGATAGAGTTGAATGGGGATGTGGTGGGAATCGCCACCCCTGCCCCTGTGGCTTTCAAGCCCTTGATGGTAGCGCTAATCTCTGCAGTCCCTCCAGGGATGCGGTGTTGTTTTTGATTTATAATTTTCCTAGGTAGAGGCAGTTCTAATGGCTTCCATTTGGCCTTTCCCACCATAATAGCCCTCACCCTACCAGTCAGGGAGCCAATATGGGAGTTCTGCCAGCTGCTAAGTATGTCTATGCCAATTATGCATTCTGGCACAGGAGAAATGAACACAAGATGAGTCGGGGACCCAGTGTAAGTAGGACCTGAGCTAAAACTCCATTACCTCCATAAACCCCTACTTTAACTGGAGGACCACAATTCGGGTCCCCTGGAATCAACATCAGCTCACAGCCAGTGTCCAGTCGTCCCTGAAATGTCTGATCATTTCCCTTTCCCCACTGCACACTCTGGTAAAAGGCTGGATGTGTCCTTGGGGAAGGATGGGAGAAAGATTAGCATAAATTGTTGGTAGTGTAGTGGGGTTCTTCCTCAATGGGACCTGGGCCCCCCTTCATTCAAGGGATTCCAGGTCTGTAAACTGGCTCAAGTCTGGAAATTGACTGAGGGGCTATGATTCTCTGTTCAAATTAGTCTTTTGTTCATTTGACCTGGAAGTTATGCAGTAGGCTTCCTATCAATTTCACTTTTAAGAACAACATCATTAATTAGCCAATGCCAGAGCTCTATGTGAGTCAGACTATGTGATTGCTGCTTTGCCTCTGCTGTCCATTATGGTAGCTGTGCCCACCTTTCCTTTGACAGCTGGGTGCTGCCAAGTTGTCCGTGCCATCTCAGGATCCAATTATTCCCATTGTATTTAAATTTTGTAGTCGGGTGACTGTGGTTCCCACTGTTAGATCTGACATACAGAGAAGAGCAATTACAGGGCTCTTAAAAAATGCAGGTGCTGCCCTCACAAATCTATTTCACAAAGCATTGGTCAAGGGTATATCTTCTGGACCCTCCCAGCTGGGATGAGTAAGTCTAAAGTGACTAATCCACTTCAGCATCCCAATCTCCCTAAGCCTTTGGATCCCTTCCTCTACATTAAACCAAGGGAGATCAGGCATTTCCAGCTCACTCACAGTGGGCCATCTTTTAATCCATATTTCGGCTAACCAAGCAAATAAACTATTAGAACCTTTTTTAACTCCCCAAGTTGCAACATTAAATGCAGAATCCCTACTTAGTGGGCCCAAATCAATAAATTGAGCCTGATCCAACTCTGTTCCTTCCACCATTATCTCACACCCTTAATATCCATTCCCATGCCTGTTCTCCAGATTTCTGTTCATTTAAATTAGAGAACTCAAGCAGTTCTTTTCGAGTGTAGTGTACCTCCTCATGGGTCACACTCTCAACCTCACTTCTAGGGCCCTGCCAGGACTTATAGGTCAGAAGCAAACAGGAGTATTGGGGTGGCTCCTGAGGAGAATCAACATTATCTTGCCTGGCAACTGGCTCAGGGGAGGCCATCACTGTTGCCTCAGGCAGTGCAGGGTTTATCTCCTCAGAGAAAGGTGGAAAGGCTGATGCCAGTGTAGGTCAGGGAGGGAATGTTGCCACTACTGGTGATGGGGAAGCCGTTTCTTCTGGCAAAAAGAGTTCACCAGAGTTTACAAGCTCAGTGTCCCCAGCTTCATCCCACACGTCCCCATTCGAAGTTGCAGGGTCCCATTCTCCTCTAATCATTGCCCTCATTTTAACAGGAGACACCTGGTGAGGCTGTGCATGCACCTTTCATTGCAGGTCAGCCTCTTGCGTGATAAGAGCTTGTGTGTGATTTTCCACAATTTCAGCTCTTTCTCCACAGGAGATAAGACTCTCACTCAGGGCAATCTTAGAAGATTTGAGGCTCAATATCTGCTTCTGAAGCTGGGAGACAGAATCCCTGAGTTCATTATTTTCTTTCATCACTGTGTCTAGTGAACTTAGGAGCAACCAACCAGCTTCATTATGTTCCTTGGTTCTCCGCATATGGTCAAAGGTATTATGTATAGAGTCACTAAACTCCTTGTCTCTCACGAGCAGTGGATCAGGAGTGTCAAATACATTTATTTTGCCTAACTTTCTAAACAGTTTATGCCAGGGACTCTTGGTATCCTCCATACTATTAGAAGTACAGTCCTTAGTATTTTTGGGTCTAATCATTTTAAGCAGCCACCTCCAGAAACCCCCAAACCAACAAAATAACTCCATCCTTAATATTCTGTTCCTCTAGAACCACTCCTGGTACCAAAATCTGTATTAGGGTTCTCTAGAGGGACAGAACTAATAGGATAGACATATATATAAAGGAGAGTTTATTATTAACTCACATGATCACAAGGTCCCACAATCTGCAAGCTGAGGAGCAAGGAAGCCAGTCTGAGTCTGAGTCTGAGTCCCAAAGCTGAAGAACTTGGAGTCTGATGTTTGAGCGCAGGAAATATCCAGCATGAGAGAAAGACGTAGGTGGGGAGGCTAAGCCAGTCTAACCTTTCCAGGTTTTCCTGCCTGCTTTATATTTGCTGGCAGCTGATTAGATGATACTCACCCAGATTAAGGGCGGGTCTGCCTTCCCCAGCCCACTGACTCAAATGTTAATCTCCTTTGGCAACACCCACACAGACCTACCCAGGATTAATACTTTGCATCCTTCAATCCAATCAAGTTGACATTCAGTATTAGCCATCACAGCTACTTCATGAACTAACTAGAACCCAAAGCCTAAGGCAAAGTTTGAATACTAAGGTTTTACTGGGAGATGCAATTCAAGAGCAGCAGGAGTGAAGGAAAAAGTAAGTGAGGCAGGGAATGAGGAAAAGCAAATGCAAGGTGGTATGTTACTGAGCCAGCACAACCTCATAAAAATTACACAGCTGGTTGTTTGGTTATGTAGAACATTTTCCAGAGGGCCAGTGTGAAATGATACACCTTGGAATAGTGCATAGAGGACACTTCCACTCAGGCAAATAAAAATAGAAGGGCAGGCCAGGCATGGTGGCTCATGCCTATAATCCTAGCACTTTGGGAGGCCAAGGAGGGAGGGTCACTTGAGGCCATGAGTTGGAGACCAGTCTGGCCAACATGGTGAAACCTGTTCTCTACTAAAATACAAAAATTAGCCGGGTGTGGTGGGGTGTGCCCGTAACCCCAGCTACTCGGGAGGCTGAGGCAGGAGAATCACTTGAATCTGGGAGGTGGAAGTTGCAGTGAGCTGAGATAGACCCATTGCACTTCAGCCTGGGCAAAAGGGTGAGACTCTGTCTCCAGAAAAAAAAAAAAAAGGGATGGGGGCGCAAAATCTCATTACTCGTGAACAATTAGTTTTTCCTTCCCTACCCTTGAGTTCATTGACCATATAATGTTACTGTTAGTGGGCAAAATAAACTGAGGCTCTATTGCAAATATACTGTGAATATAATTCAACTCTCAGGCTGCCTGTGCATCATTAGGGGAGGAAGGGAAGCAAACTTATCTGCTGATAATTTCCTATATTCTATCTCTCATTGGTCAAAGTTTACCTTGAGGTGTAACTCCTCTAACCCTCCAGACTGAGCTGTCAGACTGGCCAGGGCAGCATCTGGAGAAGTCAGATCCCTTGCACTAATGATTGGCACTTTATCTGGGTCCAGAAGTAATGGGAGGAGCCAGTACCTTGGTGCCTTCCCCCTCAGGATGGACCAGGGCACCAGAGCAGCTGTTCCCAAGGCAGCAGGGATGACCACAGCCATGCTCAGAGCCCAGCCCTTGACTCGGGAGGCCGACACAGTAGCAGTGTTAGGAGGGCAGACAGTGATGGTGGTGGTGGGGATGTCCATTAAACAAGTGGCTGGAAACTCGCGACAGGTGGGGATGTGCAAATATGGAGAGGTACATGAACTACCTTTTATGTGCTTGAGGTAGACTGCATATAAGAGGCAGGATATGTTCTTGACTTTCTCTTTTAAACAGCTTTTCAGATAGAGTTGACTTCCATAGATCCTCTAAGAGTGATAATGAAGGTTCTAAATTTTGTTTTGTTTTTTGGATTTTTAAAAAAACATAAGGATTTATTTCAATCCATTGGAATTTATATTTCACATACATGAAATACACTTTTATAAATGTCCGATTTGTCCCTTCTTTGGCAAGTGGGAGCCACTACAAGCTGGTTCCTGACTCCTACCAACATGACCCAGAAGTCTTTGAGAGCTTCCTTGCTTTGTGGCATGACAAAGTATCTTGTACATTTCCTGACCCAGACCTGGCATCAGCCATTTCTGCGAGGAGCCCTGGTTCATTTTGGTGGGGAATGGTATTCAGAGCCACAACCTGGGCATGAATTGTAAAGTGGCAGAACACTGCAAGGAAATCCAAGTCTCAGATTTGTTAAATAAAAGGTTTCAAGAATAGAAAAATGAGGTTATCAACAGGAGAACTAAATTTTGACAAATGCATGAGGAAAACTTGTGTGCAAACTCAAGGAGACAGACAAGGGAATGTCCCTTTGGGATGGCAAAGTGTTTTGTGAATACAAAGAAAAGGTACATGGAGTGGGTCTGGGATGAGGAGGCGATGAGTATGGAGATGTACATAGTGGTCAAACAAAGTCTGGGGTTATATGCTGTGCCAACCTGTTTGAGCTGTTTAGATCATTAAACATGATTGAATTCATGTGGGAAGTATCATTTGGAAATAGTTTGGTGATTTTCTTTCTGTCTGTCTCTCTTCTCTCCTCTCTCCTCTTCTGACAGTCTCGCTCTGTCACCCAGGCTGGAGTGCAGTGGCGCAATCTTGGCTCACTACAACTTCCATCTCTCAGGTTCAACCAATTCTCAATCCTCAGCCTCCCAAGTAGCAGGATTACAGGCACGCACCACCATGCCCAGCTAATTTTTGTATTTTTAGTAGATGCGGGGTTTTACCGTATTGGTCAGTCTGGTCTCGACTCCTGACCTCAAGTGATCCACCTGCCCCAGCCTCCCAAAGTGCTGGGATTACAGGTGTGAGCCACTGTGCCCAGCCCCTGTCACTTTCTTTATAGATAAGATGTTGACTTTAAAACAGTTCTGGGGCTTAGTTGGGTAGGGCAAAGATTGAAGTGTTCTGAATAGGCCAGTGGCCACCACGAAAGGCAGGGGTCAGCTAGGGGCAAGCAGAATGTAGTTAGAAGGTGGCTGCTATGGACAGCCAGAAGGGTCCTGTGAGTGTTCAGACCTGCAGTTCTAACTTCATCCACTGCAATTCATCTCCTGATTTCTAGTCTTAATTTCCACTGGTGACCATTCATTAGGGACTCTCTTCCTCTTTCCCAGTTCCTGACTTGGCTGGTGGTTTCTGAGTGGCTGTATCTTCTAGGACGAGGATCCCTAATTAGTAGTGGGAAATATCTTTTGGTCCTGAAGTCACACCTGGTAGATCTGCAAGCTGATTAGAGTACAGGCATGTGGCAGGGTTTAAGATTGAACTACTTTGGGATAGGAACTTCCATGGCAAGTTTAAAATATGTTCTGATAAATGAGACCCTGTGAACAGTGTCACATTACTTGTATCAAGATACATCTAAGCGTCAGTAGCAAAGACACTCCAAAATGCCATGACTTTAGTAATGAATAATAAATAAAATGTCTCTCTCTCTTTCTCTCTCACACACACACACAGACACACACACACACACACACACACACACACACACACACACACACATAGTTCCAAAGTGAGTGCTGCAGGTTGGTGGGACAGCTCTGTTCACACGAGGACCCAGGTTTGTTCTAGGTCTGGGCTCTGCCAGCCTTTGGCCGGGGTGTCTCAAACTTCAAGCATGTTTGACTCCCCTGGAAATCTTACAATTCTATTTTTGTAGGTCTGTGACTGGACCTGAGATTCTGCATTTCTAACAGTTCCCAGATGATGCAATGCTTCTGTTCCCGGACCACACTGGAGTAGCAAGACCCTAGAGTGTTATCATCTGTCAAAGCTGTGACTGCCACATTCAGGTTCTAACCTGCAGGGAAGAGAGAAGGCTGGGGTTGGGGGACAGCGAGGAGGCCCCCTTGATGTCTTCAATCCCAGACCTGGTGATGGTACATAACACTTCCGCTTACATTATTTGGGTGAAAACCTGGTTATATGGTTACACCTAACTGCAAGGACATCTGAGAAATGTAATCTTGCCTGACAACCACATACAAAGCTACAATTCTATTACTTTCAAAGAGCGGGGAGCAGATGTTGGCAGACAAATCACAGTCCCTGCCACATTACTCTATCTAAAGTCCCCTCACACACCTCCCAGAGACTCCTGGTGGCCACCCAATCAGGTGAAGCGTACTCAGAAGTGTCCAGGAGGCTTTCCAGATCTGAACTTCACAGCATTCTTCCCTTCAGCATGTACTTGAAAAATTCTGCTCCCAGAATTTCCTGAGTATTTATTTATTTATTTATTTATTTAGGGGAGAATGTACAAGTCGACTTTTTCTTTCCACTTTTGTGACTTTGGAAGTGAACGAGATGACCAGATTATGTCTCTTTAAAATCGACTTGTTTAATTCTTCCTGTTTTGGTGAGAAGAAATTGATGCTTCAATCCCAGTCTCACATTATTCCAGCCAAGACAATCTTGCTGGGCTGAATCACTGTGCTGCAGATTTTCCTGTCCGATGAGTGGGTGAGATATAGGATAATAAATGAGTCCAGGCAGTTGGCAAGATGCACGGGCAGCCTGAGAGCAGAGTTATAATCACAGTACATTTATGATAAAACTGCAGTTTATTCTGCAGACATGACAACATTAGATGGTCAAAGAGCTCAAGGATAGTGAAGGAAAAACTAATTGTTTGTGAGTGATGAGATTTGCCCTTCATTTTTATTTACCTGACTGAAAGTGTCCAGTGTCTTTGCAGATGGAAATTTTCATTTCCTAATATTCTTCTCAATACTCAAGCAAATGAAATAGAATTAACTAAAAGCAGAGAGATATAATCTGCTTTAGCCGAAAGGCTAGAGGGGCAAGGAATAATCAAGCAAGCACTCTAAGGCTGCTTCGATATTTCCTTCATAAATGAAAGTGAAGGGAGAGTCATACTGGGCTGTTCTCTGACACACACACAAATTAAATATGCATATTGCCCTCTTAAAATACAGGCCTAGGGAACAATGAGCTCTTAGTTGGGTTTTCTTCCCTGTATGGCATTCTTATGCGGTCTTTCACTGAAATGAACAATTTCAATATAAGAAAAAAACCCTGAAATATAACTTGAAATCAAATAAGGCTGCCATGTCCTTCCATTAGCCCCAGCAGTTGCTTCCAATTATCATGACCAGATTTTCTCATTTGTGCTTTTTAGAGAAACAATATTTGTATTCAGGAGGAAAGCTGAGAATTTAATCATTTCATGTGATGCTCCAGACAGTACCAGCAGTGTCAAAAAGTAGGAAGAACTCTCCCTGGATTCTGAGTCAAAAGATGTACATTTAAATCCCCACTATTTTTTTTCTTTCTTTCTTTCTTTTTTTTTTTTTTTTAGATGGAGTCTCCGTTGCCCAGGCTGGAAGGCAGTGGTACAATCTTGGCTCACTGCAAACTCCGCCTCCCAAGTTCAAGTGATTCTCCTGTTTCAGCCTCCTGAGTAGCTGAGACTATAGGCGCCTACCACCACACCCGGCTAATTTTTGTATTTTAATAGAGACAGGGTTTTACCATGTTGGCCAGGCTGGTCTGGAACTCCTGACCTTGCGATCCACCCGCCTTGGCCTCCCAAAGTGCTGGGATTACAGGCATGAGACACTGTGCCCAAACTAAATCCCTTCTATTGGCTGGGCACAGTGGCTCACGTCTGTAATCCCAGCACTTTGGGAGGCCAAGGCAGGTGGATCACTTGAGTCAAGAGTTTGAGACCAGTGTGGCCAACATGGTGAAACCCCGTCTCTACTAAAAACAGAAAAATTAGCCGGGTGTGGTTGGTACGCACCTGTAGTCTCAGCTACTCGGGAGGCTGAGACAGGAGAATCACTTGAACTTGGGAGGCGGAGTTTGCAGTGAGCCAAGATTAGATTCTTAATTCAAGAATTAAGATTCTGCACATGTGCAGAATGTGCAGGTTTGTTACATAGATATACATGTGCCATGGTGGTTTGCTGCACCCATCAACCCATCATTTAGGTTTTAAGCCCAACATGCATTATGTATTTGTCCTAATGCTCTCCCTTCCCTTGCCCCCAAACCCTGACATGACCTGGTGTGTGACGTTCCCCTCCCTGTGTCCACGTGTTCTTATTGTTCAACTCCCATTTCTGAGTGAAAACGTGGTGTTTGGTTTTCTGTTCCTGTGTTAGTTTGCTGAGGATGATGGCTTCTAGATTAATCCATGTCCCTGCAAAAGACATGAACTCGTTCTTTTTTATGACTGCATAGTATTCCGTGGTGTATATGTGCTACAGTTTCTTTATCCAGTCTATCATTGATGGGCATTCAGGTTGGTTCCAAGTCTTTGCTCTTGTGAATAGTGCTGCAATAAACATACATGTGCATGTGTCTTTAAAGCAGAATGATTTATAATACTTTGGGTATATACCCAGTAATGGGATAGCTGGGTCAAATGATATTTCTGGTTCTAGATCATTGAGGAATCGCCACACTGTCTTCCACAATGGTTGAACTAATTTACGCTCCCACCAACAGTGTGAAGCATTCCTATTTCTCCACAGACTCATCAGCATCTGTTGTTTCCTGACTTTTTAATAATCACCACTCTAACTGGCATGAGATGGTATCTCAATGAGATGGTATCTCATTGTGGTTTTGATTTGCATTTCTCTAATGACCAGTGATAATGAGCTTCTTTCATATATTTGTTGCCCACATAAATGTCTTCTTATGAGAAGTGTCTGTTCATATCCTTTACTCACTTTTTGATGGTATTGTTTTTTTCTCGTAATTTAAGTTCCTTGTAGATTCTGGATATTAGACCTTTGTCAGACTGCAAAATTTTTCTCCCATTCTGTAGGTTGCCTGTTCACTCTGATGATAGTTTCTTTTGCAGTGCAGAAGCTATTTAGTTTAATTAGATCCCATTTGTCAATTTTGGCTTTCGTTGCAATTGCTTTTGGTGCTTTAGTCATGAAGTATTTGCCCTTGTCTATGTCCTGAATAGCATTGCCTATGTTTTCTTCTAGGGTTTTTCTGGCTTTGGGTTTTACATTTAAGTCTTTTAATCCATCTTGAGTTAATTTTTGTATAAGGTGTAAGGAAGGGGTCCAGTTTCTATTTTCTGCATATGGCTAGCCAGTTTCCCCAGCACCATTTATTAAATAGGGAATCCTTTCCCCATTGCTTGTTTTTGTCAGGTTTGTTGAAGATCAGATGGTTGTAGATGTGTGGTGTTATTTCTGAGGTCTCTGTTATGTTCCATTGGTTTATATATCTGTTTTGGTACCAGTACCACGCTGTTTTGGTTACTGTAGCATTGTAGTACAGTTTGAAGTCGGGCAGCTTGTTGCCTCCAGCTTTGTTCTTTTTGCTCAGGATTGTCTTGGCTATATGGGCTCTTTTTTAGTTCCATATGAAATTTAAAGTAGTTTTTCCTAATTCTGTGAAGAAAGTCAATGGTAGCTTGACGAGAATAGCATTGAATCTATAAATTACTTTAGGCAGTATGGCCATTTTCACGATATTGATTCTTCCTATCTATGAGCATGGAATGTTTTTCCATTTGTTTGTGTCCCCTCCTATTTCCTTGAACAGTGGTTTGTAGTTCTCCTTGAAGAGGTCCTTCATATCCCTGGTAAATTGTATTCCTAGGTATTTTATTCTCTTTGAAGCAATTGTGAATGGGAGTTCACTCATGATTTGGCTCTCTGCTTGTCTGTTATTGGTGTATAGGAATGCTTGTGATTTTTGCACATTGATTTGTATCTTGAGACTTTGCTGAAGTTGCTTATCAGCTTAAGGAATTTTTGGCTGAGATGATGGGGTCTTCTAAATATACAATCATGTCATCTGCAAACAGAGACAATTTGACTTCCTCTTTTCCTAATTGAATACCCTTTATTTCTTTCTCTTGCCTGATTGCCCTGGCCAGAACTTCCAAAACTATGTTGAATAGGAGTGGTGAGAGAGGGCATCCTTGTCTTGTGCTAGTTTTCAAAAGGAATGCTTCCAGGTTTTGTCCATTCAGTATGATATTGGCTGTGGGTTTGTCATAAATAGCTCTTATTATTTTGAGATATTTTCCATCAATACCTAGTTTATTGAGAGTTTTTAGCATAAAGGGCTGTTGAATTTTGTTGAAGGCCTTTTCTGCATCTATTGAGATAATCATGTGGTTTTTGTTGTTGGTTCTGTTTATATGCTGGATTACGTTTATTGATTTGTGTATGTAGAACCAGCCTTGCATCCCAGGGATGAAGCCAACTTGATCGTGGTGGATAAGCTTTTTGATGTGCTGCTGGATTCAGTGTGCCAGTATTTTCTTGAGGATTTTTGCATCGGTGTTCATCGGGGATTTGGCCTGAAATTTTCTTTTTTTTGTTGTGTCTCTGCCAGACTTTGGTATCAGGATGACGCTGACTTCATAAAATGAGTTAGGGAGGATTCCTTCTTTTTCTATTGATTGGAATAGTTTCAGAAGGAATGGTACCAGTTCCACTTTGTACCTCTGGTAGAATTTGGTTGTGAATCTGTCTGGTCCTGGGCTTTTCTTGGTCGGTAGACTATTAATTACTCCCTCAATTTCAAAACTTGTTATTTTCAAAGAACTTCTTTATTTCTGCCTTATTTTCATTATTTACCCAGTAGTCATTCAGGAGCAAGTTGTTCAGTTTCCATGTAGTTGTGCAGTTTTGAGTGAGTTTCTTAATCCTGAGTTCTAATTTGATTGTGCTGTGGTCTGAGAGACTTGTGATTTCCGTTCTTTTACATTTGCTGAGGAGTGTTTTACTTTCAATTATGTGGTTGATTTTAGAATAAGTGCCATGTCGTGCTGAGAAGAATGTATATTCTGTTGATTTGAGGTGGAGAGTTCTGTAGATGTCTATTGGGTCCACTTGGTCCAGAGCTGAGTTCAAGTCCTGAATATCCTTGTTAATTTTCTGTCTTGTTGATCTAATATTGACAGTGGGGTGTTAAAATCTCCCATTATTATAGTGTGGGA
Source organism: Homo sapiens (assembly GCF_000001405.40). Classification (NCBI taxonomy): domain Eukaryota; kingdom Metazoa; phylum Chordata; class Mammalia; order Primates; family Hominidae; genus Homo; species Homo sapiens. The sequence continues at coordinate 105,231,637 of NC_000006.12, forward strand.
GTCTAAGTCTCTTTGTAAGTCTCTAAGAATTTGCTTTATGAATCTGGGTGCTCCTGTATTAGGTGCATATAAATTTAGGATAGTCAGCTCTTGTTGCATCGATCCCTTTACCTTTGTATAATGCCCTCTTTGTGTTTTTTGATCTTTGTTGGTTTAAAGTCTGTTTTATCAGAGACTAAGATTGCAACCCCTGCGTTCTTTTGCTTTCCATTTTCTTGCTAAATATTTCTCCATCTCTTTATTCTGAGCCTATATGTGTCTTTGCACAGGAGATGGGTCTCCTGAATACAGCACGTCGATGGGTCTTGACTCTTTATTCAATTTGCCAGTCTGTGTCTTTTAATTGGGGCATTTAGCCCATTTACGTTTAAGGTTAATAGTGTTATGTGTCAATTTGATCCTGTCATCATGATGCTAGCTATTTATTTTGCACAATTTGTTGATGCAGTTTCTTCATAGAGTCATTGGTCTTTATACTTTGGTGTGTTTTTGCAGTGGCTGGTACTGGTTTTTCCTTTCCATATTTAGTGCTTCCTTCAGGAGCTCTTGTAAGGCAGGCCAGGTGGTGACAAAATCTCTCAGCTTTTGCTTGTCTGTAAAGGATTTTATTTCTCCTTCGCTTATGAAACTTGGTTTGGGTGGATATGAAATTCGGGGTTGAAAATTCTTTAAGAATGTTGAATATTGGCCCCCACTCTCTTCTGGCTTGTGGGGTTTCTGCACAGAGATCTGCTGTTAGTCTAATGGGCTTCTCTTTGTAGGTAACCCAACCTTTCTCTCTGGCTGCCCTTAACATTTTTTCCTTCATTTCAACCTTGGAGAATCTGATGATTATGTGTCTTGGGGTTGTTCTTCTTGAGGAGTATCTTAGTGGTGTTCTCTGTATTTCCTGAATTCGAATGTTGGCCTGTTGCTAGGTTGGGGAATTTCTCCTGGATAATATACTGAAGTGTGTTTCCCAACTTGGTTCCATTCTCTCCATCACTTTCAGTATACCAATCAGTCATAGGTTTGGTCTTTTCACATAGTTGCATATTTCTTGGAGGCTTTGTTCATTCCTTTTCATTCTTTTTTCTCTAATCTTGTCTTCACACCTTATTTCAGTAAGGTGATCTTCAATCTCTCTTATCCTTTCTTCTGCTTAATCAATTTGGCTATTGATACTTGTGTATGCTTCACAAAGTTCTTGTGCTGTGTTTTTCAGCTCCATCAGGTCATTTATGTTCCTTTCTAAACTGGTTATTCTAGTTAGCAGTTCCTGTAACCTTCTATCAAGGTTCTTAGCTTCCTTGCATTGGGTTAGAACATGCTTCTTTAGCTCAAAGGTGTTTGTTATTACCCACCTTCTGAAGCCTAATTCTGTCAATTCATCAATGTCATTCTCCATCCAGTTTTGTGCCCTTGCTGGAGAAGGAGTTGCAATCATTTGGAGGAGATTCTGGTTTTTGGAATTTTCAGTGTTTTTGCACTGTTTTTTCCTCATCTTTGTGGATTTATCTACCTTTGATTTTTGAGGCTGATGACCTTTGGGTGGAGTTTTCATGTGGGGGTCTTTTTCTTTGATGTTGATGTTGTTGCTGTTTCCTAGTTTTTCTTCTAACAGTCAGGCCCCTCTTCTGCAGAAATGCTGCAGTTTGCTGGAGGTCCACTCCAGACCCTCTTTGCCTGTGTTTCGCCAGTGGAGGATGCAGGACAGGAAAGATTGTTGCCTGCTCCTTCCTCAAGAAGCTTCATCCAAGAGGGTCACTGGCCTGATGCCAGCCAGAGGTCTCCTGTATGAGGTGTCTCTCGACCCCTGTTGGGAGGTCTCTTCCAGTCAGGAGGCACAGGGGTCAGGGACCCACTTGAGGCAGCCTGTCCGGTAGCAGAGCTGGTGAGCTGTGCCTGGAGAATCCCTCTTGTCAGGATCAGCTGCTCTCTTCAGAGCCGGCAGGCAGGAATGATTAACTCTGCTGAAGCTGTGGCCACAGCCGCCCCTTTCCCCAGGTGCTCTGTCCCAGGGAAATGGGGCTTTTGTCTGTAAGCCCCTGACTGGGGCTGTTACCTTTCCTTCAGAGATGCCCTGCCCAGTGAGGAGGAATCTAAAGAAGCAGTCTGGCCATAGCCACTTTGCCGTGCTGTGGTGAATTCCGCCCAGTCCAAACCTCCCAGCTTCCTTAGCACTTTCAGGGGAAAATTGCCTACTAAAGCCTCAGTAAAGGCAGACGCCCCTCCCCCCGCCAAGCACAATCATCCCAGGTTGACTTCAGACCACTGTGCTGGCAGCGAAAAATTTCAAGCCAGTGGTTCTTAGCTTGCTGGGCTCCATGGGAATGGGACCTGTTGAGCGAGACCACTTGGCTCCCTGGCTTCAGTCCCCTTTCCAGGGGAGTGAACAGTTCTGTCTTGCTGGGGTTCCAGGTGCCACTGGGGCACAAAAACAAATACTGCAGCTAGCTCAGTGTCTGCCCAAACAGCTGCCCAGTTTTGTGCTTGAAACCCAGGGCCCTGGTGGTGTAGGCGCACAAGGGAATCTCCTGATCTGTGGATTGCAAAAATTGTGAGAAAAGCATAGTACCTAGGCCGGGTAGCAGAGTCCCTCACGGCTTCCCTTGGCTGGAGAAGGGAGGTCTCCTGGCTCCTTGCACTTTCTGGGTGAAGCGATGCCCCACCCTGTTTCTGCTTGCTCTCTCTGGGTTGCACCCACTGCCTAACTGGTCCCAATGAGATGAACAGGGTACCTCATCTGCAGTTGGAAGTGCAGAAATCACCCACCTTCTGCACTGGTCTTGCTGGGAGCTGCCGACCACAGCTGTTCCCATTCGGCCATCTTGGCCCCTCCCCAGGAATTATATTTTGTTCAAATATGTATTAGTTTAGGAAATGACCCAAAGGTGTTTTAAATAACATTTTTAAAAATTTGATTTTGCTGGTAAAATTAATTCAAATATTCTGTGTGGTCTAAGAGATCTTTCGAAAGAACTGGAGTGGGCCCTTCACAGTGGGATAAATAAAGAAGAAAATGGGGAAGGAGGAAAGCGTTGATTACACATGTCTTAAGAATGAGCAAAGGTACAAGGAAAAAATATATTAAGACAAAGCTAAGCTCCAGATTGACTGTAAGAACAAATCAGCAATCCTGAGAGGATTCACAGACCCTCTGAAAGAAGCAGACTGCTCCTGCAGAACCAGGAGACACCCCAAATACTGTGAGTGCCCCAACTGCAGAATTGGGAAAGGGAGATCCTCCTCTCCCAAACACACACTCCCACTGGAGAAGCTGAGCGTCTATTTGTGGGAGAAGTTTCTGACTTTACCTGGAGCTGAGTCAAGCTAAGCGAAATGCAGGGGTAGAGGAAGAAGCCCCTGGGAGCTCGCGGGGTCCCCAGTCAGCCCATTCCTGCCTGGCACCACAGGGATCCATCGGGAGGGGGGCCAGAGGAGCAGGGGGTAAAACCCCACAGAGGGCAGGAAATCTCTAGCTGAACTTTGTAACAATTTAAATGTGGCGAGAAGCCTCCTGGCCAGAAGTTGGAGGAGTGTTCGAATCCCACTTGCAGACTTCACAGGCAGGGGAAGAGCTAACGCCCTTTTCTTTCACAGCCCCAGTAGCCTAGGGCAAGTCTTCAAGCCTGTCTCCCCCTCTGCCTGGTAACAGACCTCGGGGCTGTTGCAGAGGGGCATGGTGGGAGTGAGACCAGCCCTGTGGTTTGCATGGGAGCTGGTTTGAGGCCTGTGACTGTCGGCTTTTCACTACTGCATGACTCAGCAGAGGCAGCCATAATCCTCCTAGGTACACAACTCCAGTGACCTGGGAATCTCAGCCCCATCACCCACAGCAGCTGCAGCAAGACCCACACAAGGAGAGTCTGAGCTCAGACACGCTTAGCCCTGCCCTCACCTGATGGTCCTTCCCTACCCACCTTGATAGTGGAAGACAATGGACACATAGTCTTCGGAGTTCTAGAGCCCCACCCAGCACTGATCCCTCTCCACACTACTTCAGCTGATGCTTTTTGGAAAGTACCACCTCCTGACAGGAGGCCAATCAGCACAAAAATAGAGCATTAAACCACCAAAGCTAAGGACCCTCATGGAATCCATTGCACCCTCCACCACCTCCACCGGAACAAGCACTGGTATGGTTCACATCACAGGACTCTGTGCAGACAACCCCCAGTACCAGCCCAGAGCTGGGTAGATTCACTGAGTGGCTAGACCCGGAAGAGAGAGACAACAATCACTCCAGTTTAGCTCACAGGAAGCACATCCACAGGAAAAGTGGGGAGAGTATTACATCAAGGGAACATCCTGTGGGACAAAAAAATCTGAACAACAGTCTTCAGCCCTAGACCTTCCCTCTGACAGAGCCTACCCAAATGAGAAGGAACCAGAAAACCAACCCTGGTAATATGACAGAACAAGGCTCATCAACACCCTCCAAAAATCACACTAGTTTACCAGCAATGGATCCAAACCAAGAAGAAATCCCTGATTTACCTGAAAAAGTATTCAAGAGGTTAGTTATTAAGCTAATCAGGGAGGAACCAGAGCAAGGCAGAGCCCAATGCAAGGAAATCCAAAAATTGATACAGGAAGTGAAGGGAGAAATATTCAAGGAAATAGATAGCTTAAAAGACAATCAAAAATTCAGGAAATTTTGGACACACTTTTTGAAATGCAAAATGCTCTGGAAAGTCTCAGCAATATATAATTGAACAAGTGGAAGAAAGAAATTCAGAGTTCCACCTGGGTGCAGTGGCTCACGCCTGTAATCCCAACACTTTGGGAGGCCAAGGCAGGCGGCTCATCTGAGGTCAGGAGTTTGGGATCAGCCTGGCCAACATGGCGAAACCTTGTGTCTACTAAAAATACACAAATTAGCTGGATGTGGTGGCACGTGCTTGTATCCCAGCATTAGGGAGGCTGAGGCAGGAGAATTGCTTGAACCTGGGAGGCAGAGGTTGCAGTGAGCCAAGATAGCGCCACTGCACTACAGCCTGGGCAACAGAGCAAGACTCCATCTAATAAAAAAACAACAACAACAAAACAAAATGAAACCAGAAATTCAGAGCTGGAAGACAAGGTTTTCAAATTAACCCAATCTGACAAAGACAAAGAAAAAATAAGAAAATATGAACAAAGCCTCCAGGAAGTCTGGGATTATGTTAAATGACCAAACCTAAGAATAATCGGTGTTCCTGAGGAAGAAGAAAATTCTAAAAGCTTGGAAAACATATTTCAGGGAATAATCAAGGAATCCTTCCCTGGCCTTGCCACAGACTGAGAAATGCAAATACAAGAAGCACAAAAAACACCTGGGAAATTCTTCTCAAAAAGATCCTCGCCTAGGCACATTGTCATCAGGTTATCCAAAGTTAAGATGAAGGAAACAATCTTAAGAGCTGTGAGACAGAAGCACTAGGTAACCTGTAAAGTGGAACCTATCAGATTAACAGATGTCTCAGCAGAAACCCTACAAGCTAGAAGGGATTGGGGCCCCATCTTCAACCTCCTCAAACAAAACCATTGTCAGCCAAGAATATTGTATCCAGCATCCTATGTGAAGGAAAGATACAATCATTTTCAGACAGATGCTGAGAGAATTCACCATTATCAAGCCACTTCTACAAGAACTGCTAAAAGGAGCTCTAAATCTTGAAACAAATCCTGGAAACATATCAAAACAGAACCTCTTTAAAGCATAAATCACACAGGATCTATAAAACAAAAATTCAAGTTTAAAAGCAAAAACAAAACAAACAAAAAAAAACAAAGTACACAGGCAACGAAGAGCATGATAAATGCAATTGTACCTCACATTTCAATACTAACATTGAATCTAAATGGCCTAAAAGCTCCACTTAAAAGATACAGAACCAAATAATTTTCTGTTTTTTCCTTAGATAATCTTAATTTTTTATCATTACACAAAGCTAAATATTCAGTGGTGATGTAATGAAAAATTACATCTTACTGTTGATGTATGTATGCTGTGGTACACAGGTGTCATTTTGTTGTCCCAGTACTACAGTGAAATACACAAATAAAAAGTTTATATAATGACTTAAATGTATTATATGTTAGAATTGACAACATAAACTACTTTTGCTTTGAAATGATGTATGTTTTAGTAAAATCATATTCAAATTTTTAAAAATGATACAGAACTGCAGAATGGATAAGAACTCACCAACCAACTATCTGCTACCTTCTGGAGACTCACCTAACACATAAGGGCTTACATAAACTTAAAGGGGTAGAAAAAGACATTTCATGAAAATGGACACCAAAACTGAGCAGAAGTAGCTATTCTTATGTCAGAAAAAAAAAACTTTAAAGCAACAGTGGTTAGAAGAGGCAAAGAGGGACATTGTATAATGGTAAAAGGCCTTGTCCAACAGGAAAATATAACAATCCTAAACATACATGCACCTAACACTGGAGCTCCCAAATTTATAAGACAATAACTAATAGACCTAAGAAATGAGATGGGCAGCAACACAATAATGGTGTGGGACTTCAATACACCACTGACAGCACTAGATAGGTCATCAAGACAAAGTCAACAAAGAAACAATGGATTTAAACTATACCTTGGAACAAATAGACTTAACAGACATTTATAGAACATTTCACCCAACAACTGCAGAATACACATTCTATTTAACAGTGCATGGAACTTTCACCAAGATAGACCAGATGATAGGCCATAAAACAAGCCTCAATAAGTTTAAGAAAATTGAAATTATATCAAGCACTCTCTCAGACCACAGTGGAATAAAACTGGAAATAAACCCCCAAAAGGAACCTTCAAAACCACACAATACATGGAAATTAAATAACCTGCTCCTGAATCATCATTGGGTTGAAAACGAAATCAAGATGGAAATTTAAAAATTCTTCAAACTGAATGACAATAATGACACAACCTATCAAAACCTCTGGGATATAGCTAAGGTGGTGCTAAAGGAAAGTTCATAGCCCTAAATGCCTACATCAAGAAGTCTGAAAGAGCACAAACAGACAATCTAAGGTCACATCTCAAGGAACTAGAGAAACAAGAACGAACTAAACCCAAACCCAGCAGAATAAAGGAAATAACCAAGATTAGAGCAGAACTAAATGAAATTTAATGAAATTGAAACAAAAAAATACAAAAGATAAAAAGCTGGTTATTTGAAAAGATAAATAAAATTGATAGACCATTAGCAAAATTAACCAAGAAGAGAAGAGAGAAAATCCAAACAACCTCACTAAGAAACAAAACAGGAGATATTACAACTGACACCACTGAAATATAAAAGATCATTCAAGGTTACTATGAACACCTTTATGCACATAAACTAGAAAACCTAGAAGAAATGGATAAATTCCTGGAAAAATACAACCTCCTAGCTTAAATCAGGAAGAATTAGATACCCTGAACAGACCAATAACAAGCAGTGAGATTGAAGCAATAATTTAAAAATTACCAGCAAAAAAATGTCCAGGACCGGATGGATTCACAACAGAATTCTACCAGGCATTCAAAGAAGAATTGGTACCAATCCTTTTGACACTATTCCACAAGACAGAGAAAGAAGGAGCCCTCCCTAATTGATTCTATGAAGCCAGCATCACCCTAATACCAAAATCAAGACAGGACACAACCAAAAAAGAAAACTACAGACCCATATCCTTGATGAACATAGATGCTAAAATCCTTAACAAAATACTAGCTAACTGAATCCAACAACATATCAAAAAGATAACCTACCATCATCGAGTGAGTTTTATACCAGGGATGCAGGGATGGTTTAACATACACAAGTCAATCAATATGATACACCGTATAAACAGAATTAGAAATATCACATGATCATCTCAATAGATGCATAAAAAGCATTCGACAAAATCTAGCATCCCTTTATGATTAAAACCCTCAGCAAAATTGGCATACAAGGGACATATCTTAATGTAACAAAAGCTATGATAAACCCACAGCCAACATAATACTGAATGGGGAAAAGTTGAAAGCATTCCCTCTGAGAATAGGAACAAGATAAGGATGCCCACTTTCACCACTCCTCTTCAACATAGTACTGGAAGTCCTAGCCAGAGCAATCAGACAAGAGAAAGAAAGAAAGGACATCTAAATCAGTAAGGAGGAAGTCAAACTGTCCCTGTTTGCTGACAATATGATCATTTACCTTGAAAACCCTAAGGACTCCTCCAGAAGCTCCTACAACTGATAAAAGAATTCAACAAAGTTTCCAGATACAAGATTAATGTACGTAAATCAGTAGGTCTTCTATCCACCAACAGCAACCAAGCAGAGAATCAAATCAAGAACTCAACCCCTTTTACAATAGCTGCAAAAACAAACAAGCAAACAAAAAACAATAAAATACTTAGGAATATACCTAACAAAGGAGTTGAAAGACCTCTGCAAGGAAAACTACAAAACACTGCTGAAAGAAATAGATGATGCAAACAAATGGAAACACATCCCATGCTCATGGATGGGTAGAATCAATGTGAAAATGACCATGCTGCCAAAAGCAATCTACAAATTCAATGCAATCCCCATCAAAATACCACCATCATTCTTCACAGAGTTAGAAAAGACAATTCTAAAATTCATATGGAACCAAAAAAGAGCCCACATTGTCAAAGCAAGACTAAGCAAAAAGAACAAATCTGGAGGCATCACACTACCTGATTTCAAACGATACTACAAGGCCACAGTCACCAAAACAGCATGGTACTGGTATAGAAATAGGCGCATAGACCAATGGAACAGAATAGAGAACCCAGAAATAAACCCAAATACTTACAGCCAACTGATCTTTGACAAAGCAAACAAAAACATAAACCAGGGAAGGGACACCCTTTTCAACAGATGGTGCTGGGATAATTGGCTAGCCACATGTAGGAGAATGAAACTGGATTCTCATCTCTCACCTTATATAAAAATCAACTCGATGGATTAAGGACTTAAACCTAAGACCTGAAACTATAAAAATTCTAGAAGATAACATTGGAAAAACCCTTCTAGACATTGGTTTAGGCAAGGATTTCATGACCAAGAACATAAAAGTAAATGCAGTAAAAACACAGATAAGTAGCTGGGACCTAATTAAACTAAAGAGCTTTTGCACGGCAAAAGGAACTGTCAGCAGAGTAAAGAGCCCACAGAGAGAAAATCTTCACAATCTACACATCTGACAGAGGACTAATATCCAGAATCTACAATGAACTCCAACAAATCAGAAAAAAATCCCACAAAAAGTGGGCTAAGGACATGAATAGATAATTTTCAAAAGAAGATACACAAATGGCCAACAAACATATGAACAAATACTCAACATCACAAATGATCAGGGAAATGCAAATCAAAACCGCAATGTGATACCACCTTACTCCTGCAAGAATGGCCATAATCAAAAAATAAAAAAAAAACAGTAGATGTTGGCGTGGATGTGGTGATCAGGGAACACTTCCACACTGCTGGTAGGAATGTAAACTAGTACAGCTGCTATGAAAGACAGTGTGGAGATTCCTTAAAGAGCTAAAAGTAGAACTAGCATTTGATCCAGCAATCTCACTAGTGGGTATCTACCCAGAGGAAAAGAAGTCATTATTTGAAAAAGATACTTGCACACACATGTTTATTGGCAGCACAATTCACAATTGCAAAATCGTATAACCAGCCCAAATGCCCATCAATCAATGAGTGGATAAAGAAACTGAGATATACATAGATATAGATATATGATAGAATACTATTCAGCCATAAAATGGAATGAATTAACAGCATTTGCAGTGACCTGGATGAAATTGGAGACTATTATTCTAAGGGAAGTAACTCAGGAATGGAAAACCAAACATTGTATGTTCTCACTGATATGTGGTAGCTAAACTATGAGAACGCAGAGGCATAAAAATGATACAATGGACTTTTGGGACATGGGAGGGAAGAGTGCGGGGGGACGAGGGAAAAAATACTACAAATATGGTGTGGTGTATACTGTTCGGGTGATGGGTGCACCAAAATCTCACAAATCACCACTAAAGAACTTATTTAACCAAATACCTGTAACCCAATAACTTATGGAAAAATAAATTAATTAATTGTTTTTAAAAAAGAAAGAACTGGAGTGAAAAATGAAGGCAGTGCTGGAGTACAGAGAAGTAATTACCAAAGATCACAACAGAGAAGTGTTAATAGCTGCAGACAACACATTCGATATCAATTCCTAATGGCAGACACTGTGGGTTCCTGTGTGGTTTCTTTTACGCTGAATTATGGCACTGAAGCAAACTGTTAATCACAAAAGGTGGAGATGAAGCCTTCTTGATGCTGACCTATAGCTCTTATTCAGTCATCTTTGGCAAATGCTGTTCCAGGGCATCACAAGCTCTACTCATGGGGTTGAAAGTGTTTCTCTTATACTCATTTTAGTTCATGAGGAGACAGCTTTCTTCCAAATCCATTTATCCTGATTGATTTTTAAGGAATCAGGTTTCAGGTTCCAGGCAAAGCAAATTCAGGATAAATAAAATAGAAACACCGATAAGATAGGACACTTCTATTTGCTTGAGTAAGTATCCATTGCTATATATACATATATATATATATATATATATATATATATATATATATAATCTGTATATGTGTATATATTTAGTTACTTTGGCATAATTTTAGATGTATGGAAAATTGCAAATATAGTAGAGAGAGTTCCTATATACTCTTCATCAGCTTCCCCTGATGTGAACATCTTATATAATATTGATGTATTTGTCAAAACTAAGAAAATAACATGGGAATACTATTAATTCAACTAGAGATTTTATTCATATTTCATGAGCTTTCCCACTACTGTACTTCTTCTGTTCCAAGGTCCTATCCAGGATGTCATATTGCAAGTAGTGGTAGTGTCTCTTTAGTGTCCTCTCGGCTGTGACAGTTTTTCAGTCTTTCCTTGTTTTTCATGAACTTGACAATTTTGAAGAGTATTGGTCAAGTACTTTGTAGATGCCCCTCTGTTTGGCTTCTCAGATGTTTTCTGATGGGGTAGCAGTTTGGGAGATGAATACTACAGAGGTAAAGTGCCATTCTCCTCACATTATATGGAGGAAAATACATGATGAATATGACTTATCACTAGTGATACTAACCTTGATCACCTGGTCAAGGTCATATTTGCTAGGTTTTATCCACTGCCAAATTGCTGTTACCTTTCCCATTTGCTGCAGTCTGTCCTTTGCAAGCAAGTTACTAATTCAAGTGGGGAAGGGGATTAAGTTCTACCTACTCGAGGGTGGAGAGCTATATACATTATTTGTAGTTCTTTGTAAGGAGGACTTGTCTCTTCTCCCACATTTATTTCTTCATAATTTATTTACATCAGTACGGACTTGTGGATATTTATGTGATACTTTGGATTCCAATCCAATGCTATTTACTTCATTGCTCAAATTGTTCCAGCTTTGCCCACTGGGAGCTCTTTTAGGCTCACTCTTGTTTCCCTTTGACATGCCTCATCTTTTAAACTTTTTATGCATTTATTTATGTTTTGAGCACTTTCTTTCAGGCACTGAGAGATGTTCCAGGCTTATCTTGTACTTTTGCAGCCCTATGATCAGCCATTTATTCAAGAAGCCCTGGTGCCTTTCATCAGAGACTTGTACCTTATATTTAATATTATTCTGGAAGCCTTAGCAGTGCTCTCTGCAGAGAAAATTTTGGCACAAATGAAATCACTTTGGGTGCAGACTGAGAGAATGAAATGTTAGTAGTATTAGGAAGCCTTACAAGGGGCTTCAGGGCATGGATCCAGAGGGTTTGAAATTGTGTGTCAAGTGACAGGGTTACCACGTCTTGGTTTTTCAGAATTGATGCAGGGGAATACAAATTCTTTTGCCCAGTCTTTCAACAGCAATTGGGGTGCCTAAGTCAAATAGGTTTTTGTCTTTGTTATCTGTGATTCTCAATCCTGTGGAATTATCTTAATGCCTCTATTGCCAACAGTTGTTTCAGTTAGAAATCTCTTTTGTGAGTCATAAATCGTTGCAAATTGTTGTTTGTGGATGTTATAAACAAAGAATAGACTGGAGATGCCGTGGAGATTATTGAGTAAGAGTGAATTGCTGTTAATAGCAGAGAGATAATATTGAAGAAAAGTTGCTGACTGTTACTATGAAGTAGATGACTTTGGTCAGAATGTTCCTTAAAAAAAGTTAACTTTACTATTTTTGTAGCAGGACAACCTGTTAAGATACTATTTTTATGTTTTATTTATACTGTTGTAGAAGATTCAAAGAATAAAGAGTTAATTCCTACCCATCCTTTCTCCTTCTTCCCCTACTTCCTTAACACACACACACACACACACACACACACACACACACACACACACACACACACACCCTCACCTCCATATATTGAGTATTAGATATTTGCTCTTGAGCTCTGGTATCTCTAGCCCCTGGAAGAAATTATCAGTGACTTCGGGCCAAATTCTGAGGAACAAGATTGTAAACTGATTGTCTGAAAGCAGGAGGGAGCAAGCCTGTATTCTTCAAGAAAGGAAGGGGCTGAGATGGAATCTCTAGAAACTACATTACCCTGGAGTTGTCTGGACTTTGGTACAGGGGATAGGAGAGGGTAAAGTGGGATGTCTGTATGTCAGCCAGTGGACAGCTGGAAGGCCCACTGTGAGAAGCACCATTGCCCAGTGCCTGGGCCATGGGAAAATAAACAATAGTAGCGGGAGGAGCCAAGATGGCTGAATAGGAACAGCTCCGGTCTACAGCTCCCAGCGTGAGCGACGCAGAAGATGGGCGATTTCTGCATTTCCATCTGAGGTACTGGGTTCATCTCACTAGGGAGTGCCAGACAGTGGGCGCAGGACAGTGGGTGCAGTGCACCATGTGCCAGCTGAAGCAGGGCGAGGCATTGCCTCACTCGGGAAGTGCAAGGCATCAGGGAGTTCCCTTTCCTGGTCAAGGAAAGGGGTGACAAAGGGCACCTGGAAAATCTGGCCACTCCCACCCGAATACCGTGCTTTTCTGACGGGCTTAGGAAATGGCGCACCAGGAGATTATATCCCGCACATGGCTGGGAGGGTCCTACGCCCACGGAGTCTCGCTGATTGCTAGCACAGCAGTCTGAGATCAAACTGCAAGGCAGCAGCGAGGCTAGGGGAGGGGCGCCCACCATTGCCCAGGCTCCCTTAGGTAAACAAAGCAGCCGGGAAGCTGGAACTGGGTGGAGCCCACCACAGCTCAAGGAGGCCTGCCAGCCTCTGTAGGCTCCACCTCTGGGGGCAGGGCACAGACAAACAAAAAGACAGCAGTAACCTCTGCAGACTTAAATGTCCCTGTCTGACAGCTCTGAGGAGAGCAGTGGTTCTCCCAGCACGCAGCTGGAGATCTGAGAATGGGCAGACTGCCTCCTCAAGTGGGTCCCTGACCCCTGACCCCCGAGCAGCCTAACTGGGAGGCAACCCCCAGTAGGGGCAGACTGTCACCTCACAGGGCCGGGTACTCCTCTGAGACAAAACTTCCAGAGGAACGATCAGACAGCAGCATTTGCGGATCACGAAAATCCGTGGTTCTGCAGACACTGCTGCTGATACCCAGGCAAACAGGGTCTGGAGTGGACTTCTAGCAAACTCCAACAGACCTGCAGCTGAGGGTTCTTTCTGTTAGAAGGAAAACTAACAAACAGAAAGGACATCCACACCAAAAACCCATCTGTATATCACCATCATCAAAGACCAAAAGTAGATAAAACCACAAAGATGGGGAAAAAACAGAGCAGAAAAACTGGGAACTCTAAAAAGCAGAGTGCCTCTCCTCTTCCAAAGGAATGCAGTTCCTCACCAGCAATGGAACAAAGCTGGACGGAGAATGACTTTGAAGAGTTGAGAGAAGAAGGCTTCAGACGATCAAACTACTCCGAGCTACAGGAGGAAATTCAAACCAAAGGCAAATAAGTTGAAAACTTTGAAAAAAATTTAGACGAATGTGTAACTAGAATAACCAATACAGAGATGTGCTTAAAGGAGCTGATGGAGCTGAAAGCCAAGGCTTGAGAACTACGTGAAGAATGCAGAAGCCTCAGGAGCCGATGCGATCAACTGGAAGAAAGGGTATCAGTGATGGAAGATGAAATGAATGAAATGAAGCCAGAAGGGAAGTTTAGAGAAAAAAGAATAAAAAGAAACGAACAAAGCCTCCAAGAAATATGGGACTATGTGAAAAGACCAAATCTGCGTCTGATTGGTGTATCTGAAAGTGACAGGGAGAATGGAACCAAGTTGGAAAACACTCTGCAGGATATTATCCAGGAGAACTTCCCCAATCTAGCAAGGCAGGCCAACGTTCAGATTCAGGAAACACAGAGAATGCCACAAAGATACTCCTCGAGAAGAGCAACTCCAAGACACATAATTGTCAGATTCACCAAAGCTGAAATGAAGGAAAAAATGTTAAGGGCAGCCAGAGAGAAAGGTCGGGTTACCCACAAAGGGAAGCCCATCAGACTAACAGCTGATCTCTCAGCAGAAACTCTACAAGCCAGAAGAGAGTGGGGGCCGATATTCAACATTCTTAAAGAAAAGAAATTTCAACCCAGAATTTCATATCCAGCCAAACTAAGCTTCATAAGTGAAGGAGAAAGAAAATCCTTTACAGACAAGCAAATGCTGAGAGATTTTGTCACCACCAGGCCTGCCCTAAAAGAGCTCCTGAAGGAAGCACGAAACATGGAAAGGCACAACCGGTACCAGCCGCTGCAAAATCATGCCAAAATGTAAAGACCATCGGGACTAGGAAGAAACTGCATGAATTAACGAGCAAAATCACCAGCTAACATCATAATGACAGGATCAAATTCACACATAACAATATTAACTTTAAATGTAAATGGACTAAATGCTCCAATTAAAAGACACAGACTGGCAAGTTGGATAAAGAGTCAAGACCCATCAGTGTGCTGTATTCAGGAAACCCATCTCACATACAGAGACACACATAGGCTCAAAATAAAAGGATGGAGGAAGATCTACCAAGCAAATGGAAAACAAAAAAAGGCAGGGGTTGCAATCCTGGTCTCTGATAAAACAGACTTTAAACCAACAAAGATCAAAAGAGACAAAGAAGGCCATTACATAATGGTAAAGGGATCAATTCAACAAGAAGAGCTAACTATCCTAAATATATATGCACCCAATACAGGAGCACCCAGATTCACAAAGCAAGTCCTGAGTGACCTACAAAGAGACTTAGACTCCCACACAATAATAATGGGAGACTTTACCACCCCACTGTCAACATTAGACAAATCAACGAGACAGAAAGTCAACAAGGATACCCAGGAATTGAACTCAGCTCTGCACCAAGCAGACCTAATAGACATCTATAGAAATCTCCACCCCAAATCAACAGAATATACATTTTTTTCAGCACCACACCACACCTATTCCAAAATTGACCACATAGTTGGAAGTAAAGCTCTCCTCAGCAAATGTAAAAGAACAGAAATTATAACAAACTGTCTCTCAGACCACAGTGCAATCAAACTAGAACTCAGGATTAAAAACTCACTCAAAACTGCTCAACTACATGGAAACTGAACAACCTGCTCCTGAGTGACTACTGGGTACATAACGAAATGAAGGCAGAAATAAAGATGTTCTTTGAAACCAACGAGAACAGAGACACAACATACCAGAATCTCTGGGACACATTCAAAGCAGTGTGTAGAGGGAAATTTATAGCACTAAATGCCCACAAGAGAAAGCAGGAAAGATCCAAAATTGACACCCTAACATCACAATTAAAAGAACTAGAGAAGCAAGAGCAAACACATTCAAAAGCTAGCAGAAGGCAAGAAATAGCTAAAATCAGAGCAGAACTGAAGGAAATAGAGACACAAAAAACACTTCAAAAAATTAATGAATCCAGGAGGTGGTTTTTTGAAAGGATCAACAAAATAGATAAACCGCTAGCAAGACTAATAAAGAAAAAAAGAAGAATCAAATAGACGCAATAAAAAATGATAAAGGGGACATCACCACTGATCCCACAGAAATACAAACTACCATCAGAGGATACTACAAACACCTCTATGCAAATAAACTAGAAAATCTAGAAGAAATGGATAAATTCCTCGACACATACACTCTCCCAAGACTAAACCAGGAAGAAGTTGAATCTCTGGATAGACCAATAACAGGATCTGAAATTGTGGCAATAATCAATAGCTTACCAACAAAAAGAGTCCAGGACCAGATGGATTCACAGCCGAATTCTACCAGAGTTAAAAGCAGGAGCTGGTACCATTCCTTGTGAAACTATTCCAATCAATAGAAAAAGAGGGGATCCTCCCTAACTCATTTTATGAGGCCAGCATCATCCTGATACCAAAGCCGGGCAGAGACACAACAAAGAGAATTTTAGACCAATACCCTTGATGAACATTGATGCAAAAATCCTCAATAAAATACTGGCAAACCAAATCCAGCAGCACATCAAAAAGCTTATCTACCATGATCAAGTGGGCTTCATCCCTGGGATGCAAGGCTGGTTCAATATACGCAAATCAATAAATGTAATCCAGCATATAAACAGAACCAAAGACAAAAACCACATGATTATCTCAATAGATGCAGAAAAGGCCTTTGACAAAATTCAACAACCCTTCATGCTAAAAGCTCTCAATAAATGAGGTATTGATGGGACGTATCTCAAAATAATAAGAGCTATCTATGACAAACCCACAGCCAATATCATACTGAATGGGCAAAAACTGGAAGCATTCCCTTTGAAAACTGGCACAAGACAGGGATGCCCTCTCTCACCGCTCCTATTCAACATAGTGTTGGAAGTTCTGGCCAGGGCAATCAGGCAGGAGAAGGAAATAAAGGGTATTCAATTAGGAAAAGAGGAAGTCAAATTGTCCCTGTTTGCAGACGACATGATTGTATATCTAGAAAACCCCACTGTCTCAGCCCAAAATCTCCTTAAGCTGATAAGCAACTTCAGCAAAGTCTCAGGATACAAAATCAATGTACAAAAATCACAAGCATTCCTATACACCAATAACAGACAAACAGAGAGCCAAATCATGAGTGAACTCCCATTCACAATTGCTTCAAAGAGAATAAAATACTTAGGAATCCAACTTACAACGGATGTGATGGATCTCTTTAAGGAGAACTACAAACCACTGCTCAAGGAAATAAAAGAGGATACAAACAAATGGAAGAACATTCCATGCTCATGGGTAGGAAGAATCAATATCATGAAAATGGCCATACTGCCCAAGGTAATTTACAGATTCAATGCCATCCCCATCAAGCTACCAATGACTTTCTTCACAGAATTGGAAAAAACTACTTTAAAGTTCATATGGAACCAAAAAAGAGCCCGCATCGCCAAGTCAATCCTAAGCCAAAAGAACAAAGCTGGAGGCATCACGCTACCTGACTTTAAACTATACTACAAGGCTACAGTAACCAAAACAGCATGGTACTGGTACCAAAACAGAGATATAGATCAATGGAACAGAACAGAGCCCTCAGAAATAACGCCACATATCTACAACTATCTGATCTTTGACAAACCTGAGAAAAACAAGCAATGGGGAAAGGATTCCCTATTTAATAAATGGTGCTGGGAAAACTGGCTAGCCATATGTAGAAAGCTGAAACTGGATCCCTTCCTTACACCTTATACAAAAATTAATTCAAGATGGATTAAAGACTTAAACGTTAGACCTAAAACCATAAAAACCCTAGAAGAAAACCTAGGCATTACCATTCAGGACATAGGCATGGGCAAGGACTTCATGTCTAAAACACCAAAAACAATGGCAACACAAGCCAAAATTGACAAATGGGATCTAATTAAACTAAAGAGCTTCTGCACTGCAAAAGAAACTACCGTCAGAGTGAACAGGCAACCTACAAAATGGGAGAAAATTTTCACAACCTACTCATCTGACAAAGGGCTAATATCCAGAATCTACAATGAACTCAAACAAATTTACAAGAAAAAAAAAACCCCATCAAAAAGTGGGCAAAGGACATGAACAGACAATTCTCAAAAGAAGACATTTATGCAGCAAAAAAACACGTGAAAAAATGCTCATCATCACTGGCCATCAGAGAAATGCAAATCAAAACCACAATCAGATACCATCTCATACCAGTTAGAATGGCAATCATTAAAAAGTCAGGAAACAACAGGTGCTGGAGAGGATGTGGAGAAATAGGAACACTTTTACACTGTTGGTAGGACTGTAAACTAGTTCAACCATTTTGGAAGTCAGTGTGGCGATTCCTCAGAGATCTAGAACTAGAAATACCATTTGACCCAGCCATCCCATTGCTGGGTATATACCCAAAGGACTATAAATCATGCTGCTATAAAGACACATGCACACGTATGTTTATTGCATCACTATTCACAATAGCAAAGACTTGGAACCAACCCAAATGTCCAACAATGATAGACTGGATTAAGAAAATTTGGCACATATACACCATGGAATACTATGCAGCCATAAAAAATGATGAGTTCATGTCCTTTGTAGGGACATGGATGAAATTGGAAATCATCATTCTCAGTAAACTATCACAAGGACAAAAAACCAAACACCGCATGTTCTCACTCATAGATGGCAATTGAACAATGAGAACACATGGACACAGGAAGGGGAACATCACACTCTGGGGACTGTTGTGGGGTCGGGGGATGGAGGAGGGATAGCTTTAGGAGATATACCTAATGCTGAATGACGAGTTAATGGGTGCAGCACACCAGCATGGCACATGTATACATATGTAACTAACCTGCACATTGTGCACATGTACCCTAAAACTTAAAGTATAATAATAATTAAAAAAAAAGAAAAGAAACAGTAGTGAAATAACAGCAGCCACAGACTGAAAGCTTCTTGCAGGATGCTTCCATAATTATGGGGAGGGGAAGGAAACTTGAAAATGATGACAGTATGTATAAATCAGCCTTGGTGAATGATGGATGTAGACCAGATTTGCTCTGATTAGAAAAGTAAAGAATGATTACAACATCTGAACTGGAAGAATGGCTACCGTGACTCACAGGACACAGCATATAATGGTACTCATGGCTATGATTTATTACAGTGAAAGGACAAGCACAGCAGAGGGAAAAAGTGCATGGGACAAAGTCCATGTAGACCAGGCACAAACTTCCAAGGGTCCTCTGCCAGGGTAGTCACACATGATTCCCTTAATTCCCCCAGCCATGAGTTGTAACAACACATGTGAAACGTTACCAACATTAGAGACTTAGTGTCCAGGGTTCTTACTGGGGGCTGATCATGTAAGCACCCTCTGCTTGGTATTATACCCAAGTTCCAGATTCCTGTAAGGAAAGTATTGTTCATCGTAAACCACACTGTGTGGACAAATAGTTTAGATGCAGTGAGCCACACTTACCGGTTAATGATGGAAATCTTCCCAAAATCTAAGTTCCCAAGACACCAGCCAAGAGCCAACCTTGTAAGCAGGACTTTGAACATTAACTCTTTTCTGCACGGCATGGCTTTGGATTCTGTTTAAGTAGGGCAAATGGACAGAAGAACTTTTGTACCACTCTCACTCCTTCAGAATGTATGGGCACTACTGGTGGTTTTGACTGGCCCTTTATCTCCACCGTACCTAAAGAATTTTTAATGTATGGAGGTGATTGACCACATAGGCTAATGCCACTGAAAAAAGAATGTATTATTTACAGTTCCCAAGAGAGTGGGAGCATGGCATGCCACACAGAGCCACATGGTAAGCACTAGGTTTGGTCAGGAGGCAGAAAAAGTAAAAGGAAAGTAGAGCCTTTATTGTGTTTTTCTTGAGAAAGGCAAGGCAGGGCATGGGCCACAGCTTGGGATTAGCTAGTTTGAACAATGTTGGCGGGATCTGGGTGGTTTCTGATTGTCTGGTACCTGGCTCTGGATTGATTTAAGACAAGATAATTATTGGTTTTGTGTGTGAGGGTCAGATAAAGTAGGGGTGGCTGGGAATATGAACTCGGGACTGATTTGTTTGTATATGAAAGAAATGCTTTCAGGCAACTTGTTATCTCTAGGAATTAGCCCTGGGAAAAGGCAGTCTCTCTCTGGCCAGCAAAGCCCCCAAGATGTCAAAACATCATAATATATACACATGATTACTATACTGTTAGTCCCAGTTCTTATTGCACAACCACTATGTGGTCATTTACTGTCATCCTCATTTGTCTCCATTGATCAGATTTCCACACAGAGGCAGACACATCTACAAAGACCAAAGGATTGATAAAGTTGGTGTCAACTGGGACTTCTCATAGACTCCTAAGGAAAATCACTGACGAACGTGCAATGAAATGTTTTAGAAACATTTGAGAAGATGACTGGAAAGAGAGCAACAGAGATTTTAACTGGGTAGAAAGATCTATTTTAGGAGAGTGGATAAGTTATACAGGAATATTGGCTAACTATTTGGTTTTCATGAATGAGCGTATAGACTGAAATCAGTTGAGTTAGGGGAAGGGGTAGGGAAGTTTGTCACTGGTTGTTCTTAGACATGTGGGTTGAGAAGCAACTGAGAGGTATCTTTTGAGTTGGAAGATGAGGTGTTCAAAAGCATGTAAGAAAGGAGAGTCCTGTATCTGAGAGTGAGGGAATGGGAATGATTAAAGAAGCCAAGGGGTAGTTTGCAGATAGGAAGGTCAGTAAAGAGCCTTGTAGGGAAACAAGCCAGGGACAAAAAGGTGCTGGATGTTAAGAATAAAAAAAGGGAAGACAAATTCTCTAGTCTTGGCAATATGAAGAATGAAGGGCAAAACAATAGGAACAGCCCAAGTGCCCTTTGAGAGATGAGTGGATAATCAAATGTGGTCTATCCATACAGTGGACTATTCAGCCATAAAAAGGAATGAAACTGCTGATACATACAACAATAATATGGATGCATCTTGAAAACATTATGAGTGAAATAAGCCAGACACAAAAGGACAAATATTGTATGATGCCACTTATATGAGGTAGGGCAAATGCATAGAGACAGAAAATAAAATAGTGGTTAGCAGAGGTGGACAGAGAGGAGGGAATAGGAGTTATTTTTAATGACTACAGGGTTCATTTGGGTTGATGAAAAGGCCCTGGAGATAGACAGTAGTGATGGTTATACAACATCGTGAAAGTACTTAATGCCACTGAATTGTTAAAATGGTTATAGTGGTAAATTTTAGGTTATATATATTTTACCACAATGAAAAGAAAAAACCATGATGAAAAAAAGAATAAATGGCAGTTGAATAGTGACTCTGAGATAAACCTGGAGAACAAGATGGGTGGTGGTCATTTGATGACTGGTAAAGCCAATACCAAGGTCATAGACCCTGTGGGCCTATCATCTTTCTCTAGTGCCTGGCCACTGCCTCTTCTGTTACTCCTGGTTGAGTACTGTGAATGATGGTTTGAGTCCAAGGAAGACAGGAGGGAGTACTGACAGAACAATGCATGTTTATCACTTCTCCTGAAAAATAAACACCTTATGATAATGAGTCAGGAAATTGGTCTCTGTATGTGTGTGTAACACAAAGACTATACTAGTAATTAAACCATGGGGGTATAACTCTGTGAAAAATAAATTAAAGGACCAGCTACTTTTGTGGAAAGAGTACCAAATAAGGCTTTCATATCTGTGAGTTCTTGTTCTCACTTTTTCTTAATTGCTTGAGATTGGACAGGTCATTCCCCTCTCTGGATCTGTTTTCTTAATTTCCCTTCACTTTAAAATAAGGAGGTTATTTATTTTATTTCTGTTTTTAGTAGTTATTCTTAAAATTTTAAAGTCATTAGTTCTGTCTACAATTAATCAGTATCTATACCTTTGGGAATGGCACTGCTGACGGCCATCCCAAAGGTCCATCTACATCCTTTCCTTGTGGTAGTTTGCCTCCCGCTAAGGTGTGGAAGAACATAGATGCTCTCTTTGACAGCCTACCTTCCATCAGGAACCTAAGTATGTGACAGAATCCCTGCCTGGGGCTAAGGGGAAGTCTGCTGAATGGGAAAGTTGCTTGCTAGGAAATGAGACACACATGAGGAGCAATGTCACTGCTCCTCATTGTGATAGTTAACTTTGTGTGTCAACTTGGCTAGACACGGAGTGCCCAGATTAAACATTATTTCTGGTGTGTCTGTGAAAGTACTTCTGGCAAGATTAGCCTTTGAATCAATGGACTTAGTAAAGCAGGTTGACCTCCTCATTGTGGGTACGCATCATCCACTCCGTTGAGGGCCTGAAAAGAACAAAAGGCAGAGGAAGGAGGAATCCCCCTCTTCCTGCCTGACTGGTTAGCCAGGACCATCCATCTTCTCTTGCCCTTGACATTCCTAGTTCTCAGGCTTTCCCGCCTGGACTAGAATCTACATATTGGCTCCTCCGGTTCTCAGGCCTCTGTATTTGGGTCTGAAATACACCACAGGCTCTCCGGGTTTCTAAATTGCAGATGGCAGACATGGAACTTCTCAGCCTCCATAGTTGTTCAAGCCAATTCCCTATAATAATTTTTTTTTTTTTTTGAGATGGAGTCTGGCTCTGTCGCCCAGGCTGGAGTGCAGTGGTGCAGTCTCGGCTCACTGCAAGCTCCGCCTCCTGGGTTCACGGCATTCTCCTGCCTCAGCCTCCCGAGTAGCTGGGACTACAGGCACCCGCCACCACGCCTGGCTAATTTTTTGTATTTTTAGTAGAGACGGGGTTTCACCGTGTTAGCCAGGATGGTCTCGATCTCCTCATCTCGTGATCTGCCTGCCTCGGCCTCCCAAAGTGCTGGGATTACAGGCATGAGCCACAGCGCCCGGCCAATAAATTTCTTAATGTATACATATATATGAAGATATATAGTCTGGGCACAGTGGCTCATGCCTGTAATCCCAGCACTTTGGGAGGCTAAGGCTGGCAGGTCACCTGAGCTCAGGAGTTCTTGACCAGACTGGGCAACATGGCGAAACCCTGTCGCTACTAAAAATACAAAATTAGCCAGGCCTCGGGGGTGGCTCACGCCTATAATCTCAGCACTTTCGGAGGCCGAGGTGGGTGGATCACTTGAGGTCAAGAGTTCAAGACCAGCCTAGCCAACATGGTAAAACCCCGTCTCTACTAAAAATACAAAAATTAGGCGGGCGTGGTGGTGGGTGCCTGTAGTCCCAGCTACTTGGGAGGCTGAGGCAGGAGAATCGCTTGAACCTGGGAGGCGGAAGTTGCAGTGAGCTGAGATCACACCACTCTACTCCAGCCTAGGCAACAGAGTGAGACTCTGCCTCAAAAAAAAAAAAAAACAAAAAAAAAAAAACAACTAGTAATCTCCTGTGTACCTATACCTTACTCTCCTCCTGTTACAGTGGACAAACTGTCCAAGCTCCTGCTCAAGGACTACCCCTCCATTTGTGCACAGATTCCATCCTCTTCTGCCTAATCAAGGACATCACGCTCTCTTTGTTCATTGTCATCATTTGCTGTCTCTGGATTATTTTCTCTCTCTGGCTTATTCCCACCAGCATTGTATATATAGTTCAATATCTCCCATTCAAAACAGAACAACAAAATCCTTTTTTTTTTTCCTTTTCTTTTCCTTTCTTTTTTTTTTTTGGAGACAGAGTTTCCCTCTGTTGCCCATGCTGGAGGGCAGTAGTGCGATCTCGGCTCACTGCAACCTCTGCCTCCTGGGTTCAAGCAATTCTCCTGCCTCAGCCCCCAGAGTAGCTGGGACCACAGGTGCCCACCACCACGCCCGGCTATTTTTTTTGTATTTTTAATAGAGACAGGGTTTCACCATATTGGCCAGGCTGGTCTTGAACTCCTGACCTTGTGATCCACCCACCTTGGCCTCCCAAAGTGCTGGGATTACAGGCATGAGCCACTGCTCCCGGCCCAAAAATCTTGTTTACTCCATCTCCCAGACCAGTCACTACTCCATTTCCTTGCTTGTGTTATGCCACAATTCTTTGAAATATTTCTCTATACTTCACATTCTTCACTCTACTTCCTCATTCTCTCTTGACTTCACTGAATTCAGGCTTTTGTCTCTGCTACTTTTCAGAGATGCTTATCGAAGTCACCCATGACTTCCATGTTACCGCATCCAATGGCCAATTCTCAGCATACATTTTTTTTAACCCATCAAGAACATTTGGCACAATTGTTACTCTCTCACTAAAACATTTTAGTCATTCCTTTCTATACTCTTCTCTCTTATTTGTCTTCCTACATATATTGGGGCTCTTCCTCAATCTCTTTTGTGGGTCGTTTTCAACTTCCTGACCACTAAATGCTGGAGTGCCTAAAATGTTGGAGCATCTCAGGGCTCAGTCTTCAGAACTCTTCTGTTTACCAGTCTACATTCCTCAGGTGATTTTATTTAATTAAATTCCATCTCTACTATGATGAATTCCAAATAACTCCCCCCAGAATGATAGTTCAGTTCACCCAACAGTCTAGTAGACTTCTAGGTTTGGTTGTCTAATGGACATCTCAAAACTGCTTCTCTCATTGCTTTTCATTCTCAGTAAATGGCGCCTCTATTGTTTCAAAAGCTCTGGCCAAAAATCTTGGAGTCATTCTTGATGCATTTTTAAGCAGCAGATGCCTCTTTGTAGAACTTCTGCTACCATCACTGCCCAACTCTCACCCATATTATTGCAGCAGAATCTAAATATGTTAAATATTAAATTTGGCTATGAGGAGACTGTTTACAAAAGTATTCCTTTTTGGATTAGAATGATTCAGCAAGTTTATTTAATACTACAAGTGAATAATGGATTTAACTCTAAGATCTCTTTCCTAGTGCAATCACAATACACTTATTGATTGCTTCTTTTTCCTACCACCATTATTCTTCCCTACCTTTGTGAATAATGGCAATAAAAGCTAGGTCTACTCCTCATTTTTCCTGAAACATTGCTCCTAATTCTTAACAATGCTTCCCCAGGACAGGCACATGACTTCCCATTTTTATTTCCATTTATACAGCCCTACAAAGGGTACTGCTGAAGACTGTCCTGGTTCAACCTTGATATCTCCTACCTTTAACAAACCAGAGGGAATCTGAAATTGCAGGAACAGCAGGCAGCCATAACCTGACCCTTGCTTGGCCCCTCACAGAGCTGAATACTGTGGCATGCATTAAATATTCAGCAACCTATTCCCAGTTTAAAACAGACAGAGGTGATCTTTTCAGACTGTCTAGTGGGCCTGCATTGCAACTGAAGAATGACTTTCCTGCTTCATTAAACATTTAGGCTACTTCTTGGTGCAGCTGCCTGTTATCATGACAGCAAATAGAGTATGGTAGCTTAGACTCCCTCTCTTTTTAGTACATGAAAACTTTCATCGCATTTTTATTGATGATCTATGGCAAAGGTGACAGGAAGGGGATGACAGTGTCAATTGTCAGAAAATTGGAACAGATTCTCAAGAAACAAGTGTTAGACCTTTCAAATATGTAGGAGGCTTGGCAATGGCATTACGACCATCTATTTTAGTTTTGAAATGCATTCTCTCTTGCTCTGTGGTCTCGATGAAAGCATGAGAGATTTCTAAGAGCATAGCTAAAACTGTGAAAAAACTTTATTCATATTAATAATGGCCTAAAATACACTAAAACTTTAAGCTCTTCTTGTATATTAACTTGTTCCTTTGCATTTGGAGCTATCTGGCCCTCCTAAATTTTTACCATCATTATTTCAAGATTATAATTTTGCCCTATTGTCATAAGGATCCACTTATGATTTGGGCTGTCACCTTCTGCTTTTGTAGCATGTATTCAAACTCAAGAAAGAGCTGAGTGCACTGGGAACTCAAAGAACCTGTGCTTGACTGATCTAGTTAGTTGATAACAAAACCATGAACTACTCTATATTTGTAAAGTGAAATTTGAAACCATGAACTACTCTCTATTTGTAAAGGGCTTTGAAATTGTGCTCACAACTTTCTCAGTGTATAAGAGACCATTTTGCATTTCTTCTACAAAAACCAATGAAAATGTAAAAGATGTTAAGTATAAATTCATTTTAAATGTAAAGCCTCAAATTATTTTCTTTGTGTGTCACTTTCTCTCCCTTCCATTCATCAATCTATCTTTGCATTGTAGCTTCTTCCTCATGATCACATAGAAGCAATTCCAAAAAGTCTTCTGTGCAAATATCATATGCTACTCCATTTTTTTTTTAATTGTTGTTCAAATTCTACTTTGGAGCAGAGGCTCTTTATTTTTTTAAAAAAACTGGTTTAATGTAATTTGTCGTAAGAGACATTTCAATGGATAATGTTGTTTTGGCCTAATCCTTCTACGTTCTTCTGGTTCTTAAATATCATTTGGTAATAAAATTTTCAGGCTGGATCTGATTTCAGATTATTTAACTTCCTTATTTTATAGATGTGACACTGAGGTCTAGACAGGTGGCATGCACTGCCTGACGGTTGTTTAAATCCTTCTCACTGTTCTCAGTTTTCTGTCCCATGGGATAATATTTTCGTATTTGTCCTCATAACCTTGTCCTTTATGACGTTTCACTTTGTTCCGCTTACCACGACCTTTTCCAGGACATGTCTTCCTGGGTCGTGCACATCTTCCTTGCACCCCCTCCCCCACCCCCGCCGCCAACCACCCCATCATTTCTAGCTCCATCATTTTGTGTAGGGGATGATTTGACCCTTGACACCTGGTTCTTCTAATTTTCTGCCCTAAATAAATTTATTAAGCCAAGAAGCAATTATGTGTAAATAATGCCCACTTCCTCCGATGGTAGAGTCACAAAGTGTTTTCTGAGTCTAGTCCTTATATCAGAGGGTTTCCATCCATCCAATCTCTATCCCTTGCTCCTGCGAACCATGTAGAAATAACACACAGAATGTGGACATCAAGCAACTTAAATTTTTTCCTGCCTCCTTCTGTTAATGTCCAAATTCACCAGTTATATTTTAAACTTTCTGCTTTATTTTTGTGTCACAAATTTTTTCTATTCAAAATATGTGGTAAGAATTATCACTGGCCTGGCTGCCATGCATACTTCTTCAATAAAATCCCACTTCTCCACTTTCTTTTGTGGTTTTGCATTTTGCTTTATTAACTCTTGCTTCAGATTCTCTGGGTTATCAGATACGCATGTCAATCCAGAACACCAGTTTATTGATTTTCACGGGAAACATAAAATACCCAGAATCAGTATCTCTTTCCCTGGACAAGCCTGGCTTAACCTCACACACCTGGTCCTTTGACTCACTTTTTTATCTAGATTTTGGGCTGAACAGGTTTCCTCAGCATGTCAGATTATGGTACAGTGGAGTAAAGTACTGCATTCTTCGGCCACATTCCAGGCCGAGATCTCTACCCTGCTCACCCTGATAGAGCTTTGCCAGCACCGGCACATGACGTGAAATAAGTGACTCTTAACATGTTTATTTAAGTGGATCTATTTTAATTTTCAAGTTCCCAGCAACATTTTTGCAGTGAATATTTGCTTGGTTATTCTAAATTTTGCTTAATTTCTTCCACTATATTTATAGTTTCCCTCCAAAGGGCCTTTTCTAGTTTTTGTTTTTGTTTTTGTTTTGAGACAGTGTCTCATTCTGTCGCCCAGGCTGGAGTGTAATGGCATGATCTCGGCTCACTGCAACCACCATCTCCCGGGTTGAAGACTTCTCCCTGCCTCAGCCTCCTGGGTAGCTGGGATTACAGGCACCTGCCACCACACCTGGCTAATTTTTTAGTAGAGATGGGGCTTCACCATGTTCGCCAGGCTGGTCTTGAACTCCTGACCTCAGATGATTCACCCGCCTCAGCCTCCCAAAGTGCTGGGATTACAGGCATGAGCCACCGTGCCCAGCCACTTTTCTAGTTCTTGACTCTCCTTCTTTTAAACATTTATCTGGGCTGGGCGCAGTGGCTCACACCTATAATCCCAGCACTTTGGGAGGCCGAGGCGGGCAGATCACTTGAGGCCAGGAGTTCGAGGCTAGCCTAGCCAACATGGCAAAACCTTGTCTCTTTTAAAAATACAAAAAAAATAGCCAGGTGCGGAGGTTGCAGTGAGCTGAGATCATGCCACTGCGCTCCAGCCTGGGTGACAAAGCGAGACTCTGTCTCAAACAAAAACAAACAAACCAAAAAACATAAAGATTTATCTCAAGTTTTAGCCAGACAACTAATTCTGGCTCCGATATTTAGTAATGTCAGTACTCTCCAGTTTTTATTATAGTCATGTGCTGAGTAAAATTTCGGTCAACAACAAACTACTTAAACAACAGTGGTCTCATAATACCATTTTTTTTAACTGTGCTTTCTGTGTAGGTATATTTAAATACACAAATACCATTGTGTTACAGCTGCTTACAGTATCCAGTACAGTAACATGCTGTGCAGATCTGTAGTCTAGGAGCAATAGGCGACACCACATAGCCTAGGCGTACCTCGGCTGCACTATCTCGGTTTGTGTAAGTACACCCTATGATTGGACAACAATGGAATCATATAATGACATGCTTCTCAGAACATTTCTCCGTCATTAAGTGATGCATGACTGTACTCTCCCTATTTACTTTTATAATTAACCTTTACCAGCATTCTTTGTTTCACTTGGTTGTTCTTTCCGTTACTGTTCTCTATAGACCCCTCTCTGCCTTCCATCTGGATGAAAATCCTGGGGATAAAGAGTGGTCTCAAGTTTCACGGTACAATAGCAATGTTATCCCCCACTTATCTGGTTACCAAAGCACATCTCCACTCTCAATTAGCAACTTAGAACTGCAAGTAGAACTGCAGGAGATTTCTTTGCTGGCCCTTGTATACTGTTCCTGGCTTCTGTCCTCTCTCTAGCTTTTAACGAAGCTTGGCATAGAGAAGTGCCATTTAGGCTGTGGGTCTTCCTAGCACTTCAGCTTCCTGCACTTGACCAGAAGCCAACAGACTTGGACCATGATGGTTCGGGTCAAGGTAGTTTTATTAATAACCATCTGGAGAACTCAGTCCCATGGAGTCTGTCTGCTCTGGCTGTAAAATAGCTTTCAGGGAATTTTCCAACACATGACTTAGTCACTGATATGAAATCACATGTGAGAAGTGCCCCTTAGACTCCACGGTTGGTGCTCCTGGAGCGTTTTGTACCTCAGTCACATTTTCCATTGTTTCAGAGCTTCCTATGTAGTTGCTCCTCCCCCCTCCCTCTCCCTCGGTAACTGGACTTTTCTGGGGTGCAGGGTCCCTGACTTACTCATCTCTACACTGCCTGCAGCACTGTGCCCTAGAAGGAGTGGAGTAAATGTCTGTATAAGGAATTTCACAAAATATTTTATAGAATTGGGATTGAGAATGAGCAGACCTTTAGGGGTGGTGAAGAGCCGTTAGGGTAGCAAAAGAGCTATCCATAACTGTGAGAGGTTTGAAAATCTGTTCTGAAATTCCTATCGCAAGGGATGCATGTCCTTTGAAATCTTACTTAAAGGAAAGGAGGCTGAGTGTTTGAATCCAGTTGTCTTAGGACATACACGTGACCTACAGGCAGTAGCTGATGAGGCGAGGGAAAAGGAGCTGCAGTGACTTGCTTCATCCTCAACAATCCATTTTTCTAGCCCCGTCTTTCCAACTTCTTAGTTTAAATGATTCCTCTTAGGGGAAATTTAAACCCTCTTTAATTAGGAAAGAGAAAATATGAGATGGAGAGAGAAACTATCACAGGGAGGGGTGTGGCATTCTGAAGAAGTGTTTGTTCTTTGAAATATATTACAGTATAGATTTGCATTTTCTGAGCAGGAATGTTTAGTTTTCCTTGAGGGAGGATTAGGGCAGTCGCAGCAGGAATACAAGGAGAAAGATTCGAGTCTAGGATTCAGTCTTAGACTTCTAGAGGAGGACTTCCGGGTCTGCAGAAAAGCGCTAGTTTTGAAAGGCAAGCTTTGTGGAGAGAGAATTTCTTTAGCATCTATTGAGAGCTGTCCTGGTGGACTAGATTATAATAAACAGCAGGGACAGAGAGAAGTAGCCAATGACAGGGGAGGAGGAACGTGTGAGAGAGGATGGAAGATAGACGGAGGGGAAGCAGGCAGTAAGACATGTCCTGACCACTCCTTTACGGGCTGATGGCTGGGGAGAGGAGCCATGGCAAATCAGTGGACACAAAAGCAAAGGGGTTCGTGTCCTGCCCCACTCTGGATCCCCTGGGAGGATGGCATTGGGAGATATACCTAATGCTAGATGACGAGTTAGTGGGTGCAGTGCACCAGCATGGCACATGTATACATATGTAACTAACCTGCACAATGTGCACATGTACCCTAAAACTTAAAGTATAATAAAAAAAATTGAGGGATTCTGGGAGGATGTAGGACTAGCTGGAGCCTGAGGTCAGGATGAAGAAGCTGCAGAGCAAGTGACTGGCACGCTGGAGCCAGGCGGTGGATGACAGAATGCTGTCCCCAGTGGGTAGACAGATGGGCCTGCTGACCCTCAGCAGTCACCAGTGTGGGGCATGAGCTGGACCCTAGAAGGAAGATGGAGAGAAACCAGCCAGCAGAGAGGGTATCTTTAGGTGGGGCAGTCATTTACTCAATCCAGGTATTACATAATAGCCCTTTTGAGGTCAAGAGATTTGTATTTTTTGGCTGAGAAACTGAGGCTCTTGAAGTGAGGGTAATTCACCCAAGTTCATCCAGGGGCCTGCAGACTCAGGGCTAAGTTCTGTGTTCAACCTCAGCAGTTCATCCCACGTGCTTAACGTCAGTTTCTCTGCTCCTTTGAAGTTTTTATTTTTTTCTGGATTCTACATTTAGATGTCTCATTTAATCTCCAAAGACGTTCATAATTCTTCTGAGATACATACTCCAAACAAATAAAATGTAGTATGGTTTGTCCTTATAGTAATAACTCAATCCATCACCTTTTAATAAAAATGCTGTAGTAATCCCCAGTGGAAAATCCCATACAGTAGAAAATTGGTTTTTGGGGAAACCCTCGATTAGTTCTCCCAGTTGATTTTATGATTCATTCATTTGGAGCTTATTGGATTTACATTTTAGACTCCAAAATTAAAAAGTAATAATTAAACTCAGCAGAATATTGAATTTTTCAAATTCATAGCACTTTGTTAATTTTCAATTTTTCTTTCTTTTGCTTATGGTCAGAGTCTACGATAAAGATCTTATCACACTGTGTATTTTCCTCATTCATTCATGCAAACTACAAGAAAGTTCATTTCTTTTTTTTTGAGACGGAGTTTTGCTCTTGTTGCCCATGCAATGGCGCGATCTCGGCTCACCACAACCTCCGCCTCCCGGGTTCAATCTATTCTCCTGCCTCAGCCTCCTGAGTACCTGGGATTACAGGCATGTGCCACCATGCCTGGCTAATTTTGTATTTATAGTAGAGATGGGGTTTCTCCATGTTGGTCAGGCTGGTCTCGAACTCCTGACCTCAGGTGATCTGCCTGCCTTGGCCTCCCAAAGTGCTGGGATTACAGGCTTGAGCCACTGTGCCCGGCTGAAAGTTCATTTCTTAATCAAAATTTTGTCATAATTTGTATCCATTAATTTTTTCTTAACAGTTAAAAAATACATATTTGTAGACTCCTGGTTCCTCTCTTTCATGTAAAGAGCTCGGAATCACTGTTTCATCCTAGTAACCAGTAAAACCTGAACAGACTAAAAAGTCAAGAAGTCTTCTTGGTCTGTGAGAGGGGAGGACACAGGGCAAATTGTTGTTTGAGAGAATGGAGAGATAGGCAAATACAGGGAGACACAGCTTACTGGAGCAAAGACTCACGCCCAGGTGGAAACTGCCATGGGAACCAGTGCCACAGTAGGAAAACCTTAACTGTAATCGATGAATTCTTAGAGATGTAGTGTGGACAGCTCTGACTTTTAAAAACTCCAGGGGCCAGGCATGGTGGCTCATGCCCATAATCTCAGCACTTTGGGAGGCTGAAGTGGGAGGATTGCTTGAGCCCAGGAGTTCGAAACCAGGCTGAGCGACATGGTGAAACCCTCTTTCTACCAAAAAAACAAAAATGCTCCAGGAGGACCTGGTCATGTGGGGGTGGGGGCTATTTTACAATGTTTTACAATATTGTGAAATTTCTCTCCAAGAGCTTGAGCAGGTACCAGAGAAAAATCGCCTTGTGCTTTTGGCAAAGGGACGGGAAAATGAACCATGTGGAAATATGCCAGGGCACTTTGTTCTTAATACCAATGTTTGCTATCAGGAGAAACTGGTTGACCGGAACCTAATCTGCTGGGATATTATCAAAGCCTAACAGGTGGGGGTGGGGAATACCCAATTCCAGTCAGTTTTAGCATTTCATGTGGAAGAAGGGAAATACCCAACTCCAGCCCACTGTAGTCATCCTGTACCACCTAAGAGGGGAGGGAAAAAACTGAGAAACACTTGTGAAGTTCACAGCCCAGAGTGAGTCATAGGACCACTAAGACCGAGATCTAATTATAGCACTATAGCATGCTGCCCCTGCACCTATACCTTACCACCACATTACAAAAGGACTATTTACAGCACTTCCTTTGACCCAACACATTGTGTCCAGCTATCAGGAAAAAATTACAAGGCATCCTAAAAGGCAACAAACAAAAACAGAAAAACAAAAAACACACCACAGAGCAAGCATCAGTACCAGGCATGGCAATGATGTTGGAATTATCAGATCAGGAATTTAAAACAACTATGATTAATGTGCTAAGGGCTCTACTGGGTAAAGTAGACAGCTTGCAAAAACAGATGGGCAATGTAAGCAGAGAGATGGAAATTCTAAAAAAGAACAGAAAAGTAATGCTTAACGGAAATGAAGAATGCCTTTCATAGGATTACTAGTAGACTGGACATGGCCGGGGAAAGAATCTCTGAGCTTGAGATATATCAATAGAAACTTTGAAAACTGAAAAGGAAAGAAAACAAAGATTGAAAAAAACTAAATAGAATATCCAAGATCTATGGGACAACTGCAAAGGAGTAACACGCATGCAATGGGAATACCAGAAGAAGAAAGGGGAACAGAAGAAATACTTGAAACAATAATGACTGAGAATTTCCCCCTATTAACATCAGACACCAAACCACAAATCCAGGAAGCTCAGAGAACACTTAGCAGGATACATGCCAAAACACCTACACCTAGGCATATCATTTGCAAACTACAGAAAACTAAAGATAAATAAAAAATCCTGCTGCTGAAGACCAGGAGTTCAAGGCTACCGTGAGCTGTAATCACGCCATTACACTCCAGCCTGGGTGATAGAGTAAGACCTTGTCTCTAAAAATAAAGAAATTAAAGAAAAAAAGGATAAAATCCTGAAATAAGCCAGAGGAAAAGAACACGTCACTTATAAAGGATTAAAAAATAAGAATTGCATCCTGCTTCTCCCCAGAAAGCATGCAAGTCAGAAGAGAATGGAGTGAAATATTTAAAGTGTTGAAAGAAGCTGGGTGCAGTGGCACATGCCTGTAATCCTAGTTACTTGGGAGGCTGAGGGAGGAGAATCACTTGAGGCCAGGAGTTCAAGGCCAGCCTGGGCAACATAGTGAGATTCTGTCTCTAAAAAAATGGAAAAAAAATTATATCAGAAATGAAAGAGGGGTCATTACTACATACCCAAGGACATTAAAAGGATAACAAAAAAATACTATGAACAACTCTATACCCACAAATGTGATAACCTAGAGGAAATTGATTAGTTCCTTGAAATACGCAAGTGTGCAAAACTCAAACAAGAAGAAATGGACTATTTGAGTAAGTCTATATCTATTAAAGAAATTGAATCAATAATCAGCTTCCAAAACAGAAATCACAGGCCCAGATGGGTTCACTAGTGAAATCCACAAACATTTAAGGAAAATATGATATCAGTTCTTTACAACCTCTTTGACAGGATATAAGCAGAGGGAATACTTTTTTTTTTTTTTTTTTTTTGAGACTGAGTCTCACTCTGTTGCCAGTTGGAGTGCAGTGGCGTGATCTCGGCTCATTGCAACCTCTGCCTCCCGGGTTCAAGTGATTCTCCTGCCTCAGCCTCCTGAGTAGCTGGGACTACAGGCATGTGCCACCACACCTGGCTAATTTTTATATTTTTAGTAGAGATGGGGTTTCACCATGTTGGCCAGGATAGTCTCGATCTCTTGATCTTGTGATCCACCCGCCTTGGCCTCCCAAAGTGCTGGGATTACAGGCATGAGCCACTGCACCCGGCCCAGAGGGAATACTTTCTAACTCATTATATGAGGCTAGCATTACTCTAATACTGAAGCCAGGCAAAGACATTACAAGAAAACTATAACCAGTATTTCTGATGAATGTAGATGCAAAAATCCTCAAAAAAATTAGCAAATCAAATCCAACAATGTGTAAAAGAATTATACACCATGACCAACTGAGATTTATCCCAGCTATTTCCAGACCTGTTCAACATTTGAAAATCAATTAATCCATCATATCAAAAAGCTTAAAAAGAAAAAAAATCAGTGATTTATATCAATAGATGCAGGAAGAGCATTTGACAAAATCCACACTCATCCACAATAAAAATTCTCAGTGAACCAGGAACAAAGGAGAACTTTTCAGTGTGATAAAGAATATCTACAGAAAATGTACAGCTATATCATGCTTTATGGCGAGAAAAAGCTTTCCCCCTAAGATCAGAAAGAAAGCAAGGATGTTGCCTCTCACAACTCCTTTTCAAAATGGTACTTGAAGTTACTAATGCAATAAGACAAGAAAAGGAAATAAAACTTAAACAGTTTGGGAAGGAAGAAATAAACTCGTGTTCATAGATGTCATGATCATCTATGTAGAACATCCAAAAGAATTGACAAAAAACAAACTACTAAAACCATGAAGTGATTATAGCAAGGTTGCAGGGTACTAGGTTAACATATAAAAGTCAATTGCTTTCCTGTATTCTAGCAACAAACAAATGGAATTTGAAATTAAAAACACAATACAAATGTAAATATTACATTAACACCTCCACAAATAAAATATTTAGCTATAAACCTAACAATGTATGAAATCTATGTGAGGAAACCTATAAAACTCTGAATGGACTCAAAGAACTACATAAATTGACTGATATTCCATGTACATGGATAGGAAAACTAATTCCACTAAGATGTTGGTTCCGACCAGGAGCAGTGACTCACGCCTGTAATCCCAGCAATTTGGGACACTGAGACAGGCAGATCTCGAGCTGAGGAGTTTGAGACCAGCCTGGGCAACATGGCAAAACCCTGTCTCTACAAAAAATATAAAACTTAGCCAGGCATGATTGCATGCACCTGTAGTCCCAGCTACTTGGGGGCTGGAGGCAGGAGGATTGCTTGAATCCAGAAGATTGAGGCTGCAGTGAGCTGTGATCATGCCACTGCACTCCAGCCTAGGTGACAAAGTGAGACTCTGTCTCCAAAAAAAAAAAAAAAAAAAAAAAAAAGTTCTTTTCAACTTAATCTATACATTCAATGCAATCTCAATCAAAATCCCAGAAACTTATTTTGAGGCTATTAACAAACTGATTCTAAAGTTTATATGAAGAAACAAAATATCCAGAATAGTCAACACAATTTTGAATGAGAATAACAAAGTTTGAGGACTGACACTGCCTGACTTCAAGACTTACTATAAACTACAGTAATCAAGACAGTGTGGCATTGCCAAAAGAACAGGCAAATAGATCAATGGAACAGAACAGACAATCCAGAAATAGACCCATATAAATCTAGTCATCTTACATTGGCAAAGGAGCAAAGGCAATACAATGAAGAAAGACAGTCTTTTCAACAAATGATGCTGGAACAACTGGAATTCCACGGGCCAAAAAAAAAAAAAAAATTAAACATAGACCTTACACCCTTCACAGAAATTAACTCAAATGGATCACAGACCTAAATATAAAATGGAAAACTATAAAAGTCCTAGAAGGTAACACAGGAGAAAATCTAAATGACCTTGGGGATAGAGATTACTTTTAAGATATAACACCAAAGGCATGATTTGTGGAAGAAATGGTAAGTTGGACTTTATGAAAATGAGAAAGTGCTCTGTGAAATACAATGTTGAGAAAATGAGAAGACAAGTCATAGACTAGGAGAAAATATTTGCAAAAGTCTTATAAGAGACTATAATCCAAAATATACAAAGAACTCTTAATATTCAAGAATAAGAAAACAAACAAACAAGCAGTATTGGGTTCACAGCAAAATTAAAGAGGAATGTAGAAATTCCTCTTTGGCCCATAAAAAATGGGCGAAATACCTTAACAGATATCTCACCAAAGAAGATATACAGATGACAAATAAGCATATAAAAAGATGCTCCGGCCAGGTATGGTGGCTCACGCCTGTAATCCCAGCTACTTGGGAGGCTGAGGCAGGAGAATTGCTTGAACCCAGGAGGCCGAGGTTGCAGTGAGCCAAGATCACTCCACTGCACCCCAGCCTGGGCGACAGAGAAAGACTCCACCTCAAAAAAAAAAAGATGCTCCACATCACATGTTATCAGGGAAACACACACACAAAAAACAAATACCACTACATGCCTATCAGGATGGCCGAAATCTGTAATACTGACAAATGCTGGCCAGAATGTGGACCAACAGGAGCTCTCATTCATCGCTGGTGGGGATGCAAAATGATGCAGCCACTTTGGAAGACAGTTGCCAGTTTCTTACAAAACTAAACATTCTCTTTTACAGTCCAGCAATTGTGTTCCTTGGTATTTACTCAAAGGAGTTAAACTTACGTCCACACAAAACTTGTGCGTGGGTGTTTATAGCAGTTTATTCATAACTGTCAAAACTGGGAAGCCACCAAGATGTCCTTCAGTAGGTGGGTGGATAAATAAACTATAGTACACACAGGTAATGGGAATATATTTCAGAACTAAAAGGAAATTCGCTATCAAGCCATGAAAAGACATGGAGAAAACTCAAACGTGTATTACTAAGTGAAAGAAGCCAATCTGAAAAGGCTACATTCTGTAAAATTCCAACTATATGGCATTCTGAAAAGGCAAAACCATGGAGACAGTAAAAGGACCAGGGGTTTCCAAGGGTTAGGGAGGATGAATATGGAGTACAGAGGATTTTCAGGACAGAGAAAATGCACTGTATGATACTAAAATGATAGGTTCGTGTCATTATACATTTTTCCAAACCCACAGAATGTACAACACCAAGAGTGAACCCTAATGTAAACTATGGACTTTGGGTGATTATAATCTGTCAATGTAAGTTCATCAGTTAGAATAGATGTACCTCTGAGGTGGGGGATGTTGATAATGGGGGAGCCTATGTCATGTGTGGGGGGAGGGGATATATGGGAAGTCTCTACATTCCTCTTTAATATTGCTGTGAACCCAATACTGCTTAAAAATAGTCTTAAAAATACATGCATATGTGTGTCTATGTGTGTATTTTTGCCACAAGAAAAAATATAAAGGAACAGGTGGTGAATGAGTTAGCTCTAGACCTACAAAAGAGTCACATTCTGCAGTGGTTCTGACTTAGAGCAGAGGATTTAGGGAACTGGGAAGTACAAACGATCACAAGCCAATATCTACTGAGACTCCTCTACTCCCCATCTCCTCTCTGCCAGCATTTCCCCAGCGCATTCAAGTGCAAAACCTGTGAGATCAGGAGAAGTGGAGGGAGGTACATGTTGACTGAAAAAAAAAATCAGATTAGATGCCACTCCTCTTATTTTGTTGGGAGATAAAATATTGGTTCACATTTTATCTCTATATAGATTTAAATATGTTTTTATCTTTATCGATTTAGGGGGTAAAGTACAGATTTCTTACATATGTTGCATAGTGGCGGATTCTGGGCTTTCAGTGTACCTCTCATCCTAATACTGGAATAATAAATAATCCACATTATTTAATGTTTAATATATAATATACCATATATTATAAATTAATATATTAATATTATATATTATTTTTTATATATTTAAGTTGAACTTTAAAATTCATTGGTGGACCATGTATTTTGCTATCTTAGAAATGAGGCTAAAGGTTACCATGTAGGGAATTATGCTGAGGCATTCATAAGTCTGGCACAGGTAATGAACTTGATAGAAATAATTGCTTGATAGAATTGGTTTTGGAAATTGCTGAATTTTTATTTAAATTTCAAAGTATTGGGGCTGGTCATGGTGGCTCAGGTCTGTAATCCCATCATTTTGGGAGGCCTAGGTGGGTGAATCACCTGAGGTCAGAGGAGTTCAAGACCAGCCTGGCCAACATGGAGAAACCTCATCTCTACTAAAAATGTAAAAATTAGCTGGGTGTGGTGGTGGGCACCTGTTGTCCTAGCTACTCTGGAGGCTGAGGCAGAAGAATTGCTTGAACCTAGGAGGCAGAGGTGGCAGTGAGCCGAGATCGCACCATTGCACTCCAGCCTAGGTGACAAAGGAAGACTCCATTTCAAGAAAAAAAAAATTGGGAATGACTAAAAATACATTTTTAGCACTAGGTGAATGGCTATATTTGTCTACTCCACAGCCATGCACAGGGCTCCACCTAAATTTTAAAATATGGGAACCAGAGCTTGGTAAATGTTCTTTGCTGGACACTGGGATCTTTAAAATAGGACAATAGAACTACATATCATGATCCCAAGAGGATTATATGCATATCACTAGGGATTTAAATATAATGAGTCTTAGGAAATGATCACCATTCTTAAGAAAAAGAACATTCTTGTAATATGTGCAAATTCAACAGAAGTTAGAATATGCAAAGAGTACATATTTTGCTGATTTTTAAATAAAACCTTTAGTATAACTTTTAAAGATGTATTTAGAAATTATAGCAGAATTGCAACAGCATTACAGAAAGTTGAAAAATGGAGGAAAAAGTTCCTCCTGGGAACCAACATCAGAACTGACATCATTTTGCTGTGTTAAGTCAGTAATTTCTCAGTTGACCTCCAAATTGGAATCACCTGGGGAGCTTGTTAAACAGCAGATCTTGGTTCCTTCTGAGTCAGAATCTCTGTGGGTAGGACCCAATGGATTTATAGCTTTAATAAGCTCTGTGGCTGATTCTGATCTGCAGCTGGGAGATTAACTTGTTCAGCTGCCTAGATTATTCTACCACCAGTTCATCCTGGAGGGCCCATCCCAGGCTTTGCTGCAGAGATTGTCTCTGCTTAAGAGAAGCCACAGAAGGCTTAAAACAGGAGTTGACCTGATCTTACTCACTTGTATAAAGCCCTGGAGTAGAATCTGAAAGGAATAAACCTTGGAGTCAGGGAGAGCAATTATGAAGCATGGTGAGGATAGAGAGATGTGGATACATTTGAGGGAAATTTAGAAGGTAAAATCTGGTAGAACTCGCTGACAACTGGATTTAAGAAGGAAAAAATCAAGACATCGTCCAGGCTTAGGGACAGAACACATGGTAACAACTATTTGAGACAGGACACACAGGAACCTTATTTATATAAATTTTTATTATAATTTGTCTGAAATATTTTTCCAAAAGTGGTATTTAAATATGCATCTGAATTAAGACAAAAAATACAACTTACCTTAAATTTTAAGGTAATCTTTAAGAGGGAAAAATAGTCACTTTACAGTAGAGAGACTAGGCAGACACCACCTTAACCAAGTGATCCAAATTGATGTCACCAGGAATAAGACATATGAACACCATGTGCCCCCAATAGGATGCACTGAGAAGAGCACAATGTCACATCTGGGGTATTCTTGCTAAAACTGCATAACCTTGGCTGGTGCGCGGTGGCTCGTGCCTGCAATCCTAGCACTTTCGGAGGCCGAGGGGCGTGGATCACCTGAGGTCAGGAGTTCGAGACCAACCTGGTCAATATGGTGTAACCCTGTCTCTACTAAAAATATAAAAATTACCTGGGTGTGGTGGTGGGCGCCTGTAATCCCAGCTACTCGGGAGGCTGAGGCAGGAGAATCGCTGGAACCCAGGAGGTGGAGGTTGCAGTGAGCTGAGATCACACCACTGCACTCCAGCCTGGGTGACAAGAGGGAAACTCTGTCTAAATAAATAAATAAATAAATAAATAAATAATAACACTTAGTTTAAAACACATATATTGTACAGCTATACAAAACTATTCTTTTTTCATGTATATATATTTTTTTAAACTTTTTTTGTTAACTAAGACACAAACACACACTTTAGCCTAGGCCTACACAGGGTTAGGATCATCAATATTGCTCATTGTCTTCCACTTCACATCCTTCCAAGGTCTTCAGGGCCAGTAACGCTCATGGAGCTGTGATCTCCTATAACAGTGACTACTTCTGGAAAACCTCCTGAAGGACTTGCCTGAGACTGTCTTACAGGGTAGCCTTTTTTTGTTTTTAGGAGTATACTTCAAAATGATAAAAAACTATAATATAGTGAACACGTAAACTAGGAACAGCTGTTATGATCAAGTATTAGGTACTGTACATACTTGTATGTGCTAGACTTTTATATGACCGGCACTGCAGTAGGTCTGTTTACAACAGTATCACCACAAACACATGTGTGTTGCACTGCGACATGATGGTGGCTATGATGTCATTAGGTGATAGGAATTTTTCAGCTTGTTATAATCTTATGGGACTATCATTATACATGCAGTCATATGCAGAAATGTTATATGCTGCATGACTGTATCTTGGATGAATTGCAGCATTTCACACTCCAAGGCAAGACCAGAGTAGTGACAGAGCAGGGGGTGGCCCTGGTGTTCAGGTTCCTGCATCTTCTGGGGCCTGAGGTTGCAGGCAACCTGGTCCTCTGGAAAAATGCCAATCACAGCGCCAACACCTGAATGTCCTGGGGAAATAACTCAGTGCTACCTGTATTAACTTCCATCATTTTCTCTGGAGTTTTAGGGTGGTTATGTTTT
The DNA here is from genome assembly GCF_000001405.40 of Homo sapiens. Taxonomy (NCBI): domain Eukaryota; kingdom Metazoa; phylum Chordata; class Mammalia; order Primates; family Hominidae; genus Homo; species Homo sapiens. Next base: position 105,272,565 of record NC_000006.12, read on the forward strand.
GATGCTGATTTGGTTTTCAGGTTAACCTCAGTTTGACTCTCCATAGAGGTGACTGGAAGCTCTTTCCTCTGATGTTTCTCAAAGCCTTTCATACTTTGGAACTGGAAGACACTATAATATTGTGTCAATTAGATGTAAATCAGTTTCTAAATCATATATTACCATTATGATATTTTGTTTATAATTTCTAGATTATTTGGCATTAATAACCTCCACAAATGGCCACCAAGTCATTTTCTCTTGCACAGTAAACAAGAGCTTCCTTAGTCACTTACTTGGCATTGAACGAACCCTCCTTGCCCGTGCCTCCCCCTGCCTGCTTCTCAGTGCTGCGGTCACGTGGCTGCAGGAGGCCCTGAGCTCCTGAGCAGAGCAAAGCCTGTAAGGTGGATGCAGGGCATATTCTCAGGACACCCTATCAGCCGGCCTGATATTTGATCTACAGGAGCAAACTCAGAGAGAGAGAGGGACAGTTTTGCCTGCAAATGTGAACCCTGACCTAAAGACGGCTGCTCAAAATAGCCCTCATCCTCTTTGCCTAAGCCTGATATGCAAGCTTTTATCTCAGTTGCCCCTGGTCACCTGCCTTTCTTACTTGACTCTGCAGTTCTCCAGGTGGCTATTCCTGGATGGCACTCATCCAGAAAGGGTCATTGCTCTTTTTTCTCTTTATTTCACTACCAGAGATTATTTCGATAACATTATGATTTACAAACCATAAAATTCATACATTTCAAGTGTACAATTCAATGACTTTTTAATACATTTACCAGGTTGTGCAACCGTTACTGAAATCCAGTTTTAGAACATTTTTGTCATCCCGGTTAGATCCTTTATGCCCAAGTAGTTAATTACCATCTTCACCACCAACTCCAGGTACCCACTAATCTACATTCTATCTTTATAGAACTGCCTTTTCAGGATATTTCACTTAATCAGACTATACCCAGTCATTTGTGTCTGGCTTCTTTCACTTATAATGTTTTTGAGATTCATCCATGATATGGCATGTCAGTGATTTTTGTGATGGTGGGTTCCTGCTGCCCCCACCCCCAAAATTCCTTAAAGGTGCTAAGCAACCTGCTCTTTGAATAACCACCCCGCTTTTCCCTAGGCTCTCCTGCTGTCAGTTTCCCACAGTGTTGTCGGCTTTCATCTCTCAGTGGCTTCACCTGACTGAGCTGCCTGCCATCTCTAGTGTATCCTCCAGGCCTCGCCTGGCTCCCTGTTCCCCCCACACTGGCTTCCTGCTCTTCCTCCAAAGGCCTGGCTGGTTCCTGCCTCAGGCTCTGCCCATTGCTGCTGTCCTCACCAACCCCCAAAACGTTGCCCATTGTTTGTCCCCTCATTCCGTTCGGGTCTTTGTCCGAATGTTGCTTCCTGAAAGAGGCACCCTGACCTCGACTCAAATAGCATTCCTTCTCACGGACTATTCATTTGCCCCACTTTGTTTCTTCACAGCTCTTTTTATTCCTGTTTCTTGTTAATTCCTGAAATTATACTTTGTTTATTATCTTGTTAATAGACTCGTGGGTATCTTAGTCTGTTTAAGCTGCTATAAGAAAATACCATAAACTGGTGGGTTGTCAACAACAGAAATTGCTCTCTCACAGTCCTAGAGTCTGGGACATCTAAGATCAAGGCACTGGCAGATTTGGTGTCTAATGAGGGTTGCTTCCTGGTTCATAGGTGACACCGTCTCCTGTGTCCTCACATGGTGGAAGGGATGGGGCGGGGGGGTCTCTCCTTGGGCTCTAATATAAAGGCACCAGTCCCATTCATGAGGATTCCGCTCTCATGACCCATCGCCTCCTGAAGGCCCTGCCTCCTAATTCCATCACTTTGGGATTTACGATTTCAACATATACATTTCGGGGAGGACATAAACACTCAGACAACAGCAGTAAGAGAGCTGTTTCGGCTGGGCATGGTGGCTCATGCCTGTAATCCCAGCATTTTGGGAGGCTGAGGTGGGTGGATCACCTGAGGTCAGGAGTTCAAGACCAGCCTGGCCAACATGGTGAAACCCCATCTCTACTAAAAATACAAAAAGATTAGCCGGGAATGATGGTATGCGCCTGTAATACCAGCTACTGGGAAGGCTGAGGCAGGAGAATCACGTGAACCCAAGAGGTGGAGGTTGCAGTAAGCTGAGATAGCGCCATTGCACTCCAGCCTGGGCCGTAACAGCAAAACTCCATCCCAAAAAAAGAGTGCAGTATCCAAGGCCCAGCTCCTGGGGTTACTGCCCTGCCTGCCCACCTCCTGGCTGGGGAACTTGGACCTTTGCCAAATGGGGAAAAGGTATTATGTGCTTCCTAAGGTTGTGTGAGGACAAACATTCATCCACACAGAGTGCTTGCAGCGGGTGGCACAGGGTAAACATGAGCAAGATAATTTACCATCTGTCTCCTCCCTGGAATATCAACTGGATGAGGGCAGGACATTTTCTCTCTGCACCTTCAGCCCCTGAGATATGGAGGATGAGAATGGCTCAATGTTCCTCCTTCAAGGGCCTCAGTCCTCATCCCACTGGCCTGACCACCCCAACAGTATGACCTTTGCCTCTTTACAGCAACCTCCACAGCTTTCCAGCCTGTCCTTAACCTGCCTTTGAGTCTTTGCAACTCCTTCTGGGCATTAGCTATGTGGCCTGCTGGGAACTTCCAGAGGCTGGTAAAACTGACAAACCTTGAGAGACTGGTGACAGGCTTCCTTAGTTGAAACTTATCCTTTTCAAACTTGTAGCACCATGTGTGTGTAGCTGCTTAAGCTTTAGTGGGAGTATTTAAGAAACATGATTAATTGGAAAGTTTTATAATATTCCAGGTAAGTCCATAGTGAACATAAATGTGACTTTATCTTGCTAAGGTAACAAATGCTCTGGTGTGCTTAGCAGGGCCTTGTGACAAAGCAGTGAGGCCACCTGTGCAACATGTACAACTTTTTCTTTTTCAAAACAGTCCTAAAAAAACTAAACATATAAGTCCTCTGTGATCGAGCAATTCCACTACTGGGTATGAATCCAAAAGAAAGGAAATCAGTATATCAAAAAGATATCTGCACTCCTGTGTCTACTGCAGCACTATCCACAACAGCCAAGATAGGGAATCAACCCACGTGCCCATCAGCAGATGAACAGATGAAGAAAATGTGGTACATATATACAATGGAATATGATTTAGCCATGAAAAAGACTGAGATCCTGTCATTTGCAGCAACATGGATGGAACTGAAGGTCAATATGGTAAGTGAAATAAGCCAGGCACAGGAAGACAAATATCCCATGTTCTCCACTCATGTGGGAGCTAAAAAAGCAGGCAGAGAAAGGGAGGATGAAGAGATTAATGCCTACAAATATACAGTTTGAAAGAAGACCTAGTGTTAGATCAGTAGGGTGTCTATAGTTTACAATAATCTACTGTGCATTTCAAAATAGCTAGAAGAGAGTAATCATAAGAAAGAGCCAAAGGGCAGAGCACAGGATACAGAAAAGTGGGATCAAATAGAGAAGAATCCCTTAGAGTTCTGGGTAGGAGCCCAATCTCAAGTCTTATTTCTAATGTTTAAAGCTCCCCCTACTCCCCAAAATACCTTTAGTTGGTGGGATTAGTTGTCCTGTGAAAATCTAGACACAAAAATTAGGTTGGAAAAGAGAACTCGTAACTGGAGGCCAATCATGCTAGGCATTAAAAACGTATTACTGTATTCCTCCTCCTCCTCATCAGTTGCTAAGTGACATTTGGGATTTGAACCCAGTCCTGATATCTGAAGCTCACACACTACACACTGTATTTTCTGCTGTAAAGCAGACCTCAGAAAGTATGGTTAGATTCTGTGCAACCTTGAAAATGCTCTGGACTCAGTGGGTCCAACTCAGCTATTTGTACTTCACACCACACAGCTAGTCTAGGAAAGAGGCTGCCTCTGGCTTGACCATGCAAATGTATTTTCTTTCTTTCCTGCCATGCTGGTCAGCAGTTACACCAAAGCTAGCTAGTATCAGTATCTGAGTAGATGGTGATGACGACAGAGTCTCAGCATGCAACACTAGCTACTGGCACACTTTGTTTCCAGAGGAGTTATGGTGAATCTTATACTCAATGACAACTGTATTATGTACCGTACTAAATAGTAACGGAAAACATGATTCCAGTAGAGAAAAACCAAGCCATATAGCTGTCTTTCAATATGCTTGGTATGCAGTGATATGCTTGATAGAAAATGGTATGTCTAATTTTTGACCATAACTTGAAACGTAGAGAATGAGAGAGTGCTCTTAAAAGCACATACATATACAACTTGGAAGATGGGACTTACTTGGAAAAGTACAAATTATTGGAATAATGAAGTAATCTTTTAAGCTATTTTATATAAGGTTAAGATACTATATAAAATAATAATTTTTATCATATCATCTGATAAAGCAAGACAAAGGAAAAAAAACTGTTTTAAGTTAGATCAGCATTTCCCAAACTGATACTCAAAGGAACATTGTTTCATGAAATGTTAAAATATATGCCTTGAAAAAAATTTTATGGATGAAAGTTTAAGGAATAGTATATCTTAAAAATCTTGGGGGTGGGCAAACCAAAACTTTTTTTTTTTTTTTTCCAGTAAGTAAGTATGACTATTTCTATTTCCAGGAGTGATCTATGCAGGAGAAACAGCTTGGGAAATGCTGAAATTTCTGACTGTAAGAAATGCTTGGATATATGTATCTGTTTGTTTGGATAATTTACTCATGTGATCTCTTGGAACCAAGGATCCTTGGATCCAAGGAACTCTGATTTCTAGGAATACTTTGTAAACAAATCAATATACAAATAGGTGAATAATCTGAATTTTCCAGCCCAGTGATTTTTGAAAGGAGGCATCCAAACCAAAAGAGCCCCAGATCAGATTTTTACCCAACTAAGTGGTCAGTGTTTGTTTATGACAGTGAACCCCCTCTGACAGCTTCATCACCTCTAACAAACAAACAAACAAGGGAGACAGAGTGGATGAACAACTTATTTTCAAAGCTAACAAACATTCTATGACTTAACTGCTTGAAAACTAACTTGTTGCAGAAAGGTGAAATGCTTTATTCTCACAGAAAACTCCACTTCTGGAGTTGCCCCTCAATATGAAGAAACCGGAAGTAAAAGCCTGTCATTCTTAAATAACATTTATTATTGTTGCAAAGAAGTCTTCTCCATGAGAACAGTTCTCACATTTATTTAAAGATATAGAGGTTATGGATATAGATAAGTATGCCCGACTATGATCCTTAATTCAGCAATCTAATATTCACAATGTGTTTGTTGCCATTTAGCTATTTATCCCAACATGCCCTTAAAAAAAACACCAAAAAACCACATGTGCCTAGACAGGGTGGAAAAAGAAACACCAAGGCCTTGCTAAAAAGGAGAAGCCTAAAAAAGATAAAATTCCCACGGCAGTTCTGTTCAACTGTAGCCTGTGAGTGCAGGAATAATGTTCCCGTGGGGAAGCATTATGCCCAGTGGTTTCTTGGTGTCAACGTGGGAAAGCCCTTGAGGTTTTCTGTCGCTGTCAGGAGGAAGCACGAAAACTGTTTATGGAATCCAGTCGACGTTCAGGCACCGCGCGATGAACGCAAACATGTCTGAGACTTCCTCTATCACTTTGGCTGTGGGCTTCCCCGCCCCGTGGCCCGCCTTGGTGTCCACGTGGATAAGCAGGGGGTTGCTTTGCTTCCTGCTGCGGCCCACGATGTACTGAAGGGTGGCAATGAACTTCAGGGAGTGAAGCGGGACCACGCGGTCATCATGGTCAGCAGTGAGGAGCAGCATGGACGGGTACTGGATGTCATCTGCTTCTGGTAACTTCACATTATGCAATGGAGAGTATCTGGAAGGCAAAAACACCTTTGTGAGGCTGGAGAGCAACAGTAGAGTTTTATGGCACAGGGACCTAGGTAGTTAATTAGCAGTGAGGACTGCAGTTAACTAGTACGTGAGTGACCACCATGGACTGTGCCTATGCGTTACCATTTAGGCCATGACTGGCAAGGGCTCCTGGAAACTGGGGAGCTGTGTCATTTATGTGGCTCCAACTTTGAAAGACTGTAGGAAGGAAGCTCACAGGTCTGTTGAAACAACCCAAATCACAGGCATGCTTACTGTCTCTTAAGGTGAGTAGTTTCATATTCTCTAGGCTTTTTTTTTACTGCTACAAAGTGGAGTAATAATTGTCATTATAACCACACTCAGTGGTTCAAAAAAAGTCCAAGCCTTTCTTTTGTTGAGAAACTTGAAATCCACAGTATAAAGGGGCTTGCTGCCCCTTTAATAACATCTATAAAGCCTTTATTCCAGGCTCAGTTTTGCAATCTTAGGAAAAGCACATGTCCTCTCTGGGCCTAGTTTCTTTGTAAACCGAGAAACCTGGATGGGCTGTTGAGCCTCCTGCTGGCTCTCAGTCCGGCAGAAAGCAACAGACTTTGCCAGAGGAGGAGGGCACCTTCCGAAGTACCAGGCAAGTTTCCTGGGTAAGTTAACAAAAAGGGTGTTAAGTATAAAAGTAATGTTGATTTTAACAGTGACTGATAATAGTTGAAATATCTGGATATTTTTTCTTTACATTCTCCTAATAGGGGTGTCATGTTTTTCAATGTATTTAATATTTATTAATGAATAAAATCACCTGTTTTAGTAGAGTTTTATTTTGAAGGGTAGGTAAATAGTGAAAACAGTAAAAATTCTGCTCAGTTAACCAACGTGAGGCCAAAACATTCTTGGGCTCAGTTTCCCACCAGATAAGATGGAGATCTGTTTTCTGATCTCATTTAAGAGTGTCTTTTGACCAGCCCCATTCTTCCAAATATGGGTTAGTTCTAAAAAGAAACAAGTTTGGAAAACCCTGCCTGTTAATAATAACAATCTCCCCCTTGGAGATTCACATGCAATATTTATACATTATCTGTAGGAAAAAATACATTAGGCTTTATTTATCGCCCAGCCATTCAAACTTGGAGCTCTAGCTCTTTTTTTGGGGAAACACCTTTTACTAATTCTGGATGGTGCTCCATGAGGCACAGCCCAGGGGGCGGGGAGGTGTGCTGGGCTTGAGGAGCTCCCTGTAGGACCCTTCCTAGCTAGTGTGGGCTGAGTTCCATGCTCATTTTACCAGCCGCAGGTGAAATGCAGCCCTGTGAGAGCAAGATTTGAAAACTGAAGAAGGAACATCATGGAGAAAAATATTTAGAACTTTCTTTGTTTTTAAATTAAGTTTGAAAGTATTAGGTGTCATCTAATATTCTTTTGCCTTCAATTAACTCAGTATTTTCAAATGAGTTTAAATAGGACTTGTTTCCTTACGTGCAAATTTTCTCTAAGTTAGATATTCCTTCTTCAAATATATAGCTTCTACCAATGTGTGTCAATGAGGCCTGCATGTACTGAAAAGTAATAACTTTCATAGTGAACTTTGTTTCCCCTTAGAGAATAGAGTTTAGTAAAGTATCCAGTTAAAAAAAATTCAGTCATTTTAAGTATATTTCAAACTGGAGAGGCTAGCCATAAAAAGCAAACAAAATGAAAGAGCAAACTTTAGAAACTTGGCCGTGTGCGGTGGTGCGCACCTGTCGTCCCAGCTACTCAGGTGGCTGAAGCATGAGAACTGAGAACTGCTTGTACCCAGGAGGCGATGTTGCAGTGAGCCGAGATGGCGCCATTCCACTCCAGCCTGGGTGACAGAGCAAGACTCTGTCTCAAAAAAACAAAACTTTAGAAACTAAAGTTATTTTCATCAAAATTTGTAGTTTACTAATAGGAGGAACAGGCTTCTTGTGCCAGTCTGAGAGCCAAACACTGGTGATTAAAAATAAAACTCTTACATATGGGGAATGAAGGGCCAAAAAGAAGTTTTAATGTCTGTTTACTCATTGTTATCAGCATAGTGGTTGCAGGATACAATGGAAGTTGTGTAAGATTTCAATAATGCAACTTGCAGTTTCAAACATATGTAGCTATATTGAGCATAAAAGAAGTTTAATTGTATTTGAATATATTCCTTTTTTTTTTTGAGACAGGGTCTTGGAATGCAGTGGTGTGATCTTGGCTCACTGTCCCCCCAGGCTCAAGCCATCCTTCCATTTCAGCCTCGCGAGTAGCTGGGACTACAAGCATGCATCACCATGCCCAGCTAATTATTTGTAGAGACAGTACAGTATTTCACCACATTGCCCATGAAGGACTGGTCTTGAACTCCTAAGCTCAAGTGATCTACCTTGGCCTCCCAAAGTGCTGGGATCACAGGTATGAGCCACCATACTCAACACCCCCTTCCCCTACTCTTGACCTGCCATTTCAGGAGCATATATTCTTTACTTAATTTAGAAAAGGAAATCCCATATATTTGATATAAAGTATAATAATACCTTTTGATTGTTACAGTAACAAATTACCACAAATTTTAGCAGCTTGAAACATCACAGACTTCTTATCTCACAGTTCTGTAAGCCAGCAGTCTGGGTTGGCTCAGCTGGGTTCTCTGCTCTGGGTCTTCCAAGGTCAAAGAAGGTCAAAGTCAAGGTGTTGGCTGGTTGGACTCTTACGGGGAAACTCTGGAAAAAACCTACTTGCAGTCTCGGGATGTTGGCAGAATTTAGTTTTGTGCGGCTGTGGGACTTAGGTCCTGTTTCCTTGATGGCTATTGGTTGGGGGTTGCTCTCAGGTTCTAGAGGTCCCCCTTCCTCCATTGTCAAAACCAGCAATGGCAGGCTGAATCCTTTACAAGCTTCCAATTTCTCTGACCTCCCTTTCTGCTGCATCCCTGACTCCAGCCAGAGAATGTGCTCAGCCTTTAAGGGTTTATGTGATTTGGGACCCCTCAAGAGATAATCCAAAGAGCAGCAGATGAATATCCTGCTCCCTGACAGCAAGCAGTATCTAGGTAAGTGTTTGAATAACCAGGGTAGGAATCTTGGGAGGCCATCTGTAGAATTCTGCCCTACCACATTTTTTGTAGTTTGTTGCTTTTGTTCAAGACCATATTAAATCAAGAAAGACAAGTAGGTAGTCCCATCTCCTCTCCAGCAGATTATATGCAAATGCAAGACCCTGACAGTGACAAAGCTCAAGCACTAATCCTGCTGTGACTGTGTTCAACTTTATATCAAACCACTAACAACATATATATGTCAATAAAACCTTACTTGACAAGCCATTCAAAGTGTTGTTTGCTGTCCGAGCACCCATAATCAGTGGTCCAAGCATGGCCGATGGTATATTTATGAAACTTCAGCATGTCCATTACTCCAACTTGGGCAATAACACAACCAAAGAGGTCAGGTCTCTGATTTGCACAAGCAGCTAAAAGCCCAACGTAGAAAGAAAAGGGAGGCAGTCTATCATTAAACATCTACATAAACAAGGCAAGGCAATACTTACTTACATGCTTCCAGAGCCCTGGTTGCATTTATCCAGAGCACAAGAGGAAACCATCAGAAATCACCTGCCCAATAGCCCCAAAGCTCCCCACCCACTCTGAGATCTGTCAGAGGGGGTGGGGATTCTCATCAGTAATGGAGCTTTACTCCCCAAAGTGAATCTTGAAAAGCTTGAGGACTTTCTGGAAACCCTGTATCCCCTCCTCCCATCCCCACTTGCTTTCACAGTGATGAGGGAGATTAAGGGACTTGTTCAAGATCTCAGGACCTGCCCAAGGCAAAATAAATAGGGTCTCTTCGTATGTCATTTATCAGATACCCAAATACAAATGGTACAAATGGGTTTTGCTCTCCTTATACCACTTTGTGGTCCTATCCACAAAGTTAAGTCAAGAGCTGCCTACAGATGGTGTATCTGAAAACCCCAAGAGGGCTAACTAGTAAGTGCAATGAATAAAATCCAGTACTCACCCACTAAGAGGCCTCCATTTGAACCTCCATTAATAGTCAGCCTCTTGGGAGATGTGTAACCTTCCTTGATCAGATACTCAGCAGCACACTGAAAGTCATCAAAGCAGTTTTGTTTGTTGGCCAAGATACCACCTACAGTGTGCCAAAGTGGAAGATAGTTAATTAACAAAACATAAAAATAAGTTTAATCTAATGGGAATTCAAATGATAGAGCACGGTTTCAAATACTGATTAACTTAAAAACCATGGGTTAACACTGCATTTAAAAAAAAGCCTCAATTTAAGTTCTGTTATGCACTGTGGAAATATATCATCAATACCACAATGCTAATCCATATGGTGGATCTGTATTTTTCTAAAAGCCTCTAGAACTTAAACGGGAAATGCCCCAAAGGGAACAGATGGTCGGTTATGAGAGATGTATGATAATGAAAGGATAGAAGCATGGCATCACAAGGAACCTGTATTTTGGGAAGCTGAACTTACAAATATAAAGCAAGACCTGCAGCAGTGTTTAGTCCTCTAGGTTGCACCCAGCACCCGAGCCGGAGCTGGCTGTGGGAGTGCTCGTGTCTCCCCTCCCCGCGAAGACGGAGGTGGAAGCGCTCTGCAGAGGCACGCTTCCCACCCCACCTCTGCAGGAGTCTGACATGGTCGGTGATGGGGAGAAAGAAATTCCCCAGTCTTGCCCTCGGTTATTAATGGAAAGAACAAAAGGAATTGGGTGGTGAGGTAGCGTTGCGGCAGAGCATCACATTATGTTTTCTCAATTCCAGAATGAAAGATCTTCAACGTTTCCCCAGAGAATCTGGGCTTTATCATCTGCAAATCGTTCCAGTGTATTAAACCAAACAAATTACTTGGAGAAACATTTACAGGGCCATGAAATATCTATAAGTAAAGGCCAAAAGTCAAAAGCATGTCCTCAAAGGAACAGATGTCTGAAATAACGGCCTTTGAAATGAACAAAGAGCAGACACAGATCTAATTAGATACTTGAGATTAACCACTTCTGCTGAAATTTAATTAAAGATAAAGCAGTCCTACTGAAATGTTTTTCATATCAAAACAAATGTTATTAAGATTTCAGTAAGAAATTACCAGTGAATTTAGAACAGCTAGGATTACTTAGTTACTAGGAATAACAATATTTTGGGTATATGACTACATTTTAAAAAGAGCATTAAATTTTAAAGTCAATTAACAGAATGGAATTTAGATTTACCAGTGTATCATATCCTAGGCTATAACTGGAAAAGGTCTATTTCTGGTCCTTTCATCATGGCCTAAATTTTGAGGAAGTTTATAAATCAGTCTAAACATAGTCTACTGTTAGCCTTAGTCAATCTTGAACCTGCCTAATCCCAAGACTGGAAAATAACTTGGTTCTAACTAATAAAAAATGAGAGAGCAGACTAGGACCAAATTACTCTTCCCTCTCAGAGCATGGTGGACATCTGATGACCAGAGGGGTTTTCTGGAGAATAATCCAGTTATTTCAGGAGAGGATCCCAGGATCAGGGGACCATGAGTAGGGGGTATGGTGCATAAACTACATACAATTTAAATAGGAAATCAGGTGAGTCAAGGGGTTCAGAATTAGCATACATATTTGGGATCAAACATATGGTATACAGAAATTTTATCCTCTTATCACTCATCTTTTAATATCAGTTTCACAGTATGATTTTAGTGTAAACTCTAATATCAGCTCAAAATTATGCAATGAATTCTTTGCAGTTTCAAAGACAGTCACAATCAGTAGTTTCTGGGGATGATAACTGGCAACGATGGACCAGATGGCCGGCCAGGGGCACTCACTTTCACTAAGGTGCACTTGAGGAGTCTGCTGTCAGCCCCTGGGGTGCATGCTGGATGCCCGGGGGTCATTTCTAAGCCTTTCCTGCATATGGTACCTAACAGGTACTTAATGGAAATCTCTTTACAACAGGTTTACCCTCATGTTCGCTGATTTGATTTGATGCAAAAAAAATCCAGAGCCTCAGGCCTCTGGTTTGGGATGGCATGGGAAACAGAAGAGAGGTACAGATATCTTAAGGGTGGTCTCTGATGCTGAGGAGACCCCTCTCACCTGGAGCTGCTGACCAGCCCCAAGCACTGGGGTCCTGGTAGGCCTTATGATAAATGATGGCTGAAAAGACTGGGGGAAGCATAGAGCTGATGGAGGTGAAGGTGCTTTCCCATGTCCTCCCTCCCCCAAAGACACAGGACAAGTGAAGAACCTCTTCAGACCACTGGTTAGTCTATGAATTCAATTTCAGATACACAAAAGCCTGGGTGAGGGGTGCTCCACATAGAAAGAAATGGAAGAGATGCAGCTTTAAAATACAGACGATCATTCAAAAAAATTGTGACCATTTGGGGTATAAAGTTGGGTATTAGTCAATCAGCTAGAATACATGCTTCAGGAGGCCACAGAATGGAGACGGAATAAAACTAGAAAAATGATTGTTTTTGTGTCTAAAACTAATGCACGACAGAGTCACAGCAGCAATGCTAGGAGGATGAGATTCCTCAGCAATGCCGGGAAGATCTGAGAAAACCAGCAGGAGGATGCCCACACTGGGAACAGAAAGCTCCAAGATTGCTCCTTTCTCTTAAGAGAAAATGACCTGCCTTGACTTCTGTTTCAAGACAGTCAACTAATGCTGAACTATAAAAACAAGGCTAACAAGAGACAGAATAAATACCAAAAAGCTCTCCGAGATTCACTCCTGACAGTGATAATTAAAAACACAACCTATGAGTTGTTAAAAAACCCCAAAATAACAAGGAATGCTTCTGAAAAATATGTACTTCATCTATTTATTATAACAAAGGAAAATAAAATGTGAAAAGTGAGTTGTTTTTAAGGGGGGAGTGGTGCCTGTGTCTGATAATATCCTTGTTTTTCATTCGTCTAGCCAAAAAGCTTTCCTGCTCCAAACCCCTTCAGCTCATTCAAACAGGAAGGATCAGCACAACCTTAGCTTTGATTATGTCAGACTTGTGTTTCTGTAGAGAAAACACCTCACCTTTATGCCACGTCTCTCCATATTCGCCACCTCCTCTGATGTTGGCCACTGCCAGGATACCACCCATGTGTCTCACAAAAATAAGCCTGGAAACACTGAGAAGCAGTAAAAACAGTTAACCTTCCATTAACTGCCTAGTGAAGACCATGCCCTCTCTCTCCATCTCAAAAAAGTGTATGCCCAACAACACTCTGAGTAATATCATCTCAATAGGAGCTTGACATTTCTTTTATTGCTTGATTAAAGTGAAAAACACATAACTTCCTGTTAATACTTAACTGCAAAGCTAATATATATACATATTTTTTGAGACAGAGTCTCACTCTGTCACCCAGGCTGGAGTGCAGTGACACAATCATGGCTCACTGCAACCTCCACCTTCCGGGCTCAAGTGATCCTTCTGCCTCAGCCTCCTGAGTAGCTGGAATTACAGGTGTGCGCCACCATGCCTTGCTAATTTTTGTATTTTTAGTAGAGATGGGGTTTTGCCAAGTTGGTCAGGCTGGTCTTGAATTCCTGACCTCAAGTGATCCGCCTGCTTTGGCCTCCCAAAGTGCTGGGATTACAGGCGTGAACCACTGCACTCAGGCAAAGCTAATATGTTCTCACAAGCATTCAGTGTCTTATTTTTCTACGTTGATAAATATTTCACTACACCATTCATAATATAAACAAACAGAGAAAAAACAAAACACTGCCAGCCCAGGCATGAATGGTGCTGGGCTCACAGGAGGACCTGATAATGGTTCCTTTTATCATTTTTTGAGTAACTTTCTCCAAACTGTTTTAAGTTGGAAAAAAGAAAAAGCTTTTTCTGGAACATGGATTTTTAAACATGTATTCCAGTTCTACAGAAATTTCTATGGTAAATTAGCCAACACAGGGTGTGCAAGAGGTAAAGGAGATCAGGAATAGAGTTCTCAGGGCTGGAGGATATTTTCTCGAGATAAGCAGAAGAAACTATAGCACAAACCCTCTAGGAAAGAGCATTAAGTCCTTTGGAAAATTTGGATTTTGTTTCCCCCTTCTCTTTCCACTGTGACCCTAAAAGTACTGAGTGACATGCTGTTAACTAAAATTAACTGTGCTTTGAGAACTATTTCTGAGAACTGTGTCACTCTTTTAGCAACTGGGGAAACCATGGGCTTCTATAAACTGAAGGTTCTCAATGGTTTGAATGCTAATTTCCTGAATATTGAGGATGAACAGGAAAGGTCAGATGAATTAGGGTAGATGTATCAGACCATCCAACCACACCTTATTAGCCAGATTGATGTTTGATCACTTGGTCCTCTCTTCAAGACTTTCATGCATCTCTGATGGTCTCTCCTGAGACTACTATTAAATGCACTGGGTTCTGGGATGAAAATGGCCCCGGGACTCATCTCTTGAATCCCAACAGGATCCACTCAGGAATCAGTGTTGTCTTGATCCTGGACCACCTGCTGGGACCAAGGGAATGGGGCTCAAGGTGACTCATTGTCCACTGATGAAACACGTGTTCACTGCCCCACACTCGAGCATCACTGTGAGTTAAAACTGAAGCCTGCATTTTAATACTTTGAGTGATATAAGGATTAGGTTAATATAATAAACCCCAACATTTATCGTCTTGCTTTTTTTCAAGGGGCAAGGTTGCTCTACCTGAGGCTTGCATTCTTAGACTAATAATCACAAAGAATAATATGGCATGTAATATTAACACATAGATACCAATGTGTTAATATTACATATTTGTTATTACAATGATAACAAATCTCGTTGCCTGGGAAACTTTGGAAAGAGATGGGAAGTCCTCATGTCTGGAATGTTGCCTGGTATATGGCGCTGTCAATATAGAATGAATGAACAGCAACCGTTATGACACTTTTCTAACTAGTTTCCCTTCATTTACTCATATGATGATGCCACATATATCTTTCGAAAATATTGTTCTACATCGTGATTTTACACAAAAACCTCCCATCAGCTCCTTGCTAACAAAAGGATAAATGCAAACTCTTCTGCCAGATATTCGAGGTCTACAATTTCATTATAAATCACTTGAGGGCAGGCATCATATTTCATACTTCATTAAATCTAAAATAATGAGCTTCTACAGATATTGAGTGCTCAAAACAAAGTACCAGTGTTCTTGTATCCAACTTCAGGACAGATGGTTGAATCTATTCTGAATTTATGTCCTGGTAGTCACCAGTCCATGAATCTCTTCCCAAACAGAAAAGATCCTGGATGAATCTGTGAATCAGATTTCATATGGGGTTCTATTTAGAAGTTGGCTCAAAGCTAGTCTTGCTGGTGGGAAACTCCTTGTTTTTATTAAAAGTGCTCAAAGCAAATTCCACTTTATACTAGCAATGGGATATTAAAATCAAGTTTGCAAATAACAGAGAAGATATTTATACCAACAATAGCAAACATATAAATGTAGAATTTTCTCCCTGAACGTAATTATCTGGGAAATAATCACAGAAACAGCACACAATAGTCTAAAATAGATGATGTAACAGAGTATACAGAAAACATTTATGGCTGAACGTTAAGACAGTCTATTTTAAGACTCTGCTGGTGAAAAATATCATCAGCTAAGAAATCATTCCCTCTGAAGAGAATACTGAAGGTAGTGCGGTGGCAGCAAATGACAAACACTGAAGAAAGGAGCTTCCTTTAAGACCTTGATTAATACAAATCTTCTGTAGTCACGCAGCCATAGCCTCCCAATCCAGTTCCCAAACAACCTGTTACACTGAGGACATTTTTGGTTGTTTTTCAAGATTAGCTTGAAATGATCCTTCAATTCCTGGTCAACATTTCAGATAGTTAACACATAATCCTGCCCGTCTATGAAAACAAGCAGCAAGAATTTTGTAGAACTGTAATTTGAGATGGAGTTTCGTTCTTGTTGCCTAGGCTGGAGCGCAGTGGCGTGATCTTGGCTCACTGCAACCTCTGCCTCCTGGGTTCAAGTGATTATTCTCCTGCCTTAGCCTCCTGAGTAGCTGGGATTACAGGCATCCGCCACCACGTCCAGCTAATATTTTTCGTATTTTTAGTAGATATGGGGTTTCACCATGTTGGTCAGGCTGGTCTTGAACTCCTGACCTCAGGTGATCCGCCTGCCTCAGCCTCCCAAGGTGCTGGGATTATAGGTGTGAACCCCCACGCCTGGCCAGTAATGTATTTTAGAAAGTTGATTTAGTAGAGCACTCTGGTTTGTTTCCACTATATGGAAAAGATAAAATACTGGCACTCTGAGTGCGTTCCGAGCTCACCTGTAGTTGGGTGTGATGGATATGTTGAAGCCGCCATAGCCATATAAGAAAGCTGGATGAGAGCCATCCAATTTTATGCCTTTTTTATGCACAATGAACATTGGAATCTTCGTACCATCCTTGCTAGGGTAGAAAATCTAGAATATAAGAAAGCAGAATATAAGATTTAGCATTACTTAGTAGATACTGCGTGCTTTTAAATGGGAAAAATAGTAAATTCTCTCTTCATGATGTACAGTAGCACAGTGAAAACCTAGTACCTCTCAAGGGCTATTTGGTGAAGCACCTTTCAGTTTTTATGGAGAGAATGTAGAACAGTTTAAAGAGGCTGCGTTTGAAAACAGGGAGACCTGCATTTGAATTCTTATTCCACAACTATCTTGCAGGATGCCCTTCACACATCGTTTATCCTCTCCCAGCCTCAATTCTGCATCCCCACATGTGGCCATCGTGCCCACCTCTCCAGGCCTTCCCGGGGCACACAGAAAACAGGCTTTCCATTCTCTGCTCCTTCTCATCCCTCTCAGTGCTGGGAGGGGCACATTTGCCATCCTGCCAAGCAACTCAACCTAGTGAGACTTATATTCCAGAAAACAAATTTCATATTCAACTTCCTCTCTAAATGTTAAGATGCTCAAGACGTCATTTTTCTATGCTGAACTACTAAACAAATGCTAGCAGCAACAAAATTTATTAGCTTAGAAAGTTGATGAGGAAAATCATAGAAATCCTATTATTCCTGGTTAAACAAAGACCCTTCTCTCCACTATTGATAATTAAGGTTCATAAAGCCTTCTTGAATCTGGGCTACCTCTGGCAAGTTCAAAGTAAACATCTCCTTATCCTTTTGGATAAAGGATTTTAAAAAAAGCCATAAGGAAGGGAACATTAAAAGCTAGTCAACTGATAAGCCATAGAATAAATAAGCCACAAAAAGCTGATAATGCTTTTTTTCCCAAAAGGAAAAGCTGTGAATAGCTTTCTCTTTGTGTAAACATGGTGTTTTTACCCCCAAACAACCCCTGGAAAGTGCTCCAGTTTGGAATCATCTTGTTGACCTTACGTTCCAGTCATGGGCATAAGCCTTTACACTTCATGTGACCTGGAGCCATATTTTATCCATAGCTTTTTAAGGTAGCAGTTCTGTTGCGCAAAGTTGCCACAAAGTCCATAGAAATAACCATGGTGGGGGAAGGGCGGAGGGGGAGAGTGGCAGGGATGCAGATTTAGAGATAGGAGTTATAGGACCATGATAAACGCCTGCAATCTGGTAGCTTTTTGAAACCTGCCAAGAAACAGTAACATAAAAAGCATTTGTTTCGGACTCTGCAGAGAAATACTGAGATATACATTTAAATTTGGCATCTGACGAATCATGGAGAATACACTTCAGAGTTCAAAATTATCAGAGGGGATACAGTTTTATTTAAAGTTATTTAGTGCCAGTTAGCAGCCACCAACAGAGTGTAACTGTGTGGGTAGGTACAAGTAAACACGGAGTAAGAGGAACAAGTTCCAAGGGACTGGCTGGGATTAGTGAGCTAAAATACATAGCCTTCAACTCAAGAGTTAGAATTCACAGCACTATACCCGCAGAGGCAACAGCATCAATGAGCAAGCGAGCAAACCGTCTCACATGATGCTACCTTCACTGTTCGAAAAATCATCTGTTCAAAAAACCGAATTCCCTCCAACTACCCCCAGCTTCTCATCTAGTTTCAAATCCAGGTCCAGCTGAATTCTCCCCAGGCTGACCCCTCCTCATGTACCCTGATCTTCATGCAGCCAGCTGGACTGATACACTCCTCATCCCAGCTGACTCTCAGACCCTCCATCATTCCCAAAGTGCTCTCTTGATGCTTCATGACAATTCAACTTCCTCCTCCCATATCACTTTTCTTGCTACCATCTGTAAGATTTCCAGTATCTGAAAGCCAGCCTGCAACTCTCTTATCTGACTCCAGGACAAAGGCATCCTTGGAGAAAACCATTGAAAGCACAAAGTTCCCATTATCCCTGTAGTTGCAGAAATATATCCAAGCTTTAAGTTGGTGTGGTTCTAATGCTAAAAACAATATTTTGAAAGCGGTCCAAAATGAAAGGACATTGTGAAGATGACTTAATTGTGGGCAAGAAAACTCCTTACAAGAAGTTTCTTTATTTTAGTCTTGAAATAAACATACAGGCATACCTCGGAGATATATTGATTTTTTGGTTCCAGACAACCACAATAAAGCAAGTGATACAAATTTTTTGGCTTCCCAGTGCATATAAAAGTTATGATTACACTAGACTGTAGTCTATTAAGTATGCAATAGCATTATCTAAAAAATGTGCATGCCTTAATTAAAAAATGCTTTATTGCTAAAAAAAACACTAATGGTTATCTGAGACTTCAGCAAGTCATAACCTTTTTTGCTGGTGGAGGGCCTTGCCTTCGTGTGGATGGCTACTGATAGATCAAGGTGATGGCTGCTGAAGGCTGGAGTGACTGGCATTTTCTTAAATGAAGATACCAATGAAGTATGCCACAATGATGGACTTTTCCTTTCATGAAGGATTTCTCTGTAGCATGCAATGCTGTTTGTGATGGTTAATACTAAGTGTCAACTTGATTAAATTGAGGGATACAAAGTATTAATCCTGGGTGTGTCTCTGTGGGTGTTGCCAAAAGACATTAACATTTGAGTCAGTGGGCTGGGGAAGACAAATCCACCCTTCATCTGGTGGGCACAATCTAATCAGCTTCTAGTGAATATAAAGCAGGCAGAACAACATGAAAAGGAGAGACAGGCCTAGCTTCCCAGCTTACATCTTTCTCCCATGCTGGATGCTTCCTGCCCTCAAACATCGGACTCCAGGTTCTTCAGTTTTGGGACTTGGACTGGCTCTCCTTGCTCCTGAGCTTGCAGACAGCCTATTGTGGGACCTTGTGATCATAAGTTAATGTTTAATAAACTCCTGTCCTTCTAAGAGAACTCTGACCAATACACTGTTTAATAACATTTTACTCACAGCAGAACTTCTTTCAAAATTGGAGTCAATCCCTTCAAACCCTGCCACTGTTTTATCAATTAAGTTTATGGAACAAACTAAAACCTTTGTTGTCATTTTAACAATGTTCACTGCATCTTCACCAGGAGTAGATTCCATCTCAAGAAACCACTTTATTTGCTCACTCCTAAAAAGCAACTCCTTATCCATTCAAGTTTTATCATGAGATTTCAGCAGTTCAATCACATATGCAGGCTCCACTTCTAATTCTCGTTCTCTTGCTATTTCCCCAACATATGCAGTGACTTCCTCCTTTGAAATCTTGAACCCTTCAGAATCATCCATGAGCGTTACAATCACTTCTTTCAAACTCCTATTAATGCAGATATTCTGACCTCCTCCCATGAATCATGAATGTTCTTCATGGTATCTAGAATGGTGAATCCTTTCTAGAAGGTTTTCAATTTACTTTGCCCAGATCCATCAGAGGAACGTATGGCAACTACAGCCTTACAAAATGTATTATTTCTCAAATAATAAGACTTGAAAGCCAGAATTACTCCTTGATCCATGGGCTGCAGAATGGATGTTGTGTTAGCAGGCATGAAAACAACATTCACCTCCTTGTACAGCTCCATCAGAGTTCTTGGGTGACTAGATGTGCCGTCAATGAGCAGTAATATTTTGAAAGGAATCTTTTTTCTGAGAAGTAGGTCTCAACAGTGGGCCTAAAATCTTGAGTAAACCTTGGTGTAAACAGATGTGCTGTCACCCAGCTTTGTGTTCCATTTCTAGAGCACAAAGTAGATTTACCACAATGCTTAAGGGCCCTGGGATTTTCAGAATGGTAAATGAACACTGGCTTAGCCCCTAAGAAGAAAGTCAGCCTGTCCCTTGAAGCTTTGAAGCCAGGCACTGACTTCTCTCTAGCTATGAAAGTCTGAGATGATATCTTCTCCCAATATAAGGCTGTTCTGTCTACATTGAAAATCTGTTGTTTAGTGTATCCACCTTCAACAGTGATCTTAGCTAGATCTTCTGGAGAACTTGCTGCAGCTTCTACATCAGCACTTCCTGCTGCATCTTGCACTTTTATGTTATGCAGACGGCTTCTTTCCTGAAACCGTATGGCCCATCCTCTGTTAGCTTCACACTTTTCTTCTGCAGCTTCGTCACCTCTCTTAGTCTTCACAGAACTGAAGAGAGTTACTGCTTTGCTATGGATTTGGCTTTGGCAAATGTTGTAGCTGGTTTGATCTTCTATCCAGACCACTCAAACTTTCCCCATATCAGATATAAGGCAGTTTTGCTTTCTTATCATTCATGTCTTCACTGAAGTAGCACTTTCAATTTTTTCAAGTTATTTTCCTTTGCATTCACAACTTGGGTAACTTGTACTGAGACAGACCAAAAGCTAGCCAGGCCTCTTGCACATTCCTTCCTCACTGAGCTTAACCCTTTCTGGCTTTGACTTAAAGTGAGATGTGAGAGTCCTCCTTGCATTTTAACATTTAGAAGCCACTGGAGGGTTGTTAATCGCCCTAATTGAGACCCAAGGAGAGGGAGTGAGACAGGAAATGGTCAGTGGAGCAATCAGAACACATACAATATTTATCAATTAAGTTCACAGTCTTATACGGGTGTGGTCTTATACCACAAAACAATTACAATAGTAACATTGAAGATCACTGATGAGGGATCTCCATAACAAACACAATAATAATGAAAAGCTTTGAAGTATTTTGAGAATTATCAAAATGTGACACAGAGGCATGAATAAGCACATGTTGTTGAAAAAATGGCACTGACAGACTTGCTTGATTCAAGGTTGCCACAAACCTTCAATTTGTAAAAAAAAAAAAAAAAAATGCAATTATTTGTGAAGCTCAGTAAAATAAAGTATGCCTGTACATACAATATACATACGTATAAATATTTTATCAAATTCCTCTATGGACACGTGCACACACTCAGCAGTATTTTCTGCCATTTCCATTGATGGAATGGTAATTGAGACTAAACCTAAACCTCCCTCTTCAATAGAAGGGCAAATAACCTGAGTCTTTTGATAACTATGGAAGGAATCCATGTAGACATTTTCGAAACAGCCATTCAAAACAGCCTAGGCATTTTCCATCACGTACTTTCTACTTCTTTGATTTAACCAAAACTGGTTTCCTCCTGAAGCCAGTTTTTCCCCCTTTGTATTTTCATGGGTACAAAGAAGCTCCTTCTTTCAAAGCTTTTCTTTAAGAGGCTTTGGGAGTGTTTCCTTTCTCATTGTCCTGAATTTGCTGGGTCAGGAGAAGAAGCTAACAAACTCCTTGCTTCCATTTGCTTCCCACACTTGGCCAAGAAGCTCCACATCAGAGTCTACACCAGTGGTTTTTGAGCCTTATTGACTGGGCCTACATATCTGTGAAGAAACTGTTAAAAATACAGTTTTCCAGGCTTTATCCCCAGAGATTCTGATACGACAGGTCTAGGGCAGAGCCCCCAAACGTGCAGATTTAATACATATCCTACATACTCTGTGGCAGGTGGATCTGGGCTCAAAACACTGGTCAGACCATCTGCTTTTGTCACTTCCTCTTTCCTTACCAATTAATATCAACTAAAACCAGAAGTTTTCCCACAATTCTTGATCATTTTAATACAAGTCTCTATACTTCTCTTTACCTAGGTCTCCTGTGATTTCCCTCAGTGACTGTAACAGTGAAACCTGTCCAGCATCCTCACCTTAGAGATACCTGAATGCCTCAACACCAAGATCTTAGTTTCCACCCTACCCTAGCCGCTGGTTCCCTCCAATGTTTGCTGTGTGTCTATTATGTGCCAGGGACTGCACTCAGCCCTAGAGATGTAAAGAAGGCGAGCTGCATAATCCCTGCCCTCATGGGACTTAAGAGTCTCCTGAGACAAACCAACAGCACAACGCTCACCCATCACCTTGGTTATACCTTGGCCCTTAGAGCCTGAATTTCTTCTGCAAAGAACTAGGACAACCCACCTTGTAGCTCCAACTTGCTCTTTCGCCACTTCTGTCATTTCCTTACCCCTGGAATATCTGCTTTTATTTTTTTAAAAAACTCTTATGAAGACGTTCAGTTCTTTATATTCTCTCAGGCTGTCAGCATCGCTTGGGCTTTCCTTGCCCAGCTTGGGACCCTTGGACAGCTCTTTAAATGTTACTAAATCCGGAACTCCTCTAATTCTGACCCTAACCCATTGGATTCCTTCTCCTCCCCCAGGCTGCTGGACACTCCGGAAATGGCAACTTGCTTCATTACAAATGAATACTTGATCTCAGCTGGGCTCTGAACTTAGGTCTTATGTCTTTTCCTTCCTCAAAGTCTTCCATCTTTTCCCACCTAAATCAATTCAAGAGTAGTTTCCAATGTTTTCCTTTTTTTTTTTTTTTTATTTCTGACACCACCATTTGCATCCCTCTCTGCCTCTGGCCTTGCCTATCCCTCACAGGGTCCATCTGCTTGTAGCTCCTGGTAAAGCTTCTGCTAACTTCATTCAGCCTCTGCAACCCCAGAGAAAGGAGGATCGCCCTGTCTTGATTCCATTCCTTACTGCCTCCACTACTACTGTGCTCTTTCAATTATTACAGCTTTTGTTTTTTGTATTTTTTCCCTTTCTTTGGCATACAGATAGACTCAAATTTCTCCTATCCTAGCCAACAAAACCTTATGTATCACCCTGTCTGCCTCTTAAGCTACATCTCCATCTTCCTAATCATTAATCCCGAGTACCCCATACTCACAGCTCACCACTTTCCCACCCCATTGATTCCTATCCCCACCCCTGCTCTTTCAAAGGTCATCAATGAACGTTTCTGTCTTTCTCATTGCCTCTCCATCCCTGCCTCTATCCTGTTGGTGTATGTCCTTCCCAACATTTTCATGATTGCATAGAGACACGCCTATTTATATGTTCAAATACACATAGGAGTTATTATTATATAGTGATAAATGGAATCGGGCTAATACTGGGCTATGATTCATTCTCTCTCCTCTTCACTTAGCAATTTATCATGGAATTCTTTTCAGAGTAAAACACCCAGATTTATCTCATTTAAAAAATGGCTGCCTAATATTTCATTCTACAGATGCACACACATTTAACCATTTTCTCATTGATATTTAGGCTATTCTTTATGTTCTGTGATTGGTAATGATGGAATAAATTCCTTTTAGATAAATCTGGTATTCTCGTGGTATGATTTATGTATGATATATTCTTAGACATGATACTGCTAAATCGAAGTATACGTGCACCCAAAAATTCAATAAATTTGGACCAAATATTCTCCAAAGAGAACTTAACAACTTAGGTGCCCAGTGACAATGTTTGCCTAAATGTCCATGCCTCATCAGCAGTGGATGTTAAAATGGATTTTAATTTTTACTAGTGTAATAGGCAAACACTGCCATTTCCTTACTGTATTTTTTTTATTAGCAAACATTTTCATAGTCATGTTATATTTTGTCCTTGGAGAACAAAGTATACCTGCTCTTTTATTCTGTTACTTCTCCTTTCTGATTACAGAAATTTATCTTACATTGAAGGGTAGTAACCTTTTTTCTATCATGCTTTGTTTATATTTTGTCCCAGTACACCAACAGTTTTTTTTTTTAACTTTCTCTGTGGTGTCTTGAGGTGCAAGAAGGTGTTAATATTTATGTACCCAAATATCTGTTTTCCCTTTTAGCTTCCTCTCTTATAAAACATTCTCTACTCCAAGTTATAAAAATATTTGTCTATAATTTCATCTTGATTTTTTACATTTATATTTTATGTTTACATATGGTCTGGGATCTAACTACTTTTCCCCAAATGGCCAACTATTATACACCATTTATTGGAGAATCTGTTCTTTTCCTCTCATTGTTCAGAAATGACATTTTTGAATGGTTCCTTTCCAGGTCTCATCCCTTTCAATCCCTATATGGCAACTGCTTCTTTGGCTTCCTGGGTGGAGTATTTCTCTGGTTCTTCTTCATTCCTCGAAATCTTTTTCAACCTTCCTAATTGATCCATTATTGCCTCCTCTTCCTTCTGTTTTGCAATTTTCTATACTTGGCTGTCTCTTTTCAAGTTCCCTCTTTGCCATCTCAGAGAGCTCCAACAATCTGCTCTATGCAAAGGACCTCCATGTCCACATCTGCAGGCCCATAGCCAGACATGTGTTTCCTGGAAGTCACCTGTGAGGGGCTGGTTAAGAAGCCCATCAAGTTGCCTAGGCTATGGGGGTTCATGATCTCATGTGGCAGATGGCCTGTTCACATCTCCAAATCAACGTGCCCAGACACACCTGTGTACATGCTCCTCCATGGGCCTCTTGCTTGGGCTAATAGCAACACTCTCTTCTCAGCCACCCTACTTTCAACCCTCAGGATCATCTTGTGCCAAGGCCCCCTACACCCAGGCACCCATGTGGTCATTTGGTTTCACAAGCAAGTGTCTTCTCTGTCATTTATACAGACAAACCAGCTCAGAGCTCTCTACTTCACTAGCATCATGACTAACCAGTCTCCCTGACTCCTCTCATCGGCTACAGTGGAGTTGTGGTAGGAATATTAGAACCTTAAACTATTATTAGTAACATATAAAATGTCATTTATACATCTATATAACAGCCATTAGTGCTTGATAAGTAGACAGTTGCCAAAGCTTAAATGCACGTGTTGTTTCTTTACTTGGTAGTTTATTGCTACCACAGTACTCAGGTTCAAGTTAAACAAAATTACTTCCTTTTCCTTTTTCCCATACTGTAACCAATGAGAGAGCTGATAATACACCTCCATTCTTTCTGAGTGTCCACTGTGCACACAGTTCTGTAGTGGGATGCCAAAGCTTTTATGGGACCCTCAATGGACAGGAAAACAAAGTGCTCACATGGGATCTAACAGATGCCCACTTGAGTAATAGGAAAAGTCTGTCTGTCTTCCAGGGCTAACAGCTCATCATGTGAGGCACACAGAGCCCTGTCTTCCTTCTTCTTGTCAACAGCAGAGTAAATGAGTTGTACAATAGATCCAGTTCAACAAGGAGCCTGGACCTGGCACCCCCTTTCACCTTAACAGACTACAAGCACCACCAAAGAATCCACAATGAACAGATAAGATTGTCTTTGGAAGCATCGGTAAGATCTCATAAGCGGGACTATCTTAGAGTACATCGATATGAAGCCTTCATGAGGGACACAGAAGATAAAACCAAACATTACGACAGTGATTCAAACTCACAGTTAGTTCTAAGCATTAGTGAGCCAGCCCGCGGCTGACCGAAGTTACATGCTAAATTAAGAAAGCTTCTTTCCTTAATTTCATTTTCTTCTTCTTTAAACGTTAGACTCTGTTGGCATCTTGGGCAGCTGGAGACGGTGGCCCCAGTCCCTGTTGTGAAGAAGCAAGCAGCCAAGGTGATGAATCACCTGAGAGAGACCCAGAAATGTTGGCACTTGCAGGACATCTGGCCCCAAGAGACCTCACCTGCTTTGTCAAGTGACCCTGCTACATCCAGCTGCGGTGACAAAGGGCTGTCCTCTAAACATGGCTGAAAGTGCCTTCATGAGCAACCAGTTCGTCCAGGCCTTGGGCAGCAAAACAGCACTCAGCTGCCTAGGCTGGCTCACAGGTACTGACCAGAGACAGTGCAAGAGAAGAACTGATGGCTGCTGGCCCGGGCTGAGAAGAAAGCTGCCAGCAAAGGGGAGGTCCCCACTGGAGACCACCTGTCCTTGGTGCAGGGGTTGACACTGTTGCTACCTTGTGGGAGAACAAGGTGGCTCAACTGGTGGTGACTGCGCACGACATGGATCCTTTCCAGCAGGCTGTCTTCCCATCTGCCCTGTATCATGAAAGGGGGTTCCCTACTACATCATCAAAGGAACGGCCAGACTGGGACATCTAGTCCACAGGGAGACCTGCACCAGTGTTGCCTGCACACAGGTTAACTTGGAAGACAAATGAGCTCTGGCTAAGCTGGAGGAAGCTACCAGGACCAGTTACAATAATGGGTATGCTAAGATCACTGTCACCGGGGAGGCAATGTCTGGGGTCATAAATCTGAGGCTTGCATTGCCAAGTGGCAAAAGGCAGAGGTCAAAGAACTTGCCACTAAACTGGGTTAAATATATACTGCTGAGTTTCTGTACTTAAAATTCTCCTTCAAAAAAACCAAAAAACCTTAAATTCTTCATTGTGGAGACGCACAGCAGCATAACAATATTATTCCACATCCCAAACCAATAACATTAAGCACCGCAAGGCTGTAAGGAACCACACCCTTCATGAAGCCCACACTGATTCTTGATAGAGGGCTGAGAAGGGTATTTTCTGAGCAGCCACAAGACTGTGCCACCTGGTAAACAAAAGCTGGTGTCAGTTCTTTCTCAGCCCTGAGGATATAAGATAATAATAGTAAATTCTGGGACTTTAAAATGTTTCAGATATAGGGAGAGGTTGTCACTCCAGGCTGTCATCCAGCTAGCAGTCCTCTCTTATTTTACAAATGACAAAATAAGATTCAAGAAGATAAAGATACCTGCCAAGGGTTGGGTACAGTGGCTCATGCCTGCAATCCCAGAACTTTGGGAGGCCAAGACGGACAGATCACTTGAGGACAGGAGTTCAAGACCAGCCTGGCCATCATGGCAAAACCCCATCTCTACTAAAAATACAAAACTTAGCCAGGCATGGTGGAGGACACCTGTAGTCCCAGCTATTCAGGAGGCTGAGGCACGAGAATCTCTTGAACCCAGAAGGCAGAAGTTGCAGTAAGCCGAGATTGCGTCATTACACTCCAGCCTGGGCAACAGAGCCAGACTCTGTCTTTAAAAAAAATACCCGCCAAGGCAACACTGCCAGCTTATGGCACATTACTACCAAGGTCTCCCAAGTCCCTGTTTCAGTGTTTTTTTCCTACTATATCACAAAGTAATTAACTTCAAGTTATTACTTCCTTGTAAATATCTTTATTGGGTGCAATTATACAAAATGTTGAAAGTGTTAGAGCCTTTGGTATAGATTTAACACATTCATTTCTTCTTCCCCAAGACAATGACCACCTATCTCTAGGGAATCCTGGGGACAAATATCATTCTGCCAGAGATGCTATCCCTTATTTGCTTCTCTGCTTTTTTTTTTTTTTGAGACGGAATCTCACTCTGTTGTCCAGGCTGGAGTGAAGTGGCATGATCTCAGCTCACTGCAGCCTCTGCCTCCTAGGTTCAAGCGATTCTCCTGCCTCAGCCTCCTGAGTAGCTGAGAATACAGGTGTGCACCACCACACCCGGGTAACTTTGGTATTTTTAGTAGAGATAGGGTTTCACCATGTTGGCCAGGATGGTCTCGATCTCTTGACTTTCAGTGATCTGCCCATCTCAACCTCCCAAAGTGCTGGGATTATAGGCGTGAGCCACCGCGCCCAGACTGTTTTTGTTATTTTCTTAAAAAGGAGACTCACTCAAACATTTCAAAAGCGATATTCCAGATACAAGAGGGGCTGCTGTTACTATTTTAGCAAAATGAGTCAGCTTAGAAAGATGATCCTTCTCCACACAGTCATTAGTGTTACCATCTTGAAGACAGATTATTAAAACAATAAAAATCCCACTATATCTTGCCATGGCCATTCTACCAAAAAAATTCCATTTCAATAGTATTTTTTTAAGGCTTAACAGACACAATTCATTTCACAAATAAAAAAATGCTTGAGCAAATCATAAAGCTATCCCAACTTTTTAAGTAATCA
Organism: Homo sapiens; assembly: GCF_000001405.40. Classification (NCBI taxonomy): domain Eukaryota; kingdom Metazoa; phylum Chordata; class Mammalia; order Primates; family Hominidae; genus Homo; species Homo sapiens. Next base: position 105,300,518 of record NC_000006.12, read on the forward strand.
ATTAAATTTAAAGCAGCTTCTGATTTTGCACATTTAAAACCATATTCTAAGAATAATTGTTTAACAGATAAGAACTCACAGATCCTTGAGCTGAATGCTTTATGTTAAAAAAAAAAAACTACTGAAGAAATGGTGTACATTTATATAAAGTACATAAGTCTAAAGTTTCAGAAATCCCATCTCTGTTGTCAAGCACAACTTTCCAGAGGCATCACCAATGATAAAGCAGTTTAACTCTGGAAGCATGTTTTAGCACAAGAGGGCAATCACTAAACACACATCTAGCTGCCTTAACATGTAAATCTGATTTCAAAAAAAAAAGAATATCTTCCTTTAAAGAAAAAAGAGAAGTAAATATGACAAATCAATGGAACATTACTGTTCCTTCAAATCAATGACCTTAGTTGTGCAAAGATCAACTGTCTCTCTTGAAATTATTATTCTCCTTGAGATGCGTACATTTAGTAATAAAATCAATTGTGTTAAGACGCACGAATGTGCAATCAGTTAGGTTCCTGAAAACAATCTTCAGTAATGCATTTGATGCAGTTCAGATACTGAGCTATCTGAGGCAAATGCCAGGACTCCCATTATCGCCAGTCATGAGATGTGCTCATCTATGAAAGATGAAGGTAGGCTGCAAAGGGCAGCCCCTTCAGACAGAAGAATGTCTGGTGATAGCAACTCCTGCCTAATTTTAGAGCCTGACAGGTTTAAAGGAGAATGTTCATAAAAGGGTGTTGAGCTCCCCCTTTTTATCAGAGTTGACAGAGGCCACTTGTGTGGTCTGTGCTACGTGTGCCAAATAAATCTGACAAGGAGCAGAACTGCTCTGAGTCCACAGGCAGCATGCAGAGGAACAAGACATTCCATTACCAAAAGAACTGGACAGTAGGCGGGCAAACTCCGTGCTTCAGTTACCCTGTAACATGAGCATATGAAGAACTTCCTAGGACTTAGAGGGAGGCATTACATGTTTCTGTGCTGTACTAAGGTGAAAAATGCTAGCCTGGCATTAGAAGGTTGTCATCTTGTCTATGTTCCAGGCATTTAACTTTTGGGGAGTAGAGAGGAGTTTAAGAGTCATCTTTGGGCAGAAAATACAGAAGGAAAGTCTATTCCAGACTGCTTTAGTTAGTTTTTCCAAGGATGGCTGGGCATTTTGGTAACACTGGGGATTTAAAAGCTCCCTTAGGATACCTCAATTACAGCAAAGTCAGTCTATTTAAAATCTGTTTTAACTTTTAGTACATTTCTTGAGCACCAACAATGTGCTAAGTGCTATACTGATCATCTCTGCAGAAATTCACCAGCTCTCTAAGGCTCAGCCATCTGTTTTTTGGAATAATACGCCTTTTCCCAGTCTCAAACTGTGAAGCCAAAAGCGAAATAGAAAGTGGAAGTTCTGAATACAAGGAAAGAAGGGCAGTGAAGGAGGCACAGCTGGATCTCGTGCTATGGCACTTTGATGAGTTTATTTGGATTTTAGCAGTAACCTGGTGTTTTGAGGTAGAAAGACACACAGGGCTAGGATGAATAAATCTGACTTGATTGTAGAACATCAAAGCCATCTTCAGTTCCACTGGTCTGATCTCTTTGTAGTTAATGAAGACACACAATCAGACATTTTCATTAAAAGTGAAGGAACCCTGCTACACGCGGAGGCCCAGAGAAAGCAGCGTCTGTTTTGGTACAGGCAGAAACTGCCCTGTAACATGGCTCACTGCAATGGGATTTATGCTGCACATGGAAGGCATATGCTGTGTGTTTTGCTCCTGCATGAGAACCACATGATGAGTCCATCATCAGAGGGTTATGAGTTCTGCATTGTTTGCCTTCAATAAATATTTGTTGAATGAATACAGAATTGCATATTAAATACACACTTTTCTTTTGTTCTCTTCGGCCAGCTCTCTTTTATTGACAATGTGACGTTCAGGCGTTCACTGTGTACTTCTGCAGCGGGTACGGCCGCTCCTTCCGCGGCTGCTGCTTGGTCTTCAGGTTCTCCTCGTGCTTGCTGGGCCAGTGGCGCAGGCGCATGTTTTCTCAGGCCGCAGGTCCAGGGGCTTGTACCTCTTGCCCTTGTAGAATTTCCTGAGGTTTTCTTTGTGTGAGTCTGGTTAATTACGGTGAGAACACGGGCAATGGAATTGTGGATGACACGGATCTTAGAGAGCTTGGAGACCGCGCCGCCTGTCAGTGGCGATGCGCAGCTGGGACAGCTCCACCTTCAGGTCGTCCAGCTGTTTGAGCAGCAACTCTTTCTCCTTCCCGTGAAGGTCCCGAGACTTGATCTTAGCCATTGCTGCACAGGCCGCCCCCGCCGCCTGCTCCGAGGGCTAAATACTCTCTTTTTGACCCTCAAATACCTATACCAGCTTACCTCAGGTCCGGAGCTCAAAGTCATTGTAGCTACCTCTCCCACACCATCTTATCCCTGCCTGCCTGCACAGGGGCCTTGGCTTCCAGGACTCCTGCTTCCAATCTGAGCACCTGTTACCAGATTAATCCATGTAAAACCTCCCTTTTAATCTAAGTCACTCTACTATTCAAAACAGGCAATGCCTCTCCATTCTCTACAAAATGAAGTCCATGTATGTATGTATGTATGTATGTATGTATGTATGTATGTATGTAAAGCAATCCTCATCCTCCTGGCTCAGCCTCCTGAGTAGCCAGGACTTCAGGCATGCACCACCACATGCAGCTAATTTTTTATTTTTTGTAGAGACATGGGTCTCATTACGTTGTCCAGGATGGTCTCAACCTGCTAGCCTCAAGCAATCCTCCTGCCTGGGCCTCCCGAAGTGCTGGTGTGAACCACCAAGCCCATCCAAAGTCCACGTTTTAGACCAGCAATTAAAGCTCTCCACTTTCTGCCTTCAACTTCTCTCAGTTCTTCCCAACTTCAACCAGCCTCTCTAGTGATATTGCTGTTTCGCATCTCCAGAGCCCCAATCCCAATGTCACATGCCTTTCTAAACCAAATCATGACTGAAAAAAAAAAAATCTATTGGCTCTTAGAAGTTCACTTGTTTGACCTCCTCCTCCCTCCCCTATCCAATGCAGACACCCACAAAGCTACATCTCAGGCAGGTTCATCCTTTGCTTAAATATTTCTAGTAACAAGAAAGAAACTTAAAACAGCACAAATGGCCATTCATTGCATTTTGGAGCCTCTCTGTTAGAAAGTTATTCCTTACCTGAAAATGTTAAAATAACCAAAACCAAAAGAAACAAAAGTTAGCCAAGGTTCTGCAGACAGAACCTAGTGACAGAACCTTGCAAGCTAATTATCAACTAAAGTTTCCATACATTTAAAAACAAATGTTAAAATACCTGCCAGTTAGTTTCTATATTTTTCACAACAGAGTTTTCTTTAGTTCATACTTTGGTCAAAATTCACATTATTTATTTTACTTGACTTGTTTAAAACACTTATTTAGTTCTTACCATGTAACAAGCAAGCACTAGTCTAAGGGCTTTAAAAATATTCTCTCATTTTAATCCAAATATGAGGTCTATACAGTTGGCTCTCTACATCCATGGGATTCACATCTGCAGAGTCAACCAATTGTGGATTGAAAAATTTTTTTTAAACCCAACAAAAAATAATAATACAACAATAAAAAATTTAAAGAACAGGAGAGTATAACAACTATTTACATAGTGTTTACTTTGTATTAGGTATTATACACAGTCTAGAGATAATCTAAAGTGTGTGGGAGGACAACCATAGGCTGTATGCAAATGCCGTGCCATTTTATATAACAAACTTGAACATCCTCAGATTTCGGTATCCACAGGGTGTCCTGGAACCAATCCCCTGTGGAATGTACTACGAATACCCCCACTTTTCAGCTGGGGTCATTCTGACGCAGATAAATTGTTAAGTAAGGAACCCAAGTCATACATCTCGTAAACTATGGAGTCAGAATTTGAACCCAAGCTTTCTGGCTCCATACTGTATGCTCTTAGCCACTGTAAAAAGGAAATCAGCCAATCCCCTCCCCCTCCTCTGGGGGCCCCTCCTGAACTCACCATGGCACTGTATTGTGCTCCCATGTGTCCCCGTTCTAGGCCTGTGCATCTATTTGCCTCTGTATCCAGCAAGGTACCCAGAAGACAGTAGGTGCTTTGAAAACATGCTACATCAAGACATAAATTAATGCCCAAACTGGACCCTACATTTCAATTAAATAATATCAGAAAAGGTAGTTTGAATGGTGTTTCATTAAAAAAAAATTTATACAGAGCAGCCTAGAGTCTTGCCTGAAAATCCTTGTAAGTTGAAAAATAATAAGATAAAATTAACTCTGGTTCAGGCACTTAAGAGATTACATAAGCTTTCTGAGGTCACAAATTTCCAACTTATTACTAATGAAAAATATTTAACATCTGACATTTTCCTTATGTGTAGCTGTTAATCTATTAATTTGGCAATGCCAGGGCAGAGGAGCTTTATGGGTTCTTAAACTGTTTAGTTATGGTAATTTGCTGCATGAGATTGCACCTGCATAATAAAAACCCAACAAGGATATGTGAAATCCATTTCAAATCCTCATTAACTCAAAACTACAGCAGACCACTTACTTGTTTTATTGTAAGTAGAAAAATAAAATTAATAACCAAAATGCTGAAAAGACAAACTCTGGTCAGAATGTTCATTAATAGAACAGAAGAGAACTGTGCAGCCTTAAAAATTTGTGGCTGGTAACTATTCACCCCTTAAAAGGGTGAACTACTAAAGAGAGGCAGATGTTAGTGGGGAAAAAGCAGAGCAGTGTTTGTGCAACCAAGCAGTTCATGGCAGTGTGGGGGATTAAATGGGACTGTATGAAGCTGAGTGTGGCCCCGAATTAAGGACAGCATCAACAGAAGTCCTAGAATCAGGAAGCTGGCATAACTGTTCAATACCATTTTTTTGTTTTGCAAAGAGGTGGTCAATTAGAAGAGACTGAACTAGAGGCGTAGAGGCGGTATCACAAATAGCTACTGGGAAGTAACTCACTAGTGGGGTGGGGAAAAACGGGGCAGGGGGGACATGAAGGCAAATCACAAAGCAGAAATCCTGCTGTGAAGGTAAAAGAACAAATTCTTTTTGATTTATATTCTGAACTTGGCTGTGTGAAATGTTTTATATTTGTGCAGTGGAATAACAGTAGCAGAAATCTTATCAGTCAAATCATATATATCTTTTTTGACAGCCCAGACATGCCTCCCACCACTCTAGCCCCAGCATTATCATCATAGACAGATTTTTGCATATTCCTTTGTTTCTAAACACAGAAATATACTTTTAATCTTACAGATATATCCTTTTCTTTTTTTTTTGGGGGGGACAGGTTCTGACTCTGTCACCCAGGCTGGAGTACAGTGGTACAATCATAGCTCACTTGCAGCCTCAAACTCCTGGACTCAAGGGATCCTTGTGCCTCCGTCTCCTGAGTAGCTGAGACTACAGGTATGTGCCACCATGCCTGGCTAATTTTAAAATTTTTTGTAGAGATGGGGTCTCACCTATGTGTCCCAGGCTAGCCTCAAACTCCTGGGCTCAAGTGATCCTCCTGCCTCGGCCTCCCAATGTGCTGGGATTACAAGCGTGAGCCACCTTGCCCAGCCCTATATATACCTTTTTATTATCACCAGTAATCAAGAAAATGAAAGCTGAAGATGACTAACTGAATCATGTTCACGAAAGATCTAGAAAAGAACATGGTATACTTTACTGATGATAGACGGCATTCAGGATGGTGGATGGGGAATACTGATGATTATGAAGCACTGGGGTGCATACACAAAGGCTGGCAACAAAGTCTGTATGTGGAGTGCAAGAACGTTCATTCAGCGCATTTCCAGTAATATTTCTACTACCTGGTAATTAGCACACATGTCCTGGGCTGTAAGGAACCCCTTCATTCATGAGAAGCAGAGTTAGGCTTCCTGACCCCTCACATGGTCAATCCACTGCTACCTGACATTGACTGGCCCCTCTCATAGTCAAATGCTCACAGCCAATCCCAGCACTGCCCAGTCTATATCCCCTGTGACTTCTCTGCAATACCACACCATCCTCCTTGAAACTCTTCTCCTCTGGCTTCTGTGATGCCAGCTTTTGTGGCTCCTCCTCCTCCTGTGTCCCTAAAATGTGAGACTGTGGTCCTCTTCTCCCACCATACACACTGTTGGAGTTTTCGGCTGTGCCCATGGGCTCCTCCACCACCACCACCATCCCCGCCCCCACCACCCCCTTCACAACTTTCCCTGGAACCTGACTCTAATTCTCTAAGCACCTGGTAGGTAGATGGCCTGATACGAATCCTACACAGGCCCTTAAGGGTCTGGATCTGTCTCCCTTTCCAGGCTCACATGCTATGGGGCTCCAACCAGGCTACTTGCTTATCTGCAGCACTGTGAGGACACCTTTGCTTTTGTACAAGCTATTCATTTCCACTGGATTGGTGCCTTCTAACTCTAGGTTGCTGCATGCTTACAAACATTTGGAAAGCTTTTAGACAAGCTGACCAATAAAAAAGCAATTCTACTAACCTGTAAATTCAGCTGACCTAGTCCTTATTGTGTTTTATGAGACTCTGGGATCATTACTTTGGATTTATTTTCTTCAGACTCTGGATGCTTACAGCTTCATCCTTTTAGTGGCTTTGGCTTTTCTAATATCATGTTTTTAAAAGTAGCTTGTTTCTTGCATTCAACTTCCTTTCCCTTCTTCACTCCTCAGTATTTGTATGAATTTGTATGTATGATTTCTTTTCTTCATTATTTGTTCCTTGTGCTCTTTCCATCTGCCCAAAGCTCCTTTCCAGGAGGCCTTGTTTCCAAGAGGAGCCTTAGATGCTTCTCCTTCTCCAGGTTCCCACAGAACCTGTGAGCAGCTTATTAATATGGTTTTCCCTCCACTGAATTGCTGGAAATGCTTGATTGCATCTCCATTTTCCCTAGTAAACTCTAACCTGCCTTATATTCCCAAAAATAATTATTTCACAGATATTTACTAAGCACACCACCAGTGCATAGTGCTTAATAAATATCTGTGAAATAATTATTTTTATTTGCTTAAGCAATGTTTTCACTCAGTCATTCTTTTCTTTTGAGATGGAGTCTTGCTCTGTTGCCCAGGCTGGGGTGCAGTGGTGAGAGCTCGGCTTACCGCAACCTCCACCTCCCGGGTTCAAGCAATTCTCCTGCTTCAGTCTCCTGAGTAGCTGGGATTACAGGCACCCACTACCATGCCCAGCTAATTTTTGTATTCTTAGTAGAGACAGAGTTTTTCCATGTTGACCAGGCTGGTCTTGAACTCCTGATCTCAGGTGATCTGCCCGCCTCAGCCTCCCAAACTGATGAGATTACAGGTGTGAGCCACTGCGCCCGGCCACACTCAGTCATTCTTAGACACTTACTGTGATTTCTCACTTGAAAATTCCTTTTTATTTAAATTAGGATTAGTCAGTACAACCATCACCATCTTTAGCATCCTTTGGTCTCTTTATGGGGCACGGTGACTTCTGGGGCCTCACTTAGACTAATGCAGCATTCAAGACATTACAAGAAACACAATGAAGAAAACATGCACATAAACCAATACAAATACTGAGAAGTGAAGAAGGAAAAGGAAATTGAATGCATGAAAGAAGCTATTTTTTAAAAAGATGATGTTAAAAAAGCCAAAAGCCACTAAAAGAATGAAGATTTGACCGTCCAGAGGCTGAAAAAAAAATAAATACAAACTAATGATCCTAGATTCTCATAAAACACAATACGGAATGGGTCAACTGAATTTACATGTCAGTAGAATTGCCTTTTTACTGGTCAACTTGTCTAAAAGATTTCCAAACATGTGTACACATGCAACAACCTAGAGTTGGAGGGCTCCAGTACAATAAAAGCATGCTAGGAAAATAGACAAATTTACTTTGATGCTCTATAAGGGAGGCATAGTATAATTTTCTGTTTTGGTTATAAACTATGGCCTAAAATAACTCTTAAAGGCTAGATCACACAAAAAATTTCACAGAAGTAAAACTCGTAGTACAACATTCACTTTTCTGGCAACATTTGTCCATTTCTAGTGGACAAATTACCCTACCAGAGGAGAGGAAGATGGTCCAACACAGAAATATTAAAAAAAAAAAAAGTTTCACTTTTATAGGTTTCTGGCAACAACCAGATCATTTCAGACTCTATCTATCACAACCACTTTCAATCGTCAAGTACTTAAACATATCTACTCTGTGTTCTGGACTCTGGGGACACAGCAGTGGGGAAAACCACATTCTAAAGGGGAGACAGACAGACACATGAATGAAAATCTAATGTCAGCTGGTGATGAGTGCAATGGAGATACGGGTAAGTGAGTGGGGAAGGGCTGCTATAGTACACAGGATGGAGAGCGAAGGAGTCTCTGATCCATGCAGAGTAAGTGACTCTGTATAGTAGAGGATGGAGGGCCAGGAGTAGGGGCAGTCCAGGCAGAGGGGAGGGGTGGAGTGGGTGAGTACATGCATGTATGCCAAGCAAAGCAAGGAGGCCAGAGCGGCTGCAGCAGGCGGGTGAGGGAGAGTGGCAGGAGATGAGTGAGGGAGAGGGCAGGGGCCAGGCTGGTGGGGTCTCAAGGGCATTGCTCAAGGCTGGTCAAACTGGCAGCCAAATGTGATCACGAGGGCTAGGCTATTTATTAAGTAGCCACTTTATCCTATGAAAAAATGGCAATGAGTCCCTACTGTTTTAGTTTTGATCTCAGAACTGACTGCCCTGCCTGCTAACACTGACCCCAGCCAGGATGTCAGCCCACTAATGCATCAAGAATGATATAAATCATTCCCCAAACTGACACCAACACAAACTCTCAATATTGTGGGTGTAATGTGTTTATGCGATCTCGACTCACCGCAAACTCTGCCACCCGGGTTCAAGCAATTCTCCTGTCTCAGCCTCCCGAGTAGCTGGGACTACAGGTGTGTGCCACCATACCTGGCTAATTTTTGTATTTTTAGTAGAGATGGGGTTTCGCCATGTTGGCCAGGCTGGAAAACTACCTTTTTTTCTTTTTTCTTTTTTTATTTTTTAGTTGAAACTCAAGATAAAATAAGTAAGCAAATGGAGAATTCAAGGCCTGAGAGGTCTCACAGAAGGAGAGCAAGGAGCTGGTGCTTGGATTCCCTGCACTGACGCCCCCAGACACTCTTGCACACTCATTCCCTCCTGGCAGAATGGAGAAAACGCTCCTTCTCCTTTGAAGGCCAATCCTTCTTCTTATGGCTGTGGCTCTCTTCCCCTTCTCAAGGGAACTTGTTTCTGAGTGATTCTCTCCCTCTAGAACCAAACTATCAATGCACCAAGGCAATCTAGTTTCTCTCACTTAACATGCCATTGAACTCATATGCCCCATGCAACTTTTCATTGTCTGGAGCCCATTTTCTTCCCCTCTCCTACCTTCTCCCGGGTCCTGAACTTAATGACACAAAAGCTATGGAAAGCCTTGTTGGTAAAGTTTTATGTAATTAAGATTGATTTTTTTATAGGTTTTCTTAGCACAGCTGTACAAGTTATTCTAAAGGAAGAAAACATCAAATTTGAAAAGTAATCGGAAGAAGAGAGAGAGTGGGAAGATGTAAACCACAGCTGTTAAAAGTCAGAGATGCGTGATTAACGTAGCCAGGGATTGTATTTTTCTTAAAAAATTTAAATATTTTTAATAAGCTTTTCACATCATACCATTAATACAAGATTATTTTAACTAGCAAAAATGCAATACAAAAATATGTAAAAGCATAGCTAATTCTCCCCATCTTCAATCACACCCATCCATAAAGAAACCTGTGATAAGAGCGTCTATCTCCTCCTCTCTTGTCTTTCCTGATACACCCTGTTCAGCCCTCATCAGCCCTACTACTCACTGAAAGTGCTCTTATCAATATCACCAATAATCCACCTTGTCAAATCCAGTAACTCCTCTTCCTTCCTCATTTGCCCAACCATCAGCACTGGGTGTTGCCTGCCACTCCCTCCTTTTAATCCCTTTTCGTGGACTTCCTGCTCTGCCTGGTGAGGTCTCTGTTGGTTCAGCTCTCACCTCCCTGGCTGCTGCTTCTCAGGCTCCTTTGCTAGCTCTTCCTCCTTCAACTGACCCCCCTAGATGTGGGGCTGCCCCAGGCATAGTCCTGAGCCTTCTCCACTCTTTATATGCTCTGCATGTGACTTTGCCCTTGTCCCTGGATTTAAGTAACATATTTATGCTGAAGATTCCCACTTAAAACTCTAACTCAGATCTCTCCTTTGAGCATGAGACTCAAATATCTAACTCCCTATTTGACACTGCCACTTGGATGATATTTAACATGTACCACAAACTTAACACGTCCAAAATATTTATCCTCCTAATCTCATCCTACACAACCCACTGCCAACTCACTGATAAATGGTACCAGTTTCTCAGATTCAAAATCTCAGTCATTCCTCAGGCATCCTTTTTTCTCAGCCTTCCAACATGCAATCCCTTAGTGTGTCTTCGCAATTCTACCTTCTAGGTATATTCCAAACTCACCAGCCCACCTTGTCCACAGTCACCACTCTAGCCTGGGCCACCTTATCTCTTATCTGGTCTACTGCTACCAATGTCCATCTGCTCTCTCTGCTTCCTTATCACCCCCTCTAATCTGTTCTTCACAAAACGGAAAATGATTTTCTTACATCAAAACCATGTCTCTCTCCAGTATAAAACTCTGCAGTGACTCCCATCACACTTGGAATGAATCTGACATTCCCTAACACGGCCATGAGGCTCTCTGCCTTCCCCCTGCCCTTCATCCACTCCCCCCTTACTCACTGGGCTTCTCTTAGGTCCTCTCTGAGACCAAGTGCTTTGTTCTCAGGGCCTTTGCTTTAACGTTCTGGGCCGCCTGTCCCCCATTTTCACTTGGTTAGCTCCCGCTGAGCCTTTAGGTTTCAAGTGAAAACTCAGGGGAACTTCCCGTGACCACTCCAACTGCACAGGGCCTTCTGCCATTCTCGGCTGCAGTCTTTGTTTATTTCATGCACAGCTCTTCTCCCAACTTGCAATGCTGACATTTATTTTCTGTTCACTTGTTTTTGCCTGTATTTCTCATAAGGGCAAAGACAACATCTCTTCACGTCGCTGCTACATTCCCAGTGTTTACAACAATGCTTGGCACATGGCAAATTCTCAATAAAAACAAACTGACGGGATGAATGAAAGGGGTTCTTCCCCATCCCACCTCCACCCATCAATGCTGACAGAGAATTTCTGATGAAGGCAAGGAAAGGCAGCCATACATAGACATAAATGAATTGTAAATCCAAACAGGTGAGCTTTAGGAATCCCAGAACACTCCTTCGTTGCTCTTATTTCTAAGGATTCTGAGCAATGGTGTCAAAGCATTTCCAAACACAATCAAATCTGCAGATTCTTAAACAACATGCCATCCACAGTTCAGATTATACTCTTTCTAAGTCTCTTCCAAATACTTAAATTAGCTATATACATATTAAATTCTGGAATTGAATTAGATATATCCTAGGCAAAACAGAAAACTTGAGGCTCCAGATGTAGGTAGCACATATATAATGATTTTTTACTTGCAGGCTAAATGATTTTCTATTTGAAAGCCAATTTCACAATCACCCTCTACCTGAACTGAGATCAAAAAAGCATGCTGTTTAAAGACATGCTTGTATGCATATATTAATGTTTATGGCTACTTCTATACAGGCATATGTATACAAATGTACACACATAGAGGCTAGGAGGAAACAAAGAGTCATCTATTACTTGATTCAGAACTAACTGGTAGATGCTCTTAAAGACAGAATTAAAATGGGCTGCATTTGTCAATTCAGCCTGAGAAGATGGTTTAAATTTTTCTTTTGAGACATGAACCAACATAAATGATGAAGCTTTCTCTAGTGTCTTAACAAAGCCACAGTGTTTTATATCAATTTCTGCATGAAGACCCAGAACTAACTACCTCAGAGTACTCAACTGTTTAATTGTGACAGCCTGATCAGAGAAGCCAGCACCACTTCTCAGGGCAATTCAACTTTGAAGCAATGAGTTTATGTACGAAGAACATGAGCACACATCCATGCTGTATTTTCAACTAACAGCTGAATGTCCTCTTTCCCCGTCTTCTGCTTTACACTGAGCTCCCAGGGGCAGGAGCAAGAAGACAAGCTTCTACAGGACAGTTGGCGTTTGGATGAATATTGAAAGATGTGTGGAATTTCAGAAAATAGTAAAGAAAAATGAGCAGAACCAGGATGGGTCATGGAGAAACGAGGCAGAGGTGAGTCTGAGTATGGTGGTCCGGGGCTACGGGGCGGCACTGGGGCGCGGCTGTATGAAGAAGAGCATCAAAAGTTGTGTGGAGGAGCATGTACCCAACACAGACAATGACAAGGAACTTGCATGTGTTTCTATGAGGTACCCTCACAATGCCTTCCACTTCACAATATTTTACTACCATTTTTATAACTATGACAACATTTCTGTCTATATCTTACATTGAGTCAGCACAGAGGGTGAACAGAGAATAATCCAGTCTACCTCCCTAAAACCAGGTCAAGGTACACTTAATCCAAATCAAAAGACTACACTTGTGGAGATGGAAATTTTTTCCTCCCTCCTTCACAGACCAATGACAGTAATGCCAGTAATGGTTTTTCCTTTAGGGAGATAATGGAATATCCCCAGCACTGGGTCTATTTTTACTCACCCATCACCCGTCGACCATCAGTGTAACTCCAGGCAAAGCAAGTGGAGGGGAGGGGAGGGAAGAAATCTGTGTAGCAGGTGGACAGCCCACACGAAGCTCCTATTGTCTCTCCTCTCCTTTTGTTCTAAAACAGTATGGCAGAAAGCCAAAAACAGTTGAGTTTTGCTGGCAAACTAAAATGTTGCCCCGGGGGTTTAAGAAAAGCAGGAAAAGATTACCCCCAACTCTTTTCTGCCAAGCCTTCTCTAGGCAGAGCAAATCTAAACAATGATCACAGTTGTGTTTCTAGATGGCCTGCTAATCCTATTAATTGTCTACCATCACCTATTAGGGAGGCAGAAATAGGGTGAGAGACACTGGGACAGATGTAACCCTGCAGGTAGAAAAATCACCTGCTTTTATGAGTACAGAAGTGGCCATCCAGACTCACCGCACAAGGGGCAGAGGTCTTGGGCTACAATTTCCAAAACAGATCTGTGAATATTCTTCTGAATTTGAGTTAGAAGGTGGCTGGTGCCAGCGTTGGCATGAATGCCAATCCCTGAATATGATCCTGAGAGAAGTCAACCAGAGATAAGATGACAAAAGCAAAAGAGTAAATAAAGTTTTATTTTATTTCTGAATATATTTCAAGTGGGGGTTCAAGCTGCCACATGGTGACCAACACTAAGACTTAAATAAAAATCTAAGTGTGTGTCTATACAGGCACACCTCATAGATACTGTAGCTCAGGTCCAGGCCACTATAATAGAGCAAGTATCAAAAAAGAAGAAAGTCACACCCACTTCTGGTTTCCCAGTACATATAAAAGCTGTTTACACTAGTGTACAAAGCAATAGCATTATGTCTTAAAAAAAAGTACCTACCTTAATTTAAAAACACTTTATTGCTATAAAATGCTAATGATCATCTGGGTCTTCAGTGAGTTGTAATCTTTTTTCTGGTGGAGGGGTATCTTGCCTCAATGTTGATGACTGCTGATGATTGGGATGGTGGTTGCTGAAGGATGGGGTTGCTGTGGCAATTTCTTAAAACAACAATGAAGTTTGCCCACTGGTTGACTCCTCCTTTCATGAAAGACTTCTGTAACATGCAATGCTGTTTGATAGCATTTTGCTCACAGTAGAATTTCTTTCAAAACTGGTGTGAAGCCTCTCAAGCCCTGCCACTGATTTATCAACAAAGTTTATGGAATATTCTAAATTCTTTGTTGTCATTTCAACAATGTTCACAGCATCTCCAGCAGGAATAGATTCCATCTCAAGAAACCAATTTCTTTGCTCATTCACAAGAAGGCAACTCCTCATCCATTCAAATTTGGTCATTAGATTGCAGCAATTCAGTCACATCTTCAGACTCTACTTCTAATTCTAGATCTCTTGCTATTTCCACATCTGCAGTGACTTCCCCCATAGAGGTCCTGAATCCCTCAAAGTCATTCCTGAAGGGTGGAATCAACCTCTTCCAAACTCATGTTAATGTTGATATTTTGACCTCCTCCCATGAATCATAAATGTTCCTCATGGCATCTAGAATGGTGAATCCTGTCCAGAAGGGTTTCAATTTACTCTGCCCAGATCCATCCATTTGTAAGGCAACTACAGCCTTACAAATGTAGTCAAAATTACTCCTTCATCCATGGGCTGCAGAATGGATATTGTGTTAGCAGGTATAAACACAACATTCATCTCTTTGTACAGCTCCATCAGAGCTCTTGGGTGACTAGGTGCATTGTCAATGAGCAGTAAATATTTGGAAAGGAATTGTTCTAAGCAGTAGGTCTCAACAGTGTGCTTAACAGATTCAGTAAACCACTGTAAGCAGATGTGCTGTCATCCAGGCCATTTCTAGAGCACACGCAGAGTGAATTTAGCACAATTCTTTTTTTGTTTGTTTTTTCGTTTCTGTTGAAGAGACAAAGTCTTGCTCTGTCGCCCAGGCTGGAGTGCACTGGTGCAATCATGGCTCACTGAAGCCTTGAACCCCTGAGCTCAAGTGATCCTCCTGTCTCAGCCTCTTGAGAAGCTAGAACTACAGGCACATGCCACCATGCTTGGCTAATTTTTAAATTTTTTGTAGATAAATTTTGTATGGGATTGCACCACATTGCCAGGCTCATCTTGAGCTCCTGGCCCGAGAGTTCCTACTGCCTTGGTCTCCTAAAGCATTGGGATGACAGGCATGAGTCACTGTGCCCAGCTAATTTAGCACAATTCTTAAGGGCCCTAGGATTTTAAGAATGGTAAATGTGCACTAGCTTCAACTTAAAATCACCAGCTGCATTAGCCCCTAATAGAATCAACCTGTCCTTTGGAACTTTGGAACTTTGAAACTTTGGAACTTTGAAGCCAGGCAGACTTCTCTTTAGCTATGAAAGTCCTAGATGACATCTTCTTCCAACAGAAGGCTGTTCTGCCTATATTGAAAATGTTTTAGTACAGCCACCTTCATCAATTATTTTAGCTAGATCTTCAGGATAACTTGCTGCAGCTTCTACATCAGCACTTGCTGCTTCACCTTGAACTTTTATGTTGTGCAGATGGCTTCGTTCCTTAAACTTCATGAACCAACCTCTGCTAGCTCCCTAATGTTCTGCAGCTTTCTCATGTCTTTTAGTCTTCACAGAACTGAAGAAAGTTAGGGCTTTGCTATGGATTAGGCCTTGGCTTAAGGGAAGGTTGCAGCTGGTTTCATCTTCTATCCAGACCACTCAAACTTTCTCCATATCAGCAATAAGGCTGTTTTGCTTTCTTACCATTCATGTGTTCACTGGCATAGCACTTTTTATTTCTTTCAAGAACTTTTCCTTTGCATTCACAAGTTGGCTGTTTGGTGCAAGAGGCACCTATAGCTTTTGGCTTATTTTGGCTTTTGACATACCTTCCTCACTAAGCATAATAATTTCTAGCTTTTGATTTAAAGTGAGAGATGTGCATGTTTTCCTTGCATTTGAACATTTGGAGGCCACTGTAGGGTTATTATTTGGCCTAATTTTAACAGTGTTATGTCTCAGGGAATAGGGCGGTCTGACGAGAGGGAGAGAGATGAGGGTATAGCTGACGGATGGAGCAGTCAGAACACACACAGCATTTTTCAGTTAAGTTCACCACCTTCTATGAGCGCATTTGTGATGCCCCAGAACAATGACGATCGTCACATCAAAGCTCACTGTGATGTAATAATGAAAAAGCTTGAAACATTGTGAGAATTATCAAAATGTGACAGACACGAACTGAGCACATGCTGTTGGGAAAATGGTGGTAACAGACTTGTTCAACACAAGGTTGCTTCAAACCTTCAGTTTTTAAAAAACGAGGAATCTGCAAAGTACAATACAATAAAGCAAAATAAAACGAGTTATGCCTGTATGACATAAATAAACTAATGGAAAAGGCAGTAAAATCTCCATTAATATGTAACAAGGAGACTAGAAGTGAACATTAACATTCATTATAAAATATTTAGTATTTAAAACTATTTATAAAACAAGTCATTAAATAAATCATATTTACAAATCATAAAAATATAAATTTGTGGTCCCTCATTGTCTTCCCTTTTACACTGAGTATTGTTATCTAATAGGTTCTGTAAGGATCTACAAAGTAATCACAAGATACTTACATGGTGTAGAAACTATAGTTTTTAGAGGTAAGAAAGCTTAGGGATTTAGAGGCCATTTAGTCTAATTAATTTTTTTTTTTTTTTTTAGAGATAGGGTCTTGCTGGAGTGCAGTGGCACAATCATAGTTCACTGTAACCTTGAACTCCTGGGCTCAAATGATCATCCTGCCTCAGCCTCCTGAGTGGCTAGTACTACAGTTGTATACCACCGTGCCTGGCTAATTAAAAAAAAATATATATATTTTTTTGTAGAAATGGAGTCTTGCTATGTTACCCAGGCTGGTCTTGGACTTTTGGTCTCAAGTGATCTCCCTGCACCAGCCTCTCAAAGTGCTGGGATTCCAGCTATAAGGCACTGTGCCTGGCTAACATGTTTATTTAAGAGGTGAAAAAAAAATCCTGAGCTATAGCGAGAATAACTTATCTTGATAACAAAATGTGCAGGATTAGCATAGATCTGGAGTTGTAAGTTCTAGTCTTGGCTCTGTCAACTGTTAACAGTGTAACCTCTGTTAATACACTTACACTGACTGAATTTTAGTTTCCTTGTCTGTAAAATAAGAGGGCTCCATTAGATGAACTCTAATGTACGTGCAATTGGAAGGCATATAACTTGTCCTGAGGCCAGAATCATATTAGTGGAAAAACATACCACCTAGGAAAAAGCAAAGGAGGCAGCTATGAAATTAGGGACCTGATTACCTTTCTGTAGGTGGGTTCGTGCCATGCTTCCATTCCAAACACCAGGCCCAAGGATGGACTGTGTCCACATCCTGCTCAGGGACTGTGAAGGAGGGCAGTTGGGAGTTGGTCACCCCAGGCAAGATGCTGACTTAGCAGAGAATCAAACACCTGGAGAGCCATCTGGACACTAGCTTACACAGCTTCCTCACCGTGCCAGGCAATCCCTCAGAGTCCATCCTAATGCCCAAATATTCCCATACGCTTGCATCACGCTTCATGTTCTAGAAACAGTATTAAATTTCTTTCTCCAAGGGAGGAGTGCCTCCTTAACAGGTGCTTCTGTCTTTGTAGTATGTGATTTCTGCTGTCAACAATTACAGTATCTGAAAATTCTATTTTTTAGGAGCCTTCATTTTTCCAATCCTGATCCTGAGATTTAGGTACCTGGCCACCAGGTGGCATTTGGGTGCCCTGATCTCAGGGTCTACACCAAAAAGCTCTTGCCAAAGGCCTTTTTTTGCCTTGTGTGGCAGACTGCTAGTTGTCCCGCAATATCTATCTATTCCTCCTGTTTCCTTGATAAAAAGGCCCTAATTTTTAGCTAGTCACATTTTTTTTTTCTGGGAATAAAACTACATCTCAAAACCTCTTTGCAACCGAGTGTGAGTATGTTTTCACCAATAAGACATAAGCAGATAGAGGATGCAAGTCACTTCCTAACAAACATCTTTATAAGCCAGCTGACACATACCCATTCACCATATCATAGGTTATGTAGTCTCAGGTTGCTGCAGAGTAATGTCCTCTTTTAGACATGGTAGAGAATTTATGTACAGTGGAGCAGAGACTGCAGCAACTACAGACTTCAGCCACATAACTTACTTCTCTATTATAAGACAGCAAGAAAACAGACTTATCTTCCAGAGTCACACAGCTGGTATCCAGAGAAGGAGAAAGGGATACAAGTATGTACACTCTGAATATGAACACTACGCTCTCAAGCTAGAATGCCTGCATGATGGGGGAAATTCTAAAGTAAAATATGTTGCCATGAAGCGTAATATCAGAAATAACACAAATGCTCAGGCAATAAATCAGCAAGAACCGATACCAATTCAAGCAGTTTCCTAACCATATGAAAATAGAGTGACCCCTCAGAAAGTTTCTTTTTGAAAATGCTGCCCCATTCACTCTTCACTAAAACGTTCTGAAAATTTCTGACCTATACCCAATCACACGAACACGCTGCTATGGGAAGACACTGCCACTCGTTCACTAGTCAGCTCACCAAGGATGTGGATGAGTCAACACTCAAAAGCTGCATGTGTCATGAACTTGGCGCAGAAGTTAATGAGTATTGAAACACGAATTAATGTTCTGAAAATATGTTCTTTGAATGGCAAAGCCTATATGCTAGCAAGCACAAATCAGCTATCACTAAGATTAGAAAAATCTGAATTAAAGGGAAAAAAAATCCCACTCCCTCCACCCCAAGGCATGTTGGTAAAGCCAAAGATTCTTCTTACTTTAGCATTTTGGCTCGGCTGCAAAGCAAACCGCCTTAGGGATGTTACTGATGTTTCATATGTACTATAGCAGGTAATCCCCAGAAAAGCCAAATTCCTATTAAGTATAAGAGAACAACAGTAAAGATAATAAAATCAATGTTAACTACTTATAAAATCTTTATTATTTTTCCTTTGTATTAAGTTTGCTCCCCTTCTTAAAATATGAGTACTTGGATTCTCTTAATTTATACTGACTTTTATAAAATGTAGATGCTTGTTAATGGAGTTGATTCAGGGTATAGACTCAGTTAAGTGTTCTTTTCAGGTCTATAAATTTTGTCTTTCATTTTGCAAGAAGAAAAGCCAATCTCTAGCTGGCTGAACAATGATGAAACACTGAGGAATCAAAGTGTATTTTTGCTACATTAAATTCCTTTGTGACACCACATTCAACCACAGTACACTATTCCATCAACTGAGAAGTGCCCCAGGCAACCATCGCACAGGGTACTGAGAGTAGGATTATTATTTTCTTGAATTTACTGTAACAAAAAAGCAGAAGCAGTCTTTGAACAAAGGGCAGTGGTAAAATTGTTCAGGAATCTCAGTGGGGAACTGGGCATTAAAAAACACCCATTCCCTCAAAGCCCTGCCCAACTTCCATCCCTCCTGTGAAGGCTTCCTCCTTTACCCAAGCCAGGATGGCCTCTGACCACCACAGCACTGACCGAAGCCTGTGCCTTTCCCCTGACCACTGTGATAACATCCTTGGGTTCTTCAATCTTTTCACATCTGTATGTTTCAACTTTCTAGTCAGGGGCAGTGCTTATGTCTGGAATTTCTTTGTATTCAAACAGTACCTGGCGTTGCATATCATACTATGAATATTTATTGATAGGCAACATTTAACTATCATTTCCCTATTACTTCACTTTGTTTAAAATGAAACATATTGCTGACTGTAAATGTAGACAGATTTTTCAGGTAAATTCACTTACCACCAAATCTGTTTTACAAATATAATTTCTATGTTCAATATTTCAACTTCTTTTTAAAAGACAATGGCACACAAATTTTAATCAATATTACGTGGTTGTATCATTCACAATAAAAAGCAGGAAAAAGATGAATCAATTGCAGATTTGATAAACCTATCTAAAACTGAATTCTTATCTGTGTTCCAGATTGGAAGATAAACTGACAGTGTTTCTAGGATCAGATTTTCAAAACTGTATTTCTGGTACAGATCAATTTTCTACCCACAGCTATAATCAGGAATGGATGAAGGCTGTGTAGAGAGCAGCTCTGTTTTGTGTCTGTCTGTAAAATATGACACCAGATCCCTCACCTTCCCAGTCGAGATGCTCAGGGTCTTAAGGGAATATATTAACAGATCACACAAAGAGGAGCACTCTGTGGCTCATTTAGCCATGTTTCTTTGGCCCTTCTCCTTCTCCTTGGCTGGTCTATTTTATCAGCTACACCACCAGGTAGGCAGTGCCATTAAAAGAGGTTCTTGGTCATAGTGTTGACTAACCATGCACAGTAATCTGTGCTGCAGTATTCACATCAAAATGATAATATGCCTCACGGAATGAACAAAGAAATGAAACATAGCCTGGGAGATAAGATACTCTTTTCAAGTCACCTATGAGGTAAATACAAACCCCAGGGTCAAGTGGAATCAAAAGTAACATTATCCTAAAGTAATTGAAAATGAAAATAAAATGTAATAGAAGCAAAAATGTGGCTTCTATTACACACCTTTAGGATGCTTTCCATTCATCCACAAATCCCTCTCCAGAGTCTGCTTTTTACAATGGGAGGTCATTGTTGGCAACACTGCCAAGAGCCTAATCAAAATGTGAGAACATCTGTCACGCTCTCATTGCATGTCAAAGCTCTGCTGCACACATACACTTGAATCTAAACCACTGCACAACAGATTTTAAGCCATACAAGTCAATGATGTTGTGACATCATATTGTGCTTCAAAGGCACCTTTTACACAACGAAAGAATTCTATTTTAATAACAGTACTACGTGTATGAGGTATATAATCAGTAGATACAAATCTTCTATTGGCATTATACATACAGGCTATACCCTGTTTATGGGCAAAGTTGCATTTTCTAAATATGGAAATGAAGAGCAACGCATTAAGATCTGTACTATCCAGGTACTGTTTAAATATTTATCATGAGTCTTTTTATTCCTCCTATTACAGCAGTACAAATAAAAAACTGTAAGTATTTAAGAGGCTCAATGCCCGGAACTTTTGTTTGGGAAGTGGAGAGCCAGGTACAGGGAAATTCTGGGAGAGTTCCAGTGCCACAGGCACCTGGCAGCGCCGAAGCGCATGTTCTCCACGGTTTAACCTGGACATTCCAGGCTGCTATGTATGTGGCTGTTAGGTTTGTATTCCACAGAAGCACTTTCTTAGCTGCCATGTTTTATCTTTTCATTTGTAAATGAAAACAATATATATTAGGTGGTAACTAGCTTGTCATCTATAAAGAATATTACCATTATCAGAATAGGAAAAAAAAGCCATCTAATAGAGGAAACACCCCAATCATACTAAGCAGTAAGAGATATTTCCCTGGAAGAAGCGGCCTCCCTGGCAGTTGTCATTATTATAGGGGTCCTTCCCTTTCCCAGACTCCAAAGGCAATTATACACTTGGGTACTAAATGTCTGTGGGAAGTGGAAAAAAGGGGAAAACAGTATCTTTTTTTACACAGAGCTGAGCCCCCTCATAGACATGAGAAGATTAGGATCTCTCTCGTGCAACCCTACCCCGTCCTACCTAGGGCAGCTGAGAGTGTGCTCTTGAGAGCAGAGGAGAGAACACTTGCTGGGTGCTGCCTGGGTGTCCCTGACATTCCTGATAGGAGAGGCACACCTATCCTTGCTGGGGATACCCAGGCAAGGACCAGAACAAGGCCCTGAGAAAACCAAATGTCACAACTGATAGGGACACATTTTCTACAAATTAGAGGAAAAAAAAGAGCAAAGAATGCCAGACTAAAAGTGAACAGATGTTAGAAAATTGGTATAGGATGAGGGTGAATTTATGAACCATGAAAATACCAGACAGGGGCTACAGGCCCCTACAGGATCTCCCTCCAGGCAATGGCTCACCATGAAAACAAAATAAGCAGCAGCCAAATAAATAGGAAACTAAAAGTCTGTTACATTTATTTCTAACGTTGATTGAAAAAAATAGATTATATTCTATTGCCAGATCTTGAATATACCTTATCTCTTAATAATCCCACAGGAATCCTAAAAAACAGATACTATCAATCTCTACTTTACAGTTGAAAAAACTGTGGCAGAAAGGTTAAATGACTTGCCCCACGTGGATTTCAGGCCTGTCTGACAGAGCTTCTTGACCCTGTATGTCTTCTCGGCCCTGTATGTCTATCAAGAATGTTGTACTTTTAAATGCTATTTACATAGATGAAGATTCTGCAAACTTTTTCTTAAAGGCCATATATTAAATATTTCAGGCCTTCTGGGACATAGAGTTTCTGTTGCAACCACTCTAAGTGCCAAAGCAACCACAGGCAATATGTAAACAAATGGGCATGTGTTCTCCAATAAAACAGGAGGCCAGTTTGCCAACTGCTGATGTAGAACAGGGGCTGATAAATCATAGCTCTACACCAAATCCAGCCCACCACCTGTTTTAGTAAACAAAGCTTTATTCATGATCTAGATGTAGCCTATCATCTAGACCATTTCTAGACAATTGAAGGGTAATTCACCAAGCTATAATAATGCCCTAGTTTCACAGAAACATTGTGGGGAACATCCAGCGCTCTTTATTCTCATCTTCCTTCACAAACAATGTTCTGATTCCTAATCTGTGGCCTGTGTGGTCCAGCCCTCCAGGTGGGAGGGGCCTTGATAAACACCTGGTGCCCTATTGGTGACCTCTCATTGCAAAGGAACAGAGACATTCTTCGTCATCATCAATCAACCAGTGATTCAGTTTCTGGAAGACTCAGTACCCTTGGGGAGCTGAAAAAACAAAAAAGGAGATTCTTAACCTGAAAAGATGGTGGCCAAAGACGAAGCTTGTGGTGACATGACAATTAATTAATTTATTCATTCAAATGTTTTATTGAGTGTCTACTCTGTGTCATGCAGAAATGCACATGAACTTCAGACTAAAAACACTGACTCACAGCACTTAAGTCCATACTTTACATAGAGCAAATCCCCATGTTATTTACAACACCAAAAGACCTGAGCTAGAACACAAACCATATTCAAGCAAGCAGATTGACACAGACAGAAATGTTACAATAGGAGCCCCAAGAGAAAGAACTCCAGCTTCCTGTCAAGAGTAGCAGCCATAGGAGCAGAACCTGCAGGCTATGGGAGGGCAGCGACTATGCCAGCTCACTGCTGAATCCTGAGTGTTTGGCTCAATGACCGTCAACCGTGGGGGCTACAAAATACTAGTTGTCATGAATTACCTCCACTGCTTCTGATAAGCTACAGTGTGAATGGCCCAGCCTGAAAGTCAGACTTCCTAACTCTCACATTAATGAGATCATATTCTCCATACCTGGACTGTCTGGTAATCAGAAGCATCAATTCCTTTTACGGTCACCTCTCGGAAAACTCTTGGCTCCAGCTCCTCTTTGGTAAGATCACAGTGATAAATGATACCTAAAAAGTAGAATAAGGCTTGGTTTAGTCTACGGGACTCACTAGATTCAAAGGGGGCAAGGATCACAAACCACAACCAAATGCCAGCAATGGCAAGAGAGGATCATTTATCAGGGACTTGGTTAATCCCCACCACAGTCGAAGGCTCACTGCAGACAAGTGCTTAGAACAGAGTCTGGCATGAGGGGTGCTATGTAAGTGTTCATCCTCATCATCACCATCTCATGCAGCCTTCTTTTTTATAACACTAGTAAGTATATACATTTTAGAAGATTCTAATGCATTCTGTGAATATGAGAAAAGGTGAGAAACCTAATTGCAGAAATTTAACTCGTCTTCCCCAAGCTGGGTCACTTAGGAATGCAGGTCAAAAAAATGGTAGACTTCATCTAGTGCCATTTGACCTGGGAGGTGACTGACAAAAAACTCAAGTGATTTGCCCAGGGTCAAGAGCCAGTCAGGGGTCTCTTGACAAACACTCTGGGGCTCCTGCTACCTGGCACCTACCTATCTGTGGACACTCATGTGGACAGCAATCACGGACCAAAGATGATCAGTAGATATTTCAAAATTGCTTTTCCAATTTGGATTGTCCCAGTAATTGTGCACGACACAAAATGATTAATATACATACTAAGAATTCCAGCGTATGTAACACTAATTAAACATTTCCCAAATTTAATGCTACTACTTTCTAACATTTAAGAACTAAATCAAAGAAATAATAAGACAAGTCATTAATGTTTGAAAACAATGACACTGCTGTGGTTTATAAAACAGAATTAGTCATCCACAGAGTGGCTGGTGTGGAAATAGCACCTCCCCACATAATACTTTGAGCATATGCTGTCAAGTATATGAAAAATTGATTTAGTGATCCCATCAGTACTTGCTGGAAAACCAAAAACCAAACGGTACTCCCACAGAGCACATTTAAATGGAATAATCATTATTAAAATGTCAGTCCTTTCTTTCTTCTCGACTCCTCTGTGTATGCACTTCACTAACAGCTGGGAAACAATACGCTGCCCCCGACCGGAAAGGAGTAATACATTTAGATCCGTGAACAGCACAGCTGCTAATCCTTATGAATGTTGTCTCAATTCTCATGATTGCAGACAAACTGTTTTAAGGTTACCATAACAGGGTATACGATTAACGCTGACAGTAAGATGTATAACATGACTCAAGTATTGACTTTCTTAGTTTAAGTTATGCTTGGATATTTGTTAGAATATACCTTTATATATACTTCCAATTGCATTCTGTGAGCATGTATTCTAATTTACCAGATATAATGAATACTGTACTTGCCTAAATAAATGTAATCTTGGGGTAAAAGGCTATCTCTTGTGGTATATTTTAATTTTTAAGAGCTTCTTGATCAGTACCCGGTGCCCCCCACAAACACAAAAAGCATGTGAATCCTTGAAAAAAAGTATAAAT
Source organism: Homo sapiens (assembly GCF_000001405.40). Taxonomy (NCBI): domain Eukaryota; kingdom Metazoa; phylum Chordata; class Mammalia; order Primates; family Hominidae; genus Homo; species Homo sapiens. The sequence goes on from NC_000006.12 coordinate 105,325,215, forward strand.
AATCAAACAACAACAACAAAAAGACAACGTGCAGACCAAGCATGCACCATTTGAGCACCTGCCTCACCCTGGCATCACCACGACCTGTAGTACAGCAAATGACAAAGGCCTAGGGAGCCAAAATTCCCAGCTCTGAAAGTTGCTAGCTCAGTGACCTGAGACAAGGCACCAAAGTACTAGAATGCAAGTTCTGTAGTGAAAGACAATGAGTAGGAAATATACTCTAAATGCCTGTTTATCTAGAAAGGTTGAGACATCAAATCTAACCACAGAATGAAATAAATATGCAACAGGGGCTGGTTACTGTACACGGAAAGAGTTTCAAATGCCTGACCTCCCTATTCTTCTGTCCTGTGCACCAGAAGTGGTACCTTGAAGGAGGCTGTGTTAAACCTGAAGGTACTGGCACTTAATATATTTTATCGATACTTTCTGTTTATAGATCCATCTAGGTTAGCCCATTGCATATTCACAGCATAATGTGAATCCCTATAATCTAATGATGCTTTGTGTCCCATCTGATTTGGCTCAGAGGATAAGAACAAGGAAGGTGGGGTTTGAAGAAAACATCCTAGACTCATAAACCAGAGTTGGTCAGGTGATCGCTAGGAAATAAATTTCAAAGTTTAAGGGTGAAAAAAGAGAACTGAACTGTGGAAGTCCCTTAAGGCCAGAGAAGGTATCTGGACTTGAGAAGGAGGCAGGGAGATCAGTTGGTATGTTCCCAGTGTAATCTGAAATAAATGTAAGGAGAAGTAGGAGTAGTCAGGAGAAAGACAGACAACTCTAGGAGAACCTACCAAAACAAGAATCAGGGGATCCGAAAAGTCACGTATGTAAAAAGGCGGCAAACTTTGTAACCCATGGAGATTTTGTTTTAACTGATTTTAGGTTGGGTTTTAACATTATTCAAAGAAAAAAACAAAAACAAGTCTCAAAAAGTTTTGCCTTTCCCTGATATCCGTGAAAGGTTTTTCTATGATTTCTCACCCCTGACTCCCAGAGCCATGCATATGGGACTGCTCTACTGGATTATTACAACACGCAGGTCTGGAGCTCACCCTAGGCAACTCTCCAAGGTTCCACAAGTACAGAGTTCACCGGTTCAACCACTAAGTGGTTTGAACCACAGAGAATAAGTGCACTGTGCTCTAAGCTGCTATGGCTGCCTGTTTTTTTCCAAATGTGACTCAAGGTGCCAAAGTAAGTCATAAATGGCTTGGGCTCAAGATGTGTTTTCACCATGTACCTCCAAGGAAAACAAAGTCAGCTGGTGTGCACCTGCCAGAGTTATCAAATGTCTGCAGCAGGAAGCTGGAGCTGCAGTTATTTGTGACCCTGGGGCTTTACATATAATTGAGTACCTCTGCTCTTTACTGTAGTAGTGAACAGCTAGCCTTCAGACACCAGTGCAAGACTACTTGTGAGCCTATGTGTATATACCCACACTGACAATCCATGCTTTCATGAGATCTAATCTAATTATCTGATGGCTGTTTTTGCATTTGGTCTCACAAGATCTGAATCCGGAAGCCCCATTCTCTGGTTTTAGAAATCAAATTGCATTCGGCAGAGAAAAGAGAAAAATGGAGGCAAAACTAGTAAAAGGAGACAGACAAAGCTTGGTCAGAAAATTAAAGCTTGGTCAGAAAATGCCTGGCAGTACAGAACGAGGAACACACTTCTCTTTTCAAATTTCACAGCCACAGTCACGGGTAATATTTCATTGTTTGGCACAGAACCCAGCATTTTACACTTGGACAATAAGCCCTTTCTTCCCCAGGTAATGATGAGCTTGTTCCTGACATAAATGGTCACATGCGGTCACTGAAGGAGGTTTACAGGCCTTTGGGGACTCCAGCTTTTTTTAAGAGCAGGTGAGTCACCCTCACTGCCCTCCTCATTGCCCTTTATCCATTTAAACTATTTAAGATACGAAATTTTCCAAAGTAAAACTTCTGTACCCAGTGTAAATTTGAGGAAATTAACTGTGGGCCCTGCAGCAGTGGGCTAAGAATGGCTATCTAGAAGAAATGATTTTCCTCATCTGTCCACTGGCTGCTGCTGTACTCCAGGTTCTAGGGGGAAGAGGGAATGGGGGGAGGTGCAGGACACCCTGAAGTCGAATTCTCGAACGGTCACTTCCTGGCTTCTGGCCCTTGCATGGTTTCCACATTCTTGTGGGTGCTTTTCCTAGCTTCTCTTGATCCGCTGCAAGGTGCTTGGGAAAGTAAAGCCTGGCTAGGTTTTCAAGGTATACTATCAGACCTATTTACAGAACATCATTCTTTTGGTTTTAATAACCCTGACAGCAACCTACCACCACTATAAGATTCCTTATGGATTGCCTGCTCTGTGACTCAGAGGCTCAAAATAACAGTGATGAGACATCACTGTCAACTGGCCAAATCCCAAGAGGAGGACAGGGCCACTTGAGCACCTGCCTTGCTCTCCCCTAAGACTGCTTTTTTTGTCTAATGACCAAACGACTGCAGCAAAACTGAGTGGGACAAAAAGCACTTTGGAGGAGTTCAACATATGTGCATAAGGAAAGTGCAGACTTTTTTCAGCCAGATTGCTTTTAGGACAGGGTCTGCCTGGTCAACTGCAAACTGCTAACTGAGCCAGACTCCTGGGACAAATCAGTGTGTGTATGGCCATGACGCTACAAAAACAGTGCAGATGGACAGAATGGAGGAAAAAAACAAAACAAAGCAAAATGAATGTGACCAATTTTTTTTTTAAGTTAAAAAGAGAGCTATGTTTACTTTGGGGAAAATTAACCCGTACCATGAAATGTAAAACCACAACTTAACAAGTGTTTCCCTTTCCTACTAGAACCAAATAACACCCATGTTTTCATGATGTAAGACTATACTTTTAGAATTACATTTTATTTCAGTTTAACAACAGCAGAATTGATTCTCAGCTTATTCCAGAAAACATTTTTTGTCAGATGTAGCTAAAGATTTTACATTTTGTATCTGCACTGTGTTCTCATGCATATAGACCAAAGACTGAATCAAATGTTGTATTCATTGGTACTAATTTTTTTTTTTTTTGAGATGGAGTCTCACTCTGTTGACAGGCTGGAGTGCAGTGGCGCGATCTCGGCTCACTGCAACCTCCACCTCCCGGGTTCAAGTGATTCTCCTGCCTCAGCCTCCTGAGCAGCTGGGACTATAGGCACGCGCCACCATGCCCAGCTAATTTTTGTATTTTCAGTAGAGACGGGTTTCACCATTTGCCCAGGATGGTCTCAATCTCTTGACCTTGTGACCCGCCTCGGCCTCCCAAAGTGCTGGGATTACAGGAGTGAGACACTGTGCCTGGCCCATTGGTACTAATTTTTAATCAATCTAGAACGTTAGCTGTTCCTGCCTCCAGAGGAACAGAGACTTGGAATATAAGATTAATGAGAGTGCCATTTTAGGCGTTTACATTTCCCTTTGTTCTGGGCATCTGTTCTACCGTTTTATTCCCATTAAGTAATTTTGGCTATAATACAGCATATGTGATTTTCAATAACATAGCATTATACTTCCATTTCCCCAAAGAAACCCAAACACCAGTCGGATTTTTAAAGTGAACAGCAACAGTGAAAAAACACTTACCTGGAGATAAAAAGGAAGTAAACTGATAGAAGATTTCAGTGTCCTTCTTCTGACCGCTGTACCCTACAATGCTGCCGACATCGAGCGGGAAGGTCTTAAGGAGAGCACCAGTAGTCAGGTCATGGAGCTGCAGAATGTTCTTGACGTCATGGAGGTAGCATAAGACCAAGAAGTTGGACCTGACACAAGCTATCCATTCTGAAAGGATAAGAAGAGAAAAAACCTAATGCAATTTAAAAAATTAATGAAAACACATTTAATTGAGCAACAGTTCCAGAGCTACACATAGGGCTATGCAGCAATGAGACTTGCAAAGTCACTTTTACATTTTTTTTTTTTTTTGAGACAGGGTCTTGCTGTGTCGCCCAGGCTTGAGTACAGTAGTGCAATCTCAGCTCACTGCAACCTCTACCTCCCAGGTTCAAGGGATTTTCCTGCCTCAGCCTCCCAAGTGGCTGGGATTACAGGTGTGTGCCACCATGCCTGGCTAATTTTTATATTTTTAGTACAGACGGGGTTTCACTATGTAGGCCAAACTGGTCTTGAACTCCTGGCCTCAAGAGATCTGCCCACCTCGGCCTCCCAAAACTGTTAAGATTACAGGCGTGAGCCACCACGCCCAGCCTTATAATTGGTTTTAATCATTTATCTAGTTCTCAACATATTCCTTTAATAAATGACTGTTTTATTTCCCAAGGAAATAAAATACTCTTGGGCCAGGGGCTTTTGATGACCTAGATAATGTGTGGAATAGTAACCCTGCCTTCCTATTTTGTGCCTATTATCATGCTATAGGAGCTATAAGGAGGAAAACAATAAAAGCCAAATCACGGTTCATGTCTGACAGGATTGTTTATTAGATAAAAATGTAATAAGCCCTTGTTATCCACCAGATTCCCTGCAAAGTGCTAGAGAGACAAGTAGTAAGATGAGGTCGATTCTGCTCGTGAGACAAAATCATATAAAAATGCAAGTAATAAACCATAAACAAGGATAAGTGACTGGTGGGTTGAGGATCCAAAACAAATGACAGCCCTAAAGCAAGGGCTGAATTGAGTCTCAAGTGCAGGAGTGTGGAGATGGAGGGGAAATGGGTGCTAGCAAGAAAAGCACAGCATCCTACTGGATGAGGTGCAGGAAGATAGGCCACTCCTGGCATGAAGGCCACAGCCAGGAATGAGGAGAGGGGAAAGGAATAGAAAGGACAGAAGGAAGACTGGTAAAGAGAACAAACGAGAGATCCGTTTTCAAGAGGAAGTGTTGTTCAGTTTGGGGCAGATGGAGATGCTGGTGGTGGCCTGATAGGCCATCCAGTGAGCCAGGTAGAGAGCAGTTTAGTTACCTGTGACTGTGGAGCCACTGTCTGAACACAAGGGCAACATAAAGATGGCATTAATAAAGGATGCACGTGTCTAACAGCTGAATGCAGAACAATGGAAGTCTACGGAGGGGAGAAGAGTAAGAGCACTATTGCAACAAGCCGGGGAGAACACCACATCAAGCGGGAGATAAAGTCTGGGCAGGAAAGAAAACAAATGAAAGGTATTTCCCAAGAAGAATAGCCAGGGCTTGATGCCTGCAGGGATATGGAGAGTAAGGTAGAGAAATGAGTTCTTAACTCCCAGGGCTGCAACTTTCAGTGACAGCGTTCAGTGACAGAGCTGGGAGAGCAGGAGTGAGAGGTGATGAGGAAAGGAGAAAACGAAGGGCAAGCACAGAGGTCTGCCTGAGGTAGGGCCAGGTCACCCAGAGGGAGAGACACCGCAGCAAGTGGAAGTGAGGACAGGGCTGTAGGGGACAGGTCACATGTGCTGAACAGACAAGCCTTTCTTGGGTTTCATGTGGAAGGGGGGGGTTCTTGACACTGCTTATTTTTATAACCCAAGAAACTAGCAGTTCATGTTTTTAGGATGCTAGAATTTACCCACATGAAAAGATGTTGGAAAGAGGGAACTCTGAGGATCACCAGGGGCCTTGATCTTGGGCTGCTGAGATTAGTATGGCAAACTTTGTTTTCTCAAGTGAGGACATAAAGAAGAACTCATACAGCCAAAAGTAATTTGCTCATTCTCCAATGCACTTTCTTAAAAAACCTCAATCAGGCAACATATTTCATGTGGCTTAATGTTTTAAAGAGACCAAAGTATGGGGGAAAAATGAAGTAAATTATAGCTGTCAAAGAATAATCAATCTGTATTAACTATGAGCACATCAGAATTATAAAACAGACAGAAGTGAATAACAAAAGGACAAGGTGATTTGTAGACTGTCATTAATAAAAGCTCTGACTTTACCGCTGTACTTTATGACTCATCTCTAGTTTTTATTCTCAATAGGGCGCTCTGTGCTAATGATATATGGCACATTCAAATTCAACCATGCTTCTCTTTAAATTGATGAGTTCTAGTGAACACTGAAGGTTTCCCCTTTCCAGTCTGAAAATCTTATAACCTTTCAGAAGGAAGGTTATACAAATATATCACCCCCCCAACAAAATCTCCTAGCATTAATTTGCATTTCATTACATCTATAAGATGGGATGTCACCTTAAGGCATAGTTAAAACCCCTCTTTTGGCTTTAAATGGCAGAAATTCAGATGCCTTGGGAAACAGTTACAACATCCATGATGGTGTCCTATACAAGAATCACTGTTTAATCCTGACTTGTGCCGGAAAACTCCTGGAGCACCTATATGAAGACTTATGCCACCCAAGTCTCATTTGGATGCAGCAACGCATGAGGTCAGTGCATGATGAACAGAGTGCTGTACCTGGCATGCAGGAAGCCCTCACTAACTGCTGGCTGTAACTACCCTTAGGGGGACATCCCTGCCTCAGTTTGGACAGAAGCCATCAGGCTATCAAAGTGACTAGAAACAGATTCACTAAACAAAGATACTGAAATAAATGGTCAAAAATCTGTTCTGTGACTCGTGGGTCCCTCGTCCAAATATAAATAAGGGTCAGAATGTGAACAGAGGGTTTTGAGGAGACAGGTGATAAGATTTCCTCTTGTTCTTGCCTGTAAGTCCCCCACCCTATGGGAGGGTGACAAGATTATTACCTTCTACCAACCCCAGCCTGACACAGACAGAGTATCGGTGCCTGATCCAAACCTGCAAGTTAACGGGACTGTGCCTGGAAATCCAAAAGGCAGGAGAATGGCCAACTACTTCAGAGGAAGAGCCTGGAATGGGTTGCTGTCTCAGGGTTACAGATGTGAATTTCAAGCAGGCATGCAGTTGTCTTGGGTCCTGTCCAACAGAACTGCCTACAGGGGTGTGGAGATCTAAGTACAAGAGGGTTGAAGAGTGCAGTCAGGTGCCCAGGGGCTGAACAGACTCTCAAGAAAAACCCAGGAGTGCTTTCTTCAGGGCCAAGGGACCTGCAGAAAAAAGGGACCAGCAGAAAGTGCCCATAGCAACCTGTGACCCCGAGAGAAGCAGCTGGAATCAGCTGCTCCCCTGCCACCCCCAAGCAACGCTAGGTTTAAATACCTTCCAGGCACAGAAAGCATACCACCTTGAGCAAGGGAGAAATAGTTCCTTATTGATCAAGGACCTGAACGTGGATCTGCCTGACTCTAAGACCTGTGCTTTAATTCACGGAAAAACACATTTTAGGACTGCTTTATCTTAGACAGGGCCACTCTGCAGATCTCAAAGGGGACTTTTTTTCCTCATTATATACCATATATTTTGCATTTCTAAATGGTCCTATTTTATCCTCAATCTACCCAGCAGCAGCAGTTCACCACCACCAAGTAACCTCATTGGCCTAATAGTACTGAATTCTTCTTTTGTGTAAAAAACTGACCCCAAATTAATGAGTTTTACTGTAGTCAAAATCAACTTTCATGCAATAAATAATTTATAAAGCAGCATATCATTTTTGGAAAAATCACAGAGAATGAATAAAAGGGAACAAAAAGGCTCTCTGTGAAACACGACTGATACGGAAGTGACGTTCTCAAGAGGTTAATGTAGTTCACTGCACAAAGCAGCAACTGCGAAGGGTTTCAATTCAATCTGACAATAGTCTATTCCCTTTTCTAATAAGAGGGCTCTAAATCCACACTAAGATCAACAACAGGGATAATGCAAATAGCCAAAGGTTACTCAAAAGCTTAAAGCTAAGGATTCTAAATCTAAACAGTTTTAAAAATTAAATGTTCATGATTATTACCAGATATTAAGTATACAAAGACAACTGATATATTTGTTTAAAAAGCAGTACTTTGGAAGTCTGAAATCCTATCTTTACAATTTTTATGAAGACCTTGCATTTCTACATGATATAGTACTAAGCTACAAAGATATCACACAATGAAAACTTGGATGAACTATTTAGACACTTCATTCCTGATGATTACAGGTTGAAGGTTTTTTACCTTGTAACAGATCACTAGAGAATGAGAGACGCACTAACTTGTTGATGTTCTCATCAAAAACAAGAGCACAATTTTCAAGTCACATGTGTTCTCACCTAAGACATCTTTCTCATGCTCAGGAACAAGTACTTTCCACTTAGACTCTTCAGGATCCCTGAAGTCAATGTTGATCACGCGATAGTTGGGAGACTGGCGATTCGTCTTGAATGTGAACACCGTCCCCTCATTGGTCACGTAGTCATATTCCCCTTCAAAGTTGTCAATCAGTTTTACCCACTTCAGGATTCCTGGCAAGAGACCAAGCATTCTCATCATCTCTCTAATGTTTAAAAATGGTGTTGCTTTGTGTGTAGGGAGGGGAGGGTGGATCTTTCTTATCCTCAAAACATAAAGCAGAGATATTTGGAAGATCTAGGGCATGAAAAGGAGCAAGAACCAGTTGTGAGTAAATTGAAAAATGCTAAGGAGCCCCTGAAAAACCCAGCAAGGACGGGGGAATGAAGGACCTCTCTTCCCGGCCCATCACCCCCACAAGATCTGGTAAATCCTCTTCTAACTGAGCCGGCCTCAAATCTGGGCACTTCTCTCCACCTCTCCTGCCATCACACCATTCCAAGTCGTCGTCGTCTCCCTCCCAAGTCTTTGTGTTCTACAGCAGTGGCTTCCAACCACAGACACTTTCACCCCCAGGCAACATCTGAAAATGTCTGGAGACATTTTCGGCTGTCACAACTTGAGGGTGGGGCTACCACTGGCACCTAAAGGGTAGAGACCAGAGATGCTGCAATGCACAGGACAGCCCTATAACAAATTAGCAGCCAGCTAAAAAGGTCTACAGTGCCAAGTCTGAGAATTCTTGGTCTATAGCATTAGCTTCCTGCCTGGTCTTCCCACTGTCACTCTTGATTTTCTCAGTATGGCAGCCACCACAGTATCTCAATCTTTTAAAGTGATCCATGTTAGTGCCCTTAGAAACTTTCAATGACTTCTCCATTATACTTGAAATAAAATCCAAATTCCTTCCCATGGTCTTGCATGCTACAGTCCTTTCCCACTTAGCCAACTGCAGATGGTTCCAACACTTGCCTCACTTCCTGTCCTTTACTGGCATTGGCCTTTATTAGATGCCACTTTTAATCGGCACCCAGTTTGTTTCTTCACAGAGCTTCTCTCAAGATCTATTCATTTATTTGTTTTTGTTGAAAGATGAGGTCTCTCGGCTGGGCGCAATGGCTCATGCCTGTAATCACAGCATTTTGGGATGCCAGGGAAGGCAGATCACTTGAGGTCAGGAGTTTGAGACCAGCCTGGCCAACACGGTGAAACCCTGTCTCTATTAAAAATACAAAAATTAGCTGGGCATGGTGGCACACGCCTGTAATCCCAGCTACTTGGTAGGCTGAAGAGAAGAACAGCTTGAACACAGAAGGTGGAGGTTGCAGTGGGCTGAGATTGCGCCACTTCACTCCAGCCTGAGCAGAGTGAGACTCTGTCTCAACAACAACAACAACAACAACAACAGAGATGCGGTCTCTCCATGTTGCCCAGGCTTGAACACAGTGGCTATTCACAGGCATGATCATAGTTCACTGCAACCTCCAACTCCTGGGCCCCTAAGATCCTCCCTGCCTTAGCATCCTGAGTAGCCAGGACTACACGTACACAACCTAGCACCCAGCTCTTTCTTAAGATACAATTATGTGTTTATTGGCTTATTTTTTGTCTTTTCATTCACTGTTTCACACTTGGCACAAAACTGAGTGGCAGGTAACTTGAAACATACAAAATAAAACTTGCATGGCATAAAAGGGACATTTTCCAGTCTTTAATACTAAGAACTAGAGATGATCATCACTAAAGTAAATCTTCAATACGTCCGTATCATCAACATTTAAATAGCTCACTAAATGCCACTTTTAATAAAGTTGAAACCACTAAAATCCCTTGGAAAAACATCTGTTTTACCATGTGTTTGACACAGATGATGTTCAGAGAACACCTCAAAAGTTCTATAAACAAAAAAGTTCTATGACTTCTAAACTACTAAAAGGCAATGACTGATCTTAGCTATTCTCCAATTATCTACTTTTAATTTCACAGTGAAATTGCTACACTAATTTGGGTAGTTCATTTCCATTCCTTGAATCTCTCAAGGCAATTTTACATTCATTATCTCATTCATCTCTGCAGCATATCTTCATATAATTTGTTACTGAATTAAACTTAACAGGGAAATAAATTCCACCATAGAGTTCTGTGGTCATATATGTTTGGATTAAAACCCCAGTTCTAACACTATTTAGTTGGGTGACCTTGAGCAATCTCTTTATTCCTTGCTAAGCCTCATTTTCTTATCTGTAAACTAGGAATAATAGGTAAATATAAAAATAGGGCCAGGTGCAGTGGCTCACACCTGTAATCCCAGCATTTTGGGAGGACAAAGCCGGAAGACCATGAGGTCGGGAGATTAAGACCATCCTGGCTAACACAGTGAAACCCCGTCTTTACTAAAAAATACAAAAAAATTAGCCGGGTGTGGTGGTGGGCGCCTGTAATCCCAGCTACTCGGGAGGCTGAGGCAGGAGAATGGCGTGAACCCGGGAGGCAGAGCTTGCAGTGAGCCAAGATTGAGATTGCACCACTGCACTCCAGCCTGACAGAGTGAGACTCCGTCTCAAAAAAAATAAAATAAAAAATAAAAGTAACTATCAGTACCTTCCCCTTAATAAAAACTCAAATTTAAAATAAGTGATTTGAGGCTGGCTATGGTGGCTCACATCTGTAATCCCAGAACTTCGGGAGGCCGAGGCAGGTGGATCACTTGAGGCCAGGAGTTTGGGACCAGCTTGGCCAACATGGCGAAACCCTGTCTCTACTAAAAATACAAAAAAATTAGCTAGGCATGGTGGTGCACACCTGTAATCCAAGCTACTTGAGAGGCTGAGGCAAGAGAATTGCTTGAATCCAGGAGATGGAGGTTGCAGTGAGCCGAGATCACACCACTGCACGCCAGCCTGGGCGACAGAACGAGACCCTGTCTCAAGAAAATATACATAAAATAAAATATTCCCATATGTTATTGAAAAGAATGTGTATTCTGAAGTTGTTGGGTGTCAATATGCTAAACATGCCTATTAGGTTGTTAATCAGATTGTTCAAATCTTCTATATATTTACTGATTTCTTTTAGCCATTCTGTCAGTCACATAAAAGGTCTATTAAAAAATGTTTCTCTAGGCCTGTGGATTTGTCTGTTTTTGCTCATATTTCTATTATTTTTTGCTCCCTGTATTTTGTAATCATGATGTTAGATATACAAAGAAGTATCACATCTAAATAAAACTGAATTGAACCTTTTATTGAAGTATTATCTCTAGTGATGCTTTCTGCTTTAAAGTCTACTTTCATATTAAAATAGCTACAGCATTCTCATGGTAGTATCTTAGACCAGTTATTATTCACTTTCTCATTAGCTATGTGATGCCTTCAAACAGGCATTTTCCCCAGCTTTTCTAGTTGTCTTCTGCAAAATGGTTTGCCTCAATCTGTAGTTTATCATTTTTGGAAAGAGTCTGCTCTTTCTGTGCCTATAAACTTCCAGGTCTATAAACTCAATGTTTGTCCACCTCGTGGTGGGCTGTACTCTAGGTAGTTCCTTTATATATCTATATTCTATTTCACTAATTATCGCTTTGGCTGTGTCTGATTTCCTCCTTAGCCTAATAACTGAATTTTTAATGTTAATAATCATTTTTTTTTTAATTTCCAGAAGTTCTACTTAGTCATTTTCCCAATCTGGCAGGTCATTTTTTACAGTATCTTATTTATTTCTCATCCTTCCAAGCTTCTTGTTTATTGTTTAAAAGAAGCATCACACTGTGTAAGTATATTTACCGTATTCGTTTTTCACTAGGAATCTGATCATTTGACTGGCCAGCAGCCAGTGTTTCTGCTGGCTCTAATTTCTCATGCTGGTGAATTTCTTCATCTGATTTGTGACTTTACTGTGAACTGCTGATTTTCCTTGAAACATTATTTGTGGAAATTCTTGGAGGCCTGGGTTGAAGTAGCAGTCTTTCAGAGATGCACATTTCCTTTCTTGCCTCTTGGGATGCAACCAACCTGACAGCACTATAATTAAATCCTTGGCATGAGGATTTTGGACCTCATTGGTACAACCAAGTCAACCTGAACTCATGTGATGGCCTTTCTCATGTTTTAGGAGAATTCACATCCTGTCTTCCCCGACCCCTCCTAGTGCCTAGGTAAAGATAGGCAAGTTTCCTTACTGTTCACTCCCCATCCCCAGCCTCTCCACTGGCAAGTTTATTTTTATCAGTCATCCTTACATTGACAGTATGTCTCAGCCGACTCCCAATTATGCTTTATTTCCTATCCCCCTTTTCCTCTTTCCCCAGCAGAAACATTCAGGGACAATCCAGCTCACATTCCAGCATTCCTGCTTTCATTTCATCTTTGGTCTTTATGGATTCCCTTCTTTCATGCCAACTAAGCAATGTATTTGGAAAGATGCTTTATAAATTTTTTACATTTCAGTTGTTTCAACTGGGAGGTTATTCAGAGTATACAAGCTGTCAAACTCTGAGAAACAGACACCGTTACAACTAATTTTCAACTAACTTGAAAAAAGGTTCATAGAACTCTGCATCTGAGTTGCAATTAACTTTGTTTATCCAGTGACAAACTACTAACCTCAAAAGACTACTCAGCAGGTGATCCACTCAAAGGTAATTCATCTTGGTGTACATAAAACAATGCTTTAAAAAAAAATCCCCATTCCTTAAAAGAAAAACAATTTAAGTAAAATACTAGCTGGTAATACAAAATTTGAAGAGAATAAGAAATGTACATTTGTTTATAATAAGAACAATGAAACAATTTTCTGGACTATGACATTTGTAGACGCAAAATCTTGGCTCAGTGAAATGTCAGATTCCTTAAATGTTCCCCCAACAATAAAGCATTTCCTGATGTGAAACCTTTATTTCACAAAATAACCACCTTATGGTTTCTGCCTGACAAGGTCCTGGAGCCAGTGATATTTGTTATGACCCCTCCCTACCCAAAGTCACTAAAGTATGCACCAAAGGCAAAGCACAGTAGAAATTTCCTTCAGTACTGCTGTCTAATCAGGTAAGCCTGAAGATGTGGCACAGATGAAAATTATTCAAGCTCCAAGAGGGAGGTTCCAAGACAGCCGAATAGGAACAGCTCCAATCTACAGCTCCCAGTGTGAGTGACACAGAAGACGGGTGATTTCTACATTTCCAACTGAAGTACCGGTTCATCTCACTGGGGCTTGTCAGACAGTGGGTGCAGCCCATTGAGCATGAGCCGAAGCAGGGCGGGGCATCACCTCAACCAGGAAATGCAAGGGGTCGGGTAATTCCCTTTCCTAGCCAAGGGAAGCCGTGACAGACGGTACCTGGAAAATTGGGACACTCCCACCCTAATACTGCACTTTTCCAACGGTCTTAGCAAATGGCACACCAGGAGATTATATCCCGCCCCTGGCTCGGAGGGTCCCACGCCCACGGAGCCTTGCTCGCTGCTAGCACAGTAGTCTGAGATCGAACTGCAAGGCGGAAGCGAGGCTGGGGAAGGGGCATCCGCCATGGCTGAAGCTTGAGTACGTAAACAAAGCGGCTGGGTAACTCAAACTGGGTAAAGCCCACCACAGCTCAAGGAGGCCTGCTTCTGTAGACTCCACCTCTGGGGGCAGGGCATAGCCGAACAGAAGGCAGCAGAAACTTCTGCAGACTTAAACATCCCTGTCTGATAGCTTTGAAGAGAGTAGTGGTTCTGCCAGCATGGAGTTTGAGATCTGAGAACGAACAGACTGCCTCCTAAAGTGGGTCCCTGACCCCTGAGTAGCCTAAGTGGGAGGCACCTCCCAGTAGGGGCTGATTGACACCTCATAAGGCCGGGTGCCCCTCTGAGATGAAGCTTCCAGAGGAAGGATCAGGCAGCAACATTCGCCATTCTGCAATATTTGCTGTTCTGTAGCCTCTACTGGTAATACCCAGGCAAACAGCATCTGGAGTGGACCTCCAGCAAACTCCAACAGACCTGCAGCTGAGGGTCCTGACTGTTAGAAGGAAAACAAACAGAAAGGACACCCACACCAAAACCCCATCTGTACGTCACCATCATCAAAGACAAAAGGTAGATAAAACCACAAAGATGGGGAGAAACCAGAGCAGAAAAGCTGAAAATTCTAAAAATCAGAGCTCCTCTTCTCCTCCAAAGGTACACAGCTCCTCGCCAGCAACGGAACAAAGCTGGATGGAGAATGACTTTGACGAGTTGAGAGCAGAAGACTTCAGATGATCGGTAATAACAAAATTCTCCGAGCTAAAGGAGGATATTCGAACCCATTGCAAAGAAGCTAAAAACCTTGAAAAAAGATTACATGAAGGGCTAACCAGAATAAACAGTGTAGAGAAGACCTTAAATGACCTGATGGAGCTGAAAACCATGGCACAAGAACTACAAGATGCATGCACAAGCTTCAGTAGCCGATTCGATCAAGTGGAAGAAAGGGTATCAGTGATTGAAGATCAAATGAATGAAATGAAGCGAGAAGAAAAGTTCAGAGAAAAAACAGTAAAAAGAAACAAACAAAGCTCCCAAGAAATATGGGACTATGTGAAAAGATCAAATGTGGTCTGATTTTTCACGTGTACCAGAAAGTGATGAGGAGAATGGAACCAAGTTGGAAAACACTCTGCAGGATATTATCCAGGAGAACGCCCCCAGCCTAGCAAGGCAGGCCAACATTCAAATTCACGAAATACAGAGAACGCCACAGAGATACTCCTCGAGAAGAGAAACTCCAAGGCACATAATTATCAGATTCACCAAGGTTGAAATGAAGGAAAAAATGTTAAGGGCAGCCAGAGAGAAAGGTCGGGTAACCCACAAAGGGAAGCCCATCAGACTAAAAGCAGATCTCTCGGCAGAAACTCTACAAGCCACAAGAGAGTGGGGGCCAATATTCAACATTCTTAAAGAAAACAATTTTCAACCCAGAATTTCATATGCAGCCAAACTAAGCTTCATAAGTGAAGGAGAAAGAAAATCCTTTACAGACAGACAAACTCTGAGAGATTTTGTCACCACCAGGCCTGCCTTAAAAGAGCTCCTGAAGGAAGCACTAAACATGGAAAGGAACAACCGGTACCAGACACTGCAAAAACATGCCAAATTGTAAAGATCATTGATATTAGGAAGAAACTGCATCAACTAACAGACAAAATAACCAGCTAACATCATAATGACAGGATCAAATCCACACATAACAATATAACCTTAAATGTAAATGGGCTAAATGCTCCAATTAAAAGACACAGATTGGCAAATTGGATAAAGAGTCAAGACACATCAGTGTGCTATATTCAGAAGACCCATCTCACGTGCAGAGACACATATATGCTGAAAATAAAGGGATGGAGGAAGATCTACCAAGCAAATGGAAAACAAAAAAAGCAGGGTTGCAATCCTAGTCTCTGATAAAACAGACTTTAAACCAACAAAGATCAAAAGAGACAAAGAAGGCCATTACATAATGGTAAAGGGATCAATTCAACAAGAAGAGCTAACTATCCTAAATATATATGCACCCAATACAGGAGCACCCAGATTCATAAAGCAAGTCCTTAGAGACCTACGAAGAGACTTAGACTCCCACACAATAATAATGGGAGATTTTAACACCCCACTGTCAACATTAGACACATCAACGAGACAGAAAGTTAACAAGGATATCCACGAATTAAACTCAGCTCTGCACTAAACAGACCTAATAGACATCTACAGAACTCTCCACCCCAAATCAACAGAATATAAATTCTTCTCAGCACATTGCACTTATTCCAAAATTGACCACATAATTGGAAGTAAAGCACTCCCCAGCAAATGTAAAAGAACAGAAATTATAACAAACGGTATCTCAGACCAAAGTGAAATCAAATTAGAGCTCAGGATTAAGAAACTCACTCAAAACTGCTCAACTACATGGAAACTGAACAACCTGCTCTTCAATGACTACTGGGTACATAACGAAATGAAGGCAGAAATAAAGATGTCCTTTGAAACCAATGAGAACAAAGACACAACGTAGCAGAATCTCTGGGACACATTTAAAGCAGTGTTTAGAGGGAAATGTACAGCACTAAATGCCCACAAGAGAAAGCAGGAAAGATCTAAAATTGACACCCTAACATCACAATTAAAAGAACTAGAGAAGCTAGAGCAAACACATTCAAAAGCTAGCAGAAGGCAAGAAATAATTAAGATCAGAGAAGAACTGAAGGAGATAGAGACACAAAAAACCCTTCAAAAAAATCAATGAATCCAGGAACTCGTTTTTTGAAAAGATCAACCAAATTGATAGACCGCTAGCAAGACTAATAAAGTAGAAAAGAGAGAAGAATCAAATAGATGCAATAAAAAATGATAAAGGGGATATCACCACTGATCCCACAGAAATACAAACTACCATCAGAGAATACTATAAATACCTCTTTGCAAGTAAACTAGAAAATCTAGAAGAAATGGATTAATTCCTGGACACACACGCCCTCCCAAGACTAAACCAGGAAGAAGTTGCATCCCTGAATAGACTAATAACAGGCTCTGAAATTGAGGCAATAATAGCCTGCCAACCAAAACAGTCCAGGTCCAGATGGACTCACAGCTGAATTCTACCAGAGGTACAAAGAGGAGCTGGTACCATTCCTTCTGAAACTATTCCAATCAATAGAAAAAGAGGGAATCCTCCCTAACTCATTTTACGAGGCCAGCATCATCCTGATACCAAAGCCTGGCAGAGACACAACAAAAAAAGAGAATTTTAGACCAATATCCCTGATGAACATCGATGCAAAAATCCTCAATGAAATACTGGCAAACCGAATCCAGCAGCACATCAAAAAGCTTATCCACCATGAGCAAGTGGGCTTCATCCCTGGGATGCAAGGCTGGTTCAACATACACAAATCAACAAACGTAATCCATCATATAAACAGAATCAAAGACAAAAACCACGATTATCCCAATAGATGCAGAAAAGGCCTCTGACAAAATTCAACAGCCTTTCATGCTAAAAACGCTCAATAAACTAGGTATTGATGGGATGTATCTCAAAATAATAAGAGCTATTTATGACAAATCCACAACCAATATCATACTGAATGGGCAAAAACTGGAAGCATTCCCTTTGAAAACTGGCACAAGACAGGGATGCCCTCTCTCGCCACTACTATTCAACATAGTGTTGGAAGTTCTGGCCAGGGCAATCAGGCAGGAGAAAGAAATAAAAGGTATTCAATTAGGAAAAGAGAAAGTCAAAATATCCCTGTTTGCAGATGACACGATTGTATATTTAGAAAACCCCACTGTGTCAGCCCAAAACCTCCTTAAGCTGATAAGCAACTTCAGCAAAATCTCAGGATACAAAGTCAGTGTGCAAAAATCACAAGCATTCCTATACACCAATAACAGACAGAGAGCCAAATCATGAGTGAACTCCCATTCTCAATTGCTACAAAGAGAATAAAATACCTAGGAATCCAACTTACAAGGGATGTGAAGGATCTCTTCAAGAACTACAAACCACTGCTCAACGAAATAAAAGAGGATACAAACAAATGGAAGAACATTCCATGCTCATGGATAGGAAGAATCAATATTGTGAAAATGGCCATACTGCCCAAGGTAATTTATAGATTCAATGCCATCCCCATCAAGCTACCAATGACTTTCTTCACAGAATTGGAAAAAACTACTTTAAAGTTCATATGGAACCAAAAAAGAGCCTGCATTGCCAAGACAATCCTAAGCCAAAAGAACAAAGCTGGAGGCATCACGCTACCTGACTTCAAACTATACTTCAAGGCTACAGTAACCAAAACAGCATGGTACTGGTACCCAAACAGAGATATAGACCAATGGAACAGAACAGAGCCCTCAGACATAATACCACACATCTACATCCATCTGATCTTTGACAAACCTGACAAAAACAAGAAATGGGGAAAGGATTCCCTATTTAATAAATGGTGCTGGGAAAACTGGCTAGCCATATGTAGAAAGCTGAAACTGGATCCCTTCCTTATACCTTATACAAAAATTAATTCAAGATGGATTAAAGACTTAAATGTTAGACCAAAAACCATAAAAACCCTAGAAGAAAACCTAGGCAATACCATTCAGGACACAGGCATGGGCAAGGACTTCATGACTAAAGCACGAAAAGCAATGCCAACAGAAGCCAAAATTGACAAATAGAATCTAATTAAACTGAAGAGCTTCTGCACAGCAAAACAAACTACCATCACAGTGAACAGGCAACCTACAGAATGGGAGAAAATTTTTACAGTCTACCCATCTGACAAAGGGCTAATATCTAGAATCTACAAAGAACTTAAATTTACAATAAAAAAATCAACCCCATCAAAAAGTGGGTGAAGGATATGAACAGACACTTCTCAAAAGAAGACATTTATGCAGCCAAAAGACGCATGAAAAAATGCTCATCATCACTGGCCATCAGAGAAATGCAAATCAAAACCACAATGAGATTCCATCTCACACCAGTTAGAATGGTGATCATTAAAAAGTCAGGAAACCACAGGTGCTGGAGAGGATGTGGAGAAATAGGAACACTTTTACACTGTTGGTGGGACTGTAAACTAGTTCAACCATTGTGGAAGACAGTGTGGCGATTCCTCAAGGATCTGGAACTAGAAATACCATTTGACCCAGCCATCCCATTACTGGGTATATACCCAAAGGATTATAAATCGTGCTGCTATAAAGACACATGCACACGTATGTTTATTGCGGCACTATTCACAATAGCAAAGAATTGGAACCAACACAAATGTCCATCAATGATAGACTGGATTAAGAAAATCTGGCACATATACACCATGGAACACTATGCAGCCATAAAAAGGGATGAGTTCGGCTGGGCGCGGTGGCTCACGCCTGTAATCCCAGCACTTTGGGGAGGCCGAGGCAGGCGGATCATGAGGTCAGGAGATCGAGACCATCTGGCTAACATGGTGAAACCCCATCTCCACTAAAAAATACAAAAAAATTAGCCAGGCGTGGTGGCGGGCGCCTGTAGTCCCAGCTACTCAGGAGGCTTAGGCAGGAGAATGGCGTGAACCTGGGAGGTGGAGCTTGCAGTAAGCCGAGATCGTGCCACTGCACTCCAGCCTGGGAGATAGAGTGAGACTCCGTCTCAAAAAAAAAAAAAAAAGGATGAGTTCATGTCCTTTGTAGGGACATGGATGAAGCTGGAAACCATCATTCTCACCAAACTATCGCAAAGACAGAAAACCAAACACTGCATGTTCTCACTCATAGGTGGGAACTGAACAATGAGAACACTTGGACACAGGATGGGGAACATCACACACCAGGGCCTGTCGTGGGGTGGGGGAGGCGGGAGGGAGAGCATTAGGAGATACACCTAATGTAAATGACGAGTTAATGGGTGCAGCACACCAACATGGCACATGTATGAATATGTAACAAACCTGCACGTTGTGCACATGTACCCTAAAACTGAAAGTATAATTTAATAAAAAGTAAAAAAAAATCATTCAAGCTCCAATGAACAAAAAACAACAGAACGGTGTACATTATTGTCTGCCACCAAATTCTGAAGCATTAACCTTAGCCATAAATACATACTACAAGTCATAAGCTCATTCAGAATAAGGAATGTGGCTGGATTCACAAAAGTCTAGCTATAAAATTGGAAAAATAGTCCAAAGTATAGGCCCTCACAGGGCCGGATGTTTTAAATGAGAGCTCTTGAAATTCTTTTGCTCTCCTGAAACCTTGTTCTACAGGGCTTTGGTAGAGAAATAAATCAAGAGAAAAGGTATTTCAGTTCAACAATGGGGCTCATTCATTTTTGCTACTCACAAGTTAGAACACTGTTGATTTAAATGGAAAACAGGAAAATTACTTTTTAAAAAGAAACATGATTTAACTCTTTAACCATTTCATTTTTTGCCTACCTTCTCTGAGGTTCTTTTGTCTATAAAGTGGCATTATTCACTCTGAAGCCAAAAGAAATTTCAATTCCCAAACCTCTCTGCATTCAAATGTTAAAATTACTTTTTATAAACCTGCTTCTTGGTGGGGACTGATTCATTTATTGAGTGAAGATTAGTTTAAAATAAATTGTCTTATGCTTTTCCTAGAGCAAAGTCATACTTTTATTACTTTCTTTGAAAAATCATCAACTAAACTATATTAACTACATGTCATAGAAAATGCTGTGCAAGCTCCCTAATAATGGCAGCTAAAGTGCTTTTATACTTTACAAAAACTCTAAGGGCTGGACATGTCACGACAACAAATGCAAGGAGTGGTCAGGCACTGAGGCTGCAGGGCGCATGGGCTGCTGTTGTCCTGAATGACTTCCTTCTGTCTCAGTCTGCCACATGATTAACAGTTAGAACACAGGCTTGGGAGTTAAGCTGACATGGATCCAAATCTTTAAATGGCATTAGGAAAGCTAGTTGGCCTCACCAGCCTCAGTTTCCTGGGGATAATAATCCGTGCTCCTCGGAAGCTGTTGAGAAGACTGAATGAGAGGCCTACATTTGTAGCTCAGAACCTGACACACAGGAAATGTTACATAAACAGTATTAACTATTATTCCAAATAACCCCAGTGTTCAAGTGACAAAAGTAAACCGAACATTTTAAAATTAGTATAAATACTCATTTTATCACTAGTATTTTGTCTTTTATATCAGATTTCCTATTTTGGGTCTTGTTTTTATACTGTCTTTTGATGTCCCAATTCTTTTTCGTTTTTCTGCATTCCCACTCTGACACACAGATTTCCTACAAACTCCCTGTCTTCTCTCTGAGGCCCTCCTCAGAGAGGTTTGCTTTTAGCACTCAGATGACTTTGCTAAGCTTTGGACAGCTCCTTTGCTTAAAGCTTCTCGAATGTTTATCTCCCCTTTTCCACTCTACGCCCAAAGAATGTCCAGCCCTGTCAGGCAAGAACAAAAGAGTCAGTATCATCTCTGCTACCTAAAAATAAGAGCTGCATTAGTCAGAGATGGTGAAATGACCAATCTACATGTCTGCTAAATACCAGATTTCCTTTTATGGTTATGTGTTAGCATGTAATGCAAATTTAATTCCTAATGCAGGAAAAAGCCAATTTTCTTTAATGACACAAAAGCCTTAAAATAAAAATATGGTAGGTACTGAATACTTTATCAATCTAAAACAATCAAACTTTTAGCAAAAAAAGGAAAAAGCACAGACAGGTTAGTGAAAGTCTGGGCAAATCCCAGGTAAGCTGATATTTCCTTATAGAAATCAGCATGTCACCACCATGCACCTTTTCTCCCTAAACTCCTCATAAATGCTGTGACATGAGAAAAGACCGCTCTAGGCCCGTTTTAAGGATGCCTATATTGAAGGAGGTTGTTAAGTTACTAACAAAAAAGATTTCAGACTTACGGTTCTTTTTGCCTAACAATCACTTCTTAAGAATTCTATTAAAAATCTCTGATATAATTAACTTTAAATGTAGGTCGGGTGCAGTGGCCCATGCCTGTAATCCCAGCACTTTGGGAAGCTGAGGCAGACGGATCACCTGAGGTCAGGGGTTCATGACCAGCCTGGCCAACATGGCGAAACCCTGTTTCTACTAAAAATACAAAATTAGCTGGGTGTGGTGGCAGGCACCTATAATCCTAGCTACTTGAGAGGCTGAGGCAGGAGAATCACTTGAACCCAGGAGGCGGAAGGTGCAGAAAAAAAAAATGTATTCAGAACAGGGACTAATGGTCAGCTCCTTTTTTGCTGCTATTATCCTATAAAGCAGGGAATAAAGTACCTGACTTTCTACTGGAAAATTAAAGAACCAAAGAGAAAAGAAAATGAAAAAAAGAAAGAAAACAGAAGAGAGAGGAAGTCTGAGCATGGATCTGTGCGCTGGGCCACAGCCCGTCAGACACTCCCTCAAACTGATGATATCCACATCTTACCATCCAGCAGATGGGGAGCACTTGAAGGGCAGGGGCTACCACGTGTCATTACAAGTGCCCAACACAGTGCCTGGCACAGGGTAGGACATTAATGCATGTCTAATTCATAACTAAATATATGATTTAGGTACTCCTACATTTTAAACTGAACCTTACATACAGTTGTTTATAATGTAGACAACAAAAGTAACCAAAGTTAAATTTTAAAGAAGTTATTAGTATCTTCTGCTTTTCTAATAAAATTATTTAGAAATGTATCCCTGAGTTAAATGTATTTATATTTTTAAGGCAGAAACTTAAGTTTTCATGTAAATTTTTAAAGTCCACAGACTTGAGAGAAAAGAGACAGCTCTGAGCTCTGATACCCATACTGCAGAAAATATTCAAAAATTTATTCTGAATTTTGTCTATGTAACTAAAGTATATAAGGCAACTTTTTATATATTAAAAATAAGGCCAGACACAGTGGCTCACACCTGTAATCCCAGCACTTTGGGAGGCTGAGGCAGGAGGACTGCTTGAGCCCACGTGTTCGAAACCAGCCTGGGCAATATAGTGAGACTCCATCTCTATTTTATATTTAAATAAAGTAAATAAATAAAATAGGGTTATAGCAAACTTAGGAAACAAAGTATATACATACTTCAAAATAAATAATATTGATTAGGAAGGTATAGAAAATATAAGAAAATCCAGACAAATTATTTTCTTGTAAGGTTCAGGATAATTAATTTCAACAAATCTGTGGGCATGAACCACATCAAGGATCATAGGAGTCAAGACTCAGCTGTCTTTTCTACTCCAGAACTAAAAAACGTCATGCTAGCCTGGTGTCTTTAATGTTACCTTGATACTTCTTCACTTTTGATGTTAAGCAACAGAATAAGAGAATCAAAAATCTTCTGCTCACACAATATAAAGGAATGAAAAAAAGAACCCATCATTCTCAGTGCTTAATAAAGGACAAAAATTTAATGAAAAAATATTTAGGAAGCCACAGGGATAAAGATTCAAAATGCTCAGAAGGCAGTAACCGTTACAGAGGGAGGGGGGCTTATCAAGCAAGGCCACCTGAGCACAAGGATCCCTAAAGGGACACGTCATTCGAGACAAGCTGGTACACACCTGCTGTGAGTCCAATAGGGACTGCTCTAGGTGCTGGCAACTCCATGGGGAACAAGACAGGCAACATCTCTAATCTCATGCAGCTCACGGATCCTCACACAAAGTGCTTTTGTATGGAGAGAAATGGAAATCAGAATGGGGGAAAGGAGGAGAGGGGGCAACTCTGGAGAGAAAGGTATCTATCAAAAGTACAAGGAAGGCCAGGCACAGTGGCTCACGCCTGTAATCCCAGCATTCTGGGAGGCCGAGGCAGATGGACCATGAGGTCAGGAGATCGAGACTAGCCTGGCCAACATGGTGAAACCCATCTCTATGAAAAATACAAAAACTAGCCAGGTATGGTGGCATGCGCCTGTAGTCCCAGCTACTTGGGAGGCTGAGAAAGGAGAATTGCTTGAACTTGGGAGGTGGAGGTTGCGGTGAACTGAGATCACGCCACTGCACTCCAGCCTGGGTGACAGAGCAAGATTCCGTCTCAAAAAAAAAAAAAAAAGTACAAGGAAGCCTGGTAGCCCCTGACAGGGACCTCTCTTCTCCCAAAGCAAGAAGGTAGTAACTCCACACATTTCTCTGGTAAGCCAGTGGAGAATAGGACATGACTCTTTGGAGACGATCTGCTTAGCTGTTCTGAACAGCTGAAAAATTATTATATATAAGCTTCTAAAGCCCAGATGACAGGCCTAATTCCATTTCTATACAGTGATGCATGAGGTGAGTCATGGAAATTACCTGTTCAGAAAAGGTAAGAAGGAGCAATTGCCAGCCTCAACTGCAGTTACTGGGTAAAGGATGTGATCCACAGCTTGCAACAAATGTGTTCATATTCTTAAGTGAAAATACTGCAAATGTAAATGGCAGAAATGAGGTTGTCCAAAGAGAGGCAGAGAACAACAGAGACAGCACTCCCATAAGGCAGCAAAAGAACAGAAGTCCACACTTATTTGACAAAATGAATCCAGTTTTAATTCATACAGATCGCATTTAACTTTCAAGTTGCTAAGATATTTTCTATCCTGCTAATTTAGTTTTTTCTCCCTATGTGCTTTTTAAAAAGATATTAAATTGCCATTGGCCTTTTTCAGGGGGCTTTTTGTGCTCTCATTTCAAAATGCACGTGGGCAGGTTTTCTTGGGAGACACAGATGATGGCAACGTGACATGAGCCACCCAAGTGAAATTCTTTAGTCCTCAAAAAAGACAACTGAGTGGTATCCTAAATATATAAATAATTAATTTATACAAAAATGCTGATAATTCCCCCTGGCTTTAAGGGAAAACAGCTTAAAATCCTAGCAGAAAGGCTTTAAGATATCAAAAGAGGTATAGATTTTAGTAATATGAAATTGGAGGTTTCACAACATGGATTGAGTTTTCAGGCACCAGTTGTTCAGGTCTAAGTCATCTAACATTCAAGTTAACTAGTGCATTTAGCATTTAAGTTAAATGTTAATTATTCTATTTTTAGTGTAAAGAGGATAACAAAATTGGGGAAGCAGGTAAAAAAAAAAAAAAAAAAAAAAAAGCAAAAAAGATCCTAGGAGTTAGTCATGGTCATCAACCGGGCATACAGACCCCTGAATTTTCAATTACCAACCTGCACAATTAGACATGTTCCCTCACAGTCTTCTCTTTTGTGATTATGAATCTGGCTTTGCAGAAAACAAGTTAATTTGAAAATCTGTATTTAGAGCAGCTTTGAATCTGCAGATAGACTTTTTTTTGTTTTGTTTTTTTGGTGTCCTCAATCTAGTTTTCTAAGCTACCTAAAACTAAAGTACGGTGATTCTAAATATTCCTCTTTCAGTCAAGAAACAAAGAAAAAAAGAAGGAATACTTGAGAACTCACTGCATGCCAGAAACCCTGCTAAGTCCTTTTCTTTGCATTTTCATTATTCCTCACAATTCCCTATGAAGTAGATATTATTTCCTTATTTGCAGACATGGAAATATTAAGGGAGAGAAAAAAAAAACTTTAACAGGGTAACCAGTTATTTAGTGGCGGAGCTGAGAGTAAAATTCAAATCTGATTTGAAAGGCTGTGGTTATTATCCCAATATATCCAACTGTAACTAACAGGAACCATTTTTTTTCTTAATTTAATGATCCCTATCTGAATCTGCTGTGTCTCCCCTTTTATAGACTAAATTTACTTAATCTTTTCAATAGTAAAACAATCACACAAAATACTTGTTTCTCTAAATAGTCATGATCATTGATTCAAAATGAAACCAGTGATCAATTAAAAAGCAAACAAACAAGAGTTCTCTAACCCTGTCCCGCACCATTGATTTTTGAACCTAAGAATGAAAACTGATATCCACTTGGTGAATAACTGCAATTGTTGAGAACTTTCAGAATCCCAGGGCCACCATTCAAAAGAATTACTCTGAAGTTTATGTTATCCACAAACATAATGCTAGCAAAGCAATAATCAGAAAAAAGATAACGGGCTCAGTGCTACACCTGGAACCCAGAAGCTACCACTGGAGAATGCTGATCCAATTCATCAGTATGCCGCTCAACAGCTTCAAATCCACCTATCCTATGTTATTCTCTTCATATTCTGCTTTCTGGTCCACAGGATATGACATACTTTGCCAAACGCATCAGTAAAGCCCTAACACTGACAGATCAGGTTAGTACCACTGGACTTGTTTGTTCCATGAGCTCACTGTGATGGTCTTTTTGCTATCAACTTGGCTAGGCTAGTATGCCTCGTTAATCAATCAAACACAAATATAGGTGTTGCTGTGAAAGTATTTTGTAGATGGGATTAAGGCCCATAATCCATTGACTTTAATGAAGAGAGATTATCCTGGATAATTTGAGTGGGCCTGACTCAATCAGTTGGAAGGCCTTAAGAGCAGAGCTGAGGCTTCCCTGGAGCTCTGAATGGATCATGGCCATTAAGAGTTTCTTAGATGCTCCCCTTTATTCTTCCTCATATTCATTCTTAGCTACACTATCTAGAATTTGGTTTTTGAGAGCCTAGTGCACCTCTGTACTGTCTTCCTTTTGGAATCCCAATCTCTTGAGTACTCTCTTTTCTAAATGCTAACGCTGCAATAATAAAATAACTGGGTTGCAGGGGAAAGATAAGGACCGAGAGGTTGGGGGAAAACAAAGAGGGTTTCCATGAGTTTTGCCAGCACTTGAAAGTTTCACTCAAAATATTATTACGCCTTATTAAAGCAGATATAGCAATAGCAGTCTGGTATATAAATATGTGGACAGAATTTTATTCTCTATATTTGGAACATGTGTGCAGGATAACAGCACCATAATGTCTGATGTCACTGATTCGTTCAGGCTCAATCTTAAAAGGTTTGCTCAGTTCTATGAAGACCTATGCTTGCAACTCACGCAAACAATTCCTGGATGGTGGTTTGCCCTGACAGAGAATGCAAACACTGATGTGGCCAATGCTGGTTTCTTGACACCAAGATGGATGTATCTCTTTTTCTTAATAGAAAAAAATACTCAGTTTTATTAAATGGATATATATTTAACTCTAGGAAAAAAGTTGCTGACTTCACCCTGGTATATGTGTGTGAATGGTGCTCTGTAGTATCTAATGTTAGGATGCAGATCTTGCTCAGAGAAGTTTAAAAATGGCGCGATGCTCAATCAGACAAATATTTTCGTATCACAATGTAACACAGATTAGAAACTAATAATGAGGTAAATACATTATTACAGAAATGCACTTAGTATTTTGAAAATCTAGGTCAACCCTCTCTAAAATATTATTTATTTTGCATTAACTAGAAGATAATGTAATTAGCTTAGTGTCTGTCCTTATCGGGGTGCCAGTATGTCTGATAGGATTTCTGGGTCTGGGAATTTTCAGCATAGTAAATTGTGCAGCTGAAAAGTTTTTGTGCTTGATGATAGTGCTGGTATGATAGAGATGGTGGAAGAGAACAACATTTAAAATAAGCCATCTCCAGAATTTGTAACTGGCTGGTTCTATGCTTATCATGATATGTAAGGCTTTGGCAAGCAAACACAGGCTGTTCTTTTCCTAAGTACTGAGGGCCACTCTACTGATTACGTTAATCTAGCCAATTCCCATTGGTCTAATAACCCTTGCCTGTGACAGTTTGCAACATTACGCCTTTTTTGTTTATTTTAAAGACAGGGTCTGGCTATGTTGCCCAGGCTGGTCTCCAACTCCTGGCCCCAAGCTGTCTTCCTGCCTCAGCCTCCTGAGCCCCTAGGATTGCAGGTATGATGCCACTATGCCCGGCTGCACCATTAAATCTAAATAGTTACAGACCAAAAGGATCAGCTTCTCCTTCACGCTCTTCATGTGCAATACTCACGGGATATTTTCACACTATGTGCAGAAAGTATGGCTAATCTCAATCTACAGAGAAAATGCTAAAGCCAACAGTTTCATTCCATTTTCCCTCATTTTATGGAATAGTACTAAAAGAAAAAAAATCAGATGAACTGACATGATGTGGTAGAATGGAAGAGGGTCTTGGGAAATCAATTAATAGACCACAATAATACTTTTTAAATGAAGTTTCTTGGAATAACTATCTGTGTCTGAAAAAATAACTCACCCGCGATGCCACTGGATTCCTGCTGTAGGTCACAGTACCAGAGTCGGTTTACTGGATCACATCCTTCCCTTATTGATAACAAGACATAGCGGCCATCATCAGATAACTAAAAAAGAAAAAAAAATAGTGCAGGGGACTAATTAGAATTTATTTTTGTGAGAACATTATTGAATATTAAGTTAAAAAATTAAGGTTAATTTTCAAAGGCAGTGTCTCTGCCCCAAACTCATGATCTGATAAGAAAGTTATCTGAATAAAAAGATGAACATCAATTTTATCTTATTTCACCCATAATCACAGTTTAACAAAACACAGTGAATTATTTTAGTTGAAAATATCAGTAGAGGTAACTGAATGTCATAACTTCAATGTAATTTTTATTTTAATTTCTAGTCTATTCTTTAAACTGAAAATATGTGAAATCCATCATTTTGAATATAATATCCTTGACTTTAAAGTTTCCTCATGGGTTGCATAATTTAAAGTTTGTTGTTCTCAATAAAAATTAGCAAAATGGGGCCGGGCGCAGTGGTTCACGCCTGTAATCCCAGCACTTTGGGAAGCCGAGTGGGGGTGGATCACCTGAGGTCAGGAGTTCAAGACCAGCCTGGCCAACATGGTGAAACCCTGTCTCTACTAAAAATATAAAAATTAGCCAGGCGTGGTGGTAGGCGCCTGTAATCCCAGCTACTCGGGAGACTGAGGCAGGAGAACTGCTTGAACCCAGGAGACGGAGGTTGCAGTGAGCTGACACGGTGCCACTGCACTCCAGCCTGGGCAACAGAGTGAGACTCCATCTCAAAAAAAAAAAAAAAAAAAGAATTAGCAAAATGGGTATGGACGCAAGAAATTCACTATGGTTCACACTGGTCACATTGACAAGTTTCTACTGAACAACTGCTTATGCATATTTTTAGTCCCTTCTACTGCAAGATCTCAGAAATGAATGGCTTAGGCTCAGAGACTTTCCTTGTTAGTATAAACAGCAGAATGTTAGGTAGCAAAAAGAATCCTAATAAAAAAATCTAATACAAACAATGTATTATTGTTTTGAGTTGACAAAAAATGTGGTATCAAACTATACATATTCTTTTGCAACTAATTTTTTTCATTCAATGTTTTATAATTAGTCCATGTTGATATGTGTAAATCTAGTTCATTCATTTTAACTGCTGTATAGTATTACAATCCAGAAATATACCACCATTAGTTGATCCATCATCCTACCCATAAACATCTATATTATTTGTTTTCTTACTATTACATACTTCTTTAGAAAATTTCTTGAACATGTTTGTGACCTAAAATGCTTCCCAGTGTATATAACTAGAAGTAAAATTGCTCAGTGGTAGGACATGCACATATTCAACTTTATGAGATGTTGCCAAATTATTCTCCAAAGTGGTTGTACCAACTTACACTCTTACTTAGCAATACCGTATGAGAGTTCCTGTTCTTCCATACCCTTATTATGAGGGTTAATTTTATATGTCAATCTGGCTAGGCCATAGTGCCCAGATATTTGGATGTTAGTTTAGATGTTTGTGAAGTTTTTTTTTTTTTTTAAGATAAGATTACATTTAAATGAGCAGACTTAGAGTAAAGCGGACCACCCTCCATAATGTGGGTGGGACTCATCCAATCAGTTGATGGCCTTAACAGAACACTGACCTCTGCTGAACAGGAGGGATTCAGCCAGCCAACTGCCTTTGGACTCAACTAGAACTCTTCCTTGAGTCTCCAGCCTGTGGGCCTACCCTGCAGGGTTAGGACTTGCCAAGGCTCCACAATCACATGAGCCAATTCCTTAAACAAATCCTCTCTATGTATATATATACATACATACACACATCCTATTAGCTCTTTTCTCTAGTAAACCCTGACTAATAGCTGTTATTCTTTCATTTGCTCCTTCAATAAACACTTGCTAAGCAGTTATTTTGTGCAAGACATTTTTCTAGGTATTAAAGGTACATCAGTAAACAAATCAAGAAAAAATGTTACATCTATTCAGAGAGAGGAATACATAAATATGGAATTATGTAGTATATTATGATAAATGCCATGGAAAACATGAACAGGTCTGAGTAAGGGAGACAGGATATGGTGGTCGGGTTGTAGTTTTTTTTTTTTTTTTTGAGACGGAGTTTTACCTTGTAGCCCAGGCTGGAGTGCAGTGGCACTCCAACCTGCAATCTCTGCCTCCTGGGTTCCAGCAATTCTCCTGCCTCAGCCTCCCGAGTAGCTGGGATTACAGATGCCTTCCACCATGCTCAGCTAATTTTTGTATTTTTAGTAGAGACGGAGTTTCACCATGTTGGTCAGTCTGGTCTTGAACTTCTGACCTCAAGGTGATCCACCCATCTTGGCCTCCCAAAGTGCCACTGCGCCCAGCCAAGGCTGTAGTTTTAAATATGGCAATCAAGGTAAACCCCATTAAGAAGGCATCTTTCCACTGTTTTCTGACTTGCACTGTTTCCACTGGGAATTTGGTGTCATTTCTTATCTTTGTTTCCCTATATGCAATATGTGTTTTCTCCTCTGGCTGCTTTTAGTATTTTGTTATCTTTGGCTTTCTGAACGTTGATTATTCTGTAACAGGCTTTGATGTAGTACCCTGCTTGAGATTAATTGAGCTTCCTGAATCTGTTGATTTCTGTATTTTATCAAATTTGTAACATTTTTGGCCACTTGTGTCTCATGTATATATTTTTTGTCCTCTCACCCCTATTCTAGAACTTCAAATACATACTGTTACATAACTTGGTACTGCTCCACAGGTCAATGAAATGTGTCCATTTTTGTCTTAGTTTCTCTTTGTGGTTTAGTTTTGATTGTCCTGTCTTCAACTTTTGCATTTTCTTTTATAGCATCTAAACTGCTATAAACAGATAATTTTTCATCTCAGAGTTTTATTTTTTATCTCTAGAAGAGTATGTGGTTCATTTTTATATTTTCTATTTCTTTGTTCATTATATTAACACTTAGTAAAGATCTCTAAAAAGTATTTTTTTATGATAGCTTTTTATAAGTCCTTATATGTTAATTCTACTCTCTGTTATTTCTGGATCTGTTTCTATTGACTATTTTTCCTCTTGGCTATCAGTCACATTTTTTTTGCTTCTTTTTTAATAACTATTTATTTTTTAACTGGATTCTGGGCTTTTGAATGTTGTCTGGATTTCTTTTATTTTCTGGTCTGCCTGCAAAACATTTTGCGGCAGTTAATTCATTGGCGGATCAGCTTGATCCATTCAAGACTTGTTTTCAAAGGTTTGTTGGGTAAGGTATACAGCCCCACTGCTAAGGCATAGCTTCTCTGAGGTCTAAGTGAATACCCTGGGTGTTCACAAAGTCTTTCCCCTCTGACTTGTCAGAATGTGAACGTCTCCCAGCTGTTTTAAACCTTTGGGAGTTGTCAGCTTACAGCCCCCTAGTAGTTCTTAGCTTGAATCATAAAGTCTCAGTCAGCGTACACACTGCTTAACAGTTAGCCGAAAACATGAGGGGATTCCAAGGCAGATACCTGAAACTCTTAGTGGGCAGTTCCCTCCTTTTGTTATTCTGCCCTGCAAATTCCAGTGGCTTCAGTCTCCCTGATTTCCAATCTTTGGATCATTAGCTCAGTGAGACTACGATACTCTGAGCTCCTCCTCCTTGTGCCAGAGGCCAAAAAATAACTCCAGGCAGAAAGCTGGGGCAACTGTAGGATTTACCTCTTTCCTGGATCAGTCTGGGGCAGCCTATTGATCAATATCTGAAAACAGCTGCTTTGTCTATTTTGCATAGTTTCCTAGCTGTGTACAGCAGGAGGACTAGTCCAGTACCAGTTATATCATCATGTCCAGAAGCAAAAATCTATCATTATGTCTTAAACAAGTCTCTTGCAAATGAACACAATTTGAACACATCTAGTCTTTAAAATCCAATCTAAAAATCTGTATTCCATATCCACTAATTTTTATTGCTGAGGTACTGGCTTCCACATTTTAAATTTTGAACCTTTTATTTATCTTGCTTTCCCCGGTGTCTTTCCTCTTTGTATTATATTTTTCCTTCTTTGATTTGGGAATTATACATTCTATTATCCTTAAGCTTTTAATATACATGGCTAACAAAACTGTTCAGAATTTTGGTTCCATCTTATTTTTAAACCATCCTATATTAAGATTATCCACAACTTCACAATTATAATCTTATTAATATAATTGAAAGCAACATCATTAATACTACTTCATACTTTTGTTCTCTTGTCCTTTAAATAAACACAGACTCTTTACAGCTTACATCAATCATAAATGATGGCTAATTCAGTTGTAGTGATTCAGTCATCAGAAAGATAGGGCAGTAACATTCACTGCAAGAACCACACCAAACCTTTGATGACAGCTGTCTCAAGCACATCTAATGAGTTTTTCTCAGCATTTCCAGCTGTGCTAAATAGCTGTAGCAGTTTATACTTAATCTGAAGCAGGCAGTCCCAAGGTACATTGCTGTTATAACGCCAATTAAGTCAGTCCTCTTCATTATAATTCTCTTCATCACAATCTGGAGTTGCTCCATAGCCACTAAAATTTGCTAAACTGAAAACAACGTTGCATTTTCAAATGCTCAAAGTCACAAGCCTCAAAATCATTTGTAAGTCACTGTTGCCCCAAAATGTACAGACTAAAAATATACCTTCTTCCACTTAAATTTAAACAACACACACTTAATGACAGCCCCACACCCAGACTATTTCAAGGCAATTTAAAAGATGAATTTTGTAAATCATTGGGAGGGGAAGACATAAATCCTGTTGATGTGGAGGGCATGTGACTGTGAACAGAATAAAGTTACTTTCCTAAAAGCCAGATTTAAAAAAAGAAAAGTAGAAAAGCAGGCAAGCCAAGAGCCCATTAGGCCTTCGTGGAACAGTTTGAATTCCGGTTCAACAATACTGTTTTTTTTTTTTTTTCTCTAAGTGATAATGATATCCCAGCTAGAATAATTGTGCTCTCCAGAAGCAATTAATCTGATTTGCAAGCACTGATTTTTTCTTTTGCAAAAACTAATAATATTAGCCTGACCAATTATGAAATAATTCCTAAATTTACAAATTCCTAAATTTGTGCTTTCATGGCTTCCTTCTATTTTAAATCTATATTATTTTAAACAAATTTTCCTTAAGTAAAAATGACTTAACTTCATAAAAATCTACCATTTATGTAAATAAAACATTAACAAAAACAAAATTAAAAGAATTACTATAAATGAAACATTTACATTGCTGATATTAAATCCATTACTTGCATTCCTAATCATAACAATAAACATCAAGGTTAAAACTCTTTACCATTTTTATTACTGTCAATTTTTAATATGTAGGTTACTCTGACAGTCTACTTCTGCAAAGTCACCTGTTGAATTATATTTAGAGTACTGATTAAATATAATTAGAAAATATTAAAAGAGAAGAAAGTACTAACATCTGTATTGATAAATATATTTGGAAAGAGGAAAAAATCTAGATGTAGAGAGAGTGTGGTATTCTACAGATGGGCTAAATAACATTTGGTCATTCACTGGTACTAAGCCTTTCATTTTCTATAAGCAGACAAAACCTGGGAGGTTATTAAAAAAACAGCCAAAAGCCACACCCCCATGCTTCTTCTCTGGTGGCTGGCAGAAAGACATGTCTCCTGAAGGTGGGAGGAGCACTCACCTCCAGGCTTCAGGGAGTAATTCACTCTTCCCCCTTGCCTTGGCTACTCTTTCTTGGCAAAGTTTCCTCGAATTTAACTTCTCTTTCCACCAGAGTGGAATCAAGGTCGTCAATGAAAGGGGGAAGTCACTCAGCTTGCTTTGGTTAAGGGTACTTGGTTATGCCATTCGTCATTGTAAAATGGATCTTCTGGGTGGTCCAGCCCAGTTCTCCAAAAGAGTCAACTACCACAGGCTCAAGGGCAAAAGCCTTTTCATAAAAGTGTATTCCTGTGCCCAGGTGGATGAGGTTGGACAAAGCTACTATCACCAGAAGTGGCTGATCTTAATAGGAAAATTTCGGTCAACTTCCTGTCCCCAGCCAAATTCTCACCTCCCATAACAAAGACACAATTTAACACGTGCCATCAACCACTGCAGTCCACTATTCAGGGCAGCCACAGCTGGGGTGTGTATTCCCCCAAGATTTATCAAGAGTCTACCAAGTGCTGGCTGCTGAATCAGGCTCAGGCACACACAGATCAATAGGCTAGAACCTTCAAGAACTCATGCTCAGGTGGGAGAGACAGATACACTAAAGGATACAGACACACACAGAAAAGGCCATGTTGTAGAACATTAATAGCAAGAAGTACAATGTATGATGTGAGTGCCAGAGAGGGGCATCTACAGGGTGGTGAGCTGGACGGAAAAATGAGTTCTGAGAAGGCTTTTGGGAAGTGATGACTCCTAAATGATGATTAAAGAAGTAGAATTCCCCTAGTTTCTTGAAATTGTCCATGCTTAAAACTCAAAGGCTACACTGGTTTATGTTATCTGGTACAGAGAGCTATGTTTAACATATATTCAAGTACGTACATTCATTCTCAAGTGTATATCTCACTGACAGACATCAGCATGTGTAGTGGGTGCTGTGCTGGGCTGCCCTCTAGGGCTGAAGCCCTCATCTCCCAGCTGATGGGTGTTGGGAGCAGACAGCTCTCAGACGAGAATCTCTCCAGGTCTCATCCTCAAGTTGAAGATGGCACCTCTCCCAAGGTCATGCATTCTTTTGGGTTCATCCACATATGACAACTGGTTAATGTAGGTTTATAAAGGCCTGGACCCCTCTCCCTCCTGTTAGGACAATGCTGAAGGGCTCACCTAGCTTGAGGGTTCCTGTAGGATTGTCTGACACCTCTGTGATGATTGCATCACAGCTGAAGTTCTCCCTCTGCTGCGATCGTTCGTCACACAGGCAGAGATTTTGAAAGCTCTCCCATCAAACTTCTAGCACACAAATTTCTATCTCAGAGTCTGCTTCCCAGGGAAACTGATCTGTGACAGCATGTAAGGCATCGCTAATATCCTGTAAATATGCAGTGTGTACAACACAGCCCACGGCCACTGTTCTTCCACTCAGTGTCCTCGCCAGGCCCAACAAACAGTTCACTTCTCTCCGCCTCAGGTCTGAATCAACTAGAAACAGAACAAGAGTCAACAGATGGAGAACCGAGATCTCAACTTTAGTGCTGAATAAGTACACACTTAAGAATGTGGCTTTGTGCTGTGAGTCAGCTAATCTGTGAACTCCCAACCTCTCTCATTTCTAGTCATTGAGAAACCAAGATTCAATGAAATTCCTTGGCAGGGAGGTCAGAAAAATGGGGAAAGAAGTGTTCCCCTTCCATCTTGGTGATTTCTTACCCTGGCATATTTTATGCTAGCCTGAGGAAACCTTTTTAAGTCTTGGCTTCTACTTTTGAAGACGAAACCCAGTAACAGCTATCATTCTAACTTACATTTATCAAAAGGTAGGACATAAGGTATGGGGGTATTGTATTTTATAGTTTCATTAAAGAAGCCACATTAATCCATTAACAATTCTACTGTGTATACTGTGGTTCTAGGCTACACTAAGGAAGTCCAAGAAAACTCTCACTAGACATAGTTCAAATTGTTAGAGTATATGTATAAAATACATATTTTATACTTAACTCTATTAGGTTCACATGTACTTGTCTGATAAACGTGTAATTCGGACAACTTAGCATATTCAGGAAAATAACTCCTATAAAAATCACAGAATTTAGAGGGACAAGTAGCAACTGGAGTCTTTTTAAGGGAATCTAGTCCCAAATAAATGTTTTTACAAAATGTCTTCAGTTAATGCCTCACCTAGGTGTGATGTGATTCACTCAGACCAGAGTCTTGATCAAACAATTCCACTTCACAAGGTCATCGGCTCTACCACTGGGTCATTTGAAGGCTTTACACACACACATACATATGTACACACACATATATATACACACATATACATACCATACATGTATGAGTCTTCAGGGTAAGTATGAAATAGATACTAACATCTCAATATGGAATTCTCTGGAAAATGGGTATATATTTTAAACAATAAACCTATATTATTAATATTAAACTGAATCTGGCTATTTTCAGTCTCAATACCATATAATGCAAAGAATACCTGAGCTTTCCAAATGACCAAAGTAAACAAGCCTTTCTTCATATTAAGAGACAATTAACAGAAAAGCATTTCATGTTTTAAACTCTCAATAATTTAACTATGTATGAAGTAATTTGTCCTTAAAAACAACAGAACACAAAACCTAATATTTATATATATACAGGATATGTGGACTTACATCAAACATATTTTCAAAGAAAAACTCAAAAGCTATTTTATGCTACAGCAACTACACTCCAGTCGTGTGGTGGTGTATTAATAAGGAAATTTTCATGGCCATGAAATTTCTTTAGTATAATTTTTTTCTCTTAGAACCTAACCAAAAAAAGGCAAAGAAAGTTTTTTCATTATTTGAATCTACATGCACTTTCAAACTGAGGAAGGTATTTTCTTTTATATGTTATAATAAAAGAATTAGTTGCACGTAAAAAAAGCATTCTAAAAAGCAGTGACACTTGAAATTGTCCTGGAAATGAACAAAAGGAGTGAAAATGGATTTTAATAGCTTTGAGAGTTAATCATGCTATTCTCAGAGCAGGAGACTTTATCAAATTTATTTTATATAAATCTTTTGAATTCCTTTCATAATAGTTGTGAATCATGGCAACATCCCTTTAATATTATTTTTCTAACACTTAGGAAAACTTTTAAAACTAACCACCTACAATGATGACTTTTCATATATGAAACTCATTTATGGATTTGTAATAAA
Source organism: Homo sapiens (assembly GCF_000001405.40). Taxonomy (NCBI): domain Eukaryota; kingdom Metazoa; phylum Chordata; class Mammalia; order Primates; family Hominidae; genus Homo; species Homo sapiens. The sequence continues at coordinate 105,361,854 of NC_000006.12, forward strand.
AATAAGGGGCAATGCCAGTAACAGACATACAGGGGAGCCATAAGCACATGTGAGTATGCATTAATAATTTTAACAAATAAAGTTACCCAGCTTTCCCAGTACAGTGTGGTACAACAGCAATAGAAGAAAAAAAGAAATCAATCCAAATACTGTGTGTTGTGTTGCTCGGTATGCCAGAAACTGATAAAACAGAAAATTCTAAGAAAACAAAACACGTACAAAATAAAATAAATAATGTAGGACTTGACATGATATAGGCACTACTGTTTCTAAGTTAGCTGGTTGTCTGTTTGATAAATTTGGTTATTCAACAATCTACTGTTGGGGTTGGGTGTGGTGGCTCAAGCCTGTAATCCCAGCACTTTGGGAGGCCGAGGCAGCCGAATCATTTGAGGTGAGGAGTTCAGGACCAGCCTGGCCAACATGGTGAAACCCCGTCTCTACTAAAAATACAAAAATTAGCTGGGCTTGGTGGCGTACGCCTTTAATCCCAACTACTCGGGAGGCTGAGGGACGAGAATCGCTTGAACCCAGGAGATGGAGGTCGCAGGGAGCCAGGATCACACCACTGCACTCCAGCCTGGGCGACAGAGCGAGACTCCATCTCACAAAGAAAGTATCTACGGTTTGTCTTATTTTCTTCCTTGCTGAGAAAAACAAGTGTTCTGTAAGAAAAGCGATTGATCAACAAATCCAACATGTCTACTAAAAACAACTCTCTTCTGCAGGATTGTTTTATGTATGAAGAGCGGCACAGCCTTCTTGCTTTACTCACATCCACGTCTCTAGCTTGGCTTTCTGACTTTTCTGCCTTCCCAACCATGCTGCTGAGATTTTCCTGTGTGCTTATCAGCACGGTGAATATTATCACATAAGGCAGTGCTAATGAAACAGTGGTGGACACAAGGCAAGGGCTAAGTACTTGGGGAATAAATATGGACTGTGCCAACTGGGAAGAGGGCTACTGAGCAATTACTGGTCCAAGTCAAAAACAGCCAACCAGCAAGGGGCAGAGGAGGCAGGGACCCCCCACCAGGAACACCACTGGACTTTTCTGTGTCTGTTCTGGAAGGTGAGACCCTGCTGGTCTTCATGTGCATGAACTTCCACAGGGGACATGGGAAGAGTAAGGAAATTAACATTCACTGCATGCCTACTATAAGTCAAGCATCAGGCAACACACTTTATATGTTAATATATGTGTAATACATATGTTTTTAATTACTAGGGTTCACAGGTGAACATATAAAAATGGCTTATGGAGACACAACAGATACTAAGATTCAGGATTACTTTTGAAAAAAAAACTTTTCAAGAATTAGGTATAACAGAATTAGGTTCTCAATATAGGATTTAGGGAGATAATCACAAAGAAGCTGGGCATTTTTTCCTTAATCCTTTCTAAAGGGATGATGCATTTTCACAATCTTCATTCTAGAGCACCCTCTGCTGGGAACAGTGCCACAAAGTGTTTGATTTCTTTAGGATTTTTTTTCTCCCCAGATGCTCACAATTCACTTTAAAACAGAGCTTTGTGGGTTTTTGGGTTTTTTTGGTCCAATAGAACCTGACAATTTCTCTCCTGCCATGAAACTGTCCTTCAAGTAAAGCCTCACAGTCTATATTAAATAACTGGCACCTCTGCCCATCAAAGCCCAATGGCAGCTGTTTCATGTTACACCCCAGGGGCACAAGGGAGCTCTTGTTCCTGAGCCCAGCATTTTGGACATGTGCAGGAGGGACTGAATGTGGGAGGCTTCCCGAGGTCCCTGGCTGAAAGTGAGGAGGGCAGTGAACACATCCTGTACCTCCAGAACAGAGTAACCCATGGATATGCCTTCCCCTGGAGCAAGAGGTACCCAGGAAGCTACCAGGAAGACAGCTGGCCTTGAGACATCTTGAAAGGTCCCTGATGAAAAAGGGTGGAGGAAGGAAAGGCAGAGAAGTCTGAATCTCGAGGGAATGCTTCTGGGATCAAAAGCTTTGGGGCAGGCAGGTGGTGCAAAAGGGCAGCCAGAGAGTTTATAACCCACATCAGGGAACAGCAAAGTACAGAGTTTCCTAAAATCGAGGGGATGTCTCTGAAAAAAGGATGGCATAAGGAGAGCTGGAACCTGGACATACATCCTCATTGCAAGCAGCCAAGAGAGGCCAACAATGATAGACCAACAAACAATTCCCAATAAGCAAAACTCCAGTTTCTCTTGTCTTACTCCTCCTCCCTGAGTGGCTACTGGGAAAACTAACAGGGTGAATAGGCAAGGAGAGGGGCTTGGCAAACTTGAGCTGGGTAGAGGGCGAAAGCATGTAAATTGGAGAGAGTGATATTTTGTTCTGGACTGCAATGAACCTTTAATAGCAGTTCCAATAACCAAAAGTGTCCAGAAAGCAAGGAGTTCTGCCAGGTTGAAGGCAGTCGTCCCGGGAAGACACGCTGTCACAGCGTGACGGAGGGCAACAGTGGGGAAACTAAAGCTGCTTCCTGATTGGAACTTCCTGAGATCTGCCTGATCAAGGCAAGACAGACCTGTCCATGCAGGAAGGCAGAGGAGGTATCTGTGAAGAAGGAAGATGAGTCACGAGGAGACAGCATCTAGGATATAAAGAGAAGTTCTCAGTGAACTTGGACTGCGGCAGCCGAAGGGGAGGTTGACGACAGCAAGCCAGAGAAATCTGCACACGTCCACAAGCACATCCAGTCTCTGCCCACAGGGTTCCTCCACCCACACCCACAAAGCCCGCATCCTGCCCTGTGTCCTGCTTCTCTCACACCCAGCAGCTAAGTTCTCTCCCAGGAGGCTAAGAGATGCTGTGATAAATCCTCCGTCCAGTTTCAGAGCTGAAAAAGCCCTGGAAGAAATAAAGGAAATGACCTTGAACAGATTAAGTGACTTGCCCAAGGCCACAGACCGAACTAGAATAAAAATTTCTGTTCCAGTACAGTCCTCCCACTCTAACACTGGCTCTCTCATCACAGACACTGTAAAAACTGTTATCTAAATACTAGGTTCTATGACTGGACTAAAAGCAAGTACTTTTATAACAAAAGCAACAATTAAATAAAAGCAACAATTGCAGCACATGCCTTTGGTACATGGTTATAAAGAGGACTACAGCTGGGCACAGTGGCTCACGCCTGTAATCCTAGCACTTTGGGAGACCAAGATGGGCGGATCAGAGGTCAGGAGTTTGAGACCACCCTGGCCAACATGGTAAAATCCTGTCTCTACTAAAAATACAAAAATTAGCCAGGCATGGTGGCATGAGCCTGTAATCCCAGCTACTCGGGAGGCTGAGGCAAGAGAATTGCTTGAACTTGGGAAGCGGAGGTTGCAGCGAGCCGAAATCATGCCACGGCACTCCGCCCTGGGTGACAGAGTGGGATTCCATTTATTGCTTTTCTCTAAGATGCAAATCACTAAATAAAGGCTGTTAAGAAATTGCTTCATTTCCAGTGAATAGCCTGAGAGCTAATGTGTCCACCAGCCATGGGTGCTTCTGGCCCAGCTAGTTCTACAGTGCACCTGCTTCTTGGACTCCCCTGGCTTTATCACACTTCTTGAAGGGCACAAGAAATTCCCACCTCAAGATTTTTTTCATGATCCAGATTTTTCTGAGTGAAGACTTGGAACTGGACCATCAATTCAGATTGGACCTGAGGCTTCTGAGGCGTCACAGCAGCAGAACTCTAGAGTTCATGTTTAAGTGACAAGAGTACTCCTCCATGTAGCAAGATGGTCCTTTTGCTCAGAAGATCACATACAGCTGGGTTGGGAAAGGAGGAAGGAAGGAGCACTTACCTAGCCAGCCAGACCTGCCTGACCAGCCATGGTAACTGGTGGGATGACACCAGTCACAACAAGACCACCCAAGTTCTGGAACACTGCTTGAGGGAAGTCTACGCCCACTTCTTGTTTACGGAGCCCACGAGTTTTCTTACAGACTTCCTCTGCGTAATTCACTAAATAGGGCCCTGATCCAATAAAGATCAAATATAAAGGACTCACTTTATATTGTTCCTTTAGCTTTTTTTTTTTTTTAAACAACTTCATTTATTACTTCTGTGCAGTAGAGATGCATCCCTTTATTTATTGCTATTCTTTAAAGTCATTACTCTTAGGCTGGGCATGGTGGCTCACGCCTATAATCCCAGCACTTTGGGAGGCTGAGGCCGGCGGATGACCTGAGGTCAGGAGTTTGAGACCAGCCTGGCCAACATGGTGAAACCCTGTCTCCACTAAAAATACAAAAATTATCCCGGCGTGGTGGTCCATGCCTGTGTAATCCCAGCTACTCAGGAGGGTGAGGCAGGAAAATCGCTTGAACCCGGGAGGTGGAGGTTGGAGTCAGCCGAGACTGAGCCACCACACTCTAGCCTGGGCGACAGAGCGAGACTCCATCTCAAAAATAAATAAATAAATAAAACATAAATAAAGTCATTACTCAATTTTTGTGTGCCCTTTCCTCTTGATCAGGGAAACAGTGTACACAGTGGTTAAGAAGATACAGGCTGTGACCCTAACAGACCCAGCAGGCAGTTCCAGCATGGACTTGCAAGATAATTACCCTAGTAGGTATTTTATTTTCTTTATGCATTCCTTCCTTCTCAGACTGTAGTAAAGATTATATCGGATGAGATACGCAGAGTGTACATCTATTGAAAGAATGGTAGAAGGATCATCTGAACTATTTAAATTTGCTTTTCTTTTTATTTGCCTAGCTAGCAGAAGTGACTATACATATGTTTAATGCATGTGATATATTTCCACTCTATTTGTAAACACTAGCTGCTCACAGCAGCATTACTCATAACAATGCTGTGGAAAGCAACCCAAGTGCCCAGGGATGAATGGATAAATAAACTGTGGCACACACACATGGAATATTGTTCAGCGTTAAAAAGGAGGGAAACCGACACACGCTACAAGATGGCTGAAGCTTGAAGATGTTACGCTAAATGAACTAAGCCAGTCACAAAAAGACAAATACTGTAAGACGACATGTGTATGAGGTACCCAGAGCAGTCAAATACAAAGGGACAGAAAGTAGAATGGTGGCTGCCAGGTGATGGCAGTGGTGGGTGGAGAGGGGTGGGGGAAATGAAGAGTTATTGTTCACAGGGTGGAGTTTCCACTTTGCAAAATGAAAAAGTTCTGAGGATTGATGATAACGGTTGTACAACAATGTCAATGAACTTAATGCCACTGAACTTGTAAGTTCACTTAAAGTACACTTCACTTAAGTACAATTTGTAAGTTGTACACTTAAAAATGGTTATAATGGTCAATTTTATGAGATTATATATCATATAATATTTTGGTAGCATATTTATCTTAATCCTATTTCACTCAGATGAAGGTAAAAAATGTACATTATTTCATATCTATGGTACGCAGAAGCCTTATGTATGAGGAGAAGATGTAGTAGATAGAAAACTTGGCAGAAACAGTCTCCAAATAGATCTCAGAAAAGCCATTAAAAACAAATACGTGAGAAAAACAACAATAGCAATTGCACAAGAAAAGCTGGTAGAGTGGGAAGTTAGATGGGAAAGAAAAGGCATGAAAAACGGACAATTGGGAGGCCGAAGCGGGCGGATCACGAGGTCAGGAGATCGAGACCATCCCGGCTAAAACGGTGAAACCCCGTCTCTACTAAAAATACAAAAATATGCCGGGCGTAGTGGCGGGCGCCTGTAGTCCCAGCTACTTGGGAGGCTGAGGCAGGAGAATGGCGTGAACCCGGGAGGCAGAGCTTGCAGTGAGCCGAGATCCCGCCACTGCGCTCCAGCCTGGGCGACAGAGCGAGACTCCGTCTCAAAAAAAAAAAAAAAAAGAAAAACGGACAAATTTTAGGGTAACAAAATGTCCTATAAATTTATTTTTAACACATTCTACTAAAATCTGGCAAACTTTTTCTATAAAGGTCTAGATAGTCCATATTTTCAGCTTTGTGAGCCATACGGACTTCTGTGGCAATTACTCAACTCTGCAGTTCTAATTTGAAAGCAGGTGAAAATGGGTGTGGTTGTGCCACAAAAAAACTCCATCTACAAAAACAGGCAGCAGGCCAGATCCAGCCCAGTGGCAGCAGTTTTTTTTACTAACCCCTGGTCTAGAAAACCCAAATAAATAAAAGGACAATTTGGAATACGGAAGATCAATTCCCATGGAATAAAATACCATAGATTCCTGTTTTGTCCCCCAACGAAGCAGACAGAGGAACGTAAGTTAAAATTGAAAATGTCCCTTTCCTAACAAACTGCTAATTGTTTTTCAACTGAAGAGGTGTCTCAATGAGCTAAAAAGTTTGTAGTACATTTCTCATTCCCACTAAAAATGGAATAACATCCCACCCATATTAAAACATATTCAGAATGCTTCTCTAACAAGAAGTATTTCTTAGTACACAGGAATGAACTAACCAGAGTCAAAATTTTACTCCAAGTACCCCTAAGTTTCTTCACAGCTGATTCTCAAAATACAGACTAAATTCTAGGCCAGTAACTTAAAAACCTATCACTTCAAGAGGTTGGTCCCTGTCAAGACCCCCAAGGAATATATGAATATTGATGAGAAAATGTATAAAAGACACTCATTTTAATGTAAAAACAAGTGAACAATATGCATGAAAAGAGCACAGTTGTATAAAAAAGGGAAAGACACACTCTCTTTCCCCCATACTCTCACTTGTATGTACAAAGAAAATTTGTGGAAGGCTACCACACTCACCTCTGAGAGGCAGGATTCTGAGTTTTGAAAGGTTCATGTTTTACCTTACTAGGTACTTTTATAGTTTTTACTAGAAGTAAAATTACTTTTTTACCCTCAAAGTATTACTTTTAATATTAAGAGTAATAGGTTGAGATTGCAGTTAAAGGTTTATCACCTCCATTATTAAGAGTCAATCTGAATACCAATATTTTTAACAAAAGAATATTCACTCATGGGACTTCTGCCATCCATAAAGGTCACCACATAATAAGAATATTTATACACACATCCATGAAACACAGTCTTTGGGGGTAAAATTTCACAGCTGTACAATACCTCAGCTCCACCCATCCATTTAGGTTCATCAGGAAACTCAGCACACAAAATATCTTCTGACTGATCGGTTCCCAAGACATGGTAGTAGAGCTTTTGGTGGAGATTGGTAGATGTCTCTGTGCCTGAAGGAGTTAAAAATGTACACTGAAATGTACTTGATAATTTTAAGAAAATCAATTCCACCCATATTGCAGAATGCTAGACACATTTAACAAGTAGCTGGCTGCAGGATACAAGGTTAACATACAGAAATCAATTACTTTCCTATATACCAGCAACGAACAAGTAGATTTTGAAATTAGAAACAATACATTAGCACCTCCAAAAATGAAATATTTAGGTATAAATCTAACAAAATATGTGTAAGATCTATCTAAGGAAAACTGCAAAATTCTGATGAAAGAAGTAGAAGAACTAAATAAATGAAGAGCTAGTCCATGTTCATGGATAGGAAGACTCAACATTGTCAAGATATCAGTTCTTCCCATTTTTGTCTACAGATTTAATGAAATCCCAAACAAAATCCCAGAAACATATTTTGTGGATTGACAAACTGATTCTAAAGTTCACATGCAAAGGCAAAATATACTGACTAGCCAATACAATACAGAAGGAGAACAAAGTTGGAGGACTGGCACCTAACCTCAAGATTTATTATAAAGCTACAGTGATCAAGATAATGTGGTATTAGCAAAACAACAGACAAATAGATCAATGGAACAGGAAAGAGAGCCTAGTAGCCTTTTTAAAAAAAGGTGCTGGGACAACCAGACATCCACAGGCAAAAATATGAATCCAGACAAGATCTTACACCCTTTACAGAAATTAACTCAAAATGGATCACAGACCTGAATGTAAAACATAAAACTATAAAATTCCTAAATATACAAAGAACTCAGCAATAAGAAAAACAAACAAACAAACAAACAAACAAAAAAACGATTAAAAACTAGGCCAAAGGCCTTGACAAACATCTGACCAAAGATACACAGATGGCAAATAATCATATGGAAAGATGCTCCACATTATATATCATTAGGGAAATCCAAATTAAAACAATCAGATATGGTCGGGCGTGGTGGCTCACACCTGTAATCCCAGCACTTTGGGAGGCCGAGGCAGGTGGATCACCTGAGGTCAGGAGTTCGAGACCAGCCTGACCAACATGGTGAAATCCCGTCTCTACTAAAAATACAAAAATTAGCCGGGTGGGGTGGCATGCACCTGTAGTCCCAGCTACTTGGGAGTCTGAGATACAAGAATTGCTTGAACCCGGGACAGAAGATGCCGTGAGCTGAGATTACGCCACTGCACTCCAGCCTGGATATTTATAAAAATACAAAAAAAAAATTAGCTGGGCGTGGCGCTAACTAGTCCCAGACAGAGTGAGACTCCATCTCAAAAAAAAAAAAAAAAAAAAAATTCAGATATAACTATACACCTGTAAGAATGGCCAGAATTCAGAACCCTGATAGCACCAAATGCTGTCCACGTTGTGGAACAAGAGGAACTCTCATTCATTGCTGGCAGGAATGCAAAATGGTGTAGCCACTCTGGAAGTTTTGGAGGATTCTTATAAAACTGAACAGACTCTTAACCACATGATCCCACAGTCATGCTCCTTTACCCAAAGGAGTTGAAAACTTGTGTCCAAACAAAGACCTGCATACAGATTTTTTACAGAAGTTTTATTCATAAGTGCTAAAACTTGGAAGCAACTGAGCATTCTTTCAGTAGGTGAATGGATACACTGTGGCACATTCAAACAATGACTATTTAACACTAAAAAGAAATGAGCCATCAAGCTGGGAAAAGGCCTGTAGGGAACTTAAATGTATTATCAGTAAGCGAAAAAAGCCAATCTGAAAAGGCTACATACTGTCTAATTCCAACTACAGGATGTTCTGGAAAAGACAAAACTATAAAGACAGTAAAAAGATCAGTGACTGCCAAAGATTGGGGTGAGAAAGGAATGAATTGTTAGAAGACAAAGGATTTTTAGGGCCAGGGAAACTACTCTGTATGATACTACAACACTGGATACATGTCACTATACATTTGTTCAGACCTTCAGAATGTACAACACCAAAATCAAACCCTAAAGTAAACTATGAACTTGGGTGATAATGATGTGTCAATGTAGATTTACCAATGAAAAACAAATGTACCACTCTGGTGGGGAATGTTCATAATAAGAGAGGTAAAATGAATATGTGGGGGCAGGAGGCACATGAGAAGTCTCTGTATTTTCCTCTCAATTTTGCTGTTAACTTAAAACTGTTCTAAAAACTAAACTTTACTTTTTAAAAAGTTAAGTATCGGCCAGGCGTGGTGGCTCACGCCTATAATCCCAGCACTTTGGGAGGCCGAGGTGGGAGGATCACAAGGTCAGGAGTTCAAGACCAGCATGGCCAATATGGTGAAACCCCATCTCTACTAAAAATACAAAAAAAATTTAGCTAGGCATGGCGCTAACTAGTCCCAGTTACTTGGGAGGCTGAGGCAGGAGAATCACTTGAACCCGGGAGGTACAGGTTGCAGTGAGCTGAGATCACGCCACTGCACTCCAGCCTGGGTGACACAGTGAGATTCCATCTCAAAAAAAAAAAAAAAAAAAAAAAAAAGGTTAAGCATTGGTTGAATATCAAACTGAAAGTAATTAACTCATATTTGCTGATTTTGGAGGCTTCTTTGAGGCTGAACTTCTTTTTTTCATTATGATGACGTACCAAGCTTTCAGGGCAAGGGAGGGAAAAACATAAGATAATACCAGAATGTAAAAAAAGCTTCATGGCACTTAAGTGATTGTCATTGAGCTTTCAGGGACACTGGTAAGAAGCACATGGTAGGAATTGCTTAGCTTCATTTGTAAGGCTCCCATCACAGTCTGAGAGGCTACTGAGATGTTGGCTTTCTTATATCTATCACAATTACTAATTATTATTATTTTGTGCCACTGAAAGCTGATGGTAAATAATAACTTTTGTTTTTTACAAGTTAATGTAATAACGTTCTCTAACATGAATTGGCCAGTTATACTTTTTTTGTTTCCCAGAAGGTGGAAATAACTAACATTTTCTAACTCTGGGGCACTCTTAACACAAGCAGCTAATTTCGTTTCCAGAGCGCAGACATCTTTCTTTAGCCAACATCCTTGAATAAAAAACCTACTTTTAGCTCATCTTGTAATTCATTGGCGAATTTATAAAAAAGGTCTTGATGTAGCCTAATCAAAAGGCAGAAAAAGCTAAACATAGCCAAGAGATGAAAAACACTGTAGCCTTATTCTCAATTCAATTGTGGGGGAAAAAAAAAAACAGAAAAGAAAGCAAGGATATTTAAAGATGACAAAGATACAACAAGTCATGATAAGGGGACAACAGGTACAGCAGAAAGCACTGGAGTAGCTGTGCTTCTTGCCAGATCCCAGCCCTCCAGCAAATTACTGAGCCTCTGTGCCCAAGCTCCTAATCTCTAACACAGGGATTGTAAAACTTACCTGTAAAGACCAACCAACATAACAAGAAAATGCTACATACCACGTTGAAATGTGGGGTAGCAAAAGGAAGAAAATGACACATTGTACCAGTAAGGTACAAGGTACATAGCCCTTCCTGCCTGGGAAAATTTAGAAGTGAAGGAGCAAAGAGGGAGGAACCCCTTGAACACAACAGGATCTTTGTGCAATTAAAGAGAAGAACAATAAAGGTGTGTCCAGAAAGTAACAAGGAGAAAAGTATCAAGATAAATGGCAACCAACAGGTGACCTATAACTTCTGATCAGAGGAGAATATGCGATTACTGTAGCAGTAAAGTTTTATAATCACTCAACATAATCAAATAGCTTGGTTCGGTTTAAAAATTCACCTTCTCCATAATCTCCTTAGGAGATATAACACATCTATAAGGGACTGATTGATTGTAATAATGATCTCATTTTTCCGCAGTTCCCTGTATCTATTTCTCCACCCATTGAAAAGGGGCTGGCCCTCTGGCTTGCTTTAGCCAACAGAATGCAGCAAATCTGACGTGCCAGGAGCAAGCCTAGGCATTAAGAAGGCTGTGTCATTCAGCTCCCCGTCTTGCAATTCTACTGAGTTGCCATGTGAGCAAGCCCAGGCTAGTCTGCTAGTCGTCCCAGCTGAGGGCCCAGAAATGTAAAAGAGCCAAGCCAAGATGAACCAACTAACCTGCAGCTGACCACAGATACATGTTAGAACTCAGCCAAGGCCAGAAGAACTACCTGGCCAACCCATAGGCTCATAGCAAAAACAAATGTTTATTATTCTAAGCTACTACATTTTGGTGGGGTCTATTACACAGCAAAGCCAACTGATACAACATCCTTTGAGGAAACATGGTTCTGGACCACACAACCTCTATGTAGGGTTCAGCATCTCTTTTCAGTCACTTGAAGTCACACTTCATTTTGTGAAAAATGTGCTTCATCTGAAGTCTTCACTCACCATCACTTTTTCCATCCTGTTGAGGGTATGAGTTGTAGAACATTCCCTTCCCATCATGGGTCCAGGCCATACAGCTGAACTTGACTCTTTCAAGCACATCTGGAAGCTCTTTGGCACCATCAACTTTCATGAACTTGATTGTCACCCAGTCTGAGCCACTGGCACTCAGACCATAGGCAAAATATTCACCATCTTCGCTGAACGCATAACCTATGGGACACAGGAGAAATCATCCAGTGACAAACACGGAACACAACTCCACGGTCCTTTATGCCATCTAACAAAGCTCTCTTTCATAACACGGAGGTAGAATGTGGCAATAAAAGGAATAGGAATCTGGTAGTGAGGAATCCCGGGGGCTCAGCCCAAGTTTTACAGGAATTACCCTTATAACCTTAGACAAGCTTCCTAACCTCTCCAGGTCTTAATTTGTCTATAAAATGAAATATTAGATTATATGCCTACTAAAATGCTTTCATTTTGAAATTTTTATAATGCAATAGGCAGTTCAGTTAAAAGCAGAGCTCATCTGGGACTTCTGTCATATTTCATTTATACTCTAAAGGGAATAAGGAGAAAAAGGAAACTGCTTTTAGAGTAATGACTGAATTATGACACATACCATATAATAGAACTAAATTGTAGTCATTAGGTAATTTGGGAGATTGATTCCAAATTATCTAAAATCCCTTGTTACAGCCTCATTTTTGAAGCATTACCTGTGCAATGTCCACACTGTCTGACCATTACAAGCCTAGGTAAATAAAGCCTGAGGGTTTGCAGTGAAGGCGCCCGGAGTGCACATTCCACAAGAAATTGTGAAAGGAAAAGCAACATGTCTATAGACTGTCGTGCCATGTACAGTCCTTTAGGGCCCTGGCAGAATGTTCTAATCACTATGGAATGTTTCCTGGCAAATACTTGTGTTTCATATTAGCTTTTTTAATTATGAAGTATGTAAAGCATTCAATACAACACCTCCTATTGGAGACTCTGACACCAGAGATTTCCTCTTAGGCTGTTTGCTAAACGTTATTGGGTAATGAAAATTTTAAGAAGCTCAACTATTATTAGAGGTTTCCTATTCTTTTACGTGGAATTTCATTTGTTTAAAATTTCACAGAACCTACTCATTAACCATTGTAGGTCCTATAAAGTATCTAGGCTCATATGTATGTAAATGCAGAAAAGAGTCTAGAAAGTGATAGGAAAAAGAAACATATTCACCTTTTATTCTACATAGCACTGGAGTGTTTGAATTGTTTATATATATATATATATATATATATATATATATATATATATATATATATATATATATATATCAGAAAATTTTCAGAAAAATTTAAATAAAACATTTTGATTTGAAAAGTATGTTTAAAAATCATATACTACAAAAATAATCTGAATGTTTACTCCTTTTGTGATAACTTCCCTATAATACCACTCTTAGAAAACTCAATGACTGTTTGAGGCAGGTCTCATGCCTAATTTAGCTTCTCGCCCATCAAGGCTTTGTCCATAGCAAACATTCCATAAAGAAGTCACTAGAAGAATGCATTATCGGGGTGGGAGTTAAGACCCTGTCCCTCTGGATGGGCTGCAAGATAGATCCTTGTGGAAACTAAATGAATTCCTATATGGGATATGTTACTTCAACAGAACCAGTGTATTAAATTCACTGAAAACTACAAGCTCAGATTCATGGAAGAATCTGAGCTGGTGATGTCTTATTTTCGATACTGGTTCGATAAAGGATCATTGTTTATATACACAGCCTATTCAGAGGGAGGGGAAGGTGGACCACCGAATGACTGGATCATGGTTAGAAGTGTTTGTATAAAAAAGGGTCTTTGCACAGGTCTGATGGAACGGGGCTCTATAACTCCCATCTTATTGATTACAGAGGACTTCAATGTCTCAATTTCTCAATTCTAGAGGGCCATAACTAATCATATGGTTTTTTCTATAAAACCAGAAGGTACTACAGGAGAAATGCTGAGCCAACGTCATCTATAACATCATTATCATTGTAGAGTTTACAATTATTAAAATACAGAACTGGAGAATAACTTAGTTCCTTACCCTAGAACTCTGCTTACTGCAGAAACCTTGGATAATCTTCTCTATGGCCTACGGAGGAGGTTATCTTAGGGGCAGAGTTAAGTAGGAGATGTACAGCAACTGTGGACAAACTTAGTCTTTAAACCTCCATCTTCAGGGAACAGGATACCCAGCTGTTCAATTTCTACAAGATTTGTGTGTTTTTACTTGTAATTCTAACATGTTGACAATTAACTAGATTTTTAAAACTCTAATCGCCTCCTTCCCAAGAGGGAAACTGATCTGATAAACATTCTTTCCTGTTTAATATTATAGTTGGAATAATCTTTGTACAGCTTAAACTTCTTATAGAAGACGACTTATTTTTTTCTAATCACAGGTAGGTCTCAGGGATGTTGGAGGAAATGATGATGATATGTCAAGATTCCAGAAGCCCTAGAAGCTAATTTGGGTCCAGTGTTAATTATTTTCCAGTTCTGCTTCATGCCATCAGAGTGGAAAAGAGGAATGTGACTATTCATGTATTCTAAATATACTGTGCAAAAATTAGCTTTCCTGATATTGTATGTGCATCTGTTCCACAATATGGTCCACACCCTGCCTGGCATTTCAGAGGTAAAGCAACTGCACTAACTTCAGAGCTCCAAGTGAGGGTCTTAGGAGTTCCACGGGCCTCTCTGTGTAGCACTTACCTCGGAGTGCCACTGTGCCATCGTCAGACAGTATGTTGGGGTCCAGGAACACTCTGGCCTCACCCTCTAAGGAATCCTGTACATATAATACTCGCTGGTTCTGCAAACCTGTATTGTAAAAATAAAAATACCTGGGGAACAGAGATGGTCTTTATTCAGCTGTGGAGTTTTCTATTTGTGGAGTAAAACCAAACACACACAAGCAAAAACCAAAACAAAACCAAAGACCTAAAAAGGTACCACTGTAATCTGGCCATCGCAGGGACGTGGGGACATGGGTGAAAGGTTCCATCATTTCTCTCTACCTAGAGCTTGTTAACAGAATTGCTTCCATATTCAAATCCTGTATTGTAATCCTGCACATTAGCCGAGTAGAGGCAAATAAAGACCATTTTATGTGTTAAAATAAAAATTGATATTCAAATAAAGCAGTAACTTTTTCTTTTAAATGAAGAAGAAAGCAGACTTTTCTAAAATAAAATTCTGGTTCTTTTCCCTAGCAAGGCTGCTAGGGTGGAAGGTCAGTACACTTTCTCTGTAAAGGGCAAGACTGCAAATATTTCAAGCTCTGTGAGCCATACAGTCTGTCACTATAATACTCAGGCCTGTAGCTGCAGCACAAAAGCAGCTATGGACAATACGTAAACCGATAAGCATGGCTGTGTCCCAATCAGACCTTATTTATAAAAATAGGTAGGCAGCCAGGGTTTGGTAGGCAGACTGTACGTTGCCGATCTCTGTAAGAATGGCAGAGGGCTGAAGAAAGTCTAAAGTAAATGTGTGATAGTGGCTCCAAAGAGATTTAATAAAAGATCAAGAAAACATCTGTAAGTGGGTGTTAACGGGACAGGAACAAGAGAAGTGAATTCACCCATTTCACCATTCTTTGACAGAAGAAAAACACAGAATTAAATGTTTCCAAGTAGTATACATCAAAGATAATTAACTTCGGAGGCAAACAAACCTCCACTGCTGTCTATGAATCATCCTATCTCACCAATTACTACCGATAAGACGACGATTTCCTATAATCTAGATTTCTTTATATGACCTATCCCTACTAAATTTCTTAACTATTATTTTAACAATTTGGACAATACCTAATAGATCAAAAATATTACTCTCATATTCAGGCATAGAAATTAATTCCTTATAATGAATTAATCTTATACAAGGACAAGTTATCTGGAATTTGTATTTTACAATTTAAGAAAGCATTTACTTTGAAAATAAAAAGGAAATTCAGTAAAAGCAGTCTCACCGTTTTCCTTTCTTGAAGTGGCAACTATACTTGGGATAATCATATAGTTCAGTCATTCTCTCTTTGTATAAACCTCTGATGGGACACTGCTCAAGAAATGGCACAGTAATCTTATTCTGGGCCTCCACAAAGGCCTGTGGAGAAATTAAAATGGACAAAGCAAGTTAAATATAAAATTTTCCATGTGAAATATTATCCACTAATATGTATCAGAAAAAGCACACTTTGTCTCTTAGCCAGTGCCTCTTCTCTCTCATTACCAGCCTCTCTCACCTCCTTACTCTTCTTCATACCTGCCCAGCTCCTGCCAAGTGACTGATTAATATGTAGTAACAACCAATGCTTACATGGTACTAACTCAGCTAATGCTTACAGGGCAAGTATTAACTTATTTAGAACTCACAATAATCCTATGGAGAAGGTCCTTTTATTAGGCCAACTTTACAGATTGGGAAACTGAGGTTTGGAGTGGTTAAAAAGTTGCCCGACATCATACAGCTAGGAAGTGGCAGATGGCAGAGTTGGCTCCCAGATCCACGCTCCTAACAAACACACTATACTGTAGCTCAGATCACACACTGCCAATAATCTGCATTTACGCAGTGCCATGGTTCCGGGATTCTTATTCAGCACCTGGCCATCCCAAGAGAAGTCAGAGTCAAAGAGAGAAAGTTAGGGATACCCAGGCGCTATTTTATCGATTTTGGCTTTGTAAGACCTACTACCATGTTAATTTCAATCAGAGAACTTTGCTAAAATTTGCAACCAAAGAACATTGAAAAAACATTGGAGGCCAGGTGCAGTGACTCATGCCTGTAATCCCAGAACTTTGGAAGGCTGAGGCGGGTGGATCACTTGAGGCCAGAAGATCGAGACCACCCTGGCCAGCATGGCGAAACCCTGTCTCTACTAAAAATACAAAAATTTGTCAGGCGTGGTGGTGGGTGCCTGTAATTCCAGCTACTCAGGGTGGCTGAGGCACAAAAATCGCTTGAATCCGGGAGGCAGAGGTTGCAGTGAGCCAAGATCGTGCCACTGCACTCCAGCCTGGGCGACACAGGGAGACTGTCTTAAAACACACACAAAAACAAAAAACACCTGAAACAAGTGGCATTGCAGAAGAATATCAGCAACATGGTTTATAAGAAAGGCAAGAGATGGCCATCAGGAAATACTGGTAGTGAAGGCAGGAAAAGGGGCTTTTACAAAAGATGAGTTGTATCCAAGCACACCCTATTTGTAACTAACCAGTTAAAAAGTTGACAATACCATAAAAACTTGGCTACTAGTAATTCACATCTGGCTATTAGCAAGAAATGAAACAAGAACATTGTATCAGCTTTAAATTCAATAGAAGATTTCATCAGATGTCTATAAATAAGTAAATCATCAGGGAAAAACTTCAGGAAATTAAGACCATAATATACTTTGAATGGCAGGGAAAAATGCATTATTATCAGAGTTCACTTTTGGATATATCATCAAACTCTAAGGGCCCATCCAAGCTCACAATGGTCTTCAAATGTGCAACAATGCTTTGGGTTCCCCTACAAAAACCACCAATCCCACTCTGCAGAACCATGATTTTGTGGTGAGACAAACTGTTCCAAAGCTCATTGATTACAATGCATTTAAAAACAAGAGACAAGGGATGTAAAGTATGAATACAGTAATTAACATTTTTGCAAGAGGACCAGTTCAAGAAAAATAAAACTGTTACAGGTCACATTTCTGATTTCATTTAAACAGAAAATAAAATTTACTGAGTCCCACAGAAATACAATTCCAACTATCACTAGGGATTGGCAATCTTCGCCCTGGCCCGCTTTCCTGTGGCTCTGGAGATCAGAATGGTTTTTGTATTTTCAAAGAGCTAGAGGGGAAAAACCAACAGAGACTTATGTGGCTTGCAACATTTAAAATATTTACTATGTGGCCCTTTACAGGAAGTTTGCTGACTGCACTTTCCCTCATTAAAAACATCAAGGAGGAAATTGGATTTTGCTTTTTAGTTATAAAATCAATGCCTATCTGAGAAACCACCCAGGGGAGCATTTTGGAGATCACCAAGTGTGTCCAAAAGCACTACTTCATTTTACAGTGGAAGAAAACACCATGCCTACTTCACAGATATGGAGATGGAGGCAAGTGGTATTAAAGTCCCCTGGTTAAGGTCATGCAGTGAGTTAGCAAAATCACTCAGAGACTGAAAAAGGATGTGGAGATGAAGCAGATCCACCCAGGAAAGAAGGAAGACGCAACCTGGGCCTCCTATGATTTTCTTCTGCATGAACTGGGCTGTGCTGGGTAGGAACATCAGGGAGCTGAAGCATCCACGTGGACTAAACACAAATCTTGTGTGTGTGTTTACACTGATCGTGGCATTGTGGATGGATAAGTGACAAGTCCAAGCTAAAATCCCTGTCATCACGGAGCTCATGCTACTGGGGACACACCCACAAAAAGCCAGAGGGTTGCAGAATGGTTGGTTCTAAGGACATACACAGGGTAATCAGCAGAGCAATGCTGCTTGATACCCAAAGTGTCAACTACAGATCAGTGTTGGCCTGAACTGTTTGCTACCAGCCCACAATGAGAAGAGTGCAGAAAACAAGAGTGAGTGCTGAAAACCTTTATGGCAATTTGACATTACTATGGCATCTTCATTATAGTTTGGAAAAACCTCAATCCACAAATGGTTTGGAAATTTACAAACCAGCCATTCCTTGCAGATCTTGAAAATCACTGGGAAAGAGGGCACCTAATTAAGCAGGGTGGTCACAAAAGCCCTTCTGAGGAGGTTTCAAATTGAGGACTGAGAGGGAGCAACCATGCAAGGTGGGGCAGAATGTTTTGGGCAGAGGAAACAGCAGGTGTGGGAGTCCTGGCAGGGGGAATAACTTGGCAGGTGTGAAGAAGAGTAAGGAGGTGAGTGAGGCTGGGAATGAGCTGAGGCCAGACGACCAGACATGAGCTACAGCAGGCGGCACCTGGTAGGCAGATATGATGTTTCGATCTCTCATCGAAGTGCAAATAAGCCATGATTGGGTAAGGAGATTTACTTTTTGAAAGATTACCGTGCTTTGGACAGAGAACAGACTATAGGGGAGCAAAAGTGGAGACAGACAGGCCAGTTAGGAGGCTGGGACAGTGGTTCGGGTGAGAGACAAGGCCAAGAGGAATGGCTGGTCTCTAAAAGGGGCAGGAACAACCATTATAATGGGAGTGGAAACAGAGAAAATGGGCACAGCACATGTTAGTTTGCAGTTTTGGCTATTTCCCAGAGGGCCTCACCAGAACATTCTAGTCAGAGCCCTAAGAAGGATTCCACACAAGACCCCAGCATGCTGAGGGTCTTGGCTGGCTCCTGCACTTCCACGGAGGGATTCTCTAAGGAGGGTACCCTGAAGATGTCATTTCCCTGATCCTTCTGATTTGCATGAGGCTGCACTTAGGCCCACGGTGGGTCCAAGGGTCAGAGGCTGCTCAACAGATTGCTCAGTTCATTTTCCTTGGAAAAGCAGAATTGTGTTCTCCAGCTGTTTCTCTATTTTGCTTTGCTTCTTTCACATGTCTCATGGTATAATTACAACTACTGCAACATAATTCATCTCACCCTGAAGCAGACACACTGGCTTTTCACATATAAAGTTTTCATAAAACTGTTATGCCAGGCATAAAAATGCTACCAAATAATTCTAGGATTAGTACATCCAATTTTGTCACCTCCTACCCACAAATGTTAGCTAATTACTTTAAATAGACCATTAAAGACTGCACTCTTCCAAGTCAAATATCTAGATGTAAAACCAGAGTGTCCAAATTCCTAAAAGTCTCAAGTTTTTTCATAACACACATCTTTATAACTCGGGCAAATCCTTTTCACGAAGGTGGTAGAAAATTTCTGTAAAGAAGCTTTGTTAAATTTAGGGTTACATAAATGCCAATAATATTTCTGATATTTTAACCAGGGAAATGCCTTCTTGGTCATTTATGTATTTAACAGGTATATCATCTTGGTTGATCTAAATATTAGAAAAAAAAATTGGGGAAAAGGGAGAAAAAGAATAAAAATAAAGAAAAAGAAAATGGAAGTGTTACATGGTGATAAGGAAGCAGGGTGAGGAAAACACAAATTCCTTGTTGTTCAAGGAGTTTCAGTACCCGCAGTCTCATTCTAGGATGTATTAAAATAACTGAAATATGAAAGCCCTGATGCACGCAGCTGAGCTTCTAAAGAGAGTCAACAGTTTAGATTTTATATCCATAGATGAATCTGAACACATTTTCCTAGCAAAGAGTAGCTGCTCAAAACTAAGAAATCTTACTTATATCTCATGTGCCTTGACTATTAGAAAGCTTAAAAGCAAAGCAAAGCTTCAGTTATGCAAGATCATTAAGTTCTAGAGATCTGCTGTACAACACTGTACCTATAGTTAGCAATACTATATTGTGCACAGAAAAATCTGTTACAAGGGTAGCTGTCATGTGAAGTGTTCGTACTGCAATTTAAAAAAGAAAAAGAAAAGCTATTTGGAAAGGGGTGGCTTAATTTGGGAGCTGAGATTCCTTTACTCCTAATGTCTTCAGAAAATTTTTTTCAAAGTGCCCTCATGTACTCTATTTTAATACACAAAATACTGCAGTCCTACGAAATAAGCCAGGCACGGAAAGATGAATACCTCATGCTCTCACTTATATGTTTTATTTAAAGGAGTCAAACTCACAGAAGCAGTAAAATGGTGTTTACCAGAGGCGGGGGTTGGGGGAGATGTTGGTAAAAGGACACAGAGTTTCAGTTAGACAGGAGAAATAAGTTCAAGAGATCTATTGTACAACATGGTAACTGCCTGAAAATTGCTAAGAGGGATTTTAAGCGTTCTCAACACACACACACACACACACACACACACACACACACACACACAAAGTATGTGAGGTAATTACACATATGTTAAATAGCTTGATTTAGCCATTTCACAATTTCTACATATATCAAAATGACGTGCTACACACCTAAATATATACAATTTTCACCTGTCAATTTGAAAAATTGACTTACGAAATACAGATACAGGCTCACTTACTGATTGCCTTAACTTTTCCCTTTCTAAATGGAAGTGTAAATTAAAAATACTGTTCACTTAAAAAAAACTCATCTTTTTACAATTCTTACATAAATGAATAAAAATTATGCCTAGAATTACTCATTAAATAAATATTTATACAAAACACTACAATGTGCACCATGGTGATTAACAAGATGAATGAAAGATAAAGATATGTGCTAGAGGAGAACAAATAAAGGGGAAGCTACTTCCAGGGCAGGGCAGGGTGGGCTGGGGCAAGTGCCATTGGCAGGCAGGCAAGACGACCAGGAGGGACTTCCAGGTAGAGACTGGCTCAGGCCCGGGTATCAACCTCCCCTCTTCTGAAATACCAATGAAAACTAAGAGTGGTGCTATCTACATCCCACAGGCTTTGAGGAGCATCTGTTACAAATAACAGATATAGGACTTGGTTAAGCAACTATCAGGGGCTTCTGGAGAAAGTGGCAAAAACCATAATCCCAGCCTAAGTGAAAGGCATGGGCGGCACACTTGGATCCCCTCTCACTTTAGCAGAATTTGGAATTTGGAAATGACTCTCCAAGTACAGGGACAGCCCCATCAAAAAGCAGCCAAGAGGCGCTCACCCTGAGGCTGTAGGACTTAGGGCCAGGAGGGCAGGACAGTCAAGGTAGGTCATGCACAAAAGAGAATTAGATGCAGCTGCTTTTCAGGAAACACGTCCAGAAATGGAAACAATAAAAGATTGGAATAATGTACTTTCCAAGGCTAATATCTATGCCAAGGAATCTCTACCATTAAAAAAAAAAAAAAAAGAGTGCTCGTAATTTTCCAGGACTTACTCAATATTTACAAAAATCAGCAGCCCATCAGACAACAAAGGGGGAATCTTAAGCCCCAGAAAGAAAAGCTTGTTCAGGTCACAGTTTTGACCACAATGCCATTAACCTCACCACATGAAGTGCTTTCTTTTCCTGGCCCACAAGCAACCCCCTACTCATTCTCAAGGTGGAGAAATATTCTAGTTCAATCAGTGAGAGCCCAAAATCTTTTGGGCTCAACTTTAACATAAAAAACCCAGAGTGGGCCCATCTCTTCTCTCTGGGACCATCTGCTCTTGGGTGAAAAGGGCTCATAGTAAGCTTCCTGCTGCACATGATCAGCAGACTAGGCGGAGCCTTCTAGAAGCCTGTCAGGCCTCTTTCCACCTCTCTGCTTGTCCCCGTGTGGGTAAATCAACTCGTTCCCTCACTGGGACTAGTTACTATCAATTAGGGAGGAAGCAGAAACCGTCACTCCGACCTGATATTCAAGCCTTGTTCTCAATACTCGTCATGACCAGGGAAAACTGAAATTTTAACCCCATTAGGCTCCATTCTTTGGTGTATACTTTCCTGACCAAAAACCTGGTGAAGAGGTGATTTGCACCTCAAATCCAAACCTAACTAAATATCTGATCGTGAGGACATTAAACACACTCATATCCTCCCTCTCCTGAATAATTCTGTATCAATGAGGAAATCCAAACTGTAACAAGATTACTTAGAAAATACGAAGAAATAAGAAAAACAAGACTATCACACATTAAGTTTCATGGGATGTGGCAAACACTGTTGGAGTTGACATCTATTTCTTTCTGGTGCCATATGAAGTCCCACTGATAGTTGGGGAAAGGGTGTGACCGCTGCTGGCCAATCAGAATGTCCCTCCCCCAGACCACGGCTGGGCAGGACCTCAAGCAGGTGAGGCTGCGGCTCATCTCAGGGCTTGCTGGCATGACTCACCCATCAGGGAGCCAGCCTCTTCCAGTCCTGCACTACTGAATTCAGGAGTGTACAGGAAGCAGGCTTGGGAGACTGAGTGCTCATGCTTGGTTATGCCAGGTACCGAAGGGCAGTGATCACACTGTGACTGATGAGGAACATCTGGCTGGAACGGTGACAGTTATACCTTCAGAAAGTTTGAGGTTTACCCTCTTTCTCCATCAGATCGTATCATCTGCAATTGAGCATTCTCAGTGAGGATTCTTGGTACCGCTCGCTTGTACCTCCATCTGTCATAGATAATGTGACAGACACCTCTGTCTGTATTCTAACTATGCTAACTCCCTTCCACGTTGTTTATATAAGTAAACCCTGTTCATTTTCATAAGCAAAGTCTTTCCATCAATTCTAACCCACAGGCAATAGTCAACAAAATAGTAATAGTAGTAAACCCAGGCAAAACAATCAGAATCCTTTTTTAGGGACAGAGATGAGTATTTGAAGGGAGAAGTTATCTCAACTTAAGACACTTGGGGCTACAAGGACTGTGAGAAACCCAAAGAGACAAGACCCATCTTTCTCTGCCACACAGGAGTGGCTGCTGGAAAAATAAAATTATCAGAGAAAAGCAGATGACCTAAGAGAAAAAGACAGGTTCCCAAAAATACCACATGCACTCCTGGATCAGACTGTGCCTAAAGGCACTTATACCCTGAACCCCAATAACGTGAGCCACTCAGCTCCTCTTTTTATGTGAGCTGGTCTGAGTTGGGATTCAGGTACCAGTAATAAAGTGTCCTAACACAGCTTTCCTTGGAAGCCTCTGGTTTTCTGAACGAGATGAGACTGGATGACCATGAGCAGGCTGGAAAGAGGAGAGCTGACCAGAAGCTTGCTCCAGGGCTGGCTGGGGATGACTGAGCAAGTTCTCTACAATAAAGGTGTTTTATGAGAAAGAATAAACTTTAAGCATTAAAATAAAAAATTTTAAAATAACAAGAGAAAATAAGAAATCAATGAACTAGAAGCTTTTAAGCATGAAACTTAGACTTCCTAGATCTGCTTTAAAAAAAAAAAAAAAAAAAGAAAAAAAGCACATTTAGCCAAAGCTCTGGCTAAACTAATCAAGCAAAGATGATGCTACAGATACTCAAATTTAGAAATTATAAACAAATATAACCACGGATTGGGAGAATAAAGTCATTTAAAAAGCATATTACACATAACTTCATGCTAGTAATTTTTAAATCTCAATGAAATGAATAATTTACTAAGAAATACAAAGGACTAAAATTGATCCAAAAAGAAAGCAGAACTGAACAGAGCAATGACTGTGAAACAAAATGGGGGGAAAAAACCCAAGAATTAATTGCAATAAAAGAACTTGTCCCAGATAACTCTAAGGATGAAGTTTTTCAAATTATCAAAAACCATAATTTCCATATTATTTAAATGGCTCAATAATGAGTGCAATGGTGAGCATTTATTAAGCACTTACTATGTGCCTGCTACTTTGCTAAATGGCTCAAAAACACTATCATTTAATGTTAACAATTATATGAGGTGGTTTTCTCCAAATTACAAGTCAGAAAAATGAGGCTAAAAAACACGACCAATTGTCAGACTGGGTGTGGTGGCTCACATCTGTAATCCCAGCACTTTAGGAGGCCAAGGCAGGCAGATCACGAGGTCAGGAGATCGAGACCAGCCTGGCCAACATGGTGAAACCCCACCTCTACTAAAAATACAAAGATTAGCTGGGCGTGGTGGCGCATGCCTGTAATCCCAGCTACTCGGGAGGCTGAGGCAGGAGAATTGCCTGAACCAGGGAGTCAGAGATTGCAGTGAGCCGAGATAGCACCATTGCACTCCAGCCTGGTGACAGAGCAAGACTCCATCTCAAAGAAAGAAAGAAAAAAACCAACATGACCAATGTCTAATAAAATTGTGGAGCTAAGATTCAATCCTGCCTTTCTACCTCTAAAGTTGCTCATTTAACAACTATACGCACTGCCTTCCTATGAACAGGCAGAGGTTCCAACATTGCTAAGGGTTCTCATTAGTTGCTAGAGGGAGCAGAGTAAAAAGAAAAGTCTGGAAGAAAAGAGACAAGTTAGGAAGTTACTGAACATCTAGCTCAGTGGCAATGTATGAGAGACCCAGGGAGGTGTTGGCACAGACAAGAGCGCAAGTAGAAAGTCATGAGATTTTATGGAGGTACAACTGGAGCTCCAGAGAGTCATGTATATGATTAAATGAAGAGCTGATTCAAATGGTCAGAGGATCTGGAAGAGTCCCAGAAATTTTGTCACATGCCTTGATTTCCCCCAATGAAAAAAATTGGAACCATTAACACTAATTTACAAAGATGCTATAAACAACAGTGAGGCATCTATTAGAACTTAGCTGCTTATGAATAGGCCCTAAAAAAAATGAAAGGTATTATAATTGTTCTTTAATCAAGTAATCTAAGTATTCCCTAGGGCAGTTTTCCCAAACTTTCTGGGTCTGAAGAATTACCTGAGGGTGAGGAATAGGGGTCTTGGAAAACAGATTTATACTGAAATCCAATGCTCCAGACTGAAGCTTCAGCATTTGTATTTTTAACAAGTGCCCCAGTGATTTTTATGGCTAAGCACTTTCTCCCCTGAACATGGCAGAATGGGATGGTGAATTAGGCACCTAAACATGGTGGGGGAAAAAAAGAAGCTAAGGCCGGGTGCGGTGTTTCATGCCTGTAATCCCAACACTTTGGGAGGCCAAGGTGGGCGGATCACTTGAGGTCAAGAGTTTAAGACCAGCTTGGCCAACATGGTGAAACCCCGTCTCTACTAAAAATACAAAAATTAGCCAGGTGTGGAGGCGGATGCCTGTAGTCCCACCTACTCATGCTACTCAGGAGGCTGAGACATGAGAATTGCTTGAACTTGCCGGGTGGAGGTTGCAGTGGAGATCTGCCACTGCACTGCGGCCTGGGTGACAGAGCAAGCCTCCATCTCAAAAAAAAAACAAAATAAAAAAGAAGTTGAGAGAAATCAGTTATCGCAGTTCTTTAGATGTTCACTTTTTAACTGCTGTTTTCCCAAAAATACCGTATCTGATGCCAGCATTTTTCACTGAAAAACTGCAGATGACTGAAACCAAAGCTGAGTAACTGCTTACAGAGAAAACAGTAACATTAAATGTATACAAGTACTTGAAACAATTCATCAATGATTTACAGTGTGCTTTTCTAAAATGGAGCTTTCCCTGATAGTGAACCAATGGGGCTGGAGTCTTCGCCTCTACAACAGCAGTGTCCAGTCTTTTGGCTTCCCTGGGCCACACTGGAAGAAGAATTGTCACAGGCCACACATAAAATACACTAATACTAATGATAGCTGATGAGCTAAAAAAAAAAAAAGAAAAAAAGAAAAAAAGAAAAAGAAAAAGAAAGAAAAAGAAAAAGTCGCAAAAAAAAATCTCATAATGTTTTCAGAGTCTATGAATTTGTGTTGGGCCACATTCAAAGCCATCCTGGGCCACATGTGGCCGGTGGGCCGCAGGCTAGACAAGCTTGTGCTACAAGATGTGGCTTGGCCTCCTTTCTGCTCCAATCTCTAGCAGCTCAGAGATCAAGTGGCATGCCCATCTTCAATCTCTGGTCCTCCCAAGCTACAAGGCAAATTCCATGCTGGTATAGGCATCTGTCTTACTTATGACACCGCATCCCCCTTATTTAACCCAATACTCAGCACAGTGGGCACCTAGATAAACTAAGGAGAGAGGAGGAAAGGTGAAGAAGTAGGAGGAAATGAAGCACATATGGAGAAAAGAGAGAGAATGAAACCTGCAGGCATGTGGCATTGGGGTAGCCAGCATCCATGCTCCCTCCGTAGCGCCCTCCCTTCTAAGTGGAGCAGGTAGCTGTGCTGCCACTACAGAAGCCAAAGAGGGTCCCTGGGGCTTCTACCAAATCTCTTCTCTTAACTGCTGCAATACAGCCAAGGGGCGAGCACACACCCACAGCTTGGCCAATCAAGACTCCTTCTGTTGGGATACCATCACTTGAAAAAGAGACGGCAGGCTGAATGACTGGAGATCAGTGAAGCCATAGCAATGCTGGGTGAAAAGTGACATTCCTGCCTGCTCAGAGCCTGGCCCTTGGTCCATTCCAAGCTGCCTTCATATCCTTGCCATAAATGCCCCATTTGCCTAACTTGCCCAGAATCAGTTTTTGCCGCTTGCATCAAAAACCGTATTACAGAAAGCAAGAGAAAGGAGATTGGGGGGTGGGGGTGGGGAGAAAAGGGAACGTAGTGATTAGGAGTAGCCCAGTACCAGCAACTTCCTCATACTTTTGACAATTATCCCATCCGGAGATCAGAAGGAAGGTGTTCCCTAAATACATATTTCACTTGTGAATTTCTGAGAAGTATGTTTACAAACTGTAATAAAGCTAAACATTCCCACAGAAGGTAGTAACACGTTTAAGACCTTAGAAGTCTTAGAGACTGAGATAATATGTGGTAAAATAGTTACTAAACACATTTCCCACGTCTACTACAGCAGGGATACATACACCAGTAATTCTCAATCCAGGCCCATATATGGGACATGAATGAATGGGTAGAAGGTGTCTCACAGGCCAGCTCTGCCAGTGGGGTTCACAAGGTATCAATTTAAAAAGACGCTACTTTAAGGCTACTGCCTTTAAGTAATCTTTGGCCTAGTTTCATCACTACACTTGGGAACAATAAAACCACACTTACAAGTCACAGTTCCAATGAAAAAACAATGTTCAGAATGTATCTTTTCATGAAAAATCTAGAATTCAAAAGGAAAATCGACTTAGTTTTGTGGATAAAAATAAAAACAGATAAGAGTCTTTAAAGTCAAACATTCTGACTAAGCAATTAGGAGACTAGAGTCAGAAAGTATGTACCCTGATACATGGAAGGTGCAATGCCCAAGCAGCACCATCTTCGTTTGACTGGAGCTTTGCTGTATATGGATTTTTACATACATTTTCTCACTTGGGTGTTGTTATAACTGGGAGCTAAATTAATGAATATTACTTTAACTCTTTATAGATGAAGAAAATGAATACTAGATCAGGTAGCTTGCTACGGTCATAGAACAAGAAAACAGAAGACCAAAGACTGCAATTTGTATCTTCTGACTTCTGGTACCATCCAGCAAATACTTCATTCCTCCACACTGCCTTGCAACAGAAGCAACATCGGAAATGCCTGCCAACTCACAGAATGAAGGAATTATCCACACAGATATCCCCAGTTTGTTATAAAGTTTTCAAAGAACACTGTACACCAAAACCAGCCTTTTATACCTGTAATTTCTGGGGATCAACAGCTCCATCAGTAAGCTTTAACTGCTGGCTTTTGGCTTAGAGACATTTAACTAACCCCTCACGTACTGCAATTTCCTGGGAGCAAGCTTCCACCCCAATGGCTCTGAAAACGTAGTGGCCAGATGGGGAAAGGCAATCAGACAGATCAGTCCCTGCTTGCCTAGCTCAGCACCAGTTCTTCCAGAGGCTGCCTCTGGATCCGGGCTAGGGAAAGCACATGATCCAGGCAGTCCTAGGCTAGACCGACACCGAAATTGACACCAGAAAGAACAGAAACTCCTCATGCTACACACTTTTAAGGTTAACCCCAGAGACCAAAAACAAAAGCAAGCAAGCAAAGAAACAAACAAACAAAAAGACTTCAGGACAGACAATGAAGGGCACCTGGGAAAGCAGACGTTTTCCTACACAAACTTTGTTCTCCGCTGATCTCTGTGACACTAAAATACCTACATAGAAATCCTAGGATTTAAATATCCTAGAGATGATCAGAAGTCCTTTAAGGTTTAAATCTTTCCTGCCAAGGAAAGAAACAGTACTGAGACAGGCGGAGAAGGTGGTGACATTTCCAGGATTCTTATCCTGCAATCCTGAAGGATTTCTGTTCTAATTGCCATAGCCTCTTAATCAGCAGGTGTAACGGGGTCACTTCCAGCTAGTCAGTGAGAGAATGGAAAGTGGGAACTCACATGTCCCAGAAAAGAAATCTACATTTATATTCCTTTCATCCTCTCTGAAACAAATTGTTATTTTATCTTATTTTTCAGAAGGAACGAATATAAATAAAAATACTTTTTTCCAATCCTGTTAGAGTTCTCTTCTCAAGGTCTGTGAAGGAAATGGAGTTGTTGTTACTCTCATTTTGCCCAGGGCGGCACTCAGGGAGAATAAGAAGTTATTAGATAAATGCCACTGATATTCTACATTTAGCTAACTCATGTGCCCAAGCTCCAGGACAGTTCTGTGAAAGCCAGACCTGACAATCAGTTACAGTTAAGGCAGCTACCCCTTGAAAGGTGTAAATTTTTCTTTTGTGTATTTCTTCTTCAGCAACTCAGTAACAACTTCTAGAACATTCAGCTAAAAGGGTGAAGACACAATAAGATGGAGTAAGATGGGGAGACTGAGATTACAAGAATATTACTTCTACTTGGACCCCTGGGTTGCAAAACCAAGCCAGAAAAGTAAAGAGAAGAAAGTATCACTATCAGGAAGGGGAGCAAATTATGCAATATAGACTACCTGGTACCACATGGGTAAAGAGGCCAGGAAGAATAAATGCTAATTTAGCATTCCCCCAGCGATCGGAGAGATGCTGCCTCCATGATGAAAGCAGTGTAAAAAAGCAGGGCTGAAGGAAGAGCATTCTCCTTGCCTGCATATCCCAACTATACAATTCTCCCTGGACATGAGGCCCATCTCCCTAGTGAGGAATATATGCTGATTTATCTAAGTCTCTGGTTTTATACACACACACACACACACACACACACTTTTTTTTTTTTTTAATTAAGAGACAAAGGCCGGGTGCGGTGGCTCACACCTGTAATCTCAGAACTTTGGGAGGCTGAGGGCTGAGGCCTCAAGTGGATCACTTGAGGTCAGGAGTTCAAGACCAGCCTGACAAATATGGCAAAACCCCGTCTCTACTAAAAATACAAAAAATTAGCTGGGCATCGTGGTGGGCGCCTGTAATTCCAGCTACTCAGGAGGCTGAGGCACGAGAATCGCTTGAACCCAGGAAGCAGTGGTTGCAGTGAGCTGAGATCGTGCCACTGCAATCCAGCCTAGGTGATGGAATGAGACTGTCTCAAAAATAAACAAATAAATAAAATAAAGAGACGGGGTTTCATTATGTCATCTCAGCTGGTCTCAAACTCCAGGGCTCAAGTAATCCTCCCATCTTGGCCTCCCAAAGTGCTGAGATTATATGTGTGAGCCACTGTGCCTAGCCTGATTTCTGGAAGTCTCTGGATTTGGCCACTGGGCCACCACTGATCTTGAAGAAAATAGTTTATGCTAATGGGAGATGTTACTGGGAGTAGTACAAAGAAAAGGGTAGTTTCAACTATATCAACAGGCATGCAGAAAGTGGCTTGTGGATAGGCAGGGAAAGAGAGGGAGAGAGCCCATGATAAAGTAAGATCTGAACAGGGCACACGCCCTAAGGGACCGGGAGACCGACTGAGAGGAAGAAGGTGGTTCAGAAGAGCTAAGGCAAAGTGTGGGGTTTGGGGTTTGCTTGTTTGTTTGCCAGGGGAAACAAGTACACATACCAGAGGGAAATTTAGAAAGGTAAAGTTTAGGAAGTCAACCACATGTTATTTACAGACTGGAGGCTCAAGTTACCAAACAACAGGGTACGGCAAGACTGCACCAAACTTCCTTCTCCAAGTTACAAAGGACAAGCTGGAAATGTGTGCGGAATGGGAAACATGGGCTGATTATTGGGACCTACTTATCTAGTCTTCAAATCTTTTTTTTTTTTTTTTTTTGAGACGGAGTCTGGCTCTGTCACCCAGGCTGGAGTGCAGTGGCACCATCTTGGCTCACTGCAAGCTCTGCCTCCTGGGTTCACGCCATTCTCCTGCC
The DNA here is from genome assembly GCF_000001405.40 of Homo sapiens. Lineage (NCBI taxonomy): Eukaryota > Metazoa > Chordata > Mammalia > Primates > Hominidae > Homo > Homo sapiens. Next base: position 105,392,160 of record NC_000006.12, read on the forward strand.
TCAGCCTTCCCTGGGACCACAGGTGCCCGCCACCATGCTGGGCTAATTTTATGTATTTTTAGTACAGATGGGGTTTCACTGTATTAGCCAGGATGGTCTCGATCTCCTGACCTCGTGATCCGCCCACCTTGGCCTCCCAAAGTGCTGGGATTACAGGCGTGAGCCCCCACGCCTGGTCTCAAATCATTTTTAGGGACTGCAAACCTCCTTCTCTGGCCCTTCATGCTAACGCTACCATGGTTACTCTGATATCCCATTTATACCAGTGAAATTACACTGTGGTAAGTGCACTTAAACAGCATATTATACTTAGTAGGAATCTGAAGGATTTCTAACTCAAAGCTTTTCCTTTACCTTACTTTTGGCGTTTAGTTTGTATTTCCATATAGGTCTCCCAGACCAGTTTTTACAAATGTAGTTTTTGTTTGTTTTTTTGAGACAGAGTCTCGTTCTGTCACCTAGGCTGGAGTACAGTGACATGATCTTGGCTCACTGCAACCTCTGCCTCCTGGGTTCAAGCGATTCTCCTGCCTCAGCCACCCAAGTAGCTGGAATTACAGGCATGTGCCGCCATGCACGGCTAATTTTTGTATTTTTAGTAGAGATGGGGTTTTGTCATGTTGGCTAGGCTGGCCTCGAACTCCTGACCTCAGGTGATCCACCCTCCTCGGCCTCCCAAAGTGCTAGGATTACAGGTGTGAACCACCGCAGCCGGCCCCATGCTGACCTGTTCAGACAGCATACTTCAGGTGTCAGAGGGGGCAACGTAGGCCTTTCCTGTGCATCTTCCATGCATACCTCTCATGCGTCTCTAAGCAGTTAATGATGCCAGTGAGTCTATCATCTTGGATCTGATGAGTTAAATTTTGGTCCCAGACTGAAAAGGTATGGTGGGTTTTTCACAAGAGCAGAAAAGCAGCATGAACATTTTCTATTCACATTATTAGCATATACACAAAGGTGTATTAGCCATACCTTGCTGTAAAGAGGAGAATCTTTACAGAGCTTCTAAAACAAAAAGCTGCTTATTACATTTCCAATAAAAACCATTCAAGAAGTGAGAAACATCTGTAGCTCTTTTATAAGATCTGAAATGCTACCAGTAGGTCTTGGATTTAATCTAGTATTTAATTTAGGTTGGCTAATTCTGACAGTGCCTGGCGTTTAAGGCTATATCCTTTATAAAACAAAACCAGAGCAGACTTGTAACAGAAAATTCTCAAAAACAGGGGCGGGGCAGGGGGTAGAGGGAGAGTTGAATCTGGATGAATCTTTTCTAGCTGTCAAGGCCCATATTGCTATTTTATAGCAAATGCTTCAGACTGTACAAGGCAACACACAATTCAGTTGATTCTCTGAAGCAAATCTAACGCTGATATGAAATATGTTAACAGAGATATTTTGTAAAGAAACAGAGGAGCAGCGCTGTCCAGTAGATACATTATGCAAGCTACATATACAATTTAAAAATTTCTAGTAGCCACATTAAGGAAAAAAAAATTAATTTCAATAATATATTTTATTTAATCCACTACACACAAATCATTTCAACTCTGTTTTTGAGAATTTTCCATTACAAGTCTTCTCTGATTTTGTTTTATAAAGGATATAGCCTTAAATGCTAGGCAGTGGCAGGATTGGCCAACCTGTATTAAATACTAGATTAAATCGAAACTCTATTTCAGATCTTATAAGAGAGCTACAGATGTTTCTAATGTCCTGACTGGTTTTATGTAATCCATATAAAATATTAAGGTATTTTACTTTTTTTTTTTTCAAACTAAGTGTTTGAAATCCAGCATGTATTTTATGCTTACAACATGTAATCAATTCAGACTAGCCACATTTCAGGTCCTCAGGAGCTACAAGTGGCTAGTGGTTATTATATTGGATAACAAGATATTGACCAACTTTTCTTGTAAATATAGTTGTAAGGAACATAAAAACAGATTAAAAATGGAATTTTATCACAGGAATTCAAGGACATTTTAATATTAATATATTAGTGAAGCTATATAATTACCCTGATTGGTATTAAAAAGAAATCAAAATCCAAAACTAAAAGTAGGAATAACAATGCTTAAACAAGATGACAAATATCATTCAAAATAACAATTTAAACACTAGGCTAGAAAGTTCTTTCTCACTACTATTCTTACATGTTTTGCAGAGCTTTGACCAATTCAATAAGACCTGAACCGAAATTTGGTAGAGGAGAAAATAATAATTGATTGTAGATGATATGATTATGTATCTAGAAAACCTAAGGGAAATAGCTGAAAACTTATTCAAATCTGTGAGTTCAAAAAAATTACTAGGTACAAAATATATAAAATAACCAAAGTTTGATAGAAGAGAAAATAGAATTATCACTAAATTTGATTATATGTTATATGATTATGTATCTAAAAATCTAAGGGAAATAACTGAAAATTTGGTGAGTTCAGTAAGGGAACTAGGTACAAAATAAATATAAAATCGGTAGCAGTAGCTAGTTTAGCCAGGCATGGTGGTGTGCGCCTGTAGTCCCAGCTACTTGGGAGGCTAAGGCAGGAAGATGGCTGGAGCCCAGAAGATGGCTGTACTCCAGCCTGGGCAACAGCAAGACCCTGTCTCTAACAAAAGAGTCAGTAACACTTGTATATGCCATCAATAATGAAAAAGGAACCCATTTGATAGCAACGACAAAAAGCAAATACCTGAGAATGGAGAAGAGATTTCAAGGCTACTGCAACAAGTAATCATGTCATTGTCAGAAATGTGGAGATCTAGAAAAGTGCTTGTTTGGGACATTTGGGACATTATTTGTAATAGTGAAAAGTTGAAAACAATCATTTCCAACAGAAGTCATTAGGCATAATATAGTGCATCTGCCTGATGAAATAGTATCACTATTAAAATTCTGGGCTGCAAAGATTGCTTTCTAACATGAAAAATTGCCATGGTAGAATATGAAGTCAGAGAAGGATGTAAGATCACAGTACTCTGAATTATTACAATTTAAAAAATATATATATTTTAAAAAAGAACAGGTCAGCATGGGAGTGGGGGCTGGCCCAGGGTTCACACCTGAGGGCCTACAAAGGCACATGGCAAGCACAGACATGAATACATTCCTTTAGCTCGCATCTGCAAAGTATTACACCCAGTCTTTTTACTTTTACTTATTTTTTAATGTGTAATTGATAACCACCTCGTCTACCTGGGTTACCCTTGACTACACACTTACTAGCTGAGTAGCCATGGACAACATATTTAATCACTCAGCACCTCAATTTCTTCATCTGTAAAATGGGGGAAATAAAAAGATATATTTCAGAATTTGAGAATTAAATGAAACAGGGAATGCAGAACTCCCGGTAAAGTGCCTGGCACATGGTAACCATCCAAGAAATGTATACCACAAAAATAGTGTATACTCCAATGTCTTAGTTTCTATCAAGTGCTGACTATAAGATCATTAATTAGCAGTTTCATCCACTAATTGGAAGCCTGATATCCACTAATAAGTGGCTTGTCATCCACGAACCTGTCATTATCAACTAAGGAACAGCAAAGTATACATTCACTAACAGATAAAACCTGGGTCATTTTGACAGTGCTAAATCACTCAATCACCATCAAAGGCTGTAGAAATCCAGGTTATAGCCGATACTTCAGGTGAAGAAATCATCAGGTCCTTAGAGACAGTTTTCCAAGAGATGCACAGGAACTTCATCCTTTCCCTGGTGCTTTCTAGCCAGTACAGGTTATGCAGGTGCATGTGACTCTCCACTCCCAGACCCAATCCCTCTGTCTCAGTCAGCCCAGTGTTGAACAATCAAGGTAATCTATGGCAGGGATGAAGTGGGGAGGTAACCCCACACCTGTTCTCTGTCCCCTCAGACTTACCTGCAGAGCTACAGCCTTCACCATTCCTAAAGATACTCAGGTGTTTCTCACTTTGGAATTTCTGCCCATCCACTACTATAACCCAGTGCTTCTGGAAAGAAAAATTAAACCCCAAATATCAACCATTCTCATCCATGAGATCTTTGTCTTTCTTGAAGGGAGTTAGAGAAAGAATGTAGGATTGCAGATAAAAGTAAAAACCATTAGGAAATCTCAAAATAGCAGTGTGCTTACTTTAGGGACAAAGGATAAAAAGAAGTTGTAAGAGCTTTGCAGTGGGCAAAGGAGAGACACTACTCACAAAGAACAGGTGAGGATAGCAGAAAGCAGGTGAGCCAGTGCTTGAGACTAAAGGAAGAAGAAAGAGATGATCATGTGGTTTACTCCCCTGCCTCTACTTTCTCTCTTTTCTCCATATACCATCATGCTCTGGCTAAGCTCTTCACTCCATCCCTTTCCTTGTCCCAGTGGGGAGATGGGCAATTCTACATCAGGAAGGGATGCTTTCCTGGCAAATCTGAATTCAGGTCTCCAGAGAACACTGGTATATACGGTGGAAAGGGACTGCAAGAAACAGGCGGAGTTAAGACACAGGCGTTTGAAGACTGGCCTGAAAAACTACCTAGAGTGCCATTTAACCTTTTTTTTTTTTAAATGGGAAACGTACCCTGCAACTCTAAAGAAGCTCGAATAAATTTTGGGATGCTGAACATATCAGAAACTGCAAATATGTACTAAGTATTATGTACTATGGTTATAAATAGAAGAATCCAAGAACTTAAGATGAACTTGAGAAACACTATTCCCCCAACCAAGCAAACTTAATTAACTACATAAAGTACACATAAATGGGCTGGGCGCGATGGTGCACACTTGTAATCCCAACACTTTGGGAGGCCGAGGCGGGAGGATCACTTGAGGCCAGGAGTTCGAGACCAGCCTGGCCAACATGGTGAAACCCCCGTCTCTACTAAAAATACAAAAACTAGCCGGGTGTGGTGGCACATGCCTGTAATCCCAGCTACTCGGGAGGCTGAGGTACAAGAATTGCTTGAACCCAGGAGGCGGAGGTTGCAGTGAGCCAAGATCGCACCAGTGCCCTACAGCCTGGGTGACAGAGTAAGACTCTGTCTACAAAAAAAAAAAAAAAAAGTATACATAAGTGACAAGTCCTAGGCACTCCAAAAAGGGAAAAATGTCTGTGGGACATAGGACTTAGGGCCACCTTCATTACTGAATGGACTTCAGCAGGATCCTTGAAATACTGTTTCTCCAAAAGAATATGAAAGCTTTATGTTTTTAGGGCAGAAAATGCTCCCCCCTGCCCCTTCACTACTTAGCTTTTGTTTCACTGTTGTTGTGTTGACATCAATAAGCAATTTAAGGACAGTGTTCAGTTTTCATGACCTAATATTCATTTCATATACAAGATTTCCTTTTCTTTGGAAAAAAATATTTAGGCAATTTTTTCCTTTAACATCATTTCTATCTAGGTTTTCATTTTTTCTTTTGGCAAAAATCAGTTTTCTTTCTGATATTTTCATTTAAAATAGCTCATCAGTGTCACTATGAACCATAAACATTATCTGAAACACTTAGGTGATCTTCTCTGGGACTAAGCCATGCTTTTGTCTTTTTCCCATAAATTATTTGACAAAAAGTAGTGGTAACAACAGGTATACTCACCATCCCATGGCAGAAAACACAGGAGAACACCAGAAAGGAAAAGCTATAGTTACTGACATTTAGAGTTTGGTGCTAGCTACTAAGGCTGCCTTATCTTTAATTAGAAACCAAATTACCTTAGTCTGTTCACTGTCGGGGTCTTCAAGCCAGGCGTAAGGGTCACAAATTTTATGACCATGATAATCCTGTACCTGTAAAAAACAAAATGAGGTATTAGATAATTACTCTCTAACCCCAATTAAAACTGGTATTTTTTTAATGTAATGGAGAAATAGGAAAGGGATGGACAAAAATGCTAATTGGCTCACTGGCAACGTGTCTGCCCAAATTACCACATGAACCAAAGTTGGCAGGTTCTCAAAGGTGTCAAGCCACCCTTCATGAAAAGAATGTTTCAGCTAGAGAGGAAAGAAAGATGAAAGGTCAGAACAGGAAACCGCTCTGTCCCTACAACACAAAACAAAGACCTGCCACTGTGCTAAAGAAACTTGAAAACGTGCTGTCAGCAGCCAAGCACAGAATGACACAATACAGTGGACAATACAGTGGGCACACAAGAAGGGCACGTCAGGGAGGGGGCTAACACACACGTGCTCATTCTCCTGTTCCGCTGAGCTTCCCAATGATTAGAAAATCTCCCTGCAATATAGCCCAGGTTTGCTTTTATGTCTAAACTGCCAAAAAGCAAGTTACTAATATGTAGTATAATGATTCTAATTGACATAAGTTCAAAAAGCTGACTTAAATGCAATGGCAAAACATTTTAAAACTAATGCCTTTCTTCCTTTTTATTTACTGTTATGAAATGCTTTTTTCCACTGTTTACAAAAAGAAGGTGCAAAAGCATCACCCATTCAGGTTACCATGATATTGGAAGAAATAAAACTGCTTAGTGTAAGTAGAACCTGGCTGAAGGAAGCTTTCTGGAGCTTCTAAGGCCTGGCCTTAGAAGCCACTTGAAGGCGTTTGAAGGAGCAAGTAGAAACAGTTTTCACCACTCCTCAAGTGATTATGCCAAAAGAAATTATCCAGCAGTAAAAATCATTACAAAATCTCTCCACCTGATACCATCAAGATTAACCCCATTAGGACAGAGTGCAGTGGCTCACAGCCATAATCCCAGCACTTTGGGAGACTGAGGCAGGCGGATCACTTGAGGTCAGGAGTTCAAGACCAGCCTGGCCAACATGCTGAAATCCTGTCTCTACTCAAAATTTAAAAATTAGCCGGGCATGGTGGCAGGTGCTGTAATCCCAGCTACTCGGGAGGCTAAGGCAGGGGAGTCTCCTGAACCCAGGAGGCAGAGGTTGCAGTGAGCTGAGACAACGCCTATTGCACTCCAGCCCGGGCAACAGAGCAAGACTTCATCTCAGAAAAAAAAAAAGATTAACCCCATTAATGAAACCACACTGACAATGTCTTGCCAATCAAGTCTCTGAACCACTCCAACATTCTAGTTAAGGCTTCTTGTATAAAGCTGTTGGGAAGACTACCTCTATCTCAGATGAATTTTTTAATCTGTCTCCTTGCTTTGTTCTACAATGCCAGAAGGTAAGGGCTATTTCCTAAAGAAAACCTAGTGCTGCTCTAGTTCCAGTGTGGCTCTGGCTGGGTGAGAACAATCTCCTTGGCCCTTACAACACCGGGCTTTCCACATCTGTCCTTGTCTGATGCCAGGTCAAAGAACTCCTGGGGAAATGCACAACTGGATAAATGGGCAGGTAAGCCAGAACACTCTGTATATATTTTCATTAAACAACTGACTGAGCAAGGGACGTAAAAACAAGAGCAAGGAACATAAAACCCGACTAAAGCCTCTCCAGATGGGTCTTCATAAAGTTACCAATTTTCAATTCTGACCTCTCTAAATTTTAGCAGATTGTCACCACCGAACAACAGCTTTTCATCTTTTCTTCTCATCTGCAAGTCTTTTACGTTTTACACACCTTGAAGTGGTTATAAAATAGGCTTAAAATAACAATCTGCTTTTCCTAGCATTAAGAAATCAGAAAATTTTGAATTGTAAAGCATCTTTCAATCATGCACTTCTAGGAGCAACAGCAGGGATAAGGCTGGGTAACATGCCCAGAACCATATCAAGTTCAGAACCAGACCTGGGACTAAAGCAGTCAGCCCACCCTTTTCCCCAAACACTCATCAGAGGGGCCAGAATAGACACTTAAAAAATGTTCCTGGATTATGTTACTAAATTCAGGCATATCTAGAATTTTACACCAAGCAGCCCTATCTGCCCAGACCGGGCACCATCATCTACAGCAGATGGAAGTTATTGATCAGATATTTTTAACTAGGACAAGAAACATTCTCTCCAGGACAATTCCAGAGTTAATCCCAGGAGCCACAACTTTCCACCTCCAATTTTTTCTAAGACCATACCCTACAAATGAGGTGGATGTGTCTTATAGCCACTTCCCTTGAATCAAATTCTTCCACCTGATTTAAGTTTGCTAATCATTCTTGATCTCCTCAAGAAGCTTTAAAAATAGAGCCCTGATAAGGTACTGTACTACTTAATCCTGTTCGATATTTTACTTGTACTGTTCAACAACTCACCCACTGCCTTCAGGATAAAGTGCAGACTCGTACACACAGCAGGCAGGACCCATCAAACCTGCCCTGCTCATCTTTCCAGCCCCATGCAAATTTATCCATCTGTTGATGGTCTGGTCAGAATCGCCTTCTTGCCACCCTACAAACAAATGCAATTCCACAACAATCCAGGCCTGCATAGCTATGGCTTTACTTTAGTCACAGGATCAGGAATGTCCTTTGTCCCTTACCCAACTGGTCAACTTCCAGACTCAATTCACATAATGCCTCCCCCTCCTGATGGAAATTAGTCCCATCCTCTTCTGTGTTCTCCTCTCACCCTAAATCCTCTTCTATCAGAGTGTGAGTCCCCTGTGACAGGCCTGAATTTCCTGATAGCAACTCTCTTAAGCAATGGTCGATGGTATTGCACAAGAAGTGTCATGGCTTCCAAATTTCTGCCCAAAAAGGCAGAACTCCACCAAAATGGTCTCAACGCTCCAAAGCTTTCAGCAGGAGAGTACTGAGCATATGGCTGAAGGTGCTCAAGTGAAAGAGACAGAGAGCTACCGCAATGCCCAGCTGATGCTGGGGAGAAACAAACCCATCCTAGAAATCAAAGGCTACCATTTAAGCAAATACCTAAGTCAAGCCTAGGGCTTAGTAACCAAAACCTTAATGCAAAAAAAAAGATACTCCACCGTAAGCTATCAAGGAGCCACACAACAAGATCCAGACTGGGCCAGAGCTACATTCCCTTGGCCACGAGGCTTAGAGTTAGCATGAGTTGCTTAATGAGAAGGAACTGGAGTGTATTAAAATCCACAGTATACCCTTCCGAGTTGTTTATAATCTTTTAGACGTCTTCATAAAATCCTCACTTAAACCTTTCATGAAATATCAAACATAAATAAACAAACTGTAGGATTTAGGCACCCACAGTGGTGAAAAACTAACAAGTAACTCTAAAAACAAACTTAAAACTGCACTTATCAAACCACAGAATGGGTAATTCTTTATATTCTGATCCTCAAGAACCAGAACCAAGAGAGTCACCTGGCTTCCCATTACTAGTCTGGAACACTGCAGAGCTAGACTGTCACATGAATGAATGAATGAATGACAACATTCCTACTGCAGAAGCAAGTAAGCCCTATGGTCAGTCCAAATATTTCTCATATGAGAAAAAAGGCCCATAACAGGTAAAAGAGCTGCTAAAAGTCACCTAACTAGTGAATGACAGAACCAGAACTAGCGCTCTGGTCTTTTCATTTAGTCCAGCCTCTTTCTCCATTCCAGCAGGATCACTTTACTCCCATATTCAAAGGAAACAACCTTTAAACCACAGGAATAGAGCTTCTTGAGCTGTTAGGGTAAATTTAATAAGCAAGCAGCTGAGCAGACTGAGAAAACATGGTTACCAGATGGCCACTGGTCAAAGAAACCATGAATGAATGCATCAGTGTCACTTGGAAGTCTTAATTTAAAACAGTATGTCCTTTACTCCGAAGCGTCAGCACCCTTTACCCCAATGTAGCACGTGCTTTAAAGTAAACACTTTCTGGCATAAATTGGGAAAGTAAACAGAAAAACATTAAAACTGTATCACACAAATACATACTTATTCTGATTATATTTTAAGTAATCTGAGAAATGTAGCTATTAGTAAGAGAATCACGGCCACAACATGTGGATGCAATCCAGTTCCTAAGTCGTCAAATTCACGTTTACACAAAAAAGGTGTCTGCCCAGAATTCCGCCTACTGGATCTCAACAGTTACCTTGAGTTCATCTGCAGCTTAGGCAAATGGTGGTCAACTCCGCCACTAGACAAAACTTACTCATTCTGAAAAAGGTCAACCCCTCTCCCTTCTAAGACCTCCTCTCACCCTCTCTCAACTCCTTTTCTTGTTTAAGAAAACATGGATCAGCACGGCCACACTATGGGGTCACTGCTCCGCCTTCCCCATTTCTGTCCGGGTCTCTGGCATCCCCAGGGCCCAGTGCGCCTCATCCGACCTGGGACAGGGTAGGCGCTCAACACACCTTTTAAAATCGAACGAATATGCTTCAACTCTAAGGACTTTAAAGTGTAAGTTTTAAAAGTTTGTTTTCGTTTTTAAATGTGACATCACACACACACACACACACACACACACACAAACACACACACACACCCCAGCGGACACTTTCTCCTACCACCATATTTAAGCAAGAGGCTTCGCCAGTCAAAAAAGCAGTGACACCGTCTGTCTTCCCACTCCCTGAAGACACCCATTCTACCCGGGCGTCTGCCCTTGACCCCATTGATTCTAGGAAGCGGCCGGGCGGCGCTGCCCACAGGCTCCGCCGCCAGCACTAGCAGAGTGACCGCCCGCGGGACCCCAGCGCTGCAGAGGAGCCCCGCGCCCCCGGCCCAATTCTCCCAAACAAAGGCCGAGGGGGAGGGGAGGGACGCGGGGGTCGAAGGCCTACAGGAAGAGGAGCTGCGGGTGCCACGGGTCAGGCAGGCTGGGCACCTTTGCCCGGGAGCCCTCTGGGCGGAGGCAGAGATACTTACGGCGGTCTCGTCGCGGTACACGTCGGGGTACTGAAGGGACAGCATGGCCGGGGACAGGCAGGGGGCAGCGTGGAGGGGCGCGGGCTCCGGGAGCGGACCTGAGCTAGCCGGGCTGGCCGCGAGGCGCGGCTGGGGCGCAGGCAGCTGCGGGGCGGCCGGCGGCAGCGGGCGGCCGGCTCACGGCCAGAGCTAGCACAAACGGACTGGCGGCGCGGCGGCGAGGACGTGCAGAAAGCAGGAAGCCGCTGTCTGCGAGGCCGGGAGCCCCTCCCCGGCGGGCGGGCCCAGCGGCGGCGGCGGCGGCAAGAGGGAGCGGGCGGCACCGAGCGTGCGCTAAGGCCGGCGCACAGCTCCCTCTGCAGGATCGCCGGCCGCGCCCGCGCCGCCCGGGCGCACGGAGGAGCACGCCGGCTACGCGCTCGCCCACGCCCGGCCGCCCGCCCGTCCTCTGCGCCGGGGACAAGTCCTTCCACCGAGGCCGGGTCCCCGCGCCTTCCCTAGCGCCCTGCCTCTCTTTGGCCGCGCTCGCAGGACCGCCTGTAGGAGAGTGAAGCCCCAGGGTTTCCTTGCTGATGGAGTCCCCCACCTTCCCCAGCCTTCCTGTTCCCGGGCTGGTTACGGCGGCGAAGGGAGACCTTGCCTCTCCCCAGCCTTGGAAGCAGAGGGCTGGAGGTGGCCTTATGTCCACTGCCTGCGACTCTGGACTTGAAGGGAAGAAGTAATCGATCATGATGACCGTGAAAGAAACACGTCTCCCTTCATCCCAGGACCCCTGGTGGACACTGGGTGGTTTAGCATCCGGACTATGGAGATGCTTTGGAGGTGTTGGCAGGACTACGGTTGAGCCCTTATTTGATATTTACCGATTGAGAAAGAACCAAGATTAAGAGGCCTGGAACTCATCAGGGGTATTTTATTTATCCTGCCTTTTCCTCATTTCCTCTCCTGCTGTCATGCTTGTTTATTGAGCACCTACTGTTTATGGGAAGAAAAGATAATAGACAAGATACTTGACCTCAAACCCATGAAAATTTAATAGTTACATGTCATCATCCTCGGGCCAGCAGCGGTATGTGTTCTGGTCTTGCTTCCTGGACCACCCAGAAGAGACTTTATAGCCCCAGCCATCAGGGGTATAGTGTGTGCCCAGTGTGTTTTCTATCCCTGGCTTCCAAAAAGTCCTGGAAGAAAGAATAGGTGTGACCAGAAAGTCCTTCACCTCCGGAATCTAAGTGGATATGGTAACTATTATAAACTTGTGTCCTCCGTCTCTTTTGTGATATGGTCCCAATTCCATGCCTCACCCTTAGTTCACCATTTCTGTTCATAGTGATGTGTCATAATCATTTTCTGCATCTGATCCCAGATACCCCCTCCTGGGGCAATCTGAGAATCCTCAATTCTGGGAGAACTCACGCTATTGATAACAAACTTTGTGCAAACACGGGGGCATAGCCCACTACAGCCCAGAAGTCCCAATTCCAGTTCCCACCTCGTGCCTTCCCTGGCTGTCACCTGACGCAGGGACTGGCAGGCATTGTCTCCTCCTTCTGCCACTGTGAGGGATTTTTTAAAGAGCAACCCAGGAGCACTTGACCCAGCAGACCCCCTAATGATAATATTAATGCTTATGGAGTGTTTTTTTCAGTGTATCAGGAAACTATCTAGAACTAATGTCCCTATTTTATAGTTAAGGAAAACGGGCTGACTTTTGCCCAGGACTTCACAAAAAGTGAAAAAGTAGAGCCAGGATTCCAACCTAGGTCTCTCCAATACCAATGCTCATTCTTAACCACTCTGACGGCCTTCCTACTCATAAATAAGTAGAGATACTCTAGAGTCTACAGGGCACCCATTTGCAGGGAAAACTTCAATTTAGCAGGACCTAAAGAAAATGTGGGAATTGTGGTACCCAAAGGACAAATCAAACCTAGGTATCATCCTCTCTTCCCTTTCAGTCAGCCGTTCTGGTGCCCAGTTCCTCTGGGCCCTGAGAGGTAAAGGTTTGTAGTGGCACAGACAGTGCAAGAGGCTCCCAGCAGTAGGTTGTCTGCATCTGGAGTGAGATGGAGTGGGAGGGAAGATGGGAGAGCACCCTTTCCCCTCCTATTGACCACGTTAGTTGCACTTTTGTTTGCCAATGTGTTGTCTCCTTTAATCCTTATAGCAAAGACCATTTTACAGATGAGGAAAAAGAATCTCAGCAGCTTTAAGGGAATGAGTTCAAAGTCATCACACAGCTAAGACAATACAAGATTCATATTCATAAGTTGACTGCAAAGTCAACTTTTTCCATAGACAATGCAGAGAAAGGAAGTATTTGAACTATCTCAGAATGGAAGTGCCACCTCCAGAATAAATACCAGAGCACTCTTTGACCTCTGACACTGTAGACTGTTTTCAGGGGAATTGTAGAATTTACACTGTGATAACTCATGCTCTAATTCAGAACCCTAGGCCTTTGGGAGAATGAGGGTGAGCAGAGACATAGAAGGACTTCCAGGGCAGCCTTCAGCCTCTCCTCTGACCTCAAACTTTGTGCCCCACTCAGTTAAGAAGAGTCACCCTCTGAAGAAGGCAGGCTAGTGATCATTTACTGCTGCTTGGCTGTCTCTACCCCACCTCAAGTTGCTTATCAAAGCAACCCCCACCCACATATGGTCTCCAAGAGAGGATTTCTGGTAAATGCACAAGGATGCCCACCCAAGGGGCGAAGTGGGGACTGAAATCCATCTCACTCTCCACTTGCCACACTGCAGACAGGTGCTGGCACATTCACCTGGAGGAAGGGGTGTCTTATTCTCAAGGGACTGCACCTTCCTGGGTAAAGGATATTTTTCTAATTCACACAAGGGTGCTGTCTTGTTAGCACCCCTTAGAGATGGATGCTTTGAGTGCTGCCTGGATAATCCACCTTTTAATTTGACTCTGGTTTCCAGGTAGCTAGCTAACATACTGACTAATTGGTGGAGTGCAGTCATTTCACACTATGTTTCCCCAAAGATTTATGTTGCTTTTTCCAGTGTGACTTTTAATGGAAATTCTTATGTATTCTTGTATATCTAATCTTTGCAAGGCATCATGAAGTGTGAAATAGCACCTAGGATAAGAGTAAGATTCTCTTTCAGGCTCTGTCACTAACTGGTTTCCTAACTTTGAATGAGTCCATCATATCATCAATATTTTTATTTAGAAATTGAGACAGTTGGGTTAGGTGGTTTCAAAAGAATCTAAGATTCTTTAATTCTGAGTGGGAACAGGAGATACAGGAACCTCAAAACTAACTCTGAATTAAGAATAAGATTATCCTGAGGGAGAATTGTCCAAACGTTATGGACAGATGCAGGTAAGATTGGGCAGTAATTGTCTGTCTACTGAAAAGACTTTCTCCATAATTTTCTTCTGTTTTCAAACCATTCACAAGAGAAGATTTGGCTCTAGGGACTATTGTTGGGCCTGTAGTCCATACTAAATGCATGGATCTGACCTTTTCAGGAGCTATAACTGTTCCCTTCTAATACCCTTCTCTCAACATGGGCATATGGTTAAAAGGAGATGTGAAGTGTCTGGAATTACAGCTGTGAAATCTAGGTCTCCACCTCATTCTTCCCCTTCTCAGTTTAATGCTTGGCTGAATTAAGCACTAATATGAGAGGATAGGGCTGAGTTCAATCCAGATTAAAAATGTGGGCAGAGAAAGTAAATCAAGAATGAATCTGAAGTATTTTTCTACTTCAGTTCATGGAACTTATTTAAAGCATTTCTAATGAAGTTCCTAAGATAGGAATGTTTTTAAATCAGGAGAGAGGAATATTTTTTCTTAGGCCGATTGTAGGAGAAAAATCAGGTGTGGCCCCCTGCATGAAAAATGTTTCATTTAAGTAGAAAAAGATGAAATGATCTATTCATCCACTGTTTTAAATGGAGAACTGAGAACTTAAAACTATTCAATAAATACAACATGTAATAGAAAATGTGTCAGTTCAAAATGATTGGGTATAAAGTTAGAGAGGTAGGAGATTAGGAAGGAAAAGAAAGGGGGAAAGCGAGATAGACATAGCAAGATGGACACACAGCATCACAGATTTGCTCACACCAAGAAAAGTAAAGATAAGTACTAAAAGATAGTATGGAGACAGATAAGCACATGAAAACATGCAGAAAATCAGGGTTGGACAACTGCAAAGAGTTTCATGGAGCCACATTTCATCTTGTGGCCTTTAGGATATTGTTACAAATTTTAAGTTCTATTGGAATTTGTAAAACTCTAGGATAATTAATGATATTACCGATATTACCTCTTGGTGCTTTTTTTTTTTTTTTTTTTTTTTTTTTTTTGAGACAGAGTCTTGCTTTGTCACCCAGGCTGGAGTGCAGTGGTGCAATCTTGGGTCACTGCAACCTCTGCCTCCCAGTTCAAGCGATTCTCCTGCCTCAGCCTCCCGAGTAGCTGGGACTACAGGTGCCACCAGTGTGCCCAGCTAATTTTTGTATTTTTAGTAGAGACAGGGTTTCACCACATTGGCCAGGCTGGTCTCGAACTCCTGACCTCAAGTCATCTACCCACCTCAGCTTCCCAAAGTGCTGGAATTATAGGTGTGAGCCACTGCACCCAGCCTCTCTTGGTGCTTTTCTAATTAATGTAAACTAAGCAGGATATCTGACCTACATGTTCCAGGTTCTTCACCCTGATCAGTATCTCCAGTTTTCTCTGGAGTTAACTGGGTAGCAACCAGATTGCCTTTCCATTTGCTGCTGCTTCTCTCATGCAGTACTCACTGCTATCTTGATTTAGAAAGAACTAAGCCTATATTAAAGTTTACTCTGCTGGTCTTATTTGGCATTTATAGTTTAACCATTTATCTGTAAACCACAATGTAGCATTATAGCCTCTGCGAAGTAATATGTTCTGGGAAGTTTTAGTCTTTATTCAGTCCATTACCCCCTGCACTGTGGAGAGTCAGTGTTCTGTAAAACTCAAAAAGTCCAGTGCCAAGCCGATTTAGGGATTTGCCCCAATCCTTAAGACAATGTAAAGTACCTAAGCCCTCTTTTGGGGTAGCTCAAATTCCATTGAAAGATAACTGACAGAATTCCCAACTCTCCTGTGGCCTTACCATTTTTCTCCTCTTTTGTGGGGGAAGGGAGAAAGAAAAACTGCTTTATTGTTTCTGTCAAAGTACTACATGGAAGTTTTTAGTGTGGGCAGTAAGGTGGACTAGACAGGTCCTGCTAAAAGAAAGAATTGCTATTACGTTGCTCTTACTCTTACTCCTTACACTCTTACTCCTTCCAAACAGATCAGCCATTTAAAAATATGTGCCCAAAACAGAAGACTGAGAAGCAATAGGGTCCCTGTGATTTAAAACAAAACAAAACAAAACAACTCCAGAGGACATTATTTACATGATATTCCATATAAGTGGTACTCTCTGGAGTTGTGAATGTAGTTTCCCTGTACTCAAGAAAGGTTGCCCTGAAAATAAATGACTGCATCTGAGTTGTCAATCATAAGTGGCCATCTTTGAAAGAAAGCATCCTAACGTAGGCTCAGAGATTTTCTACTGATTAAATCAACCATGATTTAAATCACGATCAAAGATCATGCAAGGACACCGTATTGGCTTTTTGTCTATTAGCATCCAGCAACATTTTCACATCACTTTGCTATCCTCTGTACTGCAAAGGGCTGCAAGCCTAAAAACATTTCCTGAACTCCATTGTCGGCTCATTTCTGGCTAGGTTCTACCAATGAGAGAAAATAAAGATGAGAATGGGGAGGAAGAGAGGAAGCTTTTCTCTTTTAGCTTAGGTTCCGGCAATGGCAGGACCCTTCAAATCACTGAAGTCTGCTGCAATAGGAGCATAGTTGGATTGGCAGTGGGGAACCTGGGGCCTCAGAGGCATCAGCAGCTAATTCAGCAATTTCAAATGGCCTGTGGACTTCCAGGACCTTGCAGAGCTAGTTGAGCTTCTTATGCAGTAGCAGCAGTAACCAGAATAATAACAGTGGTGCTCACACTGCATCAGCAGTATTGTACTCATGAGGTCTGCATGTATATTAGGCTGTTCTTGCATTGCTATAAAGGAATACCTGAGACTGGGTAATTTATAAAGAAAAGAAGTTTCATTGGCTCATGGTTCTGCAAGCTGTACAGGAAGCATGGTGCCATCATCTACATTGCTTCTGGGGAGGCCTCAGGGAACTTTTACTCATGGTGCAAAGTGAAGCTAGTGCAGGCACATCACGTGGCAAGAGCGGGAGCAAGAAAGAGAGAGGAGAAATGCCACGCACTTTTAAACAACCAAATCTCCTCAGAACTCGCTATCATGAGGACAGCACCAAGAGGAGGGTGCTAAATCATTCACAAGAAACCCGCTGCCATGAGCCAGTCACTTCCCAACAGGCCCCACCTCTAATACTGGGGATTACATCTAACATGAGAATTACAGGGGACATCCAAACTATATCATTGTACCCCTAGCCCCCCAAATCTCGTGTCCTTCTCACATTGCAAAATAGAATCAAATCCTCCCAATAGTCCCCCAAAGTCTTTTAGTCTCACTTCTGTGATCCAGACTGGAGTGCAGTGCTGTGATCATGGCTCACTGCAGCCTTGACTTCCTGGGTTCAGGTGATTCTCCCACCTCAGCCTCCCAAGTAGCTGAAACTACAGGTACACACCACCATGCCCTGGTAATTTTTTATCTCTTTAGTAGGGATGAAGTTTTGCCATGTTGCCTAGGCTCGTCTCAAACTCCTGGGCTCAAGCAATCCACCCACCTCAGCTTCCCAAAGTGCTAAGATTATAGGCATAAGCCACTAGGCCTGGCCTCCAGGCTTTCTTATACATCCTCTGAAATCTAGGCAGAGGCTGCCAATCCTCCTTCACTCTTGCAACTCTGCATTCACAGGCTTAACACCATGTGGAAGCCACCAAGGCTTACAGCTTATACCATCTGAAGCAGTGGCCTGAGCTGTATCTGGGGATCTTTGAGCCAAAGCTGCAGCTGAAGTGGCCTAGATGCAGGAAGCAGTGTCCTGAGGCTGAGCAGAGCAGCGGGGCCCTGGGCCTGGCCCACAAAACCATTCTTTCCTCCTAGGCCTGTGGGCCTGTGATGTCTGAAGAGGCTTTGGGCTTTAAGTGAACATTGGTAGTGGCCTGGCAGAACCACCCCACCCTCTGTGGGCAGATGATAGTAGTGGCCACAGGGAGAGGCCCCTCTACCAGTAGAAAGGGTAGGGAAGTGCAAGAAGGACTTTGTATTGTAATTTGAGTGCCAGTTTAGCTGCCATAGAGTAGAACATCAGGCAAATTTCTAAAGTTTTTGACTCCAATCCCTGGCCCCCCAGATAGCACATCTGGTCACACCTGGAGGCTGGGGGAACTCACCATCCTGAAGGGAAGGACACAAACCTGGCTGGCTTTGCCATCTGCTTATCATAGAGCCTTTGGCCCTTGAGTAAACATAGGTGGTAGCCAGGTAGTGGTTACAGTGAGCCATGGATGAGACTCAGTGCTGTGCTGGCTTCAGGTCTGACCCAGCAGTGTCCCAGTGGTGGTGACCACAGGGGTGCTTGCCTCACCACACCCTCAGTTCCAGGCAGTTCAGCATAGAGAGAGAGGGTCTGTTTGGGAGAAAGGAAGGGAAAAGAGAAAGAGTCTCTGCCTGGTAATCCAGATAATTATTCTAGATCTTATTGAAGACCACCAATGTGGTACCTCTATGAGTCTGCAGAAACCACTGTGATATTGGGCTTGGGACCCAAGTCCCTTTGAATACCTGGAAAGCTTCCTAAAGAAGGATGGCACAAACAAGCCCAGACTGTGAAGACTACAATAAATACCTAACTCTTCAATGCCCAAACATTGACAAACACCTACCAGCATCAAGATCATCCAGGAAAATATGACCTCACCAAATAAACTAAATAGGTCCCCAGGGGCCAATCCTGGAGAAGGAAAGACATTTGACTTTCTAGAGAGTTCAAAATAGCTGTTTTGAGGAAATTCAAAACAATTCAAGATAACACAGAGAAGGAATTCAGAATTCTATCAGGTGAATTTAACAAACAGATTGAAATAATTAAAAAGAATCAAGCAGAAATTCTGAAGTTGATAAATGCAACTGACATACTGAAGAATTTATCAGAGTCTCTTTAATAGCAGAATCAATCAAGTAGAAGAAAGAATTAGTGAACTTGAAGACAGGCTATTTGAAAATACACGGTCAGGGGAGACAAAACAAAAAATAATAAAAAAGAATGAAGCACCTCTAAAAGATCTAGAAAATATCCTCAAAGGGGCAAACCTAAGAGTTGTTGGCCTTAAAGAGGAGGTAGAGAAAGAGATAGGGGTAGAACGTTTATTCAAAGGAATAACAGAAAACTTCCCAAACCTAGAGAAAGTTACCAATATTAAAATACAAGATAGTTATAGAACAGTAAGCAGATTTAACCAAAAGAGGCATACCTCAAGCCATCTAGGAATCAAACTCCCAAAGTTCAAGGAAAGGATCCTAAAAGCCGCAAGAGAAAAGAAAGAAATAACACGCAATGGAACTCCAATACATCTACCAACAGACTTTTCAGTGGAAACCTTATAGGCCAGGAGAGAGTGGCATGACATATTTAAGATGCTGAAGGAAAACAACTTTTGCCCTGGAATGGTGAAAATATCCTTCAAGCATGAAGGAGAAATAAAGACCTTTGCAGACAAACAAAAGCTGGAGGATTTCATGAACATCAGACCTGTCCTACAAGAAATGCTAAAGGGAGTTCTTCAATCTGAAAGAAAAGGATGTTAATTAGCAAGAAGAAATCATCTGAAGAGCCAAAACTCACTGGTAATAGTAAGCACACAGAAAAACACAGAATATTATAACAGTGTAATTCTAGTGTGTAAACATTCTTAAGTAGAAAGACTAAATGATGAACCAATCAAAAATAGTAACTACAACAACTTTTCAAGATCTAGTCAGTAGAATAAGACATAAGGAGAAATAACAAAAAGTTAAAAAGCAGGGGGAAGAAGTTAAAGGGTAGAATTTTTATCAGTTTTCTTTTTGCATGTTTGTTTATACAATCAATGTTAAGTTGCCATTAATTTAAAATAATGGGTTATAAGATAGTATTTATAAGCCTAACAGTAACTTTAAATTGAAAAATATACAACAGATAAATAAAAATAAAAAACAAGAAATTAAATGATACACCAGAGAAAATTATCTTCACTAGAAGGAAGACAGGAAGGAAGAAAAGAAGGAAGAGAAAACCAGAAAACAAATAACAAAATGTCAGGAGTAAGTCCCTTCTTATCAACAATAACACTGAATGTAAATAGTCTAAACTCTCCAACCAAAACATGGCTGAATGGGCTGGTGGACTGGGGGGCGGTGGTAGGAAGCAAGACTCAGTGATCTGTTGCCTGTAAGAAACACACTTCACCAGTAAAGACACACATAGATTGAAAATAAAAGGGATGGAAAAAGTTATCCCATGGCAATGAAAAACAAGAAAAAGCAGAAGTGGCTATACTTACATCAGACAAAACAGATTTTAAGACAAAAACTGTAAGAAGAGACAAAGAAGATCATTATATAATGATAAAGAGGTTGATCATTTATCATTATTGCACAGGATATAATGATTATAAATATATGTATGTACCCAACACTGGCACATCCAGATATATAAAGCAACTATTATTAGAGCTAAAAAGAGTGATAGACCTCAATACTATAATAGCTGGAGATTTCAACACCCCACTTTTAACATTGGAATGATCTACCAGACAGAAACTCATCAAAGAAATGTCAGACTTCATCTGAACTATAAAACAAATGGACCTAATAGATAGTTACAGAACTTCTTATTCAAAGGCTTTAGAATACACATTCTTTTCCTCATCACCTGGATCATTCTCAAGGACAGACTATATGTTAGTTTGCAAAACAAATCTTGGCTGGGTGCAGTGGCTCACACCTGTAATCCCAGCACTTTGGGAGGCCAAGGCGGGTGGATCACGACATCAGGAGATTGAGACCATCCTGGCCAACATGGTGAAACCCTGTCTCTACTAAAAATACAAAAATTAGCTGGGTGTGGAGGCATGTGCCTGTAATCTCAGCTACTCGGGAGGCTGAGGCAGGAGAATCACTTAAACCAGGGGGTCGGAGGTTGCAGTGAGCCAAGATGGCACCACTGCACTCCAGCCTGGCAACAGAGCAAGACTCTGTCTCAAAAAAAAAAAAAGTCTCAAAACATTCAAAAATTGAAATAATGTCTGGCATCTTCATCTTCTCTGACCACAATGGAATAAAACTAGAAACCAACAAAAGGAATTTTGGAAACTATAAAAACGTGGGGAAATTAAGCAATATGCTCCTGAATGACCAGTAGGTCAATGAAGAAATTAAGAAGGAAATTGAAAATTTTCTTGAAGCAAATGATGTTGGAAACACAACATACCAAAACCTATGGGATATACTGAAAGCAGTACTAAGGGGGAGAGTTATAGCTAAAAGTGCCTACATCAAAAAAGAGAAAAAACTCCAAATAAATAACCCAATGATGCATTTTAAAAAACTAGAAAACCAAGAGCAAACTAAGCAAAACCAAGAGCAAACCAAGAGCAAAATTTAGTAGAAGAAAAATAATAAAGATCAGAGCATAAATAAATAAATTGAAATGAAGAAAACAATACAAAAGATCAATGAAACAAAAAGTTAGTTTCTTGAAAAGATAAACAAAATTGACAAACCTTTAGCCAAACTAATGAGGAAAAAAAAGGGGAAAAGACCCAAACAAATACAATCAAAGATGAAAAGGAGATATTACAATCATTACAACTGATACTGCAGAAATTCAGAGGATCGTTAGTGGCTACTATGATCAACTATATACCAATAAATTGGAAAATCTAGAGGAAATGGATAAATTCCTAGAAACATACAACTTATCATGAATGAACCATGAAGAAATCCAAAACCTGAGCAGACCAATAACAAGTTAACAAGATCGGAGGTGTAATAAAAAGTATGCCAGTAAAGAAAAGCCTGGGGCCCTGTGACTTCACTGCTGAATTCTACCAAATATTTAAAGAGTGAATATCAATGCTACTCAAACTATTCTAAAATATAGAGAAGGAGGGAATACTTCCAAACTCATATCTATGAGTCCAGTATTCCTCTGATACCAAAACCAGACAAAGACACATCAAAAAAAGAAGACTACAGGCCAATATCTCTGATTAATATTGATGCCAAAATCTACAACAAAATATCAACAAATCAAATTCCGCAATACATTACAAAGATCATTCATCATGACCAAGTGGATTTATCCCAGGGATGCAAGGTTGATTCAACATATGCAAACCCATCAATGTGATACATCATAACAACAGAATGAAGAACAAAAACCCTATGATCATTTCAATTGATGCTGAAAAAGCAGTTGATAAAATTCAACATCCCTTCATGATAGAAACCCTCAAAAAACAAGGAATAGAAGGAATATGCCTCAACATAATAAAAGCCATATACAACAGACCCACAGCTAGTATCATAGAATGGGGAAAAACTGAAAGCCTTTCTCAAAGATCTGAAATAAGACAAGAGTGCCCTCTTTCACCACTGTTATTCAACATAGTACTGGAAGTCATAGCTAGAGCAATTAGACAAGAGAAAGAAATAAAAGGCATGCAAATTGGAAAGGAAGAAGTCAAATTATCCTTCTCTGCAGATAATATGATCTTATATTTTAAAAAACCTAAACTCTACCAGAAAGTGTTAGAACTGATAAACAAATTCAGCAAAGTTGCAGGATACAAAATCAACACGCAAAAATCAGTAGCGTATCTATATGGCAACAGTGAAGAATCTGAAAAATAAAATTAAAAATTAATCTCATTTACAATAGCCACAAATAAAATACCTAGGAATTAACTAAAGAAGTGAAAGATCTCTACAATGAAAACTATAAAACACTGATGAAAGAAATTGGAGAGGGCACACAAAAATGGAAAGATGTTCCATTTTCATGACTTGGAAGAGTCAATATTGTTAAAATGTCCTTATTACCCAAAGCAGTCTATAGATTCAATGCAATCCCTACCAAAATACCAATGACATTCTCCACAGAATTAGAAAGAACAATTATGGTCCATTCCAAGATGGCCAAATAGGAACAGCTCTGGTCTGCAGCTCCCAGCATGATTGACGCAGATGGGTGATTTCTGCATTTGCAACTGAGGTACCTAGTTCATCTCACTGGGACTGGTTGGACAGTAGGTACAGCCCATGGAGGGTGAGCTGAAGCAGGGCGGGGCATCGCCTTACCCGGGAAGCACAAGGGGTCTGGGGATTTCCCTTTCCTAGCCAAGGGAAGCCATGACAGACTGTGCTGGGAAAATCGGGACACTGCCACCTAAATACTATGCTTTTCCAATGGTCTTAGCAAATGGCACACCAGGACATTATATCCTGTGCATGGCTCAGTGGGTCCCATGCCCACAGAGCCTTACTCACTGCTAGTGCAGCAGTCTGAGATCAAACTGCTAGGCAACAGCCTGGCTGGGGGAGGGGCGTCCACCCTTGCTGAGGCTCGAGTAGGTAAACAAAGCAGCAAGGAAGCTTGAACTGGGTGAAGCCCACTGTAGCTCAACAAGGCCCGCCTGTCTCTGTAGACTCCACTTCTGGGGGCAGGGCATAGCTGAACAAAAGGCAGCAGAAACTTCTGCAGACTCAAACATCCCTGTCTGATAGCTCTGAAGAGAGTAGTGGTTCTCCCAGTGTGGTCTTTGAGCTCTGAGAATGGACAGACTGCCTCCTCAAGTGGGTCCCTGACCCCCGAGTAGCCTAACAGGGAGACATCTCCCAGTAGGGGCCAACTGACACCTCATACAGCCAGGTTCCCCTCTGAGACAAAGCTTCCAGAGGAAGGATCAGGCAGCAATATTTGCTGTTCTGCAATATTTGTTGCTCTGTAGCCTCCGCTGGTGCTACCCAGGCAAACAGGGTCTGGAGTGGACATCCAGCAAACTCCAACAGACCCACAGCTGAGGGACCTGACTGTTAAAAGGAAAACTAACAAACAGAAAGGAATAGCATCAACATCAACAAAAAGGACATCCACACCAAAACTCCATCTGTAGGTCACCATCATCAAAGACCAAAGGCAGATAAAACCACAAAGATGGGGAGAAACCAGAGCTGAAAAGCTGAAAATTCTAAAAACCAGAGTGACTCTTCTCCTCCAAAGGATTGCAGCTCCTCGCCAGCAGCAGAAAAACCTGGACAGAGAATGACTTTTACGAGTTGGCAGAAGTAGGCTTCGGAAAGTCAGTAATAACAAACTTCTCCAAGCTAAAGGAGGATGTTCGAACCCATCGCAAGGAAGCTAAACCTTGAAAAAAGATTAGACGAATGGCTAACTAGAATAAACAGCATAGAGAAGACCTTAAATGACCTGATAGAGCTGAAAACCACAGCATGAGAACTACATGATGCATGCACAAGCTTCATTAGCCGATTCAATCAAGTGGAAGAAAGAGTATCAGTGACTGAAGATCAAATTAATGAAACGAAGTGACAAGAGAAGTTTAGAGAAGAAAGAGTAAAAAGAAATGAAAAAAGCCTCCAAGAAATATGGGACTATGTGAAAAGACCAAATGTACATTTGATTGGTATACCTGAAAGTGATGGGGAGAATGGAACCAAGCTGGAAAATACTCTTCAGGATAGTATCCAGGAGAACTTCCCCAACCTAGCAAGGCAGGCCAACATTCAAATTCACGAAATACAGAGAACACCACAAAGATACTCCTCAAGAAGAGCAACCCCAAGGCACATAATTGTCAGATTCACCAAGGTTGAAATGAAGGAAAAAATGTTAAAGGCAGCCAGAGAGAAAGGTCAGGTTACTCACAAAGGGAAGCCCATCAGACTAACAGCAGATCTCTCAGCAGAAACTCTACAAGCCAGAAGAGAGTGGGGGCCAATATTCAACATTCTTAAAGAAAAGAATTTTGAAACCAGAATTTCATATACAGCCAAAGTAAGCTTCATAAGTGAAGGAGAAAGAAAATCCTTTACAGACAAGCAAATGCTGAGAGATTTTGTCACCATGAGGCCTGTCTTAGAAGAGGTCCTGAAGGAAGCAATAAAAATGGAAAGGAACAACCAGTACCAGCCACTGCAAAAACATGCCAAATTTTAAAGACCGTCGATGCTAAGAAGAAACTGCATCAACTAATGGGCAAAATAACCAGCTAACATCATAATGACAGGATCAAATTCACAAATAACAATATTAACCATAAATGTAAATGGGCTAAATTACCCAATTAAAAGACACAGACTGGCAAATTGGATAAAGAGTCAAGACCCATTGGTGTGCTGTATTCAGGAGACCCATCTCATGTGCAGAGACACACATAGGCTCAAAATAAAGGGATGGAGGAAGATCTACCAAGCAAATGGAAAGAAAAGAAAGCAGGGGTTGCAATCCTAGTGCTGATAAAACAGACTTTAAACAGACAAAGATCAAAAGAGACAAAGAAGGCCATTACATAATGCTAAAGGGATCAATACAACAAGAAGAGCTAACTATCCTAAATATATATGCACCCAATACAGGAGCACCCAGATTCATAAAGCCAGTCTTTAGAGACCTACAAAGAGACTTAGATTCCCACACAATAATAATGGGAGACTTTAAGACCCAACTGTCAATATTAGACAGATCAATGAGACAGAAGGTTAATAAGGATAACCAGGACTGGAACTCAGCTCTGCACCAAGCAGACCTAATAGACATCTACAGAACTCTCCACCCCAAATCAACAGAATATACATTCTTCTCAGCACCACATCGCACTTATTCCAAAATTGACCACATAATTGGAAGTAAAGCACTCCCCAGCAAATGTAAAAGAACAGAAATCACAACAAACTGTCTCTCAGACAAAAGTGCAATCAAATTAGAACTCAGTATTAAGAAACTCACTCAAAACTGCATAACTGCATGGAAATTGAACAACCTGCTCCTGAATGACTACTCAGTAAATAATGAAATGAAGGCAGAAATATAGATGTTATTTGAAACCAATGAGAACAACGACACAATATACCAGAATCTCTGGGACACATTTAAAGCAGTGTTTAGAGGGAAATGTATAGCACTAAATGCCCACAAGAGAAAGCAGGAAAGATCTAAAATTGACACCCTAACATCACAATTAAAAGACCTAGAGAAGCAAGAGCAAACAAATTCAAAAGCTAGCAGAAGGCAAGAAATAACTAAGATCAGAGCAGAACTGAAGGAGATAGAGATACAAAGAACCCTTCAAAAAAATCAATGAATCCAGAAGCTGGTTTTTTGAAAAGATCCACGAAATTGATAGACTGCTAGCAGGACTAATAAAGAAGAAAAGAGAGAAGAATCAAATAGACTGAATAAAAAATGATAAAGGGGATATCACCACTGATCCCACAGAAATACGAACTACCATCAGAGAATACTAGAAACATCTCTATGCAAATAAACTAGAAAATCTAGAAGAAATTGATAAATTTCGGGACACATTCACCCTCCCAAGACTGAACCAGGAAGAAGTTGAATCGCTGAATAGACCAATAATAGGCTCGGAAATTGAGGCAATAATTAATAGCCTACCAACCAATGAAAGTCCAGGACCAGACGGATTCACAGCTGAATTCTACCAGAGGTACAAAGAGGAGCTGGTACCATTCCTTCTGAAACTATTCCAATCAATAGAAAAAGAGGAAATCCTCCCTAACTCATTTTATGAGGCCAGCATCATCCTGATACCAAAGCCTGGCAGAGACACAACCAAAAAAGAGAATTTTAGACCAATATCCCTGAGGAACATCGATGCAAAAATCCTCAATAAAATACTGGCAAACTGAATCCAGCAGCACATCAAAAAGCTTATCCACTAAGATCAAGTCGGCTTCATCCCTGGGATACAAGGCTGGTTCAACATACACAAGTCAATAAACGTAATTCAT
Organism: Homo sapiens; assembly: GCF_000001405.40. Lineage (NCBI taxonomy): Eukaryota > Metazoa > Chordata > Mammalia > Primates > Hominidae > Homo > Homo sapiens. The sequence goes on from NC_000006.12 coordinate 105,418,882, forward strand.
CACGTAAACAGAACCAATGACAAAAACCACATGATTATCTCAATAGATGGAGAAAAGGCCTTTGAAAAAATTCAACAGCCCTTCATGCTAAAAACTCTCAATAAACTAGGTATTGATGGAACGTATCTGAAAATAATATCAAACCCACAGCCAATATCATACTGAATGGGCAAAAACGGGAAGCATTCCCTTTGAAAACCAGCACAAGACAAGGATGCCCTCTCTCACCACTCTTATTCAACATAGTGTTGGAAGTTCTGGCCAGGACAATCAGGCAAGAGAAAGAAATAAAGGGTATTCAATTAGGAAAAGAGAAAGTCAAACCGTCCCTGTTTGCAGATGACATAATTGTATATTTAGAAAACCACATCATCTCGGCCCCAAATTTCCTTAAGCTGATAAGCAATTTCAGCAAAGTCTCAGGATACAAAATCAAAGTGCAAAAATCACAAGCATTCTTATACACCAGTAAAAGACAAACAGAGAGCCAAATCATGAGTGAACTCCCATTCTCAATTGCTACAAAGGAATAAAATACCTAGGAATCCAACTTACAAGGGATGTGAAGGACCTCTTCAAGGAGAACTACAAACCACTGCTCAAGGAAATAAAAGAGGACACAAACAAATGGAAGAACATTCCATGCTCATGGATAGGAAGAATCAATATCGTGAAAATGGCCATACTGCCCAAGGTAATTTACAGATTCAATGCCATCCCCATCAAGCTACCAATGACTTTCTTCACAGAGTTGGAAAAAACCACTTTAAAGTTCATATAGAACCAAAAAAGAGCCCGCATTGCCAAGACAATCCTAAACAAAAAGAACAAAGCTGGAGGCATCATGCTACCTGGCTTCAAACTATACTACAAGGCTACAGTAACCAAAACAGCATGGTACTGGTGCTAAAACAGAGATATAGACCAATGGAACAGAACAGAGGCCTCAGAAACAACACCACACATCTACAACCATCTGATCTTTGACAAACCTGACAAGAAATGGGGAAAGGATTCACTATTTAATAAATGGTGCTGGGAAAACTGGCTAGCCATATGTAGAAAGCTGAAACTGGATCCCTTCTTTACACCTTACACAAAAATTAATTCAAGATGGATTAAAGACTTAAATATTAGACCTAAAGCCATAAAAACCCTAGAAGAAAACCTAGGCAATACCATTCAGGACATAGGCATGGGCAAGGACTTCATGTCTAAAACACCAAAAGCAATGGCCACAGAAGCCAAAATTGACAAATGTGATCTAATTAAACTAAAGAGCTTCTGCACAGCAAAAGAGACTACCATCACAGTGAACAGGCAACCTACAGAATGGGAGAAAATTTTTGCAATCTACTCATCTGACAAAGGGTTAATATCCAGAATCTGCAAAGAACTCAAACAAATTTACAAGAAAAACACAAACAACCCCATCAAAAAGTGGGTGAAGGATATGAACAGACACTTCTCAAAAGAAGACATTTATGCAGCCAACAGACACATGAAAAAATGTTCATCATCACTGGCCATCAGAGAAATGCAAATCAAAACCACAATGAGATACCATCTCATACCAGTTAGAATGGCTATCATTAAAAAGTCAGGAAACAGCTGGTGCTGGAGAGGATGTGGAGAAATAGGAACACTTTTACACTGTTGGTGGGACTGTAAACTAGTTCAACCATTGTGGAAGACAGTGTGGCAATTCCTCAAGGATCTGGAACTAGAAATACCATTTGACCCAGCGATCCCATTACTGGGTATATATCCAAAGGATTATAAATCATGCTGCTATAAAGACACATGCACACGTATGTTTATTGTGGCACTATTCACAATAGCAAAGACTTGGAACCAACCCAAATGTCCATCAATGATAGACTGGATTAAGAAAATGTGGCACATATACACCATGGAATACTATGCAGCCATAAAAAAGGATGAGTTCATGTCCTTTGTAGGGACATGGATGAAGCTGGAAAGCATCATTCTCAGCAAACTATAGCAAGGACAAAAAACCAAACACCGCATATTCTCACTCACAGGTGGGAATTGAACAATGAGAACACTTGGACAAAGGAAGGGGAACATCACACACCGGGGCTTGTCGTGGGGTTGGGGGTGGGGAGAGGGATAGCATTAGGAGATATACCTAATGTAAATAACGAGTTAATGGGTGCAGCACATCAACATGGCACATGTATACATATGTAACAAATCTGCACGTTGTGCACATGTACCCTAGAACTTAAAGTATAATTAAAAAAATAAAAGAAAAAGTACTTAATTTCACTAGGAATCAGGGAAATGCACATTTAAACCACAGTGTGGTATCATTACAGATCCACTAGATTAGAAACAATAATTCTGGGCCGGGCGTGGTGGCTACAGCTGTAATCCCAGCACTTTGGGAGGCTGAGGTGGGCAGATCAGGAGGTCAGAAGATCGAGACAATCCTGGCTAACACGGTGAACCCCGTCTCTACTAAAAATACAAAAAAGTAGCCAGGCATGGTGGCAGGCACCTGTAGTCCCAGCTACTCGGGAGGCTGAGGCAGGAGAATGGCGTGAACCCGGGAGGTGGAGTTTGCAGTGAGCGGAGATTGCACCACTGCAGTCCAGCCTCGGCAACAGAGCGAGACTCCGTCTCAAAAAAAAAAAAAAAAAAAAAAAAAAAAGATACAATAATTCCGAAAATACCAAGTATAGGGGAAGGATGTATAACAAGAGAGATTCTTCTCATGCACTTCTTGAAGGAATGTAGATTGGTAAAACCACATTGAAAAGCAGTTTTGCTTTGCCTAGTAAAGTTGAAGATTCATATATGTTACATCAGTAATCCCACTCAGGTATTTTTAAGAGAAGCTTATGGGCATGTGCACCAGGATATACATACAAGAATGTTTATGGCAGCATTTGTGCATAATAGCACCAAACTAGAAACCAAACTTATGTCCACCAATAGTAGATTGAATAAATTGTTGAGTATGTACACAATGGATTATATTATACACACTATTTTTAAATAATAACTACAGATGGTCTCCAACTTATGATGGTTTAACTTATCATTTTTTGACTTTACAATGGGTATATCTGGGTATTAAATGCATTTTTGGCTTACAATATTTTTGACTTATGACAGGTTTATCAGGAGATAACCTCATGGTAAGTTGAGGAACATCTGTATTGATATTTGCTTGACTTTAACAGAAGAAAAAGAAAAAGTAAAACTGATGGAATTGCTGAAACTTCAGATAGACTTTTCTTTAAAACTAGAGATGTTAGGCCAGGAGTGGTGGCTCATGTCTGTAATCCCAGCACTTTGGGAAGCTGAGGTGGGCAGATCACGAGGTCAAGAGATTGAGACCATCCTGGCCAACATGGTGAAAACCTGTCTCCACTAAAAATACAAAAATTAGCTGGTCGTGATGGCGCATGCCTGTAGTCCCAGCTACTTGGGAGGCTGAGGCAGGAGAATTGCTTGAACCTGGGAAGTGGAGGTTGCAGTGAGCTGAGATCGCACCACTGCAGTCCAGCCTGGCAACAGAGTGAGACTCCATCTCAAAAAAAAAAAAAAAAAAAAATCTAGAGATGTTAGTTCTCAAAAGAGCTCTTTGGAGGTAATATTATGAAAAGTAAACAGAACTGCATTTTCCTCTACTTTTTTAGGAGCATCAGTTTAATAAATAATAGTACATATAAAATCATAATGCTATAGTCTTTATGGAATGTTCTTATGTGTGTGCATGTGTGTGTTCTTACTTAAGTACAAGTTTAAACCTCAGACAGTATTTATTGATTTCTTATTTTCTGTCCACTCAGAAAGTCATGGTGGACATGGATTGTTTTAAATTCATGTTTAATTGATCTTGAATTTTCTGGCATAACCCTGGTATCAGAGATACAAGTGGTCTAAGACTACTCTGTGGGCCTGTTTTGTCAACTTATCTGTCATATAATGGAGGGGATGTTTTCTCTAGATACCCCGCTGAGCTGCTGACAATTCAAAGTTCCCTTTGGAGGTCTTGGGGACCAGAGGCTGGTCTCATTGGCCAGTTACATGTGGCAGAGGGAACGAGGGGCCCTCCTTGGAGGCAATAGGACACCCTTTAGGTTGGAGACAATACTTAAAGCCATGCTATGGGACCAAGATCCAAGAACCTGGTTAGGGTTTGAAACCTGCCAAATCTGAAAGTTCCAAAGGCAGACACCAAATTTAGGGTATGAGATCCAGAGTTTGGGGCCTGGAAAATCAAAGCTTTTGTGAATTGTGAACTGTAAAACAGAAAAGAGGGACTTGGAGAAGGTCCTGAGTAATTACTGCTCACAGAACTTAAAGCATTCACAATCTGCCATGACATGCTATTTAGGGACCAGCAAGAAAGCAAGGCACAGGTGGTTCTGCAGTAGTAAAAGCTTGAGGTGGATCACTAGTAAGCATGCTAACTGCCATGTAATGTAAGGAAATCTCCATTTTTATAGACAAAGTATTCCATAGCCTGCCAGTAGGAAAGCTCCTTTGACCCCTCACTGAGCGGTCACTCAGGTCTTCAGGATGTCTTTCTGCACACATTTCTTTCCAAGAGTTAGTGGAGTGAGGCTTCTGGGTTTATACTGGTGTCTTACAGTTGCAGTGTTTCTCAGCACTTGCCATCTACTGGCTTAAGGGACAGCAATTCTGAATGCCCCCTAGGACCTCTTTTTACAGCTTAGACTGGGCAATAAACTCAAAGAAAAAACTCACAGTAAAAATAGTTCACTTGTCCCCTTCTCTAACCCACATATGGAGACAAAACAAATTTCTCATAATATACCAACACTTTTAAAAGTGGAAGCCTAATGATTTGAATTCCAGTGGGTAAGGAAGGAAGCAATGTTTTTATGTCCTCTCCACCTTGGAACAGGGTGGGCTATTTCTCCATTTATGTGGGCTGGCAGCAGATGGGGAGGTAAGGGCTTCTCATGATCCACAGCACCACAGTGCCAGCCCCCTGTCAAGCCTATATCAAGAAGAGGTGTGCAGGAGAAAGCTGAGTGTTAGGATTTCACCTGGGCAGAAGAATCGGGGGTGCCAGTTGCAGATTCCCGAAAGAGTGACTGTGACTTGTTGTGGTCCTTTTCCTGTTCCTGGAGTCAGAAAAAAGGGACCAGCTGCTTACTGATCCATCTTCTTTGAAATGAAGTGGAGATTAATTCCTAATTGTTCCACTTCTCATACCTACACATCACAAGTGTAGGTTCACTCCTGATCATTTCTGTGTGTTTTGTATTGTACTGTATTGTATTGTACTGTATTGTAGACAGGGTCTTTCTCTGTTGCCCACGCTGGAGTGCAGTGCTGACCATTTCTTTATCTTTTCAAGGCAGCCCTGATCCCACAGATAGTCCTTCATCCCTTCTTCACTAACAGCCCCTCAGTACTGGATTCATACTCTCTTTAAGTCCCAGCCGTTTGAGGTTTCAAAGTTTGCTACACTGCCCTCTGCTGGTCTGAACTCGGATTTACCCTAAAATGGGGGGCTCCCATTGCCAAGTACTTGAAGTTCACCCTAGATAAACGGCTTCATCAATCTCTATAGCACTTGATTTCCTTTCCTTATCTGGTGAAGTTTCCTATTCATATAGAACTTAGAGATGCTTAGGCTCTTGGACAGTTTCTGCAAATGTAGCATGAGGCTCTTGGAAAGGGAGACTTCTCTGCTTAAGGTTACTCCCTGGCTCCTGGCTTAATCTTTTCAGTGACATTTAATTCTACGGCCAATATCTGATGTTTACTCTTGTTTCTAAGCCATGGATCCTTTCTTGGTCCTCGAGTACGTTAGCCAATATGTCACCCAGATCCTTAAAAAGAGTTAGGAAACCATTCCCTGAGGTACCCTAGAAGTCTGCAGTGATACCAGTTGCTTCCAGTCTATTCTGATGAATACTGTTCCTATGAAATCACTGGTGCATACCACCTACAACTGCCAAGATCACTCATCCTGTGTGTTTAACCCAGGACTGTCTGCTTCCAGTCTGCTTTAGAAATCACGTACAAATATTTTTAAAAATATTATCTACTAATAAGGCAATCTCTCATCACAGTACAGTACAAACACAAGGTGTGTTATTAAGGATTTATCTGGCACCACAAAATTTGCCATAAAACTTCAAAGTCTTAAGAATAGGATTATCTAAAAAGCTCAACATCACTGATCATTAGAGAAATGCAAATCCAAACCACAATGAGATATGATTTCATGCCAGTCAGAATGGTGATCATTAAAAAGTCAAGAAACAACAGATGCTGGTGAGGCTGCAGAGAGATAGGAACACTTTTTTCTGTTGGTGGGAGTGTAAATTAGTTCAACCATTGTGGAAGATGGTGTGGCAATTCCTGAAAGATCTAGAACCAGAAATACCATTTGACCCAGCAATCCCATTACTGGATATATACCCAAAGGAATATAAGTCATTCTATTATAAAAATACATGCATGTGTATGTTCATTGCAGCACTATTCACAATAACAAAGACATGGAATCAACCCAAATGCCCATCAATGATAGACTGGATAAAGAAAATGTGGTACATATACACCATGGAATACTGTGCAGCCATAAAAAGGAACAAGATCGTGTCCTTTGCAGGAACATTGATGGAGCTGGAAGACATTATCCTTAGCAAACTAACACAGGAACAGAAAGACCAAACACTGCATGTTCTCACTTATAAATAGGAGCTGAACAATGTGAACACATAGACACAGGGAGGGAAACAACACACACTGGGGCCTGCCTGGCAGGGTGGAGGGCATGGATGGAGGGAGAGCATCAGGAAGAATAGTTAATGCATGCTGGGCTTAATACCTAGGTGATGGGTTGATAGGTCTAGCAAATCATAAGGGCGCATGTTTACCTATGTAACAAACCTGCACATCCTGCGTGTGTACCCCAGAACCTAAAATAAAATAAAATAAAAAACGTAAAAAAAAGAATTTTCTTTGCCCTCTATTCCTTTTTTACCTTTCTTGACTTACCTCTTCAGAATCTATTCTCTTAGAACATTTGGTTTTGTGTGTTTGTGGCTGTATACCTACATACCTTTCCATCATTGCCATTAGCTTCTTTCCAACAAGCTTTCACAAGTCTAAGAATTCTTGATTAGATTTTTTTTTTATTTTGCTGGCCTACAGGATTTGACATCCCACTAAAATCTTCTATCCTTCAGATGAACACTTTAGCCCCCAATTCTAAACTTGACTGGATGTTACTCTGTTTGCCTAAAATATTTCTGATTTATTCATATCAGTTTTAAGGCACGTCCATTTCTTATATGTATTTAATTGTTTTATTTAAATTGATCTTTCTGGGTTTTTCTAATTATCACTTATAAGAAAAATCATGCTTCTTATGCATATGGAAGTACATGTTGGAAAATGGATAAAAGAGCCATTTTAAGGATAAAATGCAAATAGTGCATCAGGCCTCAAAATTTCACTTTGAGTTTTCCCTTTAATAACAAAATATGGCCAGGCATGGCCTATAATCCTAGCCTTTGGGGAGGCTGAGATGGGAGGATCACTTGGGCCCAGGAGTTCAAGACCAGCCTGGGCAACATAGGGAGACCCTGTCTCTATAAAAATTTTTAAAAAATTAGCCTAGCATGGTGGTATGTGCCTGTGGTCCCAGCTACTCAGGAGGCTGAGGTGGGAGAATCACTTGAGCCTGGGAGGTTGAGGCGCAGGTGACAGAGCAAGACCCTGTCTCAAGAACCAACTGACCAAACAAACAAAAATATAAGTCTTTCTCAAAAAAGGTAGTCACTTAACAGATATATATGGGTAACACCTATACACAGGACACTGAATTAAACATGGAATTATAAAAAGATGAACATATGTTGACTTGTGCTCAAACATGATCTCAGATTACTATATTAGGATTTCGATGGCCACTTCAGGAGCAAGTCTTTCATTTAATAAATATTTATTGAGTGCTTACCACATTCCAGGTACCATGCTAGAAGCTAGAGATTTATGGAGCCTGGATTTGGGAGGTAACTCTAATCTAGTGCAGTTGGATCTATAGGACAGGATGCTGTGGGAGCACAGATGTCATCTAACTTCGTCTTGGAGGGATAGAGAAGGGTGACCCAAGGTAGTAATGTCTAAATTGAATTTGAGAAATGAGTAAGAAGTAACGAGGTACAGATCAGAAGTAGCGGGGGTGAGCAGCTAGGTGCAGAGTTTAAGGGAGCACCCTATGGAAATGCTGAGGGCTGTGTACAAGGGATGTATGTGAAGGAGTGTGAGAGTTTGGTATGGATGGAGCCTGCATTAGTCTGTTCTCACGGTGCTAATAAAGACATACCCAAAAACTGGGTAATTTATATAGGGAAGAGGTTTAATTGACTCACAGTTCAGTATGGCTGGGGAGGCCTCAGGAAACTTACAATCATGACAGAAGGGGAAGCAAACACATTCTTCTTCTCATGGTGGCAGGAAGAAGTGCAGAGCAAAAGGGGAAAAAACCCATATAAAACCATCAGATCTTGTGAGAACTCACACACTATCACAAGAACAGCAGCATGGGGGTATGCGCCCCCATGATTTAATTATCTCCCTCTGGGTCCCTCCCACCACACATAGGGATTATGGGAACTACAATTCAAGATGAGATTTGGGAGGGGACACAGCCAAACCATATCAGAGCCTACAGAGCAATGTAGGAGTCAGGAGAGATGAAGCTGGAGAGGAAAATTGGTCAAATCATGCAAGTCTCCTATATTCATTGATGATAGGGAACTAGGAGAGATATGCACTGGCTTTATAGTAAATGGCTCCTATAGTGTGTGAGTCAGATAATGTCACAGGCATGATACAAATTATAAGCAGGGTAGGCCTTGCTGCTGCAACAAAGATCTACAAATTCAATGACTTAGAGAACAGAAAGTTTATTTCTTTCTCACTTCATAGGACTGAGTGGTTTCAAGTCAGCAGCTAGAAATGGGAAGAGGAGAAGGTGGGCTCTGCTTTTTGCAGAGACCCCGGCTGACTGCAGCTGTGCTATCTTTAACCCATTGTTTCTAGCATCACCACCCCAGGAAACTAGAAAGAGAAACGGGATTGTAAGTAAGTGGCTTTTATGGGCCAGGTCTGAAAGTAGCACGTACTGCTTCTGTCACATTCCATTAGTCAGAAACCGGTCACATGGTTACACCATATTGCAAAGTACCCTGGAAAATGGAGCCCAGTTTTGTGCTCAGGAAGAAGAGAAAATGGATTTTGGGGAATAGTGTCTGCCACAGTGCTGGAGGGAAGAGCTGGTGGGCTATGAATCAGAACCATTGCTCACTCCTTCTAAGAGCCCTTTCTCTAGTTGCCTCTGCTTATCTCGTAGTCCTGGTCTTCTTTCAATTCCATTTCCCTTATGCAAATACATACAGGGCCTCTTGGATTATTTATCTCAACCCTAGCTACTTGTCATTCCTCAACTAAGATTCATGTTTGATCAATCTCCTCTGACTCTCAGCACAACAGGCTGTTTGCTTGCCCAGCTCAGCCTGTTTTAAGGAGAGAGTCCGACCTTGCTGGTCAGTTGGGGAAGCCAGAAATGCTGGTTGGTAGGTGGCACTCAGCAAGACACTCATTCCAAAGCAACACACACGTAATGAATGCAAGGATTCAGTCACGCTCAGGAGAACACAACAACACTGGCTCCCTTGACCTATTTCCTCAAGACTAAACTTTCAAAAGAGTAACCACACCCAGGCTGACCAGGGAATTGTTAAAAACAGGGATGTCAGCATGCTCTGATCTGACTGCCAACAAAAATATTTCCTTTGTGTTGATGCTTTCTTCATACTGCACTCAGGAAGGGCAAAGAAGTTTGACCTGTCTGGGTTGGAGAGCCCGGTGAACCACTCTCCCCAGGGTTTCTCTCTGGGAGTTACAGAAAGAGGCCTGCATGTTGTTTCTTTCTAATGGGAGTTGAGGCTACCACTTTCATAACCACCGATTAGTCCTATTTGCTATTAGGAAATCTCAGGGCTCTCCATCAAAGGCCTCATTGTTTGGATGTTTTTTTTCTTTCACTTGTGTCACTCTGCTAAGGTACGCTTTCACTCAGCAGTGTCTTCTGGGTCATTTTTATAATGCTGTTAAAGAGAGGATGAAAGTGCTAGAATCAAGAGTTGGAGATACCACTCCTCACCAAGAGTTTAAAACCGACATTGAGCGGAGGTGAGGAGGGATGGGGAATTTGTTGATGAATTTGTATTTATTTGTGTATGTCCCTTGGGTTTGTTTCCTTTTTGTCCAAATCCAGACATTTAAAACTCATATGTCTACGCTCATGATTTATAGAGATCTTCACTGTCATGATAAGCAAAATAGGAAGAAAAGGAAAATAAACAAATAAAAAATAAATAAAAAGGAATTCTGAGTGTTAGGGCTTTTTATTTCTGTCTTCATGTAATATATAAGCCTCATAGAAATACAGGTAAGGACTTGATTTCCTCTAAAGCCATTTCAAGCATTATAGTATATGAGAAATTTGCATTTTAATATTGTCTAAAAACATCGTGTTGTTATTATTGACCACCTGATTCTTAGCCATATTTCAAATTAAGCTAGCCATATGAAATAGTAGTTCTTCCATTAGTAATGCCATCTCTTATTCTTAGTCTTTTTTTTTTAAGGATTTCACTAAAACATTTATTCTAAGAAGCCCTCTTTCATTCACCTCGATTTGACTGGGATTATTTCTTTAAATTTTACATTTGTATCCCAGATGTGGCAAGGCCCTAGGACCAATCAGGATAGTCCAGGTAATGTTGAGGTAATGATCCCAGAATCTCAGTGGCTTAAATCAGCAAAAGTGTGTTTCTCCTTCGTGCTCCAGGTCCAGTGTGGCTCAGCACATGTGGAGTCACTCAGGGACCAGATCCAGATCCACAGAGGCTCCATCCTAATGTGTTCCGTAAGCATCCTGTTAGAGTGAAGAGAACGTGGTGAAATACATACTGACTTGGAAAGCTTCTATCTGGAAGTGGTGTGTCACCTCTGCTCATGTTTTTTTGGCCAAAGGAAGACACATGTTCACAATTAACTGCATATCAATAAGTAGCAAAGGATAGGTTAAATTAACAAACACTCCCGTCCATATGAGTAAGTATCACAGTTTTAAAGCATTCTCTCAGACATTTCAGCAAAGGATAGGTTAAATTAACAAACACTCCCGTCCATATGAGTAAGTATCACAGTTTTAAAGCATTCTCTCAGACATTTCAGCAAAGGATAGGTTAAATTAACAAACACTCCCGTCCATATGAGTAAGTATCACAGTTTTAAAACATTCTCTCAGACATTTCAGGGAGGTTGGAAGGGTAGGTTAATAATTTACTCATTCTATATATAGGGAAACCAAGGCTTAGAGAGATTTTTTTTTTTTTAAGGTCAAAGAACTTTCCTTTAGATTAGCTAATCATGATTACCAGTTTTTTTTTTTTTTAAATCTACAAATTTTCAGCATTATATTTTGTAATGTGCAAATTGATAAGCACCAATTCTGTGGCACAGATCTGGTGTTCAGAGTAATAGAAACAAAACAGCATTTGTCCAGCTATGTCACCATCAGCAATTGAGAGAAGTCTAAGCCCATTTCAGAGTCTTCCATCTGAACTAATCCCAGGAGTCACAAGGATGCTTACTATGTACTAATAAATGTGGTCAGCCAGGTGCCATGCGTGCTCTGTCCCTGCCCTGACTCTCCAAGGTAACAGTCCCCAGTAAGCCACCCTTTGATGCTGCTGTTGAAGGAACTTATGCCCTTCCCAGAGTGATGATGGTGCCTGTGAAATCCACTGAGGCCTCAGAGGAGCTATCTTCTTTCACTTAGGAAGCCAGCACCCACAGTATCCTCAAGAAGTGTGAAGCACTCTTTTAGTTTTTATTGACTCTTGTTCCAGCTGTTTCTCATTCAGACTCAATCATGAGCCCTCAGCCACTCTGAAACACATTAACCTCTGCGCAGGCTCTTCTGTGTCCTCTTGGGTCAGACTTGTGGGCCTGAACTCTCTTCTCTCATAGAGATGAGTTATTTCCCAGAAGGCTGTTCAATTGCTCATGCAAACAGCCAACTGGTGGACCCACCTTCCCCTTCGGCCAGACATACCCGCACTTGTTTGAATGTCACATTAGACAGCCATAGAATTGTTCCTTCATAATATGGTAAAAAAATATTACTAGTTAATATAATGGATTGAAACACGTCAGTATTTCATGGTGTTGTGTAAAGAGCACTTCAGGTGCTCTGCCACCTACATAAGTTCGATAATAAGGGGCATGGGAAAATCAACACTGCACTCCAAGGCCCGAACCCCCAAACCTATGTTCTTGCCTCAGATCTGTCTCCCTTTGAGTGACCTTGGGAAAGTCACTTGGCCCTGCTAGGCCCTTTTATCATGCATAGAATGAAGGAAGTAGTATGTTTCTAAGGACTTTTTCAAGCATGCAAGTTTGCGATTTGTGGAGACAAGATTTATCATTTGCAATTACTGTCAACAGGTGGCAGCAAAAACCCAATTTTTAGTGACAAGAAAAGAATGTTAGCTGCCTTTGATTAATCCTCAGAATTTCAGAGAACATTTAATTAATTGTATTCATTTTAAATATGATGAAAAAACCATAATCTCCATATTTAAAGATGCTTCATGATAGAAAGACTGTATGTACAATATATGTTATCAAGTGAATTGAAAAGTAGGGCTTTTAAAATGGGCATGTTTCATAAACCATTGAGCTGAATACTTTTCTTCCAGTCATTTTGAATGTGGGTAGAGGTCTTAGGATAGTAAAACTGCCATATTAAGTGATATTTCAGAACAGGTCTTTTATATCTATTTTTAAGTTAAATGTGGAAGGATAAACTAACAACTTCAGGAATTCCTTTTTAAGTGTTGTATAAGTTTTTTTTTTTTTTTTTTGGCAGGGTCTTGCTCTGTTGCCCAGGCTGGTGTGCAGTGGTGCAATCATAGCTCACTGTAGCCTCAACCTCCCGGGCTCAAGCAATCCTCCTACATCAGCCTCCCAAGTAGCTGGGACCACAGGTGCATGCCACCATGCCCGGCGAGTTTAATTGTATTTTTTGCAGAGTTGGAGTCTCACATGTTGCCCAGGCCAGTCTTGAGATCCTGAGCTCAAGCGATCCACCCACCTAGGCCTCCCAAAGTTCTGGGATTACAGGCATGAGCCACCACATGCAGCAGTTTCTTATGTAAAGGGTGTTGAGAAAAAGCTGACATACATAGCAACATTACAATATCATTACATTTTACATTTTACCATAGCTCATATCACATTAAATGAATTCCAAAGAACTTTTGAAAAATGTAAAACTTTATTTGTTAGCATTTTTCTAATTTTAACAGTTGGAAATGAATGGGCTGTTTTTGGAACTTTGAAAAGTTTTTGCTAGCCAAAGGTTTTGTTGCAATGAACTAGAACACAAATGTAAAAATATATACGGATATGTTATTAAATTGTCAATGCAAACTTGATTCCATTTCATTTAATATTGTGAGCAAAACAATGATATATGAAACTGAGAAAAGTGCTATGGAAAAGACTAAGATAGGAGCTATATTGCAGGCATAGTCTCTTACAGGAATTTATAATTTTAATAAAGTGAATACCTAGATACTATGTTACTCTATTAAAACTGGAGAGGGTATACAAGCTATCATCTTGAGCTTTTCCTGAATTACAGACTTGTACTTTCAACTGCCTCCTTGACATCTCTACTTAGCCTTAGTATGGACAAAAGAGAAATTTATGTGAACAAATAACTTTAATTTACTAAGATATCAGATCCCTTGATCTGGAGATTTAATTACATTATTTATTAGCAATGTTTATAAAATTCTTTATATTATAAAAATCGCATAAGTCTAAATCAACCACCATCATCAATCATCAACATTATAGTAGACAAAGAGTGGAAAAAATAAGAGATACGATCTTGTTGGTCAATTTGTATGATTCATACAAAAATCTGAAAAATGCTCCTAAGCTTTTATAGAAGTAAGTACATTCTTCTTAGATGAGTCACAAATTCCTATTTTACAGCTGAAGAGATTTAATGGTGAAATGACTGGCACAAAGCCCCACATTCTCCGGACTTCACATTTGGTATTTTGTACCTAAACTGGCTCTTACCCTGATCCTTGCTGACTGTTCCTCCTACTTCTTGCAGAGAGGTTATAACCCATTGGTCTGTAGCTGCACTGCCCAGTGAGGTACCCACTAGCCACTATGGCTTTCAAATGGAAATTAAATACAAATAAAATTTAGTTCTTCAGTTGCTTCAGCTACGTTTTAAGTCCTTAGTAGCCATGTTTGACTAGTGGCTACCAGATTGGACAACAAAGATATAGTACATTTCCAATATTACAGAAAGTTCTGCTGGATAACACTGGTCTAGAGTGTGGAACACTGTGGCTATCTACCTGTCCAAGTGCCATCTTTTCTGTATATAATGCCCAACTTTTACAACTTCAAACATATAAAATACACATTGGTAGGAAATTGCACACTTGCTTTCAAATTGCTCCTCTCAGCCAGTGATTTCTCTTTGGGTAGTAAAGTTGAGGATGGTAATTATTAAGTGGCTACAGTATATCACAAGAAATACAATATTATGATACCATTGAAAGAAAATGTCTCTTGAAATTCTTTCCTAAGCTAACTTTCATTGCCTGATATAGAATAATTTTTTTCTTCTACCTAGAGGGAGCTCATTATTGTTTTTTTGGACCAAATAAACTGTAAATATCTAGCTACTACTGGACAGTGTGCCGTCAAGTAGAAAAGGTAGGCAGTAGCATAATAAGCTACTCTTTGACCCTCTCCTTCCCAGACGGTCTTGACTGCCTGTATTTAAGAAGCTGGGGCACAGGACACACAATCATAGTGGACTCTGTGTGGTACCTGTTCCTTGATCCATGAGTGAATCCTGTCAATGTGACTATTTCTTCTACTTTAGAATGGTTGTGGTGAGTCAGCCAACTCAGAGTGGCTACTTATTCTCCCTCAGGGCCGGGAGTTGTGGAAAAATGTTAAATTGAAGTGTGTCTTTCCTCAGTGAAAATACTACATTACAGTCAGTCGTCTGCATCTATGGGTTCCACATCCATGAATTCAACCACCTGTGGGTTGAAATTATTTGGAAAAGAACCCAATAAAAATAACTATACAACAATAAAAAATAATGCAAATAAAAACCAAAACAGTATAACAACTATTTACGTAGCACTCACATTGCATTACGTATTATAAGTAATCTAGAGATGATTTAAAGTATACAGGAAGATGTGTGTAGGTTATATGCAAATATGATATCGATACCATTTTCTATAAGAGACTTGAGCACCTGTGGATTTGAGTACCCAAGGATGTCCTGGAACTAATCCCCTGAAGATACCAAAGGACAACTGTATTTTGTGTTGGCATAATATTCTAGAATAAGATTTAAGGACACTATTATCCCCTTTTATGGGCTAAAATAATTTAGAGAGAATCTCTCAGTAAGGATGAATACATCTTTGCTGAATGGCAGGATAGTTCTAATATTTCAGATGTAGTTATTGGTGAACATATTCTATCTTTGAATGCAGTATTTGATATTGTGCATATTTTTCATGAAACTTAATGGTTGGATTTATTTTTAATTTGTTTGAAATGTTGGATTCAATAACAATGATTCCAACAATTTAAATGAATAAAACTCTGGGTACAACTTAGTATCCAGAGTACCAGATTGAGAGTCAAGAAACCTGACTTGTCTCTAGAATGGATTTGCTCAGCTCTTGAGTTGAGGTGTTATAAAACCTAGTAATCTTGCCTATGAGATGGACTTGATTAAGCCATTTTAGTTACATCATGAGAGATTCTCAGTTACTCTAAGAAGTGATGGGAAAGTGAAAAAGCATGTTCTTTTCCTGTAGCTACTACTGTATCTGACATCCCTTTGTGGTCACTGAGGCAGGGCACATATGGCTGAAAGGTATGGTAAGAACGTTCTCTCTCTGGGATGTTCCCGGATGTAAGTCAAAAACTTGCCCACACTTTGAGGCAGTGGCAGTCTGGATGTACCTGCTCTGATACTCCAGGGCTATAGAGCAGCCTTAAAGCAAAGAATTGAGACATAGACATGATTTTTAAAGTATTCTATTCAGCTATGCTGATATCTAGAATTACTTTAAATTAAGTCATTGGAAAATATTGGGCAATTATACCAAATTTCTGGCAGACTGTGATTGGAGTGATAGATATCTTAGAAATAGATTCCTGTGTTCAGTTGGTATTTTGTGGTAGGGGTCTTCGTACTTTGGGGATGTGGAGTTAGGGGAATTGGGTTTGCCTTTTTGCTCTGCCTATCAGCTTCTTACTAACTCATTCATAAAATAAAGATGAGTCTATTTCAAAGATCTGTTCCACTCTTCAGATATAGCTTTTTATGGTTTTATCAAAATTTATTTTAAGAGTATATCATAAAAGAGTATTTTTAGAGTAATCCACAAAGACTGGTGCATATTTATTAAACAATCAGAACTTGCATGCTTGAAAAAAATCTTAAAACTTTTTTGTTTTAATTCTTAATTTAGAGATGGGTTCTCAATATATTGCCCAGGCTGGCCTCAAACTCCTTGGTTCAAGAGATCCTCCCACCTCAGCCTCCTAAATAGTTGGGACTACAGATGTGTACCACTGCCTCCTACTAAAGAAATCTTTAATTCCTGCCACTGGAAGATTAAATTGTTCAGGTCTTATTCCTACTTCATTTACTTTAACAAAATCAAACATTTTTTATTTCAGAATAGTTTTGGACTCACAGAAAAGTTGCAAGGAGAGTAAGAGAACTCCCATATACTTTGTAGCCATTTTTTCCTATTATTAACATCTTATATTTACTGTGGTATATTTGTTATAACAATGAACCAATAATAATACATTGACATTAACTGAAGTCCATACTTTATTCAGATTTCCTTTAGTTTTTACCTAATGTCTTTTTCTGTTCTAGGAAGGATCCCATCCAGGATACTATATTACATTTAGCTGTCATGTCTCTTTAGGGTCCTCTTGGCTGTGACAGTTTTTCAGACTTTTCTTGTTTTTGATAACTTTGACAGTTCCGTGGTGTGCTGGTCAGCTATTTTGTAGAAAGTCCTTCCATTGGGATTTGCCCATTTTTCTTATGATTAGGCTGCAGTAATGGGTTTGGGGGAGAAAGACCACAGAGGTGAGATGGCCCACTCATCACCTCATCTCAAGGGTACACGCCATCGGCCAGACTTATCACTGTTGCTGTTAACCTTGAGCATCTGGTCAGGATAGTGTTTGTCAGGTGTCTCTGCTGTAAAGTTACTTTTATCCCCCCTCTCCTTTCAGTAGTCTTTGGAAGAAAATCACTTTACACAACCCACTGTTAAGACATGGGAAGATTTAACTCATTTTTAAGTCACCATCCATTGAATTTTAGAGTAAAATCTCGTTAATGTTAGGCACAGCTTTGAGACTATTAGGTAAGTTTGGTGGCAAACTGTCCTGTAAGTTCTTACTAACCTGGAATAAAATTTCTGGGGGAAAAAAGAAAAGGGCTATGACTTGTCCTTCTTCTTTGATATTTTTTTATCCCTTCTTTTGCAGGGAGTTATAAGGTACACTTACACTTAAGTACAAAACAACATGATTCTCTCCCCATCCCCCACAGTCTAGCAAAAACAATCTATCGCCTTAAAATAGGAAGAAAATATGCTTCTTTTTCATTGCTTTAGCAAAGGATTGCGGGAGATCTGGATCAATAGCATTTTTCCAAGTTGTAGTTATGTGAATCCTAATATTTACATTAAACAGTTTTTGTGCTTCAGCATCTTTGAAACTTTCTTTGGTCCCCACCCTTTTAGGAACAACAAATTCCTAAAGCGTGAATGTTTACGACAAAACAAAATATTCTCAGCCTTTCATTCTATTTTTTTTAAAATTACAGAAGTAATATATGTTTTTTTAAAGTAAAAAAAGTTAAAACAATCCAGAAGTACATAAAGTGTAAAAGTAGAAGTCTTCCCTGGCTCTGCATGTGGTAGAATTGACTCCATTATTAAATGTTGTTTTTTTGGCTTTCTATCACAGATGATAGTGTTATTTTATTAAATATGCTCCACTATAACGTAGTATGTAGCAATTAAATGGGGGAAAAGACATGTTTGAAATTTGGCTTGGACTGTTAACTTGTTACTTATTTAATCAACTATCTAGCAAATGATGTTCTAGATGCTGGAGAAATGTAGGGGTATACATGATGCAAAAGCAAATTATCTGTCCTCAGAGGAACCCATGGTACAGATACAGAGGGACAGACCTCCATAAACGACAAAGAAGTTAACAAATGTCTTCCATCCAAGCACATCTGTCACATGTAGAACTTGAAAACTAATTTTTGCTTGGCTAATATGATTATGACCTACTCAGAGTATATTTTTAGTTTATTTAGTTTGTTAAATTTGGAACAAAAAGCTCTGAGCTAATTTTCAGAATGAGTGTGAACTGGTTCGTTTAACTATGTAACACAATTTCACCATTTTTCTGAGACTGCACATGGTAGTTCTGTTTTTTTAAGATGATGAAAAAAGATTTTATCCTCTGATCATGCCAAGAAGGGAAGACTCAGAATCTATCATCCTAATCTTTTCAAGCATATCAAGTACAGCTTTGATGATGAAAGAATTTTTATGGAATAAGTTTGGTGCCTAAACAAATCTCCTACTATTTTCCTACCTGTAATGATATAAGAAAATGTATATCTGCCAACAATCACTCATTCACTAAACAGGAACTAATTTTAATGTAAATTATTTATGATTAAATCAGCTTTGAAGTATTATATCAGGAAATTGTGAAAGACCAAAAAAACTCATAATTTATTTTCATTTATTTACAGACCCTTTTGATACACATGAAATGTCTCATAATAGTAGTCTTCTGTGTATATAGAATTTTACATTATTTTTTCATTATATGTTTCATAAATATTTTTCCATGTACATCATCACACTATTTTCATGGTTGCCTAATATTCCACAGCATTGATATTTTGTTATTCAATTATCCTCTATTGTTGGAAATTTAGATTTTTCCAGTTTTAGATAGTATAATGCTTCTCTAGGCATCTCTCTTTATTTGGAGATTTCCAGTAATATCATTTTCTCCTCTTGAATTATTTCCTGAAGATATATTTCCAAAAATAGGATTATCATGTTGCCTTGTATTTGATATGCATTGTCAAGTTGTTCAAAAGAAATGCTGCCAATTGACAAAACCTAGAATGATAATGGATGAACCTCTTTTTCTGAAGCCCCCTGCCAATACTATAATGACGTAATTCCCTTCGTGGTAAGCAACAAAACTCAGATTTATTTCTGATTTTATTGGTAAATCTTGGAGTAATTTAGAAATCTCCCTTTACTAACATAAGGCACGTGATATCAATCCATAGATCATGTTCCTAATAACAGGACTGTGTTCACAGACAGCAGAAACGCACTGTAGGCTCTGCCTAAGAACTTGACTTAGGCCAGCCTCATTATCTTCCTTCCTCCCTCCTCCCTCTCACCCTTCTTCACCCTTCTTTCTTTCCTTTTTTTTTTTTTTTTTTTTAGATGGAGTTTTGCTCTTTTTGCCCAGGCTGGAGTGCAATGGCGCGACCTCAGTTCACTGCAACCTTCACCTCCTGGGTTCGAGTGATTCTCCTGCCTCAGCCTCCTGAGTAGCTGGGATTACACAGGCATGGGCCACCACACCGGGATAATTTTTGTATTTTTAGTGGAGACAGGGTTTCACCATGTTGGCCAGGCTGGTCTTGAACTCCTGACCTCAGGTGATCTCCCTGCCTCGGTCTCCCAAAGTGCTGGGATTACAGGTGTGAGCCACTGCACCCGGCTCCCTTTCTTTCATTCTAAATTAGATTCTGAATGGCTGAAACTGGAACAGGGCCAACACTGGTGACAATAGAATGGTGAGTACCAACGTCCTACTAACTCAAAGGGCCTTTGATTCCCTGAGAGTGGCCTGTAATTTTTTGGTTTTCTGCAGGGAAGCGGAGAGAATGGTGCCATCTTGCATCCCTGGGAACTTTGCCTAGTGGAAGAGTGAATGATATTCTGCTGAGGGAGATTTCCCCTATGACCGCCCTCTCCCTCAGTGAACACTTGTGTGATCACTGCTGTTGATCATAAAGAGAATCGAACTAATACAAAGGAAAAAACAGTCCCATAATATATTGTGAGCAAAACAAATTGCTGAATAAAGTACAATATCAACTTAGATTGCCTGGGACATTTCGTTGTTATTAGGATACAAAAAGACTCCCTTTTCAGAGGTAGCTTTCTAAAGACAGGTCTAAAATAATCTGCTAGGGCCCGCAGTCTGAACTTTGACAATTATGCAAAATAAAGGACAAAGAAGAGATTATCAATAATAATAATTTATCAATGGGAGTGTGTTCTCTGCCTTTCAATGGGTCTTGAACCCTTCAAATGGCACTATTGTCTCCTTAGATGGAGCTGACCAGGCAACCTTCCCGGGAATCTTTGTTGCCTTCCTTGAAAAACATTTAAAACAAACAAGCCCCTTTCTCTTCCCAGAGACAGTACAAGCGATATTAATGGTTATCTACCTGTGATAAGCACAACAGTCTCATTTTACCTGACTTGAAAGGGTCATCTGTACTGTCAAGCCCAATTAACTTGTCTTACTCTCACACAAGAAAGGAAGGTTACTGAAAGGCCACATCTTGCTTTATATCTTGGCTGCTCTGGTACAATGACCTGATCAAAGGCCATCAAAGCGTCAGTCCAATAAAGCCAGATCCTGCTTTTTTAGGACACGGACATAGCGCCACACATGGGAGCTTGCAGGTTCTTACTGAAAGGCTCAGAAGCCAAGATGGAATTTTATATAAATAGGGTCTCCCAGAGGTTGAGAGAGGCACTAGGCTACTTCCCAATTTTATAATGAGGTTATAAAAAATGTGATATATTTTAAATGTTCACTGTTAATGAATTAATGCTTTAAGTACATAATTAATGCAATATAATTGGGCTTTTCATAAAATAATTACATGACTTATAAAAAGTATTTAATTTAAAGTGCACTATAGGCAGGATGCCTGTAATGGGACAGAAGCTTATAACTGAATGATAAATATCTTCTGTCAATCATGCGTATGTATCTGTGAGACTCCCTTTGGGGAAAATCACCAAAAGCTCACATTTGAAGTCCTGGGTGAATGGGAAGCCTGAGTAAATTCCCAGTCAATGACTGAACTGTCACCCCTGAGATAAGTTCTATTTGCATGTTTCAAGCAGGTCACAAAACTCTTTACTTGTCTGTTCCACAGATCCTGTGTCAGTGCTACAAATCTATTGGATACTCAAATGTCTGTTGGTATACTTGGTTCTGTTCCACAGAATTCTAATGCTAGAAACAAACAAACAAACAAACAAAAAAACCTTATTTATTTCTTTTCCTGTTTCTAGGAAAGCTTGACTCGACATCATTGCCCTAGGTGCCTATCTACATGAGTGCCAGTGTGATTCTTGCTTCCTTTAATGGTTCATTTTGAGGTTTATAAGTACAATTTTTTGAAACAAAATTAAATGAGACTGGGATTATTTGATTTGGAAAGAAAGGAATTTGACAGGGTTCCCAGATGTTCCATATGGATGGGATTCTTCTGTTTTTAAAAGAACAACAACACACACACACACACTCACACACACTCACTTGCTGACATGCACTCACACATGTAGTATTTGTGCCCAGATTAGACACTACAGTGCATTACCGTTAACACAAATTTTGTCAAAATATGTACCAAATTCTGGCAAACCTAGCAAAGATGAACAGTGATAAACATCTTCAAGTATCTATACATCCTCTGGATAAAGTTTAAAACCAGATTTGTCTACATTTCTACTATGAATATAAAGGAATAAATAGATTTAAACTAGGTTAGACCAGGAATTGATTTTAGACAGGAGAACGGTTAAACTTCAGAATATATTGCCAAGAAAATTTGTGGAGGTGTATCCTCTGATGGGATGAAAATCTTAAAATCAAAACAAGGCAATTTCCTCTGATGTAAGTGATTTTTTTTTTTTTTTTTTTTTTTTTTGAGACAGAGCCTCAGTCCGTTGCCCAGTCTGGAGTGCAGTGGCACAATCTTGGCTCACTGAAACCTCCACCTCCTGGGTTCAAGCAATTCTCCTGCCTCAGTCTCCAGAGCAGCTGGGACCACAGGTGCCCACCACCATGCCCAGCTAATTTTTGTATTTTTTGTAGAGATGGGGTTTCACCATGTTGTCCAGGCTGATCTCAAACTCCTTAGCTCAAGTGATCCACCCTCCTTGGCCTCCCACAGTGCTGAAATTACAGGCCTGAGCCACTGCACCCGTACTGATGTAAGTGATTTGATTGTTTCTCTGATACAGAAGAGGAATAAATGAGGAAAAATCATTAAGTTCTTTTAGAATTTTTAAAGTATATTTATATTCTACAATTTTATAATTAAATTTAACTTTCTTGAAATATCTCTAATAACCTATTTTTTTGTGGGGAGAAGGGAGAGGGCCACTCCTTTCTGAAGATTCTCAACTCAACTGTATAGGCTGAGTCATGACTTGAATTTTAAAAATACGTTTGAATGTATTCGTTTTTTTTAAATCAGGTCAGAGTTTGAGTTCTGGTGTCCTGAGGCATTTTGGAAATGAAAGTTCAATACTTAGAAAAGAGGGAAAGCCAATAAAAGATAAGCCTGGAATTATTGGGAGCCCATTTTAGCTGTAATAAGGAGATGGCAAATGGACATGGTAGAGCTCATCGGAGCTCTGTACAGAAGCTCTCAGTAGTCCTTGGAGTGTGGGCCAATGGTCCTTCTGAGCAGAAGCCCTTAAGTGCACATAATAAAGGCAAAGAACATAAGCTGGGCAGCAGAAGATAAGCATAGCATACAACACCTTGATGTTCTCTGTCTTCTTTCCTTGCCTCTCTCCAAGTTAGTAGGCAGAGGTGCTATTCCAGATAAATGCCAGCACCAAGTGTCTGTGTCTGGTAGGCTTGACCATTTTTAATAGATATTTTTGGACAAAACAGAGCCTTACAACTTAACTAATCAATGGATCCGTTGAACAAATGGTTTTGGGAATGTCTTTGGGTATCACTGTCTACTCTGGTAGGCAAAATTATGGGTCCCCAAAGATATCCATGTCCTCATCCCTAAAACTTGTGAATCTGTTACCTTACATGGCAAAGGAGAATTAAGGTTGCAGATGGAATTAAGGTTGCTACTCTGCTGACCTTAAAATAGAGAGATTATCCTGGATCATTCATGTGGGCCCATGTAACTACGAGGGCCCTTAAAAATGGAAGGGGGAGGCAGTAAAGTAGGTAAGAGGAATGTGATATAAGAATGACTTGCTTGCTGTTGCTGGCTTTGGAGAGAGGGCAGAAGACCTGGAGCCAAGAAATGAGGGAAATCTCTGGCAGCTGGAAAAGGCATGGAAACGAATTCTCTCCTAGAGCCTTCAGAGAGGAATGCAGCCCTGCCCACCCCTGGATTTTAGCCCAGTAAGACCTATGTTGGACTTTTATTCTATAGAACTATAAAACAATGAATTTACATTGTTTCAACCACAAATTTTGCAGAGACTTGTTACTGCAGCCATAAGAAACTAATACATTTACTCAACAATGACATTCCTCTTATTGCACTAAGTAGCCCATTGGAGGAAGAAAACCACAACCATGATTATATTTGCCCATGGCAATGAAGATGATTAGTGATACTATATTCTTCCACCTCAAAATGGAGACACTGATCAACCTCACAGCCAAATATATTTGCCTCTTCCACTTCTCCAACACAAGCTCTCCTCACTGTCCCCTGAATAGGTAAGAACACATGGTAGAAAGCTTTCACATGCATGACACATTTTGTTGGGAGTACTCAGGGTTAGGTTTAAATGCCTGTGAATGAGCTGTAACTCTGTAACTCCAGTTGTCTTTTTCCTTCCTTCCTTCCTTCCTTCCTTCCTTCCTTCCCTCCCTCCCTCCTTCCTTCCTTCCTTCCTTTTTTTATTTTTTTTTTTCTGAGACAAGGTCTCACTCTCATTGCCCAAGCTAGACAGCAGTGGTGTGATCACAGCTCACTGGAGCCTTGAACTCCCTGGCTCAGGTGATTCTCCCACCTCAACCTCCCAAATAGTTGGGATTACAGGCATGTACCACCATGACTGGCTCATTTTTGTAATTTTTTTTTTTTTTTTGTAGAGATGGGGTTTCACCATGTTGCCCAGGCTGGTCTTGAACTCCTGGGCTAAGGTGATCTACCCACCTCAGCCTCCCAAAGTGTTGGGATTATAGGTGTGAGCCACCACGCTAGACTTATGGCTCTAGTTCTTAATCATGAAACTTTATCACCTCTCAAAGAGGGCACCTTTATTCCTTCTACTGTGAAAGAACATAAGCTTACTATGCAATGATCTTGCAAAACATGCCTTCATGGAGGCCTGTTCTTCATATCAGGAATGTTCTTAATTTCTTCTCCACATACCTGAAACCTACTTAACACTCAGAGTCCAGTTCATTCTATTTTCTTCCCAAGACCTTTTTCCTTGTCTCTAGAAGCAGGTCTGCAGGAATTGACTGTTTACACAAAGGGACTTCAAAAAGTTCATGGAAACATGACATTAAAAGATAAAAATTAAAAATGTAAATTTTATTTCTCAACGTAAGCACCATCAAGGTCATGACACTTTTTTAAGTGATGATCTGAGCCATTTAGTCCATCCCTAAATAACTAAGGGTCCTGGGAATTTAACCATGTCAATGCAGTCTTTTATACATTATTAACTGAATAAAAATGGGTGCCCTTTAAAGACTTTTTTAAGATTAGGAAACAAAAATAAGTCAAAAGGAGCCAAATCAGGACTGCAAGGTAGATGCCAATGATTTCTCATCAAAACGCTCACAAAATTGCCCTTGTTTGATGAGAGAAATGAGCAGGAACATTGCCATGGTAGAGAAGGACTCTCTGGTAAAACTTTCCCAGGCATTTTTCGGCTAAACCTTTGGCTAACTTTCTCAACACACTCTCACAATAAGCAGATGTTATCATTCTTTGGCCTCCAAAAGTCAACAAGTAAAATGCCTTGAGCATCCAAAAAAATTGTTGCCATGACCTTTGCTCTTGACTGGTCCACTTTCGCTTTGACTGACCACGGCCACCCCTCGGTAGCCATTGCTTTGATTGTGCTTTGTCTTTAGGACTATACTGGTAAAGCCGTGTTTCATCTCCTGTTATAATTCTTTGGAGATATGCCTCAGGATTTTGATCCTACTTGTTTAAAATTTCTATTGAAAGGTCTGCTCTTGTCTGCAGCTGATCTGGGTGCAACAGTTATGGCACCCATGGAGTGGAAAGTTTGCTCAACTTTAATTTTTCAGTCAGAATTGTGTAAGCAGAACCAATTGAGATATGTATGGTGTTGGCTACTGTTTCTACTGTTAATTGTCAGTCCTCTTCATTTAAGGCACAAACAAGATTAATTTTTTCCTCCTAAATTTATGTGGAATGGTCTGCTGCTGTGGGCTTCATCTTCAACACTGTCTTGTCCTTTCTTAAAATGAGTTATCTATTTGTAAACTGTTGATTTATTTGGAGTATTGTATCCATAAACTTTTTGTAAAGCATCAGTGATTTCACCATTCTTCCACCCAAGCTTTACCATAAATTTGATGTTTGCTCTTGTTTCAATTTGGGTAGAATTCATGTTACTCTGATAGGGGTTCTTTTCAAACTGATATCTTATTCTTCTTAGTGCCTCAAACAAGATCTTGTTCAGACATATTATAACATGTCGGTTCAAGTTTATTTTGGTGCAAAAAAAACACATACAGTTTTTTCATAAAATGCATTTTTATGAACTTTTTCTTTTTTCTTGTTTTGAGACAGCATCTCATTCTATCATGCAGACAGAGTACAGTGGCATGATCATAGCTCACTGCAGCCTCAAATTCCTGGGCTCAAGTGATCTTACCTCAGCCTCCCAAGTAGCTGGGACTACAGGTGTACACCACCATTCCCAGCTAATTTTTAAAATTTTTGTAGAGATGGGCTCTCACTGTGTTGGCCAGGCTGTCCATGAACTCTTTGAAGACCTCTTTTATATCCTTTATATATAGGATATAGTTATAGCCTTTCCAACACTCAGCACAGGGCTTTGCACATAGTAGGCAGCTGCTAGGTAGTAGAAATTCCACAGACCTTGTCTCAGAGGAGTGAGGCTTGAATCTCTGCTTTCCCACTTACTAGCAGTGTGGCCCAAGATTCAGTGACCTTATCAGAAAAGAAAAAGAAAACTAATACATATCTCACAGATTTGTTATCAAGATAAAATGAGCTATTGTTTGTAAAAGTACTTTGTAAATTAAAGTACCATTCAAATACAAGGGATCAGAGGATTAAATTAAATTAAATCAATTCTGTATTGCATTTCTTGAACTAGTCCTAAGATTGTTGAACTATGTCCAGTTTTGGACATGAGCACATTTTCATGAGTGCATTATAATGCCATTGAGGAAGGCTGTGGAAGCTCGGGATTGTTTATTCTAGTAAAGAGAAGGCCAAAGTGAGTTTTCAAAACAAACTCCAAGTGTTTGTCTACTCAGTAGACAATTGTGAGCAGCTCCACAGAGTCACTGGCCTCAAATTAGAGCAAAAAGGGATTTGGTCCAGACATAAGGAAATACTTCATGAATATAAAGACTGTGAAACCTGCTATTAAGGGAAATTGTGGAGACAAATAACAGCCACAAATAAGTTACTTTATGCTGCCAAGTTGACCAAGGAGAAAAAGAAACATGTTTATTCTTCAAAATGTGGATGTTCTGAAGCAATTAAACATCTTCCCTTGCTAAATTGACATGTTTTTGGTCTTGAGGGCAATATAAAATTAGATTCTTGAAAAGAGATTTTAAAAATAAGAGATGGCATCTCTTCTGAAGAAAAAGAGAAAACAAAATGAAGAAACTATTAAAAATAGAACTATTTGTAAAAAAATACTATTTGTAAACTACTATAAAAACTTACATAAAGATAGTATAATCTCTAAGAAATTGTCTCAGTGAAATAAAACCCATCCCATACATATCCTTTCCCTGTCCTCTTCGTATTGCCTCCCCACAGCCTGCAACAGTCCTTAGCTCTATAATTGAGCATCCACCACTATTATGCTAAGATTGGGAACCTCAGTACCCCACTTGGCATAGCAACTGGTAGGTGATTAGAAGGCAGAGTTGCCTTAGATACCTATATGGATGTTATACAGAAGAGGTGAACATCCTAATGCTATTACAGACATAGTTTCAGTTGAACTATACCTTGTACGTGTCTTTCAAAAGGACAGGACTATCTTTGTGATGACTGAGTAGTGACAGCTAATGTAACCCGAGTCCAGTTAAAGGTCACTGACCAAGCTCCATGCTCCACAATAAGCTTATCAGGGCCATCTCTTGAAATAATAGTCACTTCCAGGTCTCCTTCATCTTCTTCACTCTTTGCCTTCCTCCCTCCTCCCCCATCAGAGCCCGCCCTTCCCCCTCCAGGATGGATCCTTCAGCAAGGTTCTCTCTTTTCTTGGGCTTTTCCTGTTGCCATCACAGAGCCCTCAATGTTTTTTTATAGAGTTATCTTTATCTAACCTTGAGTCAAAGGCCACTCTTGCCCCAGGATAAAAAGCAAATCCCCTCATTTAAGCATCTTCCTTTAAAAAAGGAAAGGGAGAAGTTTTAACAGAAACAATACATTAATATACACTGAAGAAAATTTCTAGGCTAAGCAATCCCATTTCATAATTTTCCTTAGAGAATCTGTCTGTGAAAAATGTTTCTACCACTTGTAGACTAGTGGAAGGTAGAGTCTTTTTGGCAGGCAGCATTCCTTTGTGTTTCCTGGGTAATTTCTTACAACTCGGTTTTCCTAAAATATAGAAGTGGATTGTCCAAAAAATGCTTCTATCGAGTGCCAAAATGATGACCAAAATAGACTCTTGCCATGGCTGCTCCAGGTGTTATGACACTTCAGCCATATTATTTTGAGCAGATGCCCTCTAAGTTCCACCAGTTCTAAGTTCTAAGTTCTAAGATCAGCAGTTATATTGAAATAAAAATGATTACTCTTTTATTATAGCAAGTGTAACTGATTGGTTGCCAAAGACAAGATTATTTGTGCAGAGAATTGCCAAAACCTCCAACTAAACATTATATAAGTATTTATTTTGTGGCTGGGTATCCCTAATGTGCCTGTTTACAGTTTATTCCAGAGTTTACCTGAAGTTTATTTCAGTTTCTTTGCACAGTATCTACAGTATTAAATCACGGTGCTGGCCGGGCGTGGTGGCTCACGCCTGTAATCCCAGCACTTTGGGAGGCCGAGGCGGGCAGATCACGAGGTCAGTAGATGGAGACCATCCTGGCTAACACGGTGAAACCCCGTCTCTACTAAAAATACAAAAAGTTAGCCAGGCATGGTGGCCGGCGCCTGTAGTCCCAGCTACTCGGGAGGCAGAGGCAGGAGAATGGTGTGAACCCGGGAGGCGGTGCTTGCAGTGAGCTGAGATGGCGCCACTGCACTCCAGCCTGGGCGACAGAGCGAAACTCCGTCTAAAAAAAAAAAAAAAAAAAAAAATCACAGTGCTAGGCACTACAGGGCATTTGAGGTGAGTGAGACCTAACCCCTGTGCTCAGTGGCCAAGGAATGTTCTGTGAAGATTGAAGCTGGGTCCTTTCCTATCACCTGTAAGGTCTGTATCATCTAGCCCCAGGCCCCCCTCTACCTGCATTTCCAACAACTTTTCTCCTACCTTGCTATGCTCTGGCCATACTGGCTTCCTTTTCCAGTTTATTTATTTATTTATTTATTTATTTGTTTGTTTGTTTGTTTGAGACATGGTCTCACTCTGTCACCCAGGGTGGAGTGCAGTGGCGCAATCTTGGCTCACTGCAGTCTCAAAATCCCTGGGCTCAAGTGATCCTCCCACCTCAGCTTCCCGAGTAGCTGAAAGTACAGGAGCACGCCAATGCACCTGGCTTGTTGCCACGTTGCCTAGGCTGGTCTCAAACTCTTGTGATCCGCCTGTCTCAGCCTCCCAAAGCACTGGGATTACAGGTATGAGCCACCATGCTCAGCCCCTGGCTTCCTTTCTGTTCCTTAAATTTGCTAAGTAAGATGCTTCTCAGATCCTTTGTCCTTTACACTCCCTCTGCCTGGAACTCCCAGATATACACCCACAGGGCTCCCCTCCTCACTTCATTCAGGTGTCTGTTCATATTCCCCCTCCTCAGAGAGCCTCCCCAGCATCCTATCTATGAGAGCATCCTCTGTCACTTACCATCTCCTGTCCTTATTTTAATTTTCTTCCCTTATATTGTTTAATGCACAGCTGTGTCCTCAACGCCTTGCCCAGTTTCTGACATGTGGTTGGTGCTCAATAAACATTGTAAACTAATAAATAAATGGATGAATGGATGTTCAACCTAACGGAGGTCTTGGACAGATTCACAGATATTATGGTATAGTCACTGCTAGAAGTCTCATCTTCTGTCCTTTGATGGTTCCTTTGTTCTCCTAAACCATGATCCTCCTCATTTCCCCATTCATTCAGCATCATGTGCTCCCTGTGATG
Source organism: Homo sapiens (assembly GCF_000001405.40). Lineage (NCBI taxonomy): Eukaryota > Metazoa > Chordata > Mammalia > Primates > Hominidae > Homo > Homo sapiens. Next base: position 105,448,665 of record NC_000006.12, read on the forward strand.
CTGAAGAACCTCCTTTTGCCACTAGTCTTATTTATCTAAGCAAGATGTTCTCCTTCCCCCCAGTCGCCATGGATGAAAAACCCAGCAGTTTTCTTGGTTAGTATCCATTCAAGTATTATACTAGGCCTCTTTTCTAAAAGGTTTCAAATGGAAACCAGGTACCCCATCTTTTCAAGCATTCCACCTAAACAAGTTAGATGTTTTGAGAATACGTAGGTTCAGACTCAAATCAAGTTCCTTCCTTTTTGCTCAGTTCTTACCTGAGTAAATTTAAGCTGGAACCTAGCTCTGATGACAATTGGACCATCTTCTCTGTGAGAGTTTTTGAAACATCCCAAAGCCCAATAATATTCCTTCAGGACATTCAGCTGCTATGGTTCCTGAGAAAGAAGGGTTAGAAGACTTGCTAGCATTTATTAAATGCCTACAATATTCCATTGCATTGACCTGGAGATTTTTTTTTTTTTGAGACAGAATCTCACTTTGTTGCACAGGCTGGAGCGCAGTGACCGATCTGGGCTCACTGCAACCTCTGCCTTCCGGGTTCAAGCGATTCTCGTGCCTCAACCTCCCAAGTAGCTGGGATTACAGACGTGCGCTACTATCCCCGGCTAATTTTTGTATTTTTAGTAGCGACGGGGTTTCACCATGTTGGCCAGGCTGGTCTCAAACTCCTGACTTCAGGTGATCTGCCCCCTTTGGCCTCCCAAAGTGCTGGGATTACAGGCATGAGCCACTGCGCCCTGCCAGACCTGGAGATTTATGTCACTGAGGCTTACCACAGGGTTCCTATTGGTTATGCATTATTTGAGAAGGCAACCAGAATACCGGTGGCCTCTGAGCCTACCTCCAGCACTTCAGGATTCTCAAAAGCCACAAAGACATTCCTGCTGTCTCTTGAATGATGAAGCACATTACTGAGTGTGAAGGCTAAGCTACTGTAAAAATAAATCAACTTAAATAATAGAAAAGTTATTTCTGTTTACTGTAAAAGTCCAAAGATTCTCTAATTGGGCTAGAAAGGCACCATTGGTCTGTGAGTTCATCCAGGAACCAGGTTTGTGGGTTGGTTCTGCTATGGTCAATGTATGCATCCATATCTAGGCCCAAGGCAGCTGGTCCAATTGTTGCCATTTCTAAGCCAGCACGAAGAAGAAACGTGGAAGTATAGGCTAAGAAACTTTCATCTTTAAGAAAAAGACCCAGGAGCTACAATACATTTTTTCTTACATGCCATTGGTGAGAAAGTAGTCACATACAATGCCTGCTGAGGAGGCTGGGAAATGTAGTCTCTAACTGGTGGTCATGTGCCTGGTTCAACTTGGAGGGAGTTACACTTCTAAGAAGAAGAAGAAGAAGGTGAGAATTGTTCCTTGGAGAGGGTTGGCAGTCTTTTGCCAAACTAGGGTTTTAATTGGTTGGATTTTAGGTCTGGGAAATAAACCCTCTGAGTGATATAATGGGCATTTGCATGTTTGTGGCTGATGGGAATCTTTTCAACAACATTCCTCAGGTGGAGAATGTCCCATTTTGTGACTCCTGGTTCCCATGAGTAAAGGCAATAGCTTGTTTTCCCAGCATCTCTTGCAGGAAGGGCCTAAGCATGTGCCCCAGGCTCTGCTGATCTGATATATTGTACAAGACTTCAATTCAGATAAGCAGCATGAAGAGCCTTGCAGAATCCATTTTCTGATGGGAGTGGCAGCAGAGGCATTTGATGTGGGGACAGCAGTGGTGCTGGTTCTGTGTCAGCTATATAAGGCCTAGCATTTGCATCTGGTCAGAGAGTCCATGGTGTGGATTGGGTATTTTCTCTGACCGTGCCATTTCTGAGCCTAACTTTCTTGCCCTACCAAAGATTCCCACCTAATATTCTTTAGTTATTTTTTGTTCTTGCTTGAATTAGAGGTGTTTTTGTTATTGGCAACTAAGGACCCTTTTAATAAAGCTGAAGATCACCTTGTGTTACTTCTGTGCTTTTTTCTCCTGGGGTGGTCAGATGAGGGTGGGGATAAGAGGTGTTATATACTTTCAGTCATCAGCCATATATGGTGCTGTCACGGATGTGTAGAATACATGAATCTGGGATCCAAGGTCAAGGGGAGGGAAGTAGAAGTTGCCTTACTCACCATCACTCCCAGTAACTCACTTACGTTTACTGTCCCAGCAACTTCTGCCTTTACTTCACTTAGAGGTTCTGGTTCTTGAGGTTCTTAACACAGAGGACATGTCAGTTTCCACTACGTCTGCATCTGACTGGTCATTTTGGGATCCTCTGGCCAGTAGATAGGCAGGCAAAGGAAAAAGTATTTGTACTGGAAGATGCAATTAACCTTGATTATTATTAGGAGATAAAGTTGCTCCTGCAAAATGAGGGCAGGGAGGAAAATATCCGAAATTCAGGAATTCCCTGCGAATACTTCATGGCGCTTCCCATACCTGCTGATAATCATAAATGAGTGATTGCAGCAACAAGAATTGGTAACCAAAGCCTTGGCCTTCTCAATGATGGTCTGGATTACTCTACCAGGCAGGCATCCTAGACCAGCCACAGTATGGCTGAAGACGAGAGTGAATCTGGGTGATGGAGGAAGAAACAAAGAATGCCAGTTACAGCCTTGGGGGCCAATTGCAACACTGGAGACTGTAACTGGTCTCAGTAACTCACGAATCCTCATTATTATTATTATTTCTAACACCACCATGAAGAATTTGTGACAGTATAGGGTCAATTTAATGTGGAGCATGAGTGGATCTGAGCATGCAAGAGGCAGATGATGCCGATGCTGGTCCGTATTCCCTTAGTACTGTTTTCTTGCACTCAGCCAGATTTCCAACTGGCAACATCTGTGACTCCACTTAAAAGCTTTCTTTGGCCATCAGAGCCGACTCTGTCCATGCATAGAGCAGGCCAGAAGTGCCAAGGAATTAACTCTTTCTGGGAATCACCCCCAACCAATGACTGGGGGAGTCCTGTAGAGATACCCCAGTTCCCTTGGCCCTTGATTGGGGTAACTCTGTGGTTAGGTCTCCATAGCCTCTTAGAGCTCCCCAGTGGGATTAAGCTCCAGTTGTCCAACTAGTAACTTGCTTGATAACACAAACTTTGCTCTCTTCCTTCCCAGGGAGCCTATTCCAGGTCCTTGGAACTCTGGAATTCTATGTCCAAATGGCCCTAAACCTGGTTTCAGGGCTTGCACAAGGCCTTCCCTTGGCTGTTCCTCCAAAGGTGGATAGCCACAGAAGTGTGCAGACCTGTAAGCCTGAGGGAAGACTGAGGAGTGGCTATCTGGGGAGGGAAGCATTGGATAGAGCGTGAACATGTGGATCAGTGTCCACATGCATGAATGGAGGACCCCTCTCTGTGTGGCACAATATCAGAAATGGAAGGAGAGAGGTAGTAGAGTACAAGTAGAATGTTCTGGTACAAAATTCCAAGGAATCCAAAAATTCTAAATTTAACCCAGGCCCCCAGGTCACTTAGGTAAATTTGTCGAGGCAGAAGGATAGAATCTGTTTTCTTTAGCAGTTTGTTAGCTTGCTTTATAACCTTTAACTATTTAGACATTTAGAATATGGCCCTCTATTTGCACTCTTTCACCAATTCCTGGCAGTAAGTATGTAATCAATGGCTGCATGCTAAGCTATAGATGCGAAGAGCAAAAAAGAGAATAACTCGCCTTTCAGACGAGTTATTCCTGAGGGCTATTCATGTATACTTTTAGTCACTCTCTATTCCAACACTTAAAGAAAACCACTAGAGACTCTGGACCACTACTGTCTTGATGAAAAGATAGAGGAGTCATTGGTGAGGATAAATCACTGCATCGTCTTTAATTTATTATTACTGCTTTTCACAAAAGTAGCTGGTAATTAGACCCATCTCTGTACCCTGTTCCAAAAGAGGGCAGCATTGCCACTAGCACATTCCTTCAGCTGTAAATGGCCAAGACCCTCTGCTGGAGTAAGAGTCATCCATTACTTTGGCACCTCCAGGCCAGATTCTTGTGATACATTCTATGTATGGAAAAGCAAGGCTTTACCAGCAGCATCAGCTCATACATGACACTCACGCTTGGCTCTCTTTGCTACTTGGAGCCATTTTGATATTATTTGCAACGTGGAATGGTTAGTCTGAGCCACACATTGTTTTTAGTAATTCCATAATGTGGGTAAAAGTACGTGTGTGTGTATACGTGATAGTGAATAGCAAAAAGCAAATATCCTCCTCCCGCACCCCACCTGTGGTATTGATATTTCCACTATGCTGGTAGGAGTGCAGGGGAAAATACCATTTAGATGTTCCTGGGATTGATATTAAGAATTTTCAGGATACCCCCAAACAACCACTTCAAAAGATGTGCACTTGGGTTCTCTTGCTCATATGAGGTCAAACTAATTGGATTACTTAAACACAGATAATGCAGAAGAGGAAGTTTGGCGGCTCATGATCAATTAAAACAGTTTCCTTCTCAATTTTTGATTTGGTTTGGGTTTCCTTTGCTTTGGACCTTGGCATTAGAACACACATAGAAACTGTGTCTTTATAATTCCCCTCAGGCTTTTCCTAGAGGTAAGCACTCTAACTGGGGATGGAGATTTTGGTTAATTTCTTAATTGGCTGTGTCCTGGTAATGGTTTTTGCAGGATAAAAGCTCTATTTGTATCTCAGTCATTATGGACAGTGAGTCAACTCAGGACTTTAAATGAGGTTTATTATCTTCAGAGATTAAGGCAGTATTTTCTGAGCAGATTTAACAAAAATGATCTTGCCTAATTAAAAGGCTTCACTGGGTAGTGTTCGTCAGAGAGCCCGGCTGCTGGCTGTTATTTCCTGTGTCAAACTTCCTCTTACCCCTCAAGTTTGTACATGAGACAGTTAGAGGGGCCGTGTCTCAGCTCTGCCACCCACGTCTCAGCCCACTCGCACTCGATTGGACAGAATGTTAAAGAAAACTCAGAACATAAATCTGGGTGGGGAGAGCTAAGAACTCTACATTATGTTCTGTCTCGTTTCTTTTTTTATAGCTCATCATAACCTATGCCTATTTTTCCCTTTGAATCTTTCATAGATTCCAGTCATAGGCCAGATTCAAGACTCAACCCCAATTATTGGGTATAAGAGACACAATAGGTATTCAATAAACATCGGTTGAATTGAATTAAATGGGATTGAAATTGGCCCCACTAAGACATAGATCTCTTAGGGGTTGTTTGGCTGCAAAAACCAGAAATCTAGATGACTAGCTAAAGCTAAACAAGAAAATTTACTGTAAGGATACATGGATTTCTTTATGAGAAAATGCAAAAGGAAGTGGAAACTTACCAGGAATGAAAGAGAATGCTGTTTATAATTGTAAGTGCTCTCATTTCTGAAGAATCGTTCTATTCTTCTCCCTCTCTCTCTCTTTCTCTCTCCCCTTTAAACTTTCTTGACTTAGTGTGCATGAGAGAAAATGGCATTCCAAACCCCACATAAACTCCTCTTTCAAATGCTTAGTATTTGTCAGCTATAGCCATTCTGTTCTCAACACATGGGTACTGGCTTTCTTTCAAGCTTTGACAGACATCATTGTCAAGCAGAATTTTTTCCACTGAGCTTGGATACTGCTTCACATTCTTTTTAATTCAGAGCTCCAGACAGCCATGACTAGTTGTTGAAATGGCCATCTCTGTTCTAATTCCTCTGTCAATGGGTAGTCCTTTAAATATTTTAAGATAGCTCTGGGGTCTTCTGTGAATATATAATTCTAAGGCTAATATCTCTAATTTCTTGAGTTCTATAACATGGTTTTGAACCTACATTTAAGTTGCAACAAAACCTCATTTAACTCATAGAAATTCAGTAATATTTGTGTTGCACCAAACAACAACAACAACAGTGAGGGAAGAATCCCCTATTCCTTTCCTCCCATTTACACTTGTAGGAGAGGAAAAACCTTTCTCTAATCTCCTAGATTCTGTAGCTGAGCCTGTGAATCAAGCAGACAAAAGACATATTAACAGGAGAAAAGCATACAAATTTTATTTGATGTAAATATTTTTATGTGGCATGAGGGGCTTCATAGGAAAGAAGCGAAAACCCCAAACAAGCAGTTAGACTCAGGGGTTATATACCATTTTAACAAAGGGCAAAAAATTTGTGGAGAAATGATAGGACAAAGGAAGGGTGTCCAAAAAGGTCCTAGGGGCAGTAATTTGTGGGAAAGTGACTAGAAAATATATGAGAGAAACTAATGGAAGATAAGGGTTATTTCAGTAAGGTTTGTTTGTGCAGACTTATCTCTGCACCATCTCCTCCCCAAGTCCTGTCTCTGATAAGAGTGTTCTCTTCTTCTTGGTATCAGAAGGGCAACTTTCTCATGGGAAATATGCCCTTCTTTTAAGCAGAAAGGGAAAGGGCATAGATCCTTTCTTGCAGCTGCTGTTTCTCAATTGTTTTCATCTCAAAATAGTATGCAAAAGTGGCGTAGTTTGAAGTGGCATTTTTCTCGTCCCTTTCACAATCACCTTTCCCACTGGATTCATGAACTAGAGAAAGGGTGATCCAGGGAAAGGGAACTCATAGAAAACATACACAGGAAAACAAAAGGAGTTAATTTATGCCTTTTGACCTTATGACCCAGGTCCTCGGTCATAAAATTGATTTAAGAAATGTTCAAAGAGGCCGGCGTGGTGGCTCACACCTGCAATCCCAGCTCTTTGGGAGACTGAGGCAGGTAGATCACTTGAGGCGAAGAGTTCAAGACAAGTCTGGCCAACATGGTGAAAACCTATCTCTATTAAACACACAAAAAATTAGCCAGGTGTGGTGGTGTGCGCCTGTAGTTCCAGCTGCTTGGGAGGCTGAGGCACGAGAATCACTTGAACCTGGGAGGTGAAGGTTGCAGTGAGCCGAGGTCGCACCAGTACACTCCAGCCTGGGCAACACAGCAAGACACTGTCTCAAAAAAAAATGTTCAAAGATAAAGTTGACTATACATAATTTTAGTGTGATGACTTTAGAATTTGTGGCCCACTTAAAATGAGATGCTGCTCTGTTTTCTTCTGAAGATGGTCCTACTTGCCCTCTCTCACTTAGAGAATAATCTCTATGGGTGGAAGCAGGACTCCCCATGTGGTCTCAGCAGCAGAAGGTGGTTTCGTTACCATCTTACTAGCTCTAGTGCTATAGTTCCACATATACTGCTCATCAGCAGTATAGGGATTACTGAAAGCCCAAAGTCCTGCATTTTCTTACACTTATTCCAATAAAACCAGGAAATAATGCACCCACTCATAACATGAACTCAAATATGATTCAGCCAACTCCCATTTAACCCCGTTCTCATTAACATTGCATTAACTTACCCACTGCAGTATTATACGGTGATTTATTTATTTATTTTTTACTATAATTTACAAGATAACTCAAGCAAAAGTGCATTAAAGAGGGACCAGTACCAAGAAGGTACTCAGTAAAATCAGCAACCTCCACAGGTGTTTTATTGTGCACAGGTATAGGCTTTTGCTTGAAGAATCACTTACTTTTCCCTTGTTGGTTCTGGTTCATAGTTCAAGCCTGTCATAACCTTTTTTGGCCCAGGTTCCATCATCCAATGTATTTGCTATGCCTCCAAGGTTTGCATGCCAGTTGGCTTTTTGAAGGCAATTTCTTTTATTTTTATGCATCCAAATCTGGGTGAGAGAGGGGAAGGTAAGGCATACCTGGAGAAAACCCTATACTGGGAGATAAAAACTTCTCTCACTGTATAACACAGAGTACTTAAAAACATTCTAAAATGTTATTTAATGATTTTTTAAAAATCACATGTAGCAAGCTGAAACAATAGAACACAATCCCCATAACTGGTCTTCAGTAACATAGTGAAGATTTTGTATTTCAGCTAATTCTCAACTAGCAAAAGAGAAATAAGTGAACAGGAGAATTAATATTTTGTTGTTTTTCATCCACTTTCTCTCCAGTTTAGGGAGCATTGAGGTCAAGGATCTGCCTCACTATCCTTCCACCTTTGGCTCTGCTTGCAGTGGCTCTGGTTCTATCCATGCTTTTACTAAGCCTGCAAATTCTGTAAAGCAGGAAACTACAAAAACGTTACAAAAGGCTCTGTCAAAAGATTCTTCAAGTGATTAAGGATAGCACACTCTGCATAGGAAATGAAGCCCTCGGAGAGATTTGAAGAAGCCCTTGGAGAGATTTGAGATATCCCTAACGGAGAAAGAATTGACCTTCATTATCTCAGGAAGGCTTTTGACATAAAAGAGAAAGAGAAGAAACTGATTACTTAAAGAGGAGAGAGAGCTGTAAAGAGAACTACGAGGATGAGCATCAGGCTTAAAGTGGCTTAATTTATAAACGGATAATTTAAAAATAGAATTGGAACATTAAGCCTTAATATGACCTATACTCCTCGCAATCCAGAAGTGAAGGTCAGTATTTAACCAAACCTCAGAGGTTAAGGAACATACACACACACACATATATACATATATATACACATATAAATATATGTGTATAAAATGTGTGTGTATATATATATTTAGAATCAAGATAAAATATATCCTGATATTATAAAATACTTACTCTAATAAGAAAAATGGCTAAAAACTAATGACCCTGAACAATCAAGGTTGAGTTTTGTGCCTCTTAAATCAAGAAAAATAGTGATAAAAAAGAGTTTTGTGCCTCTTGATACATATACAAACATACATACGTGTGTGTGTGTGTGTGTGTGTGTGTGTGTGTGTACACTATAAATACTGCCTAAAATGTTTAGGTCTGATCTCTAATGTACTGATCTCTAATGTACAGAGGAGTAGTATGGGGTAGAAAGTAGGGCATGGTGTTTGGAACCAAATATCCGAGGTTTGAGTTTTTGTTTAGCTGCTTGCCGTTTTCCTTGACCAAAATTTTCTGAGTTTCAATTTTCCTATTTTTGAAACTGTCGTGATAATAGAAAAGTGACAACTTGCGGTGTTCTGTAAAGTCTAGGCAAATTATATACCATCAGTAAACATTTTATCACTAGTTTTATAGCTCTCATTCAAATGCTTCCACGATCCCACCAAGATTCATGAATATCATCATCCCTTCAATTATTTAGTAGATGATAAAATGAGCATTAAGAAAAATCCCTTTGCATGAGCCAAGAATTCCTGGCTGTGCTGTTTATGTTTATTCACTGATTTTTCAATAATTAGGAGAGCAGGAATAACAAAAACACCAATAAAAAGAACTCAGCTTAGTAAAAGTAAGGTAGCCAGAAAACCAATTTCAATGTGTATTTTTATACCTCAGAAAAACCAATTCGCTTTGTAAATGGTGTGTCGGGACCATCCCTAAGGGTCATTGTCCTAGACCAATGGTATTAACTATCAGTCTATGTTCAGAACTGGAAATAGAAATACCTCCAGGTATTTGAAGAAGAAAAGGATTTAACTCAGGGAAATAGGCCCTTTAAAAATTACTGGAAGAGCTGTAGGCACCACTGAAATTTTTGAGTTTAAGGACAAACTGCTAGTGCTTCTTCAGCAGCTTCTTCAACACCCACCCTCCTCTCCACAGCTTTGTCAGCAGAAAAAAAAAAAAAAAAGGAAAAAACCAAAACTACAGATCATCTCTACTAATGCCTGTAGACAAAAGGATAGATGATGAGAACTTGCAATGTGTTACAAGATCAAATGTTCAAGGTGTAAGGGATGAGCTCATGATAGTTGGGTTTTAGCTCCTGAGGCTGATAGGGCTGTTTTGTGTTCAGGTGATCAGGAAAAACAAACAGAGTCACTTTCTTCATTTATGAACCTGCAAACCAGAGACTCTAAGGTTTGATATAAACATTCTGCCTAGTCAGTATATAATGTTGACAAAGATGAAAAAAATGTTAAGCCAGAGATAAAACAAAAATATTTTTACCACTATAGAGAGAAACAAAGGAATAATCATTTAACCGCCATTTTCCCCTTACATTATAGGAATTTCCATACCAGCAATTTTGGTGGCCATTAAAGTGAAGTTGAGGGAACTGGATAGAAGAGAATTACCCTGACTTTACACTGGAAAGTACCCTTAGCATTGTTCTAGATGGTGACCTAGAGAGTGCCTGATTCATGCAGCTTTATGTGAGTTGAAATTGAAAGTTGGCTCTGAAATCACAAGTTTTACAAAATTCACTCAATGGAATCTTAAATGATAATAGCAAAAATTTCTCTGCATCTTTTGCATAGATGTTTCCTATAATTTTAGTGTCAAGACATATGTTCTAATAATGTTTCTTCACTGGTATCCTCTCCCCTGAAGTTTGACACTCTTGTACTTAGTTTTCCTCCTGGAGTCCCAGGCAAATAATTACTATTTTTTTTTTTTTTGGTTGGCAGACGTTATTTGAACTGCCATCCCTATTATGAGATTCAGGTGAGAACAGGCTTGGGCAGGGAGGGAAGCACATACGTGCATAAATGTGCCATATCGCCATGTTCTTGTTGCAAATCCTTTAAGTGACGGCAACGGAGCCAAGGACTGACTGGGAGGTCAGTCACACACCCTCACAATCTGGTGCACTGGCATCCGTTGTGCTCAGAGTGGTTTGTTTCTGACAGTTACGGCAGCTGGATCAACACTTATTTTTTCATAATGACTCAGATCTTCATGTTCTGTTGCTTTGGGGTAATACCTATGACAAATATTAGGATGTGATGGTGCTGGGCTAGGAAGAGTGGACGTGACAACGAGCACTCACTCTAGGACGTAGTATCTGAAGGCTTCAACTCTGAAAGTCTAGTGACTCAGCTACTCAAAATCCTACATGTCACATTTCTATAAACATCCAACATCTGCTCCTATAATATATATGAGGGGATGTCATAAAAGTTGGATTTTATGACAAAAGTTTTGTTGTCTAGAGAGTCTCTCTGATGAAACCGTGAGGCATAGTTGTGATCAGTTTTAAGAACAGATGGCATTTTTGTTGGTTGTTCACATCTGTTGAGACTTAATGATATGCTAGGCACCCCCCTATAGGTTTATGTAGGACAACTCTACGAGGTAGGCAGTATTATTATTATTATTACCATTTTATAATGGAAATGGACACACAGAAGGGTTAAGTAATTTGTCCAAGGTCAAACAGCTTCAACAGAATCATCTAAATCCCAGAAATTGGGATCAGGTTCCTCTGTGGGACTTCTGTTCATGTTACCTTCATCATTCTGGTCACTCAGCCTCAAAACGTTAGATCTTGGAGGGACCTGAGAAGTTATAGAGGAACACATTCATTGTAGGGATGAGGAAAACAAAGCTAAGAGAGCATTAAATATCTGTCCTGAGGATCTACAACTGGATTGTGGCAAAACCAAGACTAGCCAATGTTGTTTTTGTCTCTTACATCACACTCTGGCTTTTCTCTGCCCATTGTTCTTTATTGCTAATGAATCACCAGTCTTATTCACTTCCTTCTTAACTTTTCTGATCTCTGCCCCTTCCTTCCTATCCCCCAATTCAGGTTCTGGTTACTCTTTGCCTGGACAACTACAGCAGTCCTGTGGCTTCAGGACTGCCCATCTTTTTTTTTTTTTCCAAGTAGATTGAAATTGGAGCAAAAGTAATTAGTAATTATAAAATCACCTTTTAAGAAATGTTATATTTATTCCATTCAGTCATTTCTCAAATGTTGCCAAATTTCTCCTTTGTAATTGCTAATTGTTATTTTAAAAACGTCCACCTTAAACATTATTAGTGCTTAGCTCTCCCTTGTAATTAGATGCAATTATCAGAACATAGTTTATATTAACCTGGGTTTGTGTGTTGTGCTGTGTGAGCCATACTTCCTACTGACTTGTTCCTGTCCCCGATAAAAATTCCTTCCTTTATTTTCGCATAATCTTAAAATTTTTTTTAAAAAGAAAGCATGTTCATTATAGAAAAACCCAGTGCATATAAATAATTACAGAAGAAAAATCTCAAAACACTTAGACTCTTATTCATCCAAATCAAGGTTAACACATTGCTGTGTATTATTTCTCTTTTATGTGTAGATTTTTCTTTTTTAATGTGCAAATTTAGGAAAAGAACTAATATTCCTCTTTGTTAAAATGTGGATAATAATACCTCTATCACAAATTTCTTGGAAGAATAACATGAGAATATATATGAATGACATGGACAGGAGGCAGGGAAATACTGGGTAGAAGAGGGTGGTTCCTCGGCAAAGGCACCACCCTCAAGCCTGGAAACCTGTGGCCCTAAATGGGAATGGGCATTCCTGTTTTTGTGTCCAAATGTTGCCTTTTGGCCTGCCACACCCCCCCATCCTGTACCTATATAAACCCCAAACCCCAGGCTCCACAAGCAGAAGAGCAAAGGAGCAAAACAGTGGCAGAGTGGCACAGCAGAGAAGGAAAGAACAGAAAGAGCGTCTGAATGTCGAGAGGAGTTCGGCTGGGAACAGAGAGGAGATTGGTCACAGGACAGCCAAACTCCAGGGGAGGATTATCTTCCCACTCCATCCCCTTTCCAGCTCCCCATCCATCCCACTGAGAGCCACCCCCATCACTCAGTAAAATCCTCACATTCACCATTCTTCAAGTCCATGTGACCTGATTCTTTCTGGATGCTGGATAAGGAGTCGAGTACCAAGAGGGCAGAGGGCAGGGTGTAAAAGGCTGTCACCCTGACCCTCCGCTAAGCTGGTTTAACACTCAGCTGTCCGTGGATGGCAACTGCTAAAAGAATATTAATTGTAACACACCCTTAGATGCTACCATGGGGCCAGAGCCCAAAAACGCTTGCCCTGACTCCTGCACCTGCCCGTCTGCATGCTACCCCTCCCATAAGGCATTTCAGTGCATGGTGACCCGAGCAAATGAGCCACACCCTTATTGCAATTTCTCCAAGGGGATTGGGGAACTCTCCCATTCTATGAATATACTTGGCACGTAGAAATTGCCCAACATATGGTAGATATGAGCTGTTTTTATATTCAACTCTTCAAACTCCTGGAATTAGTTTTGATGTCAAGTTTGAAATAGGGATATGATTTCATTTTTCCCCCAGTGGTTAAGTAATTGCTTCACTTTTTCAAAATTAAAGTTTTAATTTAGAGATAACTGTAGATTCACATACGGTTGTAACAAATTATACAGTGAGATCCTGTGTACCCCTTACCTAGTTTCCCCCAGTGATAACATCTTGCAAAACTATAGAACGATGTGAACCAGGATGTTGACACTGGTACAGTTAAGATACAGAACATCTCTGCCCCACAAGGATCCCTCTTGTTTGCTGCCCTTTATAGTCACATCCAATTCCCTCCTGCCCCCACCCACCTTCTTAACCACTTGTAACCACTAATCTGTTCTACATTTCTATAATTTAGCCATTTCAAGAATATTATAGAAATGAATCATATAGTATATAACACTTTTGATTGTTTTTTTCTGCTTAGCATAATTATCTGGCGATTAATTCAACCTTTTGCTGTATCAACAATTCTTTCTTTTATAGATTAACTTAGAGAGAATAGGTCCATTTAGGAGAGGCCATAATGTCTCCATCAATTAGTCTTTTTAAAAGTCCCATGGAAATGTTTTGCTGTTTTCTTTATTGAGTTCTTATAAGTTTTTTAAAATTTTATTTTTATATAACATATACAAATAAATGTGTTATGGATCTACCCAACTTTTAAAATGCATGGGAAATATACTTGTTGAGCATGGTTCTCAAAAGGTCTTGGATTTAAAAAGTATCCTTTTCTCAGGTACTCTGAAAGAGTTACGTTTCAGGTACTCTGAAAGAGTTACGTTTACTGTTCCACTAGTGTTGGCTCATACTGGTTACCTATATTAAATTCCCATTTTGAGTTTCCTGATAGGCCCTGGAGTGAGACAGGGGGCATTGTGCTCTGTCTTCTTCCCATCTTGGCTTTATTTTGACTGAAGTTGAGTTACATGTTCTATTTAGTAAGAGGTAGAAATGAATGAATCTTGCTGAAAGAAAAAAAAATGTGAAGAACTAAACCCAAGGCATGACACATTTGGCTAACATCTCCTAAAGACACAATGCACTGTGGTGAGAGAAGTGTCATTTATGTTTCAGTCTCTAAATACTGTGTTTATTATAGGTTATGATTTGTGAGATTTATCTTTTTTTCTTTCAAAATCACTGTGAGTCTTTTTACTCCAAACACATAAATTAACTCTTTATGTTTCTGGCACTTGTTCACATAACCTGGTGACATATGGTCCTAACTATAGAATTTGTATTTTTATAAATACAGATATATAGAATAAAAATTACTAAGGTATAACTTATATACAGCAAAGCACAGTCATGGTAAATAATATTTTCACCACCTCCAGAAGTTCTTTTGTGTCCCTTCTCAGTCAATTTCCTCACCCACCCCTAGCTTCTGGCAATCACTGATTTGCTTTCTGTATTTATAAATTAGCTTTATTTTTTTTTTCTAGGGTTTTAAGTAAATAGAACCACACAGTATGTACTCTTTTGTGTCTGGTTTCTTTAGTGCAACCTTTTTTTTGAGGCAGGGTCTCACTCTGCCATTTGGGCTGGAGTACAGTGGCATTATCCTGGTTCAGCAGCCTCTGCCTCCTGGGCTCAAGCGATTGTCCCAACTCAGCCACCTGAGTAGCTTGGATGTGCCACCATGCCTGTCTAGTTTTTGTATTTTTTGTAGAGATGGGGTTTCCTTATGTTGCCCAGGCTGATCTTGAACTCCTGGGCTCAAGTGATCTTCCTGCCTCAGCCTCTCATGGTGCTAGGATTACAGGTGTGAGCCACCGTGCCTGGCATTGTTTTTGAGGTTTATCTGTGTTGTTGTGTGTATTGGTAGCTCTAGAATTTGTATTTTTATTAAGGCTACATCCATTCAATTAAGAAATATATTCTGAGTCTGGGCGTGGTGATTCACGCCTCTAATCCCAGCACTTTGGGGGGCCAGGGCCGGTGGATCACCTGAGGTCAGGAGTTTGAGATCAGCCTGGCCAAAATAGTGAAACCCCACTTCTACTAAAAATACAAAAAATTAGCTGGGTGTGGTGGTGCATGCTTGTAGCCTAGCTACTTTGGAGGCTGAGGCAGGAGAATCATTTGAACCCATGAGGTGGAGATTGCAGCGAGCCAAGATTGCACCACTGCACTCCAGCCTGGGTGACGGAGTGAGACTCTGTCCCTCTCCCCCCCATCCCCCCACCAAAAAAATATATATATATTCTGAGTACCTATTATGTGCTAGGCACTGTTCTTGATGATGGAACAACTGTGAATAAAAAGAGACAAATCCCTACTTTCATGGAGCTTGCATATTAGTGGAGACAGGAAGTAAGAGCTTCCTATATGTACACACAAATGGTATAATTGCTATAGCAATGGGCATTAGAGACTTCTTGGGAAACTTTAGAAAAAGTTATCTGGGAAAATTTTACTGGAAGTTCATTTTTGAGTATTGAAAGAGTTGAAGGAGAAGACATAAAGATATTTAGAAAAAGAGCATTCTAGGTGGAAGCAGGTACAAAAGCCCTAGTTCCTGCCAGGAGAGGCCAAGAAACCCAGAGTGGCTGGAGTGGAATGAGAGTGAGGTCAGAGAGGAAGGGTGGTGGTGAGGGGGTACAGACTTTCTAGTCCCTGTAAGCAGTGTAAGGGTTCTAACTTGAGTAAGTTGGGAGCCATTGGAGATTTTGAGCAGTGGAGTGACATGCCTGACTCACATTTTCAAATGGTCACTTTGATTGCTGTATTGAAAACAACTGTAGGGAAGTAGGAAGACCAGTGAGGAAGCTGTGGCAACAATCTATGCAAAGATGATGATGGCTTGGACAAAGGTAGCCATGGTGGAGGAGTGGCAAGTGGCCACCTTCTGAACACATTTAATACAGAGTGTCAACAGTAATTGCTGATTGACTAGATGTGTAGTATGAGGGAAAGAAAAGAGTCTAAGATGACTCCAAGGTTTGTGGCCTGAGCAACAGTACAGAACAGAGTTGAGCCCGGAAAAAAATGAGAGAAATAGGTTGTGGTGGAAGAGGGAAAACATTCACTTTAGACATGTTAAATTTGATATACCTATGATTGAGTAAGCAGTTATGAGTTTGTCCTTTAGAGATTAGAACTAGAAATATACCTTTGAAGTCAACAGCAGCATATAGATGATTTTTAAAGTTATGAGACTGGATAATATCTACAAGTATGTAGTAATGGATGAAAGAGGAGAGGTCCAAGGACCCAGGTCATGGGATGACCTTCTGATGTTGTGAAAATGAGGATGAACCAGTAAAGGGGACTACAAGCAGGGGCTGGTATAATGGAAATCATCCAAAAGGGCATGTGTCCTGGATACCAAATAAAGGAAGTGATTTAAATAAAAGGACGTGCGCAACTATGTCGAATGTTGCTGAAAGTTCAAATAAAATAGGGACTGAGAATTGGCTTTTGGGTTTATCAACAGGGAAGTCATTGGTGATTGTATGAAGAGCATTGGTGAAATGGTTAGGAGTAAAATACTTATCAGAGTGAATTTAGAGAAGAATAGGAGAAAAGAAATTGGAGACACTCTGGATAACCTTTTTGAGAGATTTTGCTATAAAGGAGAGTACTGACATGTGATTGATAGTGATTAGATGGGAAAGTGGGATGAAGAGAAGGATAGTTTTAAGATGGGAGATTTTTTTCCCCCTTATGGAATGACCCAGGAGAGAGAGAAAAAATGCTGAAGCAGAGATGAGAGAGGCTGAAGTGATAGAGAAGGAAATCTCATGCAAAAGTGGAGGGGTTGGCACAAAATAAGAACATGGAAAGTTTGCCTGTGGTAGTGGAAAGAAAAGCAGAGTTGATGGCCTCCAGTACAGGTAGATGAATAGATATGAAGGGAGCTTGTGAAAACCATCTTTTAATTGCTTCTATTTTAACAGTGAAAGAAGGAGCAAAAGTCGTAGGCTAACAGTGACGATGGAGAATAGGATATTGGCAGTTTGGAAGAGGTAAGGTAAAAAAACTGAGAAAAAGATGGCATAGGTAAATAACTGTATGAACTCAGGACATGTGGTATTATTATTCTATAGTACTAAGATTTTACTTGAAGTTTTGGTCATGATTTAAAGACCTGTCAACATGTGGTTTTCTCCAGCCTCATTCAGCTTTGGGAATGCACCTATGCCACATTTGCACACTTGCACAGAAGAGTTGTACTCAGTTAGAATTGAGGTGTTTCAGTTATCTATTGCTACATAACAAATCTCCAAATGCAGTCATTTAAAAACGACTACAGTTTATTGTTTCTTCCGAGTCTATGGTTTGACCTGTTGATCTTCTGCTTCACAAGGCGTGAGGCTGGGCTGCAGTGATATGGTGCACTTGACTGGGCTGAAATGTTCACAATAGCTCATTCACATGTCTTTCTGGATGGCTAGAAGTGGATATAATTCCTTTAAAAACTTTGTGAGTTCCTGTGTATCAAATTACAATCCATTCCATTAGACAGAAGCCTCCATAGCCAAACTCACCCTTCATTAGGGACCCTTTTTCCGATGATATAACAGTTTTTGCTAATTTTTTGGTCAGTACGTAACTTAGGTACCCCCTGTTTTCCAGCCTCCAAGAGCAATTTCTTCACTGCCCTTACTGTCTTCACTAATAGTCTTCCTGAAGCTTTTCCAGCTTCTATCTGGTCCCAAAGTCAATGTCACTGATTTTAGGTTTTTGTTATCTCAGCACTGCACTTGTAGGAACCAAGTTCTATCACATTTGTCTATTGCTATGTTACAAGGATCCTCAAAACTTAATAGCTTAAAGCAATAGCAATGTATTATTTCTCACAGTTATGGGGGCTGACCAAGCTGTTCTTTTGACTCATATCGTATCGGCTAGGGCTGCAACCATCTGGGCTTAACTGAGCTAGTGTCTTGGCAGAGACAGATGTAAGGTTGGGTTCAGCTAGGAACTGGGGATGACGACATCTCTTCTCCATTAAGGTCTCTTCATATAGTGTCTCTACATGGTCCTGCCAGCATGGTAGCTGAATTTCTACATGGTAGCTTACGGTTCACTGAAGTGCAAATACAGAAGCTGCCAGTCCTGGATGGGGCACAGTGTTACTTCCACTGCACTCTATTGGTTAAAGTGAGTCACAGGTCAACCAGATTCAATATGAAAGGGGGTCTACAAAAGGGAATGAATACTGGGAGGTGTGTTTCATTGGGAGCTATCTTTGAAGAACAGATACCACCTCAGATGAGGTGGGTAAAGTAGAAGGGGGCAAAGGAGCTGAGAAAATATGAAGAGAGTGATTTTCATGATGAAGCATGGAATTTAAGCTGAGTAAGGGACACTTTTAAAAAGTTGGGGGAGGGTCATTGTAAAGGTGATGGAATCACTGGGTCCTCATGGAGTTGAAAAGATTTTTATTGAGATAGGAGAGAGAGTGAACTGGAAAGTTAGGAAGAACATGGGAAGTAGGATGCTTAAAACTGGATCATGCCATGAGCAGGCGGCCGGGAGGTGGGGAGGACTGGGAAGATTTTGGTCAAAGGGTACACAATTTCTGTTAGACGGGAGGAATAAATTCAAGAGATGTATTGTATAACATGGTGACTATAGTTAAATACAATGTGTTATATATATACTTGAAAAGTGCTGAGAGATTTTAAGTGTTCTCATCACAAATGATAGGGATGTGAGGTAATGCATATGTTAATTAGGTTGATTTAGCCATTCTGTAATGTATAGGTATTTAAAAACATCATGTTGTACACTATAAACCTATACAATTTTTATTTGTAATTAAAAAATTAAAATAATCAAATTGAATAGTTTTTTTTCTTTGGGGAAAAAAAGATTATGGAGGAGTTGTAGGTATTGATGATGCCAAAGTCTAAGGCAGGGGAACATCCCTGGCATCCCTTCAAGAGTGTATAAAAATTACCAGTGCCTGGGCTTCTTTCCAGACCAATGAAATCAGAATCTCTGTGGTGGGTCTGAATTGTTTTTTTTGTTTTTTTTTTTTAGCTTGCCAGGTGATTCTAGCATCCATCTAGGGCTGAGGAACAGTTATCGTAAGTAAGTCATTTATGAAATGCCTACCACAGTGTGTGCCAAGCACTACCGTGAATCCTTTTTACATCCCCTCACTTTGTATTCACTAAGTTCTGTGAGATACAACTATTCTTATCTCCATTTCACAGATGAGGAAACTGAGGCTTAGGGAGATTAATCAGGTCCACCTGACATCAAAGCCATATTCTTAACCACTACTATTTTCTAATTTCTTTTTTCCAATAAATGTGTGGATTTTGGGGCAAATCAAGGATATTTTTACAAATTCTTAGAAATGCACTTAATGTCTGCTCCTTAAGCAAGCGTTTCTGCATATTGATCATATATTATTATTTCTTTAGACAGATTTTGAATTATGACCAGCTGATGTCACTTTATTATTAGTTCAAACCTCATGGTATCTGAACCCAATTAGACAGAAGGGATGCCATGGGCATCCTCACAGTCCACGGGCTGTTAGAGGAAATCTGAAAACAATATTTTGTACTTCTCTATCTACCCTTTACTCATTTAGAGTAATCCATGCAAGGCATTTTTAGAAAGTAAAATTTGGAGAGAATTTTAGATCAGAAAAGTGAAAACTGTCAGGTGCTTAGGTAAGAATTAAATTTGACGCGGATAGTCAAATAGCGGACTCTTTGGAGAGTATAGTCACTCAAATCACAAGCCAGAAGTGTCATTTGATATTAAAATTTTCACTTAGAAAGACCAAGTATCTAAACGTTTTGACAGACAAGGAAGGACATTTCATCTTACAAGTGTCCCTCTGGTAATCTATTGCATACCCTTTTTTACTATTAAGACTTGGCTCTAATTCTCCTCCCTCTAAGAAACTTTTCTGATATGCCATACTCCACCTTGGCTACCCCCTCATGTTCTGTCCATTCATATTTATGCCAAAAATTGTTCTGATGCCAGTTAATCTATAGTTTGTATGTTTCTCCAATGAAACTACAAACTTCTTGAGGTCAGAGACCCTATATCCTTCTTCTTTTTTTTTTTAACTTTCACGCTGCAATGCCCGATATGCTGGGCATGTGGTTGATACTTGACTAATAAATAAGTGTTGGATGAATGAACTATTACTCAACTGGGGACCTTAGAAATATTCCTACTGAAGGTAGCACCAGGAAAGAACAGCTGGATTTTCACGCATGTAACTTTATTTAGCCGTGGCAATAACTCTGTGACAGTGGTGTTATTAATATTACCACTCAATAGAAGAAGAAACTGAAGCTTTGAGAAATTAAATAGTTTACCCAAGTTTAAGTGGCTGGAATTATCATGACTCAAATTCAGAGTTGTTTGTTTTTGCTGTCTCTACCACTTTGAGCTACTGCAGTGTTAGGGGCTTTTCTTTTCTAGCACAGGTGATGGTAAACCAACTCAAACTAGCTTGGCCTTAAAGAGGATTGTTATTGGAAGAGTCATAGAATAACGGGAAGGTCTGCAGAAGCCAGGGTTGTTCTGAGAACATTGGTGATGGGAACTGAGAAGAGGCTGCCTGGGCTAGACCCGTCTCTGCTTGGCTCCTGTCTCTCCTCCTGAAGAGGGCTTTCCTCTCTGTGTATCGGGGGAGGGTGAGGGGAAAGAGGCATGATGATCACTAGGAGCCCCAGACTCAAATCCTTCTTCTTTCATGACTTAAAAGCTCCCAATGCATGTATTATCTCCTAAAACCTTATTTGTCAAACTGAACTTAATGTGCCTCACAGGAAATCTCTCTGGAGGAAGAAAAGCAAACCATTCAATGGTGTTAGAATACAGTGTCCTAAAGAGGCACAGTGCTGGCCTGGGTGATGAATGGCCAACCGGGTACCCTAAAGAGATGAAGGCTGACGTGTATCACATCCTCCCTGCTTTCATCCCACACTGCTCGCACCTATGGCCAGATCTCTGTGTCCACCCAAATCATCATTTTGCTGTTCTTAATACATACGTTTGTAGAAGGTACACACACAATGTTTAAAAAAGGATCTAATTTGGTGTTAACAGACAACCAGGTTCTTAATGCCTTAAGGATAACAATGATTATATTTTTCTCCTTACATTGGCCCTTTTCTCTTAAACTGATTAAATCAGTTGCTAGTACTAGGGAAAAAAATGACTGAATTGACATTATCACCGTGCCAGGATTTCCTATGCGTTTTGAGGCAGTATAATGTGCACCGGTTTTCTATTTTTTCTTTTCTCTCTCTCTCTCTTTTTTTTTTTTTTGCCAACGATCTCCTTGTTTAAACAAAAATTTATCCAGTCTCCCAACATGTGAAACAGATAAAAACTGAGGGAACTTGGAAAGGGGTCCAGTGTCCCTGTCTTCCTTTTCTGCGATGCTTCTTTTAGGTAGACTCAGAGGAGGCTTCTCAGGATAGACTTTGAACACCCTGGTGGAGTGGGAGGACCCTGCATTAGAAGCCAGAAGGCTCGTGTTGAAGATCTGGTTCTGCTAGTAATTACTTGTGCAACCTTTAGCAAGACATTTAACCTCTGTCTTTTTCCAGTGATAAAATTATACTTGCCCTTTCCAACTTGCAGGTTGTTGTGTGGACTAAATGACATAATAGATATAAAAGTGCTTTAAAAATGGCAAAAAATTAGTTTAACCATGGAAAATCCTTCATTGCATTTATATGTCAATACATATTTGTTGATGTTGACTGAACTTTGCAACCTAGGTAACAAAAATAACTAAGGATGTTCCACTTTTAAACATTTTGTGGTTCTAATAGCACTGAGGTAGAATACACATTAAAGTATTGAAATGGAATATATTTTTTGTGTATATAAGTAGGACAATGTCAGTTTTACCAATCATCCAAAGTTAGAAAGGTGATCAATCATTAGTTAGGTGCTTGGTCCTGAGAAAAGTCTACGGAAGAGAAGGAAAAAAGTTTAGAGTATAAAGGTAATTTTTATGAGCAGCAATGATAAATTCCATGAACTCCTGGGATAAGATCATCTGAATTAATTGGCATCACCATCAATCAAAGGCTGTTGATTGCTCTAGTAAAAGGGTGTAAATCCCATGAAATGAAAGTGGGGCTGAAAAATATCAATCTATTTTAGCCTGCTGTTAAGAAAGGAAATGGGTAGCGCTGTTCAAATGTTGTATTTCCACTTGCTAAATTCAACAATTAGAACCACACTTTCATGAATTAACCTGTTAAGTGAATAAATCTTCTCTTCAACAGTTTCATGTCATTGGTTCAAATGGTGTAATGTTTCTCACATAAAGAACTTAAGAAGAATAAATCCATTAGGGAAATCGGTGGAATTTATTGTACTCTAAGGCCGTGCATTTAAACAGACCTCAACTGTACAAGAACACATAATGGCCTTGTGTTTGAGGACTGTCAATTCTAGATCTGCAACAAGCATTATAAGAAACCAACAAACGGTGCGTGTATTTATTCCACCTCTCTTCACACTGGGCACTGTGCTTCTTTGTGTGTGTATCTTACCAAATGCTGAGTAGCTTGTTCCCAGGAGATTAGTGGAGAAGACTCTGTTCCCCAGGTGAACCATTTCTATTTAATTTTTATTTATATTTCCAGTGAAATCTGTACTTTCCTCATTTCTACAACTGTGGAAAAAATAAAATCTGTAAGCTGACCCAAAATTTCTGTTGGCCACATCAGAAACTTCCGAAAACACCATTTACAAGTTATATCATTTCCCTCAAATGAGCCAATTTTTTTCTCCTTTTACTCTAGGGGTTAAAAAGAAAGCCCCTCTACCTTTGCCATAAATATCAACAGGTCAGGGGAAAGCTGTTTATTTTTCTCCTGAAGCACATTAATGCTACCAACCAACAACAGCAGCCTTTAAAACTCAGAATGCAAGACTAGAAGGAGCCAGCCACAACTCCCCCGGAGTAATGGCAAACACTTTTTCACCTCAGGCTATTCGTGAGAAAGGATTTTCTTTTTTTCTTTTAGGGCCTCTTTTCCTATTCACTGATATTCACCCCTAACCCCACATCAGGGAGAATGAAAAGGTTCAGGGATACTTTAAAGTTGGGCTATTGGAAAGTTAAAAGCCTTAAATTGTAGAATAAACATTGACTACTTCGAGCTCATGTTTTTCACCACAAACTAGGTGAAGATGTATTTTCTCACAGATCCCTTGATTAGGAAATTTTAAAAACAATTCAAATATATAAATAAAATACATAAATTAAAAATTTTTTTCATGAATGTTCTGGAATATTCAGGCTAGAAAACTTTGTGCCCGTTGCCAGAAAGTCCTAGCTTTTACACAGCGGTTAATGCTTATCTCCAGGGAACAACTGACTTCATAAGTTCTTTAGACATCTCGACAATCAGGAGTGCTAAGTTTCTTAAAGGTAAGCCTCACATTGTGGATTACGGTGGTAGACAAGTAAGACAAGCAAAACCAAACTGAACACATGTTGATCATTTCAGCAATGCAAGTTCTATTATGGTTGGAAGGGCAATGCTTTCCGTAGCTGCTTGATCTTTATGAATCCATTTGCTTCTTTACTATCCCAGTAACTATAACTATTCTTGTTGCCTTCCTTTTTTTTCGAACAATCTTGAATTCTTTTCTCTACCTTGAGTTCCTTGGGTTGTGTTTTTCATCAATTCCAGTACTGACAATAGTTCTTTATTAAAATTCTGAAAGGTATTCAGAGAACTCACTGACTATTAAAACCAGGAAGCTGCTAAAATTCAGAGCAATCAGAGAAGAGACATGATCTTTCCAAGGATATAGAACTAATTTTTGCCAGGTTGTTGGAAAAGCCCAGATTTCTGGACTATGACAATCACCTGCTTTTTCCATCACACCAATCCCATCTATAAGTTAGTTGTGAGTGTACACCTGCAATCTTTTTCTATAAACAAAGGCTTTCCTCCCATACTTAATTCTCCACTCTGCACTGCTATTCCACTCAGAGTTAGGGACCATAAATCATTCATCTTTCACACTGAGCATCTCCTATAGTGCCTAACACGCAGTGGATGCTCAATAGCATTGTACACCACCTCCATTTACTATTGAATACTTCTCTAATCTGCTCATGAATAGGTCTTCTGAACTTGATTACAAACTCCCCAAAGGCATAGATTATACCCTGTTATTTCCAAGATATAACAACAGTTCTAGTAGTGTTTAGTACATGTAGGCTATTTTTTTAGAAGTTGAAAGTAGAGAACAATGTCATAGAATGACATCAACCCAATTTTCTGAAGTACTGTGGTAGGCTGAATAATGGTATCCCAAAGATGTCCATGTCCCAATCCCTGGAACCTGTGAATGTTACTTGTATGGCAAAAGGGACTTTGCAGATGTGATTAATTTAAGGATCTTGAGATGGGAAGATTACTCTGGATTATCCAGGTGGGCCCACTGTTATCATAACAGTTCCTATAAGAGGATGCGGGAGGAGTCAAATCAGAGAAGGTGATGTGATCCTGGAAGGAGAGATAAGAGTGATGTGCT
This sequence comes from Homo sapiens, assembly GCF_000001405.40. Classification (NCBI taxonomy): domain Eukaryota; kingdom Metazoa; phylum Chordata; class Mammalia; order Primates; family Hominidae; genus Homo; species Homo sapiens. The sequence continues at coordinate 105,473,185 of NC_000006.12, forward strand.
TTAAAGATGGAGGAAGGGGCCACAAGCCAAGCAATACAGGTGGTCACTAGAAGCTGAAAAAGGCAAGGAAACAGATTTTCCCCTCAGAGCCTCCAGAAGGTACCAGCTCTGCTGACATCTTGAGTTTAACCTAGTAAAATGATATTGGACCTCTGACTTCAGAATAAATTTACATTGTCTTAACCAACTGAGTTCGTGGTACTTTGTTACAGCAGAATTACAGGAGAATGATGGAAGTACCATGAAGGCTTTTTTTTTTTTTTTTTTTTTTTTTTGACAGAGTCTCACTCTGTCGTCCAGGTTGGAGTGCAGTGGCATGATCTCAGCTCACTGCAACCTCTGTCTCCCTCAAGCAATTCTCATGCCTCAGCCTCCTGAGTAGCTGGCACTACAGGCCTGTGCTACCATGTGCAGCTACTTTTTGTATTTTTAGTAGAGACAGGGTTTCACCATGTTGGCCAGGCTGGTTTTGAACTCCTGACCTCAAGTGATCTGCCCGCCTTGGCCTCCCAAGTGCTGAGATTTCAGGTGTGAGCCACTGCACCCGGTCCATAAAGGCAATTTTTGCAAACTGAAAAAGTAAAATACACAACCACATATACGATAAAAACATTGAATAACAGAATGGACAGGACTTTGAAAAATTATCTTTCTAGTCACCTGACCTGAGACAAAGGACAGTTTGTAGGAGAAATAGTTTGTCCATTCTCTTTTTAAACACTTCTAGGAACAATGATACCATTTTATTTTGTTTTGTTTCATTCTTTTAGGTTGGCAGAAGATAAAATTCTGCTTGCCTTTCATTCACTTAAAACATATATAATTTATTTTTTGGTTTTTGCCCAAAGGGGAGAAAAAGCTGAGCTGTGTGGTTGGTAGGCAGGCAACTTCACCTGCAATCTTTCCAATATAGATTTGTATCTGGAGATACCAGTAGTGGCAATCAAGCAAAACAATCCAATAAACAGACGGTTTTGGAGACAAAATATCTAGTTTTCTTGAAGCCAATTCACTTCTGCTGTGGTCTTGCCTTGACCTCACTTCTACTTTTTAAATCCCACGATTTGTGTGTGTGTGTGTGTGTGTTATTCATCTGAACTAAGCTCACCCTTGGCTTATGAAACATGTGAATTGGAAAGCTGTTCTCAAAATGAGCTCTCTCCTGGAGGATTTCCCAAAGCTCAGACTGCTTTAATTACATAACCAAGAAGTTTTCAATGAACTGTTTTGAACCTGGCATTCACAATACACTTGCCTTGTACTGAGCGATAGCTTTATGACAGGAAGCTTTGTTAGCTGGACCACCCGGGGAATGCAGCTTGAATAGAATATGGCCGCCTGTAGACTCAGGAATGTGGGCTTCTCTGGACACGCCACACCTGTGTTCCCTTAGCTGCCCCCAGCTCCTGCTTATTTCCCATGTAATTCAAGGTGTTGAACTTAATCCATAGAGTTATGCATCAATAGCCTCATTTATGGGTCCCTCTCTGGCCCTGGCTATGCTAGAAATCTCTTCCCAGGCAGTCTGAAGGTGCTGGAAGGTGTGCGGATTATGCCTTCAAATGATACCTGAGACATGATGGAACTGTGTTTATGCAACAGCCCCCAAATTGTTTGAGAGTGAAACCTTTAGGATTCCCCAAATTGCCCATTTCAGTTTTGACTGAATTTACCACCTTCACAATCAAAAGCAAAATAAAAAAGCATTATTTAGGTTAAGAGACCAACCTGATTTAAACACAATTTTTCTATCTGACAGAGATTCCTGTAATTTCTATCTGTTTGGTTTGTGTTTCAAACAAATTGACAGAGCTTGCCTCACCACATTGCATTTCTTCTTCTGGCAAGGCATCATAAAAAAAAAAAATCATTCCGCCATCATCTGGCTTCCACTGATGCTGCTTTTCCCCCCCATTCTTTTTACTGTGGTAAAATATACATAACAAAAAAATCATTTTAACCATTTTAAATGCACAGTTCAGTGGCATTTTGTACATTCTCATTGTTGTGCCACCATCACCACCATCCACCTCCAGAAATTTTTCATCTTCCTATACTGAATCTCTGTCCCCATTAAAAACTAACTCCCCATTCCCCTTCCCTGGTCCCTGAACCCACCGTTCCACTTTCTGTCTCTATGAATTTAACTACTCTAGGTACTTCATATAGTTGGAATTATACAGGATTCATTATTTTGTGACTGGCTTATTTTGATGTTGCTATTTTTTTAAAAAAAAAAGTTTATTTTTATTTTGAATTGGCAAATAATAATTGCATATATGTAGGGGGTATGTGATATTTCAATACATGTATACATTGTATAATGGTCAGATTAGGCTAATTAACATATCCATCACCTCCCATGCTTATCATTTCTTTGTGGTAGGAGCATTTAAAATGCACTTTTTCTTTTAGCAATTTTGAAAAGTACAATAAATCATTATTAACTATAGTCACTGTGCTGTACAATAGATGAACAGAACTTATTCCTCCTAATTGAAACTTGGTACCCTTTGACCAACAACTCCCTTTTCCCTGTCTACCACTCCTTTCAGTCAGCCTCTGGTAACCTCCATTCTACTCTCTGCTGTGAGTCCAACTTTTTTAGATTCTACATACAGGTGAGATCATGTGGTATTTGTCTTTCCATGCTTGGCTCATTTCACTTAGTATAAAGTCCTCTGCATTCACCCATGTTTTTGCAAATGACAGAATTTCCTTCTTTTAATGGCTAAATGGTATTCCATTGTGTATATATACCACATTTAAAAAATCAATTTATCCATCGATGGGCACTTTGATTAGTTTCATATCTTGGCATAGGAGTGCAGATATCTCTTTGATTTCAAGTCCTTTGGATACATACTTAGAAATGGGATTGCTGAATCATATAGTAATTTTATTTTTAGGTTTTTGAGGAATCTCCTTACCATAACCCAAAATGGCTGTACTAATTTACACTGCCATCAGCAGTGTACAAGGGTTCCCTTGTCTCCACACTATTTTCGACACTTGTTATCTTTCATCTTTTTAATAATAGCCATCCTAACAGATATGAGGTGATGTCTCATTGCGGTTTCAATTTGCATTCCCCTGATGATTAGTGATGTTGAGCATTTTTTCATATACCTGTTGGCCATTTGTATGTCTTCTTTCTGAGAAATGTCTATTCAGGTCCTTTGTCCCCTTTTAATAGGGTTGTTTTCTTGCTATTGTTTGAGTTTCTTACATATTTTGGATATCAACCCCTTATCTTGTATATAATTTGAAAATATTTTCCCCCAGTTTGTGGGTGGTCTGTTCACTCTATTAATTCTTTCCTTTGTTGTGCAGAATCCTTCCAGTTTGATGCAGTCCTGTTTGTCTATTTTTGCTTTTGTTGCCTGTGCTTTTGGGATCATATCCAAGAAACCACTGCTCAGACCAATGTCATGAAGATGTCCCCCTATGTTTTCTTCTAGTAGTTTTACAGTTTCAGGTCTTACATTTAAATCTTTAATCCATTTTGAGTTGATTCTTGTATAAGGGGTGAGATAAAGGTTCAAGTTCATTATTCTCCATGTAGCTAGCCAGTTTGTCTGACACCATTTATTGAAGAGACTGTCCTTTCCCCATTGTGTGTTCTTGGCGCCTGTGTAGAAAATCAATTGAGCTTGGGTGTGGGGGGTTATTTCTGGGCTATCCTTTTCCATTGGTCCATGCGTTTGTTTTCATGCCAGTACCATGTTGTTTTGATTACTATAGCTTTGTAATATATTTTGGAATTAAGTAGTATGTTGCCTCCAGCTTTGTTCTTTTTGCTCAAGATTTATTTTGCTATTCTAGCTCTTTTGTGATATTTATTTTATGACTGCTTTTTCTATTTCTGTGAAGTGACATTGGAATTTTGATAAGAATGTCATTGAATCTGTATATTTGGGTAGTATGGACATTTTAACAATATTTCTTCCAATCCATGAACATGGGATATCTTTCCATTTATTTTTGTCATCTTCCATTTTTTCCCTCAATGTTTTATAGTTTTCAGTATGTATATCTTTTACCTCCTTGGTTATCCTAAGTATTTTTTTTTCAACTTTTATTTCATGTTCATGGGGTACATGTATAGGTTTGTAAATTTACCCAGAGACATGGGTAAATTACATGTCACTGAGGTTTGGTGTGTCTCATTTTGGATGTGATTTTAAATGGAATTGTTTTCTTAGCTTCTTTTTCAGATAGTTCGTTATTAGTATATATAATTACTGATTTTTGTGTGTTGATTTTGTATCTTGCAATTTCATTGAATTTATCAGTTCTAACAGTTTTTTGGTGGCTTCTTTAGGGTTTTCTATATATAAGATCATGTGGTCAGAGACAATTTCACTTCTTCCTTTCCTATTTGAGAGTTTTTCCATTTTTTTTTTTTTTAAAGGCTAGGTCTCACTCTGTTGCCCAGGCTGGAGTGCAGTAGTGTGAACACAGCTCATTGCAGCCTCAACCTTCTGGGCTCAGGTGATCTGAAAGGTGTCACTTTTTATTATTTAAAATTCACTTCTCTTTTAATTTTGTGGTTGGATCCTAAGAGTAGAGCACGTGAGCCAGATTTAAATTGTATTCCTTTGGTCACAGTGATTGGCTCAGGGGTGAACTTATGGTGTAAGAAGAACCAATCAGAGGAAAATTTGGACTGTCTCTGGGAAAGTGGAATCTCAAACTGGAGAACAAAAACATTAGGCTCCTTGGGACATGGTTCGAATCCTGAATCAAGTCTTACCTGGTCTGTTTACTTACATAAGACAATACATTCTCTTTTTTTGATTTAGCTCTTTGGAGTTCAGTTTTTGTTATTTGCAACTGAAAGAATATTAATTATTATAATACTAAAACTTCAGATGTAGTTCAAACTCAATAATTTAATGATGTTTATGAAAATGGTACTTGTATTGGTACTACTAAGTCCTTGAATGTAAATACTTCTAGGACTCTCTCAGAAATCAGGAAGGTAGACTCCTGCTATTGCCAGCATACTGAAAAATATAAAACCCATTTATTTGTTGCTGAAGACGTTTTCTTTGTTTGTGTGTAAATACCTAGTCTTTTCATTCTACTAATTTATTAAGTTGGAGCATATAAACTTACCATTTTATAGGTAAAAAATGGTTGGAATTTTCCATAATTTTATATTATGGAATTCAACTTTATATTATTTACTTTTTAAAGGAAATTTCATAGTTTTAATTTTCAACTTTCAGGTTCTCCTTCCTGCCATAATATTTATAAATGATTTCTATTTTTTTCTGTATTGCAACAAGACCCTCTCTTGTCTGGGACAGAAAAAAATAAGCAACAAGTTAGTTGTTTGACACTCCCCTTCACCAAAAAATGAAAAAAAGATATGTTGAAGTGTTAATCCTTAGTACATCAGAAAGTAGTCTTCTTTAGAAACAGAGTCTTTACAGAGGTAATCAAGTTACAAAGAGATTATTAGGATGAACCTTAATCTAATCTTACTGGTGTCCTTGTGAAAGGGAGAAATGTGGACATGAGAGGGGCACAGAGGAAGACTACCTGAAGACACACAGAGAGAAGGTGACCACGTGGTTGGAGTGGAGCATCTACAAACCAACACACATACCAAGGATTGCTGGCAAGTATCACCAGAAGCTAGAAGAGGCAAGAAAGGATTCTCCCCAAAGCTGTCAGCAAAAACACAGCACTGATGGTACCTTGATTTCAGACTTTTAGCCCCGAAACTGTGAGAGAGTAAATTTCTGTTGTTTTAGGTGACCTGTTTTTTGGAATTTGTTATGTCAACTGTAGGAAATGGATATTGTACAACGATTGGGGCATGACTTTGCAATGGTTTACCTGCTCTCAGATGAAAATTTTTTTTTTTTGTTTTTTTTTTAGATGGAGTCTTGCTCTGTTGCCCAGGCCAGAGTGTAGTGGTGCCATCTTGGCTCACTGCAACCTCTACCTCCCGGGTTCAAGCGATTCTCCTGCCTCAGCCTCCCGAGTAGCTGGGACCACAGCACACCACCAGGCCTGGTGAATTTTTGTATTTTTAGTAGAGAAAGGGTTTCACCATGTTGGCCAGGCTGGTCTCAAACTCCTGACCTCAAGTGATCTGCTCGCCTCAGCTTCCCAAAGTGCTGGGATTACAGGTGTGGGCCACCACACCCTGTCTCAGATGAAAGGTTAATATAATTAAGGAACATCTTTTTTGTTTTTTTTTTCAGAAATTGGAATGGGGGAGTAGCTGAACAGAAAAGTCCATCTTGTTCAATTCCCACAAGAACATTTCTTTGCAATATTATTGGCAGGAATATGCAGTAAAGTTCTAATAACTATTTACTCCTTTCTTTGAAACTCTATTCAGTTATAATGTGTCCTGTAAAAAGTATGACACTGATTTCATAGTACCAATTTTAGCCTAATACATATTTAAATGATTCCCAATGTATAAAGATATTTTAGTAATAAGAAATTATTTAAGGATCCCAAACATCACAATAAACATAAAGCCTAGTTTTAGGTTGCAAAAAAGTATCAAACTTTATAAGTTTTAGTGCAAATTAAGAGAAATTACATTCTAACTACACTAATAACTGAAAACTTCATATTAGGCAAATAATGTCTTCAACTACTCAAATTATAGGAGCCCACTTCAAGAACCTCAGTAAGAAGAAATTTTGAATGGTTTAAAAATAATAAATGCCATGACATTTTAAATGGAAATTTGGCATATTTTTGAGATAAATATGATTGGATACATGTGTGTGCCATTCTTTTATCTCTTCTTACTTTTACTGTATCTCTACTTTAATGATGACAATAATATGGCTACAGACATGAAATGGTTTATCTTTCTTCTTTTCTTTCACTCTTTCATTTAAAGCATTTATATTATTTTTTATTGATGTCAATGTTAACATTTTGGCATCCTTCCCAAGTATATTGCAAGAAATACATCAATAAAAACTTAAATTTAAAAAATATGTAGTCTGGGGCCAGATAATAATGGCATATTTCTTTAAAATTAGGTATAAAGGAGTACAGACGAGGTCAAAATTCTAAAATTGGAATCTTGCCATTAACAAACAGAACTGACATTCTGATACTTCTATCTGCTGTGGACGTGACACAGAGACTTACCAAAGCCAAGATACATTTATTCAAGGAGGAGCAACTTGCCTTTATACTTATACCTTTGTTAATAACTTGTTTAAAGCAATCCTTTGTTTTCTTTGCATATTTGAATTGATTTGCTAAAAGTTATCTACTGTTAAATAAGCAAAACTCAAAATTTTCAAGCATATGGGACTTGTTCAGAATCAGTTTTTAGTTTCTTTTTCAGGATTTTGTACAAGTTGCAAGAGAAGAGACACAAAATTATCTTATTAATTCTATTGCAATATGGAGATACATTTTAAACAAATGGAAATAATCAATATTAGTATTATCTGTATATTTGTGTGTGTGTGTGTTGATCTGACTATATTTTTCTTCAAAGGGAAATCACAAAGGCCAAGTGTGTTTATCAGGTAACTCACCTTAAGAAAACTTGTACTATGTGAAAAGTCAATTTCTTTAAAAACTGTCACCAACTCAACCCTGGTTTGTAAGTAGAAAAAACTATCAATTATTTTTTAACAATAGTAATACTCCCAAGGTATATACTTCTGCCACAAAAAATTAAGAATAGTTTACTTAGCACGTTTTGTCATTGTGGAAATCATTGAGAAAAATCACAGTGGAAAGTTATTTGAAAAGGCATAACTGTCATTAGAAAGAAATTAAGAATAAAGAAGGCAGGCCTGGCGTGGTGGCTCATGCCTGTAATCCCAGCACTTTGGGAGGCTGAGGTGGGTGGATCTCCTGAGGTCGGGAGTTCAAGACCAGCCTGACTAACATGGAGAAACCCCATCTCTACTAAAAATACAAAATTAGCCGGGGTGGTGGCACATGCCTGTAATCCCAGCTACTCGGGAGGCTGAGGCAGGAGAATTGCTTGAACCCAGGAGATGGAGGTTGCGGTGAGCTGAGATGGTGCCATTGCACTCCAGCCTGGGCAAAAAGAGTGAAACTCCACCTAAAAAAAAAATAAAAATAATAAAAAAATAAAGCAGTAAAAACAAAATGTTTGCATGTGTCATTATCTTTGTATTGGTCGTCTATTTTGTAAACTTTCATCATTACTTTAAGCATTTCAGGCCACTTCTTCAGTCATTATTGTTGATTATCATTTAGTCCTCCAATTCCATCAGAGTGTGCTAAGGTAGTAAAATGAAATTAGGCACAATGCATGGCAGAAGGTATAGCAATTTGAAATGTCTTCCAAAATCAATTAGATATTACTTTGGGTTAGCAGTGGAGGTGGGAACATAGTTACAGGTAATTGAGAATTGGCTGTGAATATGGGCTCATACATTGTGTTTTTGAACATGTTGATATAATTCTGTGAAATGAGAGAAATGGCCTCAAATCACCTGGCTGCTTCTGCTTTATTTTATGGTTAGATATTCAACTGCCATCACAGACTACAATAGAGGAAAGCTGCTATTATTTATCAAAGACTAGACCTGCTAGCTGAAGTGCAGTTCACCATTCACTTGGGTGGTGGTATGGCTCACCTCCAAAACACTGCTCATGAGTTGACCTTATTATTTTTATCTGCATGTCTTGACCTATAGCGGGCTTAAAATGTCATTATCAACCTAATGGAAATACAGATTTTTCATTTTTTTCCCTTTCTCTGCCTTCTCTTTTTTCTTTTCTTTTCTTTTTTTTTTTTGGTATGCATATGTATCATAATACTCTTTGGGTTAATCAGGTCCCATAGTGGACCTCGACAATACCTGAGGGGATCCTAAGTCATCAGAATATAGGGGGTGTGAGTGGTCTCCCTTTATTTCTGGAATGCTTGCTTTCTTCGGAAATCATGAAGACATCTTTATTTGAAGCCTTGTTCATCCTTTAAATTGACTCGCAGATTTGCTATTATCTAGAGCGTCTTGAAAGGTGTTGTGCGTATCTGACAAATGGCCTCATTATTCATTAACTTTCACTTTGATATACATATTTTTTAAGTTTTTTTCTCTTTTCTTGCTTTTAAAAATTGGATGTGTCAAACATGCCCCGACTGCTTTAGCACTGTCTATCTGTCTGGTGAAGGAGTGCTGGAAAATTCACATTTAAACAGCATCTCCACAAGTTCTTAATGATGTGCTGAAAGGCAGCTGGCCCAAGTCCAAGTCTGGGGTTTCACTGCTCAGGAAGGTCAGTTTAGTCCTAAGGGGAAGGAAAGAAAAAAAAAAAAAAACCCAAAAGACCCAAAACCAACTATAATCTGTATATCCCGTAAAAGAAAAATTACAAATTCTGATGTAATACTTAAAATTATTATTTCTTAATTCCAAAGTAACTGCTTTTATGACCAGCAAACTCCCAATGGTTAAAATTATTAGCTCAAGACATTTTGCTTTAGTTTAGACAAAAACCTCTAAGTGGCCTACTTTCATTTTCAGTTGGTTGAACAGTTTGTGGTTATATTTGAAATACTTTTTAAAAATGGTCTTGGGTAGGGAGTCAAATTAAAAAACCAAAAAATGCCAAACCTCAGTTTTTGAAAACTGTTTTCCTGAAGACCTGTCTAATCATTCCAATAAGGACACAAAGACATCGACCAATCACATAAATTCCTTATAGTCTCAAAAGCAACAGAAGGCCCCCCCCCCCACTCCCCTCCTCCAATGCAGGCAAGTTTTACATTATTTCTTAGATTAGCTACACATCTTGTTTTTCATGAATTTTAAAAACACATTTATGCCTCTCTGAGGCAGGAAGAATGGGAGTTAACAGCTCAGAAGGAAAATCATAGTGACATTGGACCACATGCCATCTGACGAGGGGATTACTTATAGATGATGTGTGTTCTCTAGTTATCCCTCAAACTCCCCTTGGACGATTAACTGTCTGGTTGGGAGGTGAAGGCTAAGACAGACAGATTAATAAACAGCTTTTCTTCACAACCAAGTCATTTGTTGAATAAAATCTATGGGAAAGCTGATGCCATAAAAGAAGTTAGATAGCATCACCATGGCATTATCGCCCTGGTTATCCCTGAACTCTGGAGACTTAATAATCTTCAAATAAGTAGTATTTAAACAAATCCCCTTTCAAAAGAAATGAAAAACTGGAGAGTTTATTTAATAACCACCACAAACATGAAGTGGTATAAAAAACTCTGCTTTCATGATTTAATTTTGATAACAACCAAATGTGCTGAGTAAGTCTTCAAGTCCCAAAGTTCAGCATTTTTTTTTTCTATTTTCCACTGCTTAATCTATTAAGAAAAACTAACAAAAATGATTGCTGCTGCTTTTGGATCTTTGAGCGTAATTCATCTTGTTTGTTTAATGCACGGTGAAGAAAGCTGGTTAATGGAGGTTAATCAGCTTGGAACCTGCTCAAGGACAGCACGTTGAGGTTTGAGAAGGGTGCCCTATGCCATCACAGCAGTGCAAAATGCAACAAAAAACGTCTTGCAGCTCTCTGTTCAAAGAGTCATTGCATGATAAAAGAGAAGGCTACAGTCTGACTCATGATGTACTGAAATAATCTGATATCTCTGTTTGGCTTCTCTAAGAGCAGAATTTCATGGAGTCTGGGATCATTCTGAGGGGCATCCATTAAAATGTGAGTGTGAGTTTTGCTTTTTTTTTGGTCTGTGTGCAGATTTCTATACAGTTATATTCCTTATTCTTCTTTTGGGTTACAGGCCCCTTTGAGAATCTGATAAAAGCTATAAAATCCAGAAGAATGCACACACACAGAAGTTACACATCTTGTTAGGGAGCTCCACCAAGTCCCTGAAGCCTGTCTGTGAACCCCCTGTTGCACGTACAGACAAGACCTTGTCTGATTGATGAATTCATCTTGCATTTTTATAACCTTTCCAGGCTGCCTGCATTTTATTGGTGCTTTTTGGCAAGGGAGCCAAGACTCCTAAAAAAATCTACAAGCATGAGATTCCTTGAAATGGAGAGGTAACAAACAAAGAAAGGAACAAAGTTAAAAGCCCGAGAACCCCTAAGATTTCATTCCTTCAGGAAAATCTGTGTCATAAATCACTTCTCCAGGTGTCTATATTTGACTCTTAGTTGTTTGTGTGGGAGTCCTTCCCTTCACTTTGCTGCCTCCACCTGCTTTCTCCCTTCCTTCTCACCGACCCCAGCACAGGCACAGTGTTACCTGTTCTGTTCTGTTCTGCACCAGTGGGACAATGTTGCCAACTGCCTTCTCATCTAATTTGTGAAACCAGGTCTCTTTCCTCCAACATATACAATCTTGTGTCACAGGATATCTTCCTCTTTCTTTGGAAAAGATATCTTCAAGAAGATAAGTTCTGAACTCAATAAATATTTTCCTTTCTCAAACTAGTGATAGATATAGCCCATTGACTCATTTCAAATGCCAGAGATTGCACTTGTTTTCATCAGTACGAGTTTGCCCTTTATGCCTGTGAGGAGCTAAGTATAAGCCAGTTTCACACACCCCTCCCCTTTTAATTCAGCGCCTTGTCCATATCTCCACACCCCAAAATGAGCAGTGTCTGTACGATCTTACTGGCTCTTAACCTGAGGAAGAGAGACCTGTGGTCATCTCCTATTTAAATGTTTTCTCTTTAAGTGCAGTTTTCCAATATTCCACTAGTTGGGGCTCTATACAAAGGAAAGAAAAAGAAGGGGTTCCTGCAGAATTATTTACTAAGAAAACACAATATATGATACCGCTAAACTATTTTCTGAGGCCCTGGAAATAAGCGCGTTAATTTAATTTTTGTTCCTATATACCAACCATGAAGTTGTATTATATCGCTATATCAGACGTGCTTGCTTTGCTTACATTGGTTAGAGAAGTAAAACCAAGATTATCGCTTTTGATATGATTTGCAGGTAACCAGCTTACCCATTGCGTAGTTATTACAAAATATGAAATTATAAAGTGCGCAATGGAACATTTGCTACGCAAGTGGTAAGACCATCTTCTTTGTAAGATTTTTCTAGGACAGTCATCTTTTAAACCCTTGTTGTTTGATTGAAAGTCTTTCCAGTCTTGAGAATTTGATTTCTGTGTCAGCCTAGGACCAGAGTTTGGACAAGATGATCTAATATCGGTTCCCTCATGAACCGCTGGGAAACTGACTTGGTCCATGCTAACATTTGCTTCTCTCTCTCAGCTTTTACTTACTTTGTGTCAGGTTGAAAGATTACCTCGGACAGTCACAAATAATCCAAGTCTCCCAGTGCTTTGCTTACCCTTGCTTGTTGTAGGTTTGTTTATCCTGTCTTTCTCCACCTCCCCGGAGATCCTTTGGCAAATCTGATAAACAATTCCTTTTTCTTGCTCAAGGCAGAAAGTCCAATCGAATACAATGGGAGGCCAGACTTGGCTGAAATGCAGGCTGCAGGTGTTCTCAGCATTGTGGTCATCTAAACCAGATGCTGGGGGAGTTGAAGCACCTGCTTCCCTTCTCTGTGTACACTCCGGAGACTACCACTCCTGGGTAGGCTGGGCCAGAGAACCAGGCTGAAGTGAGCGACGTACATACTGCAGCATCCTTTTGACAGATAAAATGAGTTGCTCTAGAAACAATTTCTCAAAATTCCCCTTTAAGTCCTCAAACACATACAGGTTGATCTGCTATTCTCTCTCTCCCTTCCCTGATATGACACCACTATTCCTTCAACACACACACACACACATACACACACACACCTGACAACAGAGCCTGCTTCAAGCAGATACTCAGAGACTCAGAGGCAACTTTATTTTTCCCCGGATTATCTAGGAAGAAAAGACTGGCTGTGGACAAGATGGTGATGACTTTTATGGTTCCGATAACAATGAGACAGATGCCAAAAGGCTTGCATAGCCTCAAATTTTATGAACATTTCTATAGGTGTCATAAATCTCTGAACAATCCAGAGAGAACATTAAATCTTCTATCTTGAATGTTGAAGATTAATAAGAGTTCAGGGGAGAAATTGGTCCTGAGGCAAGGTGACTATGTTATAAGCAGCTGCAGAGGTTGGCTCTGGTATTTTCATTAAGATGATTCTAAGTTGTATTATTTCAGCTCTAAATGTTAATAACACATTGACAGCAGGCCTGTGCATGTGTAGCCAAACCCTTAGTTGTATACCTGCACGAGTCAAGTTCCGTCCTTCTGTTAATATTTTTTAAAATTTTTATTTAAACAAATATTTAATTGTTTTGTAGGGACAGGGTCATGCTGTGCTGCCCAGGCTGGTCTTGAACTCCTGGCCTCAAGTGATCCTCTTGTCTCAACCTCCCAAAGTGCTGGGACTACAGGCATGAGCCACCGCACCTGACTCCTGCTATGACTATTTCTATTCTGATTTCAGTGTTTCTTTTTACCGCAAATACTCTTCTGGGACAGAGATAATGCTTTGCATTGATACAGAGGGATATATTTTATCTGTATATCTTTGCCCTCTGTTCTAAAAGTCAGCTGAGAAAGTTTTTGTCTTGAGGATTGAAGCCCCGACCCTGCTCCGCTCTGGAGGTTTCCATGCAAACATAGGCAGTGAGGGCCTAGGCCCAGGCCCCTTGAAGGGGAGGTATATCCTGGACCTCAGTCCTTCCCAGCACCCCATCTCCTCCCTCCAAGGGAAACTTGTCTCTTACCTGAGCCTCTATTGATATCAGAGCTTGAGGAAGCCCTTTAAATTTGCTCCCTGTATCTCTGTAATGCACAGACACATTCTTGTTGCTACACGCCCAGACCAACTCTACATTCAAAATAATAATTTTTCAAAGGAGAGACCTGGGGTAGGTTTGTGATGTTAAAAGATAAAACTTGGACAAATTAAATTTAACAGAGTTTAATTGAGCAAAGAGCGGTATGTGAATCGGGCAGCCTCCCAAATCAGAAGAGGCTCAGAGACTCCAGTGCAACCATGTGGTGGAAGAAGATTTATGAACAGGAAAAAGAAAGTGATGTGCAGAAAACAGAAGTGAGGAACAGAAACAGCCTTATTGGTTACAGCTTGGAGTGAGCCTTATTTGAACATGGTTTGAATAGTTGGCCACCCTTGATTGGCTGAAACTTGGTGATTGTCACTAGAGTAGGTTACGGTCTGTTTACACATCCACTTAGGTTATAGTTCACTATATAGAGAAAGCTTTGGGCTGAATTTAAAATATGTAAGGAGGTGGCTTTAGGCTACACTTAATTTAACAGTGGGCATGAGCGGGAAAGAGGGTTGGTAGGCTGGACAAGAGTGATAAATCAAAAGAAATTAGTGGAGTCGATTTGAGATGAGGGATGATATACGGTATTGGGTGAAAATCGTTTGAAATAAACCAAAGGATTCACAACATATTTTCAAAACAACAAAAAAAGGCTACCTCAGCTCTTTTTTTTTTAGACCTCCTGTCTACATTCTTTTGGAGCAAGGCCTCATTAAAAGAGGGGATTAGAGGCCGGGTGTGGTGGCCCACACCTGTAATCTCTGCACTTTGGGAGGCTGAGATGGGCAGATCACCTGAGATCAGGAGTTCGAGACCAGCCTGGACAACATAGTGAAATCCCATCTCTACTAAAAATGCAGAAGTTAGCTGGGCGTGGTGGTGCATGCCTTTAATCCCAGCTACTCAGGAGGCTGAGGCAGGAGAATCACTTGAACCTGGGAGGCGGAGGTTGCAGTGAGCCAAGATCACGCCACTGCACTCCAGCCTGGGTAACAAGCGTGAAACTCTGTTTCAAAAAAAAAAAGGAAAGGAAGAGGGGCTTAGACATAGTGAAACTAGAGATAGGGAGGATGGTCTGGCAGTGAGAAAGGGAACGGTAGATACTACTCCAGTCTGCAGATGCATTGTGCAGTGGAGTTAGGAATTTACCTGGGGTAGCTAATGGGGTGGTGGGGGTTGTTTAGATGAATATGGGAATAGAGATTACAACCTAACATAAACAATGCATCTTTTATTTAATATCATTGAAACTGTTTTCACTTATCTGCATGACTCTTTCTTTTGTGCCTCTTAATTTGTCCTTGAAGTTCTGTATCTAATCATTAGTTGAGCAACCAATAATTCTCCTTCAGTCCCCCACCCCTTTTTACAACCAACTTTAATCTTTCGACTCGGTGAAAAACATGTTTCTCCTATCATAACTAGTTTAACAAAAATTCTCTTTCAAGTTTAGATTACTCAGATACAATGGCTTTCCCGTAGCTTCATGCTGAAGAATGGAATTTACATTAGAAAAGAGAGATTTATGATAGCATTGAATTTCCATTTGAATATGGAGAATTAATAACATGCATATGTTTTTTTATTATTATTATTTTAAGATTTGAGCTATGCCATAGGCAAAAAGAAAGCTGGAAACTGTGGGGCTGGCAGGGCTCGATGAATAATTTTATCTGGATTTCATTCACAAACAGCAGCTCCCTCCTCGGGAAAGGACCTGTGTGTCTCCCCAGATCGGAACTGGAGTAAGTGCCAGGATTTCCTGATTTGTTTACATTTCTCAAAAAACTTTTTTCCCCCTGGACTAGGACAGAATTAGACTTCCTTTTCCACTTTTGGCTCCTTCCAAGCTATTCTTGCTCAAGGTATTCTCTCCCCTTTCCCCTTTCCCTGCATTCTTCTTTGTGGAAGTCTCAGCTGGGTTCTTTTGTTTCACAAAAACACCGAGAGGCAATGAAAGATGTTGGCGGAAAAATAATGGTCATAATGACAACAATAAGCCCACCGTGGCAGCATTTTCCTGGACACAGCACAGTTTGCCCAATCTTTACATTTAAAATCTGCTGTTCTGTCTCTCACAAATGCTTGGAGAAGATTCTGAGAGGCGCACACGTGACATGTCAAGTGACCTTGCCAAAGTCCTTGTGCCATAAAAGGAGGAATTGAAATCATCTCCTTTCACATAAACCCTGCTGATGAGACCTGTCATTCAGACAGTGAAACATCAGCCAGATCCAATAATGGATCAGAAATGTTTCATCTTTAGTGTCCAGGCTTCTTGGACCTGGGGCTGGGGGTTCTATTCTACCCTGTTATTCTCTCTGTCCTGTTTGGTTTCACTTTCACCATCTTGACCATCTATAATTGTCACTTTTGTCTAAGGCTAGTTTTGAAAGTTTACTCCAAGCTCATTTGTTTGTAAATGTTTTGCAATCTGGGGCTTAATTCCTTTTCTTAACAAGGGAAATGCAGGCCTTGGTCTATGGCCAATCTGAATGTATAAAAAGCAACTAGATCTTGTTTGGGGCCCACAAACAAGAAGTCAGAGAAACGCAGAGGCCTTTTGAGGGAGAGGGCGTAGGGTCATTGAGAGAGAGGTGTACCTCTCTTGTTTATTGACATTTCTATTTCTTTTTTCATTCTCTCTTGTTCCTGAGATTAAAGGCCTCTTTTGACTTCACTAGCTAAGTCATCTCTGCTTTGAAACATGTCTTCCATTCTGGCCCTAGGGACAATTGTGAGAATTGTCTTGGAGCAAACCTATCCTCTCTTCTTGGTCTCCTTTCTCCCATCTTGGGGTCCCCTGGGCAGTCAGTATCATCTGTCCTTTCTGCTTTCCTGGAAACCAAACACAGCTCTCAGCAGAGGATCCAATAACTTTGCTTGCACTGGGGCACAGTTCTCAATGTTAGCACTATCCCAGGGTTATTTGTAATATAACAGAAGAAACTTTAAGGTAAAGGAATGAGTCTCTGATTGTGGAACTTATGCTACTGGGGAGATCCTTGAGGAAGTAAAATGTCTTCAAAGTGTTCTTGAAATCACATGATATTGAGGGTGGATATGGGTCAATTCAGGCATATATGTTTATTTATATCCCTGTGTATACCTATGTAGATGTGTACATTCAGAGAGACATGGCTTATCACTGTCAAGGTCCCACTGCTGCTACTGTATCGACTGATGAGTGACCAAGAGCCTTTTCTGAACCATGTACTAAAATCACTGAGTTAAGAATCAAGACAATAATTAAACTATTCTGAAATGTCCTTTCATAGTTTTCATTCACTCACTGAAGTGACTGTGTGAGTGCCTTCTTTTTAGAAGGCCAAAATAGGCTTCTTCTGACCGGGTGCAGTGGCTCGTGCCTGTAATCCCAGCACTTTGGGAGGCCGAGGCGGGTGGATCACTCGAGGCCAGGAGTTTGAGGTCAGCCTGGTCAGCATGGTGAAACCTGTCCCTACTAAAAATACAAAAATTAGCCAGGCATTGTGGCAGGTTCCTGTAATCTCAGCTACTTGGGAGGCTGAGGCAGGAGAACTGCTTGAACCTGGGAGGCAGAGGTTGCAGTGAGCCGAGATCACACCACTGCACTCCAGCCTGGGCAACAGAGGGAGAATCTGTCTCAAAAAAAAAAAAAAAAAAAGACTTCTTCTATGATCTCCTTCAAAGTAAAGCTGAACAAATGGCCATATTTTTACCTTAACATAAACACACATTAAGATGTATTTAGAGGACATGTGTGCAAAAGGATGGTCTAAATGAACCCTGGCACATTTAGGGACATCCAAGGAATAACATTTTTGTTTTTCCCCCTGTTGGTTTCAGACACGGTACTGTGGGCCTGGGTGTTATAGAAGAAACTGAGGTTTAAACATTTGAGGATTTGAAGAACTCTGTTCTTTATGCTTTCAACTGTCTTCTACGATAAGCACTTATGAAATAAGATGACGTGTTATGTGAAGCACATATTCCGAAATCACAGAATGTCCTCACCAAGGTCTAGAGAAAGATAGAAAATGAGTAATGACATGAGGTCCAATGCAAAATATACCTTCTTTTTTAAAATTTTATTTATTTATTTTATTTTTGAGACAGGTTCTTGCTCCGTACCTCAGGCTGGAGTACAGTGAGTGGTGTGAACACTTCTCATGGCAGCCTCAACCTTCTGGGTTCAAGTGATCCTCCTGCCTCAGCCTCCCACGTAGATGGGACAACAGCCACATGCCACTGTGCCCAACTAATTTTTTGATTTTTTGTAGATGTGAGATTTCACTTTGTTTTCCAGGCTGGTCTCAAACTCCTGGGCTCAAGCAATCCTCCCATCTTGGTCTCCCCAAATACTGGAATTACATGGATAAGCCATCGTGCCTGGCTAAATATACATTCTAAGGTGGGGAAAGCGCCTCCACAAACAAACCAACATGTGAGATGAGAAGGAAAACACCAGCTTTAGGACAATGTTAACAGAAAACTTAAAAATTGTTTAAAGAACATGAACAAAGATGTCAATTTGACAGGATACAACACATTGTATTTTGTATGTGCAGTTACTGTGTGTGTGTGTGTATATATATATATATATATATATATTTTTTTTTTTTTTTTTTTTTCCTGATATATTTCCTATACCACTGGACATTTTTATTTCCAGGTCTTCATTTCAAGAGAAGATCTGAGGCAGGCAGTTTACCTGAGAGGCTTTTCCCTTCCTATCTGAATGTAAAAAAATTTCTGCAGGACCCTCAGATTTCTCTAGTTCTTAAAAACAAGGCCAAGAGGCTCATCTATTTGAAGGGATGGTTAGGCAGCTTGGGGTGCTTCAAGCCTCACCCACTGGTTCTTTGGTCTTATCTCCAGTGGTGACCCAGTTTATTACAGAAAGGAAACCTAGGTTGGCTCCATGACAGCCCCAGCAACCTAGAGGCTGGGGATGCTGAAGATCAGATGGATTTTGGTGTACATGTGCTGGTTTTGTCTTATACCTCTTTAGAAGCCTGAGTAGGCTGAGATGGTGAGCACTCAAGAACAGTCTGAGTTCTGGCAGAAAGCATCACCTTCATAACCACTACTAAAACATTTTTCCTCCCGCACAAAAGGTACACTTGTTTTTCTCTGGGAGCTGGTGATGTTGAGATGCTGCAAAGGGACACATTTTCTAGGCCCTTATTTGTGTTTTCTTGCTGTTTTCTTACATACTGTCTTAATTCATAGCCACAAAGCCATTGTACGTTGAATAAAATATAAAACCATAGCACTTTCCAATTCTATAAACAAATATATTCCTTTAATAATTGCCACACTTTAATGACTTCAACAGTGTAGATAGGTGGGTGAGTGGGTAAGAGTGGATTCCAATTGTACATAAATGGTTTTGAGTTCTTATAAAGGGATTATTTTTGTACTTGGTGCCTGTAGTGTCTCCACTAGGGCTTGAGTCTTACCAACTGATCAACTGTTTTTTCACTGGCCTTTGGGAAGATACCGTAGATGTGTCCTCTGCCCTCTGAGACTGCCAAAGGAGGATTAGGGGAATTACTGGCTGAAGCCATGGTTTCTGTATAGTTTTCATCAGTAAGAGATCTGTAGGATCTCCAGGCATGTGGACTATGGTAATATGAGGTGAGATGAAGGCCAACAAAGTTAGCAAAGCCAGGAAGTATGTCCTATAGGTCTTGATCCAGTCTACATTTTAGTTTATTCTGCAACCAGAACCTGTGTGTGGCTGAATGCAAGGTCTAGGATACATGACCCTGTCCGGGTGGGGGACAGTGAGGTCCTAAGACCCCTTGTAGAATACTGGAAAACAGTTGGTATGACCAACATGAAGATTTGGCTTTCCTGACAAATCCCCACATTCTGCACTTGACAGATGAATGCAAAGGTCTCTATTTCCAAGGAAAGCAAGCTAGGAGCATGTGATCCCTCAAGGCCACTTTGTGATTCACTGGGAAAACAAGATGAAATCATCCCATTTCCAACTATGGAACCAAGATGAGCCTAGGCATTTTTAAGCCATTGGCAGAGCTGTCTTCTTTATTTTCTTTGCCTGACCCCATCCAGCTCTGATACCTCTTGCCATACATAAGCTGGACATATTTAGCCCCCTAGAGAGAAAGGAACATTGGCTGGGACAAAGTCCCTACCCACCACACCCACCCTCCTTGGGCAGTCTTGTTATCTCTCCTTGGAGTGTGTGATTTAGTACCACATGACATTAAGATATGATAACCTGAACTCTCTATTACTTTGGGAAAGACTACTGAGAAAAAAAAAAAAAAAGCTTGTTGGAATAGCTCTGTTGATTATAGCTGTGTGGGGTTATCTTGGAAGAGGATGGAAAATAACCCAGAGCCAAGACTTGTTTTGGATGGCTAAAGTGAAGTCAAAAATAGATGAAGATCCACCCACATGTTAAGAAAATCCTTAAAGTCCTGACACCCAGCAAGGCTGTACTAAGCAGTTATCACCTACTTTTTGTTTTCTGCTTCATCAGCTCTCTAATCCTGCAAGTTTCATTATTAGGATTTCCTGCTATACTTTTAGTTTTCAGTTACAGATTGACTGGGGACTGCCAGTATGTCTGGCCTACTGATGTTTGCTGGTAGATTATCCTTGTAAGAGTTACTATTGTAAGGGAGCATTTTTTAAAAAGTAAGGAAGAGTGGCAATTCAAATAAATTCCACTGCCTCACTGCTTGCCATGGTCTGACAACTATGAATACAACAGAAAGGCTCTTTTGAAACAAACTTTCTTGTTAAAAAAAAAAAAATTTGCAAATGAAACAAAGAAGCCAACAAAACAAAACAAAGCAAAACAAAAAAACACAACACCCCATGGTTGAATTTACCAACCTGAAGAGTTCAGACGTTGCCCAAGTCAGGGACTGGTAATTGACATCCAGTTCAGGGGTTCATTTTCCCTTTTCTCAAGATTGAATGGAACTCTCTTTTTAAAGACTTATAATTTACTGTCTAAAATTGGAACGGTGACAAATTCAAAGCAGGGTAAAAGGAAGTCTCCAAAACAATAGCACTGAAATTATCCCAGAGCTTTTTCAATTGTGAGAATTTAGTGCACCTGAGTTGCTAGACTCACTATAGTGGCAGCATGCCTAAGTGGTATATTTTTTAATCTAAATCTAAGGAGGTGACCTCTTTTGGTAGAATGAACATTGATGGTTTTTTTTTTTCTATTTTGCTGAAAATATTCTACAATATCCCAGGGATTTTCAGGGAAAGCACGCTCTATTCATAAATGAAAATAAGAGCACATATTCCAGTCCTCAGTACAAAGCTTCAAGGACCATTGTTGAGCATTGGCTATTACCAAGTACTATGCTACATGCTTTATATACATTGATTCATTTGGTCTTCACAACAGTCTGCTAGGGGTAGGTACGACTATTACTTCTATTTTACAGAGACAGAAAGAGGGAGGTTAAGTAACTGGTTTAAAGTCATCTGGCTAGTGAGTGACAGAGTCAGGATTTGAACCCCGGTATTCTAACTCTATTGCCATACTCTTAACTACTTGGCAATACCACCTCCTAAAAAAAGTGAGTGGCCTAGCTTCAAGGACATTAGGTCCTGAAGGCCTAGTAGGAATTGAGTTTTGGTGCGAAGCCACTCAGCATGTTCGATTTTAGAAATGGAACCTAGTATTCTACTGTTGAATACGAGGCAGGCCAGGTAAGTTAGGTTTCACTGCATCCTAGCTATGCGGTTGATATTCTCAATTCTATTTAGTTTTATTCCCAATCTGTCTCTGAAAATGATCGAAGTACTTACATGCAAATATACATCCTTCCTTTAGGCCTCTACAGAACTCCAGTCTCATTTCGACTGCCTTCTAAATATCCCTACTTGCTTAAGCCTTCACGCATCTCAAATACCTACACTGAGCTTCCCAGTCCCACTTCAACAGCTCTGCATTCCAACTTCTCTGTCTCCATAGTGGTGTCATTCAGTCACCCACACTCTAAACTAGCTCAGGATCAGTTTTTACTCCCCTCTTTCCCGCACTGTTTCCTGCCTCAACCCCTGCCCCAAGCAAACATGCAGTTAGTCATTAAGTCCTGCTGATTCCCTTTGCCAAATCTGTTCTTTCCGATTCCTGCTGCAACAAATCAAATTTCTAAAACCATATTTTGGAATAAATTTCCCATGAGTTGGCCCACCTTTAGGCTTGCTGTCCTGAATATAGCCACCAGATTAAAGTTGAAATTCAATGCCTTTGACAGTGTTTTTGTTTTGTTTTGTTTTTGTTTTTTTTCCTGTGCTCTTTTGTGTGCCAGGCACTAAGTTGGAGACACATCACTGAATAAACAGACAAGACTCCTGCCTTAAGGAAGCTTGCTAAAGTGTCCAAAATGACTACATAACTTCCCTGGTTAAAGCCAACCAAAGCAGTAAAGTAATATTCAAAGATTCTCTATTTCCTCAATTTAATGGCAAAATCTTGGTTTGGAAATCAAGTTCCTCCACCATTTGGCCTCACTTTCCCTTTTCCCTTGCTCTTCATCAGCAGGTGCTCAGCCTTGCACCCAATACATTCTGTTTATTCTGTTTCCCAACACAGTGATTCTCTCACCTCCCTGCCTTGCCCTTGCTGTCCTTTCTGCTGGGAATAGCTCATCTTCACACTTCTCTACACAAATATTTCTGCTTTCCACCACCGTGGAGTTGTTTGCCTCCACCACGGGGCCAGATCAGGAGATACGCATGTCCCTTACTCACTTCACTGCTGTGGTCAGGTCTTGCCCGGATCTGGGGCAGGAGGGATTTAAATAGTATATAGCCTGACACTTTGTGGTAGAGAAAGTCCCTTTGTGACAATTTAGCCTGTTCACCCCCCTCAGCTCTTGCTTTGGTTCTGAGGCCCATCTTCACCCTCAGTTCTGGTACCTGAGCCTGTGCCTCATTTCTGTTTTCTGCGTCCCTCTTAGGGACCCCTTACCTCACACGTTGAACTCAGCATCCCCTTCATATAATCCTTCCCTTAAACTCCACCCCTATGACTGAGACCCCAAGGTCCCAAAACACTTTTGCAGATTCTAACAGCCTACCTGCCTCATTGAAAACTGGAATATTATGGTTCATTCATTCACCAACAATAAATGTTTACTGGAGCCTTCCTGTATGCCAGGGCCTGACCACATAACACATGGCAAGAACTATTCCCCATTCTCATGATGCTCACTCTCTCATTGGGGTAAGTGGTTAAATAAAGAAGCAAAGTAATTTTGGGGAGTGAGAAAGACTATGAGGAGAGTCAAACGGGCTACTGAGATGGAGGCAGGGACTGGCAGAAGCTGGTTTAGATGGGGCGCTTAGGAATAACATCTCAACTGAGATTGGAACGACGAGAAGGAGCCAGCCAGCCATGTGTAAAGCTGAGTAGTGTCCCAAGCAGAGGAAACTGCAGGTGAAAGATCCTACTGTAATCACCAGAGACCAAGGAGAGGCCAGCAGATCAGGGCAAAGGAGGGGAGAGTAGTAAAGAAAGTAGGGCAGCAGGGGCCAGAGCAGGGGAGACCTTGTTGCTGTGTTCCTGAGAAGTAGTTTTGTTGGATTTTCCCCAGTTGCCAGCTGCCTGGCTCTGCAGATCTTCTGCACTGTTTGTCTGGCTTACGTGCTCCTAGTTCCTTTTGGCTTGATTTGTCCTTCCTCGTTCCCCCTGGACGTGCCCCATTTTGATGGCAGGGTCTTGGATTCCCATCACTGTCTTTCTCATGGTCATTAAGTGGGCATTGCCCAGATAACACGTCCAAGGTAAGATGGTGCCCATCCAAGTTCTCCCTGGTCTCTAAAGCCTAATTCCCATATAAGTTTCTTTAGGACATTTTCCCAAATGATCATAGCTGGAGAAAGATCTAAGGCAGTAGCCTGGCTTGGTCTGAGCCATCACCCAGCTTTCCTCACATGCTCATTTATGCTTTGGTGTCACTTTCCTTTCCAGATTTTATGCCTCTGAAAATAGGAGCTGTCTCTGGTACAATTTTGTTCCACCAGATTAATAGCATGGTGGCTCGTTCTCAGTAGCCATGGAAATGTGTTTTGGAGAATAAACTATTTGTGGAGCTACTTGGCTATTGTCATGAGGATTAAAAATATATGTGAAGCAGTTGGCCATGATGACATGCTCCTCTAGTCTGAGCTACTCCAGAGGCCGAAGCAGGAGGATCTCATGAGCCCAGGAGTTTGAGGCCAATCTGTAAAAAAAAAATTATGAAGCATCTAGAAAGGTACTTGGCACATAATAGGTTCTAAATTAATGATAATATTATGATCATTGTCATAGTTGAGTGACTTTGGGCGTAACTCTTCCGATTTTTTAGTTTAAATGATACTGCTGGATAGAATGATTTCTAAAATGTTTTCTAGCTCTAAAACTTGATCATGGCTTGGATGAACACCTTGAAAGCTCTCAGGAAGAGAAAGAGTCTTTGCCTGTTGGGTAACTTTTCCCTAGTGAGAAGGCTTGTAGGCATTTGAGATTCTTTTATGGCATCAGTGATAATGTACAATATTTTCAATAAGGAAGCAATTATACATTTTTAATTTATTGAGTAGTATATATTTAGTAGTATTTCAGGCATTTTGAGAGTAGAGACAGTGATAATACTTTTTTCAAATGTGCACCTGCAATAGCAAGTGTTGTCAAAGGTGTGGAGAAACAGAAATTCTCATATACTTCTTACGGGTATATACATCAGTACAGCCTCTTGGAAGTGCAATTCAACGATAGTGAGAAAAGGAAAAGATGCACATATTGTATGATCCTGCAATTCTACCCCTAGAGAAACTGTAGCACATATGCACAGAGGCTTTTTCAAGAATATTCATGGAAGCTTTGTGGTAAAAAATCTGAAGCAACCCAAGTGTCTCTGAGCAGGAGAAAGGATAGATTGTGTATTCAAATACAAACATGAAAATAAATGAGCTACATCTACAAAGCTTCATATGGATAAGTCTCAAAAGCATAATGTTTAGGGAAAAAGCAAATTGCATAATCATAATATAGTATGATAAAAAATAAAGTTAAAATCATACAATATATAGCTATGGATATAAACAGATAATATAAAAATGTAAGGACCGGCATGAAAAACACCAAATTCAGAATAGTGGTTAACTCTAAAAGGGATGGAGGAAGGAGAGTGGAATTAGGAGTGGGATATATACGGAGTTTCAACTAAATATGAATGTCTTTTTTTCCTTAAAGAAAGATTTGAAAGAAATAGGGCAAAAGATTAAGATTTAATGAAGCTGGGTGTATACAGCAGTGCTTATTATTGATCTGTTTTTTGTATACTTATAATAATTAAAAAGAAAAATATAACTATTAAAATATACCTGTGACTAGTTGGATTTGAAAGAAAAAACAATTGAAACTACTAGTACAGTGGCTATCTAAACACTAAGTCTTGATGCTCATTTTTGTGTTCACATTGGAAAAATATCTGGATTTAGGTTTTGAGACTAAGTATCAATAATGATAAGAAGTAATCATGAAAACAATTAATGACATGTTTTGACAAATTTTTTTTTTTTTTTTGAGTTGGAGTCTCGCTCTGTCTCCAGGCTGGAGTGCAGTGGAGTGATCTAGGCTCACTGCAACCTCCGCCCCCCAGGTTCAAGCGATTCTCCTGCCTCAACCTCCTGAGTAGCTGGGACTACAGGCGCCTGCCACCACGCCTGGCTAATTTTTGTATTTTTAGTAGAGATGGAGTTTCACTATGTTGGCCAGGATGGTCTCAATCTCTTGACCTTGTGATCCGCCTGCCTCAGCCTCCCAAAGTGCTGGGATTACAGGCGTGAGCCCCTGCACCCCGCCTGACAAGTGTTTCTTATCCTACATCCTGGAAGTGTAAAGCTTTATTTTTTCTTTAGGCAGATTTTATCTTACCAAATGCCCATTTAGGTATTTAATTGTGTATTGTTTTTACCTTCATTTAAATGTTTCCTGTACTTATCTTCCCAACTACACTGAACCAGAACCCTGAATCACCCAGTTTTCAGTCTGGAGTTTTTCTCATCAACATCATATACTGCTTTTGTACTCAATAAATACTTTTTGAGGGTATGAATGACTAAATAATTATCCTCTTAATGCATTAATTTCTCTTATATAAGAAACCTAGACCCTTCTCTGAGGACAACAGAATTACTGACCTACTAAAGAATTTGATTTTCTGTGAGTAGGACATGAGTGATTCTTTTCTCAATATGCAGGTTTGTACAGTATCACAACAAATAAACAAAGTAAAAAACCTTATGGTTTATTTAAGCATTTATAAAAATGCACACTTCAGTTCTTTCTAGACAAGGCAGCTGGCCTCTCCCTCCCCAGCACAACACGAAATGGTTCCTACCATGCTGTCTGGCATCAAGGGCTGTTCTCGTCCAAGAAACACACATGTTGCTACTCTTCTATTCTATTTTGATTGACATTTGTATTTCTCAAAAGCAACAATCAGATTTTTAATATTCAGACCCAAATACTCATTGCATTGTCAATGATGGCAAGAAAAATTAGAGGATACAGGCAAATTTTCAGCTATGTGGATGAAAGCAACCTTTATTTTTCTCTAATACTGAATCCAGCTTTGAGGTTCTTTATTTACAGCAGATATGAAGCCAAGCCTTTGTAGTTGTGTGTTTTTTTCTTCCCCTCTTTTTTTTGGGGAGGGGTTGATGTGAGCTGGCATCTCTCATGAAAAGATAAAGGCATTAATTAACTACACTACCAAACCTCAAGGATAAAAGCTATTGTGAACAGGAGTTAGGCATGCACATGGTATCAAGTAAGGGCCTGGAAACAGACTGCTGCCAAGGAAAACAGATGTCTGTCTCCTTTAAGGAGATCAAATTATGGGTATATTAGCTATTGCTAATCTCTCAATTGATTTAACAATGATGGTATTGATGAGCTAATTTGAATTGAGTGCAATCATTGCCATTACCATTGTCACAATAAAATTCTTAAAACATTTGACTCAACCAAGTAATAATAAACAACAACAATAACAAAACAATAGCAAAGAAGCCATCCTAGAAGAGAAATGGATGCATCAAATCCAGAAATGATAAAGGGCCAGACGGGCTCCACTTCTATCTTTTGCTGTAAAGTCCAGATGTGAGTAGGAGAGGAATTTCCCCCACATAACAGTGAGTATTAACGACTCACAATCATAGGATGCATGAGACAATGATGAATTGTATATTACAAGCCTATAGAAGACAATCAAAACGGTCACTTTCTTCCTAGTGGAATTCACTAGCAAAATTGGAACAGAAAGAAAATTCTGCTTAAGGTTTTGCACACTGTTTTTCCTGTTTTCCTGACATGGTTATAAATAAGAAAAAGTGCAGATGTTCAGATTCTCTCTGTTGCATGACTGTGTTTCATCCCTTTATTGGGTTGCTCTTATTGTTTCTTTTATGTTGTTGTGGTGTTGTTTTTAAACTCCCCTGCACATGCTATCTGCAGAACATTTTCTTTCTTCTCTCTCTTTCTCTCGTTTCTTTCAACTGCACTTGTCATTTCTCAGGATTTTTGGGAGAAGAGGGAGAGGAGAGTTAGGCATAGATCATGAGCCAGAATCTAAGGGAGCAGGGTAAAGAGTATCTGAATAAGATAATATGCCCTAGAAAAACCCAGTTCTTTCTCTCCATCTTTTTAGAGGCCACTTCAATTCTTGTTTACATTCACACTTAGGGGACATATGCAGAAATAGGCCAACTTGAAGGTTAAGTAACTCCAGCATGACCAGGTCGGCCATGAGAACATGGAAAAAGTTCTGAAGTCAGTCTAGAAGTTCAGGTTCACTTTCAGGAAGCAGAGGGCCCAGTTTAATAAGTAATGCCTGATGTCAATACAAAATTAGACCCAAGCTTTGGCTCCCTTCAGAGTTGAGCTCTCTACTGCCCCTTCCCAGAGGTTTGAGGAATGGACATATAAAGAGGTTTCTTGACTGAGCAAGATACTGCAAAGCCATTTGAACTGCAGTGGGCTTTGTTGTGTTTTTCCTTTCCTTGTTTCAGTCCCTCTGGCAAAGCCCTATTAACCTATGTGTTTGATTCCAAGTTCTTTTTACTTTTTAGACTAGATAGTCTGATTCCCATGAAGGTCTTGAGAGACTCACAGTTCCTCCCAGCAGTCAGGAAAAATGATGTCCAAGCTTCTGGCCCTCACTTTCCAGTGGACTAAGACTACAATACAAGATACCGAACACCTAGATATTTCCAGATTTTGGATATTGGTCTGCCTGATGCCAAACATCTGGATAGTTGAAAAATCAGGATGCTTGGCATCAAGCAGACAAAACATCTGGATGACTGCTTGAGTTTTTCACTTTTTAAGTGGATGTTTGGTGTCTTGTAGACACAAGCTGAGGCTCTGACTTCATCTTGTAACAGCCCCCAGGCTGCCAGGCTGGCTCCAGATTCCCTTTATTGCAACTGACATTTTTACAAGAAAACTTTGCATTCTGTGTGATGCCTGTTGTTCTTATGCTGAGAAACAGATTGGTTACTCAGGAAAAAACCAGCCCAAACCGAGCCCCAAAGGCCACATGCTTGAGCAAGGGCTTGAAGGAGCTGGAGAATTTCAGACTCACTATTGTCTTTGTGAGGAAAATCACCACATAACTGCAGTAAGAAGAGGTGGTTGCTGGAGAGAGAAGAAGGCCTCCAGAGTGCTAAAAGTGCCAGATCCATTCTAATAGCTCTCAATTTAGCTCACCCTCATTGCAGCCATGGAATATTGTTTCCAGGTAGTGCTTTTTGTACCACTTAATGCAGATTAATGATAAATGGTCAAACATTCCATAAGATGCACCAGTGATTCTACAAATGAAACAATAGGGATGGTTTAGGAATCACCATTTTTTCTAGAATATTTGAGCAAATAAAATTGAGCAAGTAAGATGCTCAACTTTGCCTCATTTGAAAAAAGAGTTTCACAATCCAAGTGAAGGCTTATTCACTCCTCCACCTTGGAACAATTGTGGTAATGATGAAAGTAAATTATCAACAGTTATTTATTGACCACCTTCCATGCACCTAGCTGTCATGAACTGTCTGACTTCACACCCCTTCTCATCCCTGCTCTTTGCCAAGTGTACCTATTAGCTTCTCTGATGAGCTCAGACCTGCCTACTCACTGTGAACAGCCCTGCTGTATGGCACAGAAGGATCCCTGGCCTCCAAATGCTGTTGGAACGGGTTCAAGCTACACTCTTTCCTCTTTTCCCTTCATGCCTGGCATACAAGATCCCTTGCCTGGATCTTACTCCTTGACACCTCAATCCTTGGCCTGTGTTTTTAGTCTCCATTTGAGTCCCTCATCATTAACTTAGTCTTGGAAACTCCATTTTTTATCTCTGAGCTTCAATCTCCCTAACTCTGGATGATTCTTACTATCTATTGGAATTACAGGATTTGCTTCTTCCTACCCACTTTAATAGCAACCACTTGTTGAATACAGGATCTAGCATCGAGCTGACCTTTTAAATTTACTATCTTATTTAATCCTCACATGAGGTTAATATTGTAAACTGCTATTTTGCAGAGTAGAAACTGAGATGTAGAGCAATTTAACAACTTGAGGAAGCTCACAAAATAGAAATGAACAGAAGCAGAACCAGAATTCAAACCCAGGACTGACTCTAGAGCCTAGACAGTGACCACTACTCAGTATCGCCTCGCTTTGTTCTTCTAGGCTTGATGCCTTGCTTCTCTGGCCTGTAGTACCTCTCCATCTTCAGCACTTTGACTTTTCTTTAATTGACTGACTGTGCTTGATCCTATGCCTGACATTAATTTATTTATCGGATAACATAGCTTGAGTGCCCACTCTGTGGCAGGCACTGTGTTTTGTGTTGAGAATAAAATCATGAACAAGGTAAGACCCAGGCTCTGCCCTCACAGTCATACTCAGCTTAGTGCCTGGTAAGGGTAACAAACAAGTCAGACAGTAATTTCCATATAGTGCCATAAGAGCAGTAACACAAGGAGCTATTTATATAATAGTACCTGGTGGGTAAATTTCTGGTTCTGAGCCCTTCTGGTCTTCCCTGCTCCTGGTCCCATCAGGTCCCCTTCTTCTCTCCCTTACTAAACTGACATTGAGTCTTCTACTCAATGGAAGGGCGGGCTCATTCGCCCCTCAATGTGGGGGAGATGGCAGGATGAAAGGTCAGCAGCCTGAGGTCACCATCTGGGAGAACTTAGAATTGAGTTCTGCTCTCCAGATCTGGAACTCAGTGGCTAAGTTGGAACTTCTGAGCTCCTGTATGTACCCTCCAGCCTCCTCTGCAGCCTGGGACATATAGGCTCTGGGCTTCTAGGTATGAGCTACCTTGCCAGCATTCTCATCAGAGGTTCATAGAGTCTATGAGGGTTCCACTAATAGTCCCAAGTTTCTGCCTGCTACCTTTCTTAGTGGTTTTTAGGTGTTCTCTAGAATTGGGGCCACAGTATTCCTTCGCCCCAGGGCAGGGCTTTGTTTTTCAGGCCCCTGCCACCTGGCAGAGATCTTACAACCTATGGATGACAGGACTTCTGACATGGACTGCTTTTCAAAGTCTATTTCCACAATGTTTCAACCCCTGGAAGGGCCTCTGATGCCAAGGGTTACCTGAATCTCATGCAATCTTGTTGCACGTGGGTTTATATTGTGCTTGGGGGCTTCAAGCTACATTTAGGCTCATTCACTGGTCCTGGTCAGTCGCCAGGTCAGTAGCCGGGTCAATTTTCCCTTGACCTTGTTCAATACTGGCAATTTTCTTGGTAATCTCTCTTATCACAGTGATCATATGTGTAAGTAAATGCCCAATAAATATTTACTAAAGGAATTAAGTGAAGTTAAAACAAGAACTGATGCCAACACCCAAGCAGCACAGATCTTCATAGATACCCATCACTCAATAACCATTTGCTGATTTGAATGTTTGAATTGACTTGAACTACAATATGTCTGAGGAGATAAGATTTATAGATATGAAACAATTAAGGAGCAATAAGAGACAGCACACCTCAAACATGGTTTGGTACTGACTGCCCTGTGGATAAAGGAGACAGCCCTAGGGAACAGAGTTGTCAGCAAAAAAAAAGCTCATAGAAGATGAGGACTTGCAATGGACTTTGGGTCATTAATACCTCTCATGTTTTTCCAAATGATTTCTACAGTATAGCTACATCACACTCATTTTTAGAAAAATTAAAGAAGTTGAGAGATTAAAGCGTATTCAGAAGTGAAATAATATTTTTGTTCAAATTTGGCAAATATTGAATGCCTACTACATGCCATGCTCTGTTGCTAAGAATTGGGCATATCAAATGAACAAGAAAGACATGGTGGCCCTTTGGGGAACAATGTTGGTGTGTCTGTGATAAATAAGAAATCAAAGGACAAGGTAGCAAGTTCTAAAAAGGAATTATATGACAAGTACTATAATGGGAATCCAAAGAACAAGGGACATATGGGATATAGCTGGCCTTCCTGGCCGTGGCAGGGGTGGGAATACATTGGTAAGGAAATACTGCAGGACCTGAGTCTTAAAAAAGGACCTTCAGTTTACTGTGCAGGGTGAGAGAGAAAGGACTGAAAAGGAAATTGCAGGGCAATGACTTGCACTGCCAAAGAACATGGCATAGGTTGAGGCTGGCCAGGAGGGTTAAGGACAGGCTACGGAGTGCCTTCAGTACCCTGCCAAGATATCTAGAGAGATTTTGGAAACTTTGTGCTGCCTTGTACTTGTAGACTGTGGGTTCTAGCTGCTTTTTCTCTCCACTTTTCTTCTTCTCTCCTCCTTAGCATCCCACTTGCTCTGTCTCTGCTCAGCTCTTAATGCCTTGACTCATTCATGTGCAGGGACTAGCTCTAGCCAAGTCCAAATACAGGGCTGCAGGGCCTGCCAGCTCTCCACAAGGATGCCTGTGACCTCAGGCCACCTTGACTTTTTCCCTTTAGTTGGATTCTGCATTTGTTTCCATGGGAGTAAATCTAAAAGAAGGATGTCCCGTGATGCTCTTACAGAGTCAGAATGTTGGCTTTACACATCCCTAATGATGTCCAGAAAAGTTCAAAGCATTTTACTGTGTATAAGGGACAGGGCAGAATATGGTTCTCCCTGTGGATAAAACATGGTGTTTATTTCTGGCCTCTGGCTCCAGAAACATTTATTTCTAAAGATGGCAAAGGATCAAAGCCAAGCCTGTAAGTTATACCTCATATTCTATAGAGTTGTGTGATTCTTTTCTCTAAAATATTAGGCAATTCCACCTTCCATTTTGGCTTGGCAATGGTTTTAAAAATTATTTCCTTTGGGAGTCAGAGTGGCCTGACAGAAAGCACCTAAAAATTCACAAAACCATAGAGAAGATCATCCTTCCTTTTGGCCATATGATAAGGCAGTCTAAGAATCAGGTGCGTTTTTCTATTCCAGGAGTGGGCTCCACTTTTGAGATTTGCATGGTTCATTAAACCAACCCTGTGTCCTGCTGAGCCTTCCGGCTGTAAGCGCAGAACCCCCCACATGAGCATTAAGCTAATGAAATTCCCTGCCAGGAAAAATAGAGCCTAAACTAAGCTTGACACATCAAGGTTTCACCCCTCCAAGTATTTTAAAGGACATGATACAAGTTAGAGACCAAGTCAGGGTTTCTGCTTAACTCTTTGTAGGCCTGACCATCTGCTATGTGGTACATAAAGCCTGTCCCGGTGATGACTGAGTTTACAAAATGGCACTCTGCCCTCATAGATGTTTACCAAACAATACAACAACATCAACACTTTTCCCTTTTATGTTCACTTTGTTGTTTTTTTCATCTTTCCTAAAACATTTATTTTTAATTTCACATCTTCTAAATTTCGGATGGCACAGCCAAGTTTCATTGGAGGGTCTAGTCTCACTTGGTCTCCTACCCAGTGCTTCTTAAACTTTAGTGCATATGAATCCCTCAAAGGATTTTGCTAAAGAGCAACTTGTGACTCAGGAGGCTAGGGTGCACCTGAGATTCTGCATTTCTAACATGTTCTCAGGTAATGACAATACTGCAGGTCCATGGATCACATTAGAGGTAGTGTGATCATAGAATATTAATCTCCCTGTATGGACCAGGCATTGGGTAAGGTGGTGAGGATACAGGAGAAAAGAACAGAGGTGTAGCTTACATTCTTATACTCAGTATACAGTCCTGATCAGTTAATCAGTAAAACCTGACTTTATTCTTGATTGAGAATTAAGTGACCTAAACTTACACTCCTTCATCTAATTTTATCTATAGACTATTGATTTACTTATAAACAGAGTCTTCAAACTTTCCGGGAAATATGAAGTGGTCATCATTAACTCTGATTTCCCAAGATCGGTTACCTTTGGGGTAAATGAAACACACAATGATTTATTCCTGGAGGTGAATGCTTCCCAATCTTTTTTATTTCATGACATGATAGCAAGTAATGTTGGAGTGTCATCCTGACAGAAGCTCCTTGCCTCTGGAGGCAAGGCGGCCAATGGGAAGAAACTGGCCCATGGGCTGCCCAGTGGCAATCAATACCTTGGCATGACAGTAACCAATACAGTCAGCCCCGATTGACAAGCTCTGTTTTTTGGCTATAGTTCATCAGCTTCAGAAATTCATCTTTAAAATACAAATACCATGGGAAGAGTAACACCAAAGTCACTATCAGATAAGAGTCCTGTGGGAATTAGTTGAGAGCTAAGCCAGATACAAGAGGAACTTGGATAGGACCCAGAGTATGCCAAGGACAAAGGAGGGGTAGAGAGGATGGCAGAAGAAAAGGGATGGTGAAAAGACACCAAAGGTGGGTTCTTCACATTTTGCCAAAGACATGTCTGCTTCAGCACTGATCATGCTTGCTCAAAATATTTCCTCTTCCTTCAGCACATACTGTGAATCTACACAAAGATCAAGTATTAAAAAGTAAGGTGGGGCTGCGTACAGTGGCTCACGCCTGTAATCCCGGCACTTTGGGAGGCCAAGGTGGGTAGATCACTTGAGGTCAGGTGTTCAAGATTGGCCTGGCCAACATGGTGAAACCCTGTCTCTACTAAAAATACAAAAATCAGCCAGGTGTGGTGGGAGGCGCCTGTAATCCCAGCTACTTGGGAGGCTGAGGAAGGAGAATCACATGAGCTCCGGAGGTGGAGGTTTCAGTGAGCCAAGATCACACCGCTGCACCACTGCACTCCAGCTACTAAAAAAAACAAAATAATAAATAAACATGGATAGGCATCTGTCTTTGCATATTTTTCTCAGTGAGTTGAAAGGCAATGACTTTAAATCAAATATTCTTTTGCAATGTTCGATCATAAGGAATTAGCACCCAAACCCATGTGATGGATAATTGCCTCCTATAACATTTGTTTTCTTCTTTGTGGACCAAAGGTCAGCAAACATTTTCTGTAAAGGGCCAGATAGTAAATATTTTAAGCTTTGTATCCATACAATCTCTATAGCAACTATTCAACTACTGTGGCATCCATAGACAGCACATAAACAAGTGGGCATCCATGTGGACCAATAAACTTTATTTACAAAAACAAGTGGTAGGGTGTACTCGGCCTGTGGACTATAGTCTGTGGCCCTTCTTATGGAAGAACTCTATATGTTAATTAATCTAAAATAAAAGTTGAATATGGAAGAGAACAGAGCATACTTAATTGCAGGGCATGATGGACAATCACAGAGGTATGAAGACAGATTCTTCTCAGTGCCAGATGCTAAACACAAACACCCACCCAGGGCCTTTGGAAAGTGGTAGTAGGTTTGGCAAATTGCCCAGGGAATAGGACATAAGTGGGAAAATTGAGACTTAAAGAAATGGTCTATGAAATGATCCTGCTACGTCAACCTGGCTGATAGATTTGAAATTCTACTATTCTGCAAAAGTTTTTGTTTTTTCCAGAAGTTTCTCAGCAGCCATTTGTCATAGCAGTTGTTACATATAACATGACACTGACAACCAGTAGTTTGCAAAAATACTGCACAGTTGGCATAGGTTGTATTTTCATGTTTTACTAAAATTCTTCTTTGACCACATACCAATTTGTCTTCTTTGAGCCTATGAGACTATGCTCATTTGGATGTCTGTGGTTTATGAAGTGGGGCCATCTAGCTATTTAAATTGTACTTTGGGAGTTTCTCAAAAGAGGCCAGATATAGACACTAAATATTATGATCTCAAAATACAACAGATAGATAAGTGCACTTGTTAGGGTTGCAAAACATATGCACATTAACTATACATGTTATTTAAACATGTATATATTGAGAGGTCAACTTTTTCTTCCTGTGTGGCCCTACTTACATTAACTATTAAACTGCATTTTAAATGTAAATTAAAGGTATCTAAATACAAGCACTTTTATGTTAGTTGCACAAGTAACAATTTACTTCACTCAGTTATGCATCCATTTTTGTTTTGTTTTTACAGGAAGTGAAATCCCTGTCACCAGAGAGAACCTTAGGTAAGCCAGGGATTTCTCATTTGAAATAAGTGTGTTGTTCACATTATGCCTTTAAACATTTATCCTAAATCAACCCTTTAATCTAGGAGTCTTTGATCCTAGTTCTTTTCTAGAGTCTTCAATACCAGAGCTTCCCCCAAGTTATTCTTGTGTAAATCGATATCATGGATGTTAGAAGGCAATAAATGAACAATGCCACATCTAGTATTTATAACAACAGGGATTATTAACTTAATTACCTTATCCTTTTGAAATATCTGAAGAAGAATTATGACCTCTGGGACACCAGCAACAGTCTCCTAATCTATTTCTTAAGTTATAGCGGCAAAGTCTGCAGCAGGCATCCCTACGTGCTCTGGCTTATTGCAGTCACTATGGTGGCATTTAGTGGTGTTCTGTCTTCGCGGAATTCTAAAGGCAGATGCTTATTTCAGGAGTTTTCTATTTCATTCAGAAATGAAATGTCAAAATTAAATTTGGGGACCAATGTGGAAGCATCAACTTTTAATTTTGTCAAATGAGAACAATAATCATTTTTTATCATATTCATAACTTCAAAAAAGAAAGACATTTGAACATAAAAATAGTAAGTAGAAAATAAACTCAAACTAAAGAACAAATCTTTATGGAAAAACTCCGTACATTGTCTTTATCTTGTTTTTTCCATATAGATTGGGAAGAAAATGCATAATTGATAACAAAGATGAAGGGAATTAGAAAATCTAAAAATCTTAAATAAAATCAGAAGGGTCATTTGCTGTGTTTAGATAAAAATCATTTGACAGTATTCCTTTATAGTAAGTGAAGTTAAAAGAGCGAATGATTTAAGGGTTTTAAAAAAATCTGCCCCTTCAATTACTGTAATTCTATGGGACATGTTCCTTCAATAGGATAAGACTGTTCTTAGAACATCATCCCTAAAATTAGACTGCAGGGAAATTTATCTCAGTATTTTCTAAACTTTTCAGGTGGTCAAATGAAAGTCATTATTCAAGAGGTTATTAATATGGTGATTTTAACTGGTAGCGATAATAATAACCATATATAAATGTTAAAGAATGGCAGTCCTATATAAAACAATATTTCCTGGTAAATCTATTTTTAAAACATTTTAGACGGAAAATTATCATACCCCACAGAACAAAAAATTTGCAAAAGATGTTTTCAACTCCTTTCCTATCCAATTCTCATTTCCTGTCTACTGGCCTCAGGGGTATAAGCCAAGCAAAATTTCAAAAGCTCTTGGAAAAACAGAAGCTGTGTGTGTGTGTGTGTGTGTGTGCATGTGTGTGTGTGTGGGGTGGGGAGGTGGAAGGCCATTAAAAGAAAAACAGATTTAAAATGTCCCTTTTTGGGGTAATTTGCGTATCTCTTGCAAAGGCTCAGACACACACACTCTCTGGCTTTGTGAATTTCCCTGTGATTGCAGAGGCTGATTGATGATGTGCTGTGATGAGAGAATCCAGTGGAAGCATTCACTGAAGGAACAGAAATGATTTGGGAGACACTGAAGTGATCTTATCATTTGGGTTATCAATAACTAAGCCTCTATAAATATCAACACTTCATCCATTACATAGTGAAAAACACAGAGGCTACCAACTGGGATCTGGACTGGGTGTAATGCAATGATTCAGTATCCTTTGGAGTTGGAGGGCCCGGCTGAGAGAGGGCCACAGAGTGGAGCTGTGGAGTCGAAATGGGTGGGAGCAGCCGCGCCCACAGTTAGGGGTCAGTGTGTGTTCAGACACTACAGTGAGCATCTCTGCGAGGATGGGTTTATGCAGAAAGAAGAGGGATCATGAAAAGTGCAATCCCTGTGTCCTGAGATACTCCAGCAGTATAGGAAATTGACGTTAGTGTCTATGGTTTCCTGTCAACGGGGAATCTAAGAGAAAAGTGTTAAAAAAGCCACTTGTTTCAACTATAAAGAGATGTTACCCAGATTTCTCACTCTGTAAGTGCCAGGGACAAACATATGACAGGCAGAACAGGACGTCAGAGAACAGTAATGCTAAAAGATAGGAATAGGATGTGTGTAAAATATTCCCTCAGTACATTGCTGCTAATCTGTCAGGAGGAGTGGGGCTGGCTAATGAGGTAATGAAAGAAGAATAATGCAAATTATAGTTCATATTTACTATGAAATGATTCTGTTTCAGGCTCTATGCTCAAGGTTCTATTCAGTCACCAAACCTGTGCTTCTGAAAGAGGACAGCGTAGATTAATAAGGAAATCAGTTATTGGTAGCTGCCTTTTGTTATCAACACTGACAAATTTGCTGTCTTTACTATGCCTTCCAAGTGACTAATATCAGTAGATTTGGTTAATAGAAAGAGTGAAGTCTAAATACTGAAAAAGAATAAACAAAATGCAGATAAATATTTTGAAATGATTCAGATTGGGAAAGTCCTAATACCACTGCTAAGCTTTCAACATTTTCCTTGCCACAGAATGATTCCTCTGAGAACAAAGTAATTGTTGACTTCAAAGAACTCTGAGGAAGTTCAGTGGATGGAAAGAATTTGGCTAGCAACAGGATGAATCAAATCTAGATTTTTTCCTATCACTAGTATATGTGTGTGTCTGTGTGTGTGTGTGTGTAGAGCACATGAATATTTCCATACAATTTAACTCACTACCTAAAGTGTTTCTCAATATTAAAAATGCACTGAAGAATGGAAATGCCCTTCCTATTTGGTAACTACTCCAAAGATGCCTTGGAGTTGTTCCATACCTGGGCTACACCTACACTCTATTAATTATGGAGAGTACTGTTCCCCAAATCTAGCTGGGCCCCAGAATCATATCAGGACCTTTAAAAGTATTTATTCTTTTATCATAGTCCTACTGAATTGGCTTCTTCAGAGGTGGAGGTGGAAATATATATATTTGTGCAAGTGATGCTGAAAACAGTCTGGGTGTACACTTACATTTAATTCAGGTTGGCAGTGAATCTTGTGAGCCACTCATCTAAACAGCTCAATTGACAGGTTAAGTGACTGCTACCTGTTCCAACTGAAGTTATTCCCTCAATAACAGCAGATCTGTGTAGACCCCATCAAGGACTTTAACAGTAATTGATTGACCCTCCATACTCACTTGATTGACCCTCCATACTCACCACCTGAGACCCTGCTTTTCATTCTTGCATTTCAAAGAACATGTTCCACTGTGAAATACCAAGATATCTTGGCCAACCTGGCCTTGAAATTGCCTGGCTGTTGGAAATGATGCCCCCACAATGGATTTGGAGAATACACCTTAATATATGCCCTCAGCAAGATAGGTTTCAAATAAGCGACTCAAACCTGGAAGCCTCCCACATGGTACATGAGACATTACAAATAAGCTCTTGGTTCTGTTGATTCTTCCTCTTTTAGTTTTCTATGTTTATACAGTTTTCTTGGTTTTAGAAACCTCCTCACTATAAACTCTGCTTATCAGCCTATTCTAGCTCTCCACCACACAGAATTGCATGCATGAGACAAGAGCAACCTGCCTGCTGAAAGCCTGAGACCACAGTCGCTTAGATTTTTAGGGGGCACTAAGTGTCACTGGAGGACAACCCACTTCAATTATGGTTTTTCTTACTTTCTTTCTTTCTTTTTTTTTTTGAGACAGAGTCTCACTCTGTTGCCCCAGCTGGAGTACAGTGGTGATCTTGGCTGACTGCAACCTCTGGCCTCCCGGGTTCAAGTGATTCTCCTGCCTCAGCCTCCCAAGTAGCTGGGATTACAGGTGCCTGCCCCCACGCCCACCTAATTTTGTATTTTAGTAGAGACAGGGTTTTGCCATGTTGGTCAGGCTAGTCTTGA
Organism: Homo sapiens; assembly: GCF_000001405.40. Classification (NCBI taxonomy): domain Eukaryota; kingdom Metazoa; phylum Chordata; class Mammalia; order Primates; family Hominidae; genus Homo; species Homo sapiens. Next base: position 105,512,267 of record NC_000006.12, read on the forward strand.
ACTCCTGACCTCAGGTGATCCACTTGTCTTGGCCTCCCAAAGTACTGGGATTGCAGGCATGAGCCACCACACCCGGCCAGTTTTTCTTTTCTTTAAAAGTATTTCATCAGCATCTCATATGGTGTGTTTGTGAGTTTGGCAGAGCACAGCAAGGCATTTCAAGATCTCAGCATTCGTTTCTTGCTTGGAGAGACAGGAAAAGGTGCACTTGTTCTCATCCCTGGGGAAATGGTCCCTCATGAGTCAAAAATGCTTTGTTTCTGGTCAAGGCAGCTTCAGAGATACCGACACTGCCTTTCTCTTCCTAGTCCAATCACCCCCTTCCTTTTGGGTCTCAGCAGGTATAGAAGTTGAGAAGACTGAATTCACTGTTGAATTCATTCACCTATCAATTCACCTCAACAATGATTTCTCATTGTCATGTGCCAAGCACTTTGAGGAATACAAGGTAATCCATGGAGAGAATAAATTATATATAATTTCCAATGCAAAGTAGAAAGGGGTTTGTAGCATGAAAGAGGAAAACAAAAATTGCTATGTGAGCTTTGTGGTCAGAGCTCATATATTATATAGTGGAAGAGAAGGTTAAGGGGAAAGCTTCCCTTTCTTTCTTTCCCTATATCCAGTCCCCCAACTCTAAAGTATTGGGTGTAACATAACTTTTGGAATGCCTATAAGGTCTTACGTTTCAGGAATCTCTGTGACAATGCCAGCATTTGTGGGGTTCAGGAAGACTGAGGCCAGCTTTGCAGTAGAATGTTGCAGAATCACCTGGGAAGTTTGGGGAGCAAAAATATTCTTGCTTGGACCACAGAGATCGGGATTCACAGCCCTAGGGTGGGTCCCTCATGTCATCTCCAGGTACATGTGCAAAATTCTCCCAGGAGTTAGGCTAGTATCTCTCCACAGAGAGCCACAACACTGACTTAAACTGATTTTATGTTTCCTGCAACAGCAAATCCAGAAGATAGGAAGAAAAGTAACAGTTGGCCATGTAGCAGCACAAGCTTTATGGCATTTAGTGCTCACATTAAACCCATCTCACAGATGGAGAGACACATTGAGAAAAAGACCAAGTTGTTGACCTACAGTCATAGGTGGTCAGTGATAGAACCTGGCTATCCACTCAGATTTCCTGATTCCAAGTCCAGTGCTATTCCCTTGTCACCTCACAATGTGCATAGTAGTTATTCAATTAGTATCCATTGAAAGGAATTGAATCAGAGACAAAATAGTGCTTCCAGAGCACTGGTGAAGAAAGCCGCCCTTGTGGCACCTTTTCTCAGAACAGGGCTCCCAGACATTGATGCCTGGGTGATCTTTCACTGGGGCACCTAGGTGATCTTTCCACAGACACAGCTAGATGGCATCTGCAGCCAGTGGCGGGGAGCTGGAGCCCTTCCCAGTCTAGCCATCACGACATCTTTTTTTCTTTTTCAATTCTGTCATTCTAACAATGGCTGAGTAGAGGTTCAGGATGATGTTGGCAAAAGATCTTTTCCTGGGCCTCCCCTTTGAAACAGAGAAAGGGAGAAGCCACCATAGAAGGTCCTTCCCACTGTTTTTCCCTTCAAACTTACCTTCATTTGTAAGGGTGGCCTGAGCAGAGCTCACCCTGATTTCTGAACAGGTTATGCCATCCATCAAAGATGCAAGCATCATGTGAATAATTGAGGTAACTGGGAACTTTGCACCTGTAGCCAAGGCAGAGTTTTCTGCAGTGCATATTTACAATGTAGTTTTCCTTCAAGATATTAAAAATCATATTTATCTTTTATTTCAAGTCATTTCTACTGATAAAGGATGTTTTTATAATAATCTGCAAATCAATTGCAGAAGAAAGAAAATTGAGTACTGGATGCATACGTTGACTAATATCTACATGAAAATTTTTGGCTTGAGGTATTTAGAGGAAAAAATTCAATTATTATTCTTCTTCTCATTAAATATTTTCTGTACCCTGAGATAAAAAATGTTTATAAGCTTTATTTCCCCTTCACAGTTCAAAGTCTTTATCTTGATTAATCTGATCTTTTGGCTTTCTTCTTCGATGCTATGATTCATTGGTTTCCTGTCATTTCACTCTGCAGAGAGTCTGGTTTTCCCATTGACAGCCTGCCATATAGTCTCGGCAACAAGAATTAGCCTGAAGTAATTTGGGGCTGTTACTGTGGCTCTCTGACTTGTTTGGATCTACAGGGAGATGGCCATGACCAAACAAAACAACAACCAAAGGAAAGCTACCAGGTCCTCCTGTATTTGGACAGCCCAGATGTTATTTACAGCCTTGTTTATGAAGTATTTTCTTGACCCCGCTGGCTAGGATCCACACACTTTGTCCTTTTAGAGCCCACACGTCCTGTCACATGGTGACAATGTGCCCTGAACAAGTAAACAGGCTGGAAGACTATTATAACAGTAGAAAAATCTTTTGGCGTAACATCGTGCTCCTCCACTCCACCTCTAAAAAGGACAAAGGAAAGCATGGAGGAAGAGAACCAAGGACTGCTTTAGTTTTAGATTTTCAAATGACCGTAACTCATGCCACCATTTTGAAACTCCTACTATGTGCAAGGTGCTGTGAATAAAGAAGTTACATAGTCCACAAGCCCATCTCTCCATGACCTCAGGCTCCCATTCTAGTGGTATTAATGAGCCCAGTGGACCACCTACAATCTGAGGGCATGGTTGCTTTAACACACTTGGGCAGGGGTACCAAATATTCTCAGTATTACAAATAATCTGTGCACCCTACCATTTTTCAGTGACCATTATTTATCCCATTATAAATAATATTGAGAATATAGGGACTCTCACGTGTCTCAAATTAGGATAAAAATTAACTAAATTACAGTCTGTCCCTACAATAGAGGGCTTTGCTGTCCTGTTTACTTCTACTACCAGCAGAAGTCTCCTTGGTCAAACCTCCTCCCCAGCCTCTTACCCAGCATGGCAGGGTACACTCTGTAATCTGATTCCGTCTCCCATTGTTCTGATCCTTTCCCACACCCCTCTACTAGGCTGTTGCCAGCAGACTCCTCTGTCTTGAATACGTGCTTGGAACATCCTTGTTCTAACTGAAACCTGAAAAGTACCTGAGAATTACGCAGCCCACTGGGCCCTCTTAGGAGAACGTTGTTGCTTTCTTACCTCTGGCTCTCACAGCGCCTGAAGGTGCATTGGTACCTACCTTGCTCCTCTCTTGAAATCTGCAGTTCTTTTGATGCTTACATGCCATAAGAATCTGGCTGCTATTCATACTTATTGCTGTAATTAACTGACAGCCTCGTTATTCTTTCTCACTCACTAAGGGTTTTGGCACGTGACTCCCTACCTTTCCATCTACCACCTCTCCTGACATCATTCTTTAGGACTTTAACACCCCCATAGGTGATCATCTAATGTCCTGTCTTCAAAGTTCCCTGCTATCATCAGTTCTTTTTTTTGAGACAGGGTCTCGCTCTGTTGCCCAGGCTACATGGCTCACTGAAGCCTTGACCTCTTAGGCTCAGGCAATCCTCCTGCCTCAGCCTCACTAGTAGCCAGGACTACAGGCACACACCAGCACACCTAGCTAATTTTTGTAGTTTTTATAGAGACAGGGTTTCGCCATGTTGTCCAGGCTGGTCTTGAACTCTTGGGCTCAAGCAATCTACCCTCCTTGGCCTCTCAATGTGTGGGATTATGCATGAACCACCGTACCCAACCTAAGCTCAGTTCTGATGCTCATTTCCTTTACAACCCCATTTCCAGCCTCTTCAGTGATTTTACCCTAGAATTTACATAATCAATTAATGCACTGCCTCCAACATTTCTGGCTTCCCACTCTCTGTCCACCAACTGCTTTTCCAGCTCACTTACTGTAGTACCATTACTCCATTTAGGGTACGCCAATCTATGTGCCTTACCATTTTTCAGTGACCATTCTCCATCCCATTACATGTCCTATATCTCTTTTCTTATTAGACTCTATGGTTCATTGAGGTAATCACTTCTTTGCATATGCCCTCAATTCTTAAAGTGAATTGAAGAGTATCTCCCCCAAATCCACGTCTACTCAGAGCCTCAGAATATGACCTAATTTGGAAATAGGGTCTTTGCAGATATAATGAGTGAAGATGAAGTCTAAATTAGGGTGGACCCTAAATTCAATAACTGGTGCACTTATAAGAATAGAAGAAAGATACAGGAAACATAGACACAAGGAAGAGGACCATGTGAAGATGGAGCTAGAGAATGGAGTTTTATGCTGCCACAAGCCAAGGAATGCCAAAGACAGCTGGCAACACCAGAAGACAGGAGACAGTTACCCACTCCATTACTTCCTTCTCCTTTATAATAAAACTCCTCCAAAAAGTTGTCAGTATTAAATCTCTCACATCAACCTACTTCCATCATGTCTTCATTCCTATCAATAATGTTCATTTTGTCAAATGCAGTGGTCAGTTTTAACCCTCATCTTAGAGACTTCTTAGCAGCATTTGAAGCAGTTGACCACAAAATCTTCTGTAAAACATATTTTCTTCAATTGGCTTCTTGGATATCTGTTTTCATATCTTCCTCTATACTCATTGGACTCTCATGCTTGGTTTCTAAGTATCTGAATGGCAGAGCAGCCAGGGTTCAATCCTTTGAACTCTGCCTCTGTACCTACATTCATGCGTTCATTAGGTAATCTCATCCTGTTTCATTATTTAAAAACCATCCATATATGTGAAAAGGTGCTCAACATCATTGATCATCAGAGAAATTCAAATCAATACTACAATGAGCTATTCCCTCACCCTGGTTAAAATAGCATATATCCAAAAGACAGGTGATAAACAAATGCTGGCAATGATGTGGAGAAAAGGGAACCCTCGTACATTGTTGATGGGAATGTAAATTAGTACAGCCACTATTGAGAATAGTCTGGAGGTTCCTCAAAAAACTAGAAATTTAGCTACCATATGATCCAGCAATCCCACTGCTGGGTATATAGACACAAAAAAGGAAATCAGTATATCAAAGAGATATCTGCTGGCCTATGTTTGTTGCAGCACTGTTTACTACAGCTAAGATTTGAAAGCAACCTAAGTGTCCATCAACAGATGAATGGATAAAGATGGTACACATACACAATGGAGTACTATTCAGTCATAAGAAAGATTGAGATCCAGTCATTTGCAACAACATGGGGTAGAACTGGAGATCATTACGTTAAGTGAAATAAGCCAGGCACAGAAAGACAAACATCACATGTTCTCACTTATTTGTGGGATCTAAAAGTCAAAACAATTGAACTCATGGACATGGAGAGTAGAATGGTTACCAGAGGCTGGGAAGGGTATTTTGGGGGCTGTGAGGGAGGCGGGGAAATGGGTACCAAAAAAAAAAAATAGAAAGAATGAATAAGATTTACTGTTTAATAGCACAATAGGGTAACTATAGTCAATAATAACAATAATACATTTAAAAATAACTTAAAGAGTGTAATTGGATTGTTTGTAACTCAAAGGATAAATGCTTGAGGGGATGGATACCCCATTCTCCATGATGTGCTTATTTCACATTGCATGCCTGTATCAAAACTTCTCATGTACTCCATAAATATATACACTTATGTACCCACAAAAAATTTTAAAGTGTTAAAAAAAATTAAAATGTTTATTAGCAGGTAAAAAAATAACTAAAAAATACAAAATAAAAACCGTCCATATGCTACTGACCCAGATGTTATCTACAGCTCCTCAGAGCTCTAGAATCATGGGTAACCAATGTCCTATTCAACATTTTCACTAATAGACATATCAAATTCAATCTGTACAAAACCAGACTTGATTTCCTCACTTACCAAGTTCAGTGCTCCCCCATTCTTCCCCATCTCGTTTATCCCTGTCTCATTCTGCCCAAAATGTTAGATATTCATTATCCTGGGCTCCTTTACATCATTCCACATCCAAATCTAGCACCAAACTTTGTGAGCATTACTTTCAAATCATGTACCCTTTTAGCATCTCTGCAACTACCACCCTGTCCCAAACCCCATGTCTCTTGTCTGTTACTGAGTCAGCAAGATGCCTCCCAACTGGCTTTTCCCATTAGACTCATTTGCTCTTGTCTTATTGTTTGCTCCTCATACATTATCCAGGATGGTCTTATTAAAATATGAATCAGATCATGTCATTCCCCTGTATAAAATGTCCCAATGACAATTCCATTATACTTGGAATAAAAGCCATACTCCACACGGTGGATCCCAAGACCATACATGGTCTGGCCCCTCCCAGTCTCTCCAACTCATTTCCTCCCCCTCTGCTCCAGCCATCTTTGCCTTCCTGACATTTCCACTAGGGCAAGTGCATCTCGAGTTCAAGGTCTTTGTACTTGTAGTTGTCTCTGTCTGGGAGGTTTTTCTTCTCTGATATCTGTATGTCTTATTCCCTCACTTTACTCAGAAACTTTTCTTAACTATTTCCTCCTCAGAGAGGCCTTATCTGATCATATTATTTAAAATAATATTGCATCTATACCATATCCAATCATTTTCCATATCCTACTTTGATTTATGTGTTTTTGGGGTGATATTTATTGGTACTTGAAATTATATACATATATATTTTTTAATTTTTATTTTTATTTGAAGTCCTGGGGTACATGTGTAGAATGTGCAGTTTAGTTACATAGGTAAACATGTGCATGGTGGTTTGCTGCACCTATCAACCCATCACCTAGATATTAAGCTCAGCATGCATTAGCTATTTCTCCTAATGCTCTTCCTCTCCCCACCCGACCCCCCGACAGGCCCCATTATATGTTGTTCCCCTCCCTGTGTCCATGTGTTCTCATTGTTCAGCTCCCACTTATAAGTGAGAACATGTGGTGTTTTGTTTTCTGTTCCTGCGTCAGTTTACTGAGGATAATGGCTTCCAGCTCCATCCATGTCCCTGTACAGGACATGATCTCATTCCTTTTCATGGCTGCATAGTATTCCATGGTGTATATGTACCACATTTTCTTTATCCAGTCTATCATTAATGGGCATTTGGGTTGATTCCATGTCTTTGCTATTGTGAATAGTGCTGCAATGAACATATTCATGCATGTATCTTCGTAATAGAATAATTTATATTCCTTTGGTTATATACCCAGTAATGGGATTGCTGGGTCAAGACAATAATATATTATATTTATTTACTTACTGGCTTATTACCTGTCTTTTTTATTAGAACATAAATATCAAAGGGCAGGGGCTTTGTCTTGCTCACTATTTTAACTCTAGAAGCTTAAACATGGTTGTCATTAAATAAATATTTAATTAGTTGAGTAAAATTTCTGTTTACAAAAAATTTAAGAACATGGAGAAAATGTATAAAATAACACTAATAATCAAATCGCTAATAATCACTGGATATATGCCAGGGAGTCTGCAAAGTACTTTACAAATATGATCTCTTTAATCCTTGTATCAACCTGAGAGGTAAGGTATTATTATTTCAATTCAACAAATGAAGAAAGGAGAGTTTAAAAAAAGTTTAAGAAATTTACTGCAGCCAAACAGGGGAGTGGGGCATGTTCCCTTCTGGGTCACACTATGCGCCTCCATGGATCCCTCAAACCCAGGAGGTCATCTCAAACCCTTTATTCAGAGACAACCACCTTCTAGGCCGAGGCTTTCTACCTAGCAGAGTAGCACCCTCACTGTGGACACAATTAAACAAACAAATGGATGAACAAACATCTAACTTGCCTATGGCCGTACAGTAGTAGGTCAAATAACTGAAATTCTAACCTGAAATTGACTGGTGTCAAAGCCCGAGGATTCAATATCTCAACCATGTAAATGTTTATTCTTATTTATGGTAGAAAAGGGACTGGTTATGTTTCCCGTAGTATGCTGGAGTAGTACCCTAGGTGGCTCTCCTGACTAAAACAAAATATTGGACAGAATAAAAATGCTGCATTGAGCTGGCACAAAAGTAAGGAATTCACTAAGCACATAAAAGAAGGGAAACTAGCAACCCTGGGAGGTAACCAGATGCTGGAGGCTCTTAAACTGGGGAATTCTGATTAAACCTGGAAACCTTGGTTGTTGCTTGAGGTTCAGGGAATGAAAGATAAACCTCAGACCTCTGCCAAGGTGAGGAATCCTTGTATAAAGTTAGGAGAATCTCAAGTGGTTGCATCCTCTATGAAAAGCTGCTGAATGAGAAATAAAATCCACTGTTCAGGAAAGCTACAAAATAACTTGCTTCATAACTTTTGGTTTTGAAAAGAAGGGAAAAAGATCTTCACTGAAAATGCATAATCATATTAAAGTCCCATGAAAGATGACCTGTTAGAATTCATGCCTTCAAGCTGAGAATTGAATTAAATAATTTTTATTTGGTAGCACTTCCAGGTAACTAGCAGAAGTAGACATGAATCCACTATAGAGGAATGGAAGTTCAATTCAGGTCTCAAATAATTTTTGCAGAAAAGGTTTTAAGAGAAATGAGCCACTTATAGTCACAAATCACACACACAAAGCAACATAAAGGAGAATTTCAAAGAGCGGACAATAGTCACAGACTCCGAAAGACTCAACCAGCTTGATTTATCAATGCTAAATAGAAGTTATACTTAATGTTAAAAAAAAGATAAGTTGGAAATTGAAAATATGAACAGAGAAAAGGCAGAATTTTTTTTGAGGCAGAACTTCTAGAAATTAAAAAGGTAATACTTGAAAATAAATTTTGGCTGATGACTTCATTAGCAGGTTGAATAGAACTGGATAGAACATACTGAGATGGAATATGGAGCTCTAGTCCAGACAGGCAGGGGTGAACTGCTGAGCCAACAGGTTTATTAGAGGGGGTAAGGGACAAGTGAGGGACAATAGCCCAGGGCATTCTAGCAGGCTGTATGGAAGCTGAGAATCTCAGATCTCAAGTTACTCCAGCAGCAGGCTAAGGATGGGGCCATCAGGATGAACAGCTTCCAGATGATAACAGGCAGCTCTGCAAAACAGCAGATACTACGAGCATTCACCAAAAGCAGCATTCACCAAAGGCCCAGCATGAGAATAGGATGTCCTTTTTCCCTAATGTTACAAGGACACATAAACAACACATCTCCCTCCATATATTTGGACTCCCTGCTAAGGGGCAAGGGGCCCTGAGAGCTCAAGCATTTTTATCAAAATGAGGTACTATTACCCGACTTTTAAAAATTTTGCAAATAATATCAATATTAAATCAGAATGCAAATTTAGTTAATTTTTAAACACACAGTGGCTAGGGTTATGAGTAAAACGATATTAATTTCAGACAAAATTACAGAGCTACATTTTTCTGCCACATCTCCATATATGACATCTCTACATTTGTATGATTTATTTTTTTTTTGAGACAGAGTTTCACTCTTGTTGCCCAGGCTGGAGTGCAATGGCGTAATCTTGGCTCACTGCAACCTCCGCCTCCTGGGTTCAAGTGATTCTCCTGTCTCAGCCTCCCGAGTAGCTAGGATTACAGGCACTTGCCACCACGCCTGGCTAATTTTTGGCATTTTTAGTAGAAACAGGGTTTCACCATGTTGGCCAGGCTGGTCTCAAACTCCTGACCTCAGGTGATCTGCCTGCCTCGGCCCCCCAAAGTGCTGGGATTACAGGGGTGAGCCACCACGCCAGGCCTTGTATGATCTTTTATTTAAATTGGCTAAAATTCCATCTAGTTACTTTTTTTCTTCGCCCAGGCTGGAGTGCAGTGGTGTGACCTTGGCTCACTGCAACCTCCACCTCCTGGGTTCAAGCAATTCTCCTGCCTCAGCCTGCCGAGCAGCTGGGATTACAGGCGCCCGCCACCACGCCCAGTTAATTTTTTGTATTTTTAGTAGATACGGGGTCTCACCATGTTGGCCAGGCTGGTCTCGAACTCCTGACCTCAAGTGATCTGCCTGCCTCAGTCTCCCAAAGTGCTGGGATTACAGGTGTGAGTCATTGTGCCCGGCTCCATCTAGTTACATTCAAATCTAGTTAGTTCTCTTCCTCGTACATTTATAATATTGAATGGAAGATAAAACTAAAGATATAGTGGAAAATTGTTTTATTCCAAGTTTCACTGTTTCAGTGTTCCTGAGACCTCCAAGTAGGGCTTGAGAATGTAAGTTTTATGCAGCACTCCTTTATGCACCACTCAGATCATGAAGTGTGTAATAAATTGTTTGATTCTTTGTGCGTGGTCCAGAGACCTGCCTTCAGTAAACCTTTTAAGTAATTTCACAAGTTTGGTAAGGGGAGGCTAGAGGAGACAGAGATCCAGAAATAAAGTTTCTTTTTTCTGCTTCTGTGCAAAATTCCTGGCCCCTAGATGTCAGAAAGGAGAGGGCATTTTGAGTAGGTTTGGAGTAAGAGTTGAGACACTAAGACAGACCCTGCAATACCCTGGTCATCATTGCATCCTCTGTTTCAGGGCAGTCATTTGGAATGAATAAAAAGACAACTGACTGAGTAGCAGAAAGAGGGGTCTTCGCATCCCAAACCAGTGCCCGTGATAGGTAGGTGATGAAAGGCCCACAAATGTGTAAACACAGATGCTGACATGGAGATGCTGAGTCATGACTCAATGACTGTGATGTTATTATCTATTTTGCTGACTCATTGGGGCTAGTTGTTCTATAGTTTTACCTGTCCCATTGGCCGGGGGTTTATCAATATATGACTTGCTCTGAAAGAATTCCTAAAATTATTCTGTAGCAGAGGGATATGATGGGAGGAAAAAAAGTTTTCTTTCTGGCAGAGACTCAATGGCTGTACTCTAAGTAAGGAGGAAAGATCAGTATGGATGTATCATTTTAGCTCATATATTTCATATCTCACTCATTCTTGAATCAAAAGTATAACTTACAGAGAAACTCTGGATGAGTATGTCAGAATCTCACAGAGTGAAACTGAGGAGGTGTGGTAGATGTTGCTAATTCCAGTCTTCTACTGTAGGAGAAACTGTTCCTGTCTCCATGGCCTCCACCTCACATAGGACTTTCTCCTACCAGCCCTGCCTGGGAGGAGTGGTAGGAGTCCAGTCCCTTAGGAGGGCATGTGTTCTTCTCCAGATCAAGGGCTTTCTTTGTTACAAGGGAACCTGATGCTTGACTCATGTGGTTTATATCCAGTTTAACTCTCGGGATCACCTACGACAAGTTTTCCCCCAATCCAAACAGAACCCTTGTCATCACCTGTATTCTCTTCACTACGTTCAACTGTTATCTCTGGTGACTCTTACTACAATCTGTCCAAATTTGGCTAACATTCTAGTAGAAGTCTGTTTTCTGACTTGTAATTTTCTTGCTTTGAAATTTGTCTGTACTCCGTTAAATTCTATCTTAACTGCCACCACTAGAAAAAAAAAAAAAACTATTTCAAAAATAGTACAAAAGCTTTGGGAAAGTGTCAGAAATGTTTATAATTAAATTTGGCCTGATACGATGCTAACTTAATATTAGATTCACCACAAGCTATAAGGAATGAATGAACAAAATAAATAAAATTTTAAACTGATATAACTGAAAGCAAGAAAGATGGGCTCTTTCTTAAAAGAAGAGGTATGACAATCATTTCTTACCTCCTTTCAGTTAATGACAGTCTATCCAATTTCTTAAATAGCTCTAAAAATGTATTTCCACCTCTACATTTCTACCATCACTTTTAGTTAAGATTTCATTATCTCTTGCCTGCATTCTTATGAGATAAAAAAAAGTAGAGAGTAAAGGGAAAGAGACCAGTTATTGGAGGCTTACTATGTGTTGGGCAGTTTGGTATACGGAGATAAAGGAATGAATAAGACACAGCCCTTGTCCTTAAGGAGCTCATAGTCTTAAGGGGAGATACATGCAAACAAGTAATTGTTTTACAGTGTGATTAAGATGACAATAGTGACAGTATGAGATAAAGCATTAGCACTGAGGAAGAAATAACTAAGTCCTGTCTAGGGGTGTTAGAGAATCCCTTCCAGAAGTCATGCCTGAACTGGCAGTTAAGGGAGTAGGGCAAGGCAACCCAGGAAGAAGGCACAGACAGATACTTGGCCTGCTGCAGATGATCCAGGCTGTGCCTGTCTTCTCCATCCTTTATCTCACATACGTGAGCTTGGGCAACCTCAAAATGCTTATGGCTTTCCCAGAGATTCCATGTGGTTTCATGCCTTTGTACTTTTGTGTGTTTTGCTCTCTTCATTTTCTACCTTTTCCTGTAAGTAGTGATAGTTAGGGAAAGTTTTGAACAAAGGAGGAACATGATCAAGCTTCTATTTTAGAAATAGAGAAAGCTTGATTTTAGAAATCAAGCTTCTATTTTTGTGGTTTTGTTGGGGATGAATTGAAAGAGAAAAAGACGATAGTTAGAGAAACGAATCACAATCCTGCTACAAGAGTTAATGAGATGCTAGACTAAGGAAGTTGCGGTGGAAAGGAAAGAACTGCGTGGATATGAGAGATGATAAAAGGTGGATTCAAAGAGACTTGATGATTTATTGCGTGGGATGAGTAGGGCAAAGGAAGAACAGCATGGAGTGAGAAGAATCTATGATGAACCTTAGTCTCTGTCCTAAGACGTTGGGTGCTTGGTGTTGCCACCAACCAAAGTCAGAAATAGCAGATGAAGAACATATACTGGGGGAATGTTAATTTCATTTTTTGACATAAATGGTCATGTAGGTGACTTGGTTAGAGGTGACAGGAAGTAGCTGGATTTGTGGCTAGAGTTCAGGAAAGAGCTCTGGGGTAGGGATTTATATTGGGAGGCTTCATCAAATAAGGCGTAGTTTAAATAAAGGGAATGCATTTAAAAAGTAGAGAAAATATGGGTGAAACTCCTGGTTTGTGACTGAGGTGACTGATTGACATAGTTGACTTCTACGGGGAGGGACTCACTGCTATTGTAGAATGTTTTTTAGGAGTAGCCCAGCTGGACAGAATGCTACAGATACCAAAATAAAATAGGTGCCAGTTTTTTCAAACTGAGGTGACTGAGAATGATCCATCTGGCATAGGAAACGTCCACCTTCCCGGACTGAGGCCCTTAAGCACTTTCATCCTGCAATTAAGATTATCTGGATGCAAGAAAATATGATAGGTGTGTCTGACTGAGATGATTTGCAAATAATTTAATGATTGAGGTACTTTCCTCTCTAAGTAATTACAGGAAGACTTACAACCTTATGAAAGACACCAGGTTATGAAATTATTTTGAAATAAAGTAGGTATGAGTGTAATAACAATAAAAACAAAACAATAGTAGTCTTATAGTCTGGTAAAAGAGGTCCAGAAGAATGCCCATATTTCTCTAGTGCTATTCTAGATAGGGCTATATCCACTTGCCAACACAATGTATTGATGGAGTTAGCAGGAAGAGAAGATCTCAGAATAGTAAAGAGAGACACACCCAGCAACTGTAGTGAAATAAAAATCTCTTAAAATCACTCAGCTACATTTATTCTAATGAGCGCATAGTAAAGACTTAACAAATGCTCGTTAAAGGAATTAATGACTTATTGTTTATTAAGCAATCTTCTAACCTTAATTTGCTTTTCCAAGTAAATTTCCCTTTTGGAAAGAGAAGATGTTGACTATCAGATAGGTAACTGTTGTCAAGGAGATGTCTCCTATGTATCTGGCACATAGTAAGTGTTCAATAAATATTTGAGGGAGGAAAGAAAGTATGGGAAAAAGATGAGGAAGAAAAGGAATGAAAGGTTAGTTAAATTAGTTTTCCCATACATACTCATTCTCAAGACCTTGAGCTGTCTAAACTTACGCTCTAGAATTGTACTTTTTAACTTAGGTTGTGTCTGAATTACTTGAAATGCTTAAAAATAGAGACTTCGCTGGGTGCGGTAGCTCACATCTGTAATTCCAATACTTTGGAAGGATTGCTTGAGTCCAGGAGTTTGAGATCAGCCTGAGCAAGACAGTGAGACCCCATCTCTACAAAAAATAAAAAAAGTTAGCCAAGCATCCAGGTATGGTGGTGCAGGCCTGTAGAGGTTTGAGGCTGCAGTGAACTGTGACTGCATCACTGCACTCCAGCCTGGGCAACAGAGTGAGACTACATCTAAAAAAAAAAAATAGAAATTCAACAAGGCTCCACCCCACATGCATTGATTCAGAATTTCAGGAGGTGACATCAGGCCGAGTATACACTTTTAAACCTCTGCTGATGATTGATGCTGTTGCATAACCTGGGTTGAAAATTGTTATTTTCAGATGCAATAGCTCCTGGTTACATTCATTAAGTAAAGCTCCAAGCCTATAGAATTGAGAGATCCGATCTCAAACCCAGAGTATCCTCACTCACATGTAGGACACTATGGGGCTCCTCTAACCAATCTGCCAGGTCTTGTTTTTGTCTGCATTTTGCTCATATTATATAACCCCAAGCTACCCAGTGGATGGGGATAGAAACCCAGACTGATTCTGACTAATTTTTGTGTTTGAGGGATGACTGATTGTACCAAGCTTAACTATCTCTCCTCAGCAATGCTAGTCTGGAACTATCCCTCCCCAGCAATGCTGGTGTTGTTTTTACTTAAACTTCCAGCTCCTCTACAACTATTAGGACAAATGAAGTGGCTGAACACACTTCATTCAAAACATTAAACACCTAATAATCTTTGTAAAGTTGTATCTTCATCATGAAATCTTTGCCCATCTTTGCCACATTGTCTTCCACAATGGTTGAACTAATTTACACTCCCACCAACAGTGTGTAAGTGTTCCATAATACATCAGAAATGTATTATGACATTCCTGATGATCAACCCCAATGTTTAGATTTCATTTTCATTCTTATAGGAAAAAGAAATACCAGCAAATCAGCACTTCACCCGTCCTCAGTTATCTAAAAGTAATTCTTTAATAAACTTTCTTGACCCAAATCCAAAGCTGGGGAGGCAGGAAGATAGTCAGGGCCCCCAGGGCTAGACAAGGCTGTGGCCGGGGAGGTAGACCTTCTGTTGTCACACTCTTCTTTTTGGGTGACTTGCTCCAATTAAAACATGGCTCTCCGAATAGCCAAGGCAATCCTAAGCAAAAAAAAAACAAAGCTGGAGACATCACAGTACCCAACTTTGGACTATACTACAGGGCTACAGTAATCAAAACAGCATGGTACTGGTACAGAAACAGACAAATAGACCAATGGAACAGAATAGAGAACCCAGAAATAAGGCCACATGCCTACAACCATCAAATCTTTGACAAACCTGACAAAAGCAAGCAATGGGGAAAGGATTCCCTGTTCAATAAATGGTGCTGGAATAACTGGCTAGCCACATGCAGGTGACTGAAACTGGACCCCTTCCTTACACCGTATACAAAAATTAACTCAATATGGATTAAAGACTTAAATGTAAAACTGAAAACTATAAAAACCCTGGAAGACAACCTAGGCAATACCATTCTGCACATAGGAATGAGCAAAGATTTCATGATGAAGATGCCAAATGCAATTGCAACAAAAGCAAAAATTGACCAGTGGGATCTAATCAAATGAAAGCGCTTCTGAATAGCAAAGGAAACTATCAAGTGAAGAGAAAACCTACAGAATAGGAGAAAATTTTTGCAAACTATGCATCTGATAAAGGTCTAATATCCAGCATCTATAAGGAACTTAAACAAATTTATTAAAAAAAACCCATTAAAAAGTAGGCAAAAGACATGGCAGACACTTCTCAAAAGAAAATGTATACGCAGCCAACAATCATATGAAAAAAACCTCAACATTACTGATCATTAGAGAAATGCAAATCAAAACCACAATGAGATGCCATCTCACACCAGTCAGAATAGCTATTATGAAAAAGTCAAAAGATGACAGATGCTGGTGAGGTTGCAGAGAAAAAGGAACGCTTACACACTGTTGGTGGGAGTGTAAATTAGTTCAACCATTGTGGAAGACAGTGTGGCAATTCCTCAAAGACCTAAAAACGGAACTACCATTTGACTAAGCAATTCCATTACTGGATACATACCCCAAGTAATATAAATCATGCTATTACAAAGACACATGCACATATGTGTTCACTGCAGCACTGTTCACAATAGCAAAGACATGGAATCAACCTAAATGCCTATCAATGACAAACTGGATAAAGAAAATGTGGTACATATATACCACGGAATACTATGCAGCCACAAAAAGGAATGAGATCATGTCCTTTGAAGGAACACGGATGGAGCTGGAGGATATAATCCTTAGCAAACTAACACAAGAACAGAAAATCAAATACTGCATGTTCTCACTTATAAGTGGGAGCTAAAGGATGAGAACACATGGATACATACAAGGGAACAACACATGCTGGGGCCTATTGGAGGGTGGAGGCTTGTGGGAGGGAGAAGGGAGGAAAAATAACTAATGGATACCAGGCTTAATACCTGGGTGATGAAATAATCTGTAAAACAAACCCCCATGACACAAGTTTGCCTATGTAACAAACCTGCACATGTACCCCTGAACTTAAAATAAAAGTTAACAAAACAAAACACGGCTTCTACTACCTTGGAAACTTTAATAGAGGGGCAGAAGCAGGAAAAACTATACTGATCCACGTCAATGACAACCTGAAATAGCCAATGTTTCTTGTACCTTTGAGTAGCAAGTATTCTCTAAGTGACTGAAACTAGTTTGAAGCACATACTTTTTTCTCTACTGAAACATTTTACTTTCTAGTGGATTAAATAGTTTACCTAGGGGTTACAAAAAGGCTTTACTGTCACAAATATCAGAAATTTTTTCATTTTCATAGATCTGCTTTATTTGTGTGCTAACAGCCCTGTCTAGATACAACAAGGCAATCAGAATTGTTTTTATCAAAGAAAATCAGCCAACTGGAAATCCTTCCTAATTCCAAAGATGAATGTTGCACTCATTTATGGCTATTGTTGACTTTTCTAAAATCAGGTTATCTTTCTGATGGAAAAAAAAAATGGATTTAGTTTGAGCAGCTACACATATATGTCCCTGGAATTGAAGCTGGAAGGGGAAAGACTCTTTAGATAATCATGAAACATGAAGTTGTGTCTGACAGGAATAACAGCTCACGAAAAACTACCCATGAGAACGGACTTCCAGACAAGGGTGGTTCATAGTCCAGGGGGAAACACCCCTGACAATAGACACACAGCTTCAGAACCACACACCCCCTACTGATGCCAGGGAGATCTGTGGGCAAATCTTGCCTTATTCCATGAAAGACTAGTCTACATCTAAAAATGTATTTATATTTCATTTATATAAATAGGAACCCATATCATTAAGTAACCTAGAAAGAAAAAAAAGGCAATTTTCAGGAAATACTTGTAAAACACTGAATGAAAACTTCTGAAGTATAATTTACACATTCCTCCTTTATGATGACTTGGTGCTTAGAAGAGATTAAGATTTCTGGGCATAATTGATAATGATTCATAAAACAAATTCAGAAGAAGAAAGATAGCCATCTCCACAGATTCATATGTTTGAGTTTATTATATTATATACACATACATATGCATTCTCCTTCCCCAATATGAGGACAGCTCCTATGTTTAAAACTTTCTTTCCAAATTTGAGGTGGTGATGGATCCACTACAGTTCCAGTAAAGATTCAGATACCATATTAAAATATTTAACTGAAACTAGTTTAAAGAAGGAATTATTTATAGTGGCATGATCAAGATTAGGGAAATCAATAAGGAATGGTGAAATGTCAAGGGACTAGGAACAGGAGGAAGTTATTCCTGGCACTCGTCCTGAATGAACAGGGGGGCAGCATTATCAGAAAGGGAGGGCCTTGGTGCCCTGAAAGAAGCCCCTCCACAATAGAAGCTGGTAGTAGAGAAACTTAATGAGGCAGGGAAGAAGCAGTGATGGAGTGGGAGGGTTTATCACCTGACCAATTTCAGATACCTTCCATTGGCCCAGTTCATCTGGAAGCCAGAGGGCAAGGAAGGAGATGGTGCAACCCAAAGGCTGGCCTCTTAAGGCCCAGAGCAAAGCAGAGAATAGATTTGGGGAGGGTAAACAAAGAATAACCACCTTAATGGGAGAGAAGACACACACAGAAGAGTCAACTAATGACACAAAATAGAAAATGGCCCTGCAAACCCATCGTGACAATCTGTATGGACAATAGGTGAAAGCACAGTCTAGTAGGTAAGAGCATGGACTTTGAAGGTCAGCAGGTACTCCTTCAAATCCAGGCTCTGCTGCCTCAGTCCTCTATGTGCAACCTGGGTACATAACTGATTCTCTCTGCTTCATATAGATGAAAATAATAGTGCTTACCCTATAGAGTAATTATAAGATTTAAGTAAATCCTTTGGCTTGGTTCCTGGCACATGGCAAACACTCAATCAATGTTAATTACTATCATCATCATCAACATCATTTTGTCATCATGATAACTATCAATAGGTGGATTTAGTAGAGGAATAACTTACCAATAACTTCTAAGGTCAGAGAAGGATGGGTAAAATTCGGAAAAGCAGGAAGTGATAGGAAAGAATTCGGAAGGGATTTAGTTGGGGAGGGGCGGAATGAACAAAGGTTAGGATGCAAGAATTCACAGAGTATGTTGATGGGGTTATGTCAGGGGCAGTAGATGCAGATTGGGAGCGATAAAATATAGGAGGAGGGGATGATCCAGGGATACAGGCTCTCGGCTGTCAAGTCATATAAGTTTGGCCTTTGTCTTGTGCATTGTGGGAAACAACCAAACATTTTTAAAGCAAATTACAAAGTAATAATAGTGTTTTTAGAAAGATTTACAATGTGGCAGAATTTAAAATGAATTTAGGCATGAATCTGACTACTAGTCAAATCATAGCAGTGAATTATCAAATTCCTTGAAAAAACATGGGGAAAATGAATACAAGTAAAGCTATTAATTAATATCTATGAGTTAGTATAAGGATACTTCCCTACTCATCCTCCTAATAGTTACTGGGATCTTTGTATTTTCTGAGTCTTGGATGTTGCATCTATTGAAATTTCAGTCTGCTTCTGCATTCACTGACTCCAATCTAGCGACATTTGACCATTAGTTTCTTATAACTTAAAAATTTTAAACAGAATAGTTATTCTGGAGTCCAAGGAAGAAACAAGGGCTTTAAATGATAAAAGCATAAACTTTTTTTGATGACTTACAATGTTCTAGGTGCTGTGTTTTATAGATCTTCATGTATCTAATCTTCACAATAATCCTGTGAGGAAATTCTATTACCATTCCCATTTTATAGATGAGAAAATTAAGGCCCAAGGCTTTAAAGCAACATATGCAACACATACAACCAATAATAATTTATAGAATTTGTATGCAGGTGTTTCTGTTCCATGTTTCCCAAGAAAGACACCCATAGAATGCACAGCTTCAGTTATTAAAGTTGATATCAATAATAGTGTTTGTTTTGGGCTACATTATATTTCATCTCTGTATCTTTGTTATAGTTTCAAAAGTCCTTTACTATTTGCAAGGTTTACATCCATGATTATATCTGATCCTCACAATGATGAAACAAGTTTAAGGTGGTTAACTAATTTGTCCAATATCCTCCAATTAGTAGGTAGCAGAGTTAAGACTTGAGTGCAAGTCTTCAAATTCCAAATTCTGTATTCTTTCCACTAGATTAAAGAAGAATTAAGAACACAAAACTTAAAGAGGCATCTATTCATTTATGTAATAAATTATAATACTCATTTACAAAGCACAGGTTATGTCTCTGACAATATCCTGGTTCTGATACAGAGGAGCAAATAATTTCTACCCTTAAAGTAGTCATTACTTAGAGAAGAGACAGAAAAAAAAAAAAAGGCAGTCCCCAGGTTGGAGTTGGGGGAGATAGCAGTTTTGGTGGCTTGTGGCTGGGTTGGGAAGAAATATTTACTAGAGAAGAAACACATGGTTGAATTTTGAAAAATATACGCATGGATGTGGTTAAAGAAAAGGAGCATGTGCAAAGATCTGGAAGCTTGGGAGAACACAGCGTTGGGGAGGTGCATGAAGCCCAATTTGGCTGGAGCTCAGAGGGGAGAGATAAGGCTGAAGGGTGAATCCGGGACCTTAAGGTCCAGGGTGGGGAACTAGGACTTCAGGCTGAAGTAGGGAAGTGACACGCTCACATTCGCATCTCAACAAACTCACTCTGGAAGCAATCTAGAGGATGAACTGGAGGGGACTGAAACTAGAGCTTCAGCTATCACAAAGGTAGCTTCTTCATGATAGTCATGAGAGAAAGCATTGCATGGAGATGTACACGCAGTGATGGAAGGATAGATTGATTGAAGAGTGAGTAGGAGGTAGAATCATCAGGATCTTATGATTCTTTAGACACCAGAGTAAGGGAAAGAGAAGGATGTCAAGAATGATTTCCCAGATTCCTGACTTAGACAACTGTAGAATTTAGTGGAAGTAAAAACTATGGTGATGGGAGAGAGATTAGTCCTGTGGGAATGTTGAAATCCATTCTGCACAAGCTGGTTTGAGCTGACTGTTGAAAATCCAAGTGGAGGTATCTCATAGGAGTTTGACACATGTGTTTACAGACAGAAAGGTTAGTGTGGGCTGGTGATAGAGATTTAGAATTCAGCAATACATAATTGGTGCTTGACAATAACAACAGTTTTAGTTGACAACTATGTGTTGGGCACTCATTTTTCTGGGTATTCCAAATGTTTTATCATCTCATTTAATCATCACAAGAACATTTTATGAAGAACATAATTTTTCCCATTTTATGGGAGAGGAGACTGAGGTTCAAAGAGCTTATTAAATTAGTATGGCAGTCATGTCGGTGGATGAATTAGGGAGATTATGTAGAAATGAATAGAAGATACCATACAGCTCAGAATTCCCAGAAATATCTGTATTGTATTGAATTGTATCTGTATTGAATACTCATTATGTGCCAGACACAATTCTAAGTACTAACAATATTCTGTAGAATTGAACACTTCAAAAAAGCCCGTGCTTTTGAAAAATCTATAAATACTTCTTTAATGATGATGTTAGAAAAATGCAACTGTTGGATTTCAAAGTGTAAGTTTGTGTTTACCTATGGTGAATTAGTGGTAGGATCTTGAAGAGCAAGACAATGTTAAAGAATAATGCCAAATCATCCATGAGGAAAAGAAATATAAAGACTTTAGATTTCAGTCAGATGTGAAAGCTCTCTGGGGCAAGTTAGCAGAGGATGGTGACACAGGGCCCAGCATTTGCACTTTGGTTTTACTCATTATCTGTGTGATCCACTTAATAAATACACAGCAGGGTGTCAGTGTAAAGAATGAGATAATGCTTATTAAAAACATGAGTTGGCATAAGGCAAACACAATCGAATGTAGATGTCGTCAGAATCTAACTCTGAATCATATGTCATCTTCTATGGTTTTACATATAAATTTCCTAATTCTCCAAAACGGTAGGTTTCATTTAATGGAGGCTGATCATGTGCCGGACTCAGTACCAAGAATGTTATAAACATTATTTTATTTATCTGCCTAATGATGGTTCTTGGCCTCATATCAATCCTGTAAGGTGGTTCTTGTTTATCACAAGGACCTTGAGTCTCATGAAGGTTAAATGACTTGCCCAAAGTCAAATAACTAAGTGCACGGACTCTAAAGAAGTGACCATCTGATTCCATCACATGGCCTCTTGGAGGTGGAACTCCTCCGGGGGCAGGGGGAGGGGCCAGTCAAGGAAAGCCTGTCACAACTTCACTTAAAAACACTTATTTGTTTTGCCCATAGCTTATGGTTTTCAGCAAAAAGCACTTGGAATATGTACCTTATTCTCATCATCCTTTTACTCATACATTTTAACCATCTTCCTCACCATCATCATCATCAACGTGAATGCACATAGGGAAAAGCAGAGTCAAAAACACGAGATGCTTTTTTTCTTACATATTTATAGCCTTAGAGGCTAAAAATGACTCAGATTAACTATTTTTCTTTGTGTAACTAACAGGCCCAACATTGTGGAACTATATATGAAGAAAGTGTGTCATGACATATATACTAAGGGAAGAAAGGAATTTAGAGGAAATTATAGTTCTTAGTTTGCTTGTCACCTCTTCTAATTAACGAATATAAAAGAATTCATAGAAGATGTGGAATTTCAGGAAATGTATAATTTCACACATCACTGTATATCATTGTGCCTGGCTGCCACAGGATTTGTATGCAAATAATATACTAGCTTTTCTTTTTTCTTTTTTTCTTTTTGAGATGGAGTCTCACTCTGTTGCCCAGGCTGGAGTGCAGTGGTGCGATCTCGGCTCACTGCAACCTCTGCCTCCCGGGTTCAAGTGATTTTTCTGCCTCAGCCTGCCGAGTAGCTGGGACTGCAGGCGCGCACCACCACTCCTGGGTAATTTTAGTATTTTTAGTAGAGACGGGGTTTCACCATGTTGGCCAGGCTGGTCTTGAACTCCTGACCTCGTGATCTGCCTGCCTCGGCCTCCCCAAAGTGCTAGGATTACAGGCGGGAGCCACCATGCCTGGCCAACTAGCTTTTTTTTAAAAAAAAACATGATGGCCATCCATGGTTTTCTCTGGGTATTATGTCAACTACTTTGATTTCCATAATGTTCACCCAAATATGTTACCTGAATTATGATATTGCAGAAATATATTAGATGAAATAAAATATTCCCAGTCAAATACAAAGCATTTAAATTTTATATTTGCTAAGTCTTTTTTTTTTTTTTTTTTTGAGACAGAGTTTCGCTCCTTGTTGCCCAGGCTGCAGTGCAGTGGCGTGATCTTGGCTCACTGCAACCTCCGCCTCCTGGGCTCAAGTGCTTCTTCTGCCTCAGCCTCCTGAGTAATTGGGATTACAGGTAAGCGCTACCATGTTTGGATAGTTTTTGTATTTTTAGTAGAGATGGGGGTTTCACCATGTTGGCCAGGCTGGTCTCGAACTCCTAACCTCAAGTGATCCACCCACCTTGGCCTCCCAAAGTGCTGGGATTACAGGGGTGAGCCACCATTCCTGGCCAGTATTTGCTAAGTCTTGATTGAACCCTGTGGCAGTTTCCTTTGTCCCTTACTTAGTAGTGACAATACAGTTTAGATAGAAAATATTAGCATGGGAAATATTATCCGTTAAGATGTTCATGATGGTTAGTTTCTCCTGAAGCCAATGTATTTCCTTGGAATTGCTGAAGGAACTTTGCCAATATTTATGATCTGGAGAGCAATGTGTGCTATGCACTTCACTTTTGTACTACAAATAAAATTAATTTTAACTGTTCATATGGAGTTTCAATTAGTTTTGTTCACTTTTTACCACAACCAGCTTGACGTTAAAAAAATAAACAACTTCGCTACTTGGTTTGGAATTAATTTGACAGCTTACTGAATGTTCCTGTATTAAGTTAGGAGGAGAAAACAGAACTCAAAATGCAACTCAACTAAAATGTCAATTAAATACGTCCTTGGACTTTTAGCCATTCTGTGGTTATAAAATTGTTTTTAATAAATACATATGAATAAAATATCGTTATGGTGATAGATCTTCATCATATGGCCACATGAAATTACTTTGAGAATTAAATGATATAAAATATTAGGCATAGCCATAATAGCAACTAATACAGTTATTACTCTTATTATAAATTATTTTTGTCACCATTATTATATTTTCATATCTGAAGGCCAACTTCCAGCAAATGCCTTTTACAGTAGAGAAAATAAGTCTAGGTACAGTGGCTCACACCTGTAATCCCAGTGCTTTGGGAGGCTAAGGTGGGAGGATTGCTTGAGGCCAGGAGTTCAAGACCAGCCTGGGCAACAGAGCGAGACCCCATCTCTATAAAAAATAAAAGAAATTAGTCATGCATGGTGATGTGCATCTTGTAGTCCTACCTACTTGGGAGGCTGGGGCAGGAGGATTACTTGAGGCCAGGAGTTCCAGGTCACAGTGAGCTATGATCCTGCCACCACAGGCCCAGCCTGGGTGACAGGCACCCTGTCTCTTAAAACAAAAAAAGAGAAAATACAAAATTCATTTAATAGGATAATGCTTCTTAGTTCATTGTCATCATTTACTGGGTTTAACTGAAATGTGAAATTGATTACCATCATCAATAATGTGCTTAAATTTCACAAGTGTGAGTGAATTTTATCCTTTGGCAGCCCCTGACAGGAACTCACTTGGTCACTGTGTTCATACTTAATTGCTGTAATCATGGCACAGGATCTTTCTGAAAGCTAAGAAATTATTATCCCCCATAATATATCTACTAGGACTGTAGTTATTAACAATGCTTCGGATTTTCTTATAATCTTCCTTATTGATCATTGGGTTCAAAATATCTTGAATAACAAGTTTATTAATCATTTATACTGGGGTTGATAATGCAGAATTATTTAAGCATATAACTCTTTTTACATTTTTAAATTTCTGAATCTCTAAGACTTTTCTAAATATTATTTTAATTGATTGTGCTACATAGTTTCTCAGCAAGTTGGTGACAGAATCACAATTATGAACTGACTTATTTACTTACAGATCTTAGTTTCTTGGTCACAGTTTTCAATTTAGACACACTGGCTGAAATATGGAGTGAGAAGGATTTGAAGAGGATTTTTAAGGATAAAAATCCAACAAAGAAAGGTCCTATCCAAATTGCATCAGATAATAGTTCAATTAGTATCCATAGCAATATATTCTCTCCAGAACAACATAGGTGATTACCAAGATACTGTTTTGGACTACAGTAAAGTAGGGGATAACATCTTTCCAACTCTCAAAAATATTCACCCCCAAAGGGTTTTTCTGAAGAACTGCAATGACTGAACTGAACTGACACTGCATAAAGGCGAGGGAGTGGTGCTGTAGATGGATCACAGACCAGTTCTTCCAGGGAAAGCCTAGAGTTAAAGTGAAAAGAAGTAATCCAAGTCCCAACTTGCACACTCTGTCATCGGAGTTTCCAAGTAAGAAATACTTGGCTTCCAGACAACTGAATGAGACTTAGACTTTAAGCGGATTATCTGAATTGTTTCTCTAAAAGCCTTTACACCCCCACCCTTTTCAATAATCTACTTTAGAAAATAGTGGCAACATACTTTTGGAATTAAAAAAAAACTCTCACCACTTTACTACATTATGTTATATTTTCTCTTAATTGTGAAAGACAGTATCTCCACATTTGGCAATGTTAAATGTGGCAGAAGGAACATTGTATTATAGCTCATTGATGAGTTGATATTAATCTGAACTATTTGGACACACTGCAGGGAGTTATGAGAAAAGAGAATATTACACCATTATGCAAAGTTGAAAATTTTGAATTAATAAATTGTCACATTTGAGCACTCTATTTCTGTAACTCCTTTGTTAAAATGTCAGTGCATTGCAGAAAAAAATTTCCTTAAAAAACAAGTGATTCAAGGACATGTTCTCAATAAAAAAATGGGTGGGCAAATTAAATACCATGCAAACACATAAGAGAGAAGAATATAATGGAAGTTCAAAATCCATCAATCCAGCTAGGCTCGGTGGCTCACATCTGTAATCCCAGCACTTTGGGAGGCCAAGGCCAGCAGATCACCTGAGATCAGGAGTTTGAGACCAGCCTGACCAACATGGTGAAATGTTGTCTCTATTAAAAATACAAAAATTAGCCAGGCAAGGGGGTTGTGTGCACCTGTAGTCCCAGCTACTCGGGAGGCTGAGGTGGGAGAGTCCCTTGAACCCGGGAGACGGAGGTTGCAGTGAGCCGAGATCATGCCACTGCACTCCAGCCTGGGTGATAGAGTGAGACTCCATCTCAAAAAAAAAAAAAAAGTATAAAAATAATAATCTGCCAATTCCCAAAAGCTGTCAGAATTCAGAAATGAGACTGCTGCTTGATGATGCTGTATGCATGCTGCTCTGATGCATCTGACCATAGGAATTTGACTCCAGGAAATATCCTACTACATTAGCTATTTAACTATCTCTGTACCCCACTCTATCCTTATTAAATCCATCATTTTCTCATTTTTAACTAGAAAAGGCTGTGAAGAGTGTTGGGCTCATTGGAATATTGAGGTTTTGCCCCCAAACCTGCAACTGAGAAAATTACTTACACTTGATGGAGACATATTTCAAGTAATGCAGAGCCTTTTCCATTCATCCCATGTGTCATACCTGTATCAAATTAATATCTACCTGGGCTTGAGTCATTCTTACCTGTCTACCTGCCTTATCAAAATATACCCATCCTTCAAGATTTGGCTTAGATACAAATCCCTTGGGTAATTCTCTCTTAATACCCCAATTTAGTTAACTTTCTACTTAACATAACATTCTTAATCGGTCTGTACTATGGTTATGATTTATTTGGCTACTTCCCCTCTGTAAGTTTCCACAGGACAGGGGTCTCCACTATCAATCACTTTCTCTCCAGTCCCCAAAGCAAGCCTGGCACATGGAAGATCCTCAAAATATATGGTTGTACAATTGTGGAAGACAGTGTGGTGATTCCTTAAGGATCTGGAACCAGAAATACCATTTGACCCGGCAATCCCATTACTGGGTATATACCTAAAGGATTATAAATCATTCTACTATAAAGACACATGCACACATATGTTTATTGCAGCACTATTTACAATAGCAGAGACTTGAAACCAACCCAAATGCCCATCAGTGATAGACTGGATAAAGAAAATGTGACACATATATACCATGGAATACTAGGCAGCCATAAAAAAGAATGAGTTCATGTCCTTTGCAGAGACATGGATGAAGCTAGAAACCATCATTCTCAGCAAACTAACACAGAAACAGAAAACCAACCATGGCATGTTCTCACTCATAAGTGGAAGTTGAACAATGAGAACACATGGACACAGGGAGGGGAACATCCCACATGGGGGCCTGTCTGGGGGTGGGGAGCAAGGGGAGGGAGAGCATTAGAACAAATACCTAATGCATGTGGGGCTTAAAGCCTAGATGACAGGTTGATAGGTGCAGCAAACTGCAATGGCGCAAGTATACCTATGTAACAAACCTGCACATTCAGCACATGTATCCCAGAACTTAGAGTAAAATTGAAAAAAAAAATATATGGCTGTATACATTCTGAAAACCATAAAAATGGGCATTATCACTTGTACTAAGGCTATTTTTTAAGATTAAAATTTCAAAAATTATGTTGAATACTGAAAAGTTAGAATGAAAAAAAATCATGTGATGTTATTTTTAAAAAGCTTGGTAAATCAGCAAGGAAAGAGAAGACATATTCACATACTTTGTAAGGTATGTTTTTATACCAAACATGTGTTGCAGTGTGTACACATGTTCTTAGAAAGAACAGATTTGCCATGAGTACCCAAAAGGAAGGTGTGCTTTGAATGGTTGTTGTAATCCATGAAGTGAGAAGGATTTTACTATGAAAAGAAGTACCCAATTAGGTGATACTTGTTTTTTTGAGACAGGGTTTTGCTCTGTTGCCCAGGCTGGAGTTCAGTGGTACCAGCCATCGTGGCTCACTGCAGCCTCCATCTCCGTGGCTGAAGCTATCTTCGCACCTCAGCTTCCTGGGTAGCTGAGACCACAGGTGCAGGCTACCATATCCAGCTAAATTTTAAATATTTTGTAGAGATAGGGTCTCACTAGGTTGCCCAGTCTGGTCTCAAACTCCTGGGCTCAAATGGTCCTCCCACCTCAGCCTCCCAAAGTGCTGAGATTACAGGTATGAGCCACCACGCATGGCCGTGATTCTTGTTTAAATATTCTCTATCTATATTGGGGTAGGTTCAAATCTAAATACTAAAAATTCTGCTATTTTATTTTCACACAACCAAAGGTTGCGAAACATAGTTTTGAAAAGATAAAATGCTATGACATGACTGAGAATTACAACACTGGTAATTTGGAGAGGCAATACTACTCAGTGAAGAAAGACCAGTCTTAGAGGCAAATAGTTCTGGGTTCAAATCCCAGCTCCATCCTTTAGCTGCTTGACCTTATGAGAGGTATAAAATTTTTTTTTAAAAAATTGCTAATTCATCGGCAAAGTGCGAAAAATATTACCTATTTTTCTAGGTAAAAAATGCATTTATAGTACTTGACACATAGTATATTATCAACAAATATCATTTATTATTATTTTACTTCAGCTCACTTGTCCTGTTAATTACCATTAAGAACTCAGGCACCAGGATAAGAATCAACACAGCTGTATTGCCTGGTGATAAAAATGGCTCACTAGGCTGGGTGCGGCAGCTCACGCGTGTAATCCCAGCACTTTGGGAGGCTGAGGCCTGTGGAATGCTTGAGCTCAGGAGTTCAAGACCAGCCTGGGCAACATGGTGAAACCCTGTCTGTACAAAAACACAAAAAAAATTTAGCCAGGTATGGTGGCAGGTGCCTGTAATCCCAGCTACTCAGGCGACTGAGGTGGGATGATCATTCAAACCCAGGGGCAGAGGTTGCAGTGAGCTGTGATCCTGCCACTGCACTCCAGACTGGGTAACGGTGACAGAGCAAAACTCTGTCTAAAAAAACAAACAAAACAAAACCAGGCTCACTAGTTGGGAACGTATGTGACCCTACTGTAAATGAGTGGAAATGGACTAAGGGGCAGCACTCACTAGACTAGTACTGCTACCAGCAACCTGGACCAGCATAGTGGCTGAACCTAGTGTCTCTCCCAAAGATGGAAAAATTTGGGTAAAAAGTGGAGAAAAGGAAGAATAATAGCTGAGGGTAAAGAAATGAATAAATAGGTTATAAATGGAGGGGCATCCAATATTACATTATCAACTCTAAATAGCCTCAGAGCAAGAGATGGCCTTATCTCTTAGCTCAGTGATTCCAGATGCCTGAAAGGGTGAAGCTGTGTGTTTGCCGAGACCACTCCTGCTTTTGGAACCTGACGAGATTGAAGGAAAGTCTACAAACTTGAGTGGCCTCACCCTGGGAGACATTCAGACAATATGATGGACTGGACTACTTATTAAAAATTGTGTACATTCATTTTGCCATAAGGGATATGTGGTCCACAACCAGGGTGTGACCTGTGGTGTTATGACATATATTCTGGTTTTTGTTATATATTTGGTTTCCTGGCTTGTAACTCCCATAGCCCTTGTCATGGTCTTGCTATAATGTGGAGTGTGTTAGGCCTCAGGGGCAGGCCTCAGGAAATGGAATCTCTCTCACCTTCTCCTACCTTCCTTTCACCTGCCCCAAGGCAGGACTCTAATATTCTCCTACCTTTCTGACTGTAGGTCATAAGATCCTCCCCAGAGAGGGTCCAGCTTTATACCCTGGGAGAAGAAATGTTGGCTTTATGAAGCTTCCATAAAAACCCAAGAGGACTGGGTTTGGGGAGCTTCTGGATAGCTGAACACAAGGGGGTTCCTGTTATGCCCAGGGAGGGCATGGAAGTGCTGCACCCCTTCCCCCATACCTTTCTCTAGGCATCTTTTCATCTGTATCCTTCGTAATATCCTTTATAATAAACTGGTGCATATATTAAAAAAAAAGAACTCAGGCACATATCTCAAATCTTCTCTTTTGGATCTCAGTGTGAAAAGTACAGCTAATAATTATACACATCTGATTATAAGGACTGTTACAAGACTTCAAGTCAATAAGGTACCATATCAGTATAAAGTCCTAAGTATAAAGTACTATGGAATATAAACACAGAAAATATTTTTCAAACTCAAAGAATAGATGAAAATTGGCAATGGCAGAGGTCCAGGGAAGGGAATTATACCAAGTTGTCATTATGGGTTTATTTACTATTCGTTCTTTTTCTGGAAACATGGAGAACTTATCATTTACAAATTAAAGGAAAGCCACATTTAATAGTGCTTTTCAAAAAAATTCAAAAGAGAGACTTTAGTTGGCACGCCACATAACCAAAATAATATGTATATCAGTAACTCTCCAGACATCAAAGTTTCTATTCAGTAACTAGTTACTCTGTCTATCATTTTAGGGATCTTGCCTGTTTGGCTTTAGCTGGTGATCTTTTTTCTTTCTTTCTTATTTTAGCTAATGGATAGAGGTATCGCTACTTCCTGGGTTTCTGGTGGTTCTGAACCTTGGCCCACAAATGTGCTAAAGTATAAAATGAACGCTTTGGCATTCTGTTTTAGGCATATTATGAGAGAAAGAGACCATGTCCAAAGGTCACACTGAGATCCTTAGGGAGAAAAAGCTCAGGGTAGAAAGATGGGATGTCAGAGGAGCCCCTGGCCCTGGTACAGGTTACGTCCCGACTTGTGAGTCTGTTGTGCCACTTACAAGAAAGTCATCTTATTTTTTTTCTTACTTTCTTCTTTAAAAAACAAAAGATGATAAAATATTAACAACTGTACATGCAACTCTGCTGTTTAAGAAATGCTTTCGACCCCATTATTTCATTTCCTTCTTCTCATCTCCCTTTGAGACAGGGAGAAAATGGATTCTTCCCTCCCCACATTTTCTAGGTGAGGTCTTATGGTTTGTCCAAGTGACACCTGTAAAATTTAAGAGACAGAAATTTAGACTGAACTTTTTTTTTTTTTTTTTTTTGAGACGGAGTCTTGCTCTGTCGCCCAGGCTGGAGTGCAGTGGAGTGATCTCGGCTCACTGCTAGCTCCGCCTCCTGAGTTCACGCCATTCTTCTGCCTCAGCCTCCCGAGTAGCTGGGACTACAGGTGCCCGCCACCATGCACGGCTAATTTTTTTTTTGTATTTTTAGTAGAGACGGGGTTTCACCATGTTAGCCAGGATGGTCTCGATCTCCTGACCTCGTGATCCACCCGCCTCAGCCTCCCAAAGTGCTGGGATTACAGGCGTGAGCCACCGCGCCCGGCTAGACTGAACTTCTTAGATCTTGAGCCCTTTCTCCTGATGACTAAGTTTCCAAAGTGCTCTATGGAATATTAGCTTCATGTGATACTGTATGATAAACAGTTCCATTGCCAAAGAAGATAAGAAACATTGTATTAAAGAACGTTCAACTGTTTTCTCTATTGCAGGCCCTTGATATGGTAGCATGTCATATGAACAGTATAGAAGAAGGAAAATGTGCCGTAATTCCCTAAAATCATTCGTCCAGGATTGTCTACAAGTCAGATAAGATGATTACTTTAGGGGAAAACTGTTCTATATATCATACTTTTCAAGGAGCACAGATACTTTAGTAGATGTTTAATAGTTAAAAATTCTGCTTTAGCCCCTGGCTATGTCCTCAGAACTTGACTGCCATGTTGTAACCATAATCCCCCTGCCTGTGGGGAGGGAGGAGGCACTGCCTTTTGGTCCAGGTACCCCAATGGGTTCACATTTTCACAAAGGTCCAAGAAAGTGGAGAAATTTGTTTTAATTTAGAAACTATTATGATATAGAGAAAATAGTCTTCAATTTCGACCATGTGTATTATTTTAAAAGTTGTCTTGCCTTAGACTTTAGTACGAAAGTTAAAATAAGCCATTCCTTATGTTTTTGAGTCGTATTGAGTCTGTCCGGGGAGCTCTCAGGGCATTTTTGAAAAGGGAGATGGATGTCACCATGTGGAACTAATAGTGTTTTTTGTGGGGGACAAAAAAGAATATTATTTTGTGTTATGTGGACTCATTCCCAAGGGAATATACACAGAAAAATTAGAAAGAAAACCTTCCCACTATTGGTGAAACAAATGAAAGATTCTGTTTTCACTGGCTTACAAAATAATCTCCCAAATGTTTAACAACAGTATTTTTATTTCTCTCATTTTAGATGCTTCATGGGGATAAAAGATTGAATTTACAAGTGGAAAATAGCCATACATACAATTTCAACCATCCACATTAAAAACTGGTAGCATCTCATGTTTTTAATTAATAGCATTACTACCATTCACTTTAACTCGTATGGGATTAATGCTAGTGAATGTGCTATAATCTCATTCCAAACAGAACTGCCAAAATAGAAAAATGGCTACAGAGACAGATGCAGTAGATACATTCCTGTCATTATGGTTTTTACCTAAGATACTTCAAATGCATAGCTGGTATAAAGGAACTGTGAATGTTAAGGATATATCCATACCCTAAAAGATAAGGTTCAACCTAAAGGAGTAAGAATCCATCCAATGAGATGGGCTAGAAAGCAATTTCAGCTACTCATCTGGGTACTTAGAGTCAGGACTGGATTCAAACCCAGTATTGGGTTTTAACTTCTCTCTAAGCCTCAGTTGCTTATTTGTAAAATAGGGATAGTCTTGCCTATTTTTCAGAGGTGTGGTGACGATGAAATGAGATCATGTAGGCAGAGACTAAATGTTCTGATTTAGCCTAATTACTAAGTAACTATTTTCTTCACCTGAACAATATTAGGGGTAAGGTAGGGAGATTGACAATTTGAGAAACCTTTAATAAAACTGCTGAATTGGCCTGTGCAGTCAAATCAAATAAGCCTTGCTCTCTGGAAATGTTCCTCCAAACAATGCAGGACATTTTATTTCTTTCTAGACCATTATGTATCTCCATGTTCACTGCAAAGACTCCCTATTAAGAAGTGAGCAAACACGCCTGTAATCCCAGCACTTTGGGAGGTCAAGGAGGGCAGATCACTTGAGGTCAGGAGTTCGAGACCAGCCTGGCCAACATGGCAAAACCCGTCTCTACTAAAAATACAAAAAAATTAGCCAGGCGTGGTGGCGGGCACCTGTAATCCCATCTCCTCAGGAGGCTGAGGCAGGAGAATCACTTGAATCCAGGAGGCGGAGGTTGCAGTGAGCTGAGATCATACCACCGCACTCCAGCCTGGGCGACTGAGTGAGACTCTATCTCAAAAAAAAAAAAAAAAAAAAAAAAAAGCAAAAAGGATCTTTGCTCTACTTCTGAGATTCTGACATTTATAGGTTTTCTTGATAGTCCTACTAAAATGGCCAAAAAAACACAAAAAAACAACAAAAAAATATTCTTTAGTCTGAAAAAGCAGAGGTTGAGATCTACAAAATTATCCAAAGTGTGGGGGAAGAAAACACATTTGT
This sequence comes from Homo sapiens, assembly GCF_000001405.40. Lineage (NCBI taxonomy): Eukaryota > Metazoa > Chordata > Mammalia > Primates > Hominidae > Homo > Homo sapiens. Next base: position 105,545,231 of record NC_000006.12, read on the forward strand.
TTACAAATGTGATTTAATTGAATGAGAAAAATCACCTGTAAAATTCAAGAGACAGAAATTTAGTTCAAACAAGAATAAACCACTTCACACAGTAAATAGTATATGTTACTTATTATTGGATAGAGATATAAATCACTTCTCAAGTAGTTAGCTGAATTCATGGATGACAGATCCATGATGAACTTCAGAGACAAATGGGAATGCTTGTGGTTCATCTAGAATCTTTTGAGGTAACTAGGATAATGGGGAAGCATTGCCCACAAAACATCCTGGGTCCAGCATGGTATTGATCTTGTTATTGTAAAACTTAATGCTCTTACTTGGAGATTTTTTGGTACACTTTTCATCGTAGTTTTGTTGCTATATACAAGGAATGGATTATCAGGAAGCCAATCTTGTGTTTTGCTAAATCCTGGATTACCTAAGGTCCTTCTGCTCTCCTCATCCACACGCTGGGTTGGAGACAGTTACTCAAGTTCCTGGAGACAGCTGATCTCAGTGAAGAAACCATAGCTCAGCTTCTTACTCATCAAGCTAAGACAAAGGAGAACAGTGCATGACCGAAAAATACGTTCTTTATCCAGGCTTTTGGATTATGATCATGGCTTGGGAAACAATTTATTTGATATTAGTCTGCTTACCAATTTTGCTTCATTTTCAAAACATTTCCTAGTTCCTGGAAACACCTGAAGCTCAGAAGAGACATGATAAATTACTTTTCTCTAGAAGACATCTGAATTGCTTTACAGTATTTGTTTTCTCAAAAACATTGATGTTTGCTTTGGACTAACTTTATCAAGATAAAATAGCAATCTTATTTTTTTTTTTTATTACAGTACTCTCCTAACTGAATGGTAAACACCAGCTTTTAATATGGAAGCCACCATGGCAATATATGAGTGATATTTCTCATGTGATTGGTTCTGGAGTTCGATGTCCTTAAAGGCTGGCCTGGGAAAGTGGTTCCCCAATTGTTTACTCTCCTATGCTATTTATACACAGCTATTGAAAGTTAGAGCCTTTCTCTGGGACTTGGCCTCTTTAATTGGAGTGTGAAACACAATTCCCATTAAGATGCCACTTGAAGCAAGGAAACCGTATTCATATCCTGTGAGCAAATGTGGATTTTTCCACTCATGCCCATTTAAATGTCTCAGTTCCTGAACGCAAGAATGGGGGTGTCCGAAGCTTAGCGTTTCCAGGATTTGGGATGAGGGAATCCTGTGAGCGCTGTCTCATGACTTGAGGAAACTTATCTATTCTGAGAAACTCACAGTTATTTATCCCTATAATAATTACTCATTTCTAACATAAGACAGAGTCATCAGGGATGCGCGTCTTGCTGCAGTGATTCATTTCTTTCTTTCATGAGGATTAAGTGCCCTACTGGACAAAGTACAACGTAAGTTGCATCATTTTACACTGCAAATGAGAGCAATATGCGATATTAAGGAATGGATAGTTTCCAAAGTCGAATTCTGCTTTCTGTCAACAGCAGGATTAGCTTTAAGAGTATTCTTTTTTTTCTTAAGTACCTCCAATTCTAATGTCATGTGCAAGGGGCTCTCAGAAAGGCCACCAGTACAGAAAATATGGGGTAAAACCTCCTGTTTCTAATCTTATAGAGGACCCTTAAGTGGTGGTCCTTTTGAGGCTGGCCTTTGTATGAATTGTGGGAACACAGCTCGAGGACAGGGACTGTCTCTGAGTGAAGCTCAGACCATCTGCATGCTGGTACACAGACACGACACAGACACAGTAAACACAGTCAACTGGCAGAGCTACAGGCAGCTATAGGAAAATGGGAATACTTTTACATGACAAAGTTACAAGTGTGTGGCTGTGAAATTAGGGACCAAGATGACTGGAAGGTAGGTGATAGATGTAAATAAATAATACAGGGAGCAACCAAGACAATAGGTAGATGTAAATGTAAATACAAAGGTATAGAATGAGGAGAAGGCAAATGCTTTCAGTGCATACAGTTCATCCTCCTACAGCTCAAAGCACTTTGGATGCCCTTCTAGTTATGAACAAGAAACCTCTGGGAGTTAAATGGACAGCATTATTATATTCCTTTCAAAACCAATGATAACTTGGTTTAGGAAGAGGAAATCCTTTGGGGTAGTAGTGGTTGAATGGAGGTTGAGAGATAATTTTTTTTTGTCCTGGCCATATAATTAGACAAGTCACCAGACCTCTCTGGGCCTGTTTTCCCATCTGTAAAATGGGCTAATAAATTCTAAAGTTCCTCTTATTGCTGAGGTAATCAACATGAAAGTATGATTTTTAAAGAACATTTTGGACCTTTGTTCATATAACAATGAATGTTCTCTCATTCTTCTGATTCACTTTAACTTTCATATATTTCCTTCAGAAGATAACTATAGAAGATTTGTTTGTTTTTAAGAAAGCAGACCTTCATTTAAAAGATAAGAACTCAAAATAAACAGAAGTACTTGGATTTGAGGTTACGAATTTGAATTATTGCTGTTATCTGAAGCTTTGGTTATTTATTTCTTAAATTTTGTACCTATTCTTAATTCCTTTGCATTACCATATTTTTTTTTCTGCTCACTGAAGATAATTTGTTATCTCTTCTTGTATTACTAAAGAAGGAGAGGAAGGAAGGCAGAAAAGAAACAAAGGGAAGGAGGTAGAAAAAAGGGAGGAAGGAATATTAAAAAATGTAGGGTGTCTGTTGTTACAATTTTATGTGCTAACATCACTCTATCACTCTTAAGCTAGAGGAATAGATGACGGGGTTTCTCTTCGGAGGTGTGTGTGTGTGTGTGTGTCAGGGAGTATTATTTTTACTCCAAAACATAAACACACAGACCTACACGTTTACTAACCACTCTCTCCTTTTGGAAGACAGATCTTCAAAAAAGTCTGCACTTCTGATTTCTACCCCCTCACCTCTAATTGTTTTATTTTAATTTTTTTGAGACGGAGTCTCACTCTGTCGCCTAGGCTGGAGTGCAGTGGTGCGATCTCGGCTCACTGCAACCTCCACCTCCTGGGTTCAAGCGATTCTTCTGCCTCAGCCTCCTGAGTAGTTGGGATTATAGGGGCGCGCCACCAGGCCCAGCTAATTTTTGTATTTTCAGTAGAGACGGGGTTTCACCACATTGACCAAGGCTGGTCTCGAACTCCTGACCTTGTGATCCACCTGCCTCGGCCCCCCAAAGTGCTGGGATTACAGGTGTGAGCCACCATGCCTGGCCCTTCACCTCTTATTAACTCCTCACTCTCCTGCAAGCCGACTTCTGGTCCCGTCCTGCCACTGAAACTGTTCCTGCCACAGTTACCCAATGGAGACGCCCCACTCACTCTCTATAGCAATGAACACTATCCACTATGTTTTCCATCCCGAAATTCTCTCCACCGTAAAACGACACCAATCTTTTCCTGTTTTACATTTTCCCTTCTTCTTGGTCATCTAGAATTCCTTTTGTCTGCTTAGCCCTTAAATGTCTATGTTTACCAGACTAAGTGTCCCCGATCCTCTTTTTTCTTCACAGGTTCATGGTGGGTGATTTCCCTCACACACTTTTTTTTAAAATCTTAAGTCTCAATCTCTTCTCTGAAGCTCCAGGCCAGTGTTTGCATGTGCCTGGCAGAATTCTCCACTCACAGGCTTTTTACATGCATCTTAAATTTTTTTTTTTTTTTTTTGAGACGGAGTCTCACTCTGCCACCCAGGCTGGAGTGCAGTGGCGCGATCTCGCCTCACTGCAAGCTCCACCTCCTGGGTTCCCGCCATTCTCCTGCCTCAGCCTCCCGAGTAGCTGGGACTACAGGCGCCCACCACCACGCCTGGCTAATTTTTGTATTTTTAGTAGAGACGGGGTTTCTCCGTGTTAGCCAGGATGGTCTCGATCTCCTGACCTCGTGATCCACCCGTCTCGGCCTCCCAAAGTGCTGGGATTACAGTCATGAGCCACCACGCCCGGCTGCATCTTAAATTTTTGTTCAAAATTCAACTTTTTATCTTAGACTGAAACCTCCTCCTCTCCCTGCATTTCCCGTCTCAGTAAATGCTCCCGTTGTCCACTTCATTATTCAGTGCAGTCTGGAATCATTCTCTTATCCCTCACCTCTGACCAATGACCCAGTCCATCTCCTCCACTCTGTTTCCATTGTCCTGGGGCAGGACTTGCTCATTTCTCACTGGAATTGCTGCAAAGGCTTCCTATTTTATCTGTGATTCCAGACTTCTCTTTCGATGATCAATTCTCCACCCTGCAACCGAAAGATTTTTCTAAAAAGGAACTCCTAAGGCTTAAAAGCCTTCTGAGCTTCTCCAGTAACTTCATGTTAAAATCTAAACTCTTTTATCCTGACTTGTAAGTCTTCTTCCGGCACACACCCTCTGCTCTGCCAACCTGTATGAATCAGGGTCTCAAGAACCAGTCATGTTCTTTCAAACAACTGTGCTGTGCTTCACATATGTTCTCTGACGGCTGTGAAGTGTCTTCTCTCCCCAGCGTGGTGTATCAGGATTGCCTACTTGTCTTCTATGCCACCTAACAATGAGCTTCTGAAGAAGCCTGAATCTTACCTTTATCCATTGCTGAATAAAGCACAACTCAATACATAAACTGAAAGCTAATATTTAATTTTCAAGTTGCTTTTAGAAGTTAGTTCAAAATTGCTATATAATTAAAGCATGCTTTATTTCCTCTTCTACCCTTAGTTTCATTAAATTATGTATTTACATTTTTTTCTGATAGAAACTAAGTTTTAGTTTACTTCCATGTCCAATTCCTAAAAGACTTATTTAAATCATCTCCTTCAGTGATCATCCACAACCAGTAATCATGAATCATTTAGACATTTTTCTTGACTATTCTGAACAAAGTATAAAAACTTAGTTGCTCGTTATTAAATGAAGGAAAAGACACTTTTAAAATTTCACATGAATAAGAAGTTCATGTGCAAATTTTCTTCCGAGAGAATAGTTACAATTCTTTTGTTTGGTAATGAATGTTGCTCCTCAGTTTACTTTGTGAATAATGAACCAAACTTACACCTGATTGTTTCTGCTCATTGAGTCTCCTGTCTCCCTTATGCTGCGAGTTCCACAGGGACTTTTTTTTTTTTTTTTTGAGACGGAGTCTCTCTGTTTCACCAGGCTGGAGTGCAGTGGTGCAATCTCGGCTCACTGCAACCTCCGCCTCCCAGGTTCAAGCGATTCTCCTGCCTCAGCCTCCCGAGTAGTTCAGATTACAGGCGTGCACCATGACATCTGGCTAATTTTTGCATTTTTAGTAGATACGGGGTTTCACCATGTTGGTCAGGCTGGTCTCAAACTCCTGACCTCGTGATCCTCCCGCCTTGGCCTCCCAAAGTGCTGGGATTACAGGCGTGAGCCACTGCGCCTGGCACAGGGCCTATCTTTTCAACACCATATCTCCAGCACCAACCATGCCTTACCTATAACAGTCTCTTCATACGTATTTATTTAATGTGTTCAAATATTTTGTTTTTGTTTTATGTGTTACCTTATAAAAACCTAGTTTTTACACACATAAAAGATGAAATTAATTTGCAAAAGATGAGAGAAAATGTCACGCCTGGTCATAAAAACTGTGCTGGGCCAACTGTTTATCATAAAGAGACAAAAAGAGGTTATTTTTTCTATTCCATGTGTGTCATTCTAAGCTTGACTCTTAAGCACAACTTGTTGAACATTTTGCAATTCAAAGTTACCTTTTGGTCAGCCATAGACAATCCACTAAATGAATCTGGAAAGAGTTTAGTACTGATTAAACTTGGCGAGTAACTCTATGAGACACAAGGCACTACAACAAAGTAGATTTCTATTTCTAAGTCAGCGAAGCGAAGAAAAACTTTTCAAGAATGACTCTGCCTATAACAACATGAACATTAGGTTCAGAAGTACCCATTAACTCAAATAGCTTATTCAGCAATAAGCTTTCTCAGTGTTATAAAATAAGTTTTCCTTCTTCAGTTTCTTCATTAGTGACCATTTGTCAGGAAGTCATACCACATCAAGGGATGCTCATAATAGACTCAATATTCTCCACTTAATAACATTTAAACAAGCATTGTCTTCACATTCATGGTTGTTAAAAAAAAAAAAAAGAGTCTTTTCAAAGTATGTGCATCTGGTTAGGAGAGAATAGGATAAACCCAGAGTTATAAAAAACTGACATTTTTGTTTCCTGATTCAGCACAAAGAAAGCCAGAATCTGCAAGTCCTACGTTTTTTTCTGGTGTGGGGTCTTAGAGTTGAAACCCTGACCCAGACGTGGATATTGCAAAAACAGAGTGAGGTATCTTGCTAAGGTGACAGTGCTTCAAATGGTCAAAATATTTTCCATCTTTCTGGGAAATGTCACTCTGTTTTGTAATAAAGCTGGAATGACTTCCCAACAAAGATGCAGTCAATGAAGAAAAGCAAGAACTTTCCAGTTTCCCAAATCCAGGGAGAAAACAAGTTAGATAACTGTTTATAAGAATGAATCTAGTGAAAAGGGGGCTCTGTCAATGATAAATATTTATTTTATTCTGCGTGTTTAGCATGGGAAAGGAACATGTTAAAAGTTGGCCAAATATGGTAAGTATCAGTCTCCACAGAGTCCCAAACCTTGTGTTGAGAATGCCAAGATCTTTGTTTTATTCCAGAAGGGATTAATAGTAGCAGACAGGGGAAAAAGTGAGGGTAAACTAAAATAGCATAGAAACCAGCATGCTTACTGCACAAGTTAAGTGATGCAGTTTCCCTAAGTCTGCTGTCTAAATTCTGTCTAATCTCAGAAGCTGGCTCTTCTCTGACTCAACTGGATATCACCTCCAGCACTTCATATCCTCAGATACATACCTGTATTCTGCATTATGTGATTGTGGCCTGTGTACTCACACTTTGGAGTTACATGTAGACATCCTTATTTACCTCTGCAATACCGGGCATGATTTCTTCTCAATGGAATATAATACGTAACTGAAATAATTGTCTCTTTAATTAAATTTGAGCATTTGATCATACTATAACTGCTATAAATAATCCTAAACTGCTATAAAACTTGAATTTAATATAGGAAAATTTAATAATATTCTTAATATAAAGCAATTTATAGAAATGAAGGAGATTGGCATGAAAATGGCATAATTTTTTTTTCCTCTTTTATGTCATTGTTCCTAGTGTCTATGACAGCATTTCTGTGGATGATCTTTCCTGCTTCTGTGCGCACTGTTTAACTATAATGGTCATTTTTTGCACACAGTGATGTTCACATACATCTAGTATTTTCCTCCCCAACATCTGGGTTTCCTCTTATTTTGAATGCCTTAGATGTCACTCCTCTGGGTGTGTCGTTCACATGTTTCATTCACATCCTCATTTTTATTTGATCTATTCTCTGATTCCCAGCACTCAAAGACTTTTATTCCTTAATTCACTGGTAAATAATTGTGTTCGGGGGAACTCAAAGCAAAATAAACTGTGGCCCTTACAGGGTAGAGGGGTGAAGGCAACTGTTGAATTACCGTTCTGCAACAGGAGACCCACGCTAATGCTGATATTACAGGGAAAGTCCAAGGGAAATGGAGAGGTTTCAAGAGAATGAACACTGGATTCCCAGGATCTGAGATAAGAAAAGCTAAAATTATGAGAGGCTGAAGATGGAAGGAGTATCATAATCCATCTGGCTTTGTCCGCGACATTTGCTGGACTAGGGAAAGGACTGAAATCACGGATAAAGGAGCAAGTAGTAGGAGAAAGAGCCTGACAATAGCAAGGCTTTCTACTGGGAAGAGTAGTCAGGGATCCCCATCCCAGAGGCCAAGGGCTAAGCTCAGACCTGAGGTAGGCCAGAATCAACAGCTTAGTCAAGTTTAGTGATTACAAAAGGCAAGGCTGCAGGAATATCTGGGTGGGGGCTGTGGAGGTGATTTAATCAGATTCAAGGAGGTCTTTCCGTGCTACAAAGAGCCTCCTGAATGGCAAGTGGCTAAAGATTCAGAGATTTTTAGCCACAACGAAAGACTGGAGTGCAAATGAGAAACCAGAATAAAAGTCCAACCACGCAAAATAAGGAACAAGTACTAGGAGATAAGGGAAGGAGTTATGACTCAGTGTACACAGTAGCCAGGGCACACCATAAACCCCACTGGAAAGAGGAAATTATGGCCAGTCCCACTCCCTCAGGGCAGACAGAGCTCTGAATTTATTGTTTCTTTTGTTCCCATTAATGTGCAGGTCCATGATTACAGGACCATTTGTACCTGTGTTGCATGACTCAGGCACAAGCAGGTAAGACACAGGAAACGAAGACAGGAAATGTGAGCTTGGCTTCGGACGCTTATCATCCCCAAAAGCCTGAAATGCCTAGCACACTTCAATGTACCATTCAAGACCCAGGTCCAGCGTTTGTTTCACAGCAGCTTTCAACATGTTCCTCACACACAGTAGGCAGCTAGGAAGTGAAATCCATCACTACCACCACCGTCATCATCATCCTCATCCTCAATAGTATTATTTCCTTCAGGGTCAGTACCATCATCTCAGGAATTAGATGATAACCCCTCTGGACTTAAAATGTCATCCTGTGAATGATGTTTAAAGTATAAATGGGGAGTTCAAGTTCAGATGGTTTTAGCTGGAGAGAGCAAAATATCTGTTTCCCGTAGCTTAAAAAATAAGGGCAATTGACTGGCTCGAGTGATGACAAGTCCACTGGAAGAGCTGACTTCAGGTGTGGCCTGAACCAGCAGTTCAAAGATACCACTAAGCACCAGATTTCTTCCCTTCCTTGTTTCTAGTCTTGTGTGGTTGACTTCTCTTTGAGGCAGGCTTGTCAGAATTGCTAGGCTTCAGGCATCTTTATGTACAGCAGGAAAGATAGAATATCTTTGCCTCAGCATTCCTAGAAAAGGCCTGGCACTTCGCTGTGATTGGGTCATCTTCAGAAACTTGCCTACTTGGAAAAGGAATCACTATGTGGATTGGCTAAACAGAAGTCATATGCTCTACCCAGGATCCTGGGGTGAAGTCATTTTCCCTAGAACCACGTGAATCCTAAAGTGGACATTAAAACTGTTGAGAAAGAGAAAGAGAAAAATGGATACAAAAAAAATCAATCAAGGTCCTAAGGGGTAAACAAGAAGTTAAGAAAAGGAATGTATTAGAAGGACATTGGGTAGCTCAAAAAAACTGTCAGAAAGGCTGGAAAACTAGGTTTGGTAAAAGTGCATGTATTAGTTTGCTAGGGCTGCCATAACGAAGTTCCACAAACCAGCAACTTTAAGAGCAGAAATGTTTGATTTCACTCCTGGAGGCTAGATGTGTAACATGAAGGAGTCAGTAGGTTGGTTTTTTCTGAGGGCTGTGAGCGAGACTGTTTCAGACTTCTCTGGTGGTTGGTTGGCAATCTTTGGCATTTCTTGGCTGGCTGATGCATCACTCCAATCTCTGCCATCTCGCTCACATGGCCTTCTTCCTCTATGTGTGTCTGTCTCTGCGTCCAAACTTCCTGGAAATGGCAGGCTGGAAAAGCCAACGACAAACTTCTGTCCTGTATTTTGTCTTAGAGGTGACTCAGTTTGTCTTTCTCTACCCATGGAAGGAAAAAAGCTGTGTCTTGTGGTTCTTTTATGTGAGCAGGCACATGAGCATGCTCAGGAGTGAGGGTTTCTGCTGATGGGGTCTGCAGAAGAGCAGCAGAGGCTGAGCTGCCCTGATATCTGCACATTGCAAGCTCACGGGACACCTTGTGAGATAAGCTTATGCAGGTGATAGGTTAACACTTATATTCTGATGATGCCATAATTCATTTCCAAATATTCATATACTAGTTGTACTTCTCCCTAGTGACAAGTTATTTCTTTATAGGCCCACCTCCCTTACAGAGTTGTATCTTTCTGGAGTTCAGAGGACTTCTTAATTATTGCAATATTTTCAGTGCCTAGTCCAGCACCTGGCATTTGACTTTGAGGATGAAGCAGGAACAAGGGGAATTTATAAAGTAGCTTTAAAAGGCTCTCAATTTGAGAAGAACATTTCCTCAGAGCAGTTCAACTGTGATCCATGACTATGCTTTATTTTTTAATTTATTTTTTAAAGCATAGTCATGTATACAGTATGATAACAGAAAACAAACAGAAGTAGTAATACCCTAAAAAGTGCAGGTCTTGCTGGGCCCTATTTTCATTTTAGCAGAGGTTTCTAATGTTGCAGCATTAATCTACTTCTGCTCATTCTCCAGTGAGAAACCCTGGACACGAGTAGAGACACAGATTTGCCAGTTTGCACCTTCCTAAAGTGACCTTGAACTAAGTTTTCATTATATCTAGATTCTAGATATTATATCAATATTCCAGGTTATTTATTGGTACGTATTTTTACTTGTATCCCCAAAATCAAATAAATAATTTAAATAAAATGATTTCCAATCTGAACTGAGAACAAAACTTAAAATGTTTTAGCTTCTGTTGCCTTCAAATCTGACAATGTATTAGCTCAGCCTTTTGAATTTGATTTTCCTAGTAGTTCTAGAAGCAAACAAGAATTAATTTCAAACAAAAACCTGTCTTATTTGTATAATACAAGTTTGAATTTAGTTAAAACAACATTTTTTAAATTAAATTTCCTTTGAAAAACAAAGGCTGAAGGGGAAAATGTTTTAGAAAACTTGAAGTTTCAAACAACAAAACTTGAAGGAAAATAAAAATGGTTTTAGGGCTTTCTGAAAAATCCCTGATACTGCTAAGCCCCACTCCGTCATTCACAGTAGGAACCAGTTTAAATGCTCTTGCTGTCCCAACATTAAAATAGAACTTCTTTAGAGATTTCAATAAAGTGTTATTTACTCATTTCTTTGTTACCTCATTTCCTCCCTTCTAGCTTTGATTATACTCTTCAATTAAAATGGAAATGATTTGACATTGCAAATACAAAAAAATTCAGACATTTACTTCTCAGTGTAGAACAAGTTTGTGATGTTAGGGTGTTGATATGTGATCTTCTAGCTTTCTGATGTGGGCATTTAGTGCTATAAATTTCCCTCTTAACACTGCTTTAGCTGTGTCCCGAGATTCCATACATCGTGTCTTTGTTCTCATTGGTTTCAAAGAACTTCTTGATTTCTGCCTTAATTTCATTATTTACCCCAGAGTCATTCAGGAGCAGGTTGTTCAATTTCCATGTAATTGTGTGGTTTTGAGTGAGTTTCTTAATTCTGAGTTCTAATTTGATTGCACTGTGGTCTGAGAGACTGTTATGATTTCAGTTCTTTTGCATTTGCTGAGGAGTGTTTTACTTCCAATTATGTGGTCGATTTTAGAATAAGTGCTATGTGGCACTTAGAAGGATGTATATTCTGTTGATTTGAGGTGGAGAGTTTTGTAGATATCCATTAGGTCCACTTGATACATAGCTGAGTTCAAGTCCTGAATATCCTTGTTAATTTTCTGTCTGGTTGATCTGTCTAATATTGACAGTGGGTTGTTAAAGTCTCCCACTATTATTGTGTGGGAATCTAAGTCTCTTTATAGGTCTCTAAAAACTTGTTTTATAAATCTGGGTGCTCTCGTATTAGGTGCATATATATTTAGGATAGCTAGCTCTTCTCAATGAATTGTTCCTTTTATCATTATGTAATGTCCTTTTTTTAATTATTTTTGTTGGTTTAAATTCTGTTTTGTCAGAGACTAGGATTGCAACCCTGTGTTTTTTTGCTTTCCATTTGCTTGGCAAATATTCCTCCATCCCTTTATTTTGAGCCTAGTGTAGAGGAAGTTTGTTTGATTCGCCAGCAACAGTCAAAAGTACATGAACTGAACAATGTCAATCACCTTTTATCCTAAATTATTCCTTTGAAGTTTCTTCAAATTGGAAACATAAAATATCTGACTGACCTACAATTTAAAAAATGTATTTAGAAACGTTTATTTAACAAGCAGGTATTGAGTGGTGTCCTATTAGGTGCATATCCAACTGGAAAGATGTTTAAAAGATATTCCTGTATATCTCTAGTACATAAGCTTTATTCATACCTTACTTCAGGCTCAGCTCCTAGATTTCTAGAATATATCTAACTTCATTTTTATAAAAGTCATTTGTTTGCCTCATGTAGTATCTTGTGATCATTCTGTTATAAAAATCTTCCACTCATGTCTCATTTGCATGAATGTTCTGCTTATGCTACTACGGCAACCTTTATACTATTTTATGATACGGGGTTTCACTCTGTCGCTTAGAGTGGGGTGCAGTGGTGCAATCATAGCTCATTGTAACTCTGAACTCCTGGGCTCAAGGGATCCTCTTGCCTCAGCCCTCCGAGTTGCTAGGACTACAAGCACTCACCACCACTCCTGGCTAAGTTACAATTTTTTTTTTTTTGAAATGGAGTCTAGCCATAATACCCAGACTGGTCTTGAAGCCCTGGCCTCAAATGATCCTCCTGTCTCATCCTTCCAAAGTGCTGGGATTACAGGTGTGAGCCACTGTGCCTGGCCATACAGCAGCCTTTAATCAACTGCTGATCAGTATCTGTACTAGTTTGTGGCAATAGTAAGAATCATATTTTTATTAAGTGTCTTAGGCCATTTTCTGTTGCTTATAACAGAATACCTAAAACTGGGTAATTTATAAAGAAAAGAGGTTTGTGTCTTACAGTTATGAAGTCTGAGAGGTCCAAGGTTGAGGGGCTACATCTGGTGACGGTCTTCTTGCTGGTGGGGACTCTGCTGAGTCCCGAGGCATCACATGGTCCAGCACATGCTAGCTCGGGTCTCTCTTCCTCTTCTTATGAAGTCACCAGCCTCACTCCTGTGATAACTCATTAATCTAGTAACCCATAATTTACTAATCCATTAATGGATTAATTTACTTAAGTGGGCAGAGCTCTCATGACCCAATCACCTCTTAAAGGCCCCACTTCTCAATACTACCGTATTGAGGATCAAGTTTCAACATGAGTTTTGGAGGGAACAGATATTCAAGCCACAGCATTAAGTCTCCTGATGATCTGGGTAGGGGTGGTAAACTCAAATGCCTTTACTGGCCAGGAGGGCAATGTAAAATGTGAAATAAGGAAATAATAGGAAATGATCAGCCTTCGGCAAACTGGGGAATATATGCTCTGCCTAAAGACATTCAAATTCATTTAAGAACATGGTGCTAGCTAGATAGAACATATCTGTGAGTATTTTTGTTTATTTGTGGATTTTGGTTTTCTTTCTTAACATTTTGCACAATGACAAGACTATATATAGACCTCTCCCTTTTTAAAACACAAATACACAGATTTGTGGTCTGTGGCTTACTTTTAACTATGATAAAAATAAGTACTTTAAAATGTTTTCTGATGAGAGTGCTGTTAACTAAAATAATAAAAATACAAATAGCTGAAAACCAATTTTTATGGCCAGATTGTCCTGTGAGAGCCACATGGCATATTGAATTCCCAAAACTGTTATAATTGTATTGTTCTTTTTTATTATGAATTAATTTCTTGAGAGCTCTTGTGGGCAAATTTTTACTCTGTGTGTTTACTAGGAGTCATTAGAGTGTTTGTTTTCTATAGTGCTAACTACAAAGTCAACCCAACACTCTTCTAAATTCAGCCCAAATTCAGAGGGAATGCTCAGTTTACCACCACAGAGGAGCCGAAAAAATAATGGGAAAGGACAGCAGACAATTTAAACAAATTTTACAAACACAATTTAGCATAGACACAGAACAGGAAGAGAAAATCAAGACTGACTAATCAATAGTGGACTTGGTTGCGCCTTGAAGTATTGAATCAGGAAATTATTAATTCCTACGTCTTCCTCTCACCTTCCTAAAGGTTCAGTGTATACATTGATGTCTGGAGTAAAATCTACACAAGATGCATTTTCACCACAGCATCTGGTCCTCTGGGAACTCCGTTGCCTGCTTTCTTGAGAGCTTTAAGCTTTTTGTCTGAAGTATGTTCTGGCAGCCAAAGATGTGTCTGAATTACTTTGTGTTTTTAGGAATCCCACTTTCTCTTCACTCGTAAAGTCTGCAACCTGGTGCGGGGATGTTGGAAATATGTTTCCTGAGTGCATACGTGTTGTGGGGAGGGCAATGGAACTGTCCGCTTTAGATCCATCTACATTTCAGTTTTCATCCCACCCAGAGACGGGTTTCTTTTCGTCAGATGGTCTGCAGGTAAAACCACAAACCCTCTGGTGATCAGTGAAATCACATCTTTGTTGTCTTTGCCTGGTGAATGAGGTAGCTATGAGATTGCTGTTCTTTTGTAAATAGAATACTAAATGAAGTGAGTATAAAAAGGAAAAACCCATACAGTTTTTAAGGGCAAATGTACTCATTTGAAAAGTACTTTGGATTTATTACACTATTGTTGGCATCAAATCCAGTTGCTTTGTTATATTAAAAACATCTTTTTTTAAAAAAAGTCAACCATTTTAAGAGAGGCGTGAAGAGCCTAATGTGTCTCTCAGAAAAGCTTCTTCCTTTTCTGAACTAAAACCAAATATGTTACATAATGTGAATAAGATCAAACCACAATCAGTGGCCTTCCTCCTCCAAATGGAGGTGATATCTAAAATCATATGGCCTAAATACATTATCTTCAGTGTCTTAGGATCACGGGGAAGACCATAGCCATAATGATTAAAGTTTTCCAAAGGATATTTCATAAATCCTTATAGAGACACTTACTTTTGGATTTCAATACCAGACTGTGGGAGGTTACTCATGGGTCAGTATTTCTTTCTTTCCTTCTCAAACGGTGCATTCCATTTTTTCAGAGTATCTAGACTATGCTACAGAAGTTTATTGCAAGCATGGCCCATCAACTTCACACTGATTAATATGTAAACCTGGATATTTAATGAGCCTTTATGACTCTTTCAATTACAAATTACTTTTCTAATCATTTGAGGGAACCCTCAAATGGCATTTGTTCAAAGGCATATATGTTCTTAGAGTGGGAAGCTGGTTCGTATACTGCTACACAGCACCATTCTCTCAATACAATACCATGAATAGTGTGATATGCAGATATTTGTTTGTGGTGCTTGTTACTATCATATATATTAAGCTATAACCTGTATTTGAAAGGCTTGTATGTAAACCACTTATTCTGATAGAAGAGAGACTTTATATCTCTCAAAGTACTTGAGCAAACCAGGAAATAATGCTCTATTAAAATAAAAAAAAATTCATTCCATATTTGATGATAGGATTGAAAATCTTCATTCACATATCACTTTTATTCAGCCATTTGTATAAAATTACTGGAGTGAATCATCAGCTTAGACTTAACTTAATAATTTTTTACCTAGCACATCACTTATCCAGTTTGAACCTCATACATACGAAGAAACTTGGGCTCAAATAAGTGATGTCTTTTAAGGTCATTGACAGTAATAGAAATGGGATTGAAGTGCCTTATGTCTGACTCCACAGCCCATGGGCTAGTCCTTAGAACAGTGGTTTCAATGACTCACAGCAAGAAACAGACACATAGATACTCATATTTGAATTACAAGTTTCACAATATGAGGCTTATCCTTATTTGTAAAACACTTCTATTTCTAAATTATGTGTGTATGTATGCATGTGTGTTAAAGTTGGCCACAGACCACATTTAAATAGGTTTAACAACCACCAATGGATCGCAATTTACAAATGAGCTAGAAGCCACATTTTGAAAAATGATACCACACAGCCCTTCTTTGCCGGGTCCTTCATTGCTTGCAACCTGCATAGTCACACAGGGCTCAATGCTTAGAAGGACCTCATGCTTGGTTTAATGCTCTGAGGTTGTCATCTTGAAATTCTTTTTTTAGATGGAGTTTCACTCTTGTTGTCCAGGCTGGAGTGCAATGGTGCGATCTTGGCTCACTGCAACCTCCTCCTCCCAGGTTCAAGAGATTCTCTGCCTAAGTCTCCAGGATAGCTAGGATTACAGGCATGCGCCACCAGGCCCAGCTAATTTTGCATTTTTAGTAGAGATGAGGTTTAGCCATGTTGGTCTGGCTGATCTCAATCTCCTGACCTCAGGTGATCCGCCTGCCTAGAAATTCTTAATAATTTTATCTTTCAACTTGTGGAAGTAAAGTCCAATAGTACAGTGGAACATGTATGTGAGCAGAGATAAACTTAACATGCATGCCTGCTATTCCTTGCCACCCATTCACATAACTGCATTCATGATGCCCCACTAGCACAGAATTCTGGAAGACCTGCAGTGTGTGGGAATGCAGGGAGACTCAGTGAGTACAAGCTAAGTGTGTAATGTCTATGTGAGTGAGAGTGGGTCCTGATACTGTTGAAAGGCCATGCTTTTCATCAGAATCAGAACTTGTTTCCAGTGCAAAATAAGGCAATGCCATTCTAGGCACCATGTATTACCAAGTGGCCTTCTCATATCCTTTCTTACTCATAATACTTCCCTGTATTAGCCAACCACTTGTGTGGAAAATGATGACATGGAAGGAAAGGGGAAGATAGGTCAGCCTAGATTTCCTTTTCCTTTCAGTCCTTCCTTAATCATCACTCAGCCAAAGATAGAGTGTTGGTAGAAAGTGTGTATATTGTGGTTGAGTGCTGTGGTTTATGCCTGTAATTCCAGCTCTTTGGGAGGCCAAGGAAGGAGGATCACTTGAGGCTAGGAGTTCAAGATCAGCCTGGGCAACACAGTGAGACCGCATCTCCACAGGGAGAAAAAAAAAAGGCAGGTGTGGTGGCGCACACCTGTAGTCCCAGTTACACAGGAGGCTGAGGCAGGAGGATTGCTTGAGCCTGGGAGGTCAAGGCTGCAATGAGCCGTGATCACACCACTGCACTCCAGCCAGGGCAACAGAGCAAGGCCTTATCATGAAAAGAAGAAAAAGAAAGAAAAAGAGGTTATGTGCATCCACAGATATAATAAAAAGGGTTGAGTTAGTTTTGTGCAGCATCTCCATGGTTCTGGTAAGAATAAAACATGTAGGCATGTATTTGTTATGAAATACAAATTGTGTAATTTTGGTGGTTCTGCATATGAGTTAAATACTGTTATATTTGTATTTAAAACTGGCATTGCACAATATAAATATAAATGGCCAAATTCTTGCAAAGGGCTTAAAATTTAAATTTCCTTTTTTTAAAGAATGACATTAAATAACAAAGAAAAAAATCGTGATAAGTTAAGAGAGGGAGACCATCAAAGAAAGCAAGCTTCTCAGTACTTTTAATGACACAATTTTCCTGGTTTTTGAATGAATATGGAGGGCAGTATTTTCATTTTGCACTAGGTCCTGCAACTTATGTAGGTGCCAATAGTGGGTTGAATGGCGGTCCCCTAGGTGTTATGTCCATGTCCTAATCCCCAGAACACGTGAATATTTAATACCTTATAAAACAAAAAAGGAATATGGCAAAATATATGATTAAATTAAGGATCTTGAGATGATGGATCTATACTGGATTATCTAGGTAGGCCCTAAATGCCATCATATGTATCCTTATGAGACAGACACACAGAAGAGAAGACACAGAGAAAAGGAGGAGGCAATGTGACCATGGAGGCAGAAATTGGAATGATGTGGCCACAAGCCAAGGAATGCCTGGGGACACCAGAAGTTGGAAAAGATAAGGAACAGAATCTCTTCTAGAGCCTCTGAAGGGAACATGGCCCTGTAGAACTCTTAATTTCAGACTTCTTGCCTCTAGAACGGTAACAGAATAAATTTCTGTTGTGTTAAGCTATCTAGTTTGTGGAAATTTGTTACAGCAGCCCTGGGAAGCTAATACACTGATTCTTTCTCATTCTTTACTCAAATAAGACATATAGACTGTGCTCTGGAAGGCTTTACCCATGACACCAACCCATTGAGATCTCTTTCTTCTCTAGATGAGGCTGCTCTTCATAATCCCTTACCCTGAAGTTGGTATTCTTAAATAATTTCACACATTAATTCTGCCCCTTTCTCTTGGCTCTGCACACAAAATTCCTTGGGAATGAAGAGCATACCTCAATGCCCTTTAAACACCCTGGACTGTCATAAACAATGCTAGTTTCATAGAAAATGCTCAGTGGATTCCTGTTGATTGGCCACAGACTTGAAATACTGATGAGATGTTTTTAAATCTGAATTTCATTTTCTTCCATTCAACATCTAGAGAATTTACACTAGGAAACTAACCTCCCATTCCTACTTGAAATGGATAGAGAAACCCTTAGTGTTGAATCTCAGGCAGATAGAGTTTACTTTAACAAAGGAATTGTTATTGGAGGCCTAAAGGTAATTTAAATGGAAAAACTGCTATTGAAGGGGGCCAGTCCCAGGTGGCATGTGCAACAGAGGCCCTTCTGCTCTGTCAGATCTTGCCCTTATTACACATGATGGGATTTAAGGCTGATGATGGATTAGGACATTTTAGGCTAAGGGCCATTCTACATCCTCTGAACAGCAACTTGAAATAGGGCAGTCTATATAGCAGATTCGGTATAGAGTCTTAATTAAAGGATATATAGACCTTAATTTAGCTCCATTTTAATTGTGCAGAATTCTTTTAAACTTTAGAGGATGGTCTAAATTTAGTTCAGCTTTTTTTTTTTTTTTTTTTTTTTTTTTTTTTTTTTTTGAGATGGAGTCTCGCTCTGTCACCCAGGCTGGAGTGCAGTGGCACAATTATGGTTCACTGCAACCTCCGCCTCTCAGGTTCAAGCAGTTCTCCTGCTTCAGCCTCCAGAGTAGCTGGGCTTACAGGTACCCACCACCATGCCCGGCTAGTTTTTCTATTTTTAGTAAAGATGGGGTTTCGCCATGTTTGCCAGGCTGGTCTCAAACTCCTGACCTCAAATGATCCAACTGCTTCAGCCTCCCAAAGTGCTGAGATTACAGGCGTGAGCCACTGCACCCGACCTACTTTAGCAAATATTATCTTCTTTAAGAGAGGCCCTTTACTAGTCTGCTGTAGAGTTCATAAAAGTGAATAAGACACAGGTCCTGTCCTGAAGGGGCACACTCTCTAATAGGGTCAATAATTTATATAAGTAACTTCAGTTTTGTCATCAAATCTATTGACACACACACACACACACACGCACCAAAGATGAGTCAAGGACGAGAGTTATTCATTCTGAGAGGAAGGATTGGGGAAAGATTCATTATAGATTGTGATATTTGGGTCACATCCAAAGAATGGAAATTTTATCATTAGTCAAACAATTTTAGAGGAAGGATGTTTTAGGAAGAAGCCTATCAGAAGCCAGGAGAATGTAAGCACTTGTTCTGTGAAGGCCCTGCAAGTATATTGATGGTGATTCTGGAGGCTGGCGTGTGTGGAAAGATGTGGCAGGAAAACAGGTTTTAAAAAGCATTTGAACTCAATCATTCAGAGCCTTAAAACTCAGGCTAAGAAGATCATACTGTATCCCATAAGGCCTGAGACGCTATGCAGATTTTTGAGCAAAAGAAACAGGGAACGTGACATTTGTGTCATGTTAATGAGGTGTGGACCAAAGAGACAAAGGCTTAGTTGCAGAAGGGGCTATTGCTATGGTCTAAGGAAGAGTGGTGAGAGCAAGAGTTTGGGAAGTAGCTTGGGAAATATAAAGGAAGAGACAGCGTTGTTTGAGAGATAATTAGAAAGTATAATCAACAAAATTTAGTGACTAATGAGGCATGAGTGTAGAGAGAGGAATTAAAGACAACTCCAATAAAAGTGGCCTGAGAGCAGGGAGGTTTAAGTGGGGTATATGGGAAGCATAGGAGGTGCAGTTCTGAAAAGAAACTGGCCAGGAGAGTATAGGGTTTCGACACGGTGATTTTGAATTGCCAGCAGAAACTTTAAATTGGAATTCAGGCGATATAAAATTTAGAGTCACCAGTATGGAGACTAGGCTTAAAGCCATAAGAGAAGATGAGAGCCCAGGAAGAAAGCACAGAGGAAAGGAAGAAAGCAAAGAGGGGAAGCTCTGTGGTAGAAATTTTTTTTTTTTTTTTTTTTGAGATGAGTCTCGCACTGTTGCCCGGGCTGGAGTGCAATGGCGCGATCTCGGCTCATTGCAACCTCTACCTCCCGGCTTCAAGTGATTCTCCCGCCTCAGCCTCCCAAAAGGTGGGATTATAGGTGCCTGCCGCCACGCCCAGCTAATTTTTTGTATTTTTAGTAGAGATGGGGTTTCACCATGTTGGCCAGGCTGGTCTCGAACTCTTGACCTCGTGATCCGCCCGCCTCGGCCTCCCACAGTGCTGGGATTACAAGCGTAAGCCACCGCGCCTGGCCCAGTATAGTGCTTTTTGAATAGGTATGTAGCCTTTTGAGTTTGGCTTCCTTTGCTGAGCATAGTATACTTGACATTCACCCATATTCTTATGAGTATCAGTTGTTTGTTTCTTTTTACTGCTGAGCTGTATTCCATTCTGTGGATAGACCTCAGTTTATCCATTAACCAGTTGATGTACATTCGGGTTGTTTCCAGTTATTGTTGATTTTGAATAAAGCCACTATAAACATGTGCATATCAATTTTTGTGTGAACATAAGTTTTCCTGTCTCTATGGTAAATACTTACGAGTGGGATTGTCGGGTCACATGGTAGGTATATATTGAACTTTATAAGAAACTGCCAAACTGTTTTCCAAAGTGACTGTACCATTTTGCATTCCCATTTGTAATGAATGAGAATTCTAGTTACTCTTCCTGCCAGCACTTGATATTGTTAGTATTACTAGTTTTATTATTTTTAGCCAATAGATGTGTGTGGTATTTCACTGGGGTCAAATTTTTCTGTGTATAGAAATATCCACAGTCCTCTGGGAAAAGCTTCCATAACTCCATCAGATTCTCAAAGGTACACGGCCCAGAAGGTAAAGCATCATCAAATTCAGAGGCTGGAAAATGAAGGAGTCAGCCAAACACACTGAGAAGACTGGAGAAGAATTGTGAAATGTATAGTCTATAATACCAAGTGAGGAAGAAAGCCTGTACCATGAACTAAGAATAGGATGCTGTACTTAGCAAGAGGATTCCTGGTGATCTTTGAGAAGCCAGCCATCTCACTGGAGTGGAAGGGAGGAGAGGTGAAAAAATAGGGGTGTGCTGGGGTGAAGCATAAATGAAAAGTAAATGGAAGCACCACGTGCAGACCGAGGAAGTATCATGATAAAGAATAACCCAAATGTCCCTATTTTACTAGAAAAAAATTACTTATAGGAGTCCTCAGCAGAAGAACTTTTGATAATGGTGAGCAATGTTACCGGTATTAACATTATCTATTTTAAAAATCTGTTTTTACTGGCATTTACTTCAAGTTTCCCTGAGAAGCAAATTCACTTTACCACTGATGCCACTAACTTGGCTGACAAGAAATTTTGGGCACATAGAGTGTAATTGTGGCAATGAGATCTTTCCCCAAGTACATGTCCAAGGGTTTTACAACATGCAATAAGTGTGCTGTCAGGAAATTTTACAAGTCAGCTGATGCGTGCCACAGTGCCACAATCATTACCCTTTCCCGTACAGCATGCTGTCACGCGCAACCTCAGCTAATCTATCTGGGCATTTCTGCCCCACACAAAAAAGATGATCACACCGAAATAAGAAGGAAATCAGCATGTGGTCAGTAAGGATTCACCAATCTCTTTAGCCCCTGCCTGGATTACAAGAAAAGCTGCGGAAGGAAAAGAGACAATATTTTGGTAAACTTTGACATGTGCACACAGAGAATGCTTTTCTTAGTCATGATGTAGAATTTGAATATAAGGATGATCCATTCCTGGCTCTTTCTCTCTCTCTGCTCTTTGAATACATTGTAGAAACCAGGAAGCAGAAAAGAGAGATTGTACCACTTTCCCTATCACTTCTTCTCTATCAGATACACACACACACACACACACACACACACGCATACACACACCCTGCATCCATATTTTGATTCCTGCTAGTTCAATGTCTTATCCTCCACTGTTTTGAATAAGGTCATCACATTAATGCAGTTTAGAAGACTGAAAATGTCATCTTACTTCCTCCCCTTTACTTGTCTTAGATACTAGATTCACAATTACACCTGAACGTGTTACCTATCAATGCTATGCCCTAGACCACTTCACAAAATAAGTTGTTGCAGCAACTGTGGTCCTAGGAAAAGAATGTAGACTACGGAGTCAAAAGAGATGGGTTTGAGTCATAGCTCTTTCACTTTCTAGCCATGTGACTATGAACAAGTTACTAATTCTTCTGTTGTCTCAGAGTTTTCATCAATAAGATGGAAAAAAATAGCTCCTAATTCATACTTTACTTTGCATTGGGCATTCGAACAAGGTCGTGAAAGAACTGTAGAGTTTGACAATTACTGGACATTGCTATCCTCGCTCTCTGCAAATGTGGAGGCCAGTGTGCCCCTGCTAGCATGCTAGGAAGGCTGACGGGCCCTGACCGTCTTGTTTTCACTTTGACCCTTCCTCCCTGGGAGCTGCCATCAGAGCAGCTCTTGAATGCGAATTCTATCCCCTTCTTCTCCCTGCTGTGCCTTCCTTCCATCTATCTTCTGGAAACGGACTAATTCCCATTGAAAACTGTACTTCTTAACTTGGACATCCTTACAGCAGGTGAGATACCATATTTGCTGGGCTCTGTCGCTCTTTCTTTATTAATTATGATTAAGTATAATCTTTGCAAAGTAGCCCTTTCCCCCACACCATCTGCTATTCCTTTCCCCCATAGCATCTATTTCAGTTAATGAGTGGGATACCCTTCAATGGAGAATTTAGGGAAGCACTGGTGCATGTGAACCCCCCTGGGCCAGGAGGAGGAGAAGTGGATCCCGCTTTCTGACACATTTCAGGGCAGGTAGTTATTGTCCTGTTATAGACTGTCTTTGCTCAACACCATTAGTCCACAAATATTCCCAGTCTCTGTTTAAGCAGTTTTAAAAATAAATGTTCTATCTGCATTTACTTGATTATTGAATATGGTTTTTAAAAAAGATTATGAGAACAAAAAGCCCTTATCATCCAGAGTTTCAGACAAAGCACTGTGTAGTTAGACTCGTAGAAACAGAAAACATGCCAAGGTGCAAGGTAGATAAGATAAGCTAGCTTATGAGAAGCCAGGACTAAGATAATGTCTACATGAATCACGGTTTTTCTTGCAGAATTGGGGCTACAAATTGCCCTTTGCCTGTAAGAATATATCCCACTCATACTAATGAGAATGGCATGCTTGGGCCAAGGACAGATGCAGCCCTTTGGGATTTCAAAACTGGGTGAAGACTTTGATAATGGTTGAGCAGCAGGTCAATATGTTGATCATCACATGATGGAATTAGAGACTATGATCTCTTCTTGCTTCAAAGTTCTCTAGAGGAATGATATGATTTTTTTGGTGTGTTCCCTTACCTGCACCATGCCAAAAAATAACGTTCAAAGTAGAAACAAGACAGAATGATTATACATATCAAGGAAATTTGGTCATTTTTGCCTTTCATTAGATAAAATTGGGTGTGTTTTCTTTTAAAAAATAAACATGATTTGATCAACCTTATTTCTATGCATAAAGTCTAGTAGATAAAAGGCATTGGTAAATAGTCACTGAATGAAATAATGTATGATACTAACTTGTTAACTTGACCTTTCTCCCCAGCTCTTTATTTATAAAATGATTCTTGTGCTATTCCAAATGCCAATTGGAGGGTAAAGAATGAGCAGGCCCCGAGGGAAACTCCAGAGAAATGGAATTAAAATTCTAACTTATCTCAAATCTTCAGCAAATTCCTTTTCCCATTTTATCTACTTGTAAAGTCTCCAAATTGCTCTGCAATTAGATTACTCTAAAGTTAGAATCAACACCAGCATTATTGAGCCTCTTAGAAGTAGTCTATTTCAGTTCTACTTTTTGCAGAAGGCAAACTGACCCCAGAGAGATGAGTGAGTTGGCCTCTCTTTAGTTATGCATGTTGGGAAGATTTTTATTTTGAATATTCTTTTTGTTTAATTGAAATGGTGAGTTAATATATTTGCCCATACTCACCACCCAGGAGAAAAGTCCCCAGAGTTTTCAACTTCACATTTGAACAGTTCTGGGGCAATTTCATTTGCTGGTCAAACTTTGAGGGCTGTTTGTCTGGATGGTGGTCCTTATGGGAGCTGGCTTGTGGGCGCCCCCACAGGTAGTGTATCCCTCTCCCACCCCAAAAGGCCAACCCTCTCTGGCATGGGCATTGCCAGAAAACAATAGGTTATAGATTGGATAAAAAATTCACAAACATCATTGTAGAACCTGCTTTCTTGGGAGCAAAGTATCTTCAGGTAGAAAATTTAGATGAGAAAACATCACATATGTGCAATGAAGGTAAATACTGTAGGCCATACATTTTTATCTATGGTTGACTTTACGGGATTAGCTTTTTGAACGAGTGCAAGGCACTTTCACAGCTCACCTGAATTTTATTTGAAAAGTCAGCAGAAAGTATACATTTGTTTCAGAGAAGAGGAGATTCATGGGTAAACAGACACAGAGCTATGAAATGGTTAATACCCAGGCTAAGTATAATCCTGGCCAGTTATTTATGATATGATTCATGAATGTCAAATAGAAAGAAAAAGTTCACTTTTAAAACCATTGGCCCAAGGATAAGGTCTTTGAGAATTTCATCCCAAACACTGTTCCCTGACTATTCAGATCCTCCTAATGTTGACGGTAGATAACCTCTTGACTTTTTTTTGGCAATATGCCTTGTCTTGTGAACCTGGAGTTAGACAGAAAAAGATAACACCTTCCCTCCTGTGAACTTTGACAAATGACAAGTTCTGAGTCTACTGGAACCTCTTTACTCTTATCCAGAGAAACCTACTAGTCAGCATGTTCTTTTTAGTTAAATCACTCACTTTCTAAGTTCGGCTTAACCTTTGACATGGCATTTTGTTATGGGGCTATGGATTCTTCGTAGGTTTAACAAAGATTATGATACCAATAAGGATTTTAATCTCATGTGGGCTTGTGAAATTCAGTGATAATGAATATAAACTAATTTGTGATGTGGGGGATGGAGGTGGGATTGAGAGGCAGTTTTTCACATGTGAAGCTAATATCTCACAGCTACTTTAGTGGCACATTTAACACACCATGTGCCTAGGGTGGTATATGTGACCGGATGTGGGCTCTGCAGTCACATGTCCCAGTGTTCAAATCCTGATGCTGCCCCTTTCTGGCTGGGTTTTCTTTTTGACAAATTATTCAATTTTGTTAAATTCAGTTTTCTCATCAAAATGCAGTTACAATTCCTATTTCATAGATCTATTGTGATGATTCAAGAATATATAAAAATTCCTACACATAGTGCTTGATAGTGATAGTAGTTCAATACAAGCTACTTTTCTAATCTCTCCATCTAGTGGCCATCAAACCAGCTTCGGTTATCAGAAGGTCATCATCATTATGTGGTTTTGACTCTACACCGATCCTTGAGTATAAGCCTTAAGAATGATATGAGAATAAAGCTCTAATATCCAAAGCTTTAAAATGGGTTAATCATTTATGTTTGCACGATTGTGAAAACTTACAATGCCTTGGTAACCTAAGCTTCATATCCCTTAGAGGGTACCTTGCTGAAAGCATGCCTTTCTGTCACTGAGAGAGTCAGCTCTTCTTAGCCATTCTTTTCTGTCTCTCCAAAGAGCTGGGGAAATTTGTTTCATAATCTTCTCTGCCACAAAAAACATCTATAATTGACAGGAGAAATGTTGTTTTCATCAATCCCTGAGCCTTCCTTTCCTCACTGAAATGAAATCTATTTGTAGTTTTGGGATTTAAGAGGCAAAGCAGATAAGCAGAGAAGGTAATGGTATTCGTATCAGTTGTGATAAAAATGGCTACATTTATGAAACCACAGATGCCATGTATTTTACATATCTTCGAATCCCGACAACAACTTTAGGAAGAGAATTATATGATCAACTTCATCATGCAGATGAAGAAACTAAGGCACAAAGAGGCTAACTTGCCCAAGGCTTTCTCTAAGAATGTGGAGGTGGGAATTTACACCCAAGTCACTGAATGAAGAGTCATGAACACAAGTCACCACACCATTGGGAGACTGATAGCAGTGAATCAAGCCAAGGAATAGTTGTAGTAGAAGCTCACCAATGCATTCCCCTAGTGGACTATTTCCCAGCTGTGGTATCCCAGAAATGGTGAGGTGTCCTAGAGATCCTCATTGTTCTTTAATTAAAATGAAGACAGCTGTCTCATCTACATCAACTATCATATCTACATCCCTTACACAACTAAAAGAGTAGATTTTGGGAGGATAGTATTTGTATTTGTTAATATCTGGTTACCCTGGAAAGACTGAAGGGTACTTGGGTATCCCCTGGATCTAGCTCAGGATCTGGCACATGACTTAAATACTAAATGAAAGAAATGATATGTGTGGAATCCTAGTGCTTTCCTGCTTAGTTGGGGAATCTCAGCCTTACTTTGCATCCTTCATCTCTTTCTATCACATGTGAAAACCTATGAAAGCCCAAATGGATGGATGAACATATAAGCCTGAATTACACTGGATACAACCTGACATATTTCCCTCTATTTCAAGCTGAAGACTGACTAGAATGTGAAGAAGTAAGATAAAAATCTAAACTAGATACTGAATGGAAACAAAGGAAAGAAAGGGGAATAAAAACAGTCTTGCTTTGTTTTCTGTTGCTATAACAGGATACCACAGACTGGGTAATTTGTAAGGAACAGAAGTTTATTTGGCACATGGTTCTGGAGTCTAGGAAGTCCAAGAGCACAACACTAGCATCTGGTGAGGGTCATCCTATGGCAGAAAGGGGAAGGTGGAAGCAAGTGCTCAAAAAAGAGAAAAATGGGGGCTGAACTTGTCTTTTTATCATGCCTGTGATAATGAATCCACTCTTGTGATAATGGCATTAATCCACCCAGGAAGGCAGAACCTTCATGACCTAGTCACTTCTTAAATGTTCCACCAGTTAATACTGTTACGATGGCAATTAAGTTTCAACATGAGTTTTGGAGGAACATTCAAACCATAGCACAAGATGTAGAAAAAGAAGGCAGTGGTCACCAATTGAGTAAGAAATAAATGTCACTAGTTACAACCTTGTCATACTGGATGTGTTGGATCATCCATTTTGGCCTCCTTTCACCTCCCCACGGGCCCTTCTCTGAGTCTCTGAGGTCTTCACCCTCTTTTTTGCAATGACCATTACCTAGGGCTTACTCTTCTTATTCCTCAGTTAATGTCTTCTTGTTCATACTTTAAACTTGTGATCACCACGGACGATACTTTTTAAATGGGTTGTTGTATAATCCTTGCTGCAGCTCAAGGGAAACATTTTCAAGTTCACACTAATATTATTTAATGATCATCTGTATCTTGACTGTCATGATCTACATTGGTCACCTGGAAATTTCCTAGAGGAACTGGAGGTGTAGGTCCTGGGTAAAATCATGGGCTTTGAAGCTAGAACCATTGTAAAACATGGCTGTCTTATTTATTAGCTGCGTACCTTTAGCAACTGACCCAATCTTTCCTATCTGTACATTGGGGATGAGACTATTACCTACAATACAGAGTAGCTACCAGGATCAAAGGACAGCAGGGGGTCTTAACTTTTTGTGCCATGGATCCATTTGCCAGTCTGGGGAAGCTCTTGGAACTTCTTATCAGAATAAATAAATTTGAAATACATAAAAGATTAATAGTATAAAGCCACCCAATCATATTGCTACCAGGATATTTTATAAGCAAAATTGCAACTAGTAATAAACATATTAAATAACAAGATCTAAAAGTGGTTTTGTTACCAACAGGAACTTTCAAGTTTGTGATGAGTAAAAAATGATGTTTTGAGATATCTGTAACAACTGTAATACAATATCAAAATACTTGTAATTTCTATTGGTGACAAAGACATACATAATTATCACTAACATTACCAAAGTTCACCATTTGTATCTATAATGGTAAAAAATGCCAAATTCTAGTTAAAGGTTAGTGAAAATAATATGTAAAATTTTTTCACTTAAGTTCAAAAACCCTCAATTCTAGCCCCAGATTTTTGGACCCCAGGCAAATATCGTGGATTGAAGTCATACAGGGTTTAGCACAGTGTTTGGCTAATAGTGAGAGCTCTATAAATTACTCATTACTCAAACATTTTCTCTTAGGAATTGAAAAGATTCCATGCTATTAGGATGAACCACATGAAAGTGCCAATTTTATATGTAAAAAATCATATTTCAGTAATTTCATATGATTCAGTCTAATTTAGGAACTCTATAAAGTAACATGTGAAACTTTTAATTCTTCGGTATATACTGAGGGTTTTTTTTCCCTAAGAAAATGTATATTAGCTTACCGGGTTTTAAAAGGCATAGACCATTTGGAATTCCACATTTGATTATTTCTTTTGTTTTTTTTTTTTCCCAGTATTTGTGGACAAAGACAAATGGACACCTTTTGGGGTTATTCTAAGATTTATTATGCTTCTTAACATACTTCTTTATCTTCTTAATTATAGAACATTTGTTATGTCTGGGGCTTACTCATTCCTAATGATTCATTTAGACCTAGAAAATCTCTCCCCGATTGCCAAAAACTTTAGTCTTATTAATTTTGAGGGAGTCTATGACCTAACTGCATTTAGGTATCACTTTAGAAAGATACTTGAAATAAGGTACCCCAATAATCTTCAAATGAGTATCTAGTATAGTCACAGCAATAATCTGTCACCTTGGGCAGCACTACTTTGTTCCCAGATGCAAAGGATGGTGACGGGAAGGCTTTCAGTTACTTGATACAATGCAAGTTCTTATAACAAAGTGTTCTTGCCAGTTTACTTGCCTGTAGACCCAGTTAGATGGTAAAATCTGAGAGCAGGGAATTAATGCTCTCTCTTGTTCATTTTGGTGTTCCCCAGTACCTAGCTCTGTGCTGGCACAGAGTAAAACACTCAATGAACACTCACTAAATGAAAGAATGAAGAGATGAAGAACTGCTCTTCTTGCTTCCAGTGGATACAAGAGAAGAGTCAGGGGGCTACGATTCTAATTAGGTTTGTTTTCAACATTCCAGTGTTAGTTTTTACTGTCAGCAATATTGTCAATTCAATAAAGTATAATTACATAAGAGGAAATTAATTTTGTAAGCATTTAAAATAGTCAGGTTGGGCTGGGCGCGGTGGTTTACGCCTATAATCCCAGAACTTTGGGAGGCTGAAGTGGGTGGATTACTTGAGGTCAGGAGTTTGAGACCAGCCTGACCAACATGGTGAAACCCCATCTCTACTAAAAGTACAAAAATTAGCCAGGTGTGGTGGTGGGCACCTGTAGTCCCAGCTACTCAGGAGGCTGAGGCAGGAGAATCACTAGAACCCGGAAAAAACACCTTTCAAGCATTATCAAGCTCTTCAGAGGCATCTGCTCCCATTCAAACTGCTGATCATATTGTTAAAAATTGATAGATTATGGGCAATATTACTACAAGAAATATTAAAATATGCTCATAAGACAACATGAAAATACACCTGGCACATAATGGAGGCTCAAAAATATGATAATTGGATTAAGTGAAAAATATCACATTGTTTTAATTTTTGTTCTTTAAAATTTGTGACAAAACTTGAGCATCTTTTCACATATTTATTAACCATGCATATTCCTTTTACTCTGAGCCATCTCCTTCTATATTGATTGCCCTTCTTGTTAAAAATGGGCTCTTCATATTTTTAGTTGTTTTATGAAGGCTCAATCTTTGGTCCTAAAAACTGATAATAATTTTCCCCTGTTTAACATGTGTCTTTGGGTACGGTTTGTATCAGTATGTATGTTCTTGCCAACTCAATAATAAATATTTTTAAAGTCTTTCCAGTATATTATAAAAACTATGTGCAGTTTTATTTAGTTCTCTTAATAGTTTAATTTTTTACATTTATGTCTTTGCTACCTCCATTTTGGGGATAAGGAATTAGGTAGAAATCTAGCTTTACTGTTTCACAAATGGCTATCCAGGTGTCCCAAAAACTTTTTATTGTAAACCTGATTAGAAACCCCAATTTTACTGAAGTTATCCATAATCTTGTGGTTATTTTTGAGTTCTTTCCATTGAGCTATCTATTGTTGCAAACCACAATTACAGTTGGTTTATCCACACTTGTGTTTTTCTTTCCCAGAATTTTCTTTGCTATTCTCAAATGTTTATTTTTTGGATAAACTTTACAGTCATTTTGCAAGTTTGCCTGAACTTGTGATTTTGCTTTGGATTTTATGAGCATTTAACTCAGTGCCTGACATATGGTAAGATCTCTTTAAGTGTGAAAATATAATTGTAATTATTACATCAAATATAATGACAAATATGAAGAGGATTAACATCTTTGCAATATTGTCTTCCTAAGATTTGGATAGGAAATTTACCCATCTGCTCATAGGGAAAAACTATGCTCTTTCTTCATGTTCCTAGTGTTCACTAGAGTGCTTGTATAGAGCACATACTTAGTAAATATTTGTGAATTGCATTGGTAGTATCTAATTAATTTGCCAGTAGGTATTGTTAAAATACTTTAATATTCCTGTGATTTCAGCTCTTTATAATTCTCTGAATTTCTGTTGCAAAGTTTGGCATTGTTTTCTGACAGTTTCATAGATGTTCATACTTTTTTTCTCTTATACTTTTAATAGATTGTGAGCTCCTGGAAATAGACACAATTTCTTTCATTTATTTGGCACCCTCCACCCTACTCCCATGACCCCCTCAGACTTAAGACAATTCTCATACTTTCCTAAATGTTTGTGAGATTTGATTATCTTT
The DNA here is from genome assembly GCF_000001405.40 of Homo sapiens. NCBI lineage: Eukaryota > Metazoa > Chordata > Mammalia > Primates > Hominidae > Homo > Homo sapiens. The sequence goes on from NC_000006.12 coordinate 105,576,021, forward strand.
TGAGATATTGATTTATATTTTCTCTGGTATTATCCTCACCTTTCATTTTCTTCCATTCAAGAAGGCAGCAGGCTTCCTTCTTGCTAGGGAAGGGTTGAGGCCATGTGTAAGGCAGCTGTAGAACACCAGTCATTGTGGGTTTATTCTCTAAAGGCCTAAACACTTAGGTGAATGGAGTAAGTTTGGTAGGTACATGAATGGGATTCCTAGATGTAGACAGAGCAATTGGAGAGGTGGGGAGAGCAGGTAGTTGAAACGTTTTTCTAGCCTGCTCACTGTCCTGTCTTGCAGCTGCTATCTTATACCTTCCTTGACCTCCTTCCCCAGTGTCTACATTGTTGTGGAGTAAATAGATGTCACCTGACTACAACTCCTTCATTTTCCTCCACCCACCCTTGTAAGCCTATCTCCATTTGCATTCCTTCTCTCCCTCTTTACCCATTATAAATAAATCATATCCATATTGTGGAATCCAGTGGTCACTTCCATACCTTGTCTGACTTGACACCTCACAAGAGCATTTAACAGGGCTTACTATTAAATATTTCCTTTTTGAAACACTCTCTTCCCTTCGCTTCCCCATGCCCCTCCTGGATTTCCTCTCCCTTTCCGACTGCTCCTTCTGAATCTCCTTGCCATCTCCTTCTCCTCTCCTTGCACTTTAAATGTTCAAGTCCATCAGGAATTTCCTTTGGGCCACTTCTTTTCATTCTCTTCCCACTCTCCTTTAATGACCATACTATCCCCTTGACTTTCAATATCAACAATATGCCAAGGACCTAACACCTTTATCCTTGGCTTATGCCTCCTTTCCTGGGTTCCAGTTGGAGAGATCTCCTTGCCTACTTGAAGTCTCCACTTGGAAGTCTCACTGGTGTCTTATCTTAGATTTGAAGCTGAACCAAACCATCTCCTCCCCACTTCAGATCCCCTGTTTCTCCAGTCCTCCCCACCTAAGAATAGGGCTTCTTCATCCATTCCAATTGTCCATGCCAAGACTTGGATGTAATCTTTGATACCAACATTTCACATTCAAATCACTACCAAAGTGATTTGCCCAGTATCTCCTGAATCCAATAACATACCTCTCCCATCCAATTCCAAGGACCCCCATCAGAAACCTGGACCCCTGCAATAGTTTTTTTTCCTGAAGCTTTAGGGTATCCTTTCTCAACCAAGCTGTTCTCTGCCTAAATGTCAAAGTTAATAGTTTATAAATATAAATTTGATAGTTTTACTGTCTTGCTTAAAGCATTTTAGTGGCTTCCCATTATCCTCATAATTACTATAATCCACAAGGTTCAGTATGACCTGTCACCAAGCTATTTCTCCAGCATTACCTTCTGTCAACCTTCCTGGTGATTAACCTTTTCTGTCCATGCCAAGGCACCACTCCTTCAAAGGTATGCTCTATCTTTCACCACTCTTTCTGTTGGGCCAAATCCTACTCTTAGTTAGGCTTCACGTTAAATGTTACATTTTTGGAGAAGCCTTTCTTGACCCTTGAGTACAGATGAGGTTCTCTTGTTATATGTGCCTAGGGCACCTGATACTTTAACTACATTATAGTAGTTATTATACAATTTTTTGTGTTTATTTATAATCTGTTTCTATTACTAGACTGTATTCTACATGATGTCAAGATAATTTTTAAAAACTTATTTTAAACTAGAGTCACATGCAGTTGGAAGACATAGTGTAGAGAGATCCTGTGTACACTTCACCCAGTTTCTTCCAGTGGCAACATCTAGAATTTAACATTTAACACAACCAAGAAATTAACATTAATAATATCCACCAACTTTTTACCAGTTTTACATATGCTCATTTGCATGTGTGTACGTATATATGTGTGTGGTTAGTTCTATGCAGTTTTATCACATGTAGATTTGTATGACTACCACCACAGCAAAAATACAGAGCAGTCCATCACAGAATCCCTCATGCTTCCCTTTTATGGTCAGTTATCTCCCTCCCTATAATTTTTAAAACATATATATATATATATATACACACACACACACACACACACACACACACACACACACACACACACATCAATAGCCCACTTTAAAATAATAAAAACAGGCTTTTGTCATAACAGAAAACACATATATACACCGTGATAAAACTTAGCAAGATATGTCAAGAAACTGTAGACATATAAAATGAAAAATTTATCATCACATAGATGAGTCAAACGTTTAGAAATGTTTTTAAGTGAACTACATTTTTTATATATTTTGTATATTCAGCTTTGTAAATCTATTCTCCACCCCTCTTATCAGTGTATCAGAATACCTAAGACTAAAGGAAAGCTATAATAGCAAGAGTTCTTTCCTAAGCATATTTTAGGGTGTGGTCTACCAACTTGAAAGGAATAGGAAAAAGCTGTGAGAGACTGTAAGTCTCTGTGAGCAAGCAATTTCTAAGAAATAAATGCTAAGCTTAATCTCAGAATTCACTTTCTAAAAATAAGTAGCTGGTCATGAAGAGTGGGTTATAAGCTGAGACTAACTGTATTAGTCTGTGTTCACACTGTTGATAAAGATGTACCCAAGACTGGGCAATTTACAAAAGAAAGAGGTTTAATGGAATTCCACATAGCAAGGGAGACCTCACAATCATGGCAAAAAGCAAGGAGGACAAAGTCATGTCTCACATGGATGGCAGCAGGCAAAGAGAGAGAGCTTTTGCAGGAGAACTCCTCTTTATAAACCATCAGATCTCATGAGACTTATTCACTATCAGGACAACAGCTTGGGAAAGACTTGCCCCCATGATTCAATTACCTCCCATCAGCTCCCTCCCACAACACATGGGAATTCAGGATGAGATGTGGGTGCAGACACAGCCAAACCATATCACTAACTTATTATCTTGTCAAACCCCAATGTTTTAATAAAGGAAATATTTTTTTTTCATTCTAATGTATTAATCAGGATAGAAATAAAAATAGGTAAAGTGAGAAAGATGAAAACATATGAAATTATTTTGTCAAATTATAACATTCTTCTTTGACATAAAGGCTTATGTTTCCATTGTTTTATGGGAGGGAGCAATTGTGGAGAAATGTGCATGATTATGGAAATTAGACCTAGCTGCAAATGGCTTCAACTTACTAGGTTGTGTGGAACCATGGGCAATTTACTTAATTTCTCTCAGTTTCAGTTTCTTCACCTGGAAACAGGACTCGTGCTCATCACATTTGTACTCTTATATTGGTTAAATGAGATAATACGTTAAAACAAGGACTATAGGCACTGCCTTAGTATTTGACACACAGCAGGTTCTCAGAAAGAAGACAAAGAAATAAGGGAAAGGAAGAAAGAAAAAGAGAAAAGAAAAATATGTTGATTTCCCACAATACTCTTTCCACCTGGTTTCTTCTGAGATAGGTTTCTTTAGAAGGATCTAGTTTACATTAAACATCGTCAACCCTAAGCCTAAATCTGAATGCAGAAGTTTGGTAACTACGGCTTGTAGTACAGATCAATAAAAGAAAAAAAGACATTCAGACAATCACCTTTTCTGAAGTTCTTGAATGTTAGTCCATACTAAGACTTTCTGTTCCTCCTGGTGAAAAGATACCTGTCTACTTCCCACACACTCTGTATTAGTCCATTCTCACACTGCTATAAAGAACTACCTGAGACTGGGTAATTTATGGAGAAAAGAGCTTTGACTCACAGTTCCTCAGGCTTCACAGGAGGCATGACTGGAGGCCTCAGGAAACTTACAGTCATGGTGGAAGGCGAAGGGGAAGCAAAGACCTTCCTCACGTGGCAGCAGGAGAGAAAGAGTGAAGAGGGAAGTTCCAGACACTTTTAAACCATCAGATCCAGTGAGAGCTCACTCACTAGCACTAGAACAGCATGGGGGAAATCCACTCCCATTATCCAATCACCTCCCATCAGGCCCTTCCTCCAATTGGACATGAGAGTTGGGTGGGAACACAAATCCAAACCATTTCACCCTCAAAGTGAAGTACCAATTAAAATGCCCATTGAAATCACAGATGTTGGATCACTAACCACCCCCCTCCCCATGTTTCTCCATTGAAATGATGGAACAAGAACGTGACTCTAATACTTTCCACCTGGCTCTCATTGAAGACCTGATCAACTACCACCTGAGAACTGTCTCCCTTGATTATCTTGTGAAACTACTGGGATCTTCCATCAAGCCCTGGATTTTCCTCAGTCAGACCCAGAGAGTTTCAAAGCAAACCTCCTTAAGGGAGTGGCTAGGATTCACCTAGCAATCCTTGAGATTGCTGTTTTCCCCTTGGGTGACCCTGTCTGGTTCTGAGTTCACGTTGCCTTTCCTTATCTCTGTGCTTTCCTAAAGCTGAACACCAGAAACATTTACCAACTTGACTGAGAATGAACTTGAAGTCACCAAGCTCAAATCTCCTGTGAGCCAAATCATTATTTAATTATGTTGGTGGATGTGGGAGAAAAGAGCAAAACCACTTAAATATGGACGATAATAGTCCCTGACTTCACCTCTACTTGTGAGAAATAATCACTCTTTCTGGTGACACATACAGTAAGTCAGAAGATTGCCATTTACTGCTCTTGCTTTTAGTGTATTCCTCATCATTATATATGGCATTCCATCCATCATTAAAAAATTGAATTTCATTGACATATAGGTTATAAATTCATCTTGGGAGAAATGACTCCTTTTCTGGCTTGTGTATATGTGAATATATACAATTTAACTCAACCTTAGTTGTAATAGACAGTATCTCATAACTTATTTGTGTTTTCATCTTTTCTACACTTTTTAATGTTCAAAGGTCTCTGAATGCATGAATTTCTTCCTATTTTATATTTTTTTAGTTGAGAATTTTTAACACTGGGGAAGTGTTTTTGACTATTCTTAAATAGTGCTGAATTTTCCTTAGAAGTATTAATTTTTAAAAGAAAAATATTTTTTATTATTGTCAAAACTATAATATATGATCAATACTAATTAGTCAACATGAATGTTAAGGTTCTTCAGTCTCAAAAAAGGCTTATGCTGTTAATATATGATAGCTACCATTGCAAAGTACTTTATAGATATTAGCTCAATTTATCTTCACATCAACCCAACAAGGTAGATAATATTAACATTATTTTATCTATTTTAAAAATATTTGATACATCTGGGACAAAAAACAGTGAAATAATTTTCTCAAAGTTATACAACTAATTAGTAACAGAGCTGGGATCCAGTATTATGCAATGTATTCCCTTTTAATGTAATGAGACCTGAGCTTTTTTCCCCCTTGTTAGATGTGTTAGACAATTATTTTTTCAAGTTTACATAACTGACAGATTAATCAATTAAACAAATGTGGGAGAAATAAAACCCCACATATTCAGGTAAGCATGAACACCTCGGGTTACAAGACTTTAATTTCAGATTCCAAACTCTATTATTCTCAATCCTTCTAGTATCTTCACCCCAATCCTTTTAATACTCAAGAATGCAGTGGACATTGCTTAGAAATTTAAGACAATGCCATGAGGACAGGGGCTTTTTGTAAGACCACTGCTGGCCAGTGTGGCTAGATGAATCTTGTAGCCATTTTTCTTGGAGGGTTTGCCACATCCTCGGAATTGCTGCCTTGCATGCATGACCTGGGTCCACACTACTCCTGGACCTGCAGACCTCTTTTTGTTTTCTCCCTGCATTTCTCACCCCATCTCTCTTAGCTGGAGGCAGTGAAATGGAGGCCTGGCCATCACTTGCTCTCCCCACCTCTCCAGTTGCTCCGTCTATATTTAGGAATCCCATTCATGTACCTACCAAACTTACTCCATTCACCTAAGTGTTTAGGCCTTTAGAGAATAAAACCACAACCACTGGTGCTCTACTGCTGCCTTACACCTGGCCCCAACCCTTCCCTGAGCCCATCAAGTTTGGAGCTAGCTGCTTTCTTGAATGGAAGAAAATGAGGGGTGAGGATAATGCCAGAGACAATATAAGTCAATATCTCAAAAGATAATCAAATCTCACAAACATTTAGGAAGTATGAGAACTGTCTTAAATCTGAGGGGCCATGGGAATGGGGTGGAGGGTGCGAAAAAATAAAAAAAATTGTGTCTGTTTCTAGGAGCTCATAATCTATTAATAGTTGGGATAAAAAAAAATAAACATCTATGAAACTGTCAGAAAACAATGCCAAACTCGAGATCCCGCCACTGCACTCCAGCCTGGGCAACAGAGCGAGACTTCGTCTCAAAAAAAAAAAAAAAAAAAAAAAAGAAAACAATGCCAAACTTTGCAACAGAAATTCAGAGAGGAGAATTATAAAGAGCTGAAATCACAGGAATATTAAAGTATTTTAACAATACCTACTGCCAAATTAATTAGATACTCCCACTGCAATTCAAAAATATTTACTAAGTATGTGCTATATACCAAGCACTCTAGTGAGTCTAGAAACACGAAGAGGAAGCACAGTTTTACCCTACAGGCAGAGAGGGTGATGATGACGAGGGTGATGATGTGGAAGAGAAGAGGGTAAGACATTGGAAAATGCATTTTAAAGGTTGTAGTTTTGAGCTGGGTTTTAAAGAAAGAGTGGAATTTTGCAGTGGAATTATGATGAGAGAAAACACTATGTGCAAAGGCAATGATAGAATTGATCCAGTTTTGAGCCATTCCTTTTCCATCAAGCTTGGGATTGAGTCTTGTTAGTAAAATCAGACAGCATTTGTGGAGAGAAGGGGTGTTTTCATCACATACACCTTGGTTAGAGACCTGTATATAAGACATGAAGGAATACAAAGCGATCCTTTGAGGATGAGACTTGAAACAGAGACCAAAGCTTGCAAAACCATCTACATTATGACTGAAGCAGACAAATGATTTAAGGTCAAAATTGTGTAATACTTATTTGTTTGAATCCCTGTGTTTCAAGATAGGATCATGGTCAGGTTGATGAAACAGTAACTCTGCAAAGGCCCTAAAGGGCTAAAGAAGAGACCACCGACTATTCCAGCAAGTTTGGAAGAATCCATGCTAAGATCATCTTATAGACTAATTCCAGCCCCCGGGCCCTACCAGTAGCCTACTCTTAGCTCCCCTCCCACTTTTTTTTTTTTTTTTCCAACAAATTCCCTGGTTCTTTTGTTTTGTATTTTCCCTTGCTGCAACAGGTTAAATCAGTCTCACTTTTTTCCCTCCACACTACCGGTGTGTTCCTGATGGTCTCTGGACAGAGGGTTTTATTAAATGAGGTCTCATCAAGATTCATCTGAAACCCTTGCTGCTATGGACCAGGACTTGCTGATATCCACAGCTGAGAGCCTTTGAGTCTCCGCTTCCTTGAGGCTACTTAGAAGCCAAGTCTCACTACCAATATGAGCTCCAAATATTTTGTCGAGCCGTTTAGCACTAATTTATTGTGTTTGTCTCATGGATGAAATCTCCCAGGACTTTTTGTTTGCTTTCTCATATTTGTACTTGTTCTCTTGAAGCTGTGCCAAAGTATTAATTAGCCACTAGTCCGCCTATTTACTGTCTGTGTATGGACCTCCACAAGCACAGGGGCTCTTGTCCTTTTGTTGGGGATGAACATTTGTTGAATCATTTGGCACGACAGAACCTAGTAGTAGAATGTCACACTCTGGAAATCATACATTTTTGGCAACATGGCCAAAACAGTAAGACCAGGATCATTATGGAAGTTTGAAACATTTTCCATGTGCCCCACAATCAATTGAAATTTCTTTCTCTTCACTGGAGAAAGCCAGCTACCATGTGATGAGGACACTCAAATGGCCCCAGGAAGAGGCTCATGTAGCGACGAGCCTCCTGCCAACAACCAGCATTAACTTGCTCGTCCTGCAAGTGGCTGCTATGAAAGCAGATCCTGAAGCCTCAGTCCAACCTTTAGATGAGCTGCAACATCATCTGAGAGACAACATCTCAACTGCAACCTCCTGAGAGACACCAACCAGAACAGTCTAGCTAAGCCACTCCCAAATTTCTAACCTACAGTACTCCGTCTGAGAAAATAAATGTTCGTTTGCTTTAAGCCACCAAGTTTGTGTAACTTGTTATACAGCAACAGATAACTAATACAGCAGGTAGCTAATACCAGGACAGATCCCTAATACATTCGATAGCTAGCGTCACGTAGCCTTTTCATTTAATTTGGACATGAATGGCATATCTTTGCCAGAGTCCGTAGAATTGGTCCCATATCTGCTTATTATTAAGGTAATGGTTTGGGAAGCACCACAACCATTGGTCAGGAGTGTCTGCTAATCACCTAGAATCTTGAACCAGCAGAAAGCTGAGGCCTTGTACTGCTTCTTCTAGAAGAGTCCATTTCTGATGATAGCTGGAGCCAGGATAATTATAGGAAGAAGCAGGAACACCTGTGGACACTGAGTGTGTAGTTGGCATCTAAGACGGCTCCTAATGATGAGCCACTTCCTAGTGTTCATGTCTTTGTGCAGTTCTCTCCCTTTGAATGTGAGTGTATCTACTGACTTGCTTCTAACTAGTTAAATATAAGAAAGAGATGGATATCACTTCCAAGATTAGGATACAAGAAGCCCATGGCTTTCCTCTTGCTTGTCCTCTCTCTGTCTCTTGCTGGACTACTCTGATGGAAGTCACTTGCCATGTTTTAAGTTGCTTGATAGAGAAGCCCACTTGGCAAGGAGACGGTATCTCCAGCCAATAGCCAGCAAGTACCTATGACCTTCAGTCCAACAGCCCACAAGGAGCTGACTCCTGCTAAGCCCAGAATGGGATCCTCTCCCAGCTGAGCTCTAGCTAACACCTCTATTGCAGCCTCGTGAGAGACCCTGAGCCAGAGGCACCCAGCTAAGTCATGCCCAAATTCCTGAACAGCAGAAACTATGAGATAATAAACGTTTGCTGTTTTAACTTAGTAAATTTTAGGGTAATTTGTTACACAGCCATAGATAACTATAGAGCAGGTAAAATATTAAATTCTTTTGATTAATTTTTATAACAATAATTTTTGTTGTATTATAATATACAATATAAACAACACTATTAGAAAATAGGTGACTCTACTATGGAGGTTTATACATACTCAATTTGATGGAGACTTAGTCACTGATTATTCTGGGAGTAAGGATATATTGTGGACACTGAGAACATTGACAAATCATTAATTTAGTCCATAAATTATATTACAAATGCCATCAGTTGACAATGACATTTAAATCTATCTTTTTTTTACCCCTTGTTATTATATTGACAATTACCACACCAGTCGTTATGCATTAGCATGAGTATGTCTCCTTTTAATCAGAAGCATATTTATAGTAATACATTTTACTTTAAAAAACTGAACCTCTTGTTTAATTTGTCAAGGTTTTGTTTCTTTTATCATACATTTAATTGGAGAACTACTGAAATCATTTTGAGATCATTAAAATTTGAGAATGCCAAACAAATCTAATTTTTGATATTAGCTTTCAATTTATAAAGCAAGGAAGCAAATCTTTATACTACCTTATGGCCATTTAGAAAACCTACAGTTTAGATGTAATAGACATCATTAATATTTTTATTATCTGGAGCTGAAATTGGCAAAGACAATCAAGAAGAGTTGTTTTCAAAAAGCAAGGAGATATGTTATTAAAGCTACCTCACCAAAAGTCACAGAACTCAGTTAGCTTTCCAAGAGAGTCCTTCAAATACTTAAAAATAGGCCAGGCGCGGTGGCTCACACCTGTAATCTCAGCACTTTGGGAGGCCAACGCGGGCGGATCATGAGGTCAGCAGATGGAGACCATCCTAGCTAACATGGTGAAACTCCGTCTCTACTAAAAACACAAAAAATTAGCCAGGCATGGTGGCACGCACCTGTAGTCCCAGCTACTTGGGAGACTGAGGCAGGAGAATTGCTTGAACCCGGGAGGCAGAGGTTGCAGTGAGCCAAGATCACGCCACTGCACTCCAGCCTGGGCAATGGAGCAACAGTCCATCTCAAAAAAAAAGAAAAAAAATTGAGTAATGTTGTTTAAACTCTTTGGAAGCAGAGAAAAAGATAAATCACTTCCTGATGCACATAGTATTTATGAAGCTAGAATAACTGTGGGAGCAAACCCAACAGAATAAATGGGCAGTTTGATGTCCAACAATGAGGGATTCCAGAGAGCGGGGCAAAGGAGTCTCTCAGAGCAGGAGAATGAAGAGGGACTTCCAGGACATTTTTACTTGAGGATCCACGAACTCTGATCAACTCTCTGCTCCAAAGAAGGGTTCTGTGCTTGCTAAATGTAGTAACTGGCAATTGAACCAGTCCTGACACTCTCCCAAATTAGATGTATACGTGTGTGTGTGTGTGTGTGTGTGTGTGTGTGTGTGTGTGGCTGTGAGAGAGCGAGAGAAAGAGAGAGAGGCAGGGCCTCACTCTGCTTGCTCTGTCATACAGGCTGGAGTACAGTGGCATGATTTCAGCTCACTGCAACCTTGACTTCCCAGGTTCAGGTGATTCTCCTACCTCAACCTCCCAAGTAGCTGGGACTACAGAAGTGTGCCACCAAGTCTGGCTAATTTTTGTGTTTTTTGTAGACTGGGTTTCGCTATGTTGCCCAGGCCGGTCTCCAACTCCTGGGATCAAGCCATCTGCCCGCCTCAGCCTCCCAAAGTGCTGGGATTACAGGAATGAGCCACTGCGCCCAGCCTAGATGTATACTCTTTTCACTTGAGACCCACCTGTCTTTTCACTTAAAAAAAAATCAGATGTTATATTCTGGCATCAATGATAGAATCTCAGATTCCTGTTCTTTATTACAAAACCAAATAAAGTGGGGAGATTTCCCTCCTATAACCCTGAAGACATTCTTATTTCACAGCTACTCCCTTGGCCTGGACTATCGACGGACAACAGAAGTTTCATGGAAACCAGCTAAATAACAAGATAGCTGTGCAAAGCTTTCCTATGTGGTGAAGTCACTTTTATTTAGAAGATAATCAGCTGTTGTCACATCTTCACCTATGCTTAAAAAAAAAAAAAAAAAAAAAAAAACTAGGGTCTGTGCATGAGCCAGGATTAAACTAAGCAGCAAACACACCCAGAGAACTGAACAAAGGAGAGCAAGAAAGGGTTTAGAGATCACATGGATAATTATTTCTAAGGATCGCTGGGTGCTGGGAAAGTGTATTCTAAGGGGATGATACTGTGGGTAATAAAAAGCTATTTCTGGTTTTGTTTGTTTTTAATATATAATCTTCACTATCCAGCTGACTTAGAAAAAATTCATAAGTGATGCATGTCAGATATCAAATTCTATTAAAAACCTAAAACTCAGCTGTGTTCTTTCCTTCTTTCCCCTTATACCCCAAGGCAAGGAATCAAGGCTTCTAGACACCACCGGATGAGTCAAGGTACCGTGGCCCAGACAAACTAAGCACTGGTTCTGTCACCACATAGACACAAAGGCATTCAAGAAACCACAGCCCTCTGGCTTTGTTGCTCCTTCCTTCATAATCAAATCAACAGAGTGTGTTTGTAGAATTCACCCACAACACAAACAGATGCCGCGAAACACCTTGGAGCGGTTGGCCGGCAGAAATGCCCACTGAGCGGGCTGTGATTCACTCGGGAGGAGGAAGGCCTCGGAGGGCAGCCAATCGAAGACGGACCCAGGGAAAAGTCGCTGGGTTCTTACAGGAAGCGATCTAATTATGTTACTGTAATCCTCAAGCTCGCATTTTTCAGCCACCTCAACACGAACTCACAGACTTCAACGATTATGTAATTACGGAAAACTTCACAACAAACATGAAGATTCCTTCTGGAGGCCACATTGAAGACCGGGATGTGCATTAGAGCGTGGGAGGGAAGCACGCAGCTCACAAAAGGAAGAGCAAAGAGATGTATTGAACTTAAAAGGTTACATTTGAAAAGGGGCCCCTACCAGACCTCCCCTTTTGTGTGCACATTTTTTGCACCTGCAACTGTTTGCGGGCTCGAAAGCAATAGCCCTCCCCCTTCTCCCAAGAGGCCACGCTTTCATGCCTTGGCCCCAAATGTGTCATTTTCCTGCCAGGGGGAGAAATCAAAAGAAACCAAGTTTTTAGAACTTTGCTGTAAAGAAAATAATAGTTTTGAAAAGGATTGGAGCCACATTTTCAGGTTAGACACAGTTGTTAGAGAAATGTCAGAAGGAAAACGTTCCTCTTCACTTTCTTTCCTAGCTCGTTGAAGTTCTTCATTTCACTGGGTTCTGGGTGACATCTGTAGCATCCATTTCAGCGCAGTCTGCAGCAGGCTTTTGACTCCACAGCATGTAACTGTCCTCAGACCACCGTGTTCAAAGTCGAGATTCCAAATGGACCTTCCTGACTCTTCACAGAGAAGATGCCATATAAATCATTTCCATTAAAACAAACCTTTGATACCACCAGCGAATTGTGGAATTTTGATAATGATGCTTGTGAATGAAGTGCTGACAAATGGTCTTGCTTTAGATGGTGTTTGTGGGTGGGGCTTGGGTTAGAGCCAGGATCAACCTTGATTTTGGCCACTGATCCATTTCCTCTCTCCCCACCACCCACCTCATATGTTGAGATGAAAGTTACAGCAGAAAGCCTCTTTTGAACCATTATGAACAATTCTATTCAAAGCAGCATCTGTGAATTTTTATAAGACTGGCCAAGATTGGCTCAATTATTTCTCCATTCTCTCCAGGGGATAGAAAGTTTCCAATCAAGGGTTACAATGGAAGCAAAAATGTTATGTTCATGGGAGGTAGAATGCATTGCTAAATAGATGGAAGACAAAATAAAGTTCCTCAGTATACATAATAGCTCAAGGATGAACTTGGTTGAACAGATTAGAGGAACAGATGCAGATAAAATAAACTTCTCTCTCTTTGGTTTAACTTGGGAGACTGAGGATTTTCTATATGGTACAAACCTTGATGAATGTTGAGGATATAGGGGTTCTCATATATCTTATAATATACTAGTGAGTCATCTGGTGAGATGGCTGGAAGTTTTTTTTTTAAGTAGATATAATCTCATAAGTGAGGAGAAAATAAATCATTGTCTCAGCTAGAGAGAGTGATCCTTTTGAACCCTTATATGGTTCAATCTCATTTTAACATTTTTGAAGCAGGTAGGTTTGGGATTTCTGGTTCCTGTAAAGCAAAGCCCATGATGGTTCTTTGATTCAGTTGTCTCCTGGGGAAAATGAGGGAAGAAGGTTTAAGTGGTTTGTTATCAGTGGCTACTGAATTACACCTTTTACACCATTACTTTTTTTATTTATATTTATTTATTTTTATTTTTTGAGATGGAGTTTTGCTCTTGTTGCCCAGGCTGGAGTGCAATGGCACGATCTCGGCTCAGCACAACCTCCGCCTCCCAGGTTCAAGCGATTCTCCTGCCTCAGCCTCCCGAGAAGTTGGGATTACATACACCATTACTTTTAACGACAAAACCAGCAACTACTTTTGCACCAGTCCAATATATGGAGGGATTTACTGATGTATGAAATATGGGTTGGGGGTGATTAGAAGAGAGAGATGGAAAAGCTGGGATATCAAGAATAAAGCTTGTAGGATTAGAAAAAACAGAAGGAGGAAAGATGAGATAAGGTAAACTCAGAGCAAAGCATGAAATAGGAATTATGTTGGGCTACTCAGTGGGAGAAGTGACACGTGTCTCTTAAACATATGCTGGCCTGACCTTACTGGGGTCAAAGGGACAGTCAAGGAACCTGCCCTGAAAATGCCAAGAGGAGGCTGAGAGCCAAAGAAAGCAAGGGTCAGCCTCCTAGGAGGCCGCCTATCTACACAAATGAGTTTCCCAAGAAAGTCTCATTTATTTTAGGTCTCTTCTGTGGAATAAAACAATTCCCTCTTTGATGGGATTATATTTGTGGGAGGGAAAGGAGCAGGAGAAAATTCAGTGTCAAGGGCAAAAGTCCACTAAGATGATTCACCTGGGAGATATTTTTTGGAAGGTCTGATACCCTTAGGAGCTAGAAATCAATATTCAAAGATCTCCCATTCCAATGTCATTTAGGCTGCAAGTATGCAGATTTCAGGGCCTGTAGGGGGAATTTATCCGGTAGTGGAATCCTAACACATCTTTTCACTTTGTGAAGCTTGTTCTATGGGTAAATTTCATACCGCCTTGACTTGTACGAGTACAGAATAGGGGAAAGAGCAGTGGAATAAAACCTCAACATCCCAGAAATAGTTTAATTACAGTTTCATTTAGAGGAGAAAAGGAACAGACACTTTTTTATTTTCTATTTTATTTTTCTTCATTCTTTGAGAAAGCATGTCATTCATTTGGTTTTGTCTACTTCAGTATTCAAAATTCCCCTCTGGCCAGTACTGGGAGGCTTCTCTTCCAAGGAGAGGGCTCTCCCACTTCCTGGGAACAGGCTTTGTGCGCAGAAGCCCTGGAGAGTTCAGCAGCTGGTGCTGGGAAAGTTGGGGATTCAGGAACCCTGGAGCATCAGCAGTAAGTTCAACAAATAAGGTGTACCAAGGGTTTAAAATGTGCTCACCTTCACTTCCAAGCATAAGAAGAGGAGGCATAGGCCGGGCATGGTGGCTTATGCCTGTAACCCCAGCACTTTGGGAGGCTGAGGCAGGCAGATCACCTGAGGTGCGGAATTCAAGACCAGCCTGGCCAAACATGGTGAAACCCCGTCTCTACTAGAAATACAAAAATTAGCCAAGCATGGGCACATGCCTGTAATCCCAGCTACTTGGGAGGTTGAGGCGGGAGAGTCGCTTGAACCCAGGAGGCGGAGGTTACGGTGAGCTGAGATCGTGCCACTGCACTCCAGCCTGGACAACAGAGTGAGACTCTGTCTCAAAAAAAATAAAATAAATAAATAAATAAATAGTGGAGGCATTAAAAAAGATTAGAATAAAGAGATGCTAGAAGAAGCTATCTCTTCTTTCCATTTTGTAGATGCCATCAACCTGTTCTTGAATTGCATTCTTTTTGTCTTTGGGTCATTTCTTTCTCCCTTTATCCCAGCATGAAAGGGAGAAAGGGTGGTGGGTTTTAAGAACTAAAGTTTCTTTTGTAGGTATCTCTAGTCTCCCTCCAGCCTTGTGAATCTCTCAGCAATCCTGAGATGCTACTTAGGACCCGCCCCCAATGCCCCCTTCTGAAGAATGGCCTGATTTATAGACACTCCCTAACATAGTCAGAGGCTATTAGCAACTCTTCAGTTGCCCCACCTTCTAGATTATCTGTCTGCAGTTGGGAAATTCCACTAGCCACTTCCTGAAAACAAACTTTCTACTCTTAAGTCTGTAGATGACAGCTATTGAGTGCCTGGACAACTTGTCTGCCCCATATGCAGTTGTAGAGAAACACCTGAGCCTTTTGGGCCAGCAAAATCCCTCATTCCTTCTCTGCCCTTACCTAGTCCCGGTCTGTTTCATGGATTTTTCAGCACTTCCCCTATCAACTTGGCTATTCCCTGTTATTTGTAAAAGCCAAGTTGATAATCCCTCAAATTTTGCCAGTAAATTGATGCAAAATAAAAAAGTGAATCATTATGGATATACAGTTCAAGTTTTGCTAATCTATCCACAGTATTTATGGAGTGACCAATGTGTCCAGGAAGGGCCTGGTAGAAGAGGTTTTTTGGAGGCTATAAAACAACAACAACAACCACCAACAGATTAGATGCCTGTTGCAAAATTCAAGACAATCAGGAATCAACTAATACAACATCTATATGGCATAAGAAGTCTTCAAAACACCTCATTAATATATTAACTCACCACAAGTCAGTTTATATTCCAGAGTATAGTTTAATCAAATATTGTTTTGATGTAGCTACACACATATCAAATTTAAAAAATATACATTATGACTTGGTATTCATTTATTTGCCACCAAAACTAAGCTCTTGAAAACTCGGTATACTAAATATGTGTATTTTAAAAAGATGTTGCTTCTCCATCACATTAATAGAAATAATTACACTTGAAGAGACATAAATTATATTAGTTTTTTATATTGATGTTTCCGAATCAGAAAAAAAGAGTAATTGAATTAAATCTAATGTAAGGGAACAGCCTTAAACTCTTGGACTGGGGGGTAAAACCAGCAGGCAGATCCAGAAGGAAGGTTTGCAGAGTGTTGCTCAGGCAAACAAGATACAAAGGAAAGAAAGTCCTGGATGTTGTTAGGTAGAGCAGGATATTAATACCTAAGAACATTAGGTCTGAGGAAAGAGTCTTTTTCAAACACAACTACCTTGGAGAAAATTTGAACTGCCATCTCTCAGTGATTCCTTTTAGGATAATTTCCTGTTTGCATGTTTACCATGTGCAATAAAGAAATAGTTCTGTTAGACTTATAAGAAAAGGGGCTACACAGCTGACTACTGAGACCTACCAGCCCTTCCTAGTCTTGAAACCAAACCTGGCCTGACTCAGAAAGAACTCAGTATTAAGGCATCCCTAAAACTCATCTGGCCAAGATCTCAACTTCTTGATTTATGGGTTTCTGCCTTGTAAGACCTGGCCCCTACCCAGGGATGCCTGAGTCACTCCCAGTAACCTGCCTGTTCCCAGGATTCCTCCTGGCCACTTGGTTGTCCTCCCGGTGAGTGGAGAACCGCCTCCCTCTGTTTCTCATGCCTAGTACTTTGTGTTGGGTTGTGTGCCACTGTCTGCCTCCCTAAACCTCTACCTATCCCCTGGATGCTCTTTCTGCATCTAATAATCATAATTCCCACTTATTGAACATTCAGTGTGTATAGCAGGCACCTTGCTGGGCATTTCACGTATATTGTCTGAACTAAACCTCCAAACAAGGCCATGAGTCATATTATGATTCCCATTTTATAGAAGTGGAATCTGAGGCTTTGCAGGATTAACATGCTAGAAAATGTTGAAACTGGGACTCAAACCCAGATCTGTGTATTCCAGAGGTAGTGCTCTTGGTGGCTTTGCTATCTGCTCTGTCTTCAGTTAGGTGGAAATCTGCAGTGGGTCTCTCTCCCCTCAGCAGTGGGCAAGCTTATTCTGGGTCTTTCTCACTGCATCTGTGTTCTGATATATTACAGGCTCCTTCTGACTCGTCCATGTATTTTATAAATAAATGTGCTTTTGTTCATCACAACAGTCCCTCAAAAGACGTCATAAAAGGAAAAGAATGGAAAATTTTGGAAAGGAAGTTTTCTGAGACCATTTACGTGACAAAGAAGTCAGGAAAATGTGGCATTGTTGTGATTATCTTCATCATTTCAGGATCTGAAGTGGTTTAGAAAGAAAGACACTCTGAAAGGAAGATGGGCTTCCAAGGGATGTGACTCATGAGGAGGAATATAAAAGACAGGAGAAAAGTGACTTGTCAGATGGACAATGGGCTTTTATTTGAAGCATATGAAGCCATATGGAAGAATACACCAAGGTGGAAGTTAGGAAGGGAACAAAGAAGATATAAGAAGATGTTGCCAGCTGGGGCCGGGTGAGGGGGTGGGGAGGGGTGGGGAGACAGAGAAAAGGAAATGAGTGAGGAAAGACACAAAGACAGGAGACCTTTGTGTACAAAGTAGAGAAACAAATGCCCTACTTTTAGCATCTTGAAAAGATGAATGAAAACATGAATGAAAATAAACTTCTCTTAATGCTATTTTCCAAAAAACTCAAAGAGCTTCAGAAACTTTCTGTAATGCTGTATATTACCCAGGAGAAAATCTTAATCTTCTCTTCTTTGATAGGCAAAAGATAGCAGAAAAGAGTTTCCAGTCTCATAAAGGGATGATTTCTGGAAAAAGACATGAAAAATGGGTTTCCTAAAAGAGATACCAAAAGTTTATCTCTTTGAGCTTGTATATTACCTCAGTAAGCCTCAAGTAGGCCAAAGAAAACAAATCTAGGCAGAAGAAGGGAATTGGCTTCCTTTTCTGGTTCATTTCACCACATCTCTACAAGGACATGGTCATTTGTGTGTAGCCTTCTTTGGTGCCACTTATCAGCCCTCACATAAAAATCTGCGGGTGACTTTTCCTCTGTCTCTGAGGAAATGCCTATATCAAAAATCTCTGTTTATAATACCAAGTACCTCAGAAAATGCCATCTGGTGCTCTTGGACTTAACGTTCTTATACAAATTTATCCTGATGAAATCCTTGGCATTTTCCCGAGGCTTTTCTTGCCTTCCTGCCAAATGTTAATTGGTACCTGTTCCTGTAAGTCTTGAATTCTCCTTTTCCAGCTGCAGAGATCAGCCTTAAGGGCTTTTTTCCTTTACTTCTAAACCTTTTCCCCAAAACTGCATCCTGGTTCCCAGCCCTGACTCAAGCCTTTTCTCTAGGCTCTGCATGTTTGGGGTTCTTTCATTGAAGCCCTTACACTGTATTCTTAGTTTGGAAACTTGCTTAGTTTCCAATTTCTCTGAAGTGACTTCCAGTTAACAGAGCTGACCTGCCACGCTGGTTTTTTAAAGGTTTGCAAAATACCTTCAGTAGGTCCTGCTGTCAGTCACCATATGTGCCTGAACCTCCTACAGTATTGCCATCCAGCTCCTCCTAGATTAAAAACCCACACATATTCTTCCTTTAACATCATTCATTTTCATTTCTATTGCTTTTTATGTAACAACTTAGGCCTGTGAAATAGCAAAATGGAGGGGAAAAATCATTGATTTTGTTGTAGAGAGATCTAATTTAAAAAATTCAAGTCCTGGTTTCCTTCCTTATTTTTTATTTTTATTTTTGGCTCATGGAACTTTGGCAAGTGACCTAACTTCTTATTTCTTTCTCTTTAAAATGAGAGTTTTAAAGATGAAATGAGATCATATATTTAGGTGGCTAGCACACAGTCAAGTGTACCAAAAACACTTGTTGGATAAAAGAATGAATAAATTAATGACAGGAGCAGCCAAAAGAGATTTTATGGTTTTTGCGTATCCACAGTGAGCTAGCTCTATGGCAACATTCTCTCTGTTTAGTAAGGGGTAACAGATACTTACGCACAAAATGACCAAGCAATGCAGTAGATGCAAATGATGAAGGAATGTGCAGGAGCTCTGGCGTACAGAAAAAAGGCACCTAACCCAGTCTTAAGATGGAGAAGAACCAGGAAGGAATTCATGACTCACATCTCCTATTAGATCTGTGTCTTTTGGACAATAGCTTTGCCTGCCTATTGTATACTTACCAATGTATTAATATTTGCAGAACAAAATTTTATGTAAGATAGGGTACGATGATTCCATGTTGTATATCACACCACAGAAATTCAACCACCTTGGGTGGTGATGTGTGTGGTGAGGTGACAGCTGGGGAATATTAAGTGTGTCTTAGGAAAGATCGACTTTCTTTCCAGGGCCCACAAAAGGTGTATTTTGAAGACTTGATATGAAATATCAAGTGTGGGGATTTGCATACAATTATGGAACACAGGAAAACAGAACTTGCTCCTTGTTTTATTTCCTATGCTGTGTAGCATCTATTAAGGCAAAGCCCTAATTTCCACATTACTTAGTTTTGCAGGAACCAGAATTGCTAGTGTCATATGAGACAGTGTTAATGATGTGAGGTACAAATACTCTTGGAAATGTCTCCAAAGTTAGCCATTTTCTATAGATAGATAGATTCCTAATCCTGACAGTTATGTGTTACTTCAATACCGCAAAAAGCATGCTTTTCTTTTCTATGAATTTTTAAATGATACATTTTTATATTAAAATAAAGACTTTTCTCCTAAATGAAAGTGCCAAAAATGCTAGAACTGACTCCACAAATATTTCACCCCCAACATAAAATATTTTGATTTAATAATATAGTATCACTTTCTACTGGTAAACATTTTCTTCCTAAAGATAGAGAAAGGCCCTGTGTTGTAGATCAGTACTGTTCCTCTATTTCACAGATGGGAACATTGAGGTATGGGTGTAGCATATCATTTGCCTCAACTTTCACAGCATCTCAGGGGAAGACAGGAAATCTGGTCCACAATGCCTGTATATTTAAGTCTGCTGCTTAGTCATGAGACATAAAGCATCTCAAAAACTACCAATATCATTAAAAATGTCAGTGGAGATCAGTGGTTCCATTCTCAGGATGTGAAATGTGATAAACTGCAGGGAGGAAGATAGATCAACTCAGAACAAAAAAACTACATTTGAAAGCAGCGGAATCTCAACCTCAACTTTGAATATTGTTATTCAAGAACTGGAAATTGATATGAGATTACTGCACTACATTTGGCCACCTTTCAGTAATGCCTATGCTATTCAAATATACTTGTGCAAACTCAGTTTCCAAAAGTTATGAGGGGACTTTTTGTTTAGCAAATTGTTCTTGTAAAACTTGTCTGCTGTTAAACTGTAGACACAGCTCCAAGGAATCTCTTACTAGAAAGCACTGCATTATTCCAACATGAATCACAGATGAAATTGACTATTTTCCCAGGATGTTATAACTGACTGTGGTTCTCAGCTGAGAACTAGGATACTTTACTATGTCTGTGATTGAAATGCCCATTGAATAACAGTTTAACAAAGCTGGATTTAGTATGAGTTTGTTGTATGTGACGGGTACTCAGTGGAATGTGGTTAGGGCAACTTCCAATTCAACAGACTATGAATTAGAATGTGCGTAGGGGACATTGAATACCACACACTTAAAATCACATTTAAAGTAAATCTATCAAACACTTCTAGGACATTCTGCCTTTTGCCATCTGGATGGCACGTGCAATTAAAATTCCAACGTGGAAACAGGAAGTCCCTCTAGGATAAAGACTTATGAGAATGAATTTTTTGTGTGTAGGAAAGTGGATTATGAGCATCATATAAGACTCATTAAGTTCCCAGGTGGCCATTGCACTATAATTGGCAGTGTGTAGATCAGGAATACACTTGAAAAATATTATTGTGTATATTTAAGATATACAACCTGTATATACATACATATATATATATATATATATATATATATATATATATATATATATATTTTTTTTTTTTTTTTTTGAGATGGAGTTTCGCTCTTTTTGCCCAGGCTGGAGTGCAATGGTGCCATCTCGGCTCACTGCAACCTCCGCCTCCCAGGTTCAAGCGATTCTCCTGCCTCAGCCTCCCAAGTAGCTGGAATTACAGGGATGCGCCACCACCCTGGCTAATTTTGTATTTTTAGTAGAGACAGGGTTTCTCCATGTTGGTCAGGCTGGTGTTGAACTCCTGACCTCAAGTGATCCACCCTTCTCCGCCTCCCAAAGTGCTGGGATTACAGATGTGAGCCACCGTGCCCGGCCTCTATATATTTTGATATACATATAAACTGGAATGATAACTACAAGTCGAGCCAATTAACATGTCTATCACCTCACATATTACTTGTGTATGTGTGTGTGTGGTAAAAGCACCTAAAATCTACTCTTTTAGCAAATTTTCAGTATACAATGCAATATTATTAGCTATAGTCCTCATGCTGTACATTTGATCTCTAGACTTCCTCATGTAACTGCAACTTCATACCCTCTGACCAACATCTCCCCATTCCACCCCCTTTCCCACAACCCTTGCCACCTCTAGTAATCACTGTTCTATTCTGTCTTCTATGTATTTGACTTTTTTTATTTTTTAAGATTCTACATGTAAGAAAGATTATGCCATATTTTTCTATGTCTGGTTTCTTTCACTTAGTATAATGTCTTCCAGTTTCACACATGTTGCAAATGGCAGGATCTCCTTTTTAAAGGAATTCCTTTCAAAAATAATATTCTATTACATCTATATATCTATATACCTATCTATCTATCTATACCTATATCCATCTCTATCTGTATGCCACATTTTCTTTATCCATTCATTTGTCAAGGGACACTCAGGTTGTTTCCATATTGTGCCTATTGTAAATAACACTGCAAAGAACATAGGAGTGCAGATATCTCTACAAGGTGCTGGTTTCATTTACTTTGGGCATGTACTCAGAAGAGGGATTCCTGGGTCATATGGTAGTTTGGTTTCTTTGTTTTTGAGACGGGGTTTTGCTTTGTTGCCTAGGCTACAGTACAGTGGCATGACCGCAGCTTACTGCAGCCTCCTCTGCTCAAGTAGTCCTCCTGCCTCAGCCTCCTGAGTAGTTGGGACTACAGGTACATGCCACCACACCCAGTTAGTTTTTTTGTTTTGTTTTGTTTTTGTAGAGACTGTGTCTTGCTATGTTATACAGGCTGATCATGCACTCCTGACCTCAAGCAATCCTGCCACCTTGGCCTCCCAAAGTGTTGGGAATAAAGGTGTAAACCACTCTGCCCAGCCTTTATGGTAGTTTTATTTTTAATTTTTTGAGGGGCCTCCACACTGGTTTCCACCACGGCTATACCAGTCTACATTTCCACCAACAGGATACAAAGGTTCTTCTTTCTCCCCATCCTCCCCAACACTTGTTATCTCTCGTCTTTTTCATAGTAGCCATCCCAACAGGTATGAGGTGACAGGTCCTTGTGGTTTTGATTTGCATTTCTCTGATGATTAGTGCTGTTGAGCACCTTTGCAAACACCTGTTGACCATTTTTATGTCTTCTTGCAAATGTACTTTTACTTCCAATCTTACCCTCATTTTTATTGATAGCAAATGTGAGAGAAGGAAATCCGAAGTAAGTGCCATATTTTTTCATGAAACTACCTAGCATTCAAACAGTGCTTTGTTCTTTGAAGATAGTTTTACACATCCCATTTTCCTCTCACAAAAACTGAGTGCAGTAGTTAAAAGGCATTATCATCTCCACTTTTAAAATAAGGTAACTGAGACCCAGAGGAAGCATGCAAGACATTTGCCTAAGATCAGATAATAAGTTGGCAGCAGAACTTAGACTAAAACCCAGATTTCCTTTTTTTTCATTTTAGTAGTTATTTGATTTTTTAAATCCTATTGTACAATTTTTCTTTAGGTACTTTTAAATAGACTTGATTATTTTATGATCAAGACTTGATTTTATTCAAACAGCAAATATTTGGCAGTCACTCCACATGAATAACTTCTGTCTTGGTTCTAGGAATGGAATACTCATGGCAAACTTTTTATTATGGAGAAACAATACAATGATCTTTATTTCATGGATCCATGAAGTGAAATAGCATTTTTTTCTACAGAAACGTGAAGCTCCCTTTATTGATTTGTCTTTGTTTTAAAAGTTAAAAGATATAGAAAGGTGTAGTAGATAATATAACAAATATGAGTGTACATCCCACACAATTGACCAGTATGGACACATTCTATTTTTGCATTATATATATTAATAAATATGAAGCTGATATATCTCTTCATTTATTCATCTTTTGTGTACTTTAATAACATAAAATTCAGATCTTTTGATCCAGAAGCCAGAGATTGTGAGGTCACACAGACCACATGGGAACAGAAAGCTTAAAGGTCTGACAGGAAAAGTTTACCTTACCAAGCTCCTTCCCCAAGTAAAACAGAACCAGCAGACCCCCAAAATAATGCTGCTGGGCGTTCCCTGAGGCAACTGTTGGGTCATTATGTGCTGTGTTTTTCTAGAAGCTTTCTTCTAAAGTTTTAGGCAGCACCTTGGCCCACACCTGGCTCTCTAAGAGGCTTTGAGTCATTATTTCTTAAAATGTATTTATTTATTTACTAGCTCCCAGTGAAAGGGAAAGGGGAAAGGGCCTCGGGCAAGGGGAGCAACTGTAGCTGTTATTTGTGTAAAGCAGAAATACAATTGGCTGTTTTTTCTTGTCTATTCAAGTTCCCCAGATCAGCTATTAGAAAGGGAGAGAGCTGACTTAGTACATTTAGACACGTAAAGGAAAACTGAGGTAATGTGAGACCTCAGGGGCTTTTCGTTGTTGTTGAAAGATAAATACTATTTTACACTCAAGTCCTGTAATACATGTGGCATAGGAACTGATGAATGACTCATTTGTTGTTGGAAAGTGAACAAACTTGCCTAATGATATAGTTTTCTTTTCACTGTGTGTGTGTGTGTGTGTGTGTGTGTGTGTGTGTGTGTGTGTTGCATATGTGTGTCTGTTCTTTCTGGGCAATGCCTCCCTTTGACTCATCTCATATTTTGAATTATGGCATTTTTTAAAAATTGGCAAATTCATTTCATTCACTGGTTGCTTCTAATTTTAAATATGTGTCTAAAGCAACAGAACTACAAATGAAACCCCAGTCTTTGATTGTTAGGGACTTTGGGGTAGAGAAGGCAAATCAGAACAATGCCAAAGGGATATTTCTGAAAATCCATACTTCAGAGTAGATTGATTTTTCAAAGAATCATGTGCCAAAAAAAAATTAAGGGATATTGATAAAATTGCTATGCTTTATCTCTTTGGTTATAAAAATTAAATACACAGACACACGCTATAAAATTATATCAAATTTATTGTGATGATTCTTTGTATGATTCCTTTGTACTGATAGAACTATTTATTTTTCTTCTATTTGGGCTCCACCTTTTTTCCTGTTTGTGTAATTCACGTCAATGCTTTGCTCGAGATTAAGTCAGAGATGAATTATGGGTTCTGGAATGTGAAATCCTCTGTTTCAGTACATACGTATTCAACCGGGGACAGCACCTTCTTGACTGGTAGATGGGAAAGAGCAACCCAGTCACTAAGCACTGGGCTACTTTTTGTGGGTGTTCTTATGCTTGTATGCATTCCTTTTCATCAGTCTTCTCTCAGAATAACTTGGATTTCCAGGTCTCCCAAAGCGTTTTGGAATTCCATTCTGTGTTCTCCTTTGTCATGTGTATTCCAATCCCTATCTGTGCTTCTTTCTACCTTTTTGAGGTGCTATCTATCGACTCCTCATCAGGTGAAGCAATGTGAGATGACAAACTGTGAAAAGCTTTAAGAACACCCTCTTAAATTGTAGCTCTTGAGTCCCAGAGTTCAGAAGGAGTGGGAAAACCATTCTATAAATAAAAATATCTGGAGATACTCAGGAGAAGACTGGCTGTTCTAAAAGCGAATGCTAGTTAACATGGCCAGACAGTTTTTTTGCATCTTTACTTGGAAAAGAGAATCTATGACACCCTCTAAAATATCAAGCAGTCTTAAGTGGATAATGTTGCTCTAGTTGGTTTCACTGTCAAAGCCATTTAAAACTTCAGCAACTTATGAGATAACGTATCCTAAGGGTCTGATTTCTGAACATGAATTTAAGGGTCCCTCTGATGCCTGTGCTCTAAATACTTCATTAATAACATAAATGATGTCCTCAGTACAATTAAAACAATACTTTAGCTATTGATATTTGTCCCTTTAGGGATTCTTGATTTTATGTGCATGCTTATTATTTGCCCTCATATAAGCACTCACATGATATTGTCAGTAACTGAGAGTTGGATAACCGGCTTGTTTTTCAGGGTACCAATTACTCTTCCCGGCTTACATCTTGTGTGGGCTTTTGGCAGACATCAGCTTCTAGCACCTAGAAGGCACTTCCTTCTCCAGAGTAACTTTATGGAAACAAGGACTTTGTTGCAACTGGCTGAGGTTGAAATGAACACCTCCTCTCTCTGCTTTACAAAATAAGTGGAGACTAACTAACTGGCCTAGGCAAGTTTTCTGTATTCTTGGATTGATTAGTCCTTGCATTCTCTTTGCCTCTTCTCAGACTGTCTCTAAATTTAGCAATGCGATATGGTACAAACAGTCTTTCACATATGCTGTGTCACCAAGGGGATTTCAGGATTGTTTCATTGGTCTGCCTTGGCAAAGCTGACGCAATCTCCCATTGGTCTGTGCTCAGGAATCTGGGTGGGAAGTGAAAGTACAGACAAGCCTGCCAAGGCGAACTCCATCATGCAAGAGCTTGCTGCTGTGTGTGGGACTGAGACCCAGATTCGGGCCAATTCAAAATGAAAACCTTCAAATGAGTGCTCTGAGAGTAAAATGAAACTGAATCTGCTTGCTACATGTCGATGAGGTTCAAAAGATGGCAACAGTTTTGGGGTGCAAGGTCAAGCTGAAGAGTTAAAAACAGAAAGGAACCTTCTTTCCTCAGCCTAAATAAATATCCTTTCCTAGAGGTATCACTGGGAAGGTGGCACAGAGGAAGGTCAAGTGATCCCCTCTCTGGGGTCCACATGCCCGCTGCTGGGCCACACCTCACCCAGGCCCTTCCCTTGTGAACACCTCACAGAGGGACTGGCTCCAAACTGACCCTGAAGAATTATGTGAAATCCTTCTCGTTTAGAGCTTTAAAGGGTGTAAGAGAATCATGAGGATTTGGAAAAACTAGGACTGGGTCCATGTTTATGCTTGCAGCCTTTTACCAACAAATACATATGTACATATATGTACATATATATATATATATTTTCTCTTTAATGTTTCATAAGATATTTTTATCACCTAAATGAAGATAAATTAGCTGAGCTTGTTTGGCATAGAACATATCGCAATATTTTTTATTTTTAAAAATTTGTTTTTTTCTGATTATCAATTCATACTCATTGAAAAAATAGTCAAATGTTACAGAAATGTGTAATAGAAAACAAGAGGGTTTCCCTTTCATCACAACCCCAGGAATAACTTTCATTAGCAATTTGCTTTATATCCTCAGTTTTCTCCCCACAGATGCTCGCTCTATCTATCTATCTATCTATCTATCTATCTATCTATCTATCTATCTATCTAACTATCTATGTATCTATTTTTTATGAGAATAGAATCTCCTTGATATACTAATAAATTGCTTTTTTATTCTACTCAACTACTTTTCCATGTTTGTTTATAAAGATATCATGTTTAGTTTTTAAAACTAGACTTTAAAAATTATATAGGTTTACACAGAATAAAGAACACAGAGAACTCTTTATTAAAAATAAAAGTGCTTTCCTTCTGTCCTCCACCCCACAGTAACACTGTGGTCTTTGGAATCTTGCAAAAACATACACAAGGGTACGCATATGTACTTGTTTACTTCTGTGTATTTTTTTTTTTTTTACATAAATGGAATTGCACTATATAGTTCTGTAGCTCAGTTTTTAAAATTTGGTATTAAAATGTTCTTTCAGTTAGGGCCAAAGGGCATTTAACTTCAAGGTAAGACCCATTCCAGGACGGCAGAGATCATGTCTGTCTTGCGTATCCCTGTGTGAATTTTGCCTGACATGTTGCAAACACTCCGTATGGAAGTCTTGAGGGTCTTCTGCCCCAGTCAGAAAACCTCTGGGAGAACAGTTATCCCCAGACCTCAGACGCTCGACGGATACATGAGAAGCTTTCTTTGATGGATTCGATGTCAGGATCTCCATGTGAACTTCCACTTAGAGGTGTCATGCTATGGTGAGTCCCATTCCTAAGCATGGTAAAAATTTGGTGCCCCAAAGTCTATAGGGGAGTGCACGTACATGGCTGGGGAGGGAATAAAGAGGCCAAAGAGGTCAGCAGCCCTTGGTGCTGCTGAAATTCTCCCTAAACCAGCAATCAATAAAATACATCTTATCTTCTTTGGATTAGAAAATTCAACTTTGATAGCAGAACAAGTATTCTTAGTAATTAGTAAGATTATTAATAAAGAATCTTAGATTCTTAGGGGATTCTTTTAGTGAACTACAAAACTAGTTGTGTGCATGCATGTGTAAGCTGAAATATATCAGTAACAGTATTAAATAATGTGTGTATTTGAGTTCTAATATATCAAATTACAATTTATTTAAGATATGCATCCTATAATACTCTTCCTCACCAAACAGTTTCTAATGTGATAGTTGGTTTTTAATTCTCTAGTGCTAGAAAAAGAAAGTGATTCATGTCACTGAATTTGAGCATCATTTCAGGGCATTAAAAAACCCAAATAACATTTCAGAAGACTTTTGATCATAATTTTGGGGTTAATAGAAATTAAAATCAATATATGGTAGCTTTGAGTAAGAGACAAAACCTATCTACTGGAGAGACTTCAAAGGTCAACGGATCCCAGAAAGGCTCTAACTTATTAGAGACATTTATCATGCATTGCCTTTGGGACATTAAAATGTCACCCTCAGGATTTATGGTTTTTGCAAAATGTGTACAATTTCTGTGGGGAATTTTTCTTATCCCAAAGGACAGGGATAATAGAAAGGAAGCCTTTTATTAGGGCTTACTTTTAAAATGTTCTGAAAGCACTAAAGAGTCAGGATGACTGTTGTCCAGCTGGCTACAGGCAGTTGGCACATAAATCACAAGGAATTGGCCATAGTGAGACTCTGCACAGAACAGCTTGCACAAATTGGCAACTGATCATTCCCTCTCCTTTATTTCTGTATAAACTGTTTACAGAAAACTATGCGGCAGAGTGTCTGAGAATAGTGACTTTCTAATCCCTAGTAATTCCTAGGAAATGTAATTGTAGGAACAAATTTCATAAAGTATCTTCAGTCTTACATAAATCTGTGTAAATCACAGATCCCTTTAAATGCCGTTTGGATAGCAGAGCTCTAGCTGGAACTGCAACCTGACTTCCCTCTGGAGCTTCCTGAAGGCAGCTTGCTGATTCCCTGGTGGAACCCTTGCCTTCCCAGACTGACCAACCCTTGCCAACAGCCATCAGTTCTTTCCAGATAATTCGGGACAATGTCACCCCCTTTGCTGTGTCAAGAACTTGCCCCTTGAATTTTAAAAGCATCTGCCTTTCATAAGAAAACTCAATTTTCTGCTGCTGACTTATTTACACACAGAGTTGCAGATGCCTAAATTGAAGTGACTTGTTGCTATTCTTGGCTGTGAACAGGCTCTCTCTGTTGAAAACTGAAAACCTGTGTGGTGGATGGCACGAGTCCTGTTGAATGGTGCAAACGTCCCCTGCACAAAAGCACTATTAGGATGAATGAGAAATGACAAAGTGAGAACTGGACATAATTTGTTAACAGCTTCCGAAGTTGATGAGGATCAATGAAGATCCTCTTGGAATGCAGGGTATCCATGTTCTTCTTTCAACTTGCACATCATAATAAAATAATAGTTTGTGTTTGTACAAATGTATAAAATAAGTAAGTATCATGTTAAAGACATAGATCTGTGAACACAGAGCTGGTAAAGTTTTCTTTCTGCTGTTCACATGGGGAAAATCAGATGGCCCAATGTAGAAATGGACACTGAATTTGGTTGTCATCCAAATGGGTCCATGTCACTCTTCAAAATGTATCTCCAGTCCTGCCCCCTTCTCCATTTGTGCTGTCACTGACCCACCCTAGGCCTCTAGGATCTCTCACCTGGATGATGTCTGTACCCTGCTAAATTGTCCCTCTCATTGGCTTCCATTAATTTATCTTTTTGGACCATTGTCAAATTGTGATCCATATATTACCCATACCTATTATGTCATTCCCGTTTATAACCTTTTGGAGTTTTTTCTCACCTTACAGAATGAAGTCCAACTAAGACTCTCAGTGTCACCTCTGCCTGTTGCTCCAGGCTCAGTCCCACGCTTCTGTGGGCATCCTATGCTAATAGGTTTGCATTCCTCATGCTAAATGATCTCTGTCACCTCTGTGCCTTCGTTTCTGTTGCCCTCTCTACCTGAGACATTTTCCCCTTTCTCTTGGCTGGCCTAACTATTGATTATCCATTAAAATTCAACTCCTATACTGCCTTCTCCAAACATCCTTCCCTGGCACACTGTCCATCAGGGTAGGTAAGCTGCCCAGCCCCTTGTGGGCCCCCTAGTCCTGCAGGCTTTGCTCTCACTGCACTTGAATATTGGAGCATAGTAACTGCAATGTTTGGAGTGTTTTTCTCCCCTGCAAAGTTCACATCTAACCCCCAAATTGATGATATTAAGAGGTAAGGCCTTTGAGAGGTGATTAGGTCATGAAGCCTCCAACCTCATTAATGGAATTAGTGTCTTTATAAAAGAGGCCCAAGGGGACTTGTTCACCCCTTCGGCCATCTGTGAGTTGGAGAGCTAGCCCTCAAGAGACACTGAATCTGGTGACAACTTGATTTTGGACTTCCCAGCCTCCAGAACTGTGGAGATAAATTTCTGTTGTTTATGAATTATCTGACCTAAGATACTTTGTTATAGCAATCTCAATGAACTAAGACAGTAATCTAATTATGCATCCTCTGGTCTATGACATGCTTGAACACATAAACTGTAACTTATTCATTGTTGTGTTCTCACCCAAATACAGCACCACATCTGACATATAGTTGGTACCTCATAAATGTCTGATGAATGAATAAATGAGGCTGGATAGGCAACATGAGGTAAAAGAAGAGTTTATATTTTCATACTAGGTTTATGGGGTTTATAGTAGGTTTTAGATAAGATTTATGGTAGGTTTTACATAAGTTTATATAAGGCTTATAAGAAATATATGCTTATTTATAAATAAGTAGAATAATTAAAAATAATTTATAGAGCTTAAAAACACATTAGAGAGCATCTAGTCCTATGCTTTTCTTTTACAAATGGGCAACCAGAAGCCCAGAGAAGTTATGACCTGTCCAAGGCCCCACAGTAAGGTAATAACCTCTGAACAGATCCACATATAGTATTTGTGGGGCCCACTGTATGAATTGAGGTCTGTACAATATATGCTTTAATATTTATGTTCAAGTAAAGAATATCACGATTCCCTAATGGCACATTTAACCATACATATGTACAAATTAAAGAACACAAAGTGCTTAATATTGTAAACTGTTCCTCAGCCGCCATGTGAAACTAAGGTAAATACCACACTAACTCTTAAATATTTCTGGAACCACCAATTCAAAGTTGAAGAGGAGCAAGAAAATTGCAGCTCAGCACTACTGGGAAGTGATACTTGGTTTTGCGATTTGAAAGGACTTGACAAGTTAATTAATTTGTCTTTTTCTTTACCAAAGTGCTCCTGCGACCTAATACTCCCCATATCCCAAAGCATCGCCCATCTCAGCTGTCAGCAGTGGCACAGCCTGCAAGACTTCATGGCATTTGGTCACAGTCCTTCTGTCCTGATGACATCAGGCGAAAGAAGTGCCACAGTGTTTCCCTGGGGCCTGAAGAGTATTAATCACACAGTCAGATGTTGGGCTGTGTGATACCAGGACTGAGTATCCATTTGTTGGTTAATAAGTGTGTGTGCTTATGATATGGGAAGTCCTCTAAAGCCAAGGGCCCAGGGCAAGAGTCCCTCTTGCCTCACTCTATGAGCAATATTAAATGGGAAAGAAATTCATACACAGTAACTATCAAGCTCGCCATTAAAATGCCCTATTAAGGTATTATCTGAGAATTTAGAAGAAGGTAATAGTGCCTTAGGGTACCTAATACAGGTTTTTTTACATTCTTATGGCATTGCATTTAGGATCATCTAAAGTATAAAGGCCTAAGGGGAAAGAACAAGAAACTGGGAATTTGCAGTCCTGGATTGTTTTCTTAAATCTACTAATTACCTACTGGGTAACTTTGAGAAAACACAACCTGTTAATGGTTAGCCATTTCAGTTTCTCTACCCATAAAATAAGCCATAAATTATCTACACCCATGCAAAAGTGCTGGGAGAAGAAATGTTCAAATGAAAGGTATTGTAAAATTATAACATGGTTTTACAAAGTTTAAAAGCTGCTCTGACCTCCACTTAAATTTACATGATGTCAGACTTCCACAGAGAGGGTCTCCAATAGAACTAGTCTTAGATGCAGTCGTGTGTTTTCTTTTAGCTACTCAAAATGAGTAACTAAGAAAGGTGTTTTATAAATCCAATCTATTTTCTTGAGAAAATGAATGGTTTACGTGTAACATATACCTATCATGTTAAAAGACTTTATTGTGAAGATAAGAATGTTGACTGAGAGCCTCTTCCTTTCTATTTATATCCCATCTCTTGTCAGCATGGTGCCTGTCCCCTTCTGGGCTGCCAGAGACTCCCTGCTTCTCCTTGACTGGTTATAAAACTGCCAGTCTTTTGCCTTCCCGGGCCACATTTAAGCTGTTCTGAGTTCTTGAATCTGCCAGAACAACCTGTGATTTGGATTAAGGTTGTATCAAGAAACTCAAAGACCCTGAGACAAATGTGGTTAAAAGCAGATATTTTCTTGATGTAGGATTGGGGACCAACATCACAAGCTTTATTGAGGAGGCATTCCAAGAGAGCTGACCACACCAAAACAGTCTCATGTGTTCTGAAGGGCTATGGTTTCCCTGCTGCATGGCTGGAGTCATTCTTCCCTCACAAAGCACATTGTGCTTTATAGATGCAGAGAGAATACACTTTGACCTCTAATTCAGGCATGGAAACAAGCAGTGCTGAGCTGGTCTCTGGTGACTCCCAGGGTCTGGAACCACTGGACAGAGCAAGGTTGGGGTGGGCTTTGATGACCTCTTTCTGAGGTTCTAGGCTAACAAACTAATCACAAGGAATGGGCGACTCGTAGTGCTGCCTGGGAGGCAGATGATACACTTGCATTTTCCTTTTTCCATGGTGAGGCAGTTCCTCACTTTGAGAGAACCATGATTCTCATGGCATGTATTTCTTATTTTCTTTAGCTCCCTGTGCCAAACTCTCTCCTCAGAACCTGTCACAGCCTTAGCCACTATAGATGCTCAACAAATATTTGTTGAATAAACAAATAAAACATCGCTTCCTTATTCTTCTGTTGGTATTCCATTAAAAAATGGATACCCCACTTACAAGAACTTCAGAAGAACTTTCCCATTCTAAAGTTCCCAGAAATCCAAATGGACAAAATATTTCCATTTTAATTTTTAAAGATCAGAAGAATGCAGTGACCACAGTTTATATTTTCCCTCCTATTCTCCTCAGGGCCTGTGTTGCTCATTTAAATGCAATTTGACGTATGTTTGGGTCAGTGGCCTCAGTCCGGAGGCTCTTACAGTAACTTGGCACTGTGGAAATCCCAGAACTTCGGCCAGGGTCTGGAGGAGACGCGTGGGGTTGGGGGCACTGAGGGCCACTCTCATTAAGCCTCAGGCAGTGGTCCGGCCTGCCTTGGGCAGGAGATCTCTGGACTAGTTAGCTTGGTTTAGCATGGAAACAGTCAGCAATGCCTGAGAAAGCCACGAGGCTGGTCAAGATGACTAGGAAGATTATAAACCAGAAAACTTCCGCCTTGGTATTTGAAAACCACATGGAATTTTACAACATTCTTGCCTATTAACTGCTGGGAAGGGCACTACCTTATTGCCTTGTGCATAATGGAACCAATCTTTCCCCTCAGAGGCCCCCGTGTTGCTTTGATCAAGTTCAAAAGATGAGGGGAATGATGACTAAGGGCCTTGGGAACCAGACTGAAGAATCTCACAGACATACTCCAGGGTTTTTTGGGGATTGTTTGTTTTCTTTTCTGACGCATCATTTTGGTAAACAATTCCTATAGTCTGTGCACTTATCAAATTCCTTACCCAAATATTTGCTATTTATAAAATAATCAAGGAAACAGACTTGTGTTTATTATTCCTAAATCAGCCACAGTTTGATGAATTAAAAACAGTCTTACTTTTTCCTCCTTCCTCTCCCTTTACCAGCCTCTTGTAAAAGTGCCAGCATTATACACCCAACTCTCTCTTTAGACAGTAAAAATGAAAAATAAAAGTGACCTTCGTGAACTGTGCATTGCCTCTGCATAGTCTGTTAGACTTCGGGCCAGCAGCCAACCCCCCTTAGCACCAGAGGTAGATCTTTGGAAGCGATTGAGTTGGAAAGGGATACAGTAAATGTCTGTTTCCGGTTCACAGGGGCCTCAGCGTCACCACATCGTTTGGACGTCTGACCAGTTTCCTGACTTTGAGAGTCTCTTACTTTAAACATGAGGGATCAGCCCTAGAAAGGAAAGGAAAGACACACGCAAGAGTCTGCCTCTGACTCCACCGGCGGCCACTCTCAGGATGGGTCCTCCAGACGGGATTTAAACAGAACTGTTTTGATAGGGACAGTGCTTTCTGTTGCTGTCCTGGGGCAGGGTGATGGCGAGGACACAGGGTGCTTTCAGATCCTCTGCGTGGACAAGACCAGCTCTGGGCCAGCTTCCAGGAAGCCCCACTGGTAGCGACAGAACATGTCCAATTCAGAAAGCCCTTCAGGGCTGGTTCAACTGGATATCGTATTTAAATGGATCTATTTATATTTCATATGTGTGAAAGAAAGGCTTTGTTGGATGAACACATTTACACTTTTCTTTTTTTTTTTTTTTTTACTGATTAAAATTTTATTATTTTGGCCAGGTGTGGTGGCTCACACCTGTAATCTCAGCACTTTGAAAGGCCAAGGTGGGTGGATCACTTGAACTCAGGAGTTCAAGACGAGCCTGAGCAACGTAGGAAGTCCCATCTCTACCAAAAAAAAAAAAAAGTAGTGGGCTGTGGTGGCACATGCGTGTAGCCCCAGCAACTCACAAGACTGAGGCAGGAGGATTGCTTGATTCTGGGAGATGGAGGTTGCAGTGAGCTGAGATCACGCCACTGCACTACAGCCTGGGTGACAGAGTGAGACCCTGTCTCAAAAAAAATTATTTTTTCTAATTTGCAAATTGTAATGTTTTATTTTTTATTTTTTGTAGGTACATAGTAGGTGTATATATTTATGGGATACGTGAGATGTTTTGATACAGGCATGCAATGTGAAATAAGCACATCATGGAGAATGAGGTATCCATCCCCTTGAGCATTTATCCAATCACACTCTTTAAGTTATGTTAAAATGTACAATTAAGTTATTATTGACTATAGTCACCCTATTGTGCTATCAAATAGGTCTCACTCATTCTTTCTATTCTTTTGTACCCATTAACCCCACTTAAACTTTTCTTTCTGAAAGAGACAAACTTGCTAAATTATCATGAGAGAACCAAAGAATTCTAATGAATCATTTTATTTAAAAAATAACTACAGTTATCCTTTACCAAACTAAAATTCCAGGTCTGCAACAACTTCGATTTGGCACAGAGTTGCTGCAAAGCTTAATGTGTATATTTACACACTTCAGCCCTCTTAAAAGCCATCCTACTATTGATGTCCCCATCGAGTCCTTAGTTTCCTATGTTTCTATGTTTCTAAGTGGAACAGCAAGTCTCACCTACCTTTAGAGTCCACGCTCTAATTGCTTTCATTCCTTTATAATATGCTGAGCTCACTTAAAAGCTGGTTTCGGCCGGCTGTGGTGGCTCACGCCTGTAATCCCAGCACTTTGGGAGGCTGAGGCAGGTAGATCACCTGAGGTCAGGAGTTCGAGACCAGCCTGGCCAACATGGTGAAACCCTGTCTCTACTAAAAATATAAAAATTAGCCAGGTGTGGTGGCGGATGCCTGTAATCCCAGCTACTTGGGAGACTGAGGGAGGACAATCACTTAACCCAGGAGGCAGAGGCTGCAGTGAGCCAAGATTGTGCCATTGCACTCCAGCTTGGGCAATGGAGCAAGACTCCATCTCAAAAAGAAAAAGAAGTAAAAAAAAAAAAGCTGGTTCCTACTCTGCCAAGGTGAAACTGTTGGTTGCTAACTTTTGAGGAGAATGGGCTCTGTTTGGCATGATTTGGCTGAGAGAGGCAAAAGCATGCAGCCTCCCACAGGAAACGGTGGGAGAAACACCAGCAGCAGATGTAGGCAGATGTTTATGGAAAATGGTGCACAACATATTCAGAAGTAAAAATTTCATATTCGTGAATACAAATTTCATTTACCATTATGAAAATAAACATTTCAGTAAATCATTTCATAACTAGAGGGATCCCAGAGGCAGGAGTCATCTCACCTTCCAAAATAATAGCAGCCAGCCAGGGTATGGCAGTGGCAGCAATGACACTTCTACCTCTAGCTGCCAGTCATAGGCATCCTAGCAACCTCCGTCAGGAGAAGAGTGGGAGGGAAAATGTTTTTTTTTCCTCCAAGCATTATGAAACAACTAGGGAGGCTAGTCTCTGAGGATTTGATCTAAGGCTTGCCCAAATTACTTTCTCTCAGGAACTTTTGCCTTGAACCAATTTTAGGCACCAAACTAGTTCTCTCTTGCTGGAAGAACGTGATTGTATTGTCTGAAATTGTGCATGCTTCCTTGTAGGATGCCAGTGGAAAACCCCAACCATGCCCTTTCCCACTAAATTATTAGGATTTCACTTTCCAGTAAATGCAAAAAGAACATGCAAGCATGGCTAAGAGGTTTTTTTCTAATTAAAAAGCTACACTTTTTATCTTAACATTTCTACTTCTGTAAGCTTTATGTGGGCATGAGACCATACCATTTGTCTTTACATCCCCACAATACCCAGTAATATTTATGTACATAATTGGAGATGAATAATGATTCTCTTAGATAAAGAAACTTGTCCACCCACCTCTACCACAAATGAAAATCCTTTTTCTTATAGAACTTTTTGGCCAAGCAAAGGCTCATGATATCTGTAATATCTGTGATAGAGAAGCAGTGAGGATAGTTCTTATTCCACAGTCCAGCATGAAATTCTAGAATGATGATTGGCCTTTTCTGTTCACTTTCACTCTCTTGGAGGGAAGGAGGAATGTGAATAATTGAAAAACGAGTTACAACTCAAACAAAACACATATGAATTTGGCTTTGCTCTGTGGTGAATCCCACAACTCGATAGTGCCCTCCACTCTTTTCTGTCTATCCTTAACTCAAACCTCTGTCTAGTTGACCAAGACCCAGCTGGGAGGAGGATCCAGGAAAAGGTTCCAGAGTGGGGATGGGAGAAGGTGCTGGAATGAAGGACTCAAGAGACGCATATGAAGCTCATTTTGACGCTTTATCACTTTGTATTGTTGAGAAATGCTTGTTCTGTCTTCATGCCTGAGGTTTCTTCTTGTCAACTTGGATGAATGGACTATAGAATGTACACATTTCCTGCTTGCACTGTGATTGAAAGTCCCATATAAATAAAAATTAGTTGACCTTTGCATTGTTGCGGTATTATGCCAAATGCAGAAAAGCTTAAGGGTATAATAATAAAAGCTAAAATGGATAAACTAAGTCTGACTTAGAGAATTATCAAAATCTCAAAGCATTTCAGGGACAAAAAATGATTTTTAAAAAGTAAACATTTATATACTTTTAACTCTATATTTTATCACTGTTTCCTCCTACAGCTTATTTAAATGCACATTCCAGTTATAATAATTTTGAGTAAATCCCCCAGTTGACTTGAATGTGTACAAACTTGCTCCTGGCCATTTGAATCTGATGCAATTCAGCAAATTTTGAAATTTGTATTCCAGTTATTCAAGTAAATGAATAGTGTCATTTGATTATTTGACGTGATTTTTTTTTAAAAGCAGTTTTGAAAAACTGCTTCTGGGTATCAATACTAAAATGAAAACACTGGCTAAAATCATAAAAGCAGGAAAATTAATTTCAGGGCATTTTAAGCCTCCTCTGCTTCCTGGGCTCACAGGGCTTCAGAAGTGGAGAATCATTCTCTGATGTCACTGTTCTCTGAAAGCTGATCCATTCAAACCCATATGGTGGACATCTTTGAATCACACACTGGTTACATTTTTCAGTGCCTCAGAAAGCAGAATTTCCCCCCTTTTAATTCTCAAAAGCAAATTTGAATGAACTGTTTTACCCACCTGCAGCTTCCTCTGAGGAATATAACTCTTTAATTCAATTCATAATGTCCTCATATTCTACAACCTCCAAATTATCCTAAATTATTAAATCTTAATTATTTGGGTTTAAAATTAAAATAAACAGTTTTAGTTTTAAATCTAAACCATTGTTACTGATTCTGAGGTGGGAAAATGGAGGACTTTTTTACAGAAGCATCATAAAGATATTACACAAAGCCAGAAAATGTCCCATTTCTTTCTTTCTCTTTTTTTTTCTTTTTTTTTTTTTTTTTCTGAGATGGAGTTTCACCGTTGTTGCCCAGGCTGGAGTACAATGGCACGATCTTGGCTCACTGCAACCTCCACCTCCCAGGTTCAAGTGATTCTTCTGCCTCTGCCTCCCGAGTAGCTGGGATTACAGGCATGTGCCGTCACGCCTGGCTAATTTTGTATTTTTAGTAGAGACGGGGTTTCTCCATGTTGGTCAGGCTGGTCTCGAACTCCCGAACTCAGGTTATCCGCCCACCTTGGCCTCCCAAACTGTTGGAATTACAGGCGTGAGCGACCACGCCAGGCAACTTCCCATTTCTTTAATTCTCTACTGCAATCTACATCTTTGCTAATCAATAGAAAGTCAACATGGTTCCACAGATTTTGGAAATGCAAAAACTTTTGGCTTTTAAAAGCCCCCTTCAAGCAGAAAAATCTATCTGCTGAACAATAAAGACCACATAAGAGAAAATGGAGTGTGGGCCCTCCCTACTGGTTTATGCCTCAGATAGAGGTCCCTGGTGGTAGGGGCCTAGATAGAGAGACAGTGTAATAGAATTGCATTAACACAGTGTCCAAGAGTGCAGAATCCACAAATGGTTGATGGGCAGGCCTCTCCTGGTCTTTGTCTCCACCCTGTCTGGCTCACAACTCTACATTTCTATGGTTGCTTCGCTCCAATTAAACTTCAAGCTCAGCTTCCATCCTATGCAAACACCCTTTAATGTTTCTAGATCTCTTTCCTACCTGCACACATCCTTGTTTTGCATCTTTGTCTTGGAAGGACAAATAGCATGGTTCAGATAATGAAGGTTGTGCAGGAGAGGAAGGTTGAGGAAAAGGTGGAGGATCGTCAGATTCAGAAAATTGTGGTAACTGTAGGGGCTGTCTCGGGATTGGTATGTCATCAGGACAGCACGTACTAAGGCCCAGTCACCCCAAATAGTTACGGGAACATAATTTCCTGTGGAGACCAGTTCCCTGAATGTTGTACCAACAAGATCCCATAGTTCTACATCTAAGGTTCCTTTTTCAGGAAACCAAGGACAGTATTTTTCTACTGACCTGAATAGAGTGAGCATATTTTCCATAGGCACTTAACACCACCCTGTTTTAACAGGAGTTTAATATAGCAGAGATAAGCATGATGCTTACACTCTGCATGATCCATAGTTAACCCAGACCTTACACAGACTACTGACCACTCGTCGGGGAGTCGAACACGCATATCTGTGGACCAAGCCGATTGACGTTTCACTGCACGTACCAAAGGGAATCGGGTTCCCTCATGCATTTAGGAAAAAAGAAAGACCACGTGGGTGCCAGATATCGGGGAACCTGCCCCGATATTCATGTAGGTTCTTTTCTATTTTCCTTAAGCGTCGGCCGGCTTAAGAAATAAAGGGACAGAGTACAAAAGAGCAATTTTAAAGCTGGGCGTCCAGGGGAGACAACACATGTCGGTGGGTTCCATGATGCCCCATAAGCTGCAAAACCCACCAAGTTTTTATTAGGGAGTTTCAAAAGGGGAGGAAGTGTGCGAATAGGTGTGGGTCACAGACATCAAGTACTTTACAAGGTAATAGAATATCACAAGGCAAATGGAGGCAGGGCGAGATCACAGGACCACAGGACCGGGGCAAAATTAAAATTGCTAAT
Source organism: Homo sapiens (assembly GCF_000001405.40). Taxonomy (NCBI): domain Eukaryota; kingdom Metazoa; phylum Chordata; class Mammalia; order Primates; family Hominidae; genus Homo; species Homo sapiens. The sequence goes on from NC_000006.12 coordinate 105,615,417, forward strand.
GAAGTTTCGGGCACCATAGTCATTGATAACATCTTATCAGGAGACAGCGTTTTGAGATCAACCGGTCTGACGAAAATTTATTAGGCGGGAATTTCCTCTTCCTAATAAGCCTGGGAGCGCTATGGGAGACTGGAGTCTATTTCACCCCCGCAGTCTCAACCATAAGAGATGGCCATGCCCAGGGGAGCCAGTTCAGAGACCCACCCCTAGGTGCGCATTCTCTTTCTCAGGGATGTTCCTTGCTGAGAAAAAGAATTCAGCGATATTTCTCCCATTTGCTTTTGAAAGAAGAGAAATATGGCTCTGTTCCGCCAGGCTCACCAGTGGTCAGTTTAAGGTTATCTCTCTTGTTTCCTAAACATTGCTGTTATCCCATTCTTTTTTCAAGGTGCCCAAATTTCATATTGCTCAAACACACATGCTGTACAATTTGTGCAGTTAATGCAATTATTACAGGGTCCTGAGTCGATATACATCCTCCTCAGCTGACAGGATTAAGAGATTAAAGTAAAGACAGGCATAGGAAATCACAAGGGTATTGATTGGGGAAGTGATAAGTGTCCATGAAATCTTTACAATTTATGTTTAGAGATTGCAGTAAAGACAGGCATAAGAAATTATAAAATTATTAATTTGGGGAACTAATAAATGTCCATGAAATCTTCACAATCCATGTTCTTCTGCCATGGCTTCAGCCGGTCCATCCATTTGGGGTCCCTGACTTCCCGCAACAAACATGGTTCCACAGATTTTGGAAATGCAAAAACTTTTGGCTTTTAAAAGCCCCCTTCAAGCAGAAAAATCTATCTGCTGAACAATAAAGACCACATAAGAGAAAATGGAGTGTGGGCCCTCCCTACTGGTTTATGCCTCACATAGAGGTCCCTGGTGGTAGGGGCCTAGATGGAGAGACAGTGTAATAGAATTGCATTAACACAGTGTCCAAGAGTGCAGAATCCACAAATGGTTGATGGGCAGGCCTCTCCTGGTCTTTGTCTCTACCCTGTCTGGCTTACAACCCTATATTTCTATGGTTGCTTCGCTCCAATTAAACTTCAAGCTCAGCTTCCATCCTATGCAAACACCCTTTAATGTTTCTAGATCTCTTTCCTACCTGCACACATCCTTGTTTTGCATCTTTGTCTTGGAAGGACAAATAGCATGGTAGAATTTTTGGACTGAAATTAAGATGTGGTTCTAAAAGTACATAATGTCACCATGTACTCATGAGCTTTTGATTCATGCCTCATTCCATCTGTGGGGACAGCCCACTGTTTGCACCAGGCTAATTGCTACATATCCTGTAAGACCTGGTGATGCCTCATATGCCCTGTGGAGCCTTTCCAACTCTCCCTTCCTCTGGGCTTCCCACATATCCTGGGCAACTTCCACCATAGCTTTTGATAGACTGTTATGTGCTACATTGTGTCTCTTCCAAATTACTATGTTGAAGGACCCCCAAGACCTCAGTGTCACTGTATTTGAAGATAAGGTCTTTAAAGAGGTGACAAAGTTAAAATAAGGCTGTTAACATGGGCTCTAACCTAATATGGTTGGTGCCCTTACAAGAAGAGGGAGAGACACCAGAGCTGCTCCCTCATAAGGAAAGACCACGTGAGGACACAGAGAGAAGCCAACTATCTGCAAGCCGAGGAGCAAGACCTCAGGAGAAACCAAAGCCCAAACCTGCTGACACCTGGATGGGGCTTCCAGCCTCCAGAACTTGTGAGAAAATACATATCTGCTTGTTTAAGCTGCCCAATCTGTGGTATTTTGTTATGGCAGCCCTGGCAAACTCATATACAATCCTATGAATTGTTGCCTTATCTATCTCTACTTCTGTATTGTGAATACTCTCTCTCTCTCTCTTTTTTAATGAGACAGAGTCTTACTCTGTCCCCCAGGCTGGAGTGCAGTGGTATGATCTCGACTCACTGCAACTTCTGCCTCCCAGGTTCAAGCGATACTTGTGCCTCAGCCTCCCGAATAGCTGGGACTACAGGTGCACACCACCAGACTCTGCCAATTTTTTTTGTATTTTTAGTAGAGACAGGGTTTCACTTTGTTGGCCAGGCTGGTCTGTAACTCTTGGCCTCAAGTGATCTGCCCGTCTCACTTTCCCAAAGTGCTGGGATGTATTGTGAATACTCTTAAAAGGCATTTCTCTATTTACAAAACTTAGCAGAATGCCTGGCACATGTCAAGAAACGTTTGTTGAATGAATAAATAAAGAAGCATCTTCCTGACTCTGATCAGCATCTAATCACTTGCTCCCTTATTTTCCTCCCTACTTGTATCTATTCTTTACCATCCTAATACTAACAGTTTGAACACTTGTCTGTATCTCACACCTAAGTCCTTAATGCTGTTGGGTTTATTCCTAGCCTTCAGAGGTGTCACAGGAGACATCAGTGGTATCTGGAGCCACTCTCCAGACACGGGACATCCACACAGAACTTGGGCTCTGTGGTTTCACATCATGGCAATATACTGAGCCAACAGATTCCAATGAGTACAACCAGCAAAATCATGGTCCATATGCCCCTTTCCTAGAAGCCAAGCTAGCAACTCAACCTTGAGGCAGCTGAAACTGCTCCTAAGAAGAGCCTCTTGTGGCTGCTAGTTCTCAAGTAGGTGATTAAAATGAGAGAGGAGGTAGCCTGGTTACTGACCAAGTAAATATCAAAAAAAGGGTTGAAAGTCAGCTCTGCAGAAAATTGGGAGCTGCCTCACATTCTGAAGTCATTACTCCAAGAAAGTCCTCTTACATCCAGAGTTTTCTTTCTTCTCAAATTATGGGATACCTACATATAACCACTCAGAAAGATCACATTTGTGAGAATAAAACATGATTATACCTCAAAAACATTTCCTTTCAGGATCACTCTGCTCAAGTCTCCTGGGCCCCAGTGAATTCTGATTGAAGAAGAGCCCTGGAGTAGTTACACATCCATAAAGGCTCTATTTGTTTTTATATGTACTTACCCTCTGCCTGACTCTGCCATTCTTGCTTAAGAAACATTATGTTGAAATGGAATGATATTTTATGTGAGCGAGGGTGTGGGGTGAGTCCTCTTGTAAAAGGGTGGCCTTGTCTTGATACAAGTAGACTCAGGATGACCCAGGCTCTGGATCTTGGTTAGCAAAGTTTGCAGTGGACAGTGTTTGAATCCAGTGTTTGAAGGAATATTTCCTCCTGTAACATGGTTTTGTAATGGAAAGTCATTTTATTTTCAGGTCCCATTTTGTTTTGTAGGTTTTTTTTTTTTTTTTAATCCCAGCTTAAATAGTAAGTCTAACAATCACAAATTCTTTTCCATGGATGTTTAAGAGTAGAGTTCTTTTAATGTTCCAATGATACTGAAATACTTTGTACCAGTTTCTTTTGCATTCCCAAGAAGTGTTATAATGCAGACTGCACGCTTAAAAGAAGGAATGTTCTAAGTTTTAGTCCAAGATGCCCTGAGGTGAGAAATCAAGAACAAGGATCTCGTCTATGACTTGAGATAATAATGAGGATCCTTCAATAAATTCCTAGGGCTGTCTCTTATAGGGACTCAATCAAGTCAACTCCATATTAAATGTCTGTTGTTGTGCAAGGCATAATATGAGTGCCTTGAGAGCCATAAAGAACAAAAATCTTTGAAATGTTTCTAACCCTCAGGAGTTTACAGCAAAGTTAGGAACAAAAATTTGAATCACGATCAAGCTTTTAATAAATCTAAATAAAAATAAAATATTTCAATAGCAGCTCAAAATAAAAAGAGACAACAGCTTTCACAAGGCTGTCCATGGTTAATTGCCAAGTGAATTCTACAAGCAGAAAGTGCCCAGACCTCAAAGAGGGCAGGCCCAGGAAGGCATCTTTCAGGACAGGCAGAATGTAGGTAGGCTGGCAGGAGGCAAAACAAACCCACCTGCTTCTTGTTGGGTTGTGAGGTCAGGCTGATCTGAGCTCACCTCCACCAAGGGTGACCTGGGACAAGTTCTCTTCCACTCTGAGTTTGTCTTCTCACAAGAAAACAGGTAATAAACTCCGCGCCTACCTTTGAGTTGTTGTGAGGAGTAGATGAGAGCTGTGTAAGTAAATTATTGGCATAGAGTCTCACACATATTACATCTTTTTTGTTTTTGTTTTTGTTTTTGGGACAGAGTCCAGGCTGGAGTGCAGTGGCGCTATCTCGGCTCACTGCAAGCTCCGCCTCCCAGGTTCACGCCATTCTCCTGCCTCAGCCTCCCTAGTAGCTGGGACTACAGGCGCCCACCACTGCGCCTGGCTAATTTTTTGTATTTTTAGTAGAGGTGGGGTTTCACCGTGTTAGCCAGGATGGTCTTGATCTCCTGACCTCGTGATCCGCCCGCCTCAGCCTCCCAAAGTGCTGGGATTACAGGCGTGAGCCACCTCGCCCAGCCACACATTACATCTTATGATACCAGACATCATATTATGTATTGATTATGTCTTTTAGTTTATTGTCTGTTTTTCCTACTCCAAAATAAACTCATGGAGGGTAGGTATTTAGTATTGTTCCACTCTTGGATCCATACTGTCTATGTTACTAGCTGGCACACAATAAATACCTAGTACATATCTGTTGAATGAATAAAATCAATGAATAATTAATTTAAACCAAAAAAAAAACAGCAAAGCTCATATAATTGTCCAACCATATCTTTTTCATATTTTTTTCTCATCTCTGTCCATTTTCTTCAACTTCGTGAGCAATAAGAGATGTTGCAAGCAACAGGCTAAGTTCCAAAAGGAGCAAGATCATTTGGAAGTTGTCCCTATGAGTTAATGGCTACTAAAACTCGGATTATTTGCCTTGAGAAGAGTAGATAATGCAATGGGAAAATAGTTTGTCTTCCCATTTCCTCCTCCTGCATTTGCTCCTCCCCATTGGCTCCTGATCATACCTGTGCCCCATAGGCCCCTCTTACCATCAATGTCTAAAAATAAGGGACAGAGACAAATTGTGGGGAGAAAACAAATGGTTTCCCATGTAGACCTTCTAAGTCCCACGGAGAGAGGGTTGGAATGTTACTTCCTTTTTCTCTAACGTACCTCAATGCCCTATTTTTAAGCCTGAGGATGAGTGAGTTAGCCAAGCCATGCCAAATGAAGCATGACGGTTACAAAATGTTATGTTTTCCGTGACATTAGGTCAAGCAGCAGTGACGTTCTGCTGGAGATCACTTGGCTGTACGTAAAAGTCCCTGTCACCATCACTGGAGACAGACTTATTTTGACCTAATTTTTTGTCCCATTATAATTTTGTAAGCTTAATTAAATTTGGTATGTTTCAAGAACATGGACTATCACTAGCGCTGGGGGGAGGAGATGAACAATCAACTTTTTATTATCTCACGTTGGTGTGTGACCAGCTAAAGAATCTCATTAAAATCTTATTTGCAGGAAATGGACTCATTTATAGCTCCCCACTTGGTAGTATGTTTGTTACTAGAGCAGAGGGGAGGTAAAGTGAGTCACAAAATGTCAATGCTGGATCGTGTGAGCATCCTCCCAGACTGCAGATTGCTGACACCTCATTGTGTTCTGTGTGTGTGACACAAAGCTCTGATCCATGTACACTCTAACCCCTCAGATAAAATCCTGTCCCCAGACCTGCAAAACCCATTATTGCCTAAGAAAAGCCAGAATTACTGAATGTTTTCCTTTCTTCTGACTTAAAATGCACGTCATCAACCACGTAAAGGAAAAGAACAATGCATGAAGTATCCTCTGGGGTTTCTCACCCTTTCTAAGATATTTTCATAATGAGTTTCTGCTTAAAAATTGTTTCATCAGAGGATATTGATGCTCCTGTGTGAGACCTTCTAGAGCTTCAAAGAAATAAAATCCAAACATCTCTGGGACATCTTGTGGGGAGATTGATTAAAAAACTTGGGTGTTTTTGTTTTTCATGTGAAAAATATCTTAGAGTCTACATGAGGATCTTTCTGGACTTTATGTAAATATTTTATAATATTATATATTAGTCAGGATCCTGGCAAGAACAAAATCCACCCCAGAAGTTTCCATAAAGACAGTTTGATAAATGCCTACTTACAGGTTACAAGCAGGTTAAAGAAACAAACAAGGGATGTTGAGGCACCCAGAGACTAGCGACAGTGGGAAGCTGTTCTTGTACTTCGGCCTAAAGAACAAGAGGAGGAAATAGTGCTGCTTGAATCCAGTGTAAGCTAGTAGAGGCTACAGCCACTGTCAGAGACCCACCCAGGGAAGGTAGGAGCCCTGGAAGAAATACTCTGATTGCTATCTCCTTCCACCCCGATCTCCTGCTGGTGCTGCTCATTGGACAAATTTCAATGTAAGCCAGTGTCACGGGACCCTGGGTAACAAAGCCTATAGGGTTCAGCTTCCCAGGACAGACCAGCAGGGAGAAAGGCCAAATATTAATCTGTTTAGCATAGTACTCTTTATACTCAATGATCTTGTTCAAAATTATGTCATTATTTGCCAGGGCTTATGATAAATTTGCAGCCCATTATCCTGGCGCTTTCTCTTTATCCTGACCTCCTTTGTGACTCTGTGATCTGCACATATATTCTCGGTCCTGAACAGTTTTCTCTGTGCAATGCTAACTCTTCTCTGTTGAGATTAATCCCGATCTCCATATCAACTAAATAAATTTTAAAGTTATGAAAACTGTGAAAGTCCTTCTTCACTCTCATGAAATTTTAAATTCATAATCTCTTGGCTTGGCATAGTTTCATTACTTCAAGGACATTAAAACATTTTACTTTCATTATCTCATAGATTTTTTTACCATATCTCTCTTGGGTAGGCATCTTGGTATAGTACCTAGTACAGTGATACATGAAAATAGACGTTTAATAAATGCTTGCTAAAGGGATGATCACCATCAAATGCCCCTTATGCAGATACGGGAGCTCATGCTGAAAAGTTAAGCAACCTGGCCAATATCTCGTGATGTGCCAATAGGGATATAAACCAAGTCAGAGGGCTTACCCTGAATATGCTCTCTCCAAACTGAGATTTTGCTAAGCAGGGCAGGAATTTGAAGAAGGGTTCATTTTCTTCCTGTACTTTGACCCAATGTTAACAACAGTTGAGATAGACAGGGCATGGTTTTTCAACTGATTTGTTTACTAGATTGTCAAAGAAATATATGCCCATTACTTTTTCTTAATCATTAGACATGAAATGTCATCAACAGGAACAAAAAGTTGAGCTATACACGTATAGGAATTGAACTGAACTGTGATGGTTTTTTATTTCCGGGATGAGTAAAAGGAAAAATAAAGTGGGGATTTAAACCTAAGATTTACCTGGAAATCAGTTACAGACAGCTTTTTCTTATCAATGGAAATAAAGGACAGGAAGGAGCTGAAAAAGTAAATGTTTACAGTTTTATCTCCACAGCTGTTATAAACTCATCTTCAACCAAACCTCCCACTGTGTTCCAAAGTTCTCAATGATGATTTTTCTTGCATGTCACTGTCTTACTAAATATCTGGTGGAGGATTCATATAGAGAAGGAAAAGCTGAGGGACCTGGATTCACTGCCCGCCAGATCAAATCTTTGTGGAATAATACCAATCAGGTAGATTAAGTTTTGTAAATAGGGTAAGTCATCCATTGCCATGAAAACATTTGCAGATGAGGTGGGTCTGTATTTTTGGAAGCACCCTCGGTGCCTTCCTTTGGAGAGTGTGCTACCAGCCGACATAATTTGTAGATGGTGTCTTGTGTGCACAGCTTCGTGGTGGGTGTGATATTATAAGAGAAACCAACTGAGACCACCGTTTTCAGAATCACATTGATTTTAAATCAGTTATACCCAGTTTCTAAATAACTTATGTTCTTTGACTGGGTATTATCTTTATTTTCTTCCTCTTTCTCTTCATACTCAGAATCACATGGAATCCTATTTCCTACATAGGAAATATTCCTGTCTCTTGAATGTGACCTTTATCCTCACCATCTCCTTTGCTTAAACCGGGTTACTATCTACCAGTTCTCATGTGGGCCATCACAGGCCATATTCTTAATTAGCCTCTCTCTCTCCACATTCCCACCTCAACCTCCTTCACAAGGCAAACATCTTTGTTGTTTAAAAATACAAATATATTCAAGTCCACCATTGCTAGCTTAAAATGCTTCAGAGGTTTCCCATGGCCTTGAAATTCAAACCTTAACATCATTCTCTTCATGCTTTTTAGCTTTCCCTCACACTATTCTGTACCTCAAATTCCCTTTTGTCCGCAAAATAAAGCCCAAAACTCAAGGCCTGTCATAATCTGATCACAGCCTGTTTCTTCAGCTTCATTTTGTACTACTCTCTTCTTTACCATCTATATCCAGGGGTGAAATCATTGAGGCTCCAGGGAAATATCTTTGTGGCATGTGAGTAAGAGGAAATTATAGAAGACATTAGTTACAACTGAGCTACCAAACTAGATAATACACTTCCTAAAACTGATGATATTGAAAGGGCCAAAGCTAAACATTCTTTCTAGGAAGATGTTATTTACCAAATTAATGATGAATTTCCTTAAAGCCTTATTTGAATCTTCCAATATTCTTTGTTTTTCCAAAACACAAAAACTAATCTACAAACTACTCTAGATGGGTTGAGAATGAAGTGAAATAAAACCCGAGTCAGATAGCAAACTTAATTGTGGGGCTACATTCCATCCAGAGAAGAATAATAAAAACTAGCAACAAAATTTCTTGGAACTAACATTTCAGGTCTCTGCCACTTCAGATGACCCCTTTATCTTTCATAGACAGATAAGACATTATTGCAAAAAGGAGGACGCTTTGTCTTCCAGATGGAACCCTAAGAACTAAGGTCCTGCTTGCCAAAGAATCATGGCTCAACATGTTGAGTAACCAAGACTTCTTATCTCTTATCTCTTCTCCAAAGATAGTACTTTTATTGCTACAATTTATGCAAAAACTTTCAGGCTAAAATATATATGTGCATATACTTATATGCGTGCATATGTATATATGTATAAAGATAGAGACTCAAGGGAAAATATTGATAGAGAAAGAGATAGATAGATAGATAGATATAAATGGAAATTTAATATGGAAGGTCAACTATTAAATGACTTGTCTATACCCAGCCTTTGCCACATTATTCTAAGCATAGGGAATAAAGGACAAGGTTCTGTTCCTAGGAAAGTTTACAATATTTGATGGAAGTTGGGCCTGAGGGAAGGAGAAGCATTATGGGCAAATGTTGGAGGGGGTGAGGTGGGGAGGTGGCTCAGATTTGCCAACTGCCTACTATGAACAGATGCTGTGATTAGATCTGTTATATGAGGGTATCTCATTTAATTCTTACCAAATCAGTGCATGAAAGTGATATCTCTGTTTTCCAGATGAGGAAACTGAGGGTTGGAGGAAGAGCCCAATGAAAGGGCAGTCCCATTGAGTAGCTGTCAGAGAATCGTTTAAAAGAGACTTAAGACATTTTGCAATTAATCAGGAATGTGGTGTTTGTTAACTTAAAATAATTTTATTGCATGGTTGCTTACATAACTGGTAAAGTGTAAATTGGTCCCCTTCTGCTCAGCACATGTATTACTCTCTTACGTGAATTTAACCATACAACAGAAAGAAGTTTACACGTATATTTTAACAATTTCCTCACTGCCTTTTAAGGAAGATAGAGTCTGGTACTGAGCGTTGGTTCTTTGATTTGTTGAGTTCAACAAAATTGATATTCTCAGGAAAATGGTCTTTGACATAGCTGAAGGTTTATATCATTCTGCGAAGGAGATTCCAAGCTTAGAGAGAGAGGCTGAGGTAAGATTAAGTTGCTCTGCCAAGAAAGGGAGAGAGATTTCAGGAGGTGTAAGACCTGAGAATACGGTGTCAGAGTTGGGAAGGTTGAGGCCTGAAAGAGAAAAGGGAAGGGGGGGGGGGGGAAAGAGAGAGAGAGAGAGAGAGACTTGGGCAAGGGGTCTATTCAAAGGGGCTTCTCAAGTTGCAGGCTGTGTGGGAGGGCTGGTTCAGGGTTTTCTTCTCTTGTGTCTCCCACGGGGCCAATGCAGTGCCGAAAAATATATAATGTCAATAAACGCTGAATTGGATTGAATCAAGATTGCCAAAGAAGAGGAAATAAAAGAGAAAAATCAAAGTGACCAATGAGAAGCAGGGTATTTGCAGTGTGATCATCCTCCATACTTCTGGAAGCAGTAGATTTTGTTAAAGTCTTCACCAAATATATGAGTCTACAAGGGTCATTAATGTTTTTGACTTGGGGAAACTGGAGTCATAGGACAAGAAGGTGGACATACTGTTCAAAACAAAGGAATGTGGAATTTTTGTTATTAGAAAGTCAGTCTCTCCAATTCTCACTAAATAAAGATAAGTATCTAAAACCTATCCATTTGAAGGGGAAGCTGGTCATCATCCTGCCCGATGCACTGATGTCTCTGTCAGGTCTTATCTCTGGCAAAACAACCAAGCCAGGCAGGCAACCATTGGCAGAGAGGCCTCATACCCAGCCCTGATTTCTTTCACCACACACGACCTCTTGTACCATGGGAACAATTCAGAACTTGGAGAGGGGAAACTTAGTTTTAAATCTCAGCTCTACTACTTACTAGGGTTTAAATTAGTATAACTGAATCTAAATTAGGCTCTCTGGGTCTGCTGCCCCTATCTGTGAACTGTGAATAATCAAACATTTCAGTCTATCTCACAGGTCACTTTCAAGACTCATATGAAATAACAAATGAGAAAGTATTTTGTAGACCATACAGAACTTTAAGCGACTGGGCCAGCTAATCCTGCAGAAATACCTGAACAATCATGAACATACTTGCTCTGAAAGGAGAGATCCTGGGTCCGCATAAACTGATGTTACCGAAGAGTATTAGTCACTTGGCAAATGCCGAAATTACCACTATGAAAATAAAACAAAAAAATCCAAAGCAAAACAACCAAAAACAAACAAACAAAAAAGCAAGACAAAAACCAAACATACACATCCAAGAGATTAGGCCTCTTGTTTTTACAGTTAGCATTAAAGTTTAGTTTAGTCATGTGACTTGGTAAATAGTTCAGTATTCTCTTTTTGACTCAGTTTGGTTCCTGGAACTGTGGCAGGAAGAAACAAAATGGGATTCAATAGAGTGTTTAGCATGAAGTTCATTAGGTAGTACCTTTCTCCTAATAATGCTGGGCATTCTGGAAGTCATTTTGAACAACCTGAATGGCAAGTATTGCTGTGAAAGCCTTCCTGGTTTCTTGTGTGTCTGAAGTAAGAAGGATTGAGTTTGGTGCTTTGAGCCAGTGACAAGAAGTCCTCAGTCTTATCATTACTCCCATCTTGGTACCTGCAGACCCAATGTAAACTCTCTTGACCTTGACTGAGATGGCATGATCTTTTTCCTTCTATTTCAGAAGACTTTTTTAGGTGTAAAAATACAAGTACTCTATGAAATCTGATTTCTATTCCTCAAGATAGAGAGGAACAGTGAGTCTCACTACAAATTTGTTTCAAGGCTCTTCCCACTCATATCGCTTTTTTTTTCAGACATGAGAGACTGCTGAGTCAAACCAATAACTAGGTTAGCATTTCTCTTCTTTAACCAGCCAATAAAATAAAAGCAATTAAGCAATAGAAGGTATGGAGAAACTTCAGGCAACATAGCAGGTTTTTAAAGTTATATCTTGTGGATTTCTTATCCCTAGAGCACAGGAAATATTAGTGCCAGGAAAATCTACATTTATGTCTCCCTTAGGCATGTATTCCTATAATAGCCAATTTAAGATTTTCGAAAAATTGTGCTTTTCCTAAAACATATGAAAAATGAATCAGCTGTGGTACCACTCCTGGGGATTGTGTTTGTCATAAGAAAGGATTTGTATTACACCATCAGACACTTTAATTTCCATGCCTAATATATTTTGTCACATTTTCACTACCTCCTAATTGAAATGAGGCTGAGCAACTGTCAATTTGGATGGCTTTTAAAGGCTGGAGGATAATCATCAACCTGTTTCCAAAGCACTTCAATGAGTGAGTGCATGTAGACCATGTCAACACAAGCCTTGGAGAACACACTCTCAGAGGGCTGAGACAGGGTTTTCCTTCTCTTATATTTCCCATAGGGTTGACGCAGCACCAAAAATATAAGATGTCAATAAATGCTGAACTGGATTGAATCAAGACTGCAAAAGGAGACAAAATACAAGAGACAAATCAAAGTGACAAATGGGAAACAGGGCATTGAGGAAACAAAAAGACAGAAGCCAAACCATTCTTTAAATAGGAAGTACAAAGGGTACCAATCAAAAGTCAACCCCATTGAGGCCTTTTGGATAAGTTCCTTTTCCTTTTCCTATTGACCTCCCTATGGATCTGTTCTTCCACTGATATCATTGACCTTGATCAACTATCAAATTCCAACCCATCCTTTAAAACCTATCTCAAAATCACCTTCCCTGGGAAGGCTTTCTTGATGTCCCCAGAAAAAGTGAGTTGCTTCCTTTCCTGTGAAGTTTCTACCTTCCTAGGACTTTGTCCTTGATTTTGTCTCAGGACTTATATGTTTACAGTTTCTTTACACATCTGTCTCTTCCATCCTCTTTGCCTCCAGACTCAGGTTATAACTTTACTGAAGATCTAACTTTCTTTTTCCTATCTGCATCAACTATCTATGTAACCAATCCCTAACCCAGTCTCTGGCCCACAGGAAGTGCTCCATAAATGTTTACTGAACAATGCACAAGGTAGCTTCCATTTGTAGGCTCTATTAGATGTATCAAAATGCAAAAGGAGCTTTTTGAGTGTCTGCTTGAACCCCAAGAAGGCTACAGCTCTTTCTCAACAGGCAAGAAGAGAAACATGTTAGACGCAGAAGAGTGACCTACATAGGCTTCATTCTTATCTCAATGTGTGAGCCACAACCCAGCACACCAAATGGTTCACATCCCTGTAGAACAAATGAAACCAATAGACACTCGTGATAGGGAAGTTCTTTCAAAAGACTCACTGTCCTGCTTACATCAAGATGCAATATGGGATCACTCTCTACACTGCTTTCTCAAGGGCCTGGTTTAATTTGGTTTTAAAATAACCACTACAGAGAGGGTTCCATGAATTCCCTAAGATGGCTGTCTCCTAAATTAGTGGACTTCTAGGGATCTCTTGTATAAATAAACAGTTTGTGACACTGAAACAGGGCTAGGCCACTTTGGTATTTGTCTGTGCGCAGCTTAACTGAAACATAGCTGGACTTGGAACGTGTTTATACAAACTAGCTAATCCTACTAGGTCATCATGACCTGCAATCACCCTGCTCTTCCCAGCCCATATTCGTCGTGTGCCCACCAAGGCAGTAGCTTCATAATGAGGAGGAGTTTCCATTACAGAGGCAGGTAGGACCCCTGCACTGCTTTCCTTTCACTCAAGCAACCCACGCCTCCCTGTATCTAAAACTCCCACTCTCCTTGATAAAGAAAAAACACAAAGAGCACCAACTTCCGAAGGGCTGCTGTGCTGAACTTGAGAGAAATCTTCTCTTTGTTACCAGTTGGGTCAGACTTAGAAACTCTTAAACCGGAGGTCTACTGCACTGTGTGGTGGCAGTCACTTTGCTTAAGTAGAGCTTTGTGGCCACTCATGATAATTCCAGTTACTAAATAGTTCACTTATACAAATGTCAATGATACTCCAATATTGTGATACTCCAATAGGCTTGCAAAGTCATACTTTGAAATCACGGCATATCTTAAAATATTCTGCATTTAGAATCTGACAGAACCTAAACTATATTTTCTTCAAATGTCTCTTGTAAATTTTTGAACAGCCTGAGGATTCTGAGGGGATATTAATGCATGTGTTTTTGATTCATTTACTCTCATACCATTAAAATCCTGTATTATAAGAACTAGCTGATGTTCAAGAAACTAGTTAAAATTTTAAATAATCTTTGTAAAGGCTTTCTTCTTAACAACAGGAAGATGTGTTTGCCAAAAGAAAATGAACTCAAACACTAGAAAATCTGGGTTTGATTCAAAACTAACCCGGGAGGTTTAAAAGGGCCATAAATTTGGTGAGTGAGATGAGTTGAGTTTCCATATACTACATATCCATATGCCGTGTTGATACTCGGTGTGCACATGCTATCTCACACGTGCTGATGTATAGTGTTAACATTTGAAAGGTCAGAGACAGTTGGCAGGTTAGGTTGGAACAGGGTTCTAATGAGGTCAAGATTCCAGACCTGAGCATGGAGTGCCACTTCTCTTAAACCAACCACTTGCCATTAATGAGCTCAGCAGCCTTGGGCTACTCTGATTCAGTCCAATCTAAGTTTATTGAGGCCTACAAAGCGCTGGCACTGTACTTGGCACTGGGGCTACTACAAGGGCTACAACCTAATCCCTACACTCAAAGAGCTCACAGTCCGCCAAGAGAAACAAACAAGTAAATGCACAAAGGCAGCACATAAGAAAGAGGGAGGACTTACCAATCCTTGAGGGTCGATGAAGGCTTCATGGAGCCAGTGTTTCCTCCTCTTTCAAGCCTCAGCACAAGCATTTCCCTCTTCTGTATGGATTTCTCTAGGCAGATGTAGCTGTTCCTTTCTCTACAGTCCTAATGTACATGAAATAGACCTCCCTTATGAGCAATCAAGAAAATCTGGTGAATAGATAGCAAGGATTATACAGAATTATAGAGTTTGGAGAGGAGAAAAGCATACCAAAGGAATTGGGAGAGGACATTGGAAGGAAGGACTAGTGGATGAAGAAATAGCAGGAAATAAGGCCAGGTAGGTAGAACACTAGAATGTAACTCTTGAAGATTTTACTATGGGAAAAGTTTGGATTTCATTTGGTAGCCCGTGGGGACTTGTTGAGGCTTTTAAGAACTGGACCTGTGTTTTAGCGAGACCCACTTGATGGGCTGTTTGGATGGGAAAGAAATGAATCTAGAGGCCATGAGACCAATTGGAAATCTAGTGCCACTATCTAGGCAGAAGCCAAGGATAGCCTGAACTTAAGGAATAGCGGGAAGGATGGAGAGGAGAGAGTGGATCCAAGAGACGGCTAAAGGGCACAACCAGTGAGGTTTGAAGGATGATTGGATGTGGGGTGAGGGAAGAAGGAGTCCTCCTTCTCCTTTGGGACACTAGGTGAATGGTGGGATTACCAGTCAGCACAGGCAGTGTGGAAGAAATTGCAAAACTGAGTGGGAGGAAATGTAAGAAGTTCAATTTCAGAAGTAATGAATTTCAGTTTGTAATGGACATTCATTGAAGACAATGTCCATTGTGTAATAAGAGATAAGGTGCTTCTTCAGGAGCTTGGGGAACTGAGATATGAGATTAGAGATGGAGATGGAGAGGAAGATGGACATGGAGGTGGACAACGGTGTCTAGCTAGAGCAGAGAGAGTGAGAAGAGAATAGGAATGCAGCAGGAAAACACTCAAGCATCCCAACATTTAAGAGGTGGACAGAGAAATTGATTCAGTGAGGATTCTGAGAGAGAATGTTCAGAGAGGTAGAAGATGAACCAAGAGAAGGTACTGCTAGAGGAGATAAAGAAGGAGGGAGGGAGTGGTCAGTCATGTCAAATGTGACCTAGGAAGGTCAAGAAGGGAAGGGACTGAGAGGAGTCCACCGAATTTTGTATGGGGGGTAATCAACAACTTTACTGAGAGCAGGTGTCAGAAGCAAAGACATGTTTTCAGAGGAATGAGAAAGAAGAGAGAACTGTGCCTTTCGTTGAGAAGTTTGAAGACAATAGAATGGAGAGTGATGAGGGGTCAAAACTTGGAGGGTTTTTCCTTCATGTAGAATGGGTAAGATCTAGAAATGTTTAGAGGCTGAAGAAAGAAAGAGTAAACACAATGTCTCCAGGATGGAGAGAATGAGCACAGCAGAGGGGCTGGTCTACCCAGGAGCCTGACACCTCAGCCACCCAGGAGAAATTTCTTCCTCAGCTTTTGGAGTAATGAATTATGGTGTTTTCATGCCAAACATTTTATTCCATTATTCATCTAAAGTCTTCCCATTTCCCCACTTAAAAACATCTTTAACTTTGTTTTTAGATGTGATGCCAACTCTCTGTGAAATGATGTGGAATTGGGGGCATGGTCATGGTGCAGTTAAATGAGTCTTTGGGGAGGACTTGGGTAGAGTCCCAGCTCTATCACCTATATATTACCTGGCCTCCCTGGGTCTCATTTCCTCCTGTTTACTCAACCTATCCAACAGGGTTACTAAAGGATCAGATGAGACAAGGTCTATGAAATCCCTTGGTAAACTAGTGCAAGACAGTGTTAGCAATTGCATTCCATTTTGTGGCACATGGTCTGTCTTCTCCTGTCTTACTGCCAGGGCTGGTTTAAGTAAGGTAATACATTTGCATAAAGCCCTTGAACAAGGCTTGGCACAAATAAGTTCAAAATAAAACTGAAAGATCATCAAGCCCTCTCCCCTATTTCCACCATGCCTCAGAAGCCATCCAGATGCCATGCTGCCTTCTGTAGTGATCCATGCGACACATCTTCTGCACTTTTGCCCTGCCCAGAATGAATACTCATTGGTCTCGTGTCACATTTCCTCAGACCCACCCTTCTTAGCAGTTATTACCGTGAAACACAACGATTTAGCTAATTCTCACTACAGCAGAGATGACTGATAATAATATAAGTGATTACTCCTCCAAAGAATATTTACAGTTTAGAATGGCACAAACCTTTAGCCAAGAGAGAAACCCGCTAATGGTAAAATATCAGGTAATATGTTAGGCACACTGCAAATTAAATGGAATTCAAGCGTGGTATATTTGAGATGACTAGCATTTTCCAGCATAGATGGAAAATCAAAGCTGAATGTTGCTTGGGAGTATTCTATGTTAGAATTCTCATTATTCGTAGTCACATTAACCATTTGTTTATATCACAGCCCTTCCTGAAAAGGACTTGAGTCATCTTACAATAAAATACAAGTATACAAAGAGTTTAATAAAATCAAAATAGAAAATCAAGACTATGGAAAGGGAAAAATATATAGAAAATATTTTAAATGTAGAAACATAAGAAAAAATCCTAATATTCATATGGAACCACAAAAGACCCCAAATAGCCACAGCAATCTTGAAAAAGAAGAACAGGCCTGGAGGTATCATATTCCCTGATTTCAAACTCTATTATACAGCTACATTAATTAAAATAGTATGGTACTGGCATAAAAACAGACATACGAACCAATGGAACAGAATAGAAATTCCAGAAATAAACCCATGCATCTGTGGTCAACTAATCTTCAGCAAAGGGGCTAAGAACACATAATGGGGAAAGGAAGTAATCCCAGCTCTTTGGGAGGCTTAGGCAGGCAGATCATGAGGTCAAGAGATCAAGACCATCCTGGCCAGCACGGTGAAACCCCATCTCTACTAAAAATACAAAAATTAGCTGGGCATGGTGGTGTGCACCTGTAGTCGCAACTACTTGGGAGACTGAGGCAGGAGAATTGCTTGAACCCGGAAAGCAGAGGTTGCAGTGAACCGAGAACATGCCACTGCACTCCAGCCTAGCGGCAGAGTGAGACTCTACCTAAAAAAAGAAAGAAAGAAAGAAAAAGAAGAAAATGGACACTTATCTTGTACCATTCACAAAAATCAACACAAAATAGGTTACAGATTTAAACATAAAACCTGAAAGTGTAAAACTTCTAGAATAAATCACAGGGGAATGGTTCATGACATTTGTCTTGGCAATGATTTCTTGCATATGATACTAAAAGCACAAGCAACAAAAGCAAAAATAGACAGGTGGGACAATATCAAACATTAAAAAAAAGCTTCTGAAGCAAACAAAAATAATCAACAGACTGAGAAGGCAGCCTACAGAATGGAGAAAATATTTGCAAACCATGTGTCTCATAAGGGGTTAATATATCCCAAATATATAAGGAATACTTGTAACTCTGTAGAAAAAAAAAAAAACAGGTAACATAATTTAGAAATGGGCTAAGGACCTGAATAGACACTTATTCAAGGAAGACATACAAATGGCCCAAAAGTATATGAAAAGTTGCCGAAATCACTAATCATCAGGGAAATGCAAATCAAAACCACAATGAGATATCACCTCACATCTGCTAGGATGGCTATCATTAAAAAAATGAAATATCATATGTCTTTGAGGATGTGGAGAAATTGAAACTCTTGTACACTGTTGATAAGAATGTAAATTGGTGCACCCCCTATGGAAAACAGTTTGGAGGTTTCTCAAAAAACTGAAAACAGAACTACCACATGACCCAGGAAACCCACTTCTAAGTATGTATCCAAAAGAATTGAAATCGAGATCTGAAGAGGTATCTGCATTCCCATTTCTTGACAGCATTATTCCCAAGCACGAATGTGTACATATATGTACATGAATGAAACAAATTTGACTTTGAGCTTCCTGACTTCCCAGGACAAAAGAAAAACAAGATTATTTGATTCTATAGTGGAAATTGCAGCTGCTCACCAAGGCCTACTTCTTTCTAAAAATGATGTTTCAAATTTTCCTTACAGCTAAGCCTAGTCATGCAGTTAACCTCTGGCCAACAGGATATGAGTAGAATTGATAGGTGCAACTCACAGGCCATACCTTTTAGTGTAATGGATGTGCTGAGATGCAGGTGTGATGGTAGGAGCTGGGGCAGGTATTTGGAACCCAGAGAGGCTGT
Source organism: Homo sapiens (assembly GCF_000001405.40). Taxonomy (NCBI): domain Eukaryota; kingdom Metazoa; phylum Chordata; class Mammalia; order Primates; family Hominidae; genus Homo; species Homo sapiens. The sequence continues at coordinate 105,634,121 of NC_000006.12, forward strand.
GTGGTAAGGATGGCAGAATCTGTCTACTGGCCCTGGACTGCTGACCTTTGGGCTATTCCTTTGCTGAAGCTACTGTAGTTTGGGATATTTTGTTTTATCAGCTTAGACTGTACTCTACCAATATAAAAGCTGGTGTCTAGAAGTGGAATCCTATAGGAAAAACAGAAACCCTAAAATAGACAACAGTGCCTTAATATCAGGCAACAGGCATTGAGGACAAAGATACTGAAATTTGTAAAGATATTGATAGTTGTCATGTCATGGTAAACATTTGGTAAAACTACTACCAGTGATAGATGACTGGTAATTGCCAATTTTAGCAAAAACTTATGAGAGTGGTGAACTCGGGTGATAGAAGTTTGCAAGCAGACCTCTGCTCAGAAAGGCTCTCTCTTGCCTGAAGCCTGCATGTAAATTTAATGAAAATCTGGTAATTCGTAGGTTTGAAAAAAAGTACTGCTTTTGTACCACTAAATACACTGAAAGATGAAACTGTAACCTCAAGTCTTCTTCAGACCTAATACTATGTGCTCTCTACTAGACAATAGGCCACTCCTAAGGTAAAGATTAAGTGTGTTGCCTTCTCACTCAAATCTATTGTTTCTGATGACCTCTAGGGAGTCTCTGGCAATATGAAAGAAAGAGGTATGTTGAGCATGGAGACCAGGAAATGAAAGAACAGAATCTTGTGGCTGATGATTTATTGATAGATGAGAACTTCAGCAGTGGTTACTGGCATCTGGAACTGACGGAAAGCAACTGGATTTTAAGTCTATTAGGTTTTAAGGGAATTGTATTGCCAAAGAAACCATAAGCCTGGCCTGCAAAACTTTGTAGCTATCTGAACCCTAAACTAATCCCCAGCCTTCTAAACCTTCACCAGCAGGCAATAGGTTATGCCCACTTCATGTGTGGCCATGAAGAATAAAAGACAAGGAAAATCCTTCTAAAGGGCCAGGGAGAACAATAGATGCCCAAGGGAGTTGTTCCCAGAGTCGGGATCTAACCAAGGAGCCTGCACTGCCAGAGCATAGGGTCTGCAATTCCTGCCCAGTGGGGTTTGACAGCTTCTCTGCACCAGTGGCTGCTGTCTGTTCATCATTTTTCACTTTTTTGAATAGTTTTTATTGTGGTTATCCACAATAAAATGATCATAAAGCTTTGTTTATTGTGGTATTTTGGGTGGAAAGTGGGGTTGAAGATAACTTGTCTCTTATTTTCTAGGTCACCAGATCATAGGAGTTAGATGTAGACTTAATGAAGAGGATTGTACATTGTGTGGATTTTGGACTTTAAGCCTGATGGAGAATGTCCTACATGTGGGAAGAAGGGTGCATGTGGATACTTACATGGCCAGAGGGGAAGATTCCAGCAGAGACTCTAGCTATCCTCCAATATCTATTCTCCTTTTCTCCTTTAAATCAAGCATTTCTCATCCTCCTGTGTAGACAGGATGGCCATGAGGCTAACATCTGGCTAGTAGGAAGTAAATGGAAACAAGTCCCTTCCAGTTTCCTTTGCTCCTTGCCTTGGACCAATCACTTTGAATGCACAGAAGCCTTTTTATTTATCCTGGCTCTCAAACCAAAATGAAGATGTTCAAGTAGAACCTTATACTCTGTGTCCTGTAGACAATATCCTTGACAACATTACAACAAATCCACAGCAGTTTGCTATCCTCTACTTTTCCCTTCTTCAAGTGCTAAAATCAAAGGCACAACTTTGCAGAGCAGCAGTGAGCAGCTCTTTATAGGCCTCCCCACTACTGGAGTACTTCAGACAGAGTCTTCCAGGGGAAAACCAAAACTTGATTCAAGGATAGATCTTAAGACCTATGGAGTAGCAGAATACATAGAGTGTTTCTCACTCTAAGCAATCTAAAATCTCTCTAGTTAACTCCAGCAATGGCAAGGAGGGCTGAGAGGGTATGCGTTGAATGTCACTTTGGAGATCCGCAGAGCGGGTGGAGTGGTTGACGTTCTATCAGAAAGCCAGAGAAGGATGACCAATGTTCTTTTGTGCATTGAATCCAACCCTTCCTCACTTGAAGGGGACCAAAAAGCTTCCCCTGAACCATGAGTCAGGGATTTCCTCACAATGGGCTCAAGCACAAGTACCAAAGCTTCACTGGAGACTTGTATCCATGAAGAGGCATCGCACCACACTATGGGACCACAAGCACCACAAAAAGTGGGCCCCGCGCTTTTTCCATCTTCTCAAAATAAATCTCAGTGGCCAGGGAAAACACACAGAAAACAGAACAGTTCATTTTTGCAGCACTGGTGCTTGGCATGTGGCTTCCAAATATACATGCAAAAGCCAATAACGTCTGTCATTGTCATGAGAAATCACTTTACATTTTATAGTAAAGCAACATAAAATGCATTTAAGTCTATCTTCTTCTTCTTCTTTTTTTTTTTTTTTTTTTTTTTTTTGAGACGGAGTCTTGCTCTGTCACCCAGGCTGGAATGCAGTGGCGCGATCTTGGCTCACTGCAACCTCCATCTCCCAGTTCAAGCAATTCTCCTGCCTCAGCCTCCCAAGTAGCTGGGACTATAGGCACGTGCCACCATGCCCAACTAATTTTTTGTATTTTTAGTAGAGACAAGTTTTCACCATGTTAGCCAGGATGGTCTCAATCTCCTGACCATGTGATCTGCCCACTTCGGCCTCCCAAAGTGCTGGAATTACAGATGTGAGCCACCACGCTCGGTCTAAATCTATCTTCTTAATTGGTCTATGGAATTATTAATTTGCAAGATAAATTAACATGAGTTAAGAAAAATCCTCTAGAGGATCTGGAGAGACTTCTTCTTATGGGCGCAGAGAAGCCTACAGTTCTACAACCACAGCAGGACACAGCTGATTCAGGCCTGGAATATTTTCAAGACAGATGTTACTAGGACATTGGCTTTACCCACAGAAATCTTCTGCAGTATGTCTATGGATTCTCAATTCCATGGCCAAACAATGACCCTCTGGGTGTCTGAACATGTTGGCTTGCGGTATGGGGTTATTTGGTTTCCTGCAATTTAAATATACAGATTATCTGTCAGCGTCACTGACTTTGGTTTCAGCATAATATTGAGCTACGTTTTTTTGGTTCTATATTTGATATCCATATTGCTTAGCTTCTTTGGGCCACTGCTACCTCATGATCATAAAACCATTGCCAAGGAGGTTATTTGTTTCCTGTTTGTTGCATAGCACGAGTGCATCTAAACAGGTCATGAGTTGAAGCTAACTGAAAAAAGTTGACTATGAAACTGCACATTGTGCGTAAACATTTGGAAGGTGGAAGTGTGGATAATTTTCAGTTTTTTCATAGTACATATTTTTATTCTTGAAATAAACACACATTACTTACATATTCAGAAAAAAATACTTTAAAAAATATTCCCCTCTAATCTTCCAGGATTTTATAAAAGAGGAATTGGGCTGATAGTTATCTAAACCCACTGGCCTGGCCAGTATTAGTATCTTTAAAAGTATGCCAGCCAGACAGTACATGTTTCTTGATACAAGGCAAAAGGACACACACAGCATCTAGCCATAAAGTATTCCTGCTCTCTTCCTGCCTAAAGGAAACCCTCAGACCTCAATATCTAATTGCTACTTTGCAGATAAAGCAACTATAAAGACATTTTTGAGTAACTGGAGAAATCTGAATATCAAGTGGGAATTGGATCTATATTAAGAAATTAATATGAAATGTTGACTGAGAAAGTAAAGTGCCAAGGAAAATAAATATCAACCTAATTAAACTGTCCTTTGAGAGGAAAGATAAAATAAAGATATTTTTAGTCAAATAACTTTCCCTCTTCCCAAATGCATGGCATTAGGGTGAAAATTAAGAGTATAAGCAGATTAAATTTAGTTTTTTTTTTATATGTAATGAGTCTGTCATATAATCTTGCAACTTCTGTTTTGCTGTAATTCTTGCAGAGGGATTAAAATCCAAGTTTCATAGCAGCTATCGCCAATAATCAATGTAAAGTAGAAAAGACATGGTTCCCACAATGACGGCTAATGTCCAAAACAACCATAGGAAATAGCACAGATAAATACTATAATAAAATGATAAAACTGAAAACCAACTCCTGTTATCATGGACACAGTTTCCTTAAGGTGGAAGAGAATGTAATTTAGTTAATATATCAATATGCCTGAATTCCAACTATTCCTCAATTACGATTTTGGACTGAGAGATAAAACCTGCATTTGTTAGAAGAACACTAATTTGAAGCTTAGAATTCCTCAACCTGTTCCCTATGGAGGGGCAGAGACTACCGAGAAGCAGCTAGAAGGTCAGCCCCACAATGGTAAGGAATTTTGTGTTGTTTGATGATGTGCCCTAAGTATCCAGAGCAGAGTCTGGCATACAGTAGGTGCTCAATATATTTTGGTCAATGTTTAAAATGTTTAAAATGTGCACCATAATGGAACACAGAAAAGAGAGACCATGAAAGTCATCCTGGGCCTTCCAGACCTCACTTAGCAAAAAGGAGACTGGAGGAAGAATCACTGAGGGCTCCACACTAAGGCAGGCAGGTCTACTCTGGAGATAAGAAACATGGGAATAAGTTGGAGGGAAGTAATGTAAAGATGAGGGCTTTGGGTATTAGTTGACTTTCTGGGTAGAGACTTTAGGCCACCATAACAGATTCTTACTCTTCCTTCCGGAGATGAGGTCAAGGATTACAGGAAAAGGTCCTCAACTTACTCCATTTTATGGATTGATTGATTGATGATTGATTGATTTTAGGAGGTTGAGGTTCATGGTCAGTAAGTGGAGTGGTAAGATTCCTATTTTGATGGAAATACAGGGATTCAGAGCAGCCCAAGGTGGATAATGAGTATTTTTTATTTTGTGCCAATAGCCCCAGTAGGAATACTTCTCTCTGTCCTAAAAACTATCTATGTCCTAGCCAGTATTGTACCCATGGTGATAAAGGAAAGGCATATTTACAGACATGTTTTGATTACCATCATATGTACATTCAACCTGCATCTGCAGACCCTTAGACCACATGTGTATTCCATCCAAGCCCATTTATTTATACTGAGATTAGCATATTTCACAGGGAAATCCACAGATAGGTAGATCTCTTCTTAAACAGTACCATCCTACCCAATCAATTCAACTTGGGAAGCTTAGCACAAAAACTCCTAGGGACTTAGGAGATATTCTGACTCCGGCCATGACTCAGCACCCCAACAGTCCCATTGTCAGCTTATCGCTGATACTTTAGCAATTTATGAAGGATTTCAAAGATGTTGGAAAACAGCTAGCATGGACTTGTTAATCATAAAAACTCTCTTCTCCATTAATGAGAAAGCTTTTGTACAAACACCATGGTCATAACAATGGCTATTAAATTAAATACCATTAATTTTCATATGTATTTAGTAGTTCAGTTTGTACTAACTTAAAGGGGGGGAAATCCTTTATAGCCCGGTACATTCAAACTAATCATTCTACCTTGATTCTCCCTAGCGTGTGCCAAAGGAGATTTTGTTCTAATGGGTATAGAATGAAAAGATGAGGGGAGTGCTCCTCTGCAGTTCTTGGAATGTTTTTGTCATTAAGTTTCCGTCAATGTCTTGATTGTACTTTCATGTTAATAGTCTGCTCTGAATTAGGAGGAAATTTTATTTCATAACACTTGTCACCAAAGACAAGCACATCTCATAGGCCATCCATAACATGTATAAACATATGAAAAATCAAAGACAGGTGTGCAGTTAAACCTGAGATCCTAAGATGGAACAGGTTAAACTGGAAGGAAATTTTGTAGGGCTTTGATATTCCTATTTCACAAAGTTTAAGTAAGGGCCTGTTTCCTCGATATTCCAGTAAAGAAAAAATTACATATAAATTTGCAAGTATAGTTAAGCAATTTTTAAAAAATCAGAATAACATTGGGCGAGGAGAAAACACATCTTATCAGTGAGGTGAAAACACATCCTATCAGATAGCATGACATTATAAGGCCATAGTAACTAAATACACATAAGTGTTTAAGGACAAAAAGATAAATGAATTGAATGGAGAGTTCAGAAGTATATGGAGAAAATGTAAAGTTTGAGAGAAAGTGAGAAAATGAATGAGTCAGATATGTAAAATATGACCCCCAAAGAAGTAGATTATCAAAAATCTACAATCATTCATTGATTTAGCTGACCCCATTCATTCTTTTCTTCACATTCAGGTGTCATTCAAGGATGGGGATGAGCTTGTTGAAAATGTGTGTTTATTGATAATGATACTAGGAGCACTAATAATAGTAGCAGAGTTACTGACTGGAGCCAATGTAGATTCTTTTGATTAGTGACTTCCGCTTGGAGGCTTAGAGCTTCCAACTACTACCCAGTGGCATTGAAAACCATATAATGTGTCACTCAAACTGTGATACTTTGGAGAACAAAAGAGGCATCATTAATAATTGTGCTTAGATAACACACATAAACCGGCACCATACTGGGAAAATCAGGATATATAGTCACTCTATCCACAGACGTATAATACCAGAGACTCCATATTAATTCTAAAGACCTCAGGAGCACTGTAATTTTCAAAGTTGCCCTCACAGATCCAGACCTGGCTTAGCGTGAATTGGTACATTCTGTCTTGGCCCAGGTAGTATAGACGTATTTGTCCCAGAATCACATCATTCTTTTCCTTCCCACCATGCTCCAACATCTTTAAGTTCTTTCAGTTTGGGGTTCTGACCTATGGAAAGGAACTGGAGTGCATTTCTCAGGTAGAAAGATGTGTTTTTGATCTCCTTGTAGCCTTCACAATGCCAACACTTTCCAGAACAACCCATTCTACTGTGACTTGAGCTAACCTCGTGACAAGATAGCTATAAACTACATTTCCTACGTATGTTACTTGGTTCTATCATTTTGAGGCCAAGATGTTTCAAATCTGGGAAGACACCTGGAAGTATAATGAAAAAGTGAAGGGAGTGGGTGGGAAATTCACATTTTCTGAGTACCTAGGAATGTACCTCATGGTACTAGAGGTACTAGACCTCATGGTAACTCTATAAGATCGGTATTATATACACATTTTTAAGATGGAAAAATTAAGCCTCAAAGATAAGTAATTTACCTAATGTCACAGAGCTAGTAAGAGCTAGTTAAAGGAATGCTTGTTACCCTATGCTTTTCCATTTCCATCTGAGCCTCTTGGTGATAGTGATGAAAACTTTAAGATACAGCCAATGGAGACAGATCCAATGGAGAGGAAGGTGGGCTCTCTCAGCAGTGGGAAGGCAGAAACACCATCACATGGTCATGTAAAAGAAACAAATGACTTAAAGAAAGATTCATAAAATTTAGCTTTATTTCCCAGAGGTCAATTGGACCTAAATGGGCGTTTTCTACACTGACAATATACTTTTCTCTACCGTGGCTATAGCATATGTTCTGAGTGCTCAGAAACCATCATTTTTCTGTTCACTCTTTAGGGTCTCTGTCACTCTTGGGGGTGAGTCCTGTGCTTAGAAAGCTGATGCTTCCCCAGCATCAGATGTGCTGTGTACATGTGACCACATTGGTCTCTTTGATTCTCAGTTTCCTGTACATCTGGATGAAGAATGGCCAGCTGGGGAGTTGTAGGCATACAGTTGTGCATCATGTCATAGCACACAGTAGCATGCTGGGTTATATATACTGAGCTTTTAGATTACAGTTTAAGAATCACTTCACATTTGGTATCAGCTCATTTGGTAAGAATCACTTCACATTTGGTATCACCTATGTTGTATTTGGGTACCCCTGAGTCAGGCAAGTAAGTTCCTGTCCTTTTTTTTCCTGGTAGTACATCATCTCGTCTTTCAGTCCATACCTTTTCTCTCTCTCCCTCTGTCTCTCTCTCAGGCTTGATCTCATAAAAAATCATAAACTTCCAACATGCTTATGGTTAAAAAAAAATTCTAGAAAAGGATACACATGGTTCATCCAGATTTTTAGCACAACTCCTCCTCCAACAAACACTGAAAAATTAGAAAGCAATTTGAGAAAAATTGTTTTGAAAGGTATGTAGGTTTGACTTTTCGGTGTGGGCATACCCATATTTAAATTACAGGGTTATCCGTTGTGCTCAGAAATTACAATAAACAGGATACCTGACAAACAAGGATAGTGGAATCATAGAATTGCATCATTGTTCATTAGAAAAAACAAGTACCCTTATGATACTGTGACTGTACAGAATTACATTATCATCTATTCCACACACAAGCACAAATATGGAACAGAAGATCTAATGAGTCGAGATGTCATCTGAATTTCCATGTGTTACATTTACAGCTTAGAGTTGTAGCTTTATTGAATGGCGCCAAAACATTCTTACTTCATAATAGCATTAGTGACATTTCACTTGGATAATCCTATTTGTTTTCATTTATTTTAATGAGGTAGTTTGGGATGGTAACCTGCAGCAGAAAGCTTGGCAACAGGTGACAGCATGACTTGAAATGCCTATTGAACTGAAAGGTAGTTAAAAGCTAAATGAAATGCTTAGATGCACAGTGGTTTCCCAGCACCATATATTTTACTCTAAAAACAGTAAGGCTAAAGTGCCAATTGTAAGAACCTAAGACTTTATTACCTTTTAAAACTTTCCTGCGTGGATGAGTGGATAATAAGGACTAATTTGCTGCATTTTTGTGGCCTGTTTCCACATGTTTGCATTTCCCAATGACGCTTTCTTTATGGAAAAGAGTGCTGGGCACAACACATTTTTTTCCATGCAGCGATCATATGTCTATGATTCATTTAATCCTTCAATACAGATACACAGTCAGTAGTGATGCAGACGGCTAACAGACATGCATATTTGCCAAGCCTTAAGTGTCCCAGCTTACAAAAGGAGTTTCTAATGTTGAGAACTTCAATTATGTCACTTAAACCCATCAATCTTTTTCCCTTGCCTCATGCTACAAATCTTTCAGATCTATTATTTTCATAACATCTGATGCCTGGAGTGACAAGTGCCCTCTGACATTTTAGTTTTCCATGGAGACTTAGAATGAGAAAATGGCGCCTCATTAAGTCTTTCTTATCAATTAAAAAGGAAACACCTTTTCCTGTTCCATCTTATGCAACAGCTAACTCAGGTATTAAGTAAGCTGCCAACATCTTTCTAGAACCCAGAGTAAGAATTCATAATCGACCCTGGTCTTTTAGGCCCAGGGAATAAATAGGAACAAGAAATTCCCATCCAAAGAACACCATGTTGACTTTAGCTATATCTTGTAAGATCTAGTCAATGTCCATCTGAAAGCTGTGAGATTAAGGAAAGGACTCCTATTTTATCAATCCAGGTCCAGACAAGAGACAAATTACACCAATGGAGATAATTTAATATAAACAATATAAAGAAGTACTTACTAGGTACTGAATGATTGAATATGCAAAAAGAGAACAATAAGTTATCATGGAAATAGGACACATTTACCACTTGCAGGGCTGGGGAACAAAGGGATGAGATGGGAACCATCAAAATAGATCCCAATGAATGCTACACTCAGATGTCTGAGGAGAGGGCACTGCTCTGAAGTTGCTGGTGCTTCAGACCTTGGGTAGGGGGGTAGACTCAGATCTCCCAGGGAGGTGGCAGCTGGCTGGTGCTGGTGTACCTAAGTAGGGAGTAGACTCAGATCCCCCAGGGGAAGTGGCAGCTGGTGGCCTGTGCTGATGTACCTAATGCCAGTGTGGGGCCACAGGGTTGGCCCAAACTTCCAAAAAGGTGATACTGCCAGCTAAGACAGTGCATCTGAGGGGTGTACCATGAGACTGGTTCTGCAACTATTGGAAAAATTGTAAACTGGGCTGGGCATGATGGCTTATGCATATAATCCCAGCACTTTGGGAGGCTAAGGCAAGTGGATCACCTGAGCCCGGGAGTTCGACACCAGCCTGGGCAGCACAGTGAAAACCCATCTCTACAAAAAAATACAAAAATTAGCTGGGTATGGTGCACACCTGTGGTCCTAGCTACTTGGAAGGCTGACGTGGGAGGATCACCTGAGCTGTGATCACACCACTGCACTCCAGCCTGAGCGACAGAATGAGATCCTGTGTCAAGAAAAAAAAAATGCAAACTAGTATAAACAGCTGTTACTGAAGTAAAATGCCACTGTTTGGGTGAAGAAGTGTTGCTGGGTGACACTGAAAGAAATAGGAAGCAAAACTGGAGTCAGAGGTAGCAGAGAGGAAAATAAACTTTCTCCTTTCCCAGACTTGCAGTCTTTCTCTAGCATCCCCTGTTGGCAGAGCCTAACAGGGAATTATCAGCAACACAGAAATAAATGTGTATTGCAGAGGTCCAGCATCACACAGCAGAGTGTAGGAGGATGGGCTTGATGCCGCGAGACAATAGCTTAATGATGGGCCCAACCCACTGACATGTAAAAAATATATTCACCAAGCATGAGGGAAAACCAAAAATTCTAAGTGGTATTCTTGTAACTGATCTTGCACTTGACTTTCTACTTCCTTTCCATTCACCCCCACGTCAGCTCCTCTGGCTAAGAATATTTGCTGTTGAAACTTGAGCAAGATTTTTCTAACTTTGATGCACTTTTACATCAGAACCAATATGGAATCAAGCAGAGAATGTCTTTTGTAAAGGTTATCTAGATGATGCCTACTTCAGAGAGTTGTTTACTACTCTGAGAAAGGATTTTTTTTTTTAAAGACTACTCTTACTTAAGGAGGAAGAGCAAATTCTACCTGGGAAATGATTTACCACAGAGGTCTTATTCATGAGCAGAGGCAGTAGTAAAACTGCACTCATCACGCCTTGGTCTTGAGAAATTCCTGGTCGGGGGGTGCTTCCTGAGTATGGGACAGAATCCATAATGCTCATAGTAGCCCCTTTCAAAACCTTTAGGCTTCACTATGGGCCTTCTTGACGGTTCTGAGTTGATGTAGATAATGAGAAATTGAGGTAATGAAAAATGTCCATTTGTTTTTTCTTTTAAACTGTCGAACCCAATCCATTATTGACACAAGTTTTTCTCCTGAAGTGTATAGAGATCTATACTCTATAGACAAATAGAAAAGTAGAACACTAGTTGGATTTTGCTGTGGACATGGACTTTGGTTGCTGAAACAAGTATCTGTTTTATGTAAAGAATGTTCCATCAGCAGCCACTTTTTTTAAAAAGAGCACTTGGCAAATCTCTGGAAGCCGGCTTATGTAACTAACTGCCTCTTATGGTAGTATGTGAAGGCAGCACAGAACATATTGTTTCCCACTGTTTCTCTTTGAGAAATTAGTTTGGTGCCTGGCAAGAGGAGAGATGTGCAAGGGCAATATTCCTAGAAATAACTACCTGTGTACTTGCTGGAATTCCACACTGGATGGAGGCTCCTTTGTGAAAGGCAGGTGTTGATTTCTAGGCTGAGAGAGTACTAGCAGGGAGCTCCTCAAAGGAACTTGGAAAGAATTACTTAGGTCTCATTTCACACCCTGCATCTGATTTTTTAACTAAGTCCCTAAGAGAAAAGTGGCTACAGGTGTTGTAAACGACCCTTCCTTCAGTAAACTGATTGAAACTGAACACTGATCACAATTTCTTTGCATGAGAAAGATAACTGGGCATGGAAAATTTTGATCTGAGAATATCTGAAAATTACATAAATAACATTAACAAGTGTTAGAGTGACAGAAACAATGAGGCCAGATTTGTTCTAACTTGAAAATGTAAGGGCTATTTAATGTATTTTAGGATGGAGGGAGTGCTAAGGATCGTTTATTTTTAGCTCCCATAAAAACTCAATTTCCTTCATAGTGGAATCAGTCCAAATTGAAGATTTGCTCTTGCACAGACACTGGACTCTCCCCAAAATTTTCAGATTAGCAGTCATACCCCAAAGAATAAACCTGGGCTAAAGCTGCAGGTTCTAGCACTGAGACAGAGATCATCTGCATTCCTGTTACCTAGTCAAGTGTCCTGGATAAATCACAAAAACATCGAAGTCTTAGGTCACGTCACCAAGTCTCACGTTCCAAGAACTGTCAAGAGATTGCTTATGTAGCCACAGGCCAGACAGACAGGGGCTTTGTGAGACTATCCCTCAGGGGTGCTGGGGGTGTTTGCATTGTTAGCCTGGAAAAAGCTAGCCAGACCAACATAGTCACAGCAATTGAAAATCCTGAAGGCCCATCTATGACCAAATGTATTAATAAATAAAAAGACCTATAAGAAACCTTCCCACCAGCATTAACCACACCAAAAGCAAGTCAAACCCAGGCTTCTCATAACTGGTTCTTGTTCCAACACAAGAGTGAGAAGAGCATCTTGCTGCGGCCAACGGTTACTATAGCTCTCCTTTTGTAGAAAGCCACCGTCTTCGAAGAGCTTACTAGGTGTCTCCACTAAAGAACAAAAAACATGGGTAAGACTGGTTTCCTCTCAAGTTATGACTCAGCTTTGATCACCACACTTCCACTTGAGCCTATTAACGTTCAGTGGACAGAATGTCACTCTTTTTCAATCAGCTGCTACAGCAAACAATAGCCTTGCTGCATTTCAGTCATATAGAAAGCCACAGAATATTTCCTTTTGACTCTCTTCTCTCCACATCAGACCCACAGTCAGGCTCATGCTGAGGTCTATCTTCTCACAATCTACTAGAAAGTGGCCTGCCTCTACATGCTTACCCTGCTAAAATGAGAAGCAAGAAATAAACAACTTCATGTTAATTATAAATAGGAGGCACTGGATATTAAACCTGCCCATAGAATAATGGAGAAGGAAAGCATTGCGCTCCCTTTCTCCTTGAGTCGGGAGCCATATCCCTTGCCAGAACAGTGAACTCTCACTGGGTAGCAGGAGAGGCCACTATGATAAGGACCCAAGCAGAAGCCTGGGGGTGGGGTTCTCACGACCACTCACAGACCCCTGAACCTGGGGGGAGTAGCAGAGAACAGCCAAGAGCGACATGGACTGTCTTGCATTTTCCTCATCTCTTTATTCTAGAAAAAAAAAGAGGAAGGAAGAAAAAATGAAAGAAAAATGCTATAATTTTCTTTTCTCCATCTTTCTTGGAGATCAGAAAACAGTAGGTTCTGAAGATCTCCTCTGTGCTCATGGGCACGTGAAAAATTTCATGATGCTTACTTGGCTTTGAGATTTTATTACCATTATTATTGTTATTTTATATTAATATAAAAATAATAAAGATGTATTGAGCTCCTTCTATGTGCCCAACACTATAAGCATAATAAATACTTTATCTCTTAATCCCCACAGCTCCCTATGAATTAGATACTATTGATACTAATATTATCCCAAATTAAAAATTAGGAGCCTGAGGCATGAAAACGTGAACTCATTGGAGATCACACCACTCACAAATGGCAGAGCCAGGGTGCAGCCCTAGGTCCAGTGTCCCCAGAGCCCATTCTGCCATTCACTTCAGGTCATTCTCTTCCCATTTAGAACACTGAACTTTTTATATCCTCAACAGACATAAATGCTCAGCTTCAAGAGCCAAACAAAAATAATTGTTACAAATTCCACTGTTTGTTTTCCCAGGGGGTGCATCTTAGAGTTATTAAATGTAATCCTCTGTTCCCCTTACTCCAGTAGTTTCTTTACCCCTTTGGGAGTGTCCTACCATTCTTCCCCATTTCTTCACATTCCCTCCTCCCCCCACCCTTACCCAGGCTGTCTGAATTCTATTCCGCCTTAAAGATGTAACTCAACTTCCACCTCTCCCAAAAAGGGCTTCTTCAACTCCTGTCACCTCCATCTCTGAATTTTTATAGCATTTAATGTTAATGCTATTTACTTGGCATTTGTGTTTTTTGTGTTTTACTTTTTACTGTTAGTTCTATTTGAGAATAATTCATCTTGAGGCAGAATTCATTCTATCCCATTTTTTCATTGAGATGAAACCCTTGAAGGCAAGGAACAAGTGTTCAAACATGTTTATGTATTCACACACTCCACGCTCAGCATCTTGGACATAACAGACACTCAATAAATCACCTTTGAGAGCTAGGTTAGAAAGCCTATTGAAGCCTGTGATTTGAAACAGGCTGGGCTGGTAGAGAAAAAAGCTAGCCTGTCTTCTTAGAGCTCTAGAAAGTACTGTGGAATACATTTAAGAGTCTACGGAGTCCCTTCACGGGCAGAAAAGAGTCCTCTGACTCCTCGATTCCTAACCTCCCATGTCCCAACTTATCTCAGTGTTCCCCTTAAACTCCTAAATTTTGAACCTAAAGTATGCAGAACATCAGATCCTGAAAAACAACGCCAACTTTTACTTGACGGTTTCACTTACCCTCACACCTGTGGTTTTGAAGGTGTCAAGTTTCCTCTGAAGTCTTTCTGTGAAGCTTTATCCCCCTCATTTTTCCACCCTGCCAGTCAACCCTGTCAACAGTGACAATCTCCTTGTCAAGCAGAAGCCACTCAAGCTATCAGTTTTCATTAGCCGTTTAGTTGGGATAATCCCTTTTTCCTACCAAACTGTTTCCTTCTAGGAACTGCTGATTCCTTTTATTTGGGGTTTTTCAGACTTCTCTAACTAAAGCCCCTCCACCCAGATGATTTCTCACTTTTCTGAAGATCTCCTTCAGCTAAAAAGATTTCCTATAACCTCATTTTCTATAGTTTGTATTATGAAAAAATGTGGTATATAACTTTTTTTTTCAAGCAACATATGGCAACTAAGAGTTTAGTATGCTCTAGAAAGGGGTATTTCCTCTGGGGAAATTTTTTATTATTTTTTGTTTTCAATATGACCTGCTTCTTTACCTCTTCCATTTCCTATTTAGAGCCCACCCATCCTTTGGTGACTTAAGTAAAAAACAAAACAAAACAAAACAAAAAACCTTTATCAACTTCAAAATTGTGTCATCTATTTTCATTCATATTGTTAAATTCACTAACCGAGAGGAAAGCTGTAAGATGGTAAATGTAACCATGCACAAGGTCCCCATTCATCAAGCTTGTGGAAGTGTTAATTTTGGAGACAAGTAAATAAGTAAATGTTCTAAACCTATTTTATCTCTTTCCTCCCATGACCATTTCTCCATTTTCTACCCATCAATTACTTGTCCTTATTGTCAATGTTTTAGAAAGTTTGAGTTTTAGGAAAGGCTAAGTAGCTCTTCAACTTCCTGTGAAGTTGAACTGTGGCCTGAGCTTAGCATCTCTCCAACACCTGCTCACACTTACCATCCACCGCCCATCCCTCCCTTCTTTTCTGTTCCTGTATACTACTATGTTCTGTGAATGAGATATCACTACAAACTTATGTCCACAGAAAGAGAAAGCATGAGGTAAGAAATAACAGAATGACTCCCTATAAGTGACTTAAGACATCTGATGAAGGTCTAAAAGCAGGTCCTTCTTCCCTCTCAGGCTAAGTCTTCACCTGGCCAAAATTCATGCAAAAGAAGCAGGTGACTAGAGTAGTGTGGACCAATGTATTTTTGTCAACCACTTTAAAGCAAACTGCTAGAAATATTGTCTTTCTTTCTTATCTTCTGATTTCCCTGAAAACAGCCAATAGCAAAGCAGAAGTTCTATCTTCCTTTCTAAAGGACAGAACAATCATTGCCCAAGAATCAGAAGATGCAGGTTCAAGTTCGACATCGACAAGATACCAGCCATATAGCCTGGGGCAAGTGATTTAGCCTCCCCAAATATCAGTTTCCTCAGACATAAAACACAGGTTTTCCTCCAAGAGAGATGTTGTGAGGATAGACTGAGTTAAGATAAAAACACTTTGTAAACTTTAAAGCTCTACATAAATATAACTCAACATCATATTACATTTCTATTTTTATTTTCCCATTAATAATTCTGGGTTTGCTGTCATTTCTCAAATCCACATTTTTTTTTTTTTTTTTGAGACAGAGTCTCACTCTGTTGCCCAGGCTGGAGTACAGTGGTGCGATCTTGGTTCACTGCAACCTCCTTCTCCCGGGTTCAAGTGATTCTCGTGCCTCAGCCTCCCAAGTAGCGGGGACTACAGGTATGTGCCACTACACCCAGCTAATTTTTTGTATTTTTAGTAGAGGCAGAGTTTCACCATGTTGGCTAGGCTGGTCTCAAATGCCTGACCTCAGGTGATCCACCCGCCTTGGCCTCTCAAAGTGCTGGGATTACAGGCATGAGCAATTGTACTCGGCCTCAAATCTGCTCTTTCAATATACCAATGATTCTTTCTGAAATATTGAAAAACTCCTTTTTTGTAGTTTAAACTACATTTCTAATCCTCTGCAAAATAAAATAAAACCAGCTATTTTTTGAACTACTTCTGAATAAATATTCAGAAGTTCTTCTCTTTCAATTTTTTTGAATAGTGAAGGAAATGGTTTTCTTTTGACAATTTTTAAAAGCATTCTAAGCCCACAAGAAAGAGATTGAGATCTCTTTAAATCTGACTCTGAGAACACAGAAGCTTTCAATAACAATCCAGATTACACTATTATAACATCAACATCTACCTTTCATCTGCAGATCTCAGGAAACATTATAAACACTGTCGCCTCAACCTTTGCATCAGTATTAATATACTCATTTTTAAAGCTGAAAAAAAATGATTTAGGGAGTTTGTAAAAGCCAAACATGAAATTCTACTCTTCTGTTTAAATGTGCAAAATAAATGGATAAATGACAATGTTTTGGCTAAAAAAGAGGCAGGGCCTTTAGCTTGAAGAAGCAAAATTGGAGGAGGCAGGACACTGTGACTGAACTCATTACTCTCATTTGATGACATCTGAAAAACATAACTTTTACAGTGCATTTTTCTCACCTCTACTATTGTACCAGTTTAGTAGAATAGCGATCCTTGAATCAGCAAGAATAGCATGTTACCACCTCAAACTTATCCTAATTAAACTTTCACAAATATTTAATAAAATGTTTATTGTTTACTAAGAAAGTGACCTTTGGTCTGTTGGTACAGCCAAGGTAGATATTCTGAAAAACCTTTGCCTTATAAATGTTTGCGGAACCTCATGATAAAGGTTTCTGAAATGGCATGATAACACCTAGATAAATATTTCAATACATTTGAGGGTGTTTTAAGTAACCATATATTTCCTAAATGATCATTTAACATCTAAGTAACTTGCTTTTCTGTGAACACTATTCATTTAGGTGTAGATTCTCACATCATCTTTGAGAGGAAGATAAGCATTATTAGTCACTGAGAATTCAGTTAACTTCATTGATTCATCTTTCAAAAATAAAATGCTGAATAATTGAAGAGACCAGAGGCCAACAACAGTGTCAAGGTAATTAAAATTACGTAGTTCTTCTTTGTTTAGAGATAGAAAGGAAGAAACAAATTTGAGTAGAAAGAATACAGAAAAGATGAAGGTCTAGTTAAGAAAAAGACAGGATAAGAAAACAAGAAAAATGATAATTCATAAATACTTCAATTTCAGTGGGAAATAAAATCTATAAGCTCTGATGGCATCCTGAATGTTTGTTCTCATTTGCATTTTGGGGTAGTTTTTGAAGGGAAAACTTTTAGAAGAATTCGGGATATTACCCCAATTCTGATTTTCCAAGCATAAAGAGATTTTCTCTTCTCTTAGAGGCTTAAAATACCTGAAAGTGCAGAATTATTCATTTCAGAGATTCCTTTGCTTTTTCTAGAAGCCAAAATGTAAGATAAGCATCTGCACAGTGGGCTGGGACCTGTAGTGATCCCTATCCTTCTCCATACACCAACACCTGAGGGTGTGAACATTCCCATCAGTAACAGAGGTTTCCTGTGGACCAGATTCACAGAGGACCCAGGGCTGAGATGAGTGGCAGCACTTTGTCCAAATGGTATCTGTGCAGGTAAAAATGAGAAAAAGGTAGCACTCACTCAATTCCCTCCAGGATAGCCAACTGACCAGGCTCAGAAGGGGTCCCATCCTGCTCCTCAAAAAAGAGGAAATCAGCTCATCACATCAAGAATATTCTCTCTTCTTTTGATCACCACTGTGAGCACACTCATAAGACACTGGCACCAGAAAGCAAGAGAGTTGACACAGAAGTGGCTGACCACACACCAAGCCACAAGGGCACAGCCGTGAGTCTTACAGCCCCTCTCAGAGACAGGGAAAAGGAGGAGATAATAACGACTTGGGTGGAATAGAGGCTTTGAACATGCTAGGAGCAGCTAAACCCAACTGATGAATAACAGAAGCACCAAGAAAGAGTCAAAAAGCAAGCTTCTGCCCACATTTTCCAGGATGAGCCTATTAAGTCTTATTATGTAGTTACACCAGTACAGAGAGTTCTGGATTTTAAAAATTGAGGCCAGGTGTGGTGGCTCACGCCTATAATCCCAACACTTTGAGAGGCAGAGGCGGGCGGATCACGAGGTCAGGAGTTTGAGACCAGCCTGACCAACATGGCGAAACCCCATCTCTACTAAAAATACAAAAATTAGCTAGGCATGGTGGTGTGCTCCTGTAATCTAAGCTACTCAGGAGGCGGAGGCAGGAGAATCGCTTGAACCTGGGAGGCGAAGGTTGCAGTGAGCTGAGATCGTGCCACTGCACTCCAGCCTAGGCGACACAGTGAGACTCTGTCTCAAAACAAAACAAAACAAAATTGAGATATAATTCACATACCATAAAATTCACTCTTTAAAAGTGTCTGATTGAATGGGGACTGTTTCTTAGTATATTTTCAAGGTTATGAAATCATCATCATTATCTAATTTCACAACATTTTTACCACCTCACAGAAATCTCATATCCAATAGCAGTCACTCCTGATTTCCCCCACCCCTAAGCCCCTGGAAACCACTATCTTTTTGTCACTATGGATATGCCTTTTATGGACATTTCAAATAAATAGAATCATACACTATGTGGCCTTATGTGTCTGGCTTCTTTTACTTAGTGTAATTTTTTCAAGGTTCATCCATATTGTGGCAAGTATCAATAATTCTTTTTTAACGGCTAAATAAT
Source organism: Homo sapiens (assembly GCF_000001405.40). Classification (NCBI taxonomy): domain Eukaryota; kingdom Metazoa; phylum Chordata; class Mammalia; order Primates; family Hominidae; genus Homo; species Homo sapiens. Next base: position 105,653,079 of record NC_000006.12, read on the forward strand.
ATCCCATTGTATGAAATTATCAAATTTTGTTTGTACATTCATCAGTTTTTAGACATTGAGTTGATCTGGGATGTTTCCACTTTTTGGCTATTATGAATAGTGCTGCTATGAATATTGGTGCACAAGTTTTTGTGTGAACATAAGTCTTCAGTTCTTGAATATATACCTAGAAGTGGGTCATACGGTAACTCTATGTTCAACTTTTTAAAGAAATGCCAAGCTCTTTTTCAAAATGGCTGCACCATTTTAGATTTCTGTCAGCAATGTATGAGGGGTTCCAATATCTCCACAACCTCCTCAACACTTATTTTCCATTTCTTTGATTGTAGCTATTTTCATGGGTGTGAATTGGTGTCTCGTTGTGGTTTTGATTTGCATTTTCCTAATGACTAATGATGCTGAATATCTTTTCATGTACTTATTGGGCATTTTATATATTCTTTGAAGAAAATATCTGTTCAAATGCTTTGCTCATTTTAAAATTGAGTTGCCTGTTTATTGATGAATTTATGGCTCTTTAATTTAGTTCTTTCTGGACAAGAAATACTTATAAGACAAATGATTTACAAATATTTTCTCCATCTCTGTGGGCTGTTTTTTTTTTTTAATTTTCTTGGCAGTGTCCCTTGAAATACAAAACTTTAGTTTTAAAGTCCAATTTATCTATACATGTCTTTTGGTTGCTTGTGCCTTTCATGTTATAGCTAAGAAACCACTGTCAGTCTAAGGTCACAAAGATTTACACCTATGTTTTCTTTAAGGGTTTTACAGTTCTAGCACTTACATTTAGGTCTTGGATTGATTTTTAGTTAATTATTGTGTATGGTATGAAATAGGTATCCAATTTCATTCTTTTACATATGAATATCCATTCTCTTCAGCATCATTTGTAGAAAAGAATATTTTTCCCCCTTGAATAGTCTTGGCAGCCTGCTGAAGCCCAATGTATTTTTAGACCCTTCACTCTATTCCATTTATCTATATATCTATCCTTAAGCCAGAAGCATACTGTCTTGAGATAAGTTTAAAATGAAGAAGTCCTTCAACTTTTTCTTTGTAAGATTGTTTTGGTTATTCTTGGTTCCTACATTTTCATATGAATTTTGGGATCAGTTTGTCAACTGTGTCAGAAAAGCAGCTGGAATTTTGATAAGGACTGCATTAAATCTATAGATTATTTGGGGGAGCACTGAATCTTAACAATATTAATTCTTCAAATCCATGAACATGGGATGTCTTTCCATTTATTTAGAAATTTTAAAATTTTCTTCAATGAGATTTTATAGTTTTCAGAGTATAAGTTTTGCATTTCCTTGTTAAATTTACTATTTCATCTTTTTTGATTATTGTAAATAGAATTGTTTCCTTAATTACATTTTTAGTTTACTCATTGCTACTGTATACAAATACAGATTTTTGTGTATTAATCTGGTATCCTGTAACTTTGCTAAACTCATTTATTTGTTCTAACAGTTCTTTAGTGTATTCAAAAGACTTCCTATAAACATGCTCCTATACACATGAACATATCATCTACAAATAAAAATAGTTTTACTACTTTCCAATTTGTATGCTTTTAATTTTATTTTCTTGCTTAATTGCCCTGGCTAGAACCTTCAGTACAATGTTGAATACAAGTGACAGAGTGAAAATTTTTATTTTGTTCCTGATATTAGAGGGAAAACATATTATTTTTCACCATTAAATGTAAAGTTGGCTGTGGGTATTTCACAGATTTATCAGGTTGAGGATGTTCTCTTCTATTCCTAGCTGTTGAATGTTTTTATTACAAATGTATGTTGAATTTTGTCAAGTGCTTTTTTCTCATCTATTGTGATAACTGTGTGGTTTTTGTTCTTTAATCTGTTGATGTAGTTTAATACATTAATTAATTTGTCGATGTTAGACTAATGTTGCATTCCTAGGATAAATTTCAGTTGGTTATCATCTTAGTTGGCTCAGACTGTTGTAACAAAATACCACAGATTGGTGGCTTTAACAACAGAAATTAATTTTTTGACAGTTCTAGAGGTAGGAAGTCTGAGTTCAGGACTAGTTTCAAATGGGACCCAGAACAAGAGAAGTCTCTGCAATAAATCCAAGCTGCATGTACTCTGACACTTGGGCCACATGATCCAGCAGATCCATGGTGCTTGAAGCAGGAGTAGGGATATGTTTTGGAGGAGCTGGCAGGCCCCTATAGTTGACTCATGGTGCAGACCATTAGGATTTTGGAGCAAAGTCCTGCCATCTTCTATGGATAACTAATTCTCCTTTGAGAATCAGCTCTTGTCCTGGTACTGGGCCTTAGTAGAGACTGAAGGCTTAACCATGGGCCATCAAGTTACCATGCAACCTGAACTGCCCATTGTGAACTGGGTATTATCTGACCTACAATGCCATAAAGTTGAACATACACAGCAGCACTCCATCCTCACGTCCTCACCACCTCAAGCGGTATATGTGAGATCAGTCCTGAGAAGGACCTAAAGGCACAAGTAAGTTACATGAAAAAATGACCAAAAGGTCTATGGTTTTTACGCCTGCTACATGCTACATTGCCTTCATTCTCCCAGCCTGTAACTATGGCCTCATAGGAAGTTTCCTACAATCAGCTGAGAAAGGAAGAAAAGACTCAGGCCTGGTTTACTGATGGTTTTGCACTGTATGCAGGCACCACCACCTGAAAGTGGACAGCTGCAGCACTACAGACACTAAAAGGCAGTGGTGAAGGGAATTCATCCTGGAAGTGCATCTGATTGTTCACTTTCTTTGAAGAGAGAAATGGCCAGTCATGTGATTATATACCATTTCAGGGACTCTGGCCAATGGTTTAGCTGGATGTTCAGGGCCTTGGAAGGAACATGATTGGAAAGTTGGTGACAAGGAAATTTGGGTAAGACATATGCAGATAGACCTCTTCAAATGGGCAAAAAGATGTGGAGATATTTGTGTCCCATGTGTATATTCACCAAAGGGTGGCTTCAGCAGACGAGGATTTTAATAATCAATTGGATAGAATGATGTGTCCTGTGGGTACCAGTCAGCTTCTTTCCCCAGCTACCCTTTCATTGCCCAGGGAGCTTATGAACAAAGTAGCCATGGTCACAGGAATGGAGGTTATGCCTGGGCTCAGCAACATGGACTTCACTTACAAAGGCTAATCTGCTTATGGCCACTGATGGGTGCACAATGTGCCCACAGCAGAGACCAACATTGTTTTCCGAATATGGCACTATTTCCTGGGGTGATCAGCCAACTACCTAGAGGCAGACTGATTACAATGGACTACATCCATCATGGAAAGGGCAGCATTTTTTCTTTACTGGAATAAATATTTACCCTGAATATGGATTTGCCTTCCTTGTACACAGGCTTCTGTCAAAACTACCATACATGGACTTACAGAATGCCTTATTCATTAGCACAGTATTCCACGCACACTTCTTTGGATCAAGGAACTCATTTCATGGCAAAAGAAATGCAGCAATGGGTTCATGCTCACGGAACTTACCAGTCTTACCATGTTCCTTACCGTCTGGAAGCAGCTAGTAGCTTGATAAAATAGTGAGATGGCCTTTGGAATATATAATACTCAGATATAATACCAGCTAGGTGTCAATACCTTAAAGAGCCTGGGCAATGTTCTCTAGAAGACTGTATATGCTTTGAATTGGCATCAAATACGTGGTGCTGTTTCCCCCATAGCCAGGGCTCATTGTTCTAGGAATCAAGAGACAGACACGGGAGTGGCACCACTCACTATTACCCCTAGTTCACTATTACCCCTCGTGACCCACTAGTAAAATTTTTGCTTCTTGTTCCCATGACCTTATAACTTGCTGGCCTAGATATCCTACTTTCAAAGGGAGCAAAGAGGAGACACAAAAATGGTATCATTGAACTGGAAATCTGGCCACTTTGGATTCTTCATGCCTCTGAATCCATAGTTATAGAAGGGAGTTACTTGCTGGCTGGGGTAATTGATTCTGACTACCAAGGGCAAATTTGACTACTACTCCACAATGGAAGTAAAGAGGAGTATGTCTGTAATACAGGACATCCCTTAGGGTGTCTCTTTGTATTACAGTGGACTGCTGCCCTCAGGCATTATGGAATGCAGGACTTAAGAACGATGAATTAGGATATCTGGAAGAAGAAATATCTAAGTAGCAAAGCATTCAAGCTGCTGAGTGGCTACTTTTAACACATACAGTGAGATGTGAGAAGATAGAGAAAACTTAAAGACAGAATTTAAAATTAAAAGAGAAGCAGAATGAAAAGTCTTGAAAAATTTACATTCTGGTCATGTAAAGAGTAAAAAAGCATATTTGGGAGAAAAGACTAAGGGTGTGGCCAATTGACTATTTGCTGAAGAGATTAATATGGCTAGAAGGAAGCCAGGTGCTATTCATCAAGACAAAGGGAGAAAGACTCCAAATGCATTTCAGGGATCTCTGAGGCTATCCCTCCCATCACAGGCCCAGAGCTCAAGGAGGTCAGAACAGTTTCAGGGGTTGGGCCTGGGGTAGCCTCTACAGACTTTTGTAGACTTGCAACCCAGAGCTGCCTTGTGTCTCTGCTCCCTGCATTCCAGAGCAGTGTTCCCACCCCTCTGCTGCTCCTGCTGTGGCTCAAGCAGGCCTAGGTGCAGCTTAACCCACCACTCCAGAAGGTGAAAGTGGTGTTGTCTGTAGGCCTGCAGAATGCAAGAGGTATACAGGCATAGCTTTCTTCACTTAGATTTTTTTAAAGGATGTTGTGGATAACCTGGGAGCCCAGGCAGAAACTTGCCACAGATGTGGAGCCACCACAGAGAGCTCCTACTAGGACAACGCTGAGTGGAAATGTGGTGTTGGAGCTTCCATGGAGAGTCCTCACAAGGGCAATGTCTAGCGGAGCTATGGCAGTGGGACCACCACGAAGACCCTAGAATTTCAGAGCTAACAGTGTGCAACATCAGCCCAGAAGAGCTGCAGACATGAGCTTCCAACCTGAGAGAGCTGACACATGGGTTGAGCCCAGCAAAGCCTTAGGGATAGGGGTGCCTGAGGTCTTGGGGGCTCAACACCCACCCCAGTGTACCCAGGTTGCAGGACATAGAGTGAAAAGAGATTATTCACTAGCTTAAGATTTAATGTTGTTTTCTCTGTTGGGTTTTGGACTTACCTAAGACCAGTTACTCTTTCTCTCTTTTTTTTCCCACCTATTGTTTCACTTTGTAATGGGAATATCTATGCTATGCCTGTCCCACCATTGTATTTTGGAAGGAGATAATTTCTTTTCATTTCAATGCTCACAGCTGAAGGGAATTTGCCTCTGGATAAATGGTTCCTTGAGTCTTAACATCCAATTTAGATGAGACTCTGGACTTTGGACTTCTGAGTTAATGCTGGAACAAGTTAAAACTTTTGGGGCTACTAGGATAGAATGAATGTATTTTGCACATGAAAAGGCCAGGGACAGAATGCTATGGTTTTAATGTGCCCTCCAAAACTCATGTTAAAATTTAATTGCCAATCTAAGAATATTGGGAAGTGGGGCCTTTAACAGGTAGTTAGGTTATGAGGCTTTGCCTTCATGAATGGATTAATGCCATTATCTCAGGAGTGGGTTCCTGATAAAAGGATAAAGTTTGGCACTCATTTCTCTCTGCGTCTCATACACTCTAACCCTCTCTCATCATGAAATTACTTCCCCCTGTTATGATGTAATGCAAAGTCCCTTGCCAGATGCTGACACCATATTCTTGGACTTCCCAACCACCAGAACCATGAGCCAAATAAACTTTTTTTCTTCGTAAATTACCCAGTCTATGGTATTCTATTATAGCAGTGGAAAATGGACTAGGACATAGTACTGTGATGTATACGCATGTTTAAATTTTAAAGAAATTGTGAAACTCCTTTTTAAAATACCATTTTACATTTCCACCAGCAGTATATGAGAGTTCCAGTTGCTCTGTATCCTCACCAAAATTTTGATACGAAGTCTTGAATTTTATTCACTCTAATGAACATCGACAGTAATATTATCGTGGTTTTACTTGGCATTTCCCCTAGTGATTAATCAAGTTGAACATCTTTTTATGTGCTTATTCCTATCTGTATATCTTCTTTGATGAACTATTCATTCAAATCTTTTGCCTGTTTTAAAAATTAGGTTGTCATTAAATTGGAAGAATTTATTACATATTCTAGATATAGGCTTTTTGTCAGATATTGCCAATATTTTCACTCAATCTGTGTCTTGCCTTTTTATTTTTGTAAGAATATTGATTGAAGGGCAAACTTTTTAAAAATGGTGCATTAAATTCCATTTATATATTAAGTTTTTTTAGTTCTTGCTTTTGCTATAGAATTTAAGAAATCTTTGCCAATCCAAAGGTGCACTATATTTTCTCCTATGTTGTCTTACAGAAGTTTTATAATTTTGTTTTACAATTATAATTCATTTTGAGTTCATTTGTGTATGTAGTGTGAGTTAATTTTTTTCATTTGACTAATTGTTTGAGCATAATTTGTTGAAAAGATTTTTCTTTCACACTGAATTGCCTTGCTATCTTTGTTAAAAATTAATTGATTATATATGTGTGGATTTATTTCTAGAGTCTCTATTCTGTCCCATTGATAAATATGCCTCTTTTATACAAATATCATAGTATCTTGACTATTGTACCTTTATAATAAGCCTTAAAATCATCTAGTATAAGTCTTCCAACACTGTTCTCCTTTTTCAAAGTTGTTATTGCAATTCTAAGCACTTTATATTTCTATATAAATTTTAGAATCAATTTGTCAATTTTTAGAATGAAGTTTGATAGGATTTTGACTAAGATTACATTGAAGCTATAGATGAATCTGAGAAGAAATGAAATCTTAAAATCATTTTCCACTTCAGAAACACAACGTTTCTCTCTTGTATTTAGTTTTTCGTCAACAATATTTTATAGTTTTCAAGTTCTGCATGCTTTTTTCAACTCTATTAGTCCATTTTTGCACTGCTGTAAAGAATGACCTGAGACTGGGTAATTTATTTAAAAAATGTTTAATTGACCACAGTTCTGCATGGCTAGTGAGGCTTCAGGAAACTTACAATTATGGCAGCAGGTGAAGGGAAAGCAAGGCACATCTTACATGGCAGCAGGAGAGAGAGAGAGAGCTATGGAGGAAATGCCACATTTTCAAACTATCAGATCTCGTGAGAACTCACTCACTATCACAAGAACAGCATGGGGGAACTGCCTCCATGATCCAATCACCTCCCACCAGGTCCCCCCCCTCAACATCTGAGGATTACAATTTGAGATGAGATTTGGGTGGGGACACAGAGCCAAAACATATCATCAATTAATAAATTATTGTAACAAACAACATCAAAATATTAATAGCTTAACATAATTTTTTTCTGCGCTTACATAAATCCCAATTTAGTATTCTGGGATCCATCTAGTAATCCCAGGTCCCAAGGTGTTTTCATCTGGTGGCACCACCATCTTTTTGGGTTTCTGAGTCCTCCATTGTATCCTCTGTATCTGCCCAGAAGGCAGGAGAAAGAACACTGGGGGATCCCTATGGGAAGTTTTCATGAGCCAGGACTGGACACATCCTATATCACTTCTGCCCACATTCTATTGACCAGAAGCCAGTCACATGGCACCCAGTTAACAATTGTAAGAGAGGCTGTGGAATGTATTCCAGCCATTGTATGGACAGAGGAAAAGGAGATGGGAACTATTTAGTACATAGCAGTCTCAGCCACACAGATACACAACTTAGAAAAAATCTCACACGTATGAACAAAGAGATATAAAAGGATATTCAATACAGCATTGTCTGAAAATGCAAATGGCCAGAAAAACCTAAATGTCTAATAGCACAAGTCTGAATTGAAAACAGACTTCTTAAGCACAAACCACAAGGCAAAAACTTAGCGGATTTGACAGCATTAAAACACCAATGAAAACATTAAGAGAAGAATCAAAGACCGGGAAAAGATATTTATAACATCTAAACTTAAAAACATGCTTGAGAGTAAAAAAGGGTCCTTTTAATACTTATGTTAGGACGATAGGCATAAATTTGGCATATAGTCTCCTTATCTAAACACGATAAGGTATTAATGACTAGAATATCCACATAACCCCACAAATCAATAAGAAGGCTGGGCATGGTGGCTCATGCCTGTAATCCTAGCACTTTGGGAGGCCAAGGCAGGAGGATCGCTTGAGCCCAGCAGTTTAAGACCAGCCTAGGTGACAGGGCGAGAACCTGTATCTATAAAAAAATAAAAAATTAGCTGTATGTAGTGGTGCACACACACTTGTGGTTTCAGCTACTCAGGAGGCTGAGGTGGGAGGATTGCTTGAGCCTAGGAGGTCAAGGCTGTAGTGAGCCATGTTTGTATCACCATATCCCAGCTTGGGCAAGAAAGCAAGACTCTGTCTCAAAAAAAATTTTTTTTAATAAAAATTTAAAAAGAAAATACAGGAAACCCAACAGGAAAGAATGGAGAGGAAAACCGAGTGACCAGTTAGTATATAATGAACTGTTCAACAGAAATAGCAGTTATAAAAATGCAAAATAGGAAATACTTTGCACACATCAGATTTGCAAAAATCAAAAGGTCAGATAATATTAAGTGGCCATTAGGATAGAGAGACTATCCTCACCCTATGCATCTCTTAACCTATATCCTTTGTAATATTCTTTATAATAAACTGGTAAACTACATAACTGTGATTCTCCTAGACAACGATAGTGATCATCTCCCTTCCTGGGGGCAGTTGCACACAAAGTCAGTATAAAGTGAGAAAAGTAATACCAATATGTTAAGGAAACTGTGAACAGATTGTCTTCAGTGAAGCAAGATGAACAAAGGAAAAAAGTGGAAAATTAGAAGTTGCTCTGAGAGGCAGGCCCAGCACAGGAGAGGAGTCACCTGCAATGGCTTTCCTTGTGACTGAGGGTCATGAGATGGGATGCTATAACCAAGCAACATTGTGAAGCTATAGCTCATAAGAGGAGTTGATGACTTAGGGAGAGGCCAGGTTCTGGCTCAGCCATCCTGACAGCAATGGTAAAGAGTCTTGTGAAAATAGTGTATGATTTGGACATAAAAAAGCCTGGGTTCAAAACCCTCTTCTGTAAAGAGAAGAACACTGCACCCACCTCTCCCAGTCATTTGGGGGTTAAATCAAAAACCATGAAAAGTGCGTTGTGTAAGGCCATATGGAGTAACTGTGCAGAATGGCACTCTTGTCCAGCAAAAGAAGAAAGGCCAAGTTCAAGGCAGAAATAGTCTGTTTGAAGGTAGTAACATGCTGTTGAGGCAAAGAGAACTGTAGGGGCTGAGACTGGAGAGTGTAAAATTGGAGAGAGGTGAGCTGCTGCTAGCAGCCTCTACCTGAAGATCATTCACCTATTCTGGGTCATGGGAGAAGCTGAGAATCTGGAGATGGCGAAACCAGAGAATTTCCAAAAGAGACATGAAGAGCCTCAAACACACAGCTGGAATTCCTGTCAGGACATTTGCTGAATTGGGAGTGTATGAGGCTAAAAAAACAGAAGTAGAAAGCCTCTGAGAATCATCAGAGTTTTCAGCAGTTTTATAAGATGAAAATAGGAATTCAAGATCTGCCAAAGAAGGGGTCCAGGTGAATACACTAGGCTAACAGCCAGGCCAAGGATGGATGGTGACCTGACCTTATTACCATATTGAAAATTGAATTGAGATGGATCATGACCAAAATGCAAAAGGTCAAACAATAAAACTTATAAAAATAAACAGGAAAAAAAATCTTCACGGTCTTGGTGTAAAATTTCTGTTTTTTCCTCCAAGTTTAAAAAATATAATACTCTATTTTGCTTTAAAAACATTTCAACTTTCAAGAGAAATTAAACCTATGTATTAGGAGTAGGGTAGAGGTTGTCTGGGGAGAAGAGGTGGCTAAAACTGCATGGGGTGTGAATGGGGGCTTGTCACCCTGGGTAGTTGTCACCTAAGTGTGCTCACTTTGTGAAAACTCATCACAATCTATGCTGTTGAATGCTTGCTCTATATACACTCTTTTGTATTTGTTATGTTATGCTTCAATAAAAACATTAATATGAAAAAAGTGTGCATTTACCACATGACCCAGTCATTCCATTTCTGGATTTACAGGCATACTTTGGAGATATTGTGGGTTCGCTTCCAGACTCCCACAATAAAGTGAATATTGCAATAAAACAAGTCACTCAACTTTTTTTATTTCCCAGTGCATATAAAAGTTTTGTTTATACTCTACTGAAGTCTATGAAGTGTGTAATGTCATTATGTCTAGAAAACAAGGTACAGATTTTGTGCAAAAATATTTTATTGCTAAAAATGCTGATAATAATCTCGACTTTAGCAAGTTATAATATTTTTCATGGTAGGTCTTGCCTCGATGTTGATGGCTACAGACTGTTCAGGGTGGTGACTGCAGAAGTGTAGAGTGGCTGTAGCCATTCCTTAAAATAAGACAACAATGAAGTTTGCTGCATGGATTGACTCTTAATTTCCTGAATGATTTTTCTGTAACTTGAAATGCTGTTTGATAGCATTTTACCTACAATACTTTTAAAATTGAAGTCGGTCTTCTCAAATCTTGTCATTGCTTTATCAACTAAGTTTATGAAATATTCTAAATCTTTTGTTGTCATTTCAACAATGTTCACAGCATCTTCATCGGGAATAGATTCCACCTCAATAAACTCAGTAAACTACTCTTTGTTCATTAAAGTTTTATCATGAGATTGCAGCAATTCAGTTACATTTTCCAGCTCCACTTCTAATTTTTTTTTTTTTTGAGACAAAGCTTCACTCTTGTCCCCCAAGCTGGAGTGCAATGGCATGATCTCAGCTCACTGCAAACCTCCGCCTCCTGGGTTCAAGTGATTCTCCTGCCTCAGCCTCCTGAGTAGCTGGGATTACAGGTGTCCACCATCACATCCAGCCAATTTTTGTATTTTTAGTAGAGATGGGGTTTCACTATGTTGGTCAGGCTAGTCTCGAACTCCTGACCTCAGGTGATCCATCTGCCTCACCCTCCTAAAGTCCTGGGATTACAGGTGTGAGCCACCGCACCTGACCTCCACTTCTAATTTGAGTTCTCTTGCTGTTTCCACATTTGCAGTTACTTCCTCCACTGAAATATTGAATTCCTCAAAGTTATCCATGAGGGTTGGAATCAACTTCTTCCAAATTCTTGCTAATGTTGTTATTTTGACCTTCTCTCATGAATCACGAATGTTCTTAATGACATCTAGAATGGTGAATTCCTTCCAGAATGGTTTCAATTTACTTTCCCCAGATGCATCAGAGGAATCACTGTCTATGGCAGCTATAGCCTTAGGAAATGTATTCCTTAAAGAACAAGACTTGGAAGTTGAAATTTCTCCTGGATTCATGCACTGGAGAATGAAGGCTGTGATGAAAAACACATTAATATCCTTGTACATCTCCATCAGAGCTCTCAGATGACTAGATACACTGTCAATGAGTAGTAATCTATGGAAAGTAATCTTTTTTTCTGAGCAGTAGGTCTTAACAGTGGGCTTAAAATATCCAGTAAACCATGGTGCTAACAGATGTGCTGTCAGCCAAGCTTTGTTGTTCCATTTACGGAACAGAAGCAGAGTAGATTTAGCATAATGCTTAAGAGCCCTAGGATTTTTTGAATGGTATATGGGCATTGGGTTCAACTTAAAGTCACTAGCTTCATTAGCCCCTAAAAAGAGAGTCAGCCTGTTGTTTGAATATTTGAAGACAGACATTAACTTCTCCACTCTAGGAGAGTGTTGTGGCTGGTTTGATTTTCTATGCAGACCACTCAAACTTTCTCCATATCAGCAATAAGACTGTTTCCCTTTCTTATTCTTCATGTATTCACTGAAGTAGCACTTTTCATTTCCTTCATGATTTTTTTTCCTTTGCATTCACAACTAACTGTTTGGCTAACTGCTGAGCTATCTGTTTGGTGCAAGAGGCCTAGTTTTGGCTTATTTCAGCTTTCAACATACCTTCCTCATTAAGCTTATTCATTTCTAGCTTTTGATTTAAAGTGAGAGGTGTGTGACTCTTCCTTTCACTTGAACAGTGAGATACCATTGTAGGGTTATAAATTGACTTAATTTCAATATTATTGTGTCTCGGGTAATAGGGAGCCGTGAGGAGAGGGAGAGAGTTGAGGGGACATCCATTTGGTGAAGTAGTAAGAACACATATTTATAGATTAAGTTTACTGTCTTCTATGTGCACGGTTCATGGCACCAAAACAATTACAATGGCAACATCAAAGATTACTGACCACAGATCACTATAACAGGTATAACAATAATGAAAACATCTGAAATATTGCAAGAATTATGAAACTGTGACACAGAGATGCAAAGTGAGCACATGCTGTTGAAAAAATGGCACTGATAGACTTACTTGACACAGGGTTGCCATAAACCTTCAGTTTGAGAAAAACACAATATCTGCAAAGTATAATAGTGACATTCAATAAAATGAGACATACCTGTATGCTGTAAAGAGACATATATGAGAATATCTCACTGTAGCAAGAGTTGGAGGCAACCTAAGTGCTCACTACTAAAGGAATAGAGAAATCAAATATGATGGCAACACATTGTGGAGTACCATGAAGCAGTTAGAAGCAATGAATTATTGGATGAACATGTATATGAGGGAAGATCTTAAAAATCGAAAGATGATTTTTAAAAATCAAGTTACAGAATGAAATTGATAGCACCCCATTTATTGACTATTAAAAACACATACATGGCTGGGTGCGATGGCTCACACCTATAATCCCAGCATTTTGGGAGACTGAGGTTGGAGGATTGCTTGAGTCCAGGAGTTCGAGAACAGCCTGGGCAACATAGCAAGGCCCTGCCTCTACAAAAATTAGCCGGGCATTGTGGTACTTCCCTGTAGTCCCAGCTACTATGGAGGCTGTGGTGGGAGGATTGCTTGAGCCCAGTAGCTGGAGGTTGCAGTAAGCTGAGATTGTGCCACTGCATTCCAACCTGGGGGACAGAGCACTCTGTCTCAAAAAACAGAAATAAAAATTAAAACTCCGGTCCCGCTCACGAGGGGTCGGGGCCTGCAGTGCGCAGGAAGCAGCACAGCCCTGCAAGGGAGGTGACAGCACCGCTGACCATCCTGGTCCCTGCAGAACGGTGCCGGAGAAACGTTTTGCACCTTCAAGACTCAGGAGGATGAAAGTTATCACTTGTGAAGTAGCCTGGCATGACAAAGAGCCTGTGTACAGCCTGGACTTCCAGCATGGGATGGCCGGGAGGACGCACAGACTGATGTCTGCAGGCATGGACTCCGTTGTCAGGATCTGGAACGTAGAAAAGGGACTAGATGGAAACGACATCATGGAATTTTTGTTCAATCTTGCTTGTCATACCAAAGCCTTCAATGTCCTGCATTTTTCTCCATCTGGGGAGATTTTAGCATCGGGAGGAGATGATGCTGTCATCCTGTTGTAGAAGGTGAATGATAACAAAGAGCTGGAGCAGATTTCTTTTCAGGATGAGGACGAGGCCCAGTTGAACAAGGAGAACTGGATGGTTGTGAAGACTCTGCGGGGCCACTTAGAAGATGTGTATGATATTTGGTGGGCAACTGATGGGAATTTTATGGCTTCTCCCTCTGTGGATGACACAGCCATCATATGGGATGTCAATAAAGGACAAAAAATATCAATTAACATAACAGAAAAGTTATGTCCAAGGAATAAACTGGGACCCTTTAGGTCAATATGTTGCTACTCTGAGCTGTGACACGGTGCTGCAGGTATACAATATACAGAAGAAGCATGTGGTTTTTAATGTTTCAAAGATGCTATCTGGAATAGGGGCTGAAGGAGAGGCAAGAAGCTACCGCATGTTTCATGATGACAGCATGAAGTTGTTCTTCCATAGACTGAGTTTCACTCCCAATGGATCTTTGCTCCTCACACCAGCCAGATGTGTGGAATCCGGTGAAAATGTAATGAACATCACTTACGTTTTCTCCGGGAAGGATCTTAAAAGGCCCATCGCTCATCTTCCGTGTCCTGGAAAAGCCACTCTTGCTGTTGGCAGCTGTCTGGTCTATTTTGAACTGAGGCCAGTGGTGGAAACAGGTGCGGAGCTAATGAGTCTGCCCTACCGCCTGGTATTTGCTGTGGCTTAGGAGGACTCTGTGCTTCTGGACACCCAGGAGTCCTTCCCTTTCGGTTATGTGTCTAATATACATTACCACACCCTCAATGACATTTCATGGTCTAGCGATGGCGCCTTCCTGGCCATTTCTTCCACAGACAGTTACTGCTCGTTTGTGACATTTGAGAAACGTGAACTTGGAATTCTTTTAAAAGAGAAGTCAGTTTTGAGCATGAGAACTCCTGATACAGCAAAGAAAACCAAGAGTCAGACACACCAAGGGTCTTTGCCAGGACCCAGACCCGTAGAGGGAACAACTGCCAGCAGAACCCAAGACCCCAGCAACCCCTGCTCAACCCCCACTCAGGCCAGACAGGCCCCAGCCCCAACAGCCACCAGGGACCCTCCCTCTATCATTCTGCTGTCAAAAGCTCCTTGCCGAGGCCTTCGGAGGAGAAGACCCTGCCGCCCAGTAGTTAAAACACAAAAGCCCACCCATCCCGGAGGGTCACTCTGAACACACTGCAATCCTGGAGCAAGACAACACCCTGGAGAATAAACTCAATACCCTTAAAGACAGACACTCCACCAAAGTCTGTACCAATCAATGTAATCTCCACCCCTTCTGCAGAAGAATTTAGTAAGAGACGCCTGGAAATGCTCAGGACAGTCCCGTAGAGCTAAAACAGCCCAGACTCAGTGAAAACAAAGGGGGCACTGAAAGTCTGGAACCTTGATGGGACCTTGGCTTCTGCTCAAAGCCTTCCAGACCTCCCATGTGTGCAATGAGGTGGTGAAGCTGGAGATGCCTGAGACCAGTTGCTTCCATGGAGCGGGACAGATGCCGTAAATGGATTTCTGTAACAGAAGTGACATGTGTACTGATTTTTCTCCAGAAATATGGATGCTGTTTTATTCAGTCTCCATTTTTAACTTGGGGATGTGAACATTTTAACATACTGAATCCTCTTTTTCATGAGTCTCTGAAACTGGAGCAGTTCAACATTATCCAGTGTGAAAATCAATGAGTCCTCCCTGGCATCCTCGTGAAAGTGCAGACACTTCATGGAGGGACTCCTTTTAAAGTTAGAATTAGGAAGATGAGAAAGTAATTTGAGATTTTACTCGGTTGAATTTTAGAGTATTTGAAGTAATTGTTAGATATTTGCTTCTCAGGAGTTGATTAAACTTTGGAAGGTTAAAAAAATAAAATAAATAAAAACACATACATTGTAGGGTATGCTAGAGGGACAGAACTAATAGGTAGATAGATATCAAAGGGAGTTTATTAAGTATTAACTCACATGATCAGAAGGTCTCACAATAGGCTGTCTGCAAGCGGAGGAGCAAGGAAGCCAGTCTGAGTCCCAAAACTGAAAAACATGGAGTCTGATGTTCAAGGGCAGGAAGCATCCAGTATGGGAGAAAGGTGTAGACTGGGAGGCTAGGCCAGTCTAGTCTTTTCACATTTTTCTGCCTGCTTTATATTCTAGCCATGCTGGCAGCTGATTAGATGGTGCTCACCCAGAGTAAGGGTGTGTCTGTCTTTCCCAGCCCACTAACTCAAATGTTAATCTCCTTTGGCAACACCCTCACAGACACACCCAGGATCAATACTTTGGATCCTTCAATCCAATCAAGTTGACACTCAGTATTAACCATCATATACATATACAGAAAGAAGCGGTTTGCTGCTATAAACTCCGTGAGACAGCCAAAAAATTGTGAGTTCCCAAAGTGTGAGAAGGGAAAAGTCTGCCTCTGAACACACATCCCCATTGGGGAACCTGAAAATCCATATCACAGGAGGATTTAACCTTACCTATAATGGAAATGGATTTCGAGTTGAGCAAAATATAAAAGTAGAAGCAGCAGCAGGAAAAGCCCTGTAGGCACTCCTGGTCCCCAGCTAGAGCCCAGGGAAACCATCCCTGGCTTTATCTCATAGCAGTCCTTGGGACAGCAACAGAAGCCAGTGGAATTGGGGAGGGGCCACAGGGTGAAGGAAGCTTCTAGCTGAACTTTGTAATAATTTTGACTGAGCATGAATTTACCTAAGCAGATCGGGGCAGGGGTACTGCAAATGGGAAGTGTAGATACAAGTGCGGAAGCCACAGTGCATGGTGCAGGCAGGCATGCAAGGAGGGGCAAGGCCTGAGACTGTTTGCTTTCTCAGCGGGGAGGCTTGTAGCCTGGGGCAAGATTTCAGCCCTGGTGACCCGCTGCCTGGATATAAACTTTAGGATGTTGGTGGGGTATGGCGGGAGTGAGACTGGCCTTGCTGGCTGTGTAGGAGCTAGGTGAGGCCTGTCACTGCTGGTTTTCCCCCACTTCCTTGGTGACCTGTAAGATGCAGCAGAGGCAACCACAGTCCCACTGGGAACATAACTCTATTAGCTGGAGAAACACCTCCCATCCTTTGCCACCAACAGTGACCGAGGCAAGCCCTGCCCAAGGAGATTCTGAGTTCAGACCCACCTAACCCTGCCCCAGCCTTATGGTTTTTCTCTACCTGCCCTGGTAGCTGAAGACAAAAAACAAAGTCTTGGGAGCTCTATGGCCCCACCCATTGTCGGCAAAACCCGAGTGCTTCTCCTGGCCAAGGTAGGGCAAGCTTATATCAGCCTTCAACTACTCCAGCTAGTGCTCTCTTGAAAGTGCCATCTCCTGGCTGGAGGCCAACCAACTCAAGCCATTACGGCAACTCATAACAGAACAACCCTGCTCCAAAGACGAAGAAAACAACAGCTAATTCCACTGCCTGCAACACCCTGGCTAACCAGAGCTCTTGAGTCTGTCCACATGACAACTTCATTGCTAGCAAAACCAGCATTCAAGAAAACCAGTGCAATCAACAAAATTACAATCAAGGACTCCTACAGAGTCTACTTTACTTCCTTGCCACCTCCACTGGAGCAGCTGCTGGTATCCATGGCTGGGAGATCTGAAGACAAATCACATTACTGGACTCTTTGCAGACATTCTCCTGCACCAGCCCAGGACCTGGTAGCCCCACTGGGTGGCTAGACCCAGAAGGGAAATAGCAATCACTGCAGTCTGGCTCTCAGGAAGCCCCATCCCTAGGGGAAGTGGGAGAGTACCACAAAAGGGATCACCTCATAGGATGAAAGAATCTGAACAGCAGCCCTTGAGTTCCAGATCTTTCTACTAAAACAGTCTTCCCAAATGAGAAGGAACCAGAAAAGCATTTATGGTAATATGACAAAACGAGGTTCTATAATACCCCCAAAGATCATACTAGCTCCCTGGCAATGGATATAAACCAAGAAGAAATCTCTGAATTGCCAGACAAAGAATTCAGAAGGTTGATTATTAAGCTACTCAAGGAGGTGCCAGAGAAAGGTAAAAACCAACTTAAAGAAATTTAGAAAATGTTACAGGATATGGTGAATCCATATCCTGAGAAATAAATAGGTATCATGAAGAAAAGACAATCACACCTTCTGAAAATAAAAGATACACTTAGAGAAATGCAAAATATGCTGGAAAGTTTCAATAATAGAATCACACAAGTAAAAGAAAGAACTTCAGAGTTCAAAGACAAGGCTTTCAAATTAACTCAATCTGACAAAGACAAAGAGTAAAGAATAAAAAAAAAATAAAGCCTCCAAGAAATTTGGGATTATGTTACATAACCAAACCTAAGAATGATTGGTGTTCCTGAGGAAGAAGAGAAATTTAAAAGTTTGGAAAACTTATTTGCTGCAATAATCAAGGAAAACTTCCCTGGTCTTGCTATAGTTCCAGACATCCAAATATAAGAAGCTTAAAGAACACCTGGGAAATTCATCACAAAAAGATCATCACGTAGGCACATAGTCATCAGGTTATCTAAAGTTAAGACAAAGGAAAGAATCTTAAGAGCTGTGAGGCAAAAACATCAGGTAACCTATAAAGGAAAATCTATCAGATTAACAGCAGATTTCTCAGCAGAAACCCTACAAGCCAGAAGGGATTGGGGTCCTATCTTTAGCCTCCTTAAACAAAATAATTATCAGCCAAGAACTTTGTATCCAATAAACTAAACTTCATAAATGAAGGAGAGATACAGTCTTCAGACAAACAAATGCTGAGAGAATTTGCCCTTATTAAGCTAGCACTACAAGAAATGCTAAAAGGAGTTCTAAATCTTGAAACAAAACCTCAAAATACACCAAAATAGAACCTCCTTAAAGCATAAATGTCACAGGGCCTATAAAACAATAACAAGGGGGGGGGGGGGAACAGGTATTCAGGCAACAACTAGCATGATAAATAGAATAGTACCTCACATCTCCATATGAACATTGAATGTAAACTGCCTAAATGCCCCACTTAAAAGATGGGGCATTCTGCAGAATGGCAGAATGGATAAACGTCCACCAACCAAGTATCTGTTGTCTTCAAGAGATTCACCTAACAAATAACGACTCACATAAACTTAAGGTAAAGGGGTGAAAAGATACATTCTATGCAAATGGAAACCAAAAGCGAGCAGGGGTAGCTATTCTTACATCAGACAAAACAGATTTTAAAGCAGCAACAGTTAACAAAGACAAAGAGGGACATTAAATAATGATAAAAGGATTAGTCCAACAGGAAGATATCACAATCCTAAATACATATGCACCTAACACCACAGCTCTCAAATTTATAAAGCAATTACCACTACACCTAGGAAATAAGATAGATGGCAACACAATAATAGTGGGTGACTTCAATACTTCACTGACAGCACTAGACAGGTCATCAAAACAGAAAGTCAACAAAGAAACAATTGACTTAAACTATACCCTAGAACAGATTAGCTTAACAGTTATTTACAGAACATTCTACCCAACAACTGCAGAATATACATTCTTTCAATCAGCACATGGAACTTTCTCCAAGATGAACCATATGATAGGCTGCAAAACAAGTCTCAATAAATTTAAGAAAATTGAAATTATATCAAGTAGTCTCTTAGACTACAGGGGAATAAAATTGGAAATTAACTCCAAAAGGAACCCTCAAAACTATAGAAATACATGGAAATTAAATAATCTGCTCCTGAATGATCTTTGGTTCAACAATGAAATCAAGATGGAAATCAAAAAATTCTTGGAACTGAATAATAATAGTGAAACCTCTGGGATACTGCAAAAGGGCTGCTAAGAGGAAAGTTCATGGCATTAGATGCCTACATCAAAGAGTCTCAAAGAGCACAAATAGACAATCTAAGCTCACAAGGAACTAGAGAAACAAGGACAAACCAAACCCAAACACAGAAGAAGAAAAGAAGAAACAAAGATCAGAGCAAAACTAAATGAAATTGAAACAAAAAAATACAAAAGATAAATGAAGCAAAAAGCTGGTTGTTTGAAAAGATAAACAAAATTGATAGACCATTAGCAAGATTAACCAAGAAAAGAGAGAAGATCCAAATAAGCTCAATTAGAAATGAAATGGGAGATATTACAACTGATACCACAGAAATATAAAACATCATTCAAGGCTACTATGAACATCTTCATGCACACAAACTAGAAAACCTAGAGGAAATGGATAAATTCCTGGAAATATACAACCTTCCTAGATTAAACCAGGAAGAGACAGAAATTCTGAACAGACCAATAACAAGAGACTGAAATAGTAATGAAAAAATTGCCAGCCAAAAAAAAGTCCAGAATCAGATGAATTCACAGCTGAATTCTATCAGACACTCAAAGAAGAATTGGTACCAATTCTACTGAAACTATTCCAAAAGATAGAGCAAAAGGGAATCCCCCACAAATCATTCTATGAAGCCAGAACTACTCTAATACAAAAAAAGGAAGTCAAACTGTCACTGTTCACTGATGATATAATTTATATCTAAAAAACCCTAAAGACTCATCCAAAAGGCTCCTAGATCTGATAAATGAATTCGGTAAAGTTTCAGGATACAAAATCAACATACACAAACCAGTAGCACTGCTATACACCAACAGT
Organism: Homo sapiens; assembly: GCF_000001405.40. Taxonomy (NCBI): domain Eukaryota; kingdom Metazoa; phylum Chordata; class Mammalia; order Primates; family Hominidae; genus Homo; species Homo sapiens. The sequence continues at coordinate 105,673,232 of NC_000006.12, forward strand.
GACCAAGTTGAGAATCAAGTCAAGAACTCAACTCCTTTTACAACAGCTGCAATAAAATAAAATAAAATAAAATAAAATAATAAAATTAAATAAATAAAATAAAATAAAATAAAATAAAATAAAATAAAATAAAATAAAATAACTTAGGAATATACCTAACCAAGGAGGTGAAAAATCTCTACAAGGAAAACTACAAAACACTGCTGAAAGAAATCACAGGCAACACAAATGGAAACACATCCCATGCTCATGGATGGGTAGAATCAATATTGTGAAAACGACCATACTCCCAAAACCAATCTATACATTCAATGCAATTTCCATCAAAATACCATTATCATTCTTCACAGAACTAGAAAAAACAATCCTAAAATTCATATGGAACCAAAAAAGAGCCCACATAGCCAAAGCAAGACTAAGCAAAAAGAACAAATCTGGAGGCATCACATTACCTGACTTCTAACTATAATACAAGGCTATAGTTAACAAAATAGCATGGTAGTGGTATAAAAATAGGCATGTAGAGCAGTGGAACAGAATAGAGAACCCAGAAATAAAGCCAAATACTTATAGCCAACTGATCTTCAACAAAACAAACAAAAACATAATGTGGGGAAAGGATACCCTATTCTACAAATGGTGCCGGGGTAACTGGCAAACCACATGTAGGAGAATGAAATTGGATCTGGTCCTCACTTTATACAAAAATCAACCCAAGATGGATCAAAGACTTAAATCTAAGACCTGAAATCCTAAAAATTCTAGAAGATAACCTTGGAAAAACTCTTGTAGACATTGGCTTGGGCAAAGAGTTTATGACCAAGAACCCGAAAGCAAATTTAACAAAAACAAAGATAAATAGATGGGACTTAATTAAACTAAAAAGCCTCTGCACAGCAAAAGAAATAATCAGCAGAGTAAACAGACAACCCACAGAATGGGAGAAAATATTCACAAACTATGTGTCTGACAAAGGACTAATTTCCAGAATCTACAAGGAAAAACAAATCAGGAAGAAAAAACAAATAATCCTGTCAAAAAGTGGGCTAAGGATATGAGTAGAAAATTCCCAAAGAAGATATACAAGTGGCCAATGTATGAAAAAATGGTCAACATCACTAATGATCAGGGAAACGCAAATCAAAACCACAACGCAATACCACCTTAATCCTGCATGAATGGCCATAATTTAAAAATTTTAAAAAAATAGCTGTTGGAGTGAATGTGGTGAAAAGGGTACACTTTTACACTGCTGGTGGAAATGTAAACTAGTACAAATGCTATGAAAAACAGTATGGAAATTCCTTAAAGAACTAAATGTAGAACTACTATTTGATCCAGCAATCTCACTACTGTGTATCTACCCAGAGGAAAAGAAGTCATTATATGAAAAAGACACTTGCACATGTATGTTTATAGCAGCACAATTTGCAATTGCAAAAATATGAAATCAGCCTAAATGCCCAACAATCAACAAGTTGATAAAGCAAATGTGAAATATATATATATACCACACACACACACACACACACACACACACATATACCCCATGGAATATTACACAGCCATAAAAAAGAACGAAATAATGGCATTTACAGCAACCTGGATGGAGTTGGAGACCATTATTCTAAGTGAAGTAACTCAGGAATAGAAAACCAAACATCATATGTTCTCACTTATAAATGGGAGCTAAGCTATGATGATGCAAAGACATACGTATGATATAATGGACTCTGGAGACTCAGTGGGGAAGTGTAGAAGGGGGTTGTAGTAAAAGTGTATACTACAAATTGGGTGTAGTATACACTGCTTGGGTGATGGGTAAACCAAAATCTCACAAATCACCACTAAAGAACTTATCCATGTTAAACAAACACCATCTGTTCTCCAAAAGCTATTGAAATAATTGTTTAAAAACACATACATACACAAAATATTCTTAAAATTTATATACATATTAGAAGACATATTAAGTACTCTAGAGTGACTGCTTGTGGAGGGGGAAAAAGAAATATAAATCATGGGCCGGGCGCGGTGGCTCACGCCTGTAATCCCGGCACTTTGCGAGGCCGAGGCGGGCGGATCACGAGGTCAGGAGATCGAGACCATCCCGGCTAAAACGGTGAAACCCCGTCTCTACTAAAAATACAAAAAAATTAGCGGGGCGTAGTGGCGGGCGCCTGTAGTCCCAGCTACTTGGGAGGCTGAGGCAGGAGAATGGCGTGAACCCGGGAGGCGGAGCTTGCAGTGAGCCGAGATCCCGCCACTGCACTCCAGCCTGGGCGACAGAGCGAGACTCCGTCTCAAAAAAAAAAAAAAAGAAAAAAAAAAAGAAATATAAATCATGACTTATAGAGGCCTTGATTGGACTGATGATGTTAATGAGGCTTGAACTGATGAGATGATTAGTTCAAAAACTTCTACCTAAAGCTCCCTGCACAAAAAACTCTAAATAAAGTGGAGGGAGTGGGATGCATGAAGTTAGGACAGACAGTCAGACTGGCTAGAAGACAGAGGAAAAAAACCATATATGAATTCCTCATGTTTGAGTTAACGCTCCTAAGTTGAGATAGTTTGGGAACTGAAGACGAAAACCAACAGAATAGTGTTCTCTGACACCATTGCTTTCTCAGGGTGTGAGAAGCTTTGTGAGGGTTTTGGGTGAGCTTTCCTTTTTATTGAGAAACACACAAGTGGTTTGAAAGGCTAAGCATGGTTTGCCACAATGCCCTATACTGTAATTAAACCATTGGGTTAGAGGCCTGTTTGCTCTATTTAATGTGCTTTGTGAAACAAGATGCTTTGTCTTTTGTTGTTGCTGGATCTTTCTGACCAGCAATTGAGAGGGGGGGAAGTCTCTGTGTATCTTCCTGCTCTACACTTAGATAATTGGTGTGTGCACTGTCAGTTAAAAAGCATGGCTTTGCCGTGACTATTTGATTTTAGTTACAAGTGTTGGCAGGAGATGCTGAAGGAGACAGGAGGTATTTAGGAACGGTGGCCCTTTGAGATACAAAATTATAAAGCAGCCACAGAAATGAGTCAGCCCATTAAGCTGAGCCATAACCACAGCTAGCCAGAGTGCTCAGGCTTCTTTAGTCATGAAATGCACACGGCCCTTCAAATGCTCCATCCCTCTGTAACCTCACAACACCCAGAGCATATTCCTTCCACAATGGCTCCTAAAGGAACTTTGTTGATTAACTGCTAAACACATGCAAAAGCACACAAATCTGAATCTCGTGTCTATGCAAAGGTGAGAATGTTCTTGGAGTTCTAAAATTGTTGAGAAGAGTTAGTTGTATATTTCCCTGGACAGAAAATAGCTCATGGAAGATAGCGTCAGACGAGTACTTTGAATGATGCAAACTAGGTCAAAAGTGATAGATAACAGGATAAAACCCAAGGAATTAAGTTTATAGAAACTAATTAAATTATAATTTAGAGGGGATAGAAGAAAACTCATGAATGGCAAAAGAAAATTCCATTATCAGCTAATATAGAATTAAATGATTTAGTAGATTACAATAAAAAAAGTGGTTAGTGAAATATACAGACTTAAGCAACTGGAATTTCAACTTTTAACTATGTTTTAAAATGCTCCCTGGCCCTATGTGCACCTCCACATACTGCATATTTCTTTGTTCTCTCTCATAGTAAAAATCTTCCAAAAAATGGTCTATACTCACTATCTTGACATGCTCATTTCCCATTCTCTCGAAAACACTCATTTCAAACTTTTGTTCTCACTACTCCATGAAATTGCTCTTAGCAAGGTCATTAATGAATGAGCTCCATGTTGCCAAATTAAACACTCAACTCCAAGTCCTCTTCTTCACTGACTTCTCAGCAGCATTTGTTTGCTCCTTTTCTTAAAACTACTTTTAACTATTTTTTTAAATGTCTGCTTTGAAATACTTTTAGACTCACGGAAGTTGCAAAAATAGTTCAGAGGGCTCCTAAGTACTTTCACATAGCTTCCTCTAATAATACCATCTTTTATAACCATAGCGCAATTACACACTTTTCAACTTTTCACTTTTAAAAGCTGCTCTGATCTTCTTAAAACTTTTTTCTCCTTTAGTTTCTCTGGTGCCATCCTCCTGGTTTACTTCCTCTCCTGTCTTTGATGTGGGACTCACCTCTTCTCCCTAACTCTAAGTGTTATCATATCTCAGGATTCAATCCTTGTACATTATCTTCTTTTATCTAAGCTCACATCTCACATGACCTTGTCTAATCCCATGGCTTTAGATAGCCTGTATATGAATAAATTCCCAGATTATTATCTCCAGCCTTGAACCCTCCACTGAATTCCTTGACATCAAACTGTCTACTCAACCTCTCCTGCTCAGTATCTAATAGGTATCTCACTTTAACACGTCATAACTGAACTCGTTCAAGCCCTGTCATCCAACCCCTTCTTCCATCTTCTGCTTCTCAGTGAATGGTTCCCAAATTCAACCATGCACTTAGGCTGAAAAGTGGAATTGTCCTAGACTATTCTTTCTCTCATACAATGAATTTAATCTAACAGCATATCCTATTGGCTGTAATCTTCAAAACATGACCTATTGGCTATAATCTTCAAAACATGACCTGTATGTGAACAACGCTCACCACCTCTTATCTCTACCATCCTTGGAATGTGAATTATGTCATGTCACTCTTCTGCTCAGAACCTCTCAGTGTCTTTTTATAGATATAAATCCATTATCTCCATAGAATAAAATTCACAGCACTTGTCATGGCCTGCAAGATCTTATATGACCCATGACCTGTTTATATGACCTTCTCCAACCTCTTCAACTCTCTGATGGCACTTGCTTTCTTAGCCTGTGCAGCCTCCTGGCTATACCCAGAGTATTTAGTATGTTCCCACATGTAGAGATTTGGACTTAGGGTTCCCTCTGACAGGAACACACCTTCCCAGCTATTCTCATTTAAGACATTGCTCATTCCCTCAGAGAAATCTTCTCTGACCACATTATCTGAGACAATACCACCTCTCCCATAGCTCTGTTTCTATCCAGGCTTGTTATTCTTAGTACAAAGCTGACATCAGATGGTTGGCTGGCTGGCTGTCTCCTTGTTCTATCTCTCAAAATAGAATATAAACTTCATGTGAACAAGGGCTTTATCTAATCTAGCCCCACAACATTACATACAGTAGGCCCTCAATGAATATTTGTTGAACAAATGAAGAAGCAAAAGAGCAATAAAGGACTGTATACGGAAATGCTCTCAGAGAACAGAAAATATTTAGATTGGGAATGATGAACTTTGAAATCCCTGTTAAAAATATAAGATTTTTTTGCAAAGACTGGTTGAAATTTATGTCACTTATGATGAAATGGCTTTACTTTTGGCCATCTCAATTGTATTGCATAATAAGAACCATTATTTATAAATACCCTGAATCATGGGCAATTACAAGTATGTCAATGTTGACTATTTCAAATGTAAAACCATTTTTATTGGTTTACCTCAAATGACTTTCAGATAACTTGAAGTGATATATGAGTTCTGCTAGTTCCCTGCTATGTAAAGAAATGTGGTGCATGGTTTAATCTCTGTCTACATGGCCCCGCCTCCTGGGTCATCATTCTAACAATAAATAGACTCACTTGAGTAATAAGTGTGTGAGGGTTTTAAATTATAACCTTGGTTTAGCTTAATGATGCTATAAATATTTTCTTCTTTCATCTCTAAAGATATGTATACATGAATTACATGTATAGATCCCATTCTTATTATTGTCTTTCTCATTCTCCCTGAAGGAATGTTCTATCCTTATATAATTCCTAAAAATAAAAAGAATGGTAGGTATATCCCAAACCAAAATATGATTTCCTATTCCTTTTCATTTTCACTTTGAAAATTATCATGTTCTATTACAACCTCTAAGAAAGTGAGTCTAAATTATAATGGTAATTTTGGGCTAACATCTCAGCTTATATGGTTCCTTTCCTTGGGCATATTCTCTTTAAAGAAAGACACTCCTGAGATTTCAGTATTGTTTGTCAGTCCCTGGGAAGGTTGGTAGAGTTACTCCAAAGGTTATGATAACAAGGTAGGAAGAGATTAACATTAAGAATTAGGATTCTCATGATTCCTGCTGCATTCCCACACTCCGTCATCCTTACCTTAATTTGATCTTCCTTGGGTCTGAGCTACTTTCCTTTGCTCTCTCGTTGTACGTTGCTTCTAGTAATGCACATATCTTCCTTTTATTCCAACCAAGACATAGAAGAATCAACCTTGTGGAAAGCACAGTAAGGTACATAGAGCATAGACACTAAAAAAATCAGAAACATAAAACAAATTTTTAAAGAATAGAAAAATCATAGATATAGAAGGATATCAAACATACTCAAAATTAGCATTCCAAAAGAAGAAAAACAAAATAATGGGACGTAACAAAAATCTAAAGATTTAACTGAAGAAACTTTTTCTGCAATTAAAACATGTATCAGGAATAACAGATCCAGAGTAATGACACTATAACATATCATGATACAGTTATTGGCCTTCAATTAAAGAAAGAATTCTTTGCACAGCCAGGCAGAAAGAACTCACTTATAAGGGAGCAAAAACGGGCTGAGTTCAATATTCTATGCAAAAGATAACAGATTAATAACTCTTGCCAATATTCAAAGAAAGAAAATGTAATCCTAAGAGACCTCACAGTCAGCAAGAATAAAGGATGCAAACAGCTTTCTAGAACTGAAAGAATATTTTCCCCATGAGCCTTTTTTGAGGAGACTATTAGATAATGAGCTACAGCCAACAAAAGGAAAACAGGGAAAACTACGATGGTTGGACAGGAAACAAACATTTAATATATTTGATAGGGATTAAATAGAATGTAAGTGATTTGATAAAATAGGAATGATACAACTGCAAAAACTATTGTAAGATTAAAAAATAGGGGGGATCGTTAGAAAGGTAATCAGTAAACACAAAAATATAAGCCTTCCTAAAAAATCTGTAGGTACATACATAAAGCAAAGAAGGTAAGCAACATTCAGGGACTTCAGTTCTGTCTACCTTGTGGCCTGGATATTTGTAATGTGTTGTTCTCACCAGCATTACCTACAATGACTCAGCAGCCCCATACTTGCAATAAGGGGAACATAAAGGAAGGCCAGAGAAAGTGGCTTTATTTTAAAGTTGGACAATTTCTTTCTATTCATTTACTTACTCATGTGGCCAAGGTTAACTGCAAGGGAGACTGTGAAATTGTGTGGGAATTCCATTTTGGCATTTCTTAGAAAATCTATATGTTTTTCTAAGTCCAAAATCCAAAGAAAAATTGTCAAGAAATCAGAGAAAATAAGAGAAATGTCTGATTTCCTTGCAGGAACAAAAATCTTTCAATCAAAATGAAGATGTCGCCTGGGCACAGTGGCTCACACCTGTAATCTCAGCACATTGGGAGGCTAAGGGAGGCAGACGGCTTGAGCTCAGGAGTTTGAGACCAGCCTGGGCAACATGGTGAAATCCTGTCTCTACAAAAAATTCAAAAATTAGCCAGGCATGCTGGCACACATCTGTAGTCCCAGATACTCAGGAGGCAGAGGAGGATCACTTGAGCCCCAGAAGTTGAGGCTTCAGTGGGCCGAGATGATGCCACTGCCCTCAAGCCTGAGTGACAGAGTGAGATGCTGTCTCAAACAAACAAACAGACAGACAAACAAACTGGAGACATTACTGATTTGAAAGAATCCAGTGACATCAAGTTGAAAGCAAGAACAGGAAATATTGACTTGTGGAGTTGAAGGTGAAGGTCAATATTTCTGGGAAACCAAGACAGGAACACAGAGAGAAGTAGTCACAGTCTAATCAGTCAGTCTTGTTTATAGGTGTTGCTGTGTTATATATAGAGAGAATATTATGGAAATCTGAAGAGTCGTCCTCTTAAATCTTCACCTGGATAATGATTAGCACATGCTCTTGAGGAAACTATTCAAGGCTAGAGAAAGAACCACCCAAAATGACTGGAGAGAACATTCATTGAAGATTACACAAGACCAGGAATAGTTTCTGTTCTCATTATTCAGAATGAAAAACCTCATAATCCTAGGAGCATCAGCTAGAATACTCAGAAGGATTGGATAAGAGCCCTAAAATAAATGCTGCCATGATCCCATGTAACAAAGCTTAAGTGCAAGATCCTAAAATATTCAAACTGTTCCAGGTAACTTAATTGTGTCCCAGAAGAAAGTTCAAGGATATTTACAGAAGTACAAAGATATCCAGCACATAGAAAAGTAAAATTCACAATGTCTAACTGTGATCAATAATTGTCAAGCATATAAACAGGAAAATATTACTCATAATAAAGAGAAAAATAAATCAATTGAAACTGACCCAGAAATTATACAGATAATACAATTAGTAAACAAAAACACTGAAGCAGTGAATTACAAACTTTTTTTTGTCAAAGAAGCTAGAGAAAAGAGCGAGAATGTTAAGTAGAAATATGGAAGAGCCTAAATCAAAATTCTAGAAATGAAAATATATTTATGAGATGAAAAATATATTAGATGGGATTAACATAAGATTAGACACTGCAGAAAGAAAAGATTGGTGGACTTGACAATAGAAGTTATCCAAAATGAAACACAAGGAGCAAAACTCTGGGGCAAAAAAGGGCATCAGCCAAATATAGATACAACTGGAGTCCCAGAAGGAGATGAGGAGGAAGGTAGGAAAAGAATTTTGAGAAATGGTTGAAATGTTCAAACTTTGATGAAATTTTCAAACTCACAAATCCAAGAATCCCCACACACAGGAAACATGAGTAAAGTTATAAAGGACATCATAATCAAATTACTTAAAACCAGTGAAAAAAAGTAAATATTAAATGTACTCAGAGAAAAAAAAAAAAGGCAAGTAGTCTTGTTAAAAAAAAAAAAAAAAAAAAGCGAGCCAGAAGATAGTAGAGAAACATCTTTAAAGTATTGAAAGAAAAGACAATCAACCAGCTGGGTGCGGTGGCTCACGCCTGTAATCCCAGCACTTTGGGAGGCCGAGGCGGGCGGATCACGAGGTCAGGAGATCGAGACCATCCTGGCTAACACGGTGAAACCCCGTCTCTACTAAAAATACAAAAAATTAGCCGGGCGTGGTGGTGGGCGCCTGTAATCCCAGCTACTCGGGAGGCTGAGGCAGGAGAATGGCATGAACCCAAGAGGCGGAGCTTGCAGTGAGCCGGGATAGCGCCACTGCAGTCCAGCTTGGGCGAAAGAGTGAGACTCCGTCTCAAAAAAAAAAAAAAAAAGAAAAAAAGAAAAGACAATCAACCTAGAATTCTGAACCCAGTGAAAATTTTTCAAAAATAATGTGGGAAATAAACCCCACTTTTTCACATCTACAAAGCAAAAAGAGTTAATCACCAGCAGACATGTACTACACAAAATATTAAAAGAAAGTCATTTAGGCAGAACAAAAGAGGATAAAAGATGGAAATCTGGTTCTACCAAAAAGAATGATGATTATTGGAAATGGTATCCATGTGGCTAAATATAAAAGACTTGTTCATTGCTTAAATCTCTTTGAAAGATAATTGTTTAAAGCAAAATAATAACAATATATTAAAGGGTTTAAAAGATAACATATTCTAAACGTTTCTGCACCTAAAAACAGAGGTTTAAAACACATGAAGCAAAAACTGATAGGACTTCCAAAAGAGATAGACAAATCCACAGTGATAGTCATAGATTTCTCCTGACCTTCTCTCAATAACTAGTAGAACAAAGTGGCAAAAAATCAGTAAGAATATAGAAGATTTGAACAACGCCATCAACAAAATGATCTGACATTTATACAACACTACACCTAACAACAGCAGATACATATTTATTTCCTTAAGTGTAGAATATTTATTAAGATAGATCATATTTTGGGGAATAAGGCAAGTTTTACTAAATTTAAGAGGATTCCAATCAGTCATACAAATAATGTTTTCTGACTACTATGGGGTTGAATTAGAAATCAATAAAAGAAAGATATCTGAAATATCCTCAAATATTTGGAGTCTAAATATACATTTATGCAAGTGTATTGCCTATTCAAAAATTAATATGAAGTTTTGTTTTTAAAGAAATGAGGTCAATTACCTTACACAGCTGACAAATAGTTGTTAAGGTGATTTCAAAGAGACATTCGTCAAAATATTCTAAGCTTTATTTGAATAGATATGTGTTCTCTCAAGAGTACCACCTTGAAGGAGAATAGTCTTTTGGGTGTATAAATTTGGTTAGTTTGCTAGAAAACCAGACTTAGTCCTATATAGGTCACACACTACCTATACAAAAACCCACAAAAGTTATTGAAAAAACAAAATTAATACTCTAGCAACAGACTTGCCACCAGAGCTGATATTCTTTTTTGTTTTATTTTGTTTTTGTTTTCCTTTTTTTAAATTTTATTATTATTATTATACTTTAAGTTTTAGGGTACATGTGCACAATGTGCAGGTTAGTTACATATGTATACATGTGCCATGCTGGTGTGCTGCACCCATTAAGTCGTCATTTAGCATTAGGTATATCTCCTAAATCTATCCCTCCTCCATCCCCCCACCCCACAACAGTCCCCAGAGTGTGATGTTCCCCTTCCTGTGTCCATGTGTTCTCATTGTTCAGTTCCCACCTATGAGTGAGAATATGCGGTGTTTGGTTTTTTGTTCTTGTGATAGTTTACTGAGAATGATGATTTCCAATTTCATCCATGTCCCTACAAAGGACATGAACTCATCATTTTTTATGGCTGCATAGTATTCCATGGTGTATATGTGCCACATTTTCTTAATCCAGTCTATCATTGTTGGACATTTGGGTTGGTTCCAAGTCTTTGCTATTGTGAATAGTGCCACAATAAACATACGTGTGCATGTGTCTTTATAGCAGCATGATTTATAGTCCTCTGGGTATATACCCAGTAATGGGATGGCTGGGTCAAATGGTATTTCTAGTTCTAGATCCCTGAGGAATCGCCACACTGTCTTCCACAATGGTTGAACTAGTTTACAGTCCCACCAACAGTGTAAAAGTGTTCCTATTTCTCCACATCAGAGCTGATATTCTTTACCTTTCTCTCAGGGAAGGCAAATAAATTGTTACATTTGTTGTTGCTTTTGTTGAATTGCTCAAATCTTCAACAAGTACTGATCAAGCACTCAATATTTGCCAGGCACCATATAGAGCAATAGAGCACAAAAGAAAACACAGTCCTTGCTCTCATGGAGGTTACATTCTAGTGGGGTGAGTGGGAGGGATAAACAAAACAAAAATCTAATATGTCAGGTGAGAAATGACATATGACAAAATAACACAGGCCAGGTAGCTAGAAATATTGATGGGGAGGACCAAATCAAGGAAGAATATTTCCCAACACAAGGAAATATTACTTTGTTGGAATCTTTAAAATTTAGGGTTAATTTTAGTTGTCTTTGGATGAAGTCACCATTTAACCAAACTTTCTAGACTTTTTCATGTGGAAGCACAAAAGAGTAACAGCCCTTGAAAAGCAAAAATTCAAGCATTTTTAATGGCAGTTGCCAAAGAGGAGTTTCTAGATCAGCAGCAGCATAAAAAAATGGAGGAAGCCAAGAGTCAGTTTAAAAGTCAGCAAATGTCCAACAGCTTAGTCTCTGAGGCCTATTGTTGATATGAGGAAGCTTATAACAAAAATAAAATAAAACATGCCCACTTCTCAGAAAGGTATTAAATATTGCTAACATTCCTTGAAAGTCTCCTCAAAGAAGCCCCTCTAAATTGGTTATCCAAATAAGTTTCTTTCTTTTGATTGGTAATGGTAAAAATAAGGCAGTACATATAAAGATGAGAACTTTGCACAGTAGGGTACAGCACTGTACCTTATTAAACACAATCAGTACAAGTCTTTCATCAGATAAAGATGGATCTAAACATCTCTATTGTAGAAAATCTCTCCAGGCAATCTGAATTCACCAGCTCAGCTAAGAACTATAAATTTGATAACTGTTTACCTCGTATCTTATGGTAGCATGAGGCTTGATTCATTGCAAGGAGACTGGGATTATGCTGTATGCACCAGCTAATAGAGCCATTATTTGGGAGGAGAAGTAACTTGAGGTAAGACTTGATGAAAAGGTAACAAAGTATCGGAGTTTGACTTTTATAATTACTTGGAAAAAATTATTGATAATCAAAAATCATAATTATCTGTAATTGTTTACTTGATATGGTATACTTTTTCCTTTGTTTCTGTCAAACCTTTTGAAAAATTACAATCTTGCCTTGTACCTTGATCAGTCCAGGATACCATATGCCCTATTTTGCAAAAGTCCAGTGCCAAAAGACACAGTCAGGGATGGCCAGGAGAATGTATGTTAACATGGTTTGGCTGTGTCCCCACCCAAATCCCATCTTGAATTGTAGTTCCCATAATCCCCATGTGTCGTGGAAGGGACCTCTTGAGAGGTAAGTGAATCATGGGGGCAGTTACCCCATGCTGTTCTCATGATAGTGAGTGAGTTCTCACAAGATCTGGTGGTTTCATAAGGGGCTTTGCCCCTTTGCTCGGCACTCATTCTCTCTCCTGCCACCTTGTGAAGGAGTGCCTTCTGCCATGATTGTAAGCTTCCTGAGGCATCCCCAGCCATGCAGAACTGTGAGTCTATTAAACTTTTTTTTTTTTGTAGACGGAGTCTTGCACTGTCTCCCAGGCTGGAGTGTGGTGGCATGATCTCGGCTCACTGCAACCTCTGCCTCCCGGCTTCAAGTGATTCTCCTGCCTCAGCCTCCCAAGTAGCTGGGATTATAGGTGCACACCACCACACCCAGGTAATTTTTTGTATTTTTAGTAGAGACAGGGTTTCACCATGTTGACCAGGCTGGTCTCGAACTGCTGACCTCATGATTCGCCTGCCTTGGCCTCCCAAAGTGCTGGGATTACAGGCATGAGCCACCACGCCCAGCCTAAATCTCTTTTCTTTATAAATTACCCAGTGTCAAGTATTTCTTCATAGCAGCAATTAGAAGAGACTAATACAGTAAACTGGTACTCATAGTGGGGCATTGCTATAAAGATACTCAAAAGTGTGGAAGCAACTTTGGAACTGGGTAACAGGCAGAGGTTGAAACAGCTTGGAGGGCTCAGAAGAAGACAGAAAGATGTGGGAAAGTTTGGAACTTCCTAGACACTTGTTGAATGGCTTTGCCCAAAATGCTGATAGTGATATGGACAATAAAGTCCAGACTGAGGTGGTCTCAGGTGGAGATGAGAAACTTATTAGGAACTGGAATAAAATTGACTCTTGATATGCGTTAGCAAAGAGACTGGCAGCATTTTACCCCTGCCTTTGAGATCTGTGGGACTTTGAACTTGAGAGAAATGATTTCGGATATCTGGCAGAAGAAATTTCTAAGCAGCAAAGCATTCAAGAAGTAACTTGAGTACTCTTAAAAGCATTCAGTTTTATGCATTCACAAAGAGATGGTTTGAAATGGAAACATACGTTTAAAAGGGAAGCAGAGCATAAAAGTTCAGAATATTTGCAGCCTGACAATGTGAAAGAAAAGAAAAACCCATTTTCTGAGGAGAAATTCAAGCTGGCTGCAGAAATTTGCATAAGTAATGAGGAGTCAAATGATAATTGCCAAGACAATGGGGAAAATGTCTCCAGGGCATGTCAGATGTCTTCACGGCAGCCCCTCCCATCACAGGCCCAGAAGCCTAGGAGGAAAAAATGGTTTCATGAGCCTGGCCCAGGGCCTGGATGCTTTGTGCAGTGTAGGGTCATGGTGCCCCAAGTCCCAGCTGCTACAGCCATGGCTAAAAGGGGCCAAGGTACAGCTGAGGCCATGGCTTCAGAGAGTGCAAGCCCCAAGTCTTGGCAGCTTCCATGTGGTGTTGAGCCTGTGGGTGCACAGAAGCCAAGAACTGAGGTTTGGGAACCTCCAACTAGATTTCAGAGGATGTATGGAAATGCCTGGATATCCAGGTAGAAGTTTGCTTCAGGGGTGGAGCTCTCATGGAGAACCTCAGCTAGGATAGTGAGGAAAGGAAATGTGGGGGTAGAGTCCCCACACTGAGTCCCCACCGGGGCACTGCCTAGTGGAGCTGTGAGAAGAGTGCCACCATCCTCCAGACCCTAGAATGGGAGATCCACTGACAGCTTGCACCATGTGCCTGGAAAAGCTGCAGACACTCAATGCCAGCCTGTGAAAGCAGTCAGGAGGGGAGGTGTACCCTGCAAAGCCACAGGGGCAGAGTTGTCCAAGGCCATAGGAACCCATCTCTTGCATCAGTGTGACCTGGATATGAGACATGGAGTCAAAGGAGATCATTGAATTTCATACTTGCATAGGGCCTATAGCCCTGTTGTTTTAGCCAATTTCTTCCATTTGGAATGGGTGTATTTAACCAATGCCTGTATCCCCAAAATAATTAACTAACTTGCTTTTGATTTTGCAGGCTCATAGGAAGAAGGGACTTGCCTTGCTCAGATGAGACTTTGGATTTGGACTTTTGGGTGAATGCTGGAATGAGCTAAGACTTTGGGTGATTGTTGGAAAGGCATGATTGTGTTTTGAAATGTGAGGACATGATATTTGGGAGGAGCCAGGGGTGGAATGATATGGTTTGGCTGTGTCTCTACCCAAATCTCATCTTGAATTGTAGTTCCCATAATCCCCACATGTAATGGGAGGGACCCAGTAGGAGGTAATTGAATCATGAGGGTAGTTACCTCCATGCTGTTCTCATGATAGTGTATGAGTTCTCACAAGATCTGATGATTTTATAAGGGGCTTTTCCCCCTTTGCTCGGCACTCATCCTCTCTCCTGTTACCCTGTGAAGAGGTACTTTCCACCATGATTTTAAGTTTCCCGAGGCCTCCCCAGCCATGAGGAACTGTGAGTCAATTAAATCTCTTTTCTTTATAAACTACCCAGTCTAGAGTATTTCTTCATAGCAGCATGAGAACAGACTAATACATATGTGTATGTACGTGTGTGACAAAAATAGAGGCTGGATCAGTGACTGGTTCATTCATTTACTCTGACTCAGTGCCTTATATTCTTCTGCTCTATGTTTGTTTTAACCCTGGCAAGAACAACATGTTTCATAAAGGGGACTAAATTGCAAGGAAGGGCCAGCTGGGAATCTGGGAGTTTCCTGCACCATATGAAAACACACTGCCAACATGCCACAGGTGTACATCACAGCAGCACGAAGGACAACATGGCATTGCAAAGGGTGTGGGAGGGAAAAAACAGAGACACAGTGGTTACATTTGAGGAAAGAAAAACACGCCTGGAAGACGACTGTGAATTATCTGAAACCTAAAATCTTTGCTTTGAAAAGTTTTGACACAGTGTATTGGTGAAAGTTACTGGTGTGTACCATTGAACAACAGAAGCAGATCACTGGTACTCTAATGCTCTACATAGTTCTTTAAAGTTCTGGGCAGCTTATCCTGAATGGATGAGTGGCAGATACACCATCTCATTTTAACCACAGAAACCTCTGTCACAGTAACATAAAAGGACAATGAAAAGGGCTATGAAACCAAAGTGCCCTCATGACTTTGATGTGGGCAGGGTTCATTGGTGCCTGTGAGTACCAACTTCATGGTACATTTTACCACCTGTGGCCATCAGTGGCTGCTGATTCTTATCTGTCCACATTGATTCAATTGCAGGTACAAGGTTTGAAGGTCCAGCTGAAAATGTGTATGCTGTGCCCGAACCCTACCCCAAAACCATCCCAAAATAAATAATTCAGGGAGAAGTTTGAATGCTTGTACTTCACATAGCCTAATATATTCAACTCAAGCTATAAATCTGCCTGATGTTTTATTGCCACACAGAATAGAACTCCTTGCCTTCAGATGTCAGCCCCATAGGACCACTGGCTGACGTGTTTCCAGATTCATATGGCGTCAATATAATGCCCTAGTACAGCTGTCTAGCATCATCAGCTGAAGCTACTATGGCACTGTTGAGGTATTCTTCCTGCCCTAGGTCAAAAGAAAGTTCAGGGACTATTTAGTTCTGTCACATAAACTAGAAGTCAGAAAAACTCAGTGGGTTGACGTTACGATTCAACCCAAAATCTATAATTTGAAATAAAGCTTATTAGAATCACAGTTTTGGTCAAAGTCAACGTCTTGCTAACTAATTTATTCCTATTCTATAATAGTTCCTCATAGACATTTATGCACAATGAGTCTCTCTAAAGACTTCTCTTCCATAAGCAATATGAATAGAGAAAAGGAGTGAGGAGAGATGGTTCGAACTAAAACGGATAACGAGACTGAGCCCCAGTTAGGGTTCATGTCTTGGGTCACTCAGATATGTAGTGGCTACTCTGAGCCTAGATGCTGAGTCACCTCTCTCTGCAGAATGATCTCCCTCCATGTTTCTATTATTAAATAGTTTCTTTTCATAAATATACTCTCCTTATCTCTTGTTTAGTGCAAAGTAGTTTTTTAAAATAGGAAAGATATCATATTTTTAGAAACCAAAATCAAAACAAACTCTAAAGATGAATTTTGGTCTAAGGATTTTATGAATTAATTTATTTATAAAGTTGGACCAAGCTATAATTTATATATAAATTATATACAGCTATATATTTTACAATTCTTCTGTACTCTAAAGGATAAAATTTTTCAAAAAAGACCTTGCTAAAAATAGTACACCATACAGAAAAGAGTGGGATTGGGAATGGGACTTATTTAGTTCAAATCTTGGCTCCAATGGTGAATAGCCATGTGACCATGAGCAAGGTAATTGATACCCCTGAGCCTGGGCATCTTCATCTGTAGAATGTGGATAATAAACTGTCTTACTGGGTCACTGTGAATACTGAATGTAACACATATAAGCAAATCTCCCCAGGCTGGTGTCTGGCATAGAAGCACTCAACAAATATCTTTCTTTCTTTCTTCTACTTCTCTTTTCTCTCTTTGCCATTACTTTCAATGGCAAAAACCACAATTACTTTTGCACCAACCTAATATATAGACCGATCAATCCTTTCACAAGTTTTCCCAAGGCACCAGTTGTTGGGATATGTTTAAATCATTGCCTTAGGAAAACCAACATGACCCGAAGGTCTCCTGGACCTCCAGGTATCTATAGGCACTCTAATACTCCAGTCAATCAAGAGGAATCACATTCATTTCTTCCATGAATCTTTCCTTAATTACAGCAGCCCCCATTAGCCAGCCCCCTGTTCTGTTGGTGACCCACAACACCTAAATCTTGGACCTCACAGCATAGCACTTCACTATGCTCTCTGGTATTTTGAGTGATTAGTGTTGGCTTCCAAACAAAACTGAAATTTCTTAATGTCAAGGAATAACTTCTTATTTCAGCCTTGAGGATAAATAGATATTGATGGGTTAATCTGCCTAAGAAGAATCATATTTAGTCCTGGACTAACAATCATTTCAAGAACCCCAGTACCAACAAAAACAATAATGTAGAGTATTACCACAAACCCTGAAAACTAACAAATTTTATTTGTAACCTCGAAAAATTAAATACATTCTTGAGTTAAACACAATTTAATTAAATATAATTTTTTGAAGGCTTAAGTTAAATGCAATTCTTGAAAAGCTTTTCAGAGAATATATTTGAAAGTAAAGTGCATGTTAATTTTCCTAAGGTTTATAAAAATTAAATGAATATTTTACATGTTTTTATATGAGAAACAGTAAAAATGTATCTTTTCTGGGAATTAAAGCTCTTAGGGGACCTATGTATGTCTGATTTATTCCAAGACTACATACAGGGTAAATTTTAATAACGGTGTGATATAGTGTATTTTCTCTATATTTTAACTTTTCTGAAGTGAAAACATTGAGTTTCTGGCCAAAATAGTTTGAATATAAAGATAATTTAGTAAAAGTATAACAATTCTAGACTTTCTATATTCATACATATTGTCATAGGCAGAGATAGTTGTGTAATTTTGCATTACGGATCTTTTTTTTCTGGTTTAAGGGCAATATGCCATGTGTGTGGGGAGGGGTCAGGGGAGGGAAACTACTTCCCTACAGAAAAGTAGTATAAGTCATCAAAAACAGAAGTTTATTTGTGAGGGTTGTGGTTGGAAAATTGGTCACTATTCACTTTTTGAGATTTTCGAAAAGTCCCTTCTTTACTCCTTATTTCCACAAAGGATAAAAAATCATGTGAATTGGAATGTACACGACATCACTATATTTTTCCAGCTAGCAAATATTCACCTGATTAGACATCACTGACTCCTGAAATATACATGTATATGTATGTACACACAGACACACATACAAACATGTATTTGGTTCATATACATATGTATGTTTCCATTGGCATTTTCCCCTGTAACATACTTTAATGTTTTGTTCAGTTATTTTTCATTACTTAGATGGACGTCATTTACTGATTTTCTTGGTGATATTGTTGTTTAATATGCATAGGAACAAAAAAATGTAGTCAAGATCTGCTTCTTGAAGTTATACAAGCAAAACTGGGGTATTTCTAATTGATTCAAATTGCACCGGGAAGAAGTGATAGATTGGAAATGACCTCAGGGAGCATCCCCAGCGCCAGATTAGACAGTCATAGGCAAATGGGTGGCCTTTGTTAGGAACCATATGCTTAATTAGGTGGGGTAGTTTGGGCTCGGTGCGTGGGCACAAATGAGGGGATAAAAAGTCAATCAGCATGTGTGGCTCCAGGTACTACATGCACTTGACCTAATTAGAAAGGCCCAGTTTGGAGACCCTCATGGAGTTTCCATCCCACTGTCTGGGAATTAGTGTCCCGGGGCTCCCTTCTTCAAGCTTGTCAGAGCATCCAAGGAAAACTTACCACCCTCACACAAAAGAACTATTGATGGGGGCCATGAGTCAACTGGAAAACATACATGGAACTTTCTCAACTTGTTTCTTTCCATTGCTGCAAAACAGAATGGCTTTTAATTTGGATTTCCACTCAACAAAAGAACGGCATCACATTGACAAGCATTTACAAGTGTGCCTTAAGGCAGGGAGGAGACCAGTTCATTAGGAACTAAATTTCTAGTAAACACCTCAATAGGCAGATCCAGTGCACAAAATTCAGACTGAGTTATTTCATGCCTATTTTATGCTTAGATGAACTCTTGAGATGCTCAAGATCACGAAAGTCTCATGGGGAAGATGGGGTGCAGAGGATAGAGTGGTCCCAGCTCTACTTTGAGTGGGGGATCTCCTTCAGCCACTTCCTTGGGCATGCAAAGATGATTGCTCAACAGAAACTAATCTTATACTGAATGTCACACGTAACATGTGCTTGTATCTTAGTAAGTCAGTATAGTTGAATCAAAGAACTACATATAAACAATAGAAAAAAAAATGCCCCTGGCAGATGGCAAAGGGAAATTCTGTTTCCAGTTTATTCCTTAATTGAGCTCTGTGTAAAGTACATGAAGAGATTCTGAAACTCTTTTTTTTTTTTCTCTGTCTCCAGCTAATGCTGTTTTCCAGTCTTTGAGCTGCCAATGTACGATGAGAAATCCACTCATTGACATGACAGAAAAGACAGTTGTACAGCAGAAATGGTATGGTCTGTTGCAATAAATTACAGGTTTCCTTTTCATGTTCAGCACAAGAGGCGGCCCTCATGCAATTAGCTACAGCTGGTTAAAGAAAAAAACCATGCATCTGCAGACGGATCAGACTGGGAATCAACTCTTATTTTCTGGCACATGTCACTATAAGAACAGAAAAAGAGACCTGATTTTTGTTCCTGAGCATAATCCATTTAAAAAACTTGTACTTCCCCTTTCTGAATCACCAAGATAGTGTACCATTTGGGGAAATACATCTAGTCATGTTTTTTTCCTTAAGGTCACTGGCTATGACAAAAAGCTGAGTACCTTTCACTTGATTCTTGTCTTCTTGGGCTTCACAAAACCTTTCTTCCGAGTACCTTAGTTTAATGCCTACTCTTAATTACACAATTCCCACTGTGTGCTATTCTCTGACTTGTAGTTTATATGGGTATGCTAAAGTCTTGGAAAGATGATTTGATATATTTTGTGTCTTTCTGCTGCTGTTCAACGATAATTTTCATGATACAATTTCTAGTTTATTTCAGAAAGATGAAACATGCAGAACTCTCAAGAACCATTCTAATTCCACATGTATGGGGCACTGAGTCATAAATATATTAATAATATATGCATGTCACTCTAGTATATAAAAGATGTACAAATATGTCAATCCCTGTACCAAATGCATAGTTTGTGCTCCCAGAGGCAACCTCACAAAATACTGGTTAACATCAGATCGAGGAAGTTATACATACAAGTCATTATAATGTATACACATGCAAATAATCCACTTCTTCACACTCTGTATAACACTCTAGTCATTTTTATTCTGCAAAGGAAGTCAGCCCTAGGAAGTCTGGGACTTCCAGACCTATGATTTTGCTATAACATAATTTTTTAATCATTTCAGTAGTTAAAAGCACCTGTTTTCTTACCGGTCTTAGTCAAGGAAAGCCATTTTGTAAATGAATGAGGGTAAAAATCAAGAAATTGAGGCAAAAGTTTAAGAGTAAAATTGTCCGCACTCATCTTGTGGAACTATTGAGGGGCCCTATGGAGTTATTAATAATTCATTTAGACACATTCAAATCTCATGAAAGTAAGAAGAGGTTTTGCCTTGGTGTCTGTTTTTTTGTTTAACACAGAAGAGAGAAATTATAATGAAAATCATCTGTAATTACTGATTCCCCCCAAAATTGGCTGTGTTTGTTTTACAGAGAAGCAGAAAAGCTACTGATGTTTCAAAAGGCGGGAGGAGGGAAAAAATAACTCGACAGTTCAGCTGAAGATCACAAGGCATTTGTTGAGATGTCTCCAGAGCATTTGTCTGAAGATTTATTTTTAAAGCTGTGCTTAAAAGTAAAAAGCCGCTTCCCAGTTTCCCTCCCGTGTGTCGCAACCAACCTTAACTGTGCCATCAAAACAAAGAAAACAATGATTCCCATATTTTTGTTTCATTAGGTTTAAGAGAGACATACAGAAAGAACACCCTTTAAACAACGAAACAGCAAGTCAATGTTACATGTTTGGAAGAAAAGAAAGGAACCAGAGTGTGGGCCCAGACAACAAATTTCTATCATCTTAAAACCTGTAATTTGCTTGAGAATGTGCGGTTTCCTTGAACTGGACTTCCAGTCTCCTTGTGTAATGAGCAAGTTAAGTGTGAATGAAAACAGGTTAGGGGGCAGGGGAATGATGAGATCTGAAGGCAAATACTTGCAAAATTATGAGAGTAAACACTATCTTTTGAACATATTCAAATTAGTTCTTTTTCCCCCATTAGAAAAATTTTGCTCTTAAAAACAGGGCAGTCTAGAGAGCCCCCATGTAAGTGTCAAAAATTACATTCAACTGGTATGTATTTAGTAAAAATCATCTTCCGATAAAAGCAAACACACTGTGGAGTGAAAATTAGGAAAATTAACCTGTAAATAATGATAAAGACCTATTGAGCATCACAGCTTTTGAAATTCGATTAATTATCCCTGGAGATGTTTCAAACTGAGGAGGACAAAACACTAAAATATGTATTAATATTTTAAAAAGAGCATGGGTGAGATAAATGATCTTTCTTTTTATTTTGCAGTTTAAAATTAATAAATATTCTATATTGGCCATTTTTGAACATCATTTAATCCAAGAAAGGTGACAAATTATAATATTATTAAATAAATGTTTCCTGACAGTCACACCAATCACAAAAAAAGGAAACTGCCTGAATGCACAACATTTTTTATTTATACCTAGAGAAAAATAACACAGAGCTTCTTGGTGATATTATTTTAATTATTTTGGCAGTTTGTTGATAGTGCTTGAGGATCAGTTCAAAAAATACAGAAGAAAAATTTGCCCCCCATCTAAGCCCAGACCTTCAAACTACTTCTCAATAGGTGATGCAAACTGATGGTTTGATAAGATGATGATTTCCTTTTAATGAATCCCTGGAAGGATATCGAGTTGCAGGTGAGGATGGAAAAATTTATACCTTACCAAAGCCCCACTACAAGTCTTTCATGTAGGAGCATTAAATTCACTCATGCCACAAAATGTACTGAAGGCCTACTATTGCCAGGCATTCTGCTGGGCTATAGTAAACAAAGCAGACAAACACACCTGCTCGCAGCAGAAAATAAACAATAAACATAACATATAAGTAAATCATATAGTATGTTACAGGGTGATAAGCGTTGTGACTAAAGGGAAACATAGGGCAGGATAAGGGAGGTCAGGAGGTTGAGTGTTGGAAGTACATTTAAATAGGATGATCAGGAAAAGCCTCACTGAAAAGGTGACATTTGAGTACAGATCTGAAGGAGGTGTGGGAGTCAGGCATATGGATAATCCAGGGTTTCTCAACAGCGGTAATACTGACATCATGGGCCAGATGATTCTTTGCAGTGGGGACTGTCCAGGGCATTATAGGATGTTTAGCAGCATCCTTGGCCTCTATCCACTAGATGCCAGCAGCCCACCCCACCCACCCTACTTGTGGTACCAAAAACGTCTCCAGACATTGTCAAAAGTTTCCTGGAGGAAAAGTAAATCACAGCTGAGAAACTGCTGGTTTGGCTGGAGGTAGGAGCTCACCTAGTAGGGTAAAGAAACAAAAGGAAGTCAAGGTGTGGCCAGAGTGGAGTAAAGGTGGTTGGGGAGTTGGAGCTGAGATCAGAGAGGTCACTGACTCGACTGATCTTGCAGTGCTTTATAGGCCATTATAGATCCCATATCTTTTACTCTGAATGACATGAGAAGTCACCGGAGAGTTTTGAAAGGAGGATACACTGAGTGGAATGAGTGGGGCAGGGGGAGAGGCAGGCAGATCAATTAGAAGGTTCCTACTACACCCAAAGCAAGGGATGATGGTGGCATCCACCAAGGCAGTGAAAGATGATCAGATGCCGGATATGCTTTTCATTTAATGAATGGGATTTCCTGTCATATGAGAAAAGGAAGCTTGAGAAAAAGAGGAGTTAAAGATCCCCACACAACTGGAAGCATAGAAGTACCATTACTGAGCTGAGAATTGCAAGAGAGAATTCGGAGAGCAGATCAGGGAATTCGTTTTCAATCATTCCTTGGCAAGTAAGAGACAGGAGAAAATGTATTTTTGTGTACATCATTACGTTTTAAATCAAAGCAGTGGCAAAATTTTTCACATGTGAATGTAATGTTGGGTAAGAAAATAGAGAAAAAACTTTATCTTTATGTAGAATCTGTGTAAATGCTTCTCTTGGTGCTAAAGGACAGAGATTTCATAATGAATGTTTATTCCTAATACAAGAATCTCAACGTAGACATGCTACGTGTGCATCTGCCCTATGAACATATGTCTTGGTTTGGGTTTGTATCAAGGGATGTCTCAATAATATTACAAGTTATTTTTGTTTTCTAAAGAGAATCTTAATTGTTCTAAAATAATGACTATTTCCAGTGGAGATGCTGACTACTAGAAGTAGATTCTTTCAGGGCTTTGTTCTTACTTCTCTCACATCAGTGGCCATGTGGTATCACCGTGTGTCTGGGGTCTTCCATGTCATTCCCACAGAACCCAGGTGTTCAAAGACATGGGTCAGAGTTTATTCACCTTTGTATCCCCAAAGCCTATCACATAGTAGACACAAAATATCAAATATTTGAAGGAGTAAATAAAAGAATGATTACAAAGAAGCTCAACACTGTGATATATACATTTACAACATTAGACACACAAACCAGTCCCAGAAAGGCAGAAACCATATCTCGTCTCCTTCTCTTCTCCTTTCCCTTTCCTTCCCTTTCCCACTCCTCCTGCCTAGTCAGATGGAATATGGAAGACTTGGAAATCAATCAGCCCTGAGTTGGAATTTCAGCTCTCCCACTGGCTACTTGTATGAATTTAGACAAATTATCAAGTGACAAGTCTGTGCTAGATTACTTGATAGGCAGACTAGCTCTTGTTTTGACCTCCAGTAGAGCAACAGCTGGGTGTCTAGGATTTTATAGTCAGAAAATCTTTAAATCCAAAAGTAGTTCTTTTAATTCTCACATGCATGTATTCCATTTTAGCATTACTTACCCAATCTGGAGGGTGGCAGGGCCTCTAAATATCTTAATATTGCCCTCTGGTTGACACTGTTTAGATCCCTAGGACACAGTGAGTAGGACAGACCTGGCCTTGCCTGCATGGAGCTTTCTGCCCAACAAGGAAGGTAGACTTTAAACAAATAATTACACAGATATTTATTTCTGGTTGAGGTAAGTGCTGGAAAGGAAATGAATGGCAGGAATTCAGCCAAATTTAGGGGGAGGGGTGGGCAGAGGGTTTTCCGTGAATGGTGAATTGCAGTTAGGGGTGGTATGCATAGTTAAGGAGGGAAGAAGCTAGAGGACATAGGACTTGGGGAAGAAGAGTGCTCCAAACTGAAGGAGCTTAAGAACCCAGTAAGGGCCTGGGCTTCTATATGTCTTTATGAATGAAATCAACATAATAATACTCATTGTAGTTCCTCAGATTATGTTGGCTGGATGAATGAGTTCTCAGAACCCCTTGTCAGCTACACATAAACACACACACACACACACACACACACACACACACACACACTCACATACCCCTAAAATTCCAAAGTCAACCACCTGGCAAGCCCCTGTTCCCAAGGAACTTAGGCTTCTGGCTGGCTCGTATTCAAATGGCCACTTTGTTTTTCATCCAAGTTCTTCTGAATTGCTCTTCAAACCACAAAGGCACTTGACAGTTATTTGTGTTGTAAATAAGATCGCATCATTCACCTGCAGCAGGCTGTAGCTGATCTACCTTTCCTCAAGGATGCTGTATCTAAATGACTAATGAGGTCATTGGGTGGTTATGGCTACTGTTGTCTATATGAAATTACAGCTAAACCTTGTAATCATGGCATCTGCTTTTGCTTTGTTTTTAATGAAGCCTATAGACTAGGGGTCTTTTTCAACGCTTCACAGTTTTTCTCTTTAGTTCAGAGGAAACTAAATGAAAGGAGCACTTCTTTTTTATTTAAGAATGATTAGAGATTAAGTGAGCTCAACTAAATGAGGAAAATAAAACATGAAGACCTACTCCAGCAGTCACCTCTTCATGAAAGCCCCTGCGGATCATGTATTTATGTTAACTCTGTCATGAAACATGATCTTTATTGCAACTTGCCAAATAAGTTTCAGCTCAGGGGCAAGTCTACTTTCCCTCTAGACTACATTTGCAAACTGACCCCTTTCTAAAACCATTAAAATATTCAGGAGAACCCAACTGGCCACTTGCATCCTAGGCCATTCTTCTATTGCAGTCACTTCAGGACCATTAAGAAAAGAGGGGGAAAAATCTGGCAAAAAAATGTTCCCAACTCATCATAAGTTCCTCTCATCACTTCTGTAATTTTGAAAATTAAATTGCCAAGATATTTAGAAGTTTTTGAATTGTTTGAATTCTTACAAGTTTCATACATTCTATACACGTCGTCAGAAAGACTTCAGACATCCCCATCACTATGGATAACCAACTAATTGTGCACATTTGCAAGCTGTCAGCTTTTCTACATTTCTCTCTAAAACTTTTCAAATCTAGTTTAATCACCCAGACAGCAAGGGGGAAGAAAGTAGCATTTTATATTGAAGAACAAACTAAAATTAAATAGCAAATCTGGAAAATGCAACCACAGCATGTTGTTTATTCAATCCATATCCATGTTGGGTGTGAACAATGTACATGCTACTCCAGAGGAATACAAAACAATTAAACATATTATTCCTACTTCCAAGGGCTTATGATCTAACTGAAGAGATATGTACAAAGATGTTACATTGCATAATGACACAATTTTCTCTGCTATGGATGATTAGTAAGAAAAGGCAGGTGTTTCCCTGTGTCCTGGACATCTTCACATGTAAGGTGCACTAAGTTGCATGCCTTGATGCCAGCTTCCCAACTGGCCCTGTTGGTATTATACCTCTTAGCTTTGGAACATCCAGACTTGCTTGCCTTGCATGTTTCTGTCCATGAGGTGCTGCTGATAATGAGCAGATTCCAGCCTCTCCGCCTCCTCCTCCTCATCAAGTAACCTTGATAGGGCACTGCAAGGAGCAATCATAGAGGCTATCCAGACCAAAGGGGCAGAAGGAGCAAATGAAGGGCCCCAGATCAGTCATCTAAAGATGTTTCATGTCAATGACAATGCCCAGGGAGTGGAAGTACAAGTAGGCGTCCGAGGTGTTTCAAAACCCTCTGAAGAAACAGCAAGATGTTGTGGCCTGACCCTTGATCCTAAAAGAACTCTCACTGCTTTCGAATTCTGTACCTCTGAGGTGGTATCTTGACATGTCCCTAAAAAACCTCTACACAACAAAATTCTTGCTCAGCTTAGAAACTCATTGCTGTCAGTAAAATTGACCTATTATGTAACAGCACCTACCTCTCTCGGAGATAAAATTACAAAAATGCTGAGAAATGTACAAAGCAAAAAGGTAAAAACTGGTGTTATTTACAGCATGTTTTTTCAAACTGTAGGTTGAGACCCTTTAGGAAAGTGAAATCAATTTGATGCAACCAAATACAAGTTTAAAAAATGAAACAGAACAGGAAAGAAGAGATGAGAAAATATCAGAGAGTATCTCATAAGAGTAAATATTGTCTTGTAAAACTTTTGTTCCAGTGTGTGTGTGTATGTGTGTGTGTGTATGTGTATATGTGTGAAATCATGATGTCACATGTATTCCTTACTATGGCTCATGGTAGAAAGCATTTGAAAAGTACTATACACCATTGCCTCAACACCCTCATCAACATAAATTCCTAAAACCAAACCAACCAAGTTACTGTTGGTGTGACATTTGGTCCTACCCCAAGGTCATACCCAACTCTTAAGTGTGGAAGTGGCTCCAGGCTGCCATTTATTTCATGGAATGGAACAAGAGAACATAATCAAACAAGAAGACACTGATCCCAGCTGCTGCTCCCAGCCAGATCCCTGCGTAATACTCTGTACACTTGTATTTGCTTCTTTTGGGGGTGAAGGATGGGGTGTTTTTATGTATGCCCATTGATATGGTTTGGCTGTGTCCCCACCCAAATCTCATCTTGAATTGTAACTCCCACAATTCCCATGTGTTGTGGGAGGAACCTGGTGAGAGGTGATTAAATTATGGGGGTGGGTCTTTCCTGCACTGTTCTCATGATAGTGAAAGAGTCTTACAAGATCTGATGGCTTTAAAACCGGGAGTTTCCCTGCTCAGTCTCTCTTGCCTGTTGTCATGTAAAATGTACCTTTTACCTTCCACCATGATTGTGAGGTATCCCCAGCCCACGTGGAACTACAAGTCCATTAAACCTCTTTTTCTCTGTAATTTACTCAGTCTTATGTGTGTCTTTACCAGCAGCATGAGAACAGACTAATACACCCATTAAAAGGCTTTGTATTGAATTTTGGCTTCATAATACTATTTTAATAGTATGTAATAATAGTAATAAATGCATACTTATTGTGTACTTTATATGCATTATCTCATTTAATTATTCATAGCAACCTTCTAAGATAGATTCTAACATTATTCCCATTTTCAGATGGCAAAACCAAGATTCAGAAGATCAAGTAATTTGCTCAAGGTCCACATAGCGGTAGAGCCAACACTCAAATCCAAATCTGTTTGACTCAATACTATTGTCATTTATCGTGTTGTTCATGTAGAAAAGGCTGTTCACTCTTCGAACACTTTGCTTACTAGACCGATTGATCATAAAAGAAAACATTAATCAACGTCTTCTTGATCTTTTACTTTTTTTTTTTTTTTTGAGACAGTCTCACTCTTGTCACCCAGGCTGGAGTGCAGTGGCACCATTGTGGCTCACTGCAACCTCCACCTCCCAGGTTCAAGCGATTCTTCTGCCTCAGCCTCCTGAGTAGATGGGATTACAGGCATGTGCCACCATGCCCAGCTAATTTTTGTACTTTTAGAAGAGATGGGGTTTTGCCATGTTGGCCAGACTGGTCTCTAACTCCTGACCACAGATGATCCGCCCATCTTGGCCTCCCAAAGTGCTGAGATTACAGGTGTAAGCCACTGCGCCCGGCCCATCTTTTACTTCTATGTTAAAATCCTTCCCACTACATTTGACCCAAAAGTCAATTGGAATTTTTCAATTTCAACGGAGAACACCAATTCATTGATGGGTGGGCATGGCTAATGTACACCACATACACCCCATGTAGTGATCATCTCTCCGAATACTGTGCTTATTCAAACACAGATCTCCACATACAATTGGAAACAAATTGAGAAGTAAAACAAAAAATTTTTTTAATCTGTTACTCTACGTTATTGTTCCTCTGCTTTAGCATTTTAAATAGGTAAGTCTGTAGCATATTTATTAATAATAATTATTCCTTTAGCTCTAAAATTAGAAACTGGTTTTCTGTCTAATCTTCCCTTTATACCTTGAATTGTATGTCTTATTCTTTATTCCTTCTAGTTTTTTCTCATTTAAAAATATCCCTTCAACTTCTGGGTTTGTTTTATAGGTATTTGGAGATCTGGTTTACTTTAAAACAATGAAGCAGACAGAAGCCCCTGAGGGTAACTTATGGAGAACTGGGAGGTCCTACTGACTTAATTAAACTGGCAACAAATCAATAGAAACAGAAGAGAAGAGGAAAGAAAACAATAATTAAAACATTCTGTCAAAAAATAGAACAGTAATTAGAAGATGTGAACTATTGTTTTGCCACACTAATTACATTTTTATTTTCAATAGATTGCTGAAGTCCATTAAAAAAAAAACTTAGCCTTTTATAGTATTCTGCTGCGCTGGTGTCTCTACTAGGTTGATAACACTGTGATTATCACAACTGAATGGCTGATATTTTCACCAAAGGGGGCTGGGGCAAAGAAAAAAATGATGCACTGCTCTTTATATAATGTGAATAAAATCCTTTATATATTCATTCTGATGTGACCCATCTTTGGTCATCGTACATGCATTTATGTGTGCATATAAGATCATTTATGATGGATGATGATGGTGGCAATAAGGATGATGATGATAGCTGCTCTCTATTGAACACCATGTACCAGGCACTTTGCAAAGCACATAACATGTATTACCTGATTTAATTCTCATAACAAATGTATTATTTACATAATTGTATTATTTCCTTATTTTGTAGTTGAGTTCATCCGACTCCAGAGCCTATTCTCTGAATGAGTATGGTTCAACTAGAGTGTGCTGAGGCCAGCAAAACTCATGACAAGGCCAGCAGAAAAATCAGCTACAAGTTGCTCTGCCCTTCACCAATCATTGCTATACCCATGTGACTATGAGCCTTCATTTTATGGGGACTGTGATTTCAAAGCTGTTAAAAATGGGAGGCAAAAACAGGCACCTTACAATTCTTCCAAGGAGTTTTGCTGCAAAGGGAGGTAGAAAAATGAGCCCTACTGATACGGTTTGACTGTGTCCCCACCCAAATCTCATCTTGAATTCCCATGTGTTGTGGAAGGGACCCAGTGGGAGGTAATTGAATCATGGGGGCAGGCCTTTCCCATGCTGTTCCTGTGATAGAGAATAAGTCTTATGAGGTCTTATGGTTCTATAAGGGAGAGTTTCCCTGCACAAGCTCTCTTCTCTTGTCTTCTGCCATGTGAGATGTGCCTTTCACCTTCTGCATGATTGTGAGGCCTCCCCAGCCACATGGAACTGTAAATCCATTAAGCCTCTTTTTTTTTCCAAGATGGAGTCTCACTCTGTCACCCAGGCTGGAGTGCAGTGGCACAATCTCTGCTCACTGCAACTTCTGCTTCCTGGGTTCAAGCAATTCTCCTGCCTCAACCTCGCAAGTAGCTGGAATTACAGGCATGCACTACCATGTCTGGCTAATTTTTTTGTATTTTTAGTAGAGACAGGGTTTTGCCATGTTGGCCAGGCTGGTCTCAAACCGAATGCCTAACCTCAAGTAATCCACCCGCCTCAGCCTTCCAAAGTGCTGGGATTACAGGCGTGAGCCACCACACCTGGCCTAGACCTTTTTATTTTGTAAATTGCCCAGTCTTGAGTATGTCTTTATCAGCAGCATAAGAATAGACTAATTACCTACCTAGTTGATTAAAAAAAAAAAAGCGTGGTCAAGAGAAATTTCAAAATTCAAGAAAGAACAGCATGCATGCATACTGATGAAATAAGTCAGTAGAAGGGAAATGCC
Source organism: Homo sapiens (assembly GCF_000001405.40). Taxonomy (NCBI): domain Eukaryota; kingdom Metazoa; phylum Chordata; class Mammalia; order Primates; family Hominidae; genus Homo; species Homo sapiens. Next base: position 105,703,511 of record NC_000006.12, read on the forward strand.
GACTGATGTTAGAGAAAAAGGAGAGTCTCTGGAGTGATACCCTTAGGTGGGTAAGAAGAAATGGGAGCTACAGCAAAGTGGGAAGATTAGATTCAAGAAGGAACATAGTAAATTTCATGAGAGTAATAGTCAGGAGGCCGAGCATATGATGCACATGATGGAGATGCGGATAGATATGGTAAAGGATGTCTGTGGAACTTCTTTTATGATTGAGAAAAATGGAAAATTAAAGCAATCAGAAAATCTTCATGAATGGTTATGTTTAAACACACACATGCATACGCGCACACACACACGCACACGCACACACACACACATGCATGTGCGTGCACACACACAAACACACACACACACACACACACACACACACACACACACACAGAAATGCAAACTGAAATATTTCCAGGTGAAATGACACGTCATCTGGTATTGCTTTAAAATGCTTCAGGAAAAAAATTAGAAGTACATCTCAGAGTTAATGGAATAATAACTGACATTAATAATAATAATAATAACTGACATTTATTGAGAACTTACTGTGAGCCATTGAATTAAGTGCTTTACAACTGAGCATAATTCCTGGCTCTCTTGATTCTGTTTTCATTTGTGCCCATTCTCCCAGAAGGGTAAGAGGGGCTCCTCTTGGCCTTTCCTACCTTATCTTGTAAACATTCACTCCTAGATCCACAAACCTGAAATCCCTTGGCTGTGCATTGGAAACCACCAGTGAGTGTCAAGTGAGTGACCGATGATCCCTTCCCTTTCCAGCAGCAGTGGTGCCGTCATACCCTGGCGACGCTGCTTCTCCTGGGAAAAGCTGGTACTGAAAAGCCGGTAGAAAGACTGAAAGCTAGTCAGCTGGGCAATTGCTGAACTTTCAGTCCTTCTAATTCTGGGTTTTATTTACTTCTCTGAGGTTGTAGAAACACTGGTATGTACAGGGGGAAAGAACACAAAGGTCTGCTCCAGACAACTGTCTAGATAAACCAAATCTTGGTGTAGGCAACGTGATGAAGTCATTGAAATATTAATTAAGGGATATCTTTATCCTGGTACTTTCTTTCATATCCTTTGTCCTGTGTCCCCTCATTTTGTCACTGAGGGTAGCCCACATCCACTGTTCCAAGAAGAGATATGAACACAGAAAGCACAGGAAAGAGGAATTCACTTCCTCAATTCTGAGTGCAGAAATACAGAAGAAGCATGGAATCCTAGCATAGGAACAATCTGGGATGAAGCCTTTCGAGGAAGAACAAGTCTTCCACAAGGTATGGAACAAAAAATGACCTGTGAAAGGAAGTAGTGTAGTGGCCAACCCTGGGAAAGGGGAGCTGATTGAGGGTAGCTGAAGAAACAGAAATATTGAGAATGCTATGTATTCGTTTGCTAGAGCTGCCATAACAAAGTATCATAAACTGAGGAGTTCAGCAACAGAAATTTATTGTTTCACACTTCTGGAAGCTAGAAATTTGAAATTAAAGTGTTGGCAGGATAAGTTTCTTCTGGGAGCTGTGAGGGAAGGATCTATTCCAGGCCATTCTCCTCGGTTGTCTTCTCTCTGGGTGTCTTCATATCATATTTCCTCTACAGATTGGGCACTAAGAAGTGCCCAAATTTCCCCTTTTCGTAAGGACATCAGTCATATTGGATTGGGGCCTGCCCTACTGATTTCATTTTAACTTGATTATCTCTATAAAGATGTCATCTCCACGTATAGTCATATTCTGAGATACCGGGGGGTTAGGACTTCAACATATAAATTTTGGAGGGGGAAGGAGACACCCAATTCAACCCATAACAGGTTGGAATATGGGAATTTTCTTGAAGGGACCCTGCGGATGTGCACCACAATAACACTGTGCTTCTCTGAGCAGCCCTCCATCACTAGTGCCCTGGAGCCATATGGGGGCTGAGGCAGCCTCCATAGACAATTCACCTCCTCTCCCCCACCTCTCGGGACCACAGTATCTTACACTCTCATCATCATCTGGGGCAGTTTCTCTTTGTCCAATGGGACTATTGCACAGCCAGAGGGAATCACACCCATCTGTGCCCTAACACTTGGCACCACCTCATCTATGTAGGCGCATGCCTTATCTATGTAGAGAACCCGATTGTATCAATCCACAACAGATTTCCCTACCACACCAGGTCAGCAGGGCTCTGATCATGGGGCATCAGGGTGGCAATATAAATGGAAAATCCTTCTATCACTATTGTGGTTGAACCACAGAATACCATCGGCAGCAGTGGCACAGTGCTAAAATCCACTCCCGGCATAGGTAATGTGCAAGGTAGACATTTTTTTATTACGTCTATCTTTGTCTGTGAAGGTTTTCTTTTCATGGTTCTGTGTCCAGCTCCAATAGTTGGGGGTTAAAAGAAAAAGTTTGACAAACTTTCTTCTAATTTCTAATCTGATTTCAAATTTTCTAATTCCTCACCTGATTCTAAATTTTCTAATTCCTAATCTGATTCCGAATTTTCAAAGTACTTACTAAGTCCAGGGTATGAAAAGAGTATCAAACCTAAGGATAGAATTACCAAACATGCAAGTCTGTTTTCTAATTTTATAGGGGGAAATCTCACTAATCATGACACATCATATAAAATAATAACTGCCATATAATAACATGTAATAATATATAATAACAAGTAATATTCAGTGTTATGGTTTTCTCCAGGATTTCTAAGGTCATGGCTAGAAAACACAAAAGGAAGTTTGAGTGTAATTTGCTTCCCCTCTCTCCCAAAAATATTATTAGACACACTTTGAACACATATTTGGTGAGCTCTGCAAATTAAACCAAATTTTGCCCCAGTTCAAGCCAAGTTAATACAAGTCTTAAAGGGCAGGAAATGAGTGGGTGAAGAAAGAATCTGAAATCAATTGATTTAAGAATCACTTCGTCACTGCAGTGACAGCCTTGATGTATAGATTTCTACCTGGGAGAGAGGTCAAGAAACCTTGTCAACTGTTCTCAGAGGCATCAGTGCTGGTGTGGCCAAAAAGGCTCACAAAATGTTGAGCATCTTTAAACAGCATATTCGGATAGAAGAAAAAATATAAACATTGCCTTGTATTAAAGTAGCTATGGTCACCATACCTCAATGCAGAAGAAACAGAAGAAGAGGAAACCCAAAGAAGTGAAGTTTCATTATCATAGAACTATAGTGGTTTCCAAATTAGAATATATTAAAAGGATTAGAAATGTCAAATTTGGCAGATGAAGTCACAGAGGCAATACAATTAGTTTCTAAAACCATGAACAGTAACTGTGACCATCCTAGAAAATGGAACTTAGGGTCCTTCCCCTCGCCCCAATAAATATTGGTCATGTCCAAAGGAATGCTGTTCACAGTTACAAATAATGTTGATCATCAGACATACTATGAAAATATCTCTTGGTTTCCTAAATACAGTTGACCCTTGGAGATAAAGGGGTCAATGGTATTTGAACTATATGGGTCCATTTATACAGGTTTTTTTCAATAAAAGTTAAACCAAGTGTGCCTGCCTTTCCTGCATCCCCTTCCACCTCCTCCACCTCTTTTGCCTCTGCCATCCTTGAGACAGTAAGACTAACCCCTCCTCTTCCTCAGCTACTCAATATGAAGACGATGAGGATGAAAACCATCCATTTCCACTTAATGAACAGTAAATATATTTTCTCTTCCTTATGGTTTTCTTAACAACATTTTCTTTTCTCTAGCTTATTTTATTGGAAGAATACAACATGTAATACATATAACAAACAAAATTGTGTGAATCAACTGTTCATGTTATCAGTAAGGCTTCTGACCAACAGTAAACTATTAGTAGTTAGGTTTTTGCGGAGTCAGTCAAAAGTTCTGTACAGATTCTCAACTGCATGGGAGTCAATGCCTCTCACCCCTGTATTGTTCAAGGGTCAACTGTATAGCCATTCCTTATTATCTTTTTTCCTTTGCATAATTCAAGCTGGTGGTTGAGTATAATAACCCAATTCTAAATGTTTTCGTATTCAGCTAGGCTGAGCCAAACCCTTCTGCGCTCTCATATGCCAGTTTTTCTCCAGCTATCTTAGTACCCTGTAACCCTACTTCAGGGTACTTCCTTGAAGAATGGTAACCTCCCCCTCATCACATGGATTAGGTTTCTTGAACTTTATCTCTTTGCTCCGTTTGTACCACTGCCTTGTGCAAAATTAAATTTCCCCTTATTCATCCCAACTTCCTTCTTCCCTTCTTGACAAATTTCTTGAAAGAATAATTTATATAGTTGACACTCACTGATTACATTTCTACAACCCTCATTCAGGCCTCAATTCATTGCTGCTATGGTCTGAATGTACACATCCCTCCAAAATTCATTTGCTGAAATCTTAACCCTCAAAGTGATGGTATTAGAAGGTGGAGCCTTTAAGAAGTGATTAAGTCATGAAGGTAGAGCCTTCATGAATGGGATTGTTGCCCTTAGAAAAGAGGCCCTAGAGATACCCTTTGCACCTTCCACAACATGAGGGCACAGGGAGAATATGCCATCTGTGAGCCAGACAGTGGGCTCTTAACAGATACCAAATCTGCCAGCACCTTGATGTTGGACTTCCCAATCTCCAGAATTGTGAGAAATAAATTTTTGTTATTTGTAGACTGGGTATAAAATACTCAGTTTAAGGTATTTTGTTACAGTAGCCTAAATGAACTAAGACAATTGTTAGCTGGTTTATTTCTTCCACACTCTCTTGAGGTCATTAGTGACTTAATCACCAACTTTAATACCCTATATTCAGACCATCTTTTTTCTTGAAATTCTACATATAATGGCTTTCAGGGTAAGATACTAGCCTGAATTTTTTTTATTACATTTCTAACTACTCCCTAGTATGCAATCCTCAGTCCTCTTCCCATTCTCTACATTCTTATAAATTCTCGTGTATATGCAATTCAATCTCAAATCTGTGTGTCCTACCTTTCCTCTACATCTAGAACAATATTTTTCAAATCCATCATAGCGTCTATTATACCGCATTGTAATTATCTATTATATGTCTGTAATGCTCAAAAGATTCTAATTCCCTGAAGACAGCAACTGTGTGTTCCTGGGAAAACCAGTGTGCTAGAGTAAGAGAGAAAGTGAGAGAAGTAATGGGGGTTAGAAGTCATAGAGCTGCATAAGGGCTTTAGATCTAGATCTTTCTCTATGTACATTGGGAGCCATTGAGGGGTTTGAGGCATAGAAGTACCATGGTCAGAGTTATGTTTTGTGAGAAATCTCTCTAGTATTACATTGAGTGTAGACTGTAGGGAAACAAGAATGGCAGCAAGGAGATCAATTAGGCAGCCTTTGCAATAGTCTAGGCAAGAAATGATGGTGACTCTAACTGAGGTGGTAACAATATTGGTGGCATTAAATAGTCAGATTCTGATTATGTTTGAAAACAGAATTGGATTATTCTGACCAGAAAAAAAATTAAGACTGAGAAGGTGTTTGGCAAGAGAACTCTAAGAATAGAGCTTCCCAGAATTGAATAATTTCAGGGCAGGGAATATAATGATCAGATTTGTTGTTTCAGTGGCCACTATGCCGGCTTGATGGAGGTTGTTTCAAGAGAACAAGATGAGTCAGGATGTGACAGATTAGCAGGCTACTGTAGTAAAGAAAGAATTGAATCTTCGCCAAAGCAAGGATAGCTTAGATAATAGATCAGATTCAAGAAATACTTATGAGCAAAAACTAACGCGTATTTTGTACTTATAAATAACTCTGCAAAAAGTCATATTGAAGAATGTAAGTTGGAAATTTTAATTTTGTAAAACAAAAGAAATCTCTAGTTCACTGAATTTTGTAAATTCTGTCTGCTTGAGAGTTTAGTGATACATATCTTTTTTGGTAAAATCTAATGGTTAAATCTAATGCTGGCTTAGAACCATTTTCTTGGCTAGGACTCCTATTTAGATGATGCTGATTACTTAATATGAATATTTGCTTTACTCTCCAAAATATATTTGCTGAAAAACTATTCCCCAAAGAATACAATAAAATAAAAATTTAAATCAAAATGATAGTATTTATAATCACCAAATATTCACTGAGAATCCACAGCATTTCAAAAAAATGAATTATGAACTCTAGGGAATATAATAAAATGCATTTATCTGTACTTTTTTTTGAGATGGAGTTTTGCTCTTGTTCTACTTTTTTAAGTAAACTTTTTATTCAAGTATAATATCCATACAAATACGTACACAAAAGTATACACCTCAATGAATTTTCATAAAGTGAACACGTCTTTGTAGCTAGCACTTAGATCAAGAAACAGAATTCGATCAGGCCCCTAGAAACTTCCTCTACCTCCCTTCCTGTAACTACACTTCCTAGAGGAGTCCCTTTCCTGACTTCCATCACCATAGAGGTTTTACCTGTTTTTGAACTTTTATGTAAAAGAAAGCATGCAAGTTGTACTCTTTTTACCTAGCTTTTTACGCTCACTATTATGTTTGTGAGCCTCAGCCATATTATTGCAGGTACTCCATTCATTTTTATTGCTATATACATTTCAATTGTTTGAATATATCACAATTCATTTATTTATTTTACTGTTGATGGAGATTTAAGTTATTCCTAGTTTTTAACCATCATAGATAGTGTTACTATGAACATTCTTGTAAGATAGACAGACAGAGATAATCTGTTGGTTATAAACTAAGAGTAGAATTTCCTGAGTTATAAGTTATGTGTCTATTCAACTTCAGCAGATAATGCCAAACCATTTTCCATTGTTCTTACATTACCTTTATTTTTTCTGGTTAAATGTTTAGCAAATATTCTATTCTAGAACTACTTTTGACCTTTTCCAAGAAATAATCTGATCACACATGAGCATTTTATTATTACAAGCTATGTATTAGAATAAGTTGTAAAAATTCTGACTACTTAAGGAAACTATTTTAGAAATTTAGTTCACCTAAAACACTAAGGGAAATTGGTAAGTTAAGAAAAAGAGAATATACAGTAATAATGATAATAGCTAAGTTTTTTGTGTGCGGCTACTGGATTTCCCCATGAAGGAGAGCAGGAGTTCCTACAAAACAGAAAGGAAGCTTATTTCCCCAAATGCCCAACCTAGGTATCTGTGTGTCTCACCAGATCAAAATGCCCAGTCCTGAATTGAGCCAAATGCCTGGCCATTGTGAAGTACTGAGTGGAGTCAAGTTACTCCAACTAGGATAAATTATGCTATGTTTGCTGTGTTGTTTAGTGCAGTAGCTTCAGTTCTTAATCCAATGTCCGGCATATAATAGGTGTTCAATATATATTTGTCAGTGACCATATAAATTAGTTATTAATAAGTAACTTCTGGGAAAAACATCTGGCTGGGAAAAACCATCATAATGATTTATGCTACTGACATAGCCAGACACCATCAAACTACTCTTTGTTCTTCAGTTACTTGTGTGACTGGTAATCTGCTAGGTCACCTTGCCTTTCAAGAGGCAAATAAGTCAGCTCAAACCATTATCACATATGGGCTGGGAAACCCAATATCCATCCCAAACTCTCCTGAGAATCTTTGAGAAATTTTGACTTTTTGCTCATCACTGATGGTTGTGTACTCTCAATTCCACTAGGTTAGTTTTCCCTGTGAAGCATATTGCCACGTTCTGCACACTCTCCTTCTCCTATGCTATGTGGTATTGCACAGGACACAAGATTGATTTCTTTCTACCCTCAAAGTACTAGCAATGCAGGACAGTATGTGCGGCAAACTTTTTCTAAGGCTTGGGATAGTAGAGTGAGCTTACATCATAGACCCACAAACAACTTGAAATGGACTAGTAGACAGCCTTGTTTTAAAATGTCCCTCAGACACACTGACACTGGGAATCTCAACAGTTGCTATTTCTCACTAGATATTTTTCTCATGAGTTCCAGTCTCCTGACTAATGGGTCAGTCCTCCCTTCCTTGACTCATCTTCTCCACCCTCCTCCTTTCAAACGCCTATTAACTTTACATGTAAATAATTTCAATTTTCTGGATTGATCTATTGTAAAGCATCTAACTGATCTCCCATCTTCCATCCTCCCTATCCTAGAGTCTATTGGTCATACAATAGCCAGCTACAACGTAATCTTAAAACATAAGTCTGACTGTGTCACTCTCCTGCTCCAAACCCTCCACTAGCGTCTCACCTAAAATAAAATGCAAACTCCTTGCCACAGCCTGCAAGGTCTTACATGCTCTGGCTCCCATTTGCCTCTCTGACCTCATCATCTTCCACTCTGCTCTACCTGCCCTAGTTTGCTTGTTATTCTTTAAATACAGTAAGCTCATTCTACTTCAGGGCCTTTATCCTTGCTATTCCCCCGTGTATATTCTTTATGTTTCTTCTCTCTGTCATCATTCAGTGTCTGCTCAAATGTCACCTTCTCAAAAGGGCTATCACTGAATTAGCTATCTATAGTTGCTCTCCCTTCCCTTCATTTCCTCCAGAGCTCTTACCACCATCAGAAATCTTGTTATTTATTTTAAAAATGATTTGTTTGTTGCCTGTCTCCCTTTATTAGAATCGAAGTGTCATGAGGGTAGAGAATGTCTTGTCTTCTTCACTTGTATATCTCAGGGCCTACAAATGTAGAAACAGAACCTGGTAAACATAAGCATTCCCTATATATTTGTTCAGTGAATAAATGAATGAGTGAAGTAATATTTTTATGTCACTCTCTCCTTACTGAACTTGTAGTTAAAACTTTAACTTCTACATTCAAAGGGGCCAATAAATTGGATTCACTAAAAAAAAAATCTATTTCGAATACAAATTATGTAATTGCATTAGGAGTCAGCCATGGCTAGAATCAATTACTGCTTTAAAAAAATATTTTCTCTCTCTTGCACATGAAAGGATAGATACACAAAAACTTAGAGATACAAAAAGTAATCAAATATATTGAATAAGACATATAATTTATTTAAACATGCATGTCTTTAAAGGTTGCCCTATATATATACATCTTTTAAATATATGTGCGTATTTTAATGACATTATATATATAGGTTTGAATAAGTAATTGTATTCTTAATGAAACAGAAAAGGGCATTTTAATGGAAATATATGTTAATCTGTCTCATTAGCAAAAAAACAAAATCCAACACTATTTAAAGTAATAAAACAAAACCTGGAAGTAAAAATCATAAAATTCAAAATGTATGGCATCCAATAAAATATTATCAGGCATACAAAACAAAAACCAAGACCCATAATCAGAAGATAAACTAATCAAATTGAAATATATCCAGAAACGACAGAACTACCCCACAAAAATGTTAGACAGCTATTATAATGTGCTCCAAATGTTCAAGAAGGTAGAGAAAAGTACAATCATAGTGAGGAGAAACATAAGATATTTAAAAAGATTCAGATGAGTCCGGGTGTGGCAGCTCACACCTGTAATCCCAGCACTTTGGGAGGCCCAGGAGGGTGGATCATCTGAGGTGAGGAGTTCAAGACCAGCCTGGCCAACATGGTGAAACCCTGTCTGTACTAAAAATATAAAAATTAGCCAGGCATGGTGGTGGGCACCTGTAATCTCAGCTACTCAGGAGGCTGAGGCAGGAGAATTGCTTGAATCGGGAGGCAGAGTTCGCAGTGAGCTGGAAGTTGAGATTGCACCACTGCACTCCAGCCTGGGCAACAAGAGTGAAACTTAGTCTCAAAAGAAAAAAAAAAAAAAGATTCAGATGAAATTGTAAAGATGGAAAATGCAATATGTTAAATGAAAAATCCATCAGATGAAATCAAAGACAAATTCAATACTGCAGAAAAGAAAAAAAAATCAGTGAACTTGAAGACAAGCAATACAGACTGTTCAACATGAAGGACAAAAAAAAACACAAAAAACCACAGGGAAAAAAATGAATAGAGCAACAATCATCTGAGGGACAATGTTAAGAAGTATAATGTATGTGTTAATGGAGTTCCAGAAGGGGAGAACACAAAAGTTTAATTCTTTTGAAATGATTGAAAATTTTTCACATTTGATGAAAACTGGAAACAAGTTCAAGAACTCAGCAAACCCCAAGCAGAATAAATATAAAGAAAAACACACCAAGACACATAATAATAAAAAAAGATAACCAGTGATAAAGGGAAAATCCTAAAAGAATCTGGATGGAGGGGGTCCAGAAGACACACTACAAACAGAGAAACAAAAATGAGAAATACAGCAGACTGCTTCAAAAGCTATGGAAGCCAGAGACAATGGAAAGACATCTAACCGCACAGGAAAACAAAAAAAAAGAAAACCCAAATATATCAACCTAGAATTCTGTATTTAGCAAAAAGACCTGAGAGAATGTTACTAGATTTACTGCTCTATATGAATGTTAGAGAAAGTTCTTTACATCAAAAGAAATTATATCAGATGTTAATTTAAATCAATACAAATGAATGAAGAGCTCTGGAGATGGTAAAAATATGCATAAATAGAAAACATTTTTTATCAGTTTGAAACTTCTTTAAAAAGAATTAACTAAAGCAAAACTAATGAATTGTCAAGTTTATAATATAGATAAAAGTAAAATGTATGACAACAATAACACAAAAGTGGGGAAATAGAAGCATTGTTATGAGTCTTACACTATACATGAATTGAAGGTAGACAGTAATAAGCTTAAAAATGTATATTGTAAACCCTGAAGTAACCACTAAAATAGTGAAATAAAGTGGTTACTTTATCATAATATAGCTAATAACACAATAGCAGAGAAAAAATGGAAATTAAATAAAAACTAAACTCCACAAAATTTGGAGAAATAAGGAAAAAACAGAACAAAGAGAAGAAATGACAGAAGAAAAAATATGTTAAATTTAAACTCAAACATATTGATAATTAGATTAAATATAATAGTTTAAACACCCGAATTAAAGGGGATTATCAGATTAAAAAGCAAAACCCAACTATATGCCCTGTATAAGACATAAACATGAAGACACAGATAAGCTAAAAGTTATTGAATAGGAAGATACATTATGAAAACACTAATCAAAAGGAAGCTGGAGTGGCTGTATGAAGTAGATTTTAGAACAAGGAATTATATCAGGGATGAAGAAGGTAATTTCATAATAAAAAAGGGGTCAATTCATTAAGAGACTATGAGAATACTAAATATATATGCACCTAATATCAGAGCTTTGAAGTACGCAAGCAATATAATACAGTCATATGTTGCTTAACGATGAGGATAAGTCCTGAAAAATGCATCCTTAGATAATCTTGTTGTGAGAACATCATAGTGTACTTGCACAAAACTAGATGGTATGGCCTACTAAATGCCTAAGCTATATGGTATAGCCTATTGCTCCTAGGCTACAAACATGTACAACATGTTACTATACTTAACACTGTAGGCAACTGTAACACAATGATAAGTATTTGTATATATAAACACAGAAAAGATGCAGTAAAAATATAGTACAAAAGATAAAAAAGGTACACCTCTATAGGGCACTTACCATGAATGGAGCTTGCAGGACTGGAAATTGCTCTAGGTGAGTCAGTGAGTGAGTGGTGAGTGAATGTAAAGACCTAGGACATTACTGTACACTACTGTAAGCTGTATAAATACTGTATGCTTAGGCTACACTAAATTTAGAAAATACAAAATTGTGCTACAACATTACAACAGGTATAATATCACTAAGCAACAGGAATCTTTTAGCTCCATTATGATCTATGGTACCATCATTGTATATGTGGTCCATTGTTGACTGAAACATTGTTAGGTGGCACACGACTGTATATAAGAAACAAAACTGATACAACTGACAAGAGAAATCGATAAATCAACAATTATAGTTGGAGAGTTTAACAGTTTTCTTTCATTAGCTGAGAGAACAAGTATACAGAAAATCAATAAAAATATAGAAGACATGAAAGACATTACCAAAATTTTGACCTAATTGACATTTATAAAACATGCTACCCAACAACAGAAGAATAAATATTCTTTTCCAGTGCAAATAGAAAATTTACCAAGACAGGTCATATTCTGGGATAGAAAATCAGTCTCATAATTTTAAAAGGTTGAAATAACAAAAAATATGTTCTCTTACCACAGTGATATTATATTAGAAAGTGATAACAGCTATATGGAAAATCTAAAAATATTTGAAAATCAGTCAACATATTTCAGAGTTCATGGGTTAATGAAGAATTCACAATGATTATTGGAAAATATTTTGAGATTAATAGAAACAAAAACAACATATCAGAAGTTATGGGATGCAACATAGCACTTAAAGGTAATTTTAAAGCATTAGCCACTTATATTAGAAAAGAACAAATATTTCAAGTAGATAATCTAAGAATCTATACTTAAAAAGCCAGAAAAAGAAGAGTAAATAAAGCCTCAACTAAACAAAAGAAAAAGAATCAGGTATCAATGATAAAGGAAACAGTAAAACAATAGAGAAAATCAATAGAGAAAAAGCTGGTTTTTAAAAATTACTAATAAAGCTGACAAAACTCTAGACCAGGTGTTGATAAACTATGGCCCATGGACCAAATAAAGTGTGTCACCTGTTTTTAACACTCTGCAGTTATAAATTGTTTTTACATTTTTAGAAGATGTTGGAGGAGGAGCCAAGATGGCTGAATAGGAAGAGCTCTGGTCTACAGCTCCCAGCGTGAGTGACGCAGAAGACAGGTGATTTCTGCATTTCCATCTGAGGTACCGGGTTCATCTCACTAGGGAGTGCCAGACAGTGGGCACAGGTCAGTGGGTGCAGTGCACCGGGCGCGAGCTGAAGCAGGGCAAGGCATTGCCTCACTCGGGAAGCACAAGGGGTCAAGGAGTTCCCTTTCCTAGTCAAAGAAAGGGGTGACAGACGGCACCTGGAAAATCGGGTCACTCCCACCTGAATACTGTGCTTTTCCGATGAGCTTAAAAAACGGCGCACCACGAGATTACATCCTGCACCTGGCTCAGAGGGTCCTACGCTCAAGGAGTCTCGCTGATTGCAAGCACAGCAGTCTGAGATCAAACTGCAAGGTGGCAGCGAGGCTGGGGGAGGGGCGCCCGCCATTGCCCAGGCTTGCTTAGGTAAACAAAGCAGCCAGGAAGCTCGAACTGGGTGGAGCCCACTACAGCTCAAGGAGGCCTGCCTGCCTCTGTAGGCTCCACCTCTGGGGGCAGGGCACAGACAAACAAAAAGACAGCAGTAACCTCTGCAGACTTAAACGTCCCTGTCTGACAGCTTTGAAGAGAGGAGTGGTTCTCCCAGCACGCAGGTGGAGATCTGAGAACGGGCAGACTGCCTCCTCAAGGGGGTCCCTGACCCCTGACCCCTGAGCAGCCTAACTGGGAGGCACCCCCCAGTAGGGGCAGACTGACACCTCACATGGCCGGGTACTCCTCTGAGACAAAACTTCCAGAGGAACCAGCAGACAGCAGCATTCGCGGTTCACAAAAAACCACTGTTCTACAGACACTGCTGCTGATACCCAGGCAAACAGGGTCTGGAGTGGTCCTCTAGCAAACTCCAACAGACCTGCAGCTGAGGGTCCTGTCTGTTAGAAGGAAAACTAACAAACAGTAAGGACATCCACACCAAAAACCCATCTGTACATCACCATCATCAAAGACCAAAAGTAGATAAAAACCACAAAGATGGGGAAAAAACAGAGCAGAAAAACTGGAAACTCTAAAAAGTAGAGCACCGCTCCTCCTCCAAAGGAACGCAGTTCCTCACCAGCAACGGAACAAAGCTGGACGGAGAATGACTTTGACGAGTTGAGAGAAGAAGGCTTCAGACAATCAAACTACGAGCTACAGGAAGAAATTCAAACCAAAGGCAAAAAAGTTAAAAACTTTGAAAAAAATTTAGACGAAGGTATAACTAGAATAACCAATACAGAGAAGTGCTTAAAGGAGCTGATGGAGCTGAAAGCCAGGGCTCGAGAACTACGTGAAGAATGCAGAAGCCTCAGGAGCTGATGCGATCAACTGGAAGAAAGGGTATCAGCGATGGAAGATGAAATAAATGAAATGAAGCGAGAAGGGAAGTTTAGAGAAAAAAGAGTAAAAAGAAACGAACAAAGCCTCCAAGAAATATGGGACTATGTGAAAAGACCAAATCTACATCTGATTGGTGTACTTGAAAGTGACAGGGAGAATGGAACCAAGTGGGAAAACACTCTGCAGGATATTATCCAGGAGAACTTCCCCAATCTAGCAAGGCAGGCCAACATTCAGATTCAGGAAATGCAGAGAATGCCACAAAGATACTCCTCGAGAAGAGCAACTCCAAGACACATAATTGTCAGATTCAGCAAAGTTGAAATGAAGGAAAAAATGTTAAGGGCAGCCAGAGAGAAAGGTCGGGTTACCCACAAAGGGAAGCCCATCAGACTAACAGTGGATCTCTCGGCAGAAACTCTACAAGCCAGAAGAGAGTGGGGGCCGATATTCAACATTCTTAAAGAAAAGAATTTTCAACCCAGAATTTCATATCTAGCCAAACTAAGCTTCATAAGTGAAGGAGAAATAAAATAACTTTACAGACAAGCAAATGCTGAGAGATTTTGTCACCACTAGGCCTGCCCTAAAAGAGCTCCTGAAGGAAGCACTAAACATGGAAAGGCACAACCGGTACCAGCCGCTGCAAAATCATGCCAAAATGTAAAGACCATCGAGACTAGGAAGAAACTGCATCAACTGACGAGCAAAATAACCAGCTAACATCATAATGACAGGATCAAATTCACACATAACAATATTAACTTTAAATGTAAATGGACTAAATGCTCCAATTAAAAGACATAGACTGGCAAATTGGATAAAGAGTCAAGACCCATCAGTGTGTTGTATTCAGGAAACCCATCTCACATGCAGAGACACACATAGGCTCAAAATAAAAGGATGGAGGAAGATCTACCAAGCAAATGGAAAACAGAAAAAGGCAGGGGTTGCAATCCTAGTCTCTGATAAAACAGACTTTAAACCAAAAAAGACCAAAAGAGACAAAGAAGGCCATTACATAATGGTAAAGGGATCAATTCGACAAGAAGAGCTAACTATCCTAAATATATATGCACCCAATACAGGAGCACCCAGATTCATAAAGCAAGTCCTGAGTGACCTACAAAGAGACTTAGACTCCCACACATTAATAATGGGAGACTTTAATACCACACTGTCAACATTAGACAGATCAATGAGACAGAAAGTCAACAAGGATACCCAGGAATTGAACTCAGCTCTGCACCAAGCAGACCTAATAGACATCTACAGAACTCTCCACCCCAAATCAACAGAATATACATTTTCTTCAGCACCACACCACACCTATTCCAAAATTGACCACATAGTTGGAAGTAAAGCTCTCCTCAGCAAATGTAAAAGAACAGAAATTATAACAAATTATGTCTCAGACCACAGTGCAATCAAACTAGAACTCAGCATTAAGAAACTCACTCAAAACCGCTCAACTACATGGAAACTGAACAACCTGCTCCTGAATGACTACTGGGTACATAACGAAATGAAGGCAGAAATAAAGATGTCCTTTGAAATCAATGAGAACAAAGACACAACATACCAGAATCTCTGGGACACATTCAAAGCAGTGTGTAGAGGGAAATTTATAGCACTAAATGCCCACAAGAGAAAGCAGGAAAGATCCAAAATTGACACCCTAACATCACAATTAAAAGAACTAGAAAAGCAAGAGCAAACACATTCAAAAGCTAGCAGAAGGCAAGAAATAACTAAAATCAGAGCAGAACTGAAGGAAATAGAGACACAAAAAACCCTTCAAAAAATTAATGAATCCAGGAGCTGGTTTTTTGAAAGGATCAACAAAATTGATAGACTGCTAGCAAGACTAATAAAGAAAAAAAGAGAGAAGAATCAAACAGACGCAATAAACAATGATAAAGGGGATATCACCACCGATCCCACAGAAATACAAACTACCATCAGAGAATACTACAAAGACCTCTACACAAATAAACTAGAAAATCTAGAAGAAATGGATAAATTCCTCGACACATATACTCTCCCAAGACTAAACCAGGAAGAAGTTGAATCTCTGAATAGACCAATAACAGGATCTGAAATTGTGGCAATAATCAACAGCTTACCAACCAAAAAGAGTCCAGGACCAGATGGATTCACAGCCGAATTCTACCAGAGGTACAAGGAGGAACTGGTACCATTCCTTCTGAAACTATTCCAATCAATAGAAAAAGAGGGAATCCTCCCTAACTCATTTTATGAGGCCAGCATCATCCTGATACCAAAGCCAGGCAGAGACACAACCAAAAAAGAGAATTTTAGACCAATATCCTTGATGAACATTGATGCAAAAATCCTCAATAAAATACTGGCAAACCGAATCCAGCAGCACATCAAAAAGCTTATCCACCATGATCAAGTGGGCTTCATCCCTGGGATGCAAGGCTCGTTCAATATACGCAAATCAATAAATGTAATCCAACATATAAACAGAACCAAAGACAAAAACCACATGATTATCTCAATAGATGCAGAAAAGGCCTTTGACAAAATTCAACAACCCTTCATGCTAAAAACTCTCAATAAATTAGGTATTGATGGGACGTATCTCAAAATAATAAGAGCTATCTATGACAAACCCACAGCCAGTGTCATACTGAATGGGCAAAAACTGGAAGCATTCCCTTTGAAAACTGGCACAAGACAGGGATGCCCTCTCTCACCACTCCTATTCAACATAGTGTTGGAAGTTCTGGCCAGGGCAATTAGGCAGGAGAAGGAAATAAAGGGTATTCAATTAGGAAAAGAGGAAGTCAAATTGTCCCTGTTTGCAGATGACATGATTGTATATCTAGAAAACCCCACTGTCTCAGCCCAAAATCTCCTTAAGCTGATAAGCAACTTCAGCAAAGTCTCAGGATACAAAATCAATGTACAAAAATCACAAGCATTCTTATACACCAACAACAGACAAACAGAGAGCCAAATCATGAGTGAACTCCCATTCACAATTGCTTCAAAGAGAATAAAATACCTAGGAATCCAACTTACAAGGGATGTGAAGGACGTCTTCAAGGAGAACTTCAGACCACTGCTCAAGGAAATAAAAGAGGACACAAACAAATGGAAGAACATTCCATGCTCATGGGTAGGAAGAATCAATGTTGTGAAAATGGCCATACTGCCCAAGGTAATTTACAGATTCAATGCCATCCCCATCAAGCTACCAATGACTTTCTTCACAGAATTGGAAAAAACTACTTTAAAGTTCATATGGAACCAAAAAAGAGCCCGCATCGCCAAGTCAATCCTAAGCCAAAAGAACAAAGCTGGAGGCATCACACTACCTGACTTCAAACTATACTACAAGGCTACAATAACCAAAACAGCATGGTACTGGTACCAAAACAGAGATATAGATCAATGGAACAGAACAGAGCCCTCAGAAATAATGCCGCATATCTACAACTATCTGATCTTCGACAAACCTGAGAAAAACAAGCAATGGGGAAAGGATTCCCTATTTAATAAATGGTGCTGGGAAAACTGGCTAGCCATATGTAGAAAACTGAAACTGGATCCCTTCCTTACACCTTATACAAAAATCAATTCAAGATGGATTAAAGACTTAAACGTTAGACCTAAAACCATAAAAACCCTAGAAGAACACCTAGGCATTACCATTCAGGACATAGGCACGGGCAAGGACTTCATGTCTAAAACACCAAAAGCAATGGCAACAAAAGCCAAAATTGACAAATGGGATCTAATTAAACTAAAGGGCTTCTGCACAGCAAAAGAAACTACCATCAAAGTGAACAGGCAACCCACAAAATGGGAGAAAATTTTCGCAACCTACTCATCTGACAAAGGACTAATATCCAGAATCTACAATGAACTCAAACAAATTTACAAGGAAAAAACAAACAACCCCATCAACAAGTGGGCGAAGGACATGAACAGACACTTCTCAAAAGAAGACATTTATGCAGCCAAAAAACACATGAAAAAATGCTCACCATTACTGGCCATCAGAGAAATGCAAATCAAAACCACAGTGAGATATCATCTCACACCAGTTAGAATGGCAGTCATTAAAAAGTCAGGAAACAACAGGTGCTGGAGAGGATGTGGAGAAATAGGAACACTTTTACACTGTTGGGATGGTAAACTAGTTCAACCATTGTGGAAGTCAGTGTGGCGATTCCTCAGGGATGTAGAACTAGAAATACCATTTGACCCAGCCATCCCATTACTGGGTATATACCCAAAGGACTATAAATCATGCTGCTATAAAGACACATGCACACGTATGTTTATTACGGCACTATTCACAATAGCAAAGACTTGGAACCAACCCAAATGTCCAACAATGATAGACTGGATTAAGAAAATGTGGCACATACACACCATGGAATACTATGCAGCCATAAAAAATGATGAGTTCATGTCCTTTGTAGGGACATGGATGAAGTTGGAAATCATCATTCTCAGTAAACTATCACAAGAACAAAAAACCAAACACCGCATATTCTCACTCATAGGTGGGAATTGAACAATGAGAACACATGGACACAGGAAGGGGAACATCACACTCTGGGGACTGTAGTGGGGTGGGGGGAGGGGGGAGGGATAGCATTGGGAGATATACCTAATGCTAGATGACGAGTTAGTGGGTGCAGCGCACCAGCATGGCACATGTATACATATGTAACTAACCTGCACATTGTGCACATGTACCCTAAAATTTAAAGTATAATAATAATAATTACACAGTTAAATATTGTTAAATATTGAGAAAAAAAAAGATATTAAAGAGGAAGGAGGAGACAAAGAAGGGAGGAAGAAGAAATAAGTCTATGGCCCACAAAGCCTAAAATAGTTACTATCTAATACCTTACATAAAAAAGTTTGTCAACCTCTGATCTAGCCAAGTAAATCAGAATAAAGAGAAAAGACAAAGTATCAATATCATAAATGAAAAAAAGGGTGTCACTACAGATCCTACAGATATCAAACATATTATTGGAAATCTTAGGAACACTTTATGCCCACAAATTCAACATTTCAGAATAAATGAAAAATCTGTTGAAAGACACAAACTATTATAGAAATAAATCATCTAAATAGTCCTATATCTACTAGGAACATAGAATTTTTAGCTTAAAAATTTTCCCATGAAGAGAATTTTATGCCCAGCTTCAACAGTTAATTCAATTAAAAATCTAAGAAAGAGAATACAAATTTGTCCAGAAA
This sequence comes from Homo sapiens, assembly GCF_000001405.40. Classification (NCBI taxonomy): domain Eukaryota; kingdom Metazoa; phylum Chordata; class Mammalia; order Primates; family Hominidae; genus Homo; species Homo sapiens. Next base: position 105,722,764 of record NC_000006.12, read on the forward strand.
ATAGAAGAGGATGGCATCCTTTCCAACTCTTCTATAAAACCAGTATTACCCTGATACTAATACCAGACATAAATATTATTATAAGAAAAAAACCCCACAGAATATTAAGGTAACATGCCATGACTAAGTATTGTTCATCCCAAGAACTCAAGGTTAGCTTAATATTTGAGACTCGGTAAATTCAGCATATTAACATACTATAATAAAGGATATAGTATATAGTTATCTCAATAGATGCCAAATTAAAAATAATTACAAACATTTTATTTTTTAATATTTGATAGAAACTTGCAGCAATTTCGGAATGAAAGAGAACTTCCTCAACCTGATATGGGACATCTAAAAAAATATGTAGTTAACAATGTATGGATAGACATATAGGTTGCTGGAACTCAATGGAAAGCCCATAGACATCCACACATATGTTGTCAACTGATTTTCAACAAGGGGCCAAGAAAACTCAATCAGGAAAGAGGAGTCTTTCCAACAAATGGAAAAAATAGACACCCATATTCAAAACTATGAACTCAACCCTTATTTTATATCACCTACAAAAATTAATTATAAACATAATTATCACATAAACATAAATATATCCTAGAACAATAAATAAGCCCTAAAATTATACAACCTCTAGAAGAGAATAAAAAAGAAAATTATTGTTACCTTGGGTCAGTCAGAGATTTCTTAAATATGACACCAAAAGCTTAAGCCATAAAAGAAAACAATGTGGATAAATTAAATGTCATTACAATTAAATCTGTATCATCTTCAAAATACATTTTTAAGGAAAGACAAGTCACAGGCTGGGAGAATGTATTTGCAAACACATATATGAAATAGTCTTACTATCCAGTATACATAAGGAACTCTTGCAACACATTAATAAGACAATCAAACTGATTTTTAAATGGACAAACATTGAATATATACTTTATCAAAGAAGGTATATTATGACAAATAAGCACATGAAAAGATACTAAACATAGTTACTATGGCAATTTAGATTAAAACTACAATGAGATACCTACACATATATTAGAATATCAAAAATTTAAAAGATTGATAATGACAAATAGGTGAGAATGTGGAACAAGAACTCTCATAATTTGTACTTATGCAAATGCAAAAATAGAAGAAACTGTTTTGGAAAACAGTTTAGCAGCTTCTTAGAATGTTAAGCACATACTCACTTTATGACCCAGAAATTCTGCTCTAGGTATCTACCCAAAATAAATAAAAATGTATGTTCACAAAAAGACACATACTAAGTATCATGGAAGGCAAAAACTAAAAGCAATCTAAATTTCCATTAATTGGCTAATGGATAAATCATAGCAGCAAAATGAAACGAACTACTGAAACACAAAACAACACAGATGAATCTCAAAAGCATTATGCTAAACGAAAGAAGTCAGACACAGAAGACTACATACTGTCTGATCCCTTTTAGATAACATCCTAGAAAAGGTGAAACAGTGACAAAATGTATCAAAGTGACAAGGGCAGGTCAGTGGTTTCCGGGAGCCAGGGCTCTGGGGAGGGCTATGAGTGCAGAAGTTCAGGAGAGAACATTCTGGGGTGATAGGAATGTTCTGTAACCTGACTGCAATGGTGGTTACGTGATTGTATATATTTGTCAACATTTAATGAAACATACACTTAAAATAGATCAATTTTCTGTATCTAAAGTACATAAAATAAAAAGAAGATCCTAAATAATATATTTATTCATTCGTTTGTGTGTTTATTTATTTATTTATTTATTTGTTGAGCTATTGACAGAGGGTCTTGCTCTGTCACCCAGGCTGGAGTACAATGACACGATGGGGCTCACTGCAGCCACGACTTTTCAGGCTCAAGAGATCCTCCTGCTTCAGCCTCCTACTGGGACAACAGGTGTGAACCACCACACCCAGCTAATTTTTTAAAAATCATTTTATGTAAAGACAGTGTCTCATTGTGTTGCCCAGGCTGGTCTCAAACTCCTGGACTCAAGTGATCCTCCTGCCTCGGCCTCCCAAAGTGCTGAGATTACAGGTGTGAGCCAATGCACCTGGCCTCTTAAATAAGATATTTTGATAAAACCGAGGTGGGCAGATCACCTGAGGTCAAGAGTTCAAGACCAGCCTGGCAAACATCATGAAACTCTGTCTCTACTAAAAATACAAAAATTAGCCGGGCATGGTAGAGCGTGCCTGTAGTTCCAGCTGCTCAAGAGGCTGAGGCAGGAGAATCACTTGAACCTGGGAGACAGAGGTTGCAGTGAGCAGAGATCATGCTACTGCACTCCAGCCTGGGCGACAGAGCGAGACTCCATTTCAAATAAATAAATGAATAAATAAATAAATCAAACAAAAATATGGAAAAGCATATTAGTATTTTTTGGCTATCTCTAAAATGTTATGAAATCAGGAAAACCATGATCTGATCTAAGGTGCTGTCTTTTGAGCTACAAATAAAGCCATTTGTTTTGTCCACTTTATTAGAATGAAATATGGAGTTGAATATATATGCTGGGGAAAGCAGTTAATAAGCTGCTCATATTATGAATATCCATTTCATAGGAAAGAAAATAGGCTCAGAGAGATTAAGCAACTTTCACAGGCAACCTTAGCTGTCAGTAGCAGAGGTTTCCATCCAGCCTAAGATTTCCTGACACCAAGCAGGTGCTCTTTTCTCCTCAGCATGCTGCTTTCACATGTCCAAGACATCCAAAAAGTTGAGGCAATAATAACTCTTAAAACTGAATTTTCTTCATTTGAGGTCTTAGATAGGGGAAATAAATATTTTAAGCATGCAAGCAAAGCAAAGACATTAGAATCTTATAGAACTGGAATAAAATCCCTAATGAGCAACTTACTCATACACAGCCTTTGGAGAGGTAAATATTTCTGACAGTCAGTTCCCTCATCTGAAAAATTGAAATAATAATGTATTTATTACAAGGTCATTATGAAGATGTGAGGTGTTATATGTATAATTCAGTGTAGTATTCTAACAAGTAGTTAAGTCTACGGTATATTTTTGTACTCTCAGTGAGAAAGAGGTCTCCTCTGTTAAAATAAATTTAGAGAATGTGGCCTCACACATATACATCATGGAATACTATGCAGCCATAAAAAAGGATGAGTTCACGTCCTTTGCAGGGACATGGGTGAAGCTGGAAACCATCATTCTCAGCAAACTAACACAGGAACAGAAAACCAAACACCACATGTTCTCACTCATAGTTGGGAATTGAACAATGAGAACACTTGGACACAGGGAAGGGAACATCACACACCTGGGCCTGTCAGGGGGTGGGGAGCTAGGGGAGGGATAGCATTAGGAGAAATACCTAATGTAGATGAGCGGTTGATGGGTGCAGCATACCACCATAGCACGTGTATACCATGTAACTAACCTGCACATTCCACACAAGAATCCCAGAACTTAAAGTATTTAAAAAAAAAAAAAAAAACTCTCAGCAAACTGAAAAAAAAAAAAGAAACTTTCTTCACCTGATAAATGAAAACTTACAAAAAACTTTTACTCAATGTGATATTTAACAATTAAAAACTAAATGTCTTTCCCCTAGAATCAGAGGTTCTGGAAAATGTACTGGGCATTCGAGCTAAGCAGTAAAGCAAAACAAAGAAATTAAAGCTGTCCTAATTGTAAAAAAAAAAGAGAGAGAGTGTGTGAGAGAGAGAGAGAAAAAAAATGTGGCCTTAAATAGCTTTCTTCATATCAGGATTTCTTAGAACCCTCAATATGCAATACTCATTTTTAATCTCTAGGAAAGGAAATATACATAAGTTATTTCTCACTCTTTTTTAACCAGGAAATCATTATGCCATGCTGCATGAATTATAAGACTCTATCTTTTAAAAAAAATGCACATGCCCTTTCTAATTTTTGTCTAACATTTTCTAGTCCATTCCTCTTGAATGTTTAAACAATTCAATGTTATATTTAAAGACATGGGCTTCACAGTCAAATCCAGGATCCAAATTTCTGCTACTTCATTTCCTAGCCATGTAATCTAGACCCAGTATAACTGTTTCTTCACTTGTAAAGTGAAGGTAATAACCTAGTGTAAAGGGATATGGTAAGAATGAAACGAGTTCATAAACATTAAGCATTTGGTGCAGTGCCTGGCACATCATGAGCTCTGAATAATTGTTAATTATCACTCACTTTGGTGTGCTTATGTTTGAAAGAAGGCTGCAGTTCAAAGTAGACACAAAGAGAAATTGAACTGATTAGCACTGCTCAGAATAGGCAATGACTCTTCCCTGGAACACGTGGATACCTGTCTGCTAACCCCTTCCCACTTGTGGCATGCTCTGAGTATGCCTGGGCAGGAGACCCAGAACATTCACAGCTACCTCAGGTATGAAGAACAAATGTCATGCCCTGGGGACTACACAGTTACCTTCTGGACAGGATGTGACCTCTGTGCTGTCTGGGATAATATGATATTACTGGATAGGGTGTACTTTCTAGCTAACTGGAAAGAGTTCAGAGGAGGGAATCCAATATAATAAAAGATTTGGAGATGAAACTCTGTGAGAGCAGATGAAAAATCTGGGCATGTTGGGTCTAGAAAACAGACACAGCAGCCACATAGGTGCACCACACCATGGGGAAGAAAGATGCATTATTCTCAGGTATACATGAGGTTACCACAGATGACATGGGCTTTAGATATGCACAGAAATGCTTTGGAGAAAATGGATACACTTCATGATGAAATGTTAGGCAATATAGGAGATGCCTAGGATGACTACTGTATTACTTTCAAGAGGAATGTTTAGGACCAGAATAACCGATCGAATGGGTTTCTTGGAGTAAATCAAAGATAAAGAAATCAACCACGTGGGCATGAGAAGGTTGACCAGATGTAGTAGGTAGGTTCCTTTAGTTGTAAACAAAACCTACTCTGCTCAGCTTTTTGCAGAAGAAGATGTTAGATGCAGAAGAAGAACAGGAGGTGGTCAAATGATCAAGTTTAAAGGAAGACAGCAATTGAGGCAGCTCTAAAGGTCCAGGTGGCAGGAATCGATGGACAATCTCTTCAGAGTATCAATTCATTCAAGATTCCAAGTCCGCAAAGAGAGACTGGTTGGCAGCTCTAGCCATATGTTCACCCCTTGCTGAGAGGAGGATTCAGAACTTTGGAAATTACATTGAGGGAGAGGTGAGAAAATCATCATGTTATTTAAAGAAAAAAAAGGAAAAATGGACACTAGGTAGAAAAACAAAGTCCATTACACCCAGTGAATTATTATTAAAAGTACTAGCTATTACTTATTGAGTACTTGATGTAAAATATGAGAATAATAAAGCTCAGTGGGTTTTAAGCAACTTGTCTAAGGTCATAAAGCTAATAATTGGTGGAGAAGGGATTCAGAGCTAGGGCTTTCTTAATCCAAAGCCCAGTTCCTTAATTAATATACCATACTGCTTTCTGTTTATTAGTTTCATAATCTCTGCTATCACTGTCACTCCTTAATGTAGCTTTTGCCTCAGTCACCAACAAATAAGACAGAGGTCAAAAAAGAGTCACCACAATCCTCTTCCTTCCATGGCACTGTGCTCCAACACAAGGCAGAGCACTCATAGTCCCCATCATTCCCACACAGGTCCCAGATTTGGAGCACCTGGAGTGGGCAATCCAGGTGTCTAAATTCCTTTGCAATGAGCAAGGTTTGGTTTTGAGGGTCTTGGAGTAAAGGTTGATTGAGAACACCCATTTCACATCAGAACCTCCCTCATCTCTTAAGAATCTTTAAGAGAATCTTGAAATATCAAACCAACATATAACACAGATGCTATTTTAAAAGCAGCTATGTGGGGAAATGGGCTCTTTCTATGTACATATGCTGTCCTGTGCAACCAGACTACAACCCTGTGCAGCTAAAGACCATACCCTACTTCTCTTTCTTTGAGGCCACTGTAAACAACAGGCATTTAATTATGTGGCTTAAAAGCAAATAGGATGAGGAAAAGGGTGATGACATAAACTTGACCAGTTTTAGATCAAGGATAAGCCTCCCATTTTCATGGTCTATAATCTTAAAGATTCAGATTCTGTGAAGCCAAATCAGAGTTCTGGGGAAAGAGAAAAAGGAAAGAAAAGAAAAGAGAGAAGGAAGGAAGGAAGAGTCAGTATGCATATGGAGTCAAGAAACATTACAGTGTCACTGAACCTCAGCGTTGGGAGGACTGGGGAAAGGAAAAGCCATCCAGTCCAGTTCAATTAGTTAAATCACAGACTTTGGAATTAATCAGGCTTGGGCTCAAATCCCAGCTCAGCTACTTACTAGCTATATGACCTTTTGCAAATTACCCTCTAAACTTCAGTTTCTTCATCAGTAAGTATAAGGCCTAACAAATTCGTAGAGAAGATTAAATGAGATTATGTATGCAGAGCCCTTGGCTAGGTCCTTACCCTTAGTAAGCCCCAGCAAATGTCAGTCATTATTTTAATACTTTATTACATGTCTTTTTACCCTACTACAATAGTGTGCCTGGGGATTGGGGCTGGGCTGGGCTTGATTTTAAAGTTATAGAATAATATTGGAGGCTCTAAGCTAAAATTCTTACATACAATACCATAATTTCTGAAAAGACTTCACAGCTAATATAGTTTATATCAATCATTTTACACCAAGATATACATATTGTTGTCACTGAAAATTATTCCCTAATAAATTTTTTACCATTTATATTTGAGCAACTTTATTGCAATATAATTCAATAAACTTTTATTCATCATGTTCTCTGTGCCAAGCACTGCACTAAGAACTGGAAATACAAAGATCTGAAACACAGTCTGGCTTTAAGTTGCTTGGAACCCAGAAGTAACAACAAACTGCAAACAGCAGGGGAAAAATGAAAAAATTAGAAGATACGTTCAAAAAGGTTATCCTATAACTCAATTATGCAAAGATTAATAAGATGAAAGAAAAGGGACATGAAAAGCAGTTCCAGGAAATGATATGTATATTAGAAATTCCAGAAGAAAATAAAGCAAACGTACAAAAAGCTAACATAAACTACAGAAAACCTTTGACCTCAACCAAAGGGAGATTCAGATCTTTAGATTTCAAAAGTTTATCAAGTATGAGGTAAAATTAATGAAATGACTTAACTTGGCCAACCTTTGAATTTTAATGGGAAAGAAAAATCCTACAAGCCACATGTAGGGAGATGAACAAAATCTTGTTTCCCAGAAAAGGGATATTTTCCAGGTATCATTCCCGTCATCCCCTGCAACAAAAAGTCCTCAAATTCTCTACTCATTCCTATTATTTCTAATGTATATAAACAACAGAAAGACCTATTCTTGGACATACAAAGATAAACAAAGACCAGAAATCATTTATCTTTTCTGATATTTTGAAGTGAAAATATACACCAGCTGACTTAGAAATTAATAAAAAGAACAAACTCAAAACCTAGTTATAAAACCTAATACAAATGTCAAGAGAGTGTAAATAATGTAAAGAATTATTAGAGCATAATAAAAATAAGGGTAGTAAGTCAACTGAGCAAGGAAAAGGAGGAAATCAAAGAATGCTCAATGTTTTATTTCATACCAGGACATTAATAACTTTACATAAACAGCCTTAAAAAGATATAAAATATTAATACAGGATAAGCTAGCATCTCAAATCATCAAAGGAAAAATGAATTACTCAACAACTGGTTAAAACTACCATCTAAATCTGTGGGAAAACAGAAAATCAAATTGACACAATATATAAGGTACCAAAATGAATCCCAGATGGATTAAATATTGAAACGCAAAATATAAAACCATAATGAGGGCTATATGCAGTGGCTCATGCCTGTAATCCAGCACTTTGGGAGGCTGAGGCAGGAGGATCACTTGAGACCAGGAGTTTGAGACCAGTCTGGGCAACATAGTGAGCCTCTGTGTCTACGAAATTAAAAAAAAAAAAAAAAAAGCCAGGCATGGGGCATGGTGGCATGTGCTTGTAGTCACAGCTACTTGGGAAACTGAGACGGGAACTGCTTCAGCCCAGGAGTTTGAGGCTGCAGGGAGCTATGATCATACCACTGTACATCAGCCTGGGTGACAGAATGAGACCCTGTCTCTAAAATATAAATTGTTTAAATCCCATAATTTTACAAGAATAAAAAATAAGGGACTACATAGTCTAAGGAGAGAAAAGCTTTTCAGTGTGTAACACCAGACAAAAATATAAATAAAAAGGCTGATAAATATTATAAAATCATTTTTCACTGTACTTAAAAGAAACACCATACACAAAATTTGAAAACAATAAACTAGGGGAAAATATAGAGGTTAATTATATTAATTTATATACATTTTATAAATCAGTAAGAAAATGACTATTATATCAACTTTTTAAAAAAGAGTATATTCCAGATTTTGACAAGAAAGTAATATAAATGCTTCATAAATACAGAAAAAAAATCCAACTTGATTATTTAAAAAGTAAGGCAAGTAAAAGTACAATGACATGTTCAAAAGAGCGAACAATAAATAAGGAAATGTTAATGGCATATGTTCAAAAAACCTCCGCACAGAAAAACAGATCCTCGATAAATACGTGCAGACTGTTTTCTCCCCACTACCGTCTGTTTTGCAAAGCTTTTTCTGAAAATAAGTATCAGTTTGACACGATAGGGGATATTAAGGTCAGATGATTGCTTCATTATTTACTTTAATATTGATGCTTGCCTCTGATCTTCAGTTGGCTGTCCTTAACAAGCAAAACCTATAGTCACTTTAAATACCTTAAAATGTGATTTACTGTAACTCTCTTGTAACTAAAACTGCAGACATTTAAAAGTCAATATAATTAGAAAGTTGCTTTCTGTGTATAAGTTGTATTTTCACAATTAGTGTCCCCAGTGTGCCCCACTTTGGGGCAGATCAAATTATACTACAATGTGGGTGTATTTTCCTTAAAATATTTTTTTCATTTGGAAAAGACAACTCAAAATATTATGCATATATTTTAAATTCTCTTTTCAGAAAGAAGAAAACAATGCCTCCCACTACTCCACCCAGCAGTCTCCCTCCCACCCCCTGGGGCCATGGTTACAAAATTTGAAGAAATTTTCCATTTCCAGTTTGGATGCCAGATTAATTCATTCCTCTGTTGAAGGATTCCAGGAGCTCCAGCTTGGCTCCTGGTCAATTCGAGGACACTGGGAAGGTAAGGGTCAGAACCAGGCCTAACCTAATGAAGCACGTGTCCTCTTTAGTAGGCTCAGAATGACCTGGTCCCTAGGCTCACTTGAAGATAACTAGGCTTCTCTGAGAATCCTGTGAACCTAACATCACTCGAATTTAGTATATGTGAGACTCATTTACTCCTAGATTCAATGCTCAGAGGGTTGGGTGGATTCAGATTGCCTTCAGAAAATGAGTTAAAGATCATGGAATACATTCGCTTTAGAATTAGCAGGGATGAAAGGGAAAAAAGAACAGGCTTTACAGCATCAGGTAAAATTCAAGTATAACAAACCTGTGAATCTGACAAATCATTTCATGAGAGGGTAATTTTATGGAAACAAATATAGTCCTGGAAACAATGTTCACAATCTCAAGGACCTGGGGAGAGAAGAAAACTAACAACAGGAATAAATTATACATTAGGGAAACAAACACAGTTGATGGGAAAGGAAGGTTTCACCTTCAGACAGCTCTCCCCATTTTGTTTCTTTCTAATTCCAGCTCCAGATCCTTTTTGGTATGTGCATTCTTGTCTTGGTGAATTGTTTGGAGATTTATTATTATAATAATTATAATTTCCTTGTGGGGATGGTTAGAATATTTGTTGGGGAAAAAGAAAAAGAAAGTTGAAAAATTGTTACTACTTAATGGCAGGACATAATGTCTGTTAAATTCTATGTTGCAATCACTTTTTCAGTCTTTCTCCCCAATGCCAACTGCCTACAATTAGTTAACTTTATTATACAGACTAGCAGGCGCGTGGAAGGAGACTAATAAAAATATTTGTTGAGTTTATTATCGAGAAAATGCTTCAACTACTTTCCAAAAAGCACTGTTATCATAGACCAGTGTCTGTCAGGTCATATAAACAGCTCTGCTACGAAGCATGTTTTCTTTTGAAGGGATTTATTGTCATGCAACTTTATACTTTGGAGAAAAACACAGATTTATCAGTAAAGAATATGAGTGTGAAGCTTGCAACTTGCTATCCAGAAGAAATCGTTAAAGAGATATCTTTAAATGTATTCAAATGAGATTGGTTTCCATAGAATGAAGGAAAATGTACAAATCAACAATTTATGAGCATTTTTAAATCTTTTATTTCTTGAAACTGATAATTAGAAGAAAACCCAAATTTAAGACCTTCACTAATTTTATTGAACATTTATTCAAAATCTTATAAAACATCTTTTATATGTGAAGACAGATAGATAGACGTCACTTTAACGGCTATTGTTGAGAATTCAAGAATGCAGAAAACAATTCTTATAAGTCATGTATCAAGTAGTAGGTCCATTTTTTTGTTTTATTTTTAGTTGGGCCTAGTAGTTATTCTTTTCTTTCTTGAATAGTGCCGCTACCTGCCTAAGAATCACAGCTCACTTCCAAGACAGCCATTTCAATGGTGGAAAAGGATTAACAATAACAGATTAATCAATCCCAGGAGAATTTTCTCATTATCCCCAAGGGATGTATTCCTGTACTCTGAGGCAATAAATCCAATTGTAGTGGGGCCATATCTACCCATTGCCCTTACTTAATGGTTATAATGCTTTTGACACAATTACTGTTACTAACTTGATGTGTCTTTATCTTTGCAGTACTAAGAAAATAATGCAACATCAACTGAACATAAAACCCCATTGCTTTCGTTAGAGAAATAAAAGATAACAGCATACTTGAATGGGTAGACTTACCTCTAGAAAGGGAAAATTTCTGTTTTCTGTGGAACTTCAGAGGCACTTTTCTTGTGGGTTAACCACTAGAGGGCATCATGAGGCTATATACTTAACACTTGGAATATTGATTACTCGAATTAATTATTCTTAAAACACTGTTCTTCATGTTCACAATTCTCATTTAAATGAATAAAAATGGAGGTGTAAAAATCATTTGTCTTCAATTTAATGTGCATTAGGAATATTCAGCAGAAATGCGACAGAGACTAAAACTCCAAGTTACCAGGTCCGTTGAATCACACACCAAGAGAATTCATCTAATTAAAGGGTGGATATGGCTAACAGAAAATGGGATGCTTCAACATGATTCTGGAAGCAAAGTAAATACCTTAGAAATTTATTATCTATTCAATCATTTTTTTCATCATAAGCATTATGAGCCAAGGACCAACATTCAACTAATTGCCACTCTGGAGACAGCCATTTTCAAAGTTCAAACTGTACTTCTCAGAAAATGGAACAGGGTGATTGCTACTTCTTGCTATAAGATCTCTGGATTTCAGCTCATGCTTCATCTCTAACCTGCCAGTTTGGGTGCTTCCTTGACTTCTTTCCTGAAAATATTTGGCAAAAGATGGCCAGGCCATGTTGCCTTTTGTGATACAAGAAGTGCCTTGACTTAAACAGGGGCTACAACAAAGTATTTGACCTATTATGTAATTTCTCAAGAAACCTGGCCTAATGTGGGTTTAACTATTATTTTAGTATTTTTTAGTCAATACATTTTATCTTTTAGAGAAGTTTTAGGTTCACAGCAACATTGAGTGGAATGCGCTGAGTTTCCATATACCTCTGTCCCTGCCCCCTTCCCCCATAACCTCCCCGACTACTGACATCCTGCAGCAGTGGTATATTTGTTACTATTAATGAACCTGTATTGACACATCAGTGTCACCCAAAGTTCATCATTTACATTCGGGTTCACTCTTGGTGAAACTAAGGGTTTTGACAAATGTGTATCCACCTTTGCAGTACCATACATGCCCTAAAAATCCTCTATATTCCCCCCATTGACCCCTCCCTCTGCAGTAACTGCTGGCAATCACTGATCTTTTCACTGTCTCCATAGTTTTGCTTTTTCCAAAATGTCATATAGTTGAAATCATACAGTACATAGCCTTTTCAGATTGGCTTTTACTTATTAATAGGCATTTGTTTCCTCCGTGTCTTTTCATGGCGTGATAGCTCATTTCTTTTTAGTGTTGAATAATGTTTCATTTCTTAGGTATAAAACAGTTTGTTTATCCATTCACCTACTGAGGGACATCTTGATTGCTTTCAAGTTTTGACAATTATAAATAAGCTGCTATAAACATCCACGTGCAGGTTTTTGAATGAATGTAAGTTTTCAAGTCATTTGGGTATTGTTTTATTTTTAGCTTATCTGAGCTCTTGAGGGAAGAGAACAATGCTTCCTTAGAGTTAACTAAGGTTTAGCCTTTCTTTTGGCTTATGGAGAGCCATGCAGCGTTAGGACTGAAAGGAAATTTGGTGGCCTAATCCACTCATTCTACTTTAGGAAACTGAGGCACATACACATGGACTAGTTGTTATTCTATCCTTTATAAAAGCCTAGCCTTCCTGGATTTTGTTTTTCGGTGTGTGTGTGTGTGTGTGTGTGTGTGTGTGTGTGTGTGTGTTTGCTTTCAGATGTCACATTAGTTCTTGAATGACTAGTAAATTTTAAAGATCTTTTGCCCATTGGGTTCAGTCTCAGATTTTGCCATTAACTTTTTGATACAAACCATATAAGCATGAAAAAAATCCAGCGAATAATTTTTAAAATGCAAAGTTTGGAATGAGAAGGGGCATGGAGAAGAAACATGGTCACCTGGGTTAGCAAGCTGTCCTGAATTGGTAGTTTTAACTCAATACCGCTGAAGACAATTCTCATCTTGCTGATGACCCAGGCTACTCTGCCCCAAACAATCCTCAAAGCAGGGTACTGGCTTCCCATCTGGAAAATCAGACACAGTAGTATAACTGGATGCTAAATGAGACCTCTCCTGTTACCTTCCTTTCAGCTGAGGTCCCAAAGCTGAGAATCATAGGTGATAACTACTCCCATGTTCTAAAGAGAGATGTTAAACCATCTCTTCAAAGCTTACCAAGGAGGTGGCCCTTACCTCAGTCTGATCAGACGAGGAAGAGAGTGAGTATTACTTTGAAGAGCCCTGTTAGAGGAGAGGGAGGTGCTCCCCCTAATTCAAAACAAATGAAGGGGGCCTTTACAAAAACCATTTGTAGACGGTGTGGGTCTTGCCAGGAGAGAATACTGACATCGCACCGCACTCATACACCTCCCATCTTCTCCCACAACCCTCTCTAAACAGAGGTCCAGAGCAGAGCCTGGTTGGTTACATAATTCTTGGGAAAATTTGGCCTGCGTTTTCTGGAACGTGGAGACTAGTGTTTAATTCTTACTGGAAGAGTCCGAGTCTCAAGAATAGAAGAAGTCTTTGTGGGTGTCCCGTCAGTTGCAAGAGCTGGGCTGCATGGCAAGCAATCGGACAAAGGAATATAACCTGCCCTAGGGAATAGCAATGTTGGAGGTTGTCTTGGGAGGAAGGGAGTGGTCTCATCAAGAACCCCCAAAAGCACCTACATTACTTAATACAGGGGCTTACAAAATCTTAGGGAGAGCTAAAGGAGCAAGCCTCCCAGAATCACTCACAGAGTGATACTGAACTGACCCACTGGGAGACTTCGTACCTCTGAGGCTACCTCTTGAGTTAGAAGCTGAAGCCATATCCACCACTACTTCTCTCCATATGGGAACATGGCAGGTGGACACAGGAACAACAGAATGGTACATTTGTTACAACTGATGAACCTATATCAATATATAATTACCACCCAAAACTTCATGGTTCCATCATCTCACTTGTTAGAAACCATAGTCTGACAATACCATTCAGGACAAAGGCATGGGCAAAGATTTCATGACAAAATCACCAAAAGCAATTGCAACAAAAGGAAAAATTGACAAATGCTATCTAATTAATCTAAAGAGCTTCTGCACAGTGAAAGAAACTATCATCAAAGCAAACAGGCAACCTACAGAGCAGGAGAAAATTTTTGCAACCTATTCATCTGACAAAGGTCTAATATTCCTGAATATTTAGGAACTTAAACAAATTTGCAAGAAAAAAACAACCGCATTAAAAAGTGGGAAAAGAACATGAACAGACACTTCACAAAAGAAGACATTCATGCAGCCGAAAAACATATGAATAAAAACTCAACATCACTGATCATTAGAGAAATGCAAATCAAAACCACAACAAGATACCATCTCATGCCAGTCAGAATATCAATTATTAAAAAGTCAAGAAACAACAGATGCTGGCAAGGTTGTGGAGAAATAGGAACACTTCTACACTGTGGCTGGGAATGTAAATTAGTTCAACTATTGTGGAAGACAGTGTGGTGATTCCTCAAAGATCTAGAACCAGAAATACCATTTGACCCAGTAATCTCATTACTGGGTATATACTCAAAGGAATATAAATCATTCTGTTACAAAGATACATGCATGCATACATATGTTTATTGCAGCACTATTTACAATAGCAAAGACATGGAATCAACCCAAATGCCCATCAATGATAGACTGGATAAAGAAAATGTGGTACATATACACCATGGAATACTATGCGGCCATAAAAAGGAATGAGATCATGTCCTTTGCAGGGACATGGATAGAGCTGGAAACCATTACTCTCAGCAAAACTAACACAGGAACAGAAAACCAAACACCGCATGTTCTCATTTATAAGTGGAAGCTGAACAATGAGAACACATGGACACAGGGAGGGGAACAACACACACTGGGGCCTGTTGCTGGGTGGAGTTTGGGGAGGGGGAACATTAGGAAAAATAGCTAATGCACGCTGGGCTTAATACCTAGGTGATGGGTTGATAGCTGTGGCAAACCACCATGGCTCACGTTTACCTATGTAACAAACCTGCACTTCCTGCACATGTACCTCAGAACTAAAAATAAAAATTTAAAGAAAAACAAAAGAAATCATAGCCTGAAGCTCAGGAAGATGACCTCTACCTCATTCCTGCCTTCCAAATCTCCTAGTAAGTGAATCTAAGGGACACAAATTCACATCTATTTAATAGAAACCTATCTGCAAAGCAGTCTAGGAAGTGTAGTTTTCATCTGTTCAATCTCTTTTAGTAAAAGTAAGGTAGGAACAGGCTTAGTGGGTGATTCGGATTTCCCAACACAGCACCCCACAAGAGAAAGGACCCATAATTGGGTTCCTGCTACAATGAGGGCCTCATTGCCAGATAACAGCAGCATTGGCCAAGTAAGAAACATTTTCCCTCTTTTCTCACCTCATTTCCCACCCCCCTTGTCTCTACTCTGGAGGACCTACAGTAGAACATAGCTGGAAGTATCACAAAGGTAGTGCAAAAATATTACAGAGACCATGTCCATTTCTTGTACCACAGGTTTCTGAGACTGTGTCAGGCCTGAGTGGTATGGAGGGGTGAAAGCTTTGAATTGACATGAAATCAGGGTTTTGATACATTAGACATTTTATTTGCTGAAAACATAACTGGTCATTAATATCAGAAGGCAAGGGTGATATTTGGTATGTTCTCCAGCTAGGATAGCACAGGTAGTGGCCAATCAGAATGTACAATGGCCATAAGTAACTGGTATAACTGGACCTGACATTGGCCCAGCCTGAAAGTACCTGGAACTGGTGAGGGATCTTCCAAAGATATTGTTTAGAGGAAGGAAAAAAAAAAATCTACCAGGAGAGAAGTAAAAGTTCAATGTGAGAAAAATGTAATGCTGTAATGTTGTTTTCTGCTTGCACCATACCATGTTCAGCTCATTTGATCAACTGTTTACAATAGATTTTTCACTTTGGTTAATTCCATTGTTCACTTATTGCTCCGTAGCATTCATGACTGGAGTTTAACAAAGGGCTACTGGACTTTTCCTTTTCGATTCTGAATTTAAAGAGTTGGGTTTATGCACTTCCCCTGGACTTATCTGCCATGTTACTCATTCCCCTTTCAGTCCTTTCAAGTGAACAACAGATTCAACAGGGGGAGTTTTGCTGGATGTTTCTATCCTAATATTCTTTTTTTTTTTTTTTTCTTTGAGACAGAGTCTCACTCTGTCGCTCAGGCTGGAGTATAGTGGTGTGATCTCAGCTCACTGCAACCTCTGCCTCCTGGGTTCAAGCAATTCTCCTGCCTCAGCCTCCCCAGTAGCTGGGACTACAGGCACGTGCCACCACACCCGGCTAATTTTTGGCATTTTAGTAGGGACAGGGTTTCACCATGTTGCCCAGGCTGGCCTCGAACTCCTGAGCTCAGGCAATCCACCACCTCGGCCTCCCAAAGTGCTAGGTTTACAGGCGTGAGCCACCATGCCTGGCCCCTAATATTCTCTTTTTGATGCAAGAGCTATAACTTAAAGGGGAATGGTAGATGGTTATAAGAACAGGGTAGGCCAGGTGCGGTGGCTCACACCTTTAATCCCAACACTTTGGGAGGCTGAGGTGGGTGGATCGCCTGAGGTCAGGAGTTTGAGACCAGCCTGACCAACATGGTGAAACCCCGTCTCTACTAAAATACAAAATTAGCCGGGCGTGATGGCACGTGCCTGTAATCCCAGCTACTTGGGAGACTGAGGCAGGAGAATCACTTGAACCTGGGAGGCGGAGGCTGCAGTGAGCAGAGATCATGCCATTGTAGTCTAGTCTGGGCGACAGAGTGAGGCTCCACCTCAAAAAAAAAAAAAAAAAAAAAGAACAGGGTATAGACATCTGAGATTTCCATAGGAAAACTTTTTATGAGCCCCAGGCACTCCCAAAGTAACAACTCCCATGAGCCTCACTCCCAAAGGTAACAACTTGACCTTATATCCAGTCTGTTGAGCCTGGCATTTTAATATATTAATCTCTTTGTAAAATATCTCTAAAGACCATTCGTTCTGAAACGTTTGCAACTTCATGACTGTATGTAATATACTTATTTTTGCAAGTGAGGGTCATGCAGCAGTATATTAAAAAGTAATAAGCTCTCAAAAGCTTCAAATTTATTAAGCAAAGTAATTAAATTTGTTTTAGAATATGGCCAATCCCATTGTCACTGAATTAGGGGATATTATATCAGTGTAAATGTTGGGGCTGGGGATTCTCCCTGTGGCTGTGTTACTGCTATACTACTAGATCCCAGTGGTTTTTAGATGGTCATGGTTAATGAGTCACTTTGCAAAACTATACACTCTAATATCGTTGGTCAAATTGATTCTATTCTCTGACTGAAATGATGCATCCACTGTCTTTATTGTGGGGGTCCATGCAGAGTGTCACGATGAGCACTGTCTACTTGTTTCCCAATATCAGTATTTTAGGGTAAGAGGGAAGAGGGACAACATTAATTTATTAAGGACAACTGAAAGCACCTGCTTTTGATGAAGACTTTCAAGAAATATTCCACAATTAGCTGTAAGAAAAGTTCTAAAAATAAATCTATTTATCTTTGTCCTCCCTCTGAATGCAGCCTCACACTCACCAAGAAAACATTTCTGCTCTTTGTAAAGTCAACCCTGTATTTTATGGTTCCTTCTATTTTGTTTTAAAATTGTTGTCTGTTTTGAATCACAAAACCAAAGACTTAGCTGCTTCTTTTGTCATTATGTTAGCTTTCTTCCAAATTCTGACCCCATTTTTTATTTTGTTAAGCAGAATGGCTATACTAGCAAGCATTTGGAAGAATACCCTAAAAGAAATAAAAGGGAATATGCATCAATATTCAGGAAGACAACTGACTTAATAACCAAAATTTATCTTCAAATCGCTCCAGGTTCAATGATGATTTAATATACAATCATATTATATTTTTATTTATTAAAGAAACAAATCCATTCTCATCTGATATAAACCTGGGTTTTCAGATTGACACTGAACCTACAAATCAGATACATTCAGCAAGTACAATGCCTGTGATGGCTCCAAGCATCAAGGTCATTTGTACTAACTCTTGCATAATTATGCCCCATCATGGGGTGTATTAGGTCTTAATTCTTACCTCGTGCTTATCATTAGAAGAGACAAGCTTCCATCATTCTGTCTCCTCCTAAGTAGAAATAAAAGACTCAGGTGTGGAGGCCAATAAGGAGATTTCCCTCTAAGAAACAGTGAGGTTCTTGCCTGAGGCAAGATGTTTGAAATGTACCACATAAAACTCCTCTTTCTGTTCCCAAATAGGCTTCATATGCCAGTGAAGATGGAAATGGAGCACTGTTAAAATTAAAGACAGTTTTGCCTTTCAACACAACAGATGAGGAGCTGACTCATCCCAAACACCCTAATCAGTGTCTCTTTCTCTCTCTCTCTCTCTCTCTCTCTCAGAAAACCTGGCTTTGAGATGGATTTTCCATGGTGAGAGTTGCAGAACTGAGCCCGGGAGCTACAACTCATCATGGCTTCTGCAGTTCCACAGATAGATGTGTGGACTAGAGATAAGACATGAGAACCCTAAGGAGGTGAAAATAACAACAAGAGCAAACCAAACTGGGACAACTCCAGCAGATCAAGGCCATGCTATTATGACAGTTAGATTTAGATCCATGATGCCACTACGGGAAATCTGCAGTCTGAGTGTCGCCCAGACCCGTGAAGTCTCCTGGGGCAATGCTCAGAATAGGGCCTTTATTCCCTGGTGCGTGCAGTGTCGTTTGTGAAAGCTCCGCCCACAAAGCCATCAGATGGTAACAATTTTCAGTCACTTCCAACTTGAGTTGGTTTTGAACTTTAATATGCAACCTAATTATGACTGCAAACACTTTGTTAAGCAAACAAACTTCAAACCCTTTTTAAAAAACAGCTCTTCTCTGGTCATTTCATCTTGTACAAAGGCTTTAAAAATAAAACTGTGTGGGGAATTAGGGAATCCAGGGATGAAAAAAAAGACACAAAATTAAATGTCTTTAATGTAATCACCACTTAAGTATTGAGTATCTGAACGTTTTCTTTCTAATCAAAACTTGGAAAATAAAGGATCCTATACTCTATTTTCTCTCTTTAGCCATTCAGCTTCTACCCCAAAATCACAAATAACATTTTCTCTTACTTTAAAATAGAGAAATAAAACTTTTAAATTTGTTCTCAGTTTTCTTTTGCTTACTAACCTCTTCTGATTCTGAAATATCCAGCAGATTTGAGGTTTCTGTTCTCTCTTGTTTTCTCCTCCCCTTGAGATTTTCTCACAGTAACATTTCTTTTCATTTTTGAGAATTGGGATCATTACATAGCAGATGGACATCAATGAATATCCACCTCTGAGGGCAAAACAAGGGCAACCTGGCAGATCTGCAGTGGAAGGAGATGCTGGGAGTGGCTAGACCCTGAAATAAGTCACCTAAAGAGACTACAGCTGCCTCATCTACAGATTCCACAGGGTCTGCGTTCCTCCCTGTCTTTAGGCGTTGATCCCTCCGAAGTTAAGTTCCCCACAGTCTTCTCAATTTACCTGTAGTCTTTGATAAACATCTTGAGTGTTTTACATTTTCCTTTGGAGAGAGGTCAGAGAATAGAACTCTGACTTCTACTTGTATTATTCAACAAATTTAAGAGGGAAAAGATATAATAGGTATTTTCTCCACATCTCTAAACACTGAGCTCTCCAACACCCTTCAGAAGGAAACTCTGACACCGCCCTTCTTTGAGAATCACCTAAGGTAAAGCCTAAAACCCGTGGTTTCAATAATCCATCTCTTCCCAGTTTTCATTTTCAAAAAAGAAATCACTTCACCGTTTTTGTGAAAGCAGAAAGATGTTGAAGCCAAAATATTGTGTATAATCAAGAATATCAGAAGACCACTCCCTCCTAGGAAAGCCTACCTGCACTTAGGGTGCTGACTCTGATTTTGTGACAAATGATTTTTGTTGCCGACTAAATGGCTACCCCTCCCTGTGCCTTCTGCCCTCTGACAGTGAGACGTAAGTATACTGGGAGCTCAGCAGAAGTGTTCGTTACCGACAATAAAAGACACACAAGAGGAAACAAACCTTTTGCCGCCTCTGGATGTTGCTGTCTGCGCTGAGGCTGAAAAAATAGCAGCCATCTTGGGGCCATGAAGGAATTCAGCTAAAAGACAAGCCAATTTACAGAGAGGACAGGTGGAGTGAATCTGGGACCTTGATGGTATCATTTCAACACTAAACTCAGCAAGTCTGGAGCCGCTCAACTTTCAGGTGTTTTGTTATGTGAGCTAAAAATGTTCCTTATTGCTTAGGCTACTTGAAGTTGAGTTTTCTTTCTTTACAACCAAAAGCATCCTGATATTAGTGGTTGAGTTAAAACTTTGAAAACAGAGCAATGTGAACATTTATTTCCCTTTAAACTCTATTGGCAAAAATTCTTATTTTGACTTTGAATGCAAAGTGCCTTGCTATGTGGAGAGTAACCAGCGAATGCCACCATGCACCATCTCTGAACTGGGCCTCTGTGTTTTAGATGGATCTAGGCATCAAGCTCATGCTTCCCCCAGACTCCCAGACCTGCTCCTCCACAGAAGATGGCCTGTCTTATTCCTGGCCAACCAGTGGACTTTTCCTTCTTTAACCCTTCTATCCTGGACTAACTGAAAAATATATATGGGTTCATTTACAGACCTTAAAAATCACAGAGTAAAACTATGATTTTCTTCAGCCCTCACAACAATAGCAATGTTGGGACCACCAGCCTTAACTTGGAAGTATTTCTCCTCTCTCATTCACCATGTATATTACCTCTTTAGCAAGTCAAAGCAGAAACAACAAAAGCCAAACGTCTACTGTGACTTGAATGGCCTGAAAACAAGATTTCTTGTTCCGAAGGGCAAAAGAAAGCCCAGCTGTGGATCTTTACATCAGTAGTATGGCAATAGGAGAACTCCAGCAAGCCCCTTGTCATTATTTTTAAGGTTTTAAGGGAATTAAACTGAATGTCAATTTCAAGCACACTCTTACAGCAGAAGTAAGATAAGCCCCAAGTTCTGACTGGTTTTGTAGAATTTCTTTTTCAGGCAGGGTAGAGGTCCCATAACGGCTCTCAGCCCATTTGGGACGGGGCACGGTGGAAGAAAGCCTTGGGTTGAGGCCATGAGAAGACTCTTTCCTTCTCAAATGAAGCCACATTGACCAGACTTCTGCAGACCTTTCTGGGTTTCCTGTCCTCACACTCACAAATCTTGGAAACAGTTGGAGTCTAATGAGTAACTCACTATGGGAATCTCCCCCAAGAGAGGGGGCATCCTGTGATCTCTAGGGAGGGGGTTGGGGTCCTGCCTTAGGGTCAACCAGAGAGCATCTCCTTCCTCCTGCTAACCTGGCATGTTTTTTCTACCACTGACAGGGCTCAGGGAAGTCCAAATTTACTTTCACCACAGCCTAAATTATAGCATTCAGGGTACTTTCTGCTCTTTTAGTTATTTTGTATGTCCTCTTCTCTTGTCCCACTCTAAGAGGAATGTTTTTTTCTCTCTTGCTCACCATCATTCTTTATTCCACATATGGTGACATGAAAATCTGCTTAGGAGATTTGATTTTATCTCGTGATTCAGTGTCACAGCATTGAACAGTCATTTCTATTTGAAGAGAACCGTAAAAAATGAATACATCTTTTAAAAGTGAACCTTGATATTATCCAAAAGAAAAATGTGTTTCTATTCTGAAAAAAATAAATTATTTATGTGTTGCTTATTTGGTTTGGGGAGTTTTATTTGGGTGTTTGGAGCTTGTTGTAAGTTTTCGTGCAGGGGTTTTTTCATGACTATTAATGTTGAATGAATCGGCTGGTAGTTGGTAGGAAAGTGCAGTATAGGGTTCACTCATGGAAGTGGCTATTTGATGGGTCACAAAGCTAATTAAAAACAAATTTAAAATAAAAACAAGAAGAAATACTGGCAATAGCATTCAGGATGTACGTGGCAAACTTTGGTTTGTTACAGTATTACTCAAAATGACTCTTTCATGTGGGAAAATATTTTTAGTTCAAATAAAACCAGAAAAGTATAATTGATGTAGTATAAAAGTATAATTTGATCAAACAAAACAGACAAATTAGCGCATGCTTAAATCCTAGGGTCTAAAACAACTTAGGCTACAGAGCCTAAAAGAAATTTGATAAGCTTTTCCTTTCATTTAGGTTTCTTGTGGGTTTTCATAGAACGTGTATATGTAGGTGAAACTCAGCCATCACTTGATTATGACCCAGAGATTAGAAATGTAATCAGGAGACTGTGGCAAAAAGAATGTCAAAAGAAAAAAAAAGCAAAGCAGATCCCTTAAAATTGTTTTCAAGTAGATCTGTCCAGCTGTAAAAGAGCTAAGAAACCTCTGAGGCTCATTTCAAACACAGATGAAATGAGTATGCATGAAACATTTGAATCAGAGGTCTTCTTCAACAAGGGTTTTTATAGAATCTGAATAGTTTTAGGAAAAAAAAAACTGATCATTCACATTGCTTTAGCCTACCTTTTATTTATTCTTTCACTGCATCAAATAGTTAAGAATCTTCTGTGTGGCAAACATGTGTGTTATCAGAGCAAGATGAGTTTCCTAGCCTCTAGGAGCCTACCATAAACAATTACCCAAATAATCATCTTAACAAAGTTATGATCAATACTTAAGGGAAACTCTAGTGTGCTTTAAGAGTGTACCAAAGTAATCCTTAACTTAATCACAGGGTATGGATTCAGAAAAGCCACCTACAGCCTTGAGATTACAACTGAGATCAGAAGAATGAGAAAGAGTTAACTACTAGGTGAACAAAACTGGGAAGATTCCCCAGTAGAAGACACAGATTGGGTGGGAACCAAGGTGTCCTGAAGCCCAGCACATTCAAAGAAACCAAAAAGAGAGAGTGTGTGACTACATGGACGGTGAGCCAGAGATGAGTCTGAGAGGTGGGCAGGGGCCAGGTCACATAGGCAGGGGTGATGTTCTAAACATTTAGCAATTTAGAAAGGCACAGACTTGGCCATTCCGAAGGGAGGCTGGCTATCAAGAACCTGCATAGTGGAACCAGAACAAGGAGATGACCATCAGCCCAGCATGAGAGGCCTTGGAGGACACATTTTGAGTTCTGGACTTGATATTCATAGCAAGAAAAAGACATTGAAGAGTTTCAGCAAGGGAGTATCAGGATCAAATATGAGTCATAAATATTTTCTAGAGAGACTGATCTGCAGATTAGTTAGTTTAGTTTACCAGTGAGTACCCACCACACCAGCTGCAAAGTGCTGTTGAGGTGGGTACTAAAATAAAGAGAAGAGACTGCAGCCCCTGCCCTCAGGAAAACAGAGCAATGTGAAAATTTATTTCCCTTTAAATGCTATTGGCAAAAATTCTTATTTTGAGTTTGAATGCAAAGTGCCTTGCTATGTGGAGAGTGACTAGCAAATGCCACCATGCACCATCATGGTATCCTAGTAGCTCTGTGTTACAAAGGGAAACAATAACTCTTTAAAAAAATTATTGAAGGACCTTTATTTTTCCCTCGGAGAGCTTAACATTCCTAGCTAAATTACTTCCCCCCATGTCTGCTTAAAGCACTTCCTCAAAATACAGAAAGCCACAGAGCCCCTGTGAGGGTTTTGTATCCCAGTAAGCTGTCACTGGCACAAACTTTTCCCTCCAGGTGTCAGCAAGAAATTTCCTTAACCTAAAGGCCACCCCCTTTCTGCAGGTCTGGTTTTGCCAGACAGAGGGCAAGAAGTGCCAGGACAGACTTCCCTATGAGTGCCATCCTGTCTGTTGACCAAGTTTAGGAGTTGTCTTCCCAAAATATCCCTATAAGTCACAGTGGTTTCATCTTCTCACAAGCCACATGAGACTTGTTCTTCTTTTCTTGAATAAAAGTTTTATCAAAGTTATGCAAATTAGTATAGACCCACTGTTAGGGGCTGGGAGGAGAAGCAGTCAATGTAACATGAAATAAAATAGACTAAGATCAAAAACAAACTATTCTGTTTAGCTGACTCATTTCAAAATGAAATCAGTAATTTTGTAACAAGGGGTGGGGGATCAGCAGATGTTTTCAAAGGATACGAAATTTCAGTTAGATAAGAGATGTAAGTTCAAGAGATCTATTGTAGAACAAGGTGTTTATATAGTTAATAACAGTGTATTTCTGTAAATTGCTAGGAGAGTAGATTTTAAGTGTTCTCACCACAAAAAAAGAGACATGAGATAATGCATATTGCTAATTAGCTCAATTTAGCCATTCTACAATGTATACCTATTTCCTAACAGCATGTTGTACATAATAAACAGTTTTTATTTGTAAATTTAAATAAATAAATATCTTTTGAAAAGGTAATTTAGTAACAAACTAAATGCATCTTTAAATAAATGGAAAACCCCATTGTAACACATTCGGGAATTGTAGAAATATGGAGAGCATGCACAAAGAGACAGTTCTTCTTTTCTTCTAATCTCACTCTCCAGGGACACTAATTTAATATGTATACATCAGTATTTTTCTATGTTTATCAATATATAAACATATATAGTTTTTTTCTCTTATCAAAATAGAACTATTCCAAGATACTGTTTCACATATTGTTCTTATCACTTAATAACGTGTCTTGAACACCTTTCCAAGGTAACTGTCTATTAGTTCATAGACTGGATTCACAGTTCATACTATGTCCCCTTATTAATATTGAGATTGTTTCCTTTTTTTGCCTTTCAACCAATATTGGAAGGGCATCTTTGTAATTATATCTTTATCTATTTGCAAAATGAAATTCCTAGAAGCCAAACTGTAGCATCATAGAGGATTCACATTTTTATATTTTTAAAAAATTTCAAATTGCCCTCTAAAAATAGTTATACTAATTTACTTTCCTAAGGAAATTACTTTAAATTGGGCAGGGGTAAGAAATGACTCTACATTTTAATGTTACTGACATTTACCTGCACCATGCTAAGACCTTCACATACATTTAGCCTATGGGTTACAAAGCAGAAATTTTGTGGTCATTTTACTGCTGAGACTCTGGGAGTAGACGCTTGGGTGATTTGCACAAAGCCACCCTGGCAACTGGCACAGGAGGGAAGAGTAGGGCTGTCTGAGTTCAAATCCTGGTTCTATTTTACAGCTAATTGGCATGGGCTTTACTTCTCTGTGATGGTTAATTTTATGTATTAATGTGACTATGTCATGGCACCCAGATATTTGGTCAAGGTATTTCTTTGAAGGTATTTTTTAGATGTGATTAACACTTACATCAGTAGATTTTGAAGAAAGCAGATTATCCTCCATAATGTGGGTGGGCCCCATCTAATCAGCTGAAGACTTTAAGAGGAAAAAGACTGCAGTCCCCTGAGGAAGAAGGAATTCTGCTTCCATACTGCCTCTAGACTCAGGCTGCAATGTACATGCCTCCCTGGGTCTCCAGCTGGCCTTTTCTGCAGATTTCAGACCTGCCAACCCCCATAATTGCATAAGCCAGTTCTTTAAAATTTCTCTCTCAAGAGGAGACGGCCGGTGGGCGGGGGGCAGGGGGAGTGAGAGGGTGAGAGAGAGAGAACCTATTGGTTATGTTTCTCTGAAGAACCCTAACTAACTAATACATTCTCTAAGCCTCATTTTCCTCACCTGTAAAATTGTGACAACACTACTTCCTTTGTGAAATTACAGACTAAACTAAATAATCCATGTAAAGTGCCTAGTGCCAGGCAAATTGTCTGTAGTTCACACATTTTTCACTATTATTTTTTGGAAAATGAGCTTGAACTCACTGCTCTGTTCACTACCACCCTCATCCCTTTCCCTTACAACACATTTTATCTCTCTCTCTCTCCCTCTCTCTCTCTCTCACACACACACACACACACACACACACACACACACACACACGCAAACACACGCGAACCTTAGGAGAACACAGAACCTAGGCCCTTCAGTTTATAGACAAGAAGTATAAGCCCAAACTCTAAAGAGATTTACTCAAGAGCATCTTCAGCAATGTTGAAACCAGAATGAGATCTTCTCCATCTCCTGGAGGCTGGTTTCCCACTACAATCCTGCCTCCTTCCTGTGAGTCGGGTATTTCTTATCTCATTCATTTGTTTACCTCACAACCCACTCTGCCTCATGCATGAGCGATGCCATGAGACTGGGGTCTGATTCTGCGATGTGTCACCTTGAATGAGGGCCCACTGTCTCTGTTCCCTTTCCCCTAGATTTCACTTCAGTAAGTCATGCTGGTGGGGGCAGAGGAGGAGGAACATCAGAAAAGGAAACACTTATCCATGACATGCTTGGCTAAGTTATTACCTAACACCAGAGCACGTCACTGCCCTGCCTTGGCCTGGAAGAAGGTAAACCCTCACTACCCGTGTTTTGTGATGACAACAGGCACGATGAAGCTAGAGCTAGTGTTGTTGCCAGGGTTGCTTGTTCTCCTGAATACAGAAGGTCCTGTGTAACCAGCAACACATTCCCAGCCATGTTCACTCCAGCCTCAGTTTGGTGCTTTCAAAAATACTGTTAATGATGTCTTGCTGTTTTCAGTGCTTCAAACAGGTAGGCTTCCCAGAATATGCCCAAATATGCAGAAGAAATCTGAAAAGCCACCCATGGCTGAGTTGTCAACCAGAGTGACATTCAAGAAATGGCTCAAATTAAAATATATTCATAAATATTTGGTGGAGGTATCATGGCTAATTGAAATGGCATTTTGGTATTTTAAAATTCATTCCAAATATGGAGGTGAACACCCTCCTTGTCTGGGCAGACAGGGTATAGAAATTGAGAATGATACGCTCCCTCATATTTGTAGCAGACCCGCCACAAACATCTCTCCATGCAATGCTGAGAAACTCAACTTTGAGAATAAAATGATGAAAAATATTAGAGCCGTATTTATTGCCTGTCAACACCAACAGTGCTCAAGAGAAATTTACTGAGTTCTAGTAAAATGAGCTAAATTTGTGAATAAATGATTTGAATTGGGAATAGGCTTTGAAATGCCTAAAACTTTCCTAAATGAATACATTTCTGCAAATATTGAAATTCCTAGAAAAATTCAATAAAATTCTCTTTTGATGAGGATCATCTTTGTGACTGTACGTAAGTTGGCTCAAAGCCCATAACTAACCCACAGTGTGGTAGGATGAGTCTGGGCTGGGTTGGAGTCCTGACATCTAGGTTTTTTGTTTGTCACTTCTTCTCATTGGCTATACTGTTTGCACAATCTCAAAACCTGCATGTGGATAATTCCTCACTTGTAAGCTTAACCAGATGAGCTATTTCCCAAGCTAGAAATACAAAGAGAGTGATATTTATTTTTTGTTATTTAATTTTAAATTTAACCTGCTCTGTTAACCAGCCAGGTAACTCCCTCTTGAGCAATATTCAAGGAAAATTATCAGGAAGTCCAGGAACATATGCAGCCCCAAATCATGCAGAGAACTGGAGCTGGCCAGGCCACCACTAATGTTGCCACTCAGGGTCCCACAGAGGCACCGTGCAAAACCGCTCCTGCACACTTCAACTGGTCATTCTTGCCCACTGAGTCAGGACTACCCAGCCCAGGGGAGGAACCTGCTCTGGTCTTCAAAGCTGAGCTCTTTGTTTTACTGTCACATGGTGTCTCCCAGTGACAGGGAGGCTGCAAGAGCACGAGTCCCTGGGGCTGCTATAACAAAGAGCTGCAAACTGTGGGGCTTAAACAACAAACATTTATCATCTCATGGTTCTGGACTTTGGTTGGAAGTCCAAAATGAAGGCATCAGCAGGATTGATTCTTTCTGCAGGCTGTGAGGAAAGATCCAGCCCATGCTTCCCTTCTGATTTCTGGAGGCTTCCGGTGTTCCTTGGCTTTAGGTGGCCTTTTCCCTGTGTCTTCACATCATATTCCCTATGCGTCTGTCTCCAAATTTCCCCTTCTTACAAGGACACAGGTCATACTGGATTACAACCCACCCTAATAACCTCATTTTAATTGGATCACCTCTGTAAAGATAATATTTCCAATAAGGTCATGTTCACAGGTACCATGCGTTAGGACTTACACATCTTTGGGGGGGACACCAAAACACTGTTGATGTTTAACCATGTCACTGCAGTTTTCAGATGCAAAATGATGAGAGTGTCACATATGCCTTCTGTTGCAATTACTTAGCCTGCCCATTGTGGACAATCCATAAACAAATGGGTGTGGCGGTGTTCCAACAAAACTTTACTTATGAATATTGACACTTGAATTTTATATTATTTCACTTGTGATGAAATATTCTTTTGGTTTTTCTAAACCATGTAAAACTATCGAAACCATTCTTAGCTTGCACACTGTATAAAATGATCAAAGGGCTTGATTGGGTCCTAGAACTGCAGTTTGCCAATTCCTGTAAGAAAGGATTCTTTAACTGAGAAAAAAATTGATCCTCATCAGATTTCTCCCATTTAACTGAGATAATTTCTTTATATTAGTTTCCAGCAACCCCACCTCCCTGCAATAATTTATAAATGTTCTCTTATTCATATGGTGCATGTACTTTACTCCTAAATCGAGTTTGTGCTCTGTAAATAACTTCTCACAAGAAGCTCAGGAAAGAGCTTGAATGTAGGAAGGCAAGACACCTTACTTCTTTATTCTACAGTATCTCCCGACATCCAAAGCAATGTTTGTTGTAGCAAACATTGTGTATGCAAATTGAATCCTTTTTTAATTTTTGATTTTTGCAAGTACATAGTAGGTGTATGTATTTATGGGGTATATGGGATATTTTGATACAGGCATACAATGTGTAATAATCACTTTGGGGTAAATGAGGTATCCATCACCTTAAGCATTTATCCTTTGTGTCACAAACAATCCAATTATACTCTTAGTTATTTTTAAATGTACAATTAAATTATTACTGACTATAGTCACCCTATTGTGCTATCAATTACTAGATCTTATTCATTCTTTTAAACCATTTTTTTGTATCCACTAACCATCCCCGCTTCCCTGCCACCCCTCCCCACTATCCTCTGGTAACCATCCTTCTATTCTTTATCTCCATGATTTCAACAGTTTTAATTTTTAGCTCCTACAAATAAGTATATGCAAAGTTTGTCTTTCTGTGCTTGGATTATTTCACTTAACATAATGATTTCCAGCTCCATCCATGTTGTTGCAAATGACAGAATCTCATTCCTTTTTATGGTTGAGTAGTACTCCATTGTGTGTCTGCACCACACTTCCTTTATCCATTTGTCTGTTGATGGACACTTGAGTTGTTTCTAAATCTTGGCTATTAGCTGGGTGCGGTGGCTCACGCCTGTAATCCCAGCACTTTGGGAGGCCGAGGTGCGTGGATCACGAGGTCAACAGATCGCGACCATCCTGGCCAACATGGTGAAACCCTGTCTCTACTAAAAATACAAAAATTAGCTGGGCATGGTGGTGCGCGCCTGTACTCCCAGCTACTCAGGAGGCTGAGGCAGGAGAATTGCTTGAATCCGGGGAGGTGGAGGTTACAGTGAGCTGCATTTCAGGTTGGGCAACTGGTGTAACAGAGGTTACACCACTGCATTCTAGCCTGGGCAACAGAGCGAGACTCCATCTCAAAAATAAATAAATAAATAAATAAATAAATCTTGACTATTGTGAACAGTGCTGCAATAAACATGGGAACAAATCAAATATTTAAACACCCTCATATGGGGTCTTCTCAAACTGTACCCATCATTCTGGCCTAATTCCAGCCTGCCATCCTCCATGAAGCCTCCTCCAGCTATTCCAGCTCATCCTGACATTGGCTTCTCTTTTCCTGTTGAATTCATAATCCATGACATGTAACTGACCACTTAACCCTTGATGAATTCTCACATTAGTTTTG
The DNA here is from genome assembly GCF_000001405.40 of Homo sapiens. Classification (NCBI taxonomy): domain Eukaryota; kingdom Metazoa; phylum Chordata; class Mammalia; order Primates; family Hominidae; genus Homo; species Homo sapiens. The sequence continues at coordinate 105,752,589 of NC_000006.12, forward strand.
ACTTTTCAGCTACAAAACCAAAACCACTCCAAGAAAGGAACTGGTGACATCCTTTTATTGTTGTGTTTTCTCTCCTTTGAAAACTAGTTAACTCTTACATTACAGTAGGCACACTCCAAGGCTGTTTCCCGACGCACAGGCCAGGCTGCTCCCTGGAACTCCTTTAGGGGTTAGGCTGGGCCCATCCACCTACCTCTCTGACCCGAGCCTTTTGCCAAGGCCTAAGCACACTGAAGCAGCAGTGGCTGCCATCCATGTAGGCGCTGAAATTCTAGAGCTCAAAGAAGGGAACTGGTGCCTAACACTCTAGCCATGGCTGGACACCAGGAATCAGTACCTGCTTCAAAACTGACAAATTACAGAATAATTAATTACTAACAGATATTCTTAAGCACAAAGTTTTAGTGCACATTGACCATTTCCTAACTTGAACCCTCTCTAAATAGATGAATTTCTCAAGTAAAGGTAAGCAAGGTCAGTGCTTCTGTTGCACTTTGGTCTCCTCTCTTGGCATTTTCTTTTCTTACATGATATTGTAGTAAGTAGTATAAAAACTTGAAAATGAAAAGCCTGATTCTTGATGCATAATAGGAGCCCCACAACAATAACCAATATTTGGAAGTTTGTCAAAGGCAGGTATGAAGCACAAGATGAAACGTTTTCATTTCGGATGACTTATAGTAAGATACCAATAAAATACTCCGAGATGTGGTAAGAATAGGCGATATCACCACACCTTGGGCGGGTGAAGCCACTTGGCACAGGCACCCTACCTCACCACACCCCTGAGGCATGGCAGAACACAAGAGAACCACACCCATTGAGTGTGATGGCTGAGCACAAACCAAACACTTCCAAAGGCGAGGCAGAAAAATCAATACAGGCACCACAGGAGGTGATACCGGAAAATGATGTGATGCTGGCAGGATTTTCACTGCAAGGGAAGATAAGTAAAGAAATAAAAAAGACCCCTTCTCCTTTGCAGATGTAGGGCACGCCTGCCAGAGTTTTATTGTTTTATTGGTGGATGGGGATTCTTGTCTTCTCTGGTCAATTTCTATATGGGACACTTCCTAAGTTACTCGATCCTCTAAACACTATAAGAACTTGGAGACCGAGCTGAAAACTTAATTAGCATTATGCAGACTGTGGGCTTCTGGTATTTCTAGTAAGCTTAGGAAGCTGCCAAACATTCCTGCCAAGTTTCCTTAAGCCTGGAAAGGCCTGCAAATGCTAATCCAAGAAAGCCAGGGAAAGCAACAAATACTAATTTTCTCATAGACTGAAAGGGAAATACTGTGAGACGGGGGCCGGGGGCTTCTTTTTGTGAAGGAACCATCGGGGGCTTCTTTTTGTGAAGGAACCATGAGGGCCTAAGGATGTCAGCTCTAGAGAAAGCCCCAGGTGGGACCAGATGGAGTTTAGAATAGTCTGCAAGCCACAAAGACATGGGATGGGGAAATCGCCCTTGTAGGCACAAGGCAGCTAATGCCAATATTCATCTGCACCAAGGCCCACCTCCTCTAGACAAGGGTAAAGGTCTGAAGAGTTCAGAGAAATTAACCCCAGTAGTCTATATTCCTCAGTAAAGCTGAAGGATGTAAGGTTTCCATACACAACTATAGTGAAAAAAATACATTAACTTCCTTTCACAAAGGCTTGATTTTATTTATAGTTTATATGTAGCTCCTTTTTTTTTTTTTTTTTTGAGATGAATTTTCACTCTTGTTCCCCAGGCTGGAGTGCAATGGCGCGATCTCAGCTCACTGCAACCTCTGCCTCCCAGGTTCAAGCGATTCTCCTGCCTCAGCCACCTGAGTAATTGGGATTACAGGCATGCACCACCACGCCCAGCTAATTTTTATATTTTTAGTAGAGACACAGTTTCCCCATGTTGGCCAGGCTGGTCTCGAACTCCTGACCTCAGGTGATCCGCCCACCTCGGCCTCCCAAAGTGTTAGGATTACAGGTGTGAGCCACCATGGCCAGCCTATATGTAGCTCTTTAAACAGTACCTGGCCACCTTCTTCATTTGTTCTACTTCATTACTTAGGAAATTGGCTAGCTTTCAAGAAGAATTTATTTTCCCAAAAAGGATTTTCCAAAATCAGACATAATTGGTATTAACATTTTTTAGTAAAGGAAAAACAAAGCCAATGTATTGAACATTCTATATGTGCTAGGTTCTATGTTAAGTGTTTCACATTCATTATCTCATTTTCTCTCGAAGAAAGATATTTTCTATTAATTTTGGGATTGATACAAGACAGAAAAGTTGTTAAACTTTAGAGCAGGGGTCCCCATTTCCCAGGCCATGGACCAGTACCATTCTGTGGCCTGTTAGGAACTGAGCCACACGGCAGGAGGTGAGCAGTAGGCGAGGGAGCAGAGCTTCATCTGCATTTACAGCCGCTCCCCATCACTTGCATTACTGCTTGATCTCTGCCCCCTGTCATATCAGCAGTGGCATTAGATTCTCATAGGAGTGCAAACCCTATTGTGAACTGCGCATGTGAGGGATCTAGGTTTTATGCTCTTTATGAGAATCTAATGCCTGATGATCTGTCACTGTCTCCCATCACCCCCAGATGGGACCATCTAGTTGCAGGAAAATGAGCTCAGGGCTCCCACTGATTCTACATTATGGTAAGTTGTATAATTATTTCATTACATATTACAATGTAACAATAATAGAAATAAAGTACACAATAAATATAATGCATTTCAATCATCCCAAAACCATCCTCCCCCTCCCCCAGTCTATGGAAAAATTGTCTTCCACGAAACTAGTTCCTGGTGCCAAAAAGGTTGGGGACTGCTGCTTTAGTGGACTGCAGAGTAAATGAATAATTGAGAGAAAGGTTCATCAGGAGGGAAGAAACTTCGGCTCCAGTCTGGCTGGATAGAGGAGCTGCTGCTGTCTTGGTTAAGTTGTAGGTCAATAATAGTGCTAGAGAGGGTCTCAATCCATTCTTCAAAGAACAATTATCCAGAGCCTCTGTACCCACCCCACTCCATGCAACACCCCGATAGGTCTCTTATTAGAAGCAAAATGGAGAAACAGTCATCTTTTTGCCTTTCTGAGGAGCCAATTCCTTAACTTTGATTTTCATCTAATGTACACTATTAACTGGTTACCATTGCTTCTTCCAATCATCTATTTTCTCAGCCATATTTATTGAGTGACTACTGTGTGCCAGATATTGGGCTACACACTCTGCATCCATGGCGCAATCTCTGCCTGCAAGAAGTCTGCCGTCGATTCCCTTCTCCCTTTTAGGGAGGCAGAGACACCAGCCAGAGCTGCAGGGTGGTGCCCAAAGAAACAGTTGAGGTAGGATGTACTCGGTACTTCAGCCAGGGTAACTCTCTACTCCCATACATGAGCCAAAAGACCATGACCTTCAGGGAATCAAAGTTAGAAGGCAGGTAGAAGAGTCTTCAACACAGAAGAAAAATCCAGCTGGTGATTCAGAAATGGAAGGACAGAAATGAGTGCACCTGCTCACCGTGGGGGTGGAGGAGGGTAGAGAGGATTTACCGAGTCAAGGAAGTGTAGTGCACAGGCACTTTTATTGGGACACAGACTCCTCCATGAGCAGGGAGGGAGCTCTCAAGGATGTTGTTTGTGGCATGGAGGCAGCTCAGAGATTCAGAGGAGAGGTACACAAAAACTAACAGCCACACCGGAAAGGAGCATAGCGCGTAGTCAAATGACTATGGAGTCCAGAATCAGACCAGGGTTTTAATCCTGGTACCACTGCTTTCTCAAACTAGTAATGTCAGCTCTGTGAGCCTCAGTTTTCTCATCTGTATCATAGGAATGATGTTTCTGTTGTGAGAATTAAATGACATGATGTATGTAAAGTCCCAGGCCTATTCTAGACATCCAATAAACAGTAGTTATACTCAATGAAGAAAGCACCAAAAAAGACATACTTGTCTCCCCTGGAGAAGTTCAGAGGAGGAATCACCAGTGCACAGCCTTGAAGAATCGGAAGGAGTTCCAATTGGGGATGGAGGGAAGGTAGAAGAAACCACATGGGTGGGACACGTAGTTGGACACTAGAGGCCAGAGTGCCTGGGGGCGGGTGTGAGAGAAGAGGCTGCAGCGCCAGGTCCTGAGGAGATGCCTGCCATGTACAAAAGCTACATCTGCCTTGACCAGAAAGTGGTGGGAGTTTTAAGCAGCAGCCTGCCAGGAACATGATTAGGTGATAATAGGTAACACTCATGCAGCCAACCCCTAATTAGAGCTTCCTATAGGCCAAACACTATTCTAAGCCCTTTACATATATTAACTGAATTCTCACATAATCCTTTGAACTAAGTACTAAGGAAACTAAGGCAGAGAGAGGTTAATGCCTGGGCAACCTGGCGAAACACCATCTCTACAAAAAATACAAAAAGTAGCCAGGTGTGATGGTGCATGCCCATAGTCCCAGCTACTCCAGAGGCTGAGATGGGAGGATTGCTTGAGCCTGGGAGGCGGAGGCTACAGTAAGCTGAGATCACACCATTGCAATACAGCCTGGACAACAGAGTTAGACCCTGTCTCAAAAAAAAAAAAAAGTTCCCAAGGACATATCATCCTAACTCAGTGTGCATTTACATGGATAAGGCTGAGAGGAAGGAAGTTTGGAGAGAAGACAGATTGGAAAAGAGAAGGCACTAGAAATGAGTTAGGAGGGAAGGTCCAGATGGGAAATGAACGTGCCAGAATTAAGGTTGTAGGGAGGAAAAGAAGAGGTTACGCTTAATGGAAAATCCAGGGTTCAGGGAACCTAGTGACCAGTTGGATGTGGAGACAAGTAATTCCTTTGGGAAAGATTTTGTGAATTTAGTTGGTCTGTTCTCCTCTTTGAAATATTTTTATAACACTCCTTTCCAAGGGGGTGACTTTACCAGAATGACAGCTTGCACTTTCACCAATGTCCATTCACTGGTTCCTAACCCTGAAATCTAGCCAACTAAGGTATTAGGACTTCAAAAAAAAATCAACATGGTGGTGTGGTTTTCACCTTGAAATGGGGTATTTACTCCTCCTCTAACAATAGACATGTTGTTTCTGTCTTCTAGGAGTTTCACTTTGATGTGTCAAAGGAAATGCCATGAACTCTAGGGGAGAGTCATCACTGCGTGAATGCAGGATAAACAGCAGGTGTGGCTGGGGCTTTAGGACAAGTGCCAGTCGTCCTATTCCATTTTTAGAGATAAAAAAAAAATGAATGTTTCAAGTGCTTTGGTTTTCAGGAGTCAAAGACAGCTTTCAAAAGAGTCCACGAATAGAAGCCCAACATTTCAGAGTGAAGCTGCATGACAGAGACACTTCTTAGTGTCTCCATGATCATGATTAGGAAGCCGAAACCAACACACTCTTCTTTGCATCACTTGGGTGAAGCAGGTGGGAGGCAGATGTCCTGCCTGCACACCTGGGTAGGTTGAAGGCAGCTCTTTAATTTGAACATTGAGCAATCACCTTCCCTTTTAGAACCTTGCAAATTAAATTTGCCCTAGGAACAAGTAAACAGATGATCTGGCAAAAGCCAGGTCCAGGGACCGGAAAGAGATCATAATATTAATAATAACCCCTTACATTTGCATTGTTTCTGTATCCTTCACACAGCGGTCCCAGTGAAATGATCATGTGCTTATTCTTGTCTTCACTGGAAAGCTAAGGAGTCTAGGGCTTAGAGAACTGTCTTGCCCCAGGTAATAGCAAAATAGAGGCAGAGCGGAGACAGGTTTTCTGACGATAAGCCTAGTGTTTCTGCCAGCACACCATCAATAAGCAGATTGTAATGGCTTTGGTTCTTCTAGCAACAGAATCTTCTTTTTTTTTTCTTTTTCTATTTTACTTTAAGTTCTGGGATACATGTGCAAAACATGCAGGTTTGTTACATAGATACACATGTGCCATGGTGGTTTCCTGCACCTATCAACCCATCATCTAGGTTTTAAGCCCTGCATGCATTAGGTACTTGTCCTAATGCTCTCCCTCCTCTTACCCCCACCCCCCAACAAGCCCTGGTATGTGATACAGAATCTGTGACAATAGAAACCTCTTATTCCTGGGGGGACCCTACTCCCCTACTTAGGAATGGACTTGTTATGTAGGATGTAGGTCTCCTCCATTTGGTTAAAGGATAGACAGATGGCTGATCTGAGTTGGGCCAAGCCTCAGTTTTCCCCAGTCCTCCTCATCTTTCTCTCTTGGAGAAAGAAGCTGTCTTCCTCCTGAGGTTGTGAAACTGGGAAGCTTAAGCAGCCTCTGGCCCTCATACTCACCAGGGAGAAAGACTTTTAAAAAGATGGAGCCAAAAATGAATCGTGTTTAAGCTTTTGATTCTAGCCATGTCAGAAACTAGTTCTACTTTTGGACTGTTTAGTTATATTAACTAATTAATTACTTCTATTGCTTAAGCTAATTTGAGTGTTTTGCTTTGTCTTTTTTGGTTTGGTCACCTTCAACCAAGAGTCCAAACCAACAGATGCCCAATAGAAATAACAAACCTCAATATGGGTGGCTCAGAGAAGACCTCTTGAATGTACTACCTGGTTCCCTGCCCCCACCTTCCTCTTCCAGGTCCACACACAGTGATGGCTCACCCATGCTGTGAGCAGCCTACAATCAGGTTATTTCAGGGAACTCCGGCCCCTCCTTAACCAGAATAACCAGAATGGTTTCTTCCTGCCTCTATCTTGAATTTTTGAGAGGCATGCCTTGGATCAAGTACCTAGGATATATGTTTCTGGGAGCCTTTTAGCTCTGGGAGGTGGAAAGTACGTATAGGTTGGGGCTAAGGTAGGTTGCACCCCTCAATATTCATGGAATCAGGGGGATTGGGTGGATTCATTTACTCTTTGAAATAAACTCAGGTTCATTTTATCCTTTTGCAGTCTTTCTGATAACTTTCAGGACACAACTCAATAAAGTAGGGTCCTTCACAAGACCTCCATGAGGCCAGGAAGCCCTCTGAGAATTTCTATTGGGGTCTTCAGTCCAGAGCCCTTGGCCATGTTGCTCCAGTGAAGGCTAGCCCAGAAAAGGCTACAGCAAACTCTGTGCCCCTTCATGTCCCTCTCAGAGCTAAACAGAGACAGCAATGAGACCTAAATATGTTTCGCTTTTCCCACTTTTGCCAAATAGACAGTGTTTCAAAGGAAATGCCTTATGTAAATACAATAACAAAAGCTAACATGCACATAATGAAGTTGAAAGAAAACTGTACCCTGTTTTACTACTGTAGTTTGCACAAATTGCTTCTTTGGAATGATAAATTCCGAGTAAACTGTAGCTATTTTGAGACACAAATTCCAGCCCTCCCCAGTCAAACAAAGTATCTTTGATTTCTTTAAATAATGACATATATGAGGCTTGAGCCCATCCAAAGAAAAGCAAAAGCTGTCTCATTGCTCCTTAAGAACATGCATCCCACAACCACGGTCTTCTTCCCGGCGTGTGTGCATTCTGACTTGCATGATCTGGCCTCAAGAGCATTGTTGGCATACTGTTGTTTGTGTTACTCAGGATTAGCAGAAAATTTCTGTGGGTGTTTTACGTCACTGGAGTAGGAAGCACTGAAAAATTATACCCACTTGATTGATATTTCTGGAAAGAGAACTCTAACTTACTAGAGGAAGGGGGTGGGGTGGCCAGGAAAGAAAAGAATGAGTAAGACTCAAGAAAGCCCCATCAGGAAAGTCCCACTTGGAAAACTGAATTGATGGAGATGAGATTTCTTGCATGAAGCAGCATTAAGCTCTATTTGGTAGGGAAATCAAAGTTCTTATTGTCTCAGAGGGGGTGAAAAAAAAAAGTGTGGATCTCATGTCAGTGTCTACCAATTTATGGAACTGAACTTTGGCAAGAGACAGTGAGAGTTACAAAGCAGTACAATTTCCCTTTCAATAAACTACAGATTTGTATGTAATTGGGTGGAAGGGGCCGGTAGAGTTTAGTCTGGAAACATTTGGTACAAAGTTTGAGATTTTTCAGATATTCCAGAGAAGTATAACAGTCACAGAATAATGTCTAGTCCACATGTCTTTTTTTAAAGGCATTAAAGAAAACTAACACTGCAATTTTAAAAATGGGCAAAAGAGTACAAATATAGTTTGTAAAAGAAGAAATACAAATGTGAAGACTCAAACAAAACAAACAAGGCCCTGACCTCATTTATAATCAAAGAGGTGCAATATAAAATAATAAGGACCTATTTTTTAATGTACTGCATGAATGAAACATTTTTATGTGATAATCTCTTCTTTGACTGGTGTCAGGAGGCAGGCACACATGTACTGATTCCAGTAACACCACCATTAGGGAAAGTAATTTGCCAATATATTTTTTAAAGGTATGTACTTTGACCCCCATAAGTCTACTGCTAGGAATTTATTCCAGGAAAAATTGTGAGAGGTACATAAATATTTACATTCAGAGTCGCATTGATTAAATGTTGAAAAATGGCAAATAACTCAAATGTCTAACAATATGGGCTACGTTAATTTTTGTTTTTCTGTTTTTTGGGTTTTTTTTTCTTTTCGTTTACATTCTCTCATGAAGGGCTAAATTAATTAAGGTATACTCACACAACTGTTTATTATAAAAATATATAAAATCTTTTTTTAATGTTGTTATGAGAAAATCTTCAATGTAACAGTAAGAAGAAACATCTAATTATAAATTTTATTTAAAATATTATGTGATATATAAATGTACACATATATAATAAAAACAGTATATATATCTAATATATAGTAAATATATAGTGAGATAAGATATGGGAGGAAATAAAATTTGTTCATGGTAGTAATCACTGGGTGATAAAATTATAAATTTTTTTGAAATTATAAATCTGTAATTTCATAATGTTTGAGGTATGGGAAAATTTTTTCTTAAGGCACACCTTAGATGTCTAAAAGAATATTTCTAGACTGGGCATGGTGGTTCATGCCTATAATCCCAGCACTTTGGGAGGCCAAAGCAGGGGGATTGCTTGAGGCCAGGAGTTCAAGATGCCCAAAATAATATCTCTAAGATAACTGAGTAGCCAGACAGCCAGATAGAACTTGGCAAAAAAAATTTCCCCCTTAATATTTTATTGCACTTATTTTTTAAAAAGCAAGATGGAGGAGTACTGTGAAATAGTAAAGAGGGTATGGGACTCACAAATATGTTGCATGCGATATAAAATGTGGTTTCCTATGTAAAATATGTCTGTGTACATGAATGTGACATATGCATATCCCACACATGTCCCAAATAGGATTAGACCTTTCAATGGCATGAAGACGTGAGAAATTGGTAAGTTACATATATATTGCAGGAAACCTAGAAACCATTTGGTATTAAAGAAAAGTAAAAGCTTATAGAACCAGAAACATGGAATATGTTTGTTTGAGCACTATATTTAACTCTGAGCTTCTTAGAAGTTAAGCCAAATGAGTAAACATAATGAGTTACACAGTTTTAATTATCTGATGAAAGGAAGCACACAAGTTCATCTGGAAAGACAGAGTTCTTTTCCCTACTCACTTCCAGTAAACATTTCCATGTATATCTTCATATAAGAATGTTTCATAGCAAAATGGACTTTGATCTTGGATAGAAGTCAAGGACATCAAATTAAAACAAAGTTCAATGAAGATTTCTATAAGGAGTCAAGCTATATAGTCTTGGTATATTTTTTTCTAGTAAGCTTTCTTGATGCAGGAATACAATTTAAAGAATCCAAAAAGGATTCAAACTGGCTGCAAACAGACTGCTGCAGGCTGGATTGGACACACAGGGTGTTTCATAACAATTTTAATCCATTGTCAATATTTAAGATTCAGATTTTACATAAGAATCCAGTTTCAAGTTTCATTTAAAAGACTGCATTTTCCTTTTCATTCTTTTTTCTCTAATCTTGTCTTCACATTTTATTTCATTAAGTTGATCTTCAATCTCTGATATCCTTTCTTCCATTTGATCGATTCGGCTATTGATACTTGTGTATGTTTCACAAAGTTCTCAGGCTGCGTCTTTCAGCTCCACCAGGTCATTTATGTTCTTCTTTAAACTGGTTATTCTAGTTAGCAGTTCCTGTAACCTTTTATCAAGGTTCTTAGCTTCCTTGCACTGGGTTAGAACATGCTCCTTTAGCTTGGAGGAGTTTGTTATTACCCACCTTCTGAAGCCTGGATGAAGCTGGAAAACATCATTCTCAGCAAACCAACACAGGAACAGAAAACCAAACACCACATATTCTCACTCATAAGTGGGAGTTGAACAATGAGAACACATGGACACAGGGAGGGGAACATCACACACCAGGGCATGTTGGGGAGTAGGGGGCTAGGGGAGGGATAGCATTAGGAGAAATACCCAATGTAGATGAGGGGTTGTTGGGTGCAGCAAACCACCATGGCACATGTACACCTATGTAACAAACCTGCATGTTCTGCACACGTATCCCAGAACTTAAAGTATAATAATTTAAAAAAAGACTACATTTTTTTTTGACAAATTGAAATCACTTTCTGCATAGCCTTTGGCTGGCCTTGAGCAGCCACTGACTCCTGAGAAGGGTCATTTGTGCATCATGGTCTCTGTCAGGAAGCTTCCTGCAATTGCCATATTGGACTGGCCCCTGCAGATTTGTACATGTGGGAGCCTAAATCTAGAAGAATGAATAGAGAGCATACTTTTTGGATGATACCTTTCTGATATAAATTGTTTCATTTTGACTAAATCTAGATGGCAGTCAATTTAACATTAAACTCCCAAATGGTACATTAAAAGGCAACATAATTGATTCCATGAATCAGAAAAAGTTCATGAAATAGCATGCCTGGAGCTACGATCTGATTCACCTGGGCACCAATGAAGTGATTGTCTCAAAGAAGTCATGTGTTTAAGTCTGAGAGGCTTTGGAATTCCCACTTCCCCTGAAGACCCAGGTGGTTGGCACACAATCAGCCAAGCCTCCATTACCCTTTTTTCTCTTTTCCTCTTCCTCCTTTCCTCTGACTGTTCCCAGCACTGTCATGAAGAATTTGTCTGAGTCTTCCCAGTTGCGGTGATGACTTGCACTGGCCCATATGCACTCTCACCAGTTCTCCCACCCTGCCCCCACACAAACACTGTGATTCATGTCATTAACTTGTAGAAAGACAAATGGGAATTCAGAGTTCAACTGGTGGCACAGAAATGAGAGGTGTTAGCTAATCCATACAGAGACAGCCATAAAAAAAAAAAAAAAAAAAAACCTTGACCATCTTAGCCAATGTCATATCCAGCCAAGTCTCCAGCACAAAGAAGGAGAAATTTGCCTACTAGACCATCTTTGGTGATAGCAAGAAGGAGACATTCTCTTTAGTCAAGCAATCTGAGTTAGACAGTGTTGGTTGCATGGTCAATAGCCATTGCTTCTCTCTTGTTCATGGTTTTGTGGGTCAGGAATTTGAGAAGGGTGGCTGGAGAGTTCTTGCTTGGGATTTCTCATGTGGTTGTGGACAGATGTTGGATGGGGCTGCTGTGATCTGAAGACTGGACATCCAAGACAGTTCATTCATGTGGCTGGAGTTGACGTTGGCTGTTGGCTGAGAGTTCAGCTAGAGCTGTCAATTAGAGAATCTACATGTGGCCTCTCCAGCGTGGCAGTCTCAGAACAGACAGACTTCTTTCATGGCAACTGTCTTCCTCAAAGTGAGCATCCCAGAAGAACCAGTCAGAAGATGCAATACCTTTTATATCCAAGCCCTAGGAGTCACACAGAATCACTTCCACCATGCTTTGTTGGTTAAAGCAGTCCCAAGCACATTCTAATTTCAGCAGATGGAACCCAAGCCTTGCTTCTCTGAGGGAGGAGGGTCAAAGAATTTGCAGACAAGTTTTAAATCATTCAAAAAAAAAAAGAGGTGTAAATCTTCAAAGACAAATTGTGATGCATCAGCACATTGTACTCTTCAAAAATAGGTCTGCATTCACAGAGTAAATGCTGTTCACTTTCATGCAAGAAGAATCCATCCTGAATTCACCAATTTTATGAGGGACTATAGGTGAAAGACTTCATTATCTGCCACCTCATTTTACCCATTATTTTTTACTACGCATAGAGCAGTCTGGTTCCTTCTCAGGCTGGCCCAGTTTTCTCTATGCCTCATTTCTATTCCCTCTTTCTTTCATTCTCTCTGTTTCTGTCTCTCTCCAACTTCAGCTGACTTTTCCTGCTCAGTATCTCCACATACACACAACTGAATTCTGATATAGCCACCCCATTGCCCTGATATTACCCATCTGAGACTGAGGACATTCTCTGGGTTTCAGGTCCAAATTCCAGGATCCAAGCATCTTATTGGTTCAGAAGGAAAGGACATATGTGCTGCTCAGACAGAGCTGTGAGAGCAGACCCTTTGAGAAAGGGTATGGAAATTTAGGGACGCTAAGCTATTATATTTGAGTAGCAGAAGACTAATAAATCCATCATACAAAAGGGTTTTGGTAACACAAAATAGCTCTTCCGCAAATAAGCATTCCCTTCACTGTGGCTTTCTATGACCTTTGACAAAAACAAAAAGTTTGATTTGTAGTCCACTTGCACGCTACCTTCTGCATCTACAACAGGTAGATCTGTGATCTGCACAGGTAGCAATGCTTCAGTGTCCCTGTTTCCCTCACTTGCAAAGTTTACTGATTCCAGACACAAGCTCCCAATTCTTACCAGAACACAACATTTCTACTCATGCAAAACCAATCCCAAACATCACTTACTCCAGATATATAATTGCAAACAAATGGTGAGGTGGATGGCTGGACTCAGATATTCTTCTGAAAGCACAATGATGCTCCCTAGGGCCCAACTGCCTACTGCCCATACACCCACTATTAACCACATCAATTTACAGGTGTCTCTCTAGTGGCAAAGTCCCCATTTGCCATTTCCTTGCATTGTTGCTTTTGTGTTTGTTTTTAGAAAGTAAAATGGAAAACAAAAATGAATCTAGCCTATATAATTCCATTTCCAGCATACAACTGTCCTAAGCCTGTGCAGCTAGGCCACTTAGTCATGGAAGTTCACAGGATTTAGAAGCTTGGTTTTATGTATATCATTATATAGGTGCTTGAGAAATCCATGAATCCTTTACTGCTTCTATCAAATAAAAAAAAAGTTGATGCAGGTCATCCTTGATTGTAGAGGAAAAGGATGTTGCAGTAGCAGTAGTTAAGGATATATGTGGTTTTTGGTGGGATGGAGGGAAGGTGCTAGCTACTATGAAGAAGAAGTTGAAGATACCTTGTATCTGTTTCCTCCTAATGAGGAGGGGAAGAGATCACACAGGAATGCTGGCAATTTCAAAGAAGTGAGATACAGTAGTTTTAGAATCTGAAGATTATCAGCTGCCAAGTCTCAAGTTTAAAAAAACAAAAGAAGCATCATAGTCAAAACAAGACCTAAAGAATTACTGGGACAAGGATAGGGTATTTAATCCAATGATTAACCTGTAAATATCTGTGATACCACTCAGCAATCCAAACCTGAAATATCTGAGCAGACAGTAGTAACACATTTTTCTCTCTTTAATCAGATTATAAATCATTGTGCCCTGCTCTGATACTTTTCAATCAAGAGACTCAAATTGTTTATCATCTATAATTTGGAGGTCCCTTTAGACTAAAACTTTAACTTAGACTTAAATAATCTCATAAGCAAGAGTGAAAAAGAAATCAAGGCAAGTCCGATATCTTCTATTTGCAACTCTTTTATTCCTTCCTCCCTTATAAATGAAATGTACACAGACAAGTCTTTAGTATTAATCACATCTTTAAGAGGCATCCAGTTAACTAACAGCAAAGGTAAAGTTCTAAGGATCAGCTATTTTGCAAGACATGCAGTCTTGGTTGAAGTGAAGTGGGGTTAGCCCTGTTTCTACCTCTTTTCTGTATTTGGTCAACCCAAAAGAACACCTGAATTTAACTGAACCAATTTCTTTACTTTATTGTGTCTAATTTCCTTCTAAAGATGGAAAAATTTTACCGACTAAATCGAATGAAGAATACTTCTTTTTCCTATAAGCAGGACATTTTTAACACTGGATTATATCATGTTTTGATGTATTATTCCTAATTTCCTTATATTCTCTTGTTCTCTCTCTATCTATCTATCTATCTATCTATCTATCTATCTATCTATCTATCTATCTATCATCTATCTATATATATTTTTTAGACGGAGTCTTGCTCTAATTCCCAGGCTGGAGTGCAATGGTGCGATCTCGGCTCACTGCAACCTCTGCCTCCCGGGTTCAAGCGATTCTCATGCCTCAGGCTCCTGAGTATGTGGGATTACAGGCAAATGCCAGCATGCCCAGCTAATTTTTGTATTTATAGTAGAGATGGGGTTTCGCCATGTTGGTCACGCTGGTTTTGAATTCCTGACCTCAGGTGATCTGCCCACCTCAGCCTCCCAAAGTGCTGAGATTACAGGCGTGAGCCACTGCACCCGGCTTATATGTTTTTTCAATCTCTTATTTCATTGGTGCATAGAGAAGACCAGTTAGTATATTTTGTCTCTTGGATTTTCTTCTGGAAAACACAATGTACTTCCCCTCCCTACCCACTATATTCTTTTATTTCTGTAATGAAGCTTTTGAATAATCCAGGTTTGTTGGGGATTACCAGGAGCTTTGAAAGCATCTGTCACATTCCTCAGCTTGTTGTACCTTTCCCTTGAGATAAGCCAGGGAACACATGATCTACCACATGAGCAAGCCACCAAGAAGAGGTGGCCTTAGGAACAGGAACTACTAAAGGTACATAACAATATGGACAAATAATGTGTAAGTAATACACAAAAGGTTCAAGTTTCATCTTAATCCAGGTACAAGGAGAGGTGGAAATAAACATGTAGTTGTCAAGAGTTCAAATCCTATGGTCAAAATCATCTGAGTTCAAATCTCAGTTGTGGGATCTTGGATACAACAAATAACCTCTTCTGGCCTCAGTGAAGTAGGAAAGCAAAAATCGGTACTCCATAACATTATCATATAAATCAAGTAAAATAAACTAGCACATTTCCTGTGCACAGTAAGCATTTTTCAATGTATGCTGCTGTTGTGTTACAAAAGGCAAAGTGAAACAATGGTTCAATTGTTCAAACAAAAACAGTATGAACAAAGAAAACGTAGTGACTATGTCATTCATGAAGATACTTTTCTCCAACCACCTTCCTCTTTCACAGAGCACTATTAACATTGTTCTCAACTGCAAATGTCATCTTTCTCTAAAAGATCAGTGTTCATTTGCCATAAGCATTGAATTGTGCCAGTATGACAACTTTCCTTGACTGCCACGTACCTCTGCAGCCCATTGCCATATTCCTTTGCTCCCCTTCACAGGAAAATTTCTTAAAACAATCTTCTATGTACAGTGACTCCATTTACTCCCCTCCCACATTCTTCAGCCCATTTTCACCAGGCTCTCATCAGCACCATTCATTAAAAACCTCTCATCACAGTCAGCAGTGGCCACCCATATGCCAAAGCTAATGTTCACTCTTCTGCCTTGTTCTGACTTATCTCTCAGCAGCACTGGACATGCCCCATCCCTTCTTTCTTGGCCTTCTTCACTTTGTTAGGGCACCTTCTCTTTTGGTCTCCTCCCACCTCCCTGGCCAGTCCTTCTCAGACCACTTTGTCATTCTTCCTAGAATTCAGTCCTCAGACCCCTTCTCTTCCATCTATATTCACCCGCTCAGGGACATCTTCTAGTCCCATGGCTTTATATACCTGTCTATAACTTACGGCTTCCAATTTATATCTCCAACATTGGCCACACTGCTACCATCCAGATTCATGTGTCTGTCTTCCAACTGGATATCTTCATCTAGTCATCTAATAGAAGCTCCAGACTTAAAATGTTCACAACTGCACATTTGATTCTCTACTCTTACCCAAAATAAGGGAAAGCTTTCACTTCCTTCAGTCTCATTCATCTCAGCAAACGGCAGTTCTACCACTATCTTTCCAGTTGCTCAGGCCAAAGTCTTCAAATGGTCCTTGACTTTACCATGTATAGTACATCTTATATCAAATCCTTCAGCAAATCCTGAAGGTCTCACCTTCAAGCTAAACCCAGAATCCAGTCACTACTCATCTCTTACCTCTATCACCCTCATCCAGGCCATCGAAGTCTCTAGGCCTTACTTTAGCTTCCCAACTGTACTCTCTGCTCCTATGTATCTTTGCACCAACAACTTCTTCTCTTGCGGCAGCCAGAGAGAAGTGTTAAAGCAAGTTAGATCAATCCTCTGTTCAGAAACTTTCAGTGGCCTTTCCTTTTCACTCAGAGCAAATGATCTGGCTCTGGCCTCCTCTGCAAAATCAATTTCTCACAGTTGTCCCCTCCTTGCCCACTTTGTTGTCTCCACTGGGCCACTGTAACGGCCTCCCATTTCTCTGCTTCCAGTCTACTTCCCTAGCCCCACATCTGCCTCTGATCTCCCTGATTTCCTTTCTGTTTCTCAAATACTCTAAGTCTTTCCTTCATTACAGGCTTTTTGCATTTGCTGTTCCCTCTGCCTAGAAAAATCTTCCCTTAGATAATCCCATTTGACTTGTGCCCTTTCTTCCTTGGGCCTCTGCCCAAACTTCACCTAATCAGAAAGACTTTCCCTGACCATCCTAAATAAAAAAACCAGCTGCTACACTTTCTATGTTTGTACCCCAAGCCTCATAAAATTTTATCCCCAATGTTGGTCCTATAGTGAGGCATTTGAGTCATGAGATTGGTTCCCTCATGAATGGCTTGGTGCCATCCTCACTGTAGTCAGTGAGTTCTCACTCTATAAGTTCCCTTGAGAACTGATATTAAGAATAACCTGGCACCTCCCTCCCCTCTCTCTTGCTTCCACTCTCACCATGTGATCTCCACACATGCTGGCTCTCCTTCATCTTCAACCATGAGTGGAAGCAGCCTGAAGTCCTCACCAGAAAAAGATGCTGGTGCCGTGCTTCTCATACAGCCTGAAGAAACATGAGCCAAATAAATCTTTTTTCTTTTTATTTTACCCAACCTTGGCTATTCCCTTATAGCAACACTAAATGGACTAAGACATCACCCCCAATTTCTTTCTATCCTTTTAACTCACTTTATTTTTCTTCTTAGCAGATATCAACACTAGACAAGCTATAAGTGTTTGTTGTTTATTTGTTTATTGTCATCTGCCCCACTGAAATGTAAGCTCCATGAAAGCAGGGACTTAATTTTAATTATTGGTTTAGTCCAGTACCTGAAACAGTGCCAGGCTGACAGCAAATGATCAGTTTTTATTTGCTGAATGAATAAATGAACTAATGAATTGGTCTACTCAATACATAGTTGGTGATAGGCCACTAAAACGTTTTAAAAGTTAAAGGAGTAGATCAGATTTGTGTGACTTAGAAACATATATAGTGAAAAATCAGTGAAATTAGTTTATTGCTTAATTGATATCACTAGAAGCAGACTTTTCCATTGCTGACATTTCCAATTGAAGAATCACCTCCTCATTGACTAAATCCTACCACCAGGCTGAGTCACATGGGACATGCTGCTGAGCCAGTTTTTCTCCTGTGTGCCCGAATGACTCAGAGTGCCAATGACAGTGCCGGTTTTATGTCCCTGGAACTCCACTTGGAAGTTTGGAATCAATTGTCAACTCCATTCAAGTGTGTCTTGCTCAGCCTGGTTAACTTGAAACTGTTCCTTGAACAAGATTGCTGTTTTATCTTTTGTCATCCACTTGCTGTGTGACTAATTTGAATGTTAATATTTTTAACTAAAAACTCTTTGTTACTAAGTAAAACCATTTGAAAGACTTTCACAATGTCTGGATATAATATTTTTTAGGAAATAAAGGCAACTTAAAACTTGCTAATTATAAACTAAATATACATGATTTTAATTGAGTGTCAGGAGTCCAAACCTATTAGTCTAGCCTAAGAACATCTTACCAAATGCTAAGTATTGTGGCATGCTGTCTGAATTTGTGCCTCACATACCAATGAACCACATATTAAACTTCTAAGGCATGGAAATTTCCTCTCCCCTGCTCCCCTACGTGAAGCAAAATGAGTGAGGTGCACAACCTGATAAAGAAGGTACGAGTTTTATTATTATTGGCTATCATTATTTTGTTTCAGAAAAATATTTTTGTTTTACTACTTAAAATGGGCTTTGTCACTTCTTCACACTGGATTTAGAAATCCATATTGGTACTGAAGGACTAGACGTAAGTCTTTAGGATAAGAGGATCAAAGACTTAGTATCTCTAAATATTCTAAGGGAAACAAACAAAAGAAAACAAATAAAGAAAATGGCTTACATTGTCACGATCAAGTAGAAAAAAACCGAGCCTGGATGGCCTTGGGAGATGGTGTAAAACTGCATGCAAACTACTCTTTTGTATGTTTTTAGCCTTGCCTGAGAAAAATGACCAGCCTGTTCAATTCTCACTTCCAGAGAGAAGGAAAGGTAGTAAGGAGCTTCGGATACCCAAGGAAACTTCTGAAGGCAGTAACTTCAAGTAGTTTCTTCAATTTTTCCCAATCTGAAATATTGGTTTGCCACTTCCTAGGACATCTGCTTTCATATGTAAAACTTATAAAACTTATTAAAAAATTAGATCACAATTGACAACAATGAGCAAATAACTGGACATAGTAATGCAGAGAGCTATGTTAAGCTCCTCAACAATATTAAGAAAAATTGTAGCCTCCATTATGACCACTTTAAAGGGTGCCATCCAACGATACTCAACTCTCTGGGTGGGTCAGCAATTCCCCTTCAGGTAGTCAATTAACTTTTTTTATTCATTGATGGTATCAGTGCAACATTCCACAATCTCCCTCCTACTTAGTCATAGAATCTTACAACTGCAAGGCTCAACAACTCCAACCATATTCATTCCACAAGGAGGTACTGATCAGCTACAGTATAGTGCATTGGATACTTGGGGATTCAAAGATACAGTCCAAAAACTTCATGGAACTTTCAGTCTGGTGGATAAAACCTTTATCACAGTGCTGCTGGAATCAATGAAAAATATTATTATGATTGCAAAGATGGGGCCATAGAATGCTGCATGTGGCTTTACAGGGAGAAGGTGCAGTAAGGTTAGGGAAAGCTTCCCAAAAGACTGACTCTTAAGTCTTGAAGAATGAGTAGGAGGTGAGCTGGCAGTAAGGATCTAGAGGTTGGGGAGAAAGGCAAGGAAATGAAAAACATCTGAGCTATGCTGTCCAGTACCATAGCTACTAGCCACTGTGCATATTTAAATTAATTAAAATCAAATAAAATACAAATTTTAGTTTCTCATTTGCACTAGCCACATTCCAAGTGCTCAATAACCACATGTGGCTAGTGTTTATTGTATTGGACCATGTAAATTTAGAACATTTCTATCATCATAGAAAGTTCTCTTGGACAGCACTGACTCTGGACACAAAGAACAACAAAAGCAGAGAGACCTAAGAGCGAATGTTGGTATGAATAACTGCAGGTGGTTAAGTCCAGCTGGAGAACAGAGTACCTAGAGAGGGAGAATGACAGGCACTTAGGCACAGCAGGGGCCATCCCAGGCCATACCCCCATTGACTTCCTTTGCTGATATCACAAAACTCAGGAGGATTCGAGTCCTGGCAAATTCTGTCTCTCATTATCAACCAGTCATTATGGCATTGAAAAGCTGCATGGCTGAAACCTTTGAACAAGCATCTTTGCTTCACCAATTGTGTTTATGAAACCATATGTCTTATGGAAATGAAGGCAACTTACCACATCATGAATTCATTACTTTCCTTTGAAAAAAGGAGATCGAAAGTTTTATATGGGCATCTTATCCCTCTTTTTATTTTTTATATATTAAAAAAAAATCCATGTACCATTTTGCACTTACAAAAACTGGGGTTTTCTTTATATAAATGCTTTTGGTTCTTCAGCACACAGATTTTGGTAGAGTCAAGTATTGGATGTAGGAAAACAGGATCATGCTATTACGAATTCAAGAATGATTACAGGCAAGCTCCATTCAACCTCACCAACAACTTTTCCTCAAATAATTAAAAAAAGGATCACAATGAGGCTTTAAAAATATATTGGTAAATTACACAGGATTACATCAATACTTTAGGATTCTCTATGCTGCAGTTCTTGACTTCCTTAGCAGACCACATGGTGGGTATGTGGGTATACAAGGGACTGGGGTCCCAAAACCTTTTCAAGCTGTTTCTTCATCTATAACAGTGTTGAAATGTCCTCTCTAGAGATGTGGCAGATACTAAGTGAGCTAATACATGGAGAGCACTTAGCCTATAGGATCTCTCTGTGTGTTTGTGGAGGAGAGTAGTGAGGATGGGGGCGGCCATCCATCAAGCCATGTATATGTTTGATGGTGCTACAAACTTGTCCCAATACTTCTTCTGGAAATGAAATTTCCTGAGATGGGTTCTAAGACCCTTTATATAAAAAAAAAAGCACATCAAAGATTATGAAGTAACAAAACCACAAAAAAATAACTCACATATATGCCAGACACTGACACTCTATGGCTTTTATGAAACAGGTGTTTATCATGGAGCTTCCCAAGCTTTCTCATTCATTTATGCTTAACAACTCAGTAATTTTTTTTTACAGGACCCTAAACCAAAATATAGGCTAACATTTTCATTTATTAAGTAGTTATGGCCAAATATCATGCAAGGTCCAACAGATATTATTGTGCTTCCCAAGAAAATTTAAAATATCCCACTACCTCCCTGTGACTTCACTGTAGCACTCTAGCACACCCCAGCACACATTTGGGAGCCATAGGTTTAGCATGTTATACTTTACAAAGCACTTTCACAGCTACTACCTTGCTTATCTTCACTGTAACTACTGTGAGACACTATGTAGATGAGAAAATTGCACAGCCTGGCCAACGAAGCACGATCCCATCTCTACAAAAATTTAAAAATAAGAAAATAAAAGTTTAAAAAAGTAGAAAGGCATGGTGGTATGCATCTATAGTCCTAGCTACTTGGGAGGCTGTGACAGAAGGATGGCTTGAGCCCAGAAGTTCGAGGCTGCAGTGAGCTATGATTGTGCCATTGCACTCCAGCCCGGGCAACACAGTGAGACCCCACCTCAGAAAAAAAAGTGACTACAACAGAGTGCATTTAAGGTTTTATAGCTAAGAAGCTGCAAATCAAGACACAAATTTATTGGGATCTGACTCTAAACAATCTTCCTCCTGTTCTGTATGCTGTTTCTTCCTCTACTCAGAAAGTCAATAGCATCTTTTATTAATCTTCATTGTTTTACAGTATTATTCCCTTACTAAAGTGAGATATGCAAGAAATATTTCCATGTTGGGATGCTCCTTTCAAATTTATATTTCAATTCCTTGACTAAACAAACAGTTATTCCAAAATACTTTTTACAGTAGCTGAACCTACACACATACATACACACACACACACACGCACACAAAAAAAACTATTCCAGCAGGTGTGTGCATGTTGTAGAATAAAGCAAGGTGCAGTAGTCCCCCATTATCTGTGAGGGATATGTTCTAGTAACTCCAGTGGTTGCCTGAAACTGAGGATAGTACTTGATTCCCATATATAATGTACTATGTTCTTTCCCATGTATACATACATATGATAAAGTTTAATTTATAAATTAGGCACAATAAAAGATGAACAATAATGATGAATAATAAAACAGAGCAATTATAACAATGCACTACAATAAAAGTTATATGGATGTACTGTCTCTTCTTCTTTCTCTCTCTCTGTCTCTCAAGTTCTCACTGTAGTCTACCTTGGGTAACTGAAAGCATGCAAAGTGAAAGCTCAGATAAGGGGATATTACTGTGCAAGGTTTCAGATAGTAGAAAAGCTGTCATGCAAACTACAGAATGATAAATAATAGCTAACAGTTCTTGAAATATTAACTCATGACAGGTACGTTACTAAATGGATTACAAAATTTAAGCTTTTCCAATAATTCTATGGTGTAGGTACTATTATTATCCACTTGTTAAAGCTGAGAAACTTGAGGTTTAGAGGGAATAACTTAACCAATATTCAACTGAAAGAAAAAAACCTAGAATAGTCAAAACAATCTTGAAAAAAAAAACGTTGGAGGACTCATAAAACCTGATTTCAAGATTTACTATAAATCTTTACTATACTGTAATCAAGATAGTGTGATACTGGCAAGAAGCCAGACATGTAGATTAATGGAACAGGAGAGAGTCCATAAATAAATCTACAAAAGTCCCAATTTCAACAAAGGTGCCAAGGCAATTGAATAGATAAAGCTTAATCTTTTCAACAAATAGTGATGAAACATCCATATGCAAAACAAAGCAAAAAACCCAACCCACACCTGGCATCTAAAACTATAAAACCTCTAGAAAAAAATGGAAAATCTTTCTGACCTTGGCAGATAAAATTTCTTAGAACACAAAAAGCAAGCTTCATAAAAGAAAAATTATAAATTAGATTCTATCAAAAATGAAACACAGTTGAAAAAAATGTAAAGAAAAGCCACAGACTAGAAGAAAATACTTGCAACACATACCTGATAAAGAACATGCATCCAGAATTTATCAAGAATTCTCTAAACTCAACAATAGAAAAACAAAAATCCCAACATCAAAAATGGGCAAAACATTTGAACAGACAATTCACTAAAGAAAATACAGAGATAGGAACTCAGCATACACAAAAACGCTCAAAATCATTTGTTATTAGGGAAATGCCAGTTAAAACCACAATAACTCACATTATTAGAATGGCTAAAAAAAATTTAAATGGACAAAATTGAGTACTGGTAAAGATGTAGAGCAACTGGAACTCCCACACATTGCTGGTGGGAATGCAAAACAGTGCAACCACTTTGGAAAACAGTTTGCCAGCTTCTTGTAAAGTTAAATATATACTCACCATGTGACCCCGGAGCCCCACTCATATGCATTTACCCCCAGCAAAACGAAAATACGTCTATACAAAGGCAAATGTTCACAGAAGCTTGATTCATAGTCACCAAAAAGTTGGAAACAACACAAGGTCATTCAACTTGTAAGTGGATAAACAAATCATATTTCATCCACACAGTAGAATACTATTCAGCAATAAAAAGGAAGAAATAACTGATATAAACAGTGTGTCACTACAGTAACAGTTTTTTAACCTTCATTTCCCTTACAGTCAGTTCTTCAAAGCATCCTTGCTGCCATTATATTTGTCATCATACTATTAAGTAGATTGCAACCTGCATCTTTATAATCACTTATATTTTCCAGAACAAATAGGCTAGTTGCCTGAATTGTATTGCATAAATATTCTGGTCTCCAGGACAGGATTCAGACGATGCACCCTAATCATCAGCAACACATTCACAAATTCCAACCCACCAGCCTGATGGCATCGTTTAGGTATTGATTTTTGCAAGTTTTTATTTCAGAACGTGAACTTATCTTAGATGTATCTTCAAATTCAAATGTCATCTTACTGTAACCCTAAATGTTGGAAAAAAGTATGAGATGGAGTCCCTGCCACTGTCTAATCAGGGGGACAGAATTCATAACTTATCTCAGAAGAAATCAATTTCAGGTCATTTTATTCTTTGCAATAAAGTTGATTGATTAAATAATTTAATTGCTATTATTTTAATACTGTTTTATAATAAAATTGGTATTCCAGGTAAAAATTATTCAATATGTGCCCAACTTCTCATAAGTAAAAGATGGACTATGTGGTATTACATATGATTTATGATCCATATAGCTCAGAATAGCCTCTTTTTACAAAAATAAAAGTATAATTTTCTATCTAAATCCACTTGAGGTAGATTATTATTTTGGTGGCACCCAATGAATCACTCCTCCTGGGATGCATGCCTTTGTGTATTTCCCTCCCACGTTGACTCTGGAAATGGTCATGTGAGTAGCAGAGGCTTGGTAAGTGCTCGCATACTGGGCCTTATCCACTTGGAATTGTTCACTGTGGGAATTCTTTTTTTTTTTTTTTTTTTTTTGCTACCTAGCCACCATGATGTCACAAAGCTCAAGAAGCCATATAGAAAGGCACAAATAGAAAAGAACCCTTCTCTTCTTTCTTCCTGCTATCTTCATCCAGTCATGGTAGTGAACCAGATTGGACCATTCAGACAACAGTGCCCTAACACAGCTGTTTTAAAACTTCTTGGTCTCAAGACTTCTCTCCCCTCTTAAAAACTATTAATGATTTCAACATTTTTGTTTATATAAGTCATTTCTAGTAAAACTTACTATATTAGAAATTAAAACTGAGAATTTAATAATATATATTTATTAATTCACTAAAATAATTTTAAAGCCACTACATGTTAATATCAGTACCATTTTAATTAATATTTTAATATTTTATATGTTAATATTAATAACAACTATGTTTCTAGCAAATAAACTTAGTGAGGACAGGGGCATTGGTTCACGGTTTTTGCAAATGTCTTTAAAGTCTGGCTTAATAGAAAATAGCAAGATTCTCAGCCGGGCGTGGTGGCTCACGCCTGTAATCCCAGCACCTCGGGAGGCTGAGGCGGGCGGATCACGAGGTCAGGAGATCGAGACCATCCTGGTTAACACGGTGAAACCCTGTCTCTACTAAAAATATAAAAAATTAGCTGGGCGTGGTGGCGGGCGCCTGTAGTCCCAGCTACTCAGGAGGCTGAGGCAGGAGAATGGCGTGAACCCAGAAGGCGGAGCTTGCAGTGAGCCAAGATCACGCCACTGCACTCCAGCCTGGGTGACAGAGTGAGACTCAAAAAAAAAAAAAAAAAAAAGAAAATAGCAAGATTCTCATAATCCACTTAATGCATTCAGTCTGTTGCAATATTACCTAAAACTTAGGCTCCAGAAAACTCTACACTCATGGGACAAAGGAAGTGAAAAAAACGCAAATAATGTCTTAGTCTTGTTACAAAATAGCTTTGGCTCTGAGGAACCACACGTTTTGAGATCCATGGCAATGGAATAAACTCCAGGAAGGAACCCAGGTGCCAGAATAGTTTCCTTCAGGGTAGGGCACAGCCCTGTGCCAACCTAGGACACTCATTAAGGACTACGTTAAAGAATATCCTGGGGTCTCTATTGCAAGAATGTATCCCTACTAGGGTCTTGAGAGAGAGGACTTCCCAGGCATGGAGGCCCAGGCCTATTTAGCTGATTCAAAACCCAGATCCATCCCCTGGTCTCTCACTGTCTGATTTCTTGTTTCACTCCCAAATGACCATCACGTAAGCCAGAGAAAGCTCCTTCCACCACAGAACCCACCCCTGGCTTCTTTAAGCTGTGAAGTCCAGATCAAACACATCTCCAGCTCAAAAAAGGAAGAAATCACAGCTCTGTCCCAAATAAGGACCTTTTTCTCCGAGGCTTTATCCTCTGCCCCAATATTAAGGTCTGGTCTCCCCCACTACTCATGATAACCATTACCCTCATCCACAAGGGTGTGATCTGACCCTGAAGCCCGCAAAAGACAGTCATTTAACAATTGACACCAATATATTAACCAACGTTCAAGCCATACAGTCTTTACCAGAGTCACTGTGTTAAATATCCACAAAGATAAATAATCACAGCATTGACAAAGGCCAAATTAGTGATACAACTTATTCTGTGCTATCAGACTGCAATGATGGCAAAGATAAAGTGATACGTTTCTGTTTTTCATGACACTGAAGGAACTTAGTGTACCCAGATCAACATTTATGTAAAGAAATAGAACAGACTCGGCCGGGTGCGGTGGCTCACGCCTGTAATCCCAGCATTTTGGGAGGCCGAGGCAGGCGGATCACGAGGTCAGGAGATCGAGACCATCCTGGCTCACACGGTGAGACCCTGTCTCTACTAAAAATACAAAAACTTAGCCGGGCGTGGTGGCGGGAGCCTGTAGTCCCAGCTACTCAGGAGGCTGAGGCAGGAGAATGGCGTGAACCCGGGAGGCGGAGCTTGCAGTGAGCCGAGATCACGCCACTGCACTCCAGCCTGGGCGACAGAGCAAGACTCCGTCTCAAAAAAAATAGAACAGAGTCATAGACTAGACTAGACTAGACTAGACTAGAATAGACCAGACCAGAGTACAATCCATATCTGGGTTCAAAATGATGCTACTTTTACTAGCACTGACCTTGGGGAATGTACTTAAACCTTTGCTACTCAGTGTCTTCATCTATGAAGTGGGGATAATAGGTTCTCCCACGTAGGGTTATGAGGGTTTAGTGGGTTAATATTTTTAAGGGGCTTAAAACAGTGCCCGGAACATACTGTAAGTATTTGTTAAATACATTACACTGTGTGAATGTGTGTGTGTTTGTGTGGACTGGGTTGTGATCAAAGTTTGGAAAAACTCAAAGGTAAAGGAAGTGAGACCCAAACCTAACTTCAGTAGACAGAAAGAACACAGCTAAGCCAAAGAGGTGTGTGTGGGGGGTGGGGGCACTTTCTAGGGTAGGAATCACAGAATGTGGGGGTCTGGATTTAAGCCTCTCCTTCCACAGTTTGGGGAGCTAACAAGATGGGGGAGGGGAACATTAAAGAGGAGAGAAAGTTGTTGTTTTACTTTACGTAGAATTCTTTTGTACTCAAATCCCCTTTGTCAGGGCCCAGATGTTTTAAAAATGATGCCAAGCTGTGATAAAAACAGACGCACATGCAGGAAACAGAGCACATCCAGCAAGGAAGACTGTTGGGTAATTCAGTTTATTAACGACACGTTCTATGTGGTAACTATTTGCAGATGATCATAAAATATATCCCCGACAGTCATTTCTTTTGGTTGTTATTGTTTTCAAAGTTTCATCTCTAAAATCTCTTAAAACCACTTGCCCAGCTGTGCTGAAAACAACTTACAATCAGACAATTATTTAACCCTAAGCAGGCATAAGGAGGAAGGACAATATGGTTTGAAGGTTTCTGCTCCTATATGTTGGAACCCAGCACAAAGAGGGATGCTTGCTACTTCCAAGAACCTGCACAAATAATTTGGATCATGATAAGATCACTCTGAATTGGTTATGCCCATCTAACTTAGATCATTGGATAAAATTTCGAACCCAAGAATCTTGACATGAGAGCTCACCTGATGATGCTTAATTGATGATATATTACCATCCAATGCCACCTGACTTATTCCTGAACAGGAGCAGGACTGGCAGGGAGGTGGGGGTAATAAAGGTGGAGGCCGATTATATTCAACTGTACTTAATCTCAGTGGCAGTGAAAGGGCCCTTCATTTGAATCAATTAAAAAAAACCTGCAGGGAAGAACGAGACCTTAAGGAGTCTTAAAATATCATCAGTGATAAAATATCATCAGTCAAGTGGGCTGTAGGTAATATGCTACTATCAACCCCCAGTCTATAGATGAACCAACCAAACCAAAAGAGATTAAGCAACTTGGACGGTGAAGCTAATAAAAGGGAAAGGAATATAGTGACCAAACCCAAGAAGCCCAGAGTGTTCTCGGTGCTGTATCGCTTGGGGCTTTCCTCATCTTTGTTTCTATTATTCAAGAATATAGTGTGTGTTACAAGTCAGGTATCAAATGTGTAAATAGGTATCGTGCCTGAAAGAAATATGTCCCGATGACCTGTAGGACTGGATTGTCTGAATTACAGTCCTTGCGACTGAATCCAGTTGGCGTGATGTAAGCATAAACGCACTCCACGTTTCATGAATAAGCTTAACGATAACAGAAAATACTTTCCTTCAGATTGCCTGGTGATTAAGGTAGTGGACATCTACCAAGCTCACGCTTAGGGAGGACGAACAACAGGTTTATCAACACTATACTTCACGGAGTGTCAGTCATGAGGTTTTCATGGAGAAGCCAGTTGTTTTGTTTGTTTTCTTAATGACATATTTTCATGTAGTTGGGAAGGGGTGTGCCCATTCAGAGCTTGACTATGACACCAGGAAGTAGAGCATTAGAGTGAAACCCATGAGACAATGACCTTAAGTACAGGTGGTTGCCACAGTGTCTATTATTAGGATCAGTGAAATACACTCAGAAGTCGTGTTGCAAGATGGCAGGATGGAAGGCCAGTTTCCCCTGACAAAGTGCAAAGGCATGCTATAAACACTTGCATGAACAAACAGCCTTTGCAGCAACCACAACCAGGAGGAAAATTAGAGGACATTTTCCACAACAAAAGCAGTATTGTTTTCCTGTGGTCACTCTGAAATTCATCCTTTGTTGCAGAAGACGCTGAGGCTCCATCATGGAACTGTGGCATCCCACCCAGCATTCTCCCTGTGGGCCGAAGTGATGGGATAAATTGATTCACAGCGAACTGTTCCTTCTGGCTAGGGATCCCACATCTTCAGTTCAATAGGAAAGAGTTCTCCAAAGAACAATGAGGTATAGTGGGCCAAGCCGATCAAGCAGACGTGGTACATCCAATTCTCTCTCAGGGGCTGGGACCCTGGCTGACCTAAGCCAGGACGACTACCTCTGGGCTCCCATTTCCTCATCTTCATGGTGGGGCTCCCCATGCCGGTCCTTAGTAACGATATTTTTACTATATATATGCATATAGCTCTTCCATAAGGCTTCTCCTAATTTTTATTTTTTAAGGTATGGAAGCCAAAACCTGTTTGCTAAGGGAAATGAAAAGCTTACAAGAAAACACATTTTGGTTGTGTAACAGACACGGACGATGCCAGACAACTGTCTGGGTTCATGTAAAGTCAGAGGGGGAATTACACAAACAGGGATAACAGGGAATCTCGGTAAAGCCTCCTGCCGGAGAGGCCTCCATCATCCTATGACTCCACAAATGCTCTCTCCCCACCCACTCCCGCCCCCAGTTGGGAGGTGAGTCATCTCTGCCGTTTCATCAAGGTGTGCCTAGACTGATTTTTGCCTTCTCGGTATCAAAGTACATGTGATTCAAGAACATTTGTTAATTCAACAAGGATGTGTATGAATCTCTTAAGTTCTCTGGCAGAATGGGATGGGGCATAAAAAAGTAATACTATTATAATTTAGTAAGCTCTAACAACATGCTAGACACCGAGGGTATAAAAGGTGAATAAGACCTGGACCCAGGTTTCAAGGGGCTCAAGATCTAGTGAGAAGCCTGACAGGTGAACAGATCACACAGGGTCAACACTACACTAGAAGTAGCCACAGAGTGTGCAGAAGACACAAGACATTGCCTACAATCCAAAGGCATGTTTATGCCATTTCTGCCATCTGTTTTTGGACCGGCAGAAATTCTTGAGAAAAGCATGTGGTTTTCAGAGGGTCCCCACCCTATCCCCCTTTACCTGGTCAGGTAAAAATGAAAGAAAATAATACAGGTGGAGTTCTGAGTGACACGATTTGCTGTAAGTTCAGTTAAGCTAGGAAAGCTCATTTCTAAAGAACTTCCTGTAAACAAGGTCCATGACTGTCTCCAGCTCATGATGAATAAATGAAATAATTGATCGCAACAGACACGTTGCCTCAAAGAAAGTGTCTCACACAATAATATGTCTTTTATTTTTCCTGTTCTGGGGTGTGGTTAGGTTGACTTTCCCTTGGTTAAGGGACTTTTGAGTCTGACTACAAAAGGTTAAGTGCAGTTGCAAAGTTGAAAGGACCCAGACAGGAAGTATTTGCTATTTGATAGGTAAAAAGAAAATCCCTTGATGTTACAAAATTAAAACAAAACAAAACAAATCAAAACCTGGGTGAAAACATTTTTAGCTCATGAGCTTGAATTTTAAATCTTATGATGATCTCCTCCTTTCCAATACTTTCTCATCCGCAGATATGGTATAAAATTCAATTACAATAGAAGATAGTACGTGCTGCTTTACTTGCCACCTCATTTCCAATCCAGAATACTGGATGCATTTTGTGAAACAAAGCCATAGGAATACAGAAATGTTCATTTCATTCTCCTTTTAAGCGCCAGCCATTGAGACCTTCCAACTACTTATAGATCGAGATATTGAACTCTGCAAAATGGTTTTCTTTGCTGTGATTTCTTTGCTATGTTTTCATCTGCTTAGAAGGATGAAAAACTCACCACTTTCCTTCTCTCTCAGATTTTGATAGATTAATTCAAAAACTCAATCTGAAAACGAGCTTTGAAATTTAAACCTGAACCTCTCCAGTAGAGAAAAGGTAGAGCCAGAGGAAGACAGACCTGGGAGAGGAGGAGAGACCTTCCCATTCCCAGTATTCTCCCAAGTTCAGTTCACTGGCATTCCTTTTTCTTTTTATTCAATTTTAATTTTTAATTTTTGTGGGTACATAGTAGATGCCTATATTTATGGGGTATATGAGATGTTTTGATACAGGCATGCAATGTGTAATAATCCAATCATGGAGAATGGGATATCCATCCCCTCAAGCATTTATCCTTTGTGTTACAAATAATCCAATTATACTCTTTTAGTTATTTTGAAACGTACAATTAAATTATTATTGACTATCATCACCTTCTTGTGCTACTAAATTGTAGGTCTTATTCATTGTTTCTAACTAATTTTTTTTGTACCCTTGGCACTCCTTTTTCTGAAAAAATAAATCAGTTAGAAACAGGTGATGAAATTACAGAACTGATTAAGACATAATGACCAACAGTCCTTTTCAAATTGGGGCAGAAGTAGAAGAAAGAAGGAGGTGGGAACACCTCAGGTTTGTTACTGCTGACTCTACAGTCGCTTTATTGTGTGCGCTCAAGAATAATGAGAAAGGACAGTTGGGGGAAATGTGACAAATTGGAAAATAATAAGAACTAATGCAGTACGAAGTGCTTGCTTCATACCAGCACTCTTCTAGCACTCCATACTTATTAACTCATTTACTTCTTACAATCCTGTGAGACTGGGAGGATTATTAACCACGCTTCACATGAGGAAATGAAGCACAGAGAGGTCAAGTAACCTACAAAAGACACACAGCTAGCAAGCTTATCTGGCTCCAGCGTGTGTATTTGGCAGTGTGGCTCCAGAATCTGCTTTTGGTTTTGTTTCTTAAACACTAGCCAGCATTGCCTCTTTATATTTTAGTACCTACTTCACAAGAAATTATCAAGTTGCATATGCATAGTAGCACGAAGAGGGAAATTAGCAGGGAGATTCAAGGAAGTTAAAATAGGAAGTGGCTGAGGCAAGAAGCACCACCAATTTAAGGACTCAGGGGCTGGTCACAGATTGTCCAGGGCTGCCCGTTCAGATAGTCAGGAAACAACCTCGAGGCACAGCTTCTAAGATCTTATTTCCTCCGAGCTGGAAAGCAACATGGTGTGTCCCCAGGGAGTCTCCTTTGGGAAATCAGCCATCCGCATAGGGTGGCCTGTCCTGCTCCAGGCTCCCTAAGTCACACTCCTTCAAGCTCAGGAGCTGGACGATCCCAGAGCTTGCCTGTTCCCACCCTGCCTTCAGCTTTTGCTATTGGACCATTTCTTCCAGAGCAGCACCCACATCAGAATCTGCACTGAGCCCCTCTGCTTCTCTTTCCACCTTTCTTATTTTTGCTCTCCTGGGAATACATGTCCCTCTCACTTCATGGAACAACCAACCGTCAGCTTTGGAAAGGGCCAGGGTGATGATCCAGCTAGGGGTGGGGGTTATTGAAAAGGACCATGTGCCCAACTGGGGAGGGGAGAGCACAGGAGATTCTGGTATTGCTCCAAAAGGGGTGTCTTTTTTTAATGTTTAGAGATGATATTCTGGCTCCATTCTTTCATTGGGTAGCCAGGAGGCTGCAACCTGGAGCAGGGAAATGACTTAAGAATGGGTCATACAGCTAGTAAGAGGCAGATGGTAAACTCAGACACAGATCGGCTGCCCTGGGGCTCACTGCATCTGTGCCCACCACTCACCCAAGGGCAGTGCCCTCATCCTCCATGGGCTCTTTTTCCTCCTGGACCTGCATGGAGACAGTCATCAGGGAGTGTTTCTGGCGAATTCTGCCTTCAACCTTCACTCTCTTAGACCATAAATCACCTTTTAACAGGTAAAAGATCAAAAGTTGCTGATCTCACCCTGTGCCAGATGCTTATTTCTAGCTTGCTTTTCTGTTCCACCCCCGACCTGGCTACAAATCTTCCTCCTGTAGTCTTCCTTTCATTGTCCTCTCCATTTCTCTCTGCATTGGATGTTTTGCATCTAGCTCTTGTGAGCTCTCAGGCTGCCCATGGGGATGTAGGCCGGAACTATGTTCACCGCACCTGCTTCTTCACTGCTGGCTTTTCACAGCCTGCCTTTGGAGGTCTGATCCCACACCCTACTTTCCATTGTCCAAGAGGTTAATGGGCGGGTTGTGTGCTAACGCAGTGTCCCTGCTGGTGGCCCATGAAGTCCAAGCTGGCTGCATTCTGCATCTAGCCAGCCAGCCCCTCAGTATCCACATGGAATAACTAAGCAGTTTATCTTGATGTTCTCCCCAGACTCCTCCCTCATAGGCCCAGGTAGATCTACCTTCAACTCTCCTGTTTCCTTCCCTACGGAGATGTTCAGACATAAAAGGAGCCTCCACACAGCCACCATTTCATTCAAAACAAGATGCTAATAACTACCCTTTATTCAATATTCACTATGTGACAGGAATCTTCATAGGTTCTTTGTATATGTGATCTCAAACTTCATAAGAAACCTTCGAGAGGTGATTATCATCAGCATTTTGCAGATGAGGAAGCTGAGTGGTTTTAAGCAATTTGTCCTCTCTCAGATATAAAATGCTGAAGTTGGGGCTGCAACCCAGGTCTGTTGTGGACAACACTGCCCAACCTCTTTCCACCACAGCATCCATGTCTTTGGCCTGATGTTATATTTTGTTCTAATTTCAGGCATTATCCTGGGACAGCCTTCTAGTGAATGAATGTGCCATGCTATTTCGGTATGGGGTTCTGTTTCCTCTACCTCTCAGTGGCATCTGCTCACATGTCTTGCCCTGAGTGGTACTCTGCCGTGCCCTGCCACCCTTCACACCCAGCAAGGTTCTTCTTTCCGCTGCTAGCTTGGGCCTTCCTTCTTTTGTCCTTCAGTTTGTCTAGAGGAAGTCATTAAAACTGACCCAAGACTAGGAACTTCCTTCTCTGCTCTTGCTCTCCCCTCTCTCCCCACTGAGTTTTGTTTTCTGCACTGATGGGGTTGTCTCAAGCCTTTTTCTTCCTCTTCGAGCTTGAAATTCAGGCTCTCTTCTCAGGTACTTCAGTGCAAAATCAGCTCCTGAAAGCTGTTGCTCTGGCTCATGATCAGCACCACAGTTTGCCTTTTTGCCTACTGGTTTCTATTCTGCCATCATTAAACAATATTTGCCGGACAATTCTCCTTCCAATTAAATCTCTCCTGTCCCTCCCAGGCAACTGACAACTTAGCTTGAATCTCACTGCTAGTAGTTCGTGGGACCAGGAGTGTGGGCAACGTTTTTCAGGCAGGAGCAGGGCTGAGACTTTGTCAAAAGCAACCAGGCTTGTTAAGAACAGAACACTGACCAGAATCTCAGTGTGAGACAGAGTACGGTTTTGCTTAGGGTCTAGTAGTTTATCCATTACATCAGAAGTTCCCAAACTTCTCTTCAAAAGTGGAACTGAGACGGAGTTTTACTAAAATAAGATAATAGTGATCTTCTAATTTACAGAGGGGGGAAAGAAAATAAGTAGACTTTTATCACTTTTATTTGTTTCACTAAATTTTCTAAACTTTTATGGTATCTTCTACTGTTTATCTGAAAAAAATTAATAACTTACATCAAAATATCAGAATTTACATCTTTAAATATTTGATGGACTCTTACTTTTTTGACTATTTTGCATGTATGCATATATAATTAAATGACAGTTTCTACTGGTAAAATTACTACTTCCTGCAATGGAATTCATTATATCAATATTTAATTTCATGATTTTCCCATCAGAACCATGAGACTACATTTCCTAAAGGGAATGGTGGCTGGGGGAGAGGCACCTAAGCCTTCTGCTTCCTCATTAGATCATTCAAATGCAAGATCAGCCTTGGGCAGTTTGGAGCAGAGCACCTTCCCTGGCTGCCAAGGGTATGAAGCTTCCTCTGTGTTGCAAGGGGAGTATCTACCCAGGGTGGGAGGAGACACCCTGGAGGAGCCGATGTAGGAAAAGGAACCCAGAGCTGGCTCCCTGGAGACTGTGCCACTCCTCCTGCACTGTTACCCCTTCTGCTCCAAGTTTGGATTTACCTTGTGCTTGATGCCTTCCCTACATTTTATCCCATGAGGTTTCCCCAGATGAGGATTTCATTCAGCTCCCGCTCATTGAAATGCTGGGCTGTTCTCGAAAGAGGAAGAGGTGGCATGTCGCTGTGATGGGCCAGCACTCTGGGCCCTACAGGTTGAAATCTCCTACTCACGTTCCATGACGCCAACACCTCTGGCATAAAAGTGGAGAGAGCAAATAACAGTTGCCTGGGAACACAGAGTGTTTTGATGTTTTGTGGGTAGACTTCTTTAGTGAGTTACAATGATATTGAAAATGTTCACAAAATAACCACCTTTTCTTGCAGCCAACAGTGAAAAGGCAAAGGCCTCTGGCAGATTTCAAGGCTGAGGTTTCCAGGTATGTTTTATTCATGTGCAAATCTGACCACACCTGCCATCTGTCACCAGGCAGGAAAGGAACATGATGAAGTGGTACCCAGGAATGCTTCCCATTTAGGCCTCCATTACTAGGTTCTCCCTGTCTTGCAGAAATACCCAACTTGTTTGCAAACCTACTTGATAGCAAATTGTCTCTTCTTCCGGCGGTATGAAAAATGAGAAAGGTCACCCACTGATTTCAGTAGTGAAACTTCTGCTCACGGAAGGCCAGGCGTGTGGTGTGGTGGGCAGCATGCAGACAAGCAGGAAGCCATGTGTCATAAAATTACTTGTCCTTCACGAAGCCGGAGGTGCGTGGTCACTTGCCTTGAGGGGCAGTGCACTCTCTGCCCAACTAACTCAGCAAGATCTTCCTGAAACTCTGAAGCAAGGCCTGTGATGGGTGCTGCCTCTCCTGTAGGGCTAAGAGAGCAGCTTAATTTGGCTGGAGGAAGAAGAGACCAAGGGTCTGAGAAAAGAGCATGGCCAGATCATGCTCTTGTGTGCACGAGAACTACCTAGTGTGATGCTCACAATATCCCCTTCCCCAGTTCTCACTTCATTGATAGGGGCCAAAGTCTTGGAATTTTGCAAACCAAACCCAGCAGGTTGGAATGGGCAGCCAGCACTGAGAACCACTTGCCCGGTGTCCTGATCTCTTGGACACATTGCTCAAAGCCTCACTCAGAAGCATGGTGGCCCTGTTAAGAGCAACGCAAAAGCACCTCTTGTCACTCATTTGGCGGCAGAGACCATGTCCCCAATGCCTCATGTTAAACATGTGCTCTCGGTACAGTGCAGCCTTTAAGGGAGATGAAGCCTGGATTGTGAGAAAGGCTCAACACAGCCACTCACTGGGCTGGTGCACAGAACGGGACACAAAAGACCTTCAGCTCAGAGACTCAGAGAGAAAGCTCACAGTCCCCAGGCAAGTTGCTTAACATCTCTGGTCTCATCATCCTTACTGTAAAATAGAGTGTTGGACACACAAGACAATCTCCAAACTCCTTCGAGCTTTAACAATGTGTAAGTTTATGGTTTTTCATCCCATGCGTCTGATCATTTCAATCTGTACTAACCTGTTCTTTCCACCTACAAAATAGAAATGAAATACATCAGCTCCAGAAAGACTGATGTATAAATACTTAGTTGTAAGTGCCAAAAGATTTTAAAGTTCTCTTTGTGGCTACATTTCATCTTGAATGTATAAGTTGAAGCAAATCAAGTCTGGTCAAGGCTTACATTGGAGAAAGATAATGTGAGACTCAGCCCTGCTTTGACATGCCTAAGAATGGCATGTTCTGAGGAAGGGATATGTGGCCAGGGCACATTTTGTTTCTCTTTTTGAGCCTTAAGGAAGGTATATTAATACTGATTCCTGAAAGAACCTGTTAAGCGCTTCCTGATGTAATTCACCTGAGAAATTGCTAAAGAATATGAACTTCCTATGGCAGATTTCAAGGCTGGGGTTTCCAGGTATGTTTTATTCACGTGCAAATCTGACCATACCTGCCATCGGTCACCAAGCAGGAAAGGAACATGATGAAGTGGTACCAAAAGCCCTAGGAATTTAAAATTTGCCAAAGTGCAACTGTTAGTTTTCCTTCCTGTCTATGGACATGAATTTCCTTTCTGACTAATTTCTTCGTAGAAAGAGTAATTAGCTTTATTACTAACATTACCTCTGTTACTACCTTTACGCAAATTATTAACAGCCAGCTACAGCTTAACAGTAATACTTAACAGTATTACGAGTACGTGAACTTTACCTCCCTAAAACACTCGTGATTGATAAACTGATAGATGGATAGATAGATATACACAGGTATGTATATACGTGTGGATATATATGGTTTTAAATGTGAACACACAAACACCATCATCAGCAGCAGCAGCAGCTATTCATTTTGTTGAGCACCTGTCACAATCCCTGTGCTTGTGGAGGTAGCAATTTAATGAGAGAGCAAATACAGAATATCCATCAAAAGAGGTGAATAGCCCTGTATAGCATAAACTGGCAGTTCTTAAAGTGTGGTTCAGAGACCTCTGGGGGACACTGAGACTCCCAGGGAGTCCAGTAAGGAAAAAATATTTTTATAATAATACCTAATGATATATAATTATGTTATTTGCTTTTAATTTGCATTTCTCGTGAGTGTACAGTGGACTTTTCTAGAGGTGACATGATCTGTGATATTGCATTGAATGCAGAAGCAGACCAGGAGTCCAGCTTTCTCTTATGAAGCCATAATTATTAGGCTATTTTCATTTACTAAAAGTGAAAAAAGAATGCCACTCTTCTCACTCATATTTTGGTTCTGAAATATTTTTTCATTTCAAATATGCTAACAATGTTAATATGCAATGAGCTTATTTTTTAATG
This sequence comes from Homo sapiens, assembly GCF_000001405.40. Taxonomy (NCBI): domain Eukaryota; kingdom Metazoa; phylum Chordata; class Mammalia; order Primates; family Hominidae; genus Homo; species Homo sapiens. Next base: position 105,789,573 of record NC_000006.12, read on the forward strand.
AATTAATAAAAGTATAGGCCATCACCCTATTAAATTACAAGTTCTTGAAAGATCTTTGCCTACTTTACCTTTGTGTCCTAAAAACTGATAAATGAATGAATGAATGCTGAATGCCAAAATAATGATTTAGACATAAACTGTATAGGAGTCCAGAGGAAACACCTATCCTGGGGAAATTTGATGAAGAAAGTGAGATTTGAGGTGGTGCTTGAAGACAGGGGAAGGCTTCCACCAGGAAAATAAAACTAGAATGGACCCTTCCAGTGGGGAAATAACATGATCAAATGCACAGAATCAGGAATTTTTAAAGTGTACTTAAAAAAAACTCATAGAAAGATTAATGCTAAAGCTGGCATTAGTAAGATTCCTATGAGGAGGTGCAAACGAGCAGATAAAGAAATCTGGACATTTTGGTAACGTTTTCTTTGTAGACTTAATTTGAAGAAATGATCATATAAAGCCTGTTGGTTCCTGATGATGAGGAAAGAACTATTAACACTCTGTAGCTGACTTCACACTGTGAACACTTGGCACTGAAGCTGAAAACTAAGCTAGAATTCAGTAGGGAGGGGTAGTAAATGAAGGTCACTTCCTACACAGATCAAGCCAACCCCAGTTTTGTGTTAAAAGGCTAAATGTTTAGCTAGCAAATACAGAGCACACTTTCCTGAAAATAACAAGTTTAGTGTTGAGATGTTTACAGTTTTTCTAAAATTGCATTTTGATTTTGTAAAAACTTGATTAAAACAAGGTCACTAGATGTCATAAAAATGACATCTAGATTTTTTTTAAATCTCACAAAATAATTATTTGAAACAAACGTGTTAGGCATTTCAAAGTAATTTTTTCTACTAAGCGAGCACCTCTACTTTATAAGTTATATAAAGAATACTATTTTGTATGAATTATTTATATAAGAATTATATGAGAATAATATTTTCCTAAGACATACACTACAGTTTCCATCTCCACACAAAGTTTTACAGAAGTCTTCATTTTGAAGATTCAAAATATTTTAAACTGGTCAAATATTTAAAACTGTATAAATAATTCTATAGAACAGTCAAGTTTGCTTTCAGCATGTTTCTAATACATTGCTAGTTGGCCAAAAACAAAGCAAAAAACAGAAAGCAGAAAAGGCTAACAAACTCCGTGGAGTAGATTTGAAAGTTAAAGAGGCAGAGCCATGATCTCAATTTGAGAAAGGAGGAGGTAGGATGAACATACCACTCCTAGTGGCAGCCATTATCCAAGCAACTAATCTTGCTAATCTGTCTAGTATGTTCTATTTGTTTTGTGTTTGTTTTGATAAAGTAACAACAACAAGAAATGAGGATGGAGTTGTTTAGGTGAAATATGAAGCCTTATGGAAATAGATGCAGATTTGCTACCAGTAGCTGAATAATAGAATTGTGAACTTGTGAATTTTCTTTAGCATATTTTATACATAGAAAATAGTCATTACATATTTAACAATTAAGGAAAACATTTCCTGCATAGCATCATACGTTATAGACATTTTCTTATAAACAACTAATCAAAACACTATTTTGTTAGAGGCCCTGAATCCATAAAGAAAAATAAGCTTATAAAGTCTTTTGTCCTATAATCCCCTCAATGTAATGGAATCTTTTCTCTAAGTTTTCATGGAGTGCTTCTTTTTAATTTTAAGTAACCATACATATTTTATAAGCAAACATATGCTATTTTTCCAAATCAAAAGACTTTGCAAGTTTTTCCTAGATTAAAACAACAACTCTGCCTCTCTGCACTGGCATCCATCTGTGTTGGTATGTGTTGTACACACACGTGCACACACACACACACACACACACACACCATGACACACAGGCAGCAGAGGGAGGCTGGAAAGATCTGTGGAAGGAGAATCAGAAACCTCAGGAACCTGTTATGATTCTGTTTACCTAATTGTGAGACATGAGCAAAGTCACTTAAATTTTCCTGAACCCCAATTTTCTTTTTCATAAATTGTTTATAATAATAACATCTCTGCCTGCCTCAGCAGATCAGGGCGATACTCTAAAAAGATGACATATAGGAAAATACTTTGTATGAAGACATGATTTTCACAAATATTTAAGTACATTTCTTATGCTGTAAAGGCTCAGTTTCAATAACAGCTATCTTTGTTAAGCAAAAGTTGAGTTATGAAACTAAAAGTACAACTTTCCAAATGATGTGGGATTTCCTGTTCTGTGTTTTACAGGGCCTTGTCCCAGATGGGCAACTATTTATTACCATATGACCAAGCCAAGCTTTGATTACAGTTATTAGGGCATGAAAATATTGGCTAAGCCAAGGTCCCTGTTGTGAAAGATAAGGAGCATGAAAATCTAAGAAGTCATGGGCATGATCCTTCACTCATGGGTTCTAATAGTTAAGAAGGCTGAGGGTAATTTAAAAAAAAATGAATAGAGCTAAAAATAGGAGGTTAAATATTACCTTATTGATGAACGTACCAACTAGACTTCCCTGCTGATATTAGGAGGTCATGCTGAGGCCTGGACTTTGATGCAATCGCAGGGCTGACCCAAGGCATGAGAGAAGGAAAGCAGGTTCTCCTCCCTGGGGCACCACCCGTTTGTGCTGTTGGGCTCAATTTCAGGTGCCTGCCTGCCCCACTGCCCTGGCCCAATACCTGTGTGATGCCCAAGGCCTGAGATGGAACCTCCCTCTAGAACCTTGCCCCTCTCGATGCTTTCAGACTTACCTTCACTCTCAAAGGGTTTCTCATGTCTGTGAAATTGCTACTTCTGGAGGCAGGCTTCCTGTGCTTCCTGTAGGTGACAGTCAATTGATCAATTGAATCCAAGGGTCTCACACTGAAATGACCACCAGGGCCAGGCAGAAAAAGTAAACAGTAAAATGGGCCAGGTGGGTTCTGTCACCATGGAGAGTGCCTGAACCATTGCATGGGAACAACGACCTCTGAGCTTCAGCTAGGTGTGACCTTATAGAAATAGAGATCCCAGTGTGGCTAGAAATTTTCATGAAAAACTGGAAATCTAAATTTTTATTTAAGATCTTGACTTTACATGTGTTGCCAACTAAATCAAAGTTATGTTCTTAGTTTTTAAATATGAGTTTGTTTTAAACTGGAAGTAGACAAAATAAAACATATCAACAGGTCATATTCAGCCAACAGGCAGCCACATTTTCTCCTCTTATTTAATGGGTGCAAAAGGGAGAAATGCTAAAGGAGGACAGAGTCCTCCTTGCCCCACCAGTTAACACATATGCCTTATAGGAACAGCCTGTTGGTGCCCCATTTTTCTTTGTTGTAAATCAAAAGGATCCAAGGATCCAAGAGTCTCACGCTGAAATGACTACACACTGCCTGACCCCTGCAGTCATGTCAGTGGGAGACCCTTGGATTCAAACCATCAGTCGACTGTTACCTGTAGGAGGCACAGGAAACTTGCACCCAGAAGCAGCAATTTCACTGACATGAGAAACCCTTTGAGAGTGAAGGGAAGTTTGAATCTAGTTCAGACTAGATTGGAGGAAAAGGTGATGCATGGCACCTGTGCAGAGGAGGAAAAATTGCTGGAACTGGGTCCTAAAAACTCCCTCTCATCTGCAATACGGACAAATCCAGCTAACCCTGCCCTGAAATGTTCTTTTGCACTGTAGCAACAGCAGACACCTATTGGTGCCCCACGGATGCTTCCAGTCCCTCCCCCAGGCATTCTGACAGTCTAGAGTCTCCAGTGAAGGGAGAAGAATGTACACCAGAGGGCAGGAAGTCGACACACAAGCCCAATGCCCAGATGAGGAAGTCATTTGCCCAGATAGGTCATTTGGCAAGTTGCTAACAAAAGATCGACACAGAGTTCATTTCCACTTAATCCAAAAGATTGTCACTAATTCAGAGAATCCTGTTTACCCTAGGAGGGACTTGGAGATCATCTTCCCTTGCCTCCCCATTTTTCAGATGGGAAGATCAATGCCTACAGAGTCTTCTAAACTCAGCAATATCAATATCACCTGCATTGCTTACTGTTCAGGACCAATGCATCGGGAAAATGTTTTCCTACCACCTAGCCTCCTCTATGTAAGTGCAGTTTGCTATACACGGCAGACCAGGCACTTCTCAGAAATGGGAAGGTCAAGTGATATTATCAGTGGTCAATATATCACTCTATTGCTGACTATAATATGAACACCCAATAATTGTCTCCATTTCAACCAGGAAACTGGTTGGGTGTGACAAATGTGCCCTTGTTACTCCAGAGGTCTCTGAAAAGCTTTGCTCTGCCATTCATGGCTTTTGAAAACCAGAAAATGACTCAGTTGGATTTGATTTAATTACCTTACAGAAACCACCTTTGAGGGCCAGACACGGTGGCTCACACCTGTAATCCCAGCACTTTGGGAGGCCGAGGTGGGCAGATCACCTGAGGTCAGGAGTTCGAGACCAGCCTGACCAACATGGAGAAAATACAAAAATTACAAAAATTAGCTGGGTGTGGTGGCACATGCCTGTAATCCCAGCTACTCATGAGGCTGAGGTAGGAGAATTGCTTGAACCCAGGAGGTGGAGGTTCCAGTGAGCTGAAATAGCACCATTGCACTCCAGCCTGCACAACAAGAGCAAAACTCCATCTCAAAAAAAAAAAAAAAAGAAAGAAAGAAAGAAAGAAACCACCTTTGAAACCAGTGAGCCTGTGAATGGCAAAGGGGAACTCCAGCAGTTTGGAAGGAGGCAGGAACAGGCTTTCTCTAAAGAGAGCCAGTCTGTCTGTGACCACGGAGAAAGCAAGGTCTAAAGTTCAGGGACCAGTTCATGAGATCTGCCTGGCAGTGCTGCTGCGGCTGGGGAAGGAGCCACTCTTCTTATGTAATGGGAAGGAGGCTTACAACACAGGCCACCAGGAGTGGCTCCCAGTGAAAGCGACCTGTGCTCTACAGTGGCTGTCTGCCATGGGAACTGGTTTCACAGTCAGGTCCTGCTGTGTTGGCATCACGTTTCACGAGGAGGGCTTTAGAGATCTTTCATTATTATTCCAGAAAGAAAGATTATTAATCAGGTCAGCACCAGTCCTCCCATTTAATCAGTGGAGAAACTGGGGTGAGCATTTGCCAGTTCTAGCTGCATTCTAAGGTGAGTGACTTTGAAGCATCCTGCCTGGGATGCTGCGGCCCAGCCCCCTGGGCCCAGCCAGGGTCCCCTAAATTGTGGCGAATGGTCAAATGTAAGAAGTGAGGGAGACACTCTAGATCTGGAAGGAATTCTTCTTCTGGTTTCAGGGATTTTTTTTTTTTTTTTTTTTGGTGCTGGGAAAAGGGAAGGGAACTGGGGTGGTCTCTACTGTTTCCGAAATGTAGATTTTTTTTTACCTTAAATTGTGTCAACCCAGAATATTTTTGCATTTTTAAAAATTATCATGGGACTATATTCTGCATTATGAACAATTTCCAAGTGTGACTTCAACTGGAAACTTTATTAGCTCATTCAGGCATGACTCGTGTCACTTAGCAAACTGCTGCTTCAGTGAAGGAAATAAATGTACTTTCAGGGGTGCACTGCGTCTGACACGCAGAGGAGTTCTTAATTCTGCCCACAAGGAACCGGCCTATTACCTATTATCACATGCTTAAAAGGAAGGTAGCAACTATTCAAGTCAAGTTTTGCAGTGAGGAAAAATAAAATGTGACTTGCCCTGTAGAATAAAACTATTCACATTTGTATAATAGACATTTAAAAAGCATTTTCACATAGCACAAACATAATACCAAGCATAATTTTTTTAAAAAAAGCATTTACTTAACATCAACTAAAGTAAAATATTTGCTTAATCTAAAAAAGCATTTTTATATATAGCTAATGTAATCCTCACAACCATCCTTGTTTTATAGATGAAGCACCCTAGGCTCTGGGGTGTAAAGTAACTTGCCCATAGCTTCTCACATGCTCATGTCAGAGCCTGAACAGTCCTCAACTCCAGTGCTCCTTCCTCCTCACCTCCACTTCCCCAATTAAAGAGGGAGTCAGGCTTTTTCCAACTAGTACTCATCTCTAATTATGAGACAAAATGCCTTCATCCCCCTTTCCCAAACAAGATCTTCCCCTGCTCTGAATTTTTGGTGAAATAATAATTCCATAATGATACATCTTCTTCCTTCACTACTCTCTCCCCAACCAAGTACAGTGCCTGTCTCCTATTGCAATGGACATTTGTGAAAGGAAGGATAGGAGAGAGGAAAGCAAAAAGAGGGTCAGGCAGGAAGGGAAGACTCAGAAAATTCATCTTTTCTCATTACCCCAGCAACTAACCAACCCTAAGTGTTTTGAAGCACTTAATAGGTGCTCTGTATTCCGCTAGGATATAAGAGAGGTGTCAGTCAGGGATCCCACCCTAAGGAAAATTATAATACAGCAAAAAGATAACAAAAAATGGATCAAGTAGAGAAGAAAACAATGTGAGACAGACCATTCAATGGGGAGATGAGAGCTGGAGAGAGGAGAGCAGGGAGCCAGGGGAAGGCTCTGCAGGGGAGGGGCTCTGGGGCAGCATGAGGCTGCCTGAGGTCCTGCCTAGGGCACCGAAGAAAGCGCAGGAGTGCAGGCTGACACAGGATCAACTTGATTCCTTGTGTTTTACGTGCTCTACGTGAGAAAGGCTGAGAACCCCAGAAGGTGACACTGGCTACTCTGTAGGCATGAAGTGACTCCGTGAGTCATTGCCAGAATGTCAAAGGGATTTCTTAGTCAGGAAACAGTCTCTGCCTTGGTGTTGATCAACAACTTAGACAAACAGAAGTCTAAAGAGCAAACAGGCCAGCACAGAACCCCGGCCCCTCGGACCAGGCCATGCCCCACTTACTGTAAATGCCCTTGGCCACACCCAGCCTCTCACCAGTGCAGTGAAGCCTGAGACTCCTGGACCTACGACTCTGCTCTTTGCCCAGCATTTCACTCAAGGGGAATTGACTGACACTGATCCAAAGCACAATGCACACACTAAGATATGTTCAAATAATAATAGTAACTTGCGGAGTGGATTTGTCACTTCCAGGTAAAATATACAAAAAGCTCCATCCACGACACACTGCGTAATTCCCATTAGGCAGAATATGACAGACATAACTTGAAATTAAAAATGACATTCTGCATTGGAGGAAAGGTAGCTTTCATGATTTAGACAGAAACAGTTTTAACAGATAATGTTTACCTCCTGTTGGACAAACTTGTGACCTTGAGTAAATGACTTAGTATTTTTGGCCTCAATTTTCTCATGAGTGTAATGCTTAAGCGGGGGGTAGGAATAATCTCTACACTTCCCTTACAGCTTTGAGATTCAGTGAATCTAATCTCTGTATATCCCTGAAGTAGAAAACAACACTAAAAGGCCTGTAATCTACTCATAAAGAGCATTCAGGTCCCTGAATATTTGGAATGACCAGTAAAGCAACATCAGCCTGCTTCTCAGAACTCTCAAATGGTAGACCATAATCTCTTTCCTTATAACTGAGATCAATCAAAAGACCTGGAGATCTGGCAATACTACGGGAGGGTTATTTTAGTAGTGTTTGTTTTCTTGAAGTATTATCAAGTCATTTTTGCCCTAAAAAAAAAATCGCCAAATAATTCTGCAACCAAACATTCAAAGTATTGGCAAAGAAAGAGATAGAGAGAGACAGAGAGAGAGACCCAGTCCTTAAACTGGAAGACAGATTTTAAGTCCACTTATTACTCAGATGACCTTTGATTCTCAATCTTCAGGACCTCAAAAGCCTTCCTCTCTTAAAAGGGGGAAGGAGGCAAGAAGAATGCCTTCCATGTCTAGCTCACAGGTTTGCCTGAGGGACACAGGAGATAGTTGGTGTAAAAGTGCTTCATAAAACTTAATGTGTTCTACAAATGAAAGGGATCATATTTTTTATTGCAAACCATTGTTCTTGTGACTGGAGGAAGCTGGATATATAAGCACAGTAATCGCTTAAACATGTGTTATAAACTTAAGCCTGAAAGTTAATGCCTTTAGCAAAGGAAACATTATTTTTATTATTACCATTATGGAGAGGACAAAGAGAATTCAGTGTTAATCTGAAGGAAACTCACCAGTGGGAGCTCCACCCTGAAAGGATTATTAAACTTGTGACAACACAGGTAACCAGACAACTAGAGCACCTCCTACTTTGAAGCAACACTGGTGATGATGGCATAACTCACCCTTTCCTTAGTATCGGGTGCAACTGGCACCAAGAACAACACCCATGCCCAGGTGACAACTGCGCCAATATGGGTCAGCATCTCACCTCCTCATCAAGAGTGAGCCCAGGACAGAGACCTGGAATGCCAGGGTGAAATCTCTACCTGAGGGGTCTTAGTCGCCCAAGGAGATCTACAGAAGAGCTGAATTCAACAGCTATCTGCTATCCCAGGCCAGACAGCTTTTCCACACAGAAACGAATACCTCTCTCATCTGAATTGGAATACTCATGACAAGTAGCCAGAAGAGTCATCGGTTAAAAACAAGGGTTGGGCTGGGTTTCTCTTGACTTTCTGCATGTCTTGCAGGGCAGAACTTTTCCTGAAAATCCCGATGTTCAGATGTTTACAATTACAGGCAATGAGGCTCAAAGAGCCAGCCTCATGGATCACTTGTGTTTTATTTTTGGTTTTGTTTTCATTAGATGCAACACTGAGCTGAGCCTTGAGCCTTCCAGGGAGTTGCACAACCTCAGCTTTTAGAGATTGTGTTTCATGGTCACGGAAAAAAAAATAATTGGATTTAATAGGTTTTCACAATCATATTATCTGCTTAACCTTCCAAGATCATTACTCACTTAATTGTTAAGCCCCAAGGAAAGATCATAGGGTAGGGGTTATGCTAGTCAGTCATTACAATTTGAGAGAAAAGCAGATTCTTCACGACTGATGTAAAATCTGAATGTAATATCAAACGTTTTAAGTGTTCTGATTTAAACCCCTTATATTTGAAAGAATTGGGCTCCTTTGATACTTGTTCTCATTACAGAATGAAAACTTGCATGTTATATATGATGCTTATGTATTTGCACATAAATATATATTTACATGTGATATCGATATATCCGCTTATGCATAGATTATATAGGTCTAAATGGACAAAATACAATTCTCAAGCTGTGGGTGACAGGCTTTTTGTCTGTTACTCTGTTGCGTACCTTTGCACTCTCATCCCTTATAGGAAAGGAACTACAACTAGGGATTTGAGGGTCATTAGAACATTGTGCCCACCCCCCAGGGTGGATAGCACACAGGACACATAGTATATATAGGATAAGGATGCTTCAGTCCTGTAGGGAGTAAATTCTTTCCTTAGCTCTTACAATACCACAACAGGTCAATCAGGTTGTAAGAAGCTTTAATTAGCTGTTCTACAAATTAGAGCATTCTTCAAGCTCAAAAAGATGTTTTCCATCTTGACACCATCTAAAGGAAAATCTTGAACAAAAGACTCACTCTCAATCTGGTTCATATTCTGTCATTTACTTCTATGGGATTAAAGCAAAACAAAAGCACTTTTTTTAAACTCTCTATACAGAGTGTACTATAATTGGATTCCTTGTTCCTCTTCCAAGCCAAGGCATTGGATCTGCATTGTTTCTGCCAAGTTTTTTCTCCACGCTGCAATGTCCTTGTTTGTGTTCTCTCCCAGTGTTCCAGGTTCTACTGTCAACCCAGGCTCAGGCTGTCCCACATCCTCCCACAGAGGTCTTGCTTTGTTTTGAGAAATGCTCAACAGAAGGAGGAAGTCCAGCATATCCACGGTGCAACTGAAATGCCACCCTAGGAAGACTAAGGCCTCATGGTGGGTGACAGCTGAGGTGACAGCTGAAGATGAGGCTGGCTGAGGGAGGACAATCCCACCAAAGTATAGCGGACACCAGCAGTCTCTCTAGGCTCCCAACAGTCCTAAGGCTGAAGAGACTGTGAACAGGTCTGCACAAAGCCTACAAGCAAAGAAAGTCATAAGCCTTAGGTTTCCCTGCAATGACTTTCTGCAGTAGGTGGAGGAAGGGAAGAAAAAACCTATCTCCATGGAAAAACCACCTTATAAGTCTTTCTATAAATTGCAGTAGAACAAAGGAAAAGTATATGCTCCTGCTGATTAACCATTTCTTTCAGAGGGATGTGGAAGAGTAGGAAACAGTATTGTAATAAAATCAAAACCTTATTTATTCTGCAAAGGTTACAAATCCATTTGACATTAGATAATTCCTTAATGAGGTGGTCAAAACAAAAACAAGTTGGTTAAATTACTGTTCTAATTTTCAAAAGAATGCTTTCAGTGAAAAGATTTCTTTATGAACACATAATGAGGTTGGTGTTTTGTTACTTGGTTAATACAACTGAAAGAGCACACCAGAAGATTCTGTACACCCACATCAATGGTCGCTGCAATGGCCCAGGATGACCACAGTGTGTTCCAATCATCATCTCCTCCCTACCCAACTCCACTCTCCTGACTCTGGGCTATGGCCAATACTGGCCTAGTTGACTTTCTTTGTCTCCTTTCCAAAAGCAACCGACTCTTCTCAGTGTGCCTCCCAGAGCATCATTCCAAGTATCACTCCTGATCCTCTCATCAGTGTCCCAGTAACAGAGTCACAACCAAGAGATCTCATCAGGACTATCTGCTCCAGGGGATAGGCCAGGCTGAGCTTGGCAGACACACCATATAGAGGCCTGGAGCTTCAGGGGCTTCTAGAACCACTCTCGCTTCCTGAGGCCCCCCCAAGAGGGGAACACTTTTCATCTCTGTACCCACCACCTTCATTCACATTCACATGAAATGTTTTGGAACCATTTAACTTCTACTCCCCCAGCCAGCACCTAAGCAAGATGAAAATTGACTTTAATAACATGGGCATTCATTTAAAAAAAAAATCTATTGAGAACCTACTCTGAAAAGCACTGTGCTAGGTGCTAAGGATACAGAAATGAAAAGACAAGTAGATCAAGGTGGTGGGTGTTAACAATAGTCACTAAGGTCATGCCAGTTCCTTTGTTCTGACTCTGATCATTACTAAACTCTTAGTTTTATATGGGCTTTAAAACACTTAGACAGCCTGATCTCACTTGATCTTCATGACAATCTTGTCGGAAAAGGATTGTTCATTGGTAGATGAAGAAACTGAAGCTTAAGAGGTAGTGAGTGATTTAACCCCAAGTCACATAGCTAGTAAGTGCTAAGATCGGGAATGATACTTGAAATTTATAACTATAAATCCACTGCTTGCTGCGTGCATCATCCAGCCTCTTCAGGGTCAAGGTGAGAAGTATTTTTCCAAGAAATATTCTGGCAGTAACAGCAACAAACAAGTCTTGAACACCTACCATATGCAAAACCTGTCCTGACCTCTGGGAAGAAGATGTCACAATACAAAGATGAATGCAATATTGTCCCTACTCATGGGAGTTAAGTGTAGGTGAGAAAAGTCACTGGCTGTGAACAACTAATTCAAGAAGTTAATGATTTGGTGGAAAGGGAAAGAGAAAGTATTGTGTGGAGGTCGGAACCTAAAGGATCCAGACTGAACTCTGGCATTATGTTTGGGAGCTGCTATCTTTACAGCTCATCCCAACTACTCTCAGGCCAAAAAACAGGAAGCAAATATACAGTTTTCCATGCAGACTTTTCTACAGTAGAGAAAGTGTGCAGTCCCACCGACACACATAATCTGACTTCTAAGAATTACCTCCTAAATTAATAAGTTAAAACAGTATTTTAACAACAGTGAAAAAAAATTCCTTGAAATTTGGCAACTGTGCATGAGTCCTCAAGAACCTAAAGACTTCCAGAGAACTGAAAAAGTGAAGTGTTTTTACCTATAAAGCTAAAAAGCGGACTTTGGACCATCATGATCATCTGTGAAATTCTACATAAAATAGTCACCTCATCTCACTTTGGACATCTATTTAGCTTTGAAACTTCACAGAGGGAAGCAGGACAAACTGAGGTTGCTGCCATTTCTTCTGGAGGATTAGGAAGAATTCAATGAGAGTTGGCATTGGCCATCCTGGATGGCTGAGAAAGTTCTGCTCACAGCCAGTGGCAGCAACTCTGGCAAGAAAAGAGCTCTGGGGCAAGTTAAATGCTCCTTAACACAGGAATATCAGGATAACTGCTGTGCCAGGAGGAGGGTCAAAATGCATTCCCCTCGTATGGGATTAGATTGTGCTGCTTCTGCAGACAACCAATGCTTTCCTTATGTAGGAATATTGTCCCTGTGAAAACTCAGCCATGCTGTTCTGTTCCCTGCTTGAAAGGCCAAACAGGAAATGGGGCGTCCCACCGACTCAGAGCCCACCCTGACCCCTCCCGGCTGTGAAACCCAGATGAAGCCTCCATTAGTGTCTGGCATATGCTGAAGACAATGGAGTGGCAAGGTACCTGAAGACAGGTGCTGTACTTCCTACAGGGGAGGAAGCTAGAACCTAGATCCTGGAAGGCTTGAAAAGGGGAACAGTGGGAGGAGAAAGAAGACTGAGGAGAGGGAGTGGAAGAGAGGAGGAGATGTGTGACAACCACTTTTGGAAAGCGTCTTACCCTTGTGCAGTAGAGGGATCAGGATGTTTCTGATCCTGTTCTGCTGCCCTGCTCTGCTAGGTGTACTAGATCTTTGAGTAAAGAACTGTGCTTACCTGTTTCTCTGTTCAGAGGTGTAAAAAAGGAGTCAATTTTCCCTATGGAATATCAGGAGTATCATCATTGGCTATTAGTCTTTGGTTTATTTTTAAGCTACCCAGGATTCATTTAAGGCATTTATTTTATGCTTAAATTAATCATAGTTACCTTCTGTTGCTTGCAACCAAAGGATTCTAGCTAGTCTCTCCCTAACTTTTCCAACATTACACTTCTAAACTCACCTAGATCAGCATCTACATTCTTCTTGCCTTCTTGTTACAGTGAAAGGAACATCCTCTCTCAATTCCTTGGTGGACTCTAGCCCCTACCTACTTCCACACTTTCAGGAACCCCATTCCTTGGGTTACCTTCTCTTTTCTGCATCATCAGTCTCTCACTGCCTCCTAGATCACCCCCACCCCTTGCTCCTACATTCTCCATAATCACCACTTCTTCTCTCTACTTCGCTTAATAGCCACTCTTCTGTAGAGAGATGTCTAGACGTGCTGCTTCCACTTCCTCACTTCCCAAGTCTCTCTTCAACCCACTCTTGTCTGGTTTTTACCTATAACATGCCACTGACACTGAAACCACTCTCATGAGTTTACTAGTGGCCTCCACACTGCCAAGTCCTTTGGATATTTTCCTGTTCTTGTCTTATGAGGCTTTCTGGTGGTACTGACCTAGTTGGCCACCCACTCCATCTTGAGGGCTCTCCTTGACTCATGAGCAGGCTGATCTTGCTGAGAACAGCAGCCATGGGAGCTGTGAGAGCTGGGGAGCCAAGAGACTCAATGGAGGGAGGATAGAACCTCATCCCGTTCTTAGAGAGCAGAATGTGTGGTCTTGTTGAATATTTCAGATCGTTGCACCTCCCTAAGTAAAATCTTTCATTGACATCCCACTATTTGGAGTAAAATCCATATCCTTTAAAATGCCCTCAAGGAAAACCCCAAGGAAACTGGCCCTACCAACACCCCCAACGTCAAAAGTATTCTCTTGACTTAACCAACATCTCACATATTCGTTTTAAAACAGGAAGAGGTGCTTAAGAGTTGTTTTCTTCTGGGATTTTTCTTTTCTTTTCTTTTCTTTTTTTGAGCTATATAAAGCCATTGTAGTACTTAAAATAGAAAGCAAGGGACAGAAATTTTATCAGCAATTGAATCAAACAAATATTTATTCAGAACTGTCTATCACTACCAAAGAGATTTGGGACAGTGTAGGTCCATTCCCATCCCGGGAGTTTGCTGGTCTTTCAAGCAAACAAAACCATAACTACCTTCTTATTACTCAGTGCTTTTTTTGGTATTGTCTCACTATCCACAGTCACCACAACCAAAGATAACACAGAAAGCCTGTCCTGACTTGTAATATATTGGGTAGACGACATCTCATAGAGTCTAATGTTTTATCCATGTAAATTAAGATGAAGTTTAAGCCAGTGGGTGAGCTTGTCAGCTGCCTTAGAAATGTGATGAAGTAATTGACTGGAACTAAAAACAACAGTTAGCATTAATGCCAGACTTGTCTTTCCCTTTTTCCCCATGCCATGAGTTTTTGAGATATGACTGCAATCCTGAAAGTATATACTTCTGGTTTATTTCACATTTTTGCCTTATAACATTACTCCCAGGGATAAATCAACATCCATGATGAGATTCATACAGGAACTACCCCACCACCTCAGCTTGTATTGTTTTCATGGACAGCACACACTATGTCCTTTTGAAAAGTTTGTAAGCAAAATTGCAAACTCATTAGATCAAGAAAAGAGTGGCTTTCTTTATGACATGGAGCTGAAAAAAAAAGAAGAAAAGAGTGGCTTTCTATGAGGTAAGTAGGTGGACCAAGGGTCGTGGTTTTCAAACAGCAACAGAATTAAAATCTCTAGCTTTCTAATCTCCTGTTTTTGCCTCCTGTTTGCAATGATCTGTGTTGGGGACCAAGATGGATGACCTTTTTCTGGACAGGCATCCCAAAGTTAACCCAGCCAAATATTCATCTGGATTTTATCAACTTGATGTGGTTAGGAAAATAAAAGTGATTTCAAGAACAAAGTACAAAGTCACACAATAACTCCCTTTTTAAATAAAAATAGACTTTGAAAAACTAAATGACATTTTTTTCAGCCTCTCTTTTTCCTCTTGAGTTAATTTGCTTTGTTATTTTATCTTCTTCCAACATCTTCTTCCCCAACATCTGGGTATAACTGAATTGAAAGATTCTTTCCTGGTTCCTTTCTCCAAAGAAGATGCATGTAGATGTGACTGGCCTAGGACAGTCCGAAACAGGCACAGAGCCTGCTAGATCATTGGCATTGTTACGTTATAACAATTTACCTTCAAGTAACTTGAGCTTTAGCTTTAGTAATTGGGTGAGTCAGAGATCAGAAAGAGATTCAGCAGCATTCACTATAGTCAGTCAAAACATGAATCAGTAGGAATTTGCTAAAAACTCCTAGGAGTTCAGCAATCTTTTCAGCACTATAAGATTTATGGAAGAATAACAGCTGGCCCCTTCTTCAGAAAGCTTGTGACCCAGGAGGGGAAACATGATCAATGGCAAATTTTCTTTGTCTTCTTCACCAGGCCAGTTATTAGTTACGTGTTCTTAGGAGAATTTACCACTATTGAGCCTTAAGATAGGCAGAGCTTTAAAATCAGCACACATCCCTATATAAATGTAAGAATCTGGTTTCCTAGGGCCTGCTTTTCAATTCCCAGCACACAGGCAGCACTTATAATTTTCCAATGTCTCTCTATTCCCTTATGCGTTCTATTATTTGAATGTTGGTCTCTCTTCCCAACTTGGGGGATGGTGGGAGGTGGGAGTGCGAAGATTCCCTTTGATTGCCGGGATGACTCTAGCCATCACCAACTAGACTTCAACATGGCACCTGACACATATTGGCACTCAAAGAGCAACTGTTTGTCTTCAAATCTGAAACTAAGAAAAAGCAATGAACAGTATGGAGGTCTCAAAACCTGGATGCAGAGGAATGACAGGGAAATGCAGTGTTTAAGAAAAACGCACCAATTGAGAGTATGAGATCAGATTGGAGGGCGGGAGGCTGGAGTCAGGCAGTTTAGCCAGGAAGGGGCTGAAAACGACCTGTGCCTGAGATGATGAGAACCCAAATTAGAAAGTGGGAAGAAACTCAAGGAAGTAAGAGAGGCTTGGGGAAAAAAATCAGTAGAACTTGATGATTATCAGGCACAATGAAAAAGGCTATGCGGCAACCAAGTATAAACGCAAAAGAAACATTAGAGATGACTTCAAAGCTTTGAGTGGGAATGACCATGAGACATGGGCACCATGGAAAAAACAAGGAAATAAGAAAAGGAACTGGTTTTGTAGGGGAGATGATGAGCTCAATTAGAGACTGTTGGTTGAGTCTGAGGTGATGGGAAGACTTTCAAGTGAAAATGACCAGTGGGCAGTCAGAGATATGGGAATAAACCTTGAGCAAAAGACAGGACATGAGCCATAAATCTGTGAGTCATCAGCCCTCGTGTTTGCAGCCATGAGAACAGAGTTGACCTCTAAACATGGTGGTGTCCAGCAAGAAGCATGGAGGACCAAGGACTGAACCTTGGGTAAGACGGGGCATGAGGAAGGGATCAAGAGACATGGGGAAAGCTTCAGAAGACTTGGAAGATTAGCAGGAAACCAAGAATAGTGTAAGGGCAGAAACATGAAAGGATTAATAATTTCCAAGAAGAAGGGGGTGGAAAATACAGTGACAGCTGCAGAAGTCAGAATGACCTTGGGAGTTACAGTGGCAACTGGTGACTTCTAGGGGTCAATTTGGGTAAACAGTTGGGGGTGAAAATTAGATTTCAAGGAGTTAAAGAGGGATGAGGAAGAGAGGAAACAGTGACAGAGAATATGAACCATGTATTCAAAAATATTTATTAGTGAATTAGAAATAGAATCATGGCTAGAGAGGACAAAAGTGTATACTTAATATCTGGGGAATTTTTTAGAAAATATTTTATCATATTTTATTTGTTAAAAGTGATATTTAATTCTTACGTCTTATCTGACATGGCAAGTAGATGTTCACATGGACGTTTATGATCCTTGAAGTGGAACATAATACTCCTTCCTCCTTACACACATACAAACACACACACATACACACATGCACATGTGCACACACACACACATCAAACATGTATACATTATAAAAGTTCACAGACCCCTTCCCATGTCACAAGGAGTGAACTTCCCAGTATTCTGGCTCCAAGATAAAATCAGACTGGAACTTGCCTCAAATGGGCAATGTTGACCTCTAATGACATCAAGGCTGGGTAGAACCAACTGCCCAGGGTTGCATGCCCTTCACAAGAATGCTCTTATTTAGGCATTTCATCTTGGCCTTTTGCTGTAGTGTTTGCAATCCACCTTTTGTGCAATCCAAAAGTGTTTGTTTTGTGTAAAACATTGAACTTCATGTTCAGTGTTAATGTTTATTCTTTAGCCTAGCCATATTAGGAGCTTTTTGAAAAATGGCTAATTCCATCATTCTTGAGTGGTCAATCCTACCATGGTTTCAACAGAGTCCTAGAGACGACTGAGAAACCTAAAGAAGAAACGGCTAAGCCTGTGCCAAAAACAGCAAGAGTGCTCTGATGAAATTCCTCATGGTTCACACGACTGTCATTTGTCTAAAGACCAAACTGCCTCCTGTCACCCTGCCTTACTTTGTCCAAAAACATAAGTACCCTACGCCTCTCCAAAGTTAAGGAAAATGTGACATGTGAATCTGGAATATATATGTACCGTGTAAGTATGTAATATTATTTCAAATCTGGCACCCATAATGTTGCTTGACACTAAGCCAAATTTAGATTTGAATATAGAATATAAACTTCCATAAGTTTAGCTTGGAAAATAAAAACAATTTTCCCAAAACGTGAGAATAGTAAAAACAGATGTCCTTAGATAAGAACACAGAATGTATCCATAATTTTTATTTCAGTAGTTAAATAAAAACTATTTACTAAATCATAACATATACACAGAAAAGTATACAAATTGTAAGTTTAGAACTTAATGAGTTTTCACAAAAGGAACACCCCCATGTAGCCGGTACCCAGCTCAGGAAATACAACCAGCCCTTTGAGAACCACCTCTCATGGCCCTTCCCACTCACTACCTCGCTGCAAAGGAAATCATTACCCCAGCTTCTAAAATCATGTATTAGTTTTGCCTGTTTTTAAGTTTTATAGAAATGGCACATTAATCTATGTATTATTCGGTGTCTGGCTTATTTCACTCAACATTCTGTTTGTGGGATTCAGATTCATCCATGTTGTTGTAGTTTGTCATAGTTTGTTCACTGTATAAATACACTGCAATTTTATTTATTCATTCCTCTGTTGATGGCCATTTGAGTTGTTTCCAGTTTGGGGCTAGTGTGAATAGTACTGCTGGGAACATTTTTGTATGTCTTTGATGCACATATGCATTTGTTTCTCTTGGGTATAAATGTAGGAGTGGAATTGCTGGGCCACAGACTCATCTTGGGGAGATGGTGCCAAACAGTTCCAAGGTGTTGTACATATTTAGCCTCCCGCCAGAATGTATTTGAGTTATAATTGCTCCGTATCATCTCTGGTCCTTGGTATTGTTAGGTGTTTTAGGGTTTTTGTTTGTTTTGTGTTTGCCCATCTGATGGGATTGGCATTTTTTAAAAGTTTCTGCAGAGACTACGGTACAGGGAACAGCACAATCATTCCTAGTCTAAATTAGTCTAAATGAATATTACCAATATTGAGAGCTCCCCATTTTAAGAATTTATAATTATGAAAATTATCTTTTGTAATATCTAAAACTTATTTTGCACTTCCATTGAGTGGGAATTTTGCTGAGTCTTTAGTTTAAAAGTCATACACTTCGTAAAGATCAGACTGCTAGAGTCCCTCCGCCTTACTTTCAGATGTCTTAAAAAATAAACAAAAGATAGGAGGGAGGAAGGGAGGAGAGGAAGGAAGGAAGAAAGGCAGGGAAGAAAGAAAAAAGAAAGGAAATAGTGAGGGAAGGAAGGAAGGCATGATTGATTCTCGCTAGCCAAAGTGATCTCATGAACGTGACTGTTTTCAACAACAAAAAAAGGGACAGATTCTATAGGAAAACATTTGATTGACTTTAATTCCCCCACAAGTATATATTCTTTGGGGATGATCATGTAAAAAACTAAATAAATAAACAACACACACACACACACATACATCTCTATATACATGGAAAATAAGGTATAGATGTAAATGAAGTAAAACATTGACATCTACAAGAGGTTATTGGAAAGACTGAACGTCTTTCCAACATGTTGAATGTTGCTTGGTTTGGAGGATGGTTGGTGGGAATGCCCCTGAAGTGTTTGTCATCTTCACAGTCATCTCTTGAATTAACCATGCACAACTCCTCAAAAAGAACCCCCAAAAACTGAAGAGCAAAGACAAAGGGAAAGGGAACGAGCCACCTGTTACCTAGTCCTCCACATGGTTTCACACCCAGTGTAGACACTTTGTAGAAGCCAGTTCCAAAGGCAAGCCTCTAAGAAGACTGTCAAGTCACTGTTGCTGTGTCTCCTGGAGCTCCAAAGTGCAGGACGATTGAACAAATGGGCTCCTCCTCCATCCTCCCAGGCCATGCTGCTTTCACCCTATCACAACCTTATAGTCCATCTAGTGTCAGAGCCTTGGTGTGCCTATATGTTTCCCTTAAAAGGTTGTGGAATTCAGAAGGAGAGAGCCCAGGTCTTACTTATCTTTGGAGTCAGCCAGAGTCACAAATGCTTTGCAGGCCCAGAGCAACGACCAAGAAAAGGTACTAAATTGCACTGACCCCCAGGCCAACTCTGTTTACTTTGAGAAAGGTGGGTTGTGTATAAGTTAAAGCACGTAGGTGTTGTTTCTACAATGTAGAACCATTTAGATCATGTTCCTATCATTTTGGATACTTTCACCCTTCTAACTTGTGCATGCACCCACACATGCATACGCACACACACACACACACACACACACACACACACACACCCTTTCCTTCCTCTCCCACACTCTCCCTGTCTTACAAAATGTGCATAAGCACTGCAAAATCACTCTGCTTTCACTGATTAATCACAGCCTAGCTAACTTCACACCATTAAGAATGAAAGTACAGCTGGAAATGGTGTGGTGGAAAGGCTAAGACCAGCAGAAGGAGCAGATAATTCTACTTCTATTGGGCCACTAGCCGGCTGTGTGACCCTTGCCTTTTGGCCCTCACTTTTCTCCTGCTGTAGATGGACTCTGAGTTTCCTTCAATGATATTGCACAAAGGTGCATGTCTCCATAATTCCTCAGAAGGAGGAGCTTCCATTGCTTGTCTCCCAGTTTGTACCAGGACACTGTCAAAGCCAGAGCAAGATCTGATTTTCTGTTTGCTTAGAGTGCAAGTTGGTTTATTAAATAAAAGTGTGGTGGGACTGCTTCCTGTCTGTTTTGGCAACAAGACACTTGGAAATAAGAACACAATAAATGGAGTTTCAGCACTCAATACTCACTCTCCCTTTCCAAATTGAGACTACTTTGATAATTTGTGAGAGAAAGGAGACCCCTCAAACAAGGGCAAGAGATTGCACAATAGAAACCCAGCAGGTAAAGAGTTGTATAACTAATTCAGCAGTTCTTTGTATAGCTGAAATACCATAATTTCCCAAATTACTTTCTTTCACATTGCCGTACATGAGAGCAGTTGAGGTCTTGGCTTTCTCTTAACCCCAAACAGGTTACATCTTCACAAGTCTAAGGAGATTTTCACCTTGAAAATGTCTGATCCACCATGGGGTTGTAGCTATCCCCTGTATGTGAGACTATTTGCCTTTCCTCCAAAAGCCAAGACCAAAGATGTCACTGTGGGCAGGCAAGACACATTTACTAAAGTTTATTTTTTCTATTGCAAAGTAAAAACCAGGATGTGGAGGCTGATGGAGTGTGGACCAAATAAAAAATCAGTGGAATTGGTTTCCTTCCCGAAAGCATAAGTTTACAGGTGTGCTTGGAAGTTGTAACAAGATACCTGGTGGGAATTCCAATGCACTTCCTCTTTTGGAAGAGTAAAGGAGAGAATTAATTCTGGCTCCTAAGATCAGGACTGAGACTCTTATCAGAACATGACTTTTTGTGAGTGCTCTCTAATTCCAGTCTGAACACTGCCAAACACCAGATGTTCAGAGTGGTAAACCGTTGGAGTTCTCTGCAAAATCTGTTCATCTAATTGCACTTGGGTGGTGGTTGTCGCTGCTGCTCTCCTGCTCCCACCCCAATACCATGTGGTTTTTTTTTTTAAGGTTAAAGTTCAGCCCTAGCTAAAGCTGCATTCAGAGAGTGGGAGTCAATGTCTGGCCACAGAGCAGAAGGAGGTGGGGAGGGTGACTTTCTCTGTAGTTCTGTGTCCTAGATTTTCTGAAATGATTACATTCTGAGGACTCAGAGGCAGCTCACACTTTCAAGTCTGAATGCTGACTCATGTCCTCCCCTTCAGGGCAACGGAAAGGAAGGGTGGAGTTGGAGGATCTGGGGCTGTAGGGTAGGAGCAGGCAGGGGGGTGGTGGGGAGCAGAAAGAGGGAGTGAGGACACTTGCAAGTCTCTGCTGAACAAAATCCTTCCAACTTTCTTCAAGAGTCAAGAAACCTGACAGTGGAGCCTATGCAACTGCCCAGATGGCACATTTTTTTTTTTTTTTTGGTCTTTTTAGCCTTCTCCTTTCTTTGTTTTCCTTTGAGACCTTCAGGACCTACATAGTTAGTAAAGAGGAGGGGGAATGTCAAGTGAAATGAGTCAAATAAATGGAGGAAAACAATAACAAAAAATCCCCCTATAACTTAGGGTGATTTAGAAGGGAATCTTTGCTGAGCCTTAAAGGTGCCATTTCCTCTAGTGACTTTGATGGGTTCACAAAAGTTTGGGTCATTCACTCAGCTGGCCATTCACAGGGGCTTTGAGTAGCTTAATCTTTTAGCTAGTCAGCAGTTTGATAGTGTCATTTATCTGGCCATTGACAGGAGCTCACACACTCTGTCTAGTCTCAAGCGCTGTCCAAGTTCCTCTATCAGAAAAGTCACCTGTGATGGGACCAGAAACCAATATACCTCCAGTGACCCAGGACAGGTTTAAACCCAGCTTTTTTTTAATTTTTTTTTATTTTTTGTTTGTTTGTTTGTTTGTTTTTGAGATGGGGTATAACTCTGTCACCCAGGCTGGAGTGCAGCGGCGTGATCTCAGCTCACTGCAACCTCCGCCCTCCAGGTTCAAGTGATTCTCATGTTTCAGCCCCCAAAGTAGCTAGGATTACAAGCATGTGCCAACATGACTGGCTAATTTTGTATTTTTAGTAAAGATGGGGTTTTGCCATTTGGCCAGACTGGTCTCAAACTCCTGGCCTCAAGCAATCCGCCTGTCTTGGCCTCCCAAAGTGTTGGGATTACAGGCGTGAGCCACCGTGCCTGGCCAAAATCCAGCATTTTATGTTACACTTCTGGTATACACAGATATGTCTTCCACAGAATTGCTGGCTAACAATCTTTTAGTGGTTTTCTTGAATCAGATAATCACTTTGTGACCACTGATTCATGTGTTCAATAAAAATTCCATGCCTACCAAGTGTCAGGCCCCTTGATAGGAGCTGAGGATATATGAAGCTCTTTTCTACTGGGGAGTCTGAAAATAAGCGCCGACGTTCACATGCATCCACACACAAATGCATACACTTAAATCACACATTACGGTGGGTGTTGTGCAGGAGATGAACAGGCTGCAGTGACAGAACTGAAGGATGAGGTAGAGTCTGCTATGTAAAGAAAAAAATGATCAACTCCATTGACTAAAGTGCTGAGATGGGGTCTCTCATCTTTACACACCCTGTGCCCAGCCCAGTGGGCACGCAGTGGACATTAATTGTGGGGCCCTAAGCTTCACCCCCATCACTACAGATGCTCTCAGGGTTGACATTTGGTCAGAGGGCACTGGCTGTCCCAGTTGTTCAGCTACTACTGCTTGGTGACTCTGAAATACCCCACCTCACCCACTCCCAAGACCTCCTCTCACTCCATCCCCAAGACCTACCCTACAACTTAGCAACTAAAGGGGAAAGTGGTCTCCAGCAGGTCTGGAGCTGTCCTGTCCTGCCTATTAAATATTTCAGGAATGATATCCATTCTTAGAGTTGGGAGAGGGTTGTGCGTGCATGCGTGCATGTTCAAGAGGGAGAGAGAGAGAACGTACATGCCCAGCTGGCTTAGAAACAGCCTGCTGCCTTAGAGAAATTGCTAGGATTTTGACAGTACTGTCCCCTTTACAGTTCCATGACCACCATCAAATAGTCTCTGTAATACCTCCTCCTGCCAAGTTCTGGAACAGAATGGTAGAGAAATTAAACAGACATCGTGTATGCCCTTTAATATTAACATATACACCCTGGAATACTATGTAGCCATAAAAAGGAATTAGATCATGTCCTTTGTAGGGACACGGATGGAGCTGGAAGCCATTATCATTAGTAAATTAATGCAGGAACAGAAAACCAAATACCACATGTTCTCACTTATAGGTGGGAGCTGAACAATGAGAACACATGGACACAGGGAGAGGAACAACACACATGGGGTGTGGGGTTGAGGGAGGGTGAGCTTCAGGAAAAATAGCTAATGCATGTTGGGCTTAATACCTAGGCGATGGGTTGATGGGTGCAGCAAACCACCATGGCGCACATTGACCTATGTAACAAACCTGCACATCCTGCACATGGACCCCCAAAATAAAAATATAAATAAAAATTTTTAAAAAATGTTACAGAACTAAAATGAATAACATAGCCCATGTGCGAAAAGTGGCGTTGGGTATGAGGAGCCAAGACATTTGTATTATGTTAGCAAGCTTATTTTGGGCAAGGACAGTCAGATCAAAGTTAATGGGTTCTTCCTCAGAACCCTACTTGGCATCCTGGTATCTGCTTGTGATAAGTCAACCATACAGTCAAACTCTTCAACTGTAGGTACAGGGAGAAGCAGGAATAGAAAAAGACCTATTAAATTATCCTTTTCCTATAGAAACATAAAACACATGTGTCCATGTTTAATATTAAAAACATGGCTATTAAAGTAATAGAAAAATACTTCCTAAAGTTTAGGGGCTTGAGATATAATTCAGAGTAAATTTTTGGAGATCTATAAAAAATCACAAGTAAACCATCTTGCTCTCTCTGACCAACCACTACTGAACTGAAGTCTGGTTTTTCTTTTTTTGATTTAAGAAAGTTCTTTCCAGTCACTGCTATTTCCTTCCGCTCTCATCCAGAGCGTCACAATTCCTTTGGACCTCAAGAACACCTTGGACCTGCCAGTCCTCCCCGGCTCTGCTGCCTCTCCTGGGCCTCCCTGGCAGAAAGGAAAATCTCTTGCCTTTCATGGGGCTTAGCTGAACCCCATTCCTGCTTACTCCCTCAGCAGAAGGAGAAAAACAACAACCACAACAAACCACAAGATTGTAGCCATGATGTGCATTCTTCCTGGTGGCATCCTTCTTATCAGGGAAAAAAAAAAAACTTCTCTTTTTCTGCAGTCCATCTCTCCAGTTTTGCAGAAGCCAACTCTGCCTTTAAGGCTGGAGTTCTTGGTATGAAGCTGAGAACGAGTCCACCTGGAGTAGCAGGAACGAGCCATCTAGTGGGGCCAGTATAACCTGGAAATAGCTGTTGGTGGCACTCTGCCCCTCCCTATTGTATGTGTTTTCATCGCATTTATCTTGCCTTCCCTAGTCCCATTTCTTTTTCTCCTCCTCTGCCTAGGCCTCCACTCCCTAATGGGATTGAGTGATTCAGTTACTTCAGTTAATTTCAATTCAACTCATATTACTAGGTAGGAGAATCTCTGTGAAAGCACTTTGTAACAGGTGAAGTGTTTTACAAATATTAGCTTTAACTAAGCACTAATTATCATATCTTATCTGGGGTGTAGGTAGGAGAGATAAGTGCAAAAACGATAAAAAGCCTTGGTCCTGGCATTCCAGGTTCCTGACATCTAATAGAGGAGATACAAGACGCTTAAGAAAAATATGATGATAGTGTTCTTCCAAACCTACTGTAGAGGAGGGAGTATTTAAACGGACCTAGAAAGATGTGTGAGACTTCTCCTGACAGAAACAGTGAGGACGTTGGAAAAAACACAAGATACATGATGCATCTCTTGCTCAGGGAGTCACAATAGAAGTGGATCCCTTCCAAAAAGAAAGGAATCCCATTAGACCAGTGATCATCCTGAGACAGAAACGATGAATGAGGACCCTGGTCATTTAACCATATCTTCAATCCTCCACAACGTTAAATGTAAGAATTAAATGTCCAAGTTACATCTCTGTTTTGGAAGATGACAAGTTACACCTGACATACTTGGATAAATATGACAAAAATTCACTTGTGCACAGAAAGCTGCCAAGTCCCCTTCAGCGTGGTGAGGACTTGAAGAGATGAAGTTTCTTTGAGCTGTACAGAATAGTCTGGAAGTAGGGGTAGGAGGTAGCATTCTTTTCCAGCCAAAGGTACAAACACCCTCTTAAAAAGAAAGGTGCATTTAGAAGGAATGCGGTCCCCATACATCACCTGTGATTAGCTTTTGGGCAACTTTCATGGACAGGAAGGCTTCCATTCAGGAGCAGACAATTCGCTCAATTACCTTGAGGGTCTTAGGTCATCCCCTGAGAATGGGAACAATGTCCCTCAGACCTGCTAAGGAAACTCAATCAACCAACTCAGGTGTGCAATGAAGCGTTTGAAGAGTCATTGAAGGTGCTATTTACTCTCATTGGGTTTTTTGGGTTTTTTTCTTTTTTGCATGGAGGTAGATAACAAGTCTTTTACTAGAACCTTCATCTGGGAGAGTTTTTGTTTTTCTGTTTGTGGCTTTTACCAGTTCTGTATTCAAAGACCAACACAAAACCCCTGTTTACTTTCTGTCCTGGAAAATGCTATCAGCTCTGTGTGGAGCACTTCCTAGAAAACCCTCCCCTCCCCACCTCCCTAGCATGACTCTTCAGTTTGGCTTCAGGAGGATGTTTACCTCTCACACTTACCATTGAGGTTCAAATCTGGCCAACCTTTTACCAGCCTTGAACACATAAAGCCACAGTCTTCCAAGAGGGGCAGTGGGCTCTCCTGGGTGCATTTCAATGATTTCCACCTGCTAACTTTTGCATTTGGAAAATTGCAGAGAACCAGATTATCATGCCATTTGAGACAATTTTGTCAGCTGTGATTTTCCTAAAGTAGGAATCCATATTCAAATATGAGAGCAAGAGGAAATTTTAGCCTAGACATTAAAGAAAAAAAATGAAAAGGGGTAAATAATCTTAAAATTGCAGCAAAGTTTTAGCCTTTCAAAGGGAAAGTGAGGACAAAACTATATCTAATCAAATTCTCACATTGTAAAGAATCTTCTGATTATTCTTACTTTTTTCTCCTCTTTTACATGCATCCAAAATCACTGCTTCTTTGGTGAAGTTTAAAAACGGAATATTTCTGACATATGCTCTCATTGAGTGATTAAAAATGGAAGCCAGAGGGGGAAAATACTCTCTAATTTGCACTCAAAGCAAAACTAGCCACCAAGGTACAGGAAAGAATAATGAGTGAAATAAATCTCTATAAGAAGTAACAGAAAGGGAATGAAAGATGGGCACTTTAAAAACTTCTCTAGATCAGCAATTCAGTGGGTTTAGCTTGCTAGATTTGCAAACACAGAACCAACAAGACAGCAGGATCAGATGGCATGGGCAAGTGTTTTGGTGCCAGAAAATCTTGCAGAGAGAGCATGTTTGTCATCATTTTCAGGGAGTGAGGGGAGGGCAGAGAGAAAAAAGACAAACCCTTCTGGTATCCACCTACACAGAAAATTTTTGTACTTCTTACCATGGAAATATTAACTTAGAGGAAGGGAACAGACCCTTGGGGACTTCCATCCTAAAACCTTTCTGAAAGGGTAATGCCCAGAAGCATATCCAAAAAGGAAGAGACTGGCAAATGAATTTGTGCAGAAACACCAGCAGAATCAGGACACCAGATTTTCCTGCACAAGCTGCACGTAACTCACCAGGGAGTCAGACTGCTCACTCTCTCGCCTTGTGCAACACAGCCATCCTGGCCTCTCCCAGTCCAGGACCCACTTGTGCAGTCCTTGGCAGAGCCCACGATCTACTGAAACACCACAGCACTGTGTCTATTCCTACTCAAAACACACAAACTCCCTGCAGCATCCTTCAGCGTCCACCTTAGTGACCATACTCAAAATCCTCTTCGAATCCCCTGAGGACAGGAACCAGGCACTAGATCCACTTGGGGACCCAGATTATTCTGAGTTCAAATCCCTTCACCATAGAATAAATCTCCAAATTCCTCTTTCTAATGTATCATGAACCAGCGCCAATTGGGTGGGTAGCTTTGGAAGACTGCTAATAAACTTTCCCCACTGGCAGTATCTCCCTCTTCCTTCTTCCTTCAAAGAGGGGAATTCATAAAAGCATTTGCATAAAATTATATGGAAAATATTGAATTCAGGATCCATTCCTTTTCCATTGCAAACACTACTACATTCACAGTAGGCTGACGACTGTTCGTACTCTTAGAGCATTCTGCCAGTATAGTGATGTATCTTCTTCAGGCCCCAGGTGCCCACATGCTCCAAGTTTAAAGTAACGTGAGAGACCAGAAAAGAAGCCCCAAAACATGTACTCCTTCCCCATTTCCAGGAACGCTCATGTGCATGGGACTGTACAGTCATTTAAATGTTCACTTACACATGGAGATGAACAATTTTTGCTATTGTAGCAAAATTTCACAATGCTTTGAAAACAGATTTGTTCTAAAATGAAAAGCACTAAAGAAATACAAAGAAAAATATTTTTTCCTGTTGAGGACTTAGGTGAGAATGTTTCAAGTCCTGAGTTGTGAGACCAGCTTTGCCTCTCACTAGCTATCACAGAAGTTTTTCTAGATACAAAGATTTCATCTGAAACACGAAGCGGGTGAACTAACAGATTTTGAAGGCTCCTTTCACAACTAAAAGTTCATGACCAATTTTCTTCATGTAAATACTCACGTATCCACAGCCACTCAAACTACCCTCTCTATTTCCCAGCCCACTGCAGCCACGGCCGTGGCGAGTACCCACGCCCAGAGGGGCTCCCAGCCGCTGAGCACTGGGACTTGCTCCAAAATCACATTAAGCTGGCTCTTGTATTTTTAGTTGCCTGCCTCTCTTCTTCCCCCTGTTAGTACAGATTACCCGGAGTTAACGCTCTAGTTGATTCAGCCAAAAATCACCTGGCAGATGTACAGTGTGGGTGGTTTGCCACACATATAACAATAGGACATTAAAACGTCAAACAGCCCTTGAAACTATCAAGATGAGTGGCCTCCACATAAGAAGATCCAGTAGAATTTAGGGAAAATATTGGATCACTTGTTTCTTTATTTTAACATATTTCTTTTAAACTTCTGTTTCAGGGGTGTGTTTTGTACTGTACATAATATATTAGATCTTTACAGATGCATATTTATAAATTAGTATACATCCATTAAGCATACATGCTAAATTTTGTTGTTGTTGTTACTTATAGGAGTACTGGTCCATGGCCTCTTAGAAACTGGGCCACACGGGTGGGCGGCGGGTGAGGAAGCAGTACTGCCTGGGCTCTGCCTCCTATCAGATCAGCAGCGGCATTAGATTCTCATAGGAGCGCAAACCCTATTGTGAACTACGCATATGAGGGATCCACATTGCACACTCCTTATGAGAATCTAACTAACGCCTGATGATCTGAGGTGGAACGGTTTCATTCCCTAAATCACCCCCCTCAACCTCCCCTGTGGAAAAACTCTTCTTCCAGGAAACCCGTCCCTGGTGCCAAAAAGGTTGGGGACTGCTGATTTAAGATGCTGGGCCAAGTTCTGTCCACCACCTGTTTCTGTAAATGAAGTTTTATTGGGACATAGCTAAGCCCATTCATTTACATAGTATCTTTGGCTATTTTGATACTACAATGGCAGAGTTCAGTTGCTGCATCAGAGAGGGTATGGCCCACAAATCCTAAAATATTTTCTGTCTGGCCATGTATAGAAAAAATTCACTGACCCTTGATCTAGACTAACCCCATTTTGATGGGTTGAAGGAATTGAAGCCCAGAGTTGTTGAGTACATTACCAAAGCAGACTGGAGCCAGGGCTCTTCTTCAAAGCATTCTTTAGCCAATGCTTTGTACACACAATCACACTGTCATCCTCGTACCTCATGTTCTTTCAGATCTTTTGACTTCCAAACTAAGATACTACTAGACTAAATTTTATTTCACCCACAAATGGCTGCTTTTACCTGAGCTCACCTCTAGGCCTTCCCCCATCCCTCATTCTCCCAGCTGGGTTGCTGCAGCTTCCATAGTGGGTAGCCTGCCCCTGCCAAAAAGTGCTGTACATATTACTCATCTGCTGTTTGTACCAAACAGAAGATCACCTGGGTTTCTTCCTTTTTTTCACACACTATAATTACTATGCTGTATTTCTCAAAACACTTAGAAACTCAGCGACCAATAACATGTTAACTTATTTGGAATATCCCACAGAGGTATTAGTACTGGTAACATAATGAAAATCAGTCAATGACTACCTCTTTGACCATATAAACTTTATATTAGAGTCAATAAGCAGTTGCTGGCACAGGAGGTCTTCCATCATGGGGAACTAATTTGGGACTGAGTTTCATGTTAGAATTAGTCAGGGTAGCAGTTTCCCAAGTGTTGTCCCATAGCAGCAGCAGCAGAAGCATCCCCTGGGAACTTGTTAGAAATGCAGAGTCTCAGGCCCTACCCCCAAACTACTGAATCAGAAACTCTGGGGGTGGGCCACAGGTATCTGAGTTTTAACAAGTCCTCCCGTTGATTCTTAGGCTTGCTAAAGCTTAGAAAGTATTGATGGGAGGGATTGAGCATCACTACTAAGGACCAGGTGCTAGAAGGATAGGACATTTTCTACCACAATCCCTCTTCCCTAAAGTCTCCATTCCTGCCAACATTCATGGCATGTTTCTATTTGCTGGAGCTCCAGGAAGAGATACCACTTCCTTGCCTTCCATGGAGCAGTAAATATAAGAGTGACCTTTGGGCACTGAATGGAAAAAGAAATCCCAGCTTGCTCAGTGACCATTGTTCCTTCCCTCAATTATGATCATTTTACACTGCAAAACTCACCGCAAACTAATTGTATTTCTAAACGTTTATCAAGGACCTACTAGGTACAAAACTCTGTGTATACATGAATCCTGTACATCTATCTCAGCGAATACTGAACCAGTACTACGGAGTATACAATCAAATGAAGGAGATACATTTTCAGCTTTAAAAAAATCACATGCAGACAAATACTATGAAAATCCAAATCGAGAGCTTTGAAGGAAAGAAACAAGTTGCTACACGGATGTGTCATGAAAAAAACTTGACCAAATGGGAGAGCTGGGGATGCTCCCCTAGGGAACTGATATTTCAGCCGATCTGTCTGCAGACAAGATTTTTAAAAAGGAGAAAGCATTGTCCACTTAGAGAAATAAGCATGTGCAAAAGCCCTGTAGCAGAAGGATAATAATATTTTAAAGAACTGAAAGCAGACCCGTGGAGCTGAAGCTCAGAATGAGGATGGAATGGCATAAGAGGTGGTAGGGGAAGTAAGATGCACCCACATGAAAGATTTTGTTTATTGTTCCAACAGTGAGATCACTCTGGCTGCTGTGTGGGAAACTGGAAGGAAGCTAAAATGAAGTGACCATTGTAGTTTTCCAGGCCAGACATGAAGGTAGGTTAGGTTAGGGGAAGGTGGAGAGAAGTAAATAGGTTTTGGAAGATACTTAAGCAATAGCAACATAGAAGGTTTGGTGACATGGAGTATGAGAAGGTCAAGGATGATTGCTTAGTGTTTGGTGTGGGAAACTCGATAACTGCTCACAGATATAGAAAGCAGAGGAGCAGGTAGGGTGAGGTTAAGGTAGGTGTGGGAAATCTGTGAGGCCTGTTTTGAATGGGCATGTTTGGGGTTCATTTCATATTTACAACTGGAAACTTTCGGTAAGCAATAGCAGAGTTGTTCAGGAGTGTAGAGAGAGATCTGCGCTGGACATACAAAATTGATAATCATAGGCATATAGATAATAATTGAAGCTATAGGTTCAGATAAAATTACCCATGGAGAATGTATAGAGTGAGAAGAGTGTCTGAGACAAACTCTGTGGGAAATACACATCGTCAGATATATGACGGAGATTGTCCTCTCAAAGAAGAATGAAGAGAAAGACTAGAGAGGTTGAGAGAAATCAAAAGAGCAGGCGTTACAAAAAGCAATTGAAGAAAATGTTGCCAGAAGGAAAACATGTTCAAGATCTCTACTCCCAGTATGGAACTTCAGGAAGTGTTGCCATTTTGTCTCAGATGTGGCAGTAAACAGGAACCTTGGCAAGGAATATGCTGAAACTAGAAAAATTGTCAGCATTTCTTCAGGGGAAAAAAAAGATTCTGCCCTGTTAAACCTTATCACTCAATTTTGGAGATTCCAATCTTTTCTAAGGATTAAAGCAGTCATTAAAGTTCAATCAAACAAAAAGAAATATTTGACTAAACTTGTTTCTGTATAGTAAGTGACATGCAAAAGGCTCTATCACCCAAGTTTTCTTCCCAAAGGCCGCATTAGGGACTCAGATTTTTGGACAGTATAATGGAAAGCTCCTTTCTTGGTGCTGGCTAAGACAACAAATACAAATGTCTTGACTCTGAAACCATGCCATAGGAGAATAGCATCAAGCAATGTCAAATACGACTCAGTGAAAGTAGGAATTGGCACAATAGCTGAGTTACTGCTTTAGATTCACAGAGTTCCTTTTAATAACAGCTTCTAAAACTTCCCACCTGGTCTGTTGAACATTACGTCATGTCAAACCTACTCTATACCCAAGGGATTAACACAGACAAGTGTAATGACTTGGCCAAGACAACACAAGTCAGGGAGGTCTTGAGGGCAAAGGCAATCTGCCAGGGCAAGGCTTATATGTTATTCTTCCCATCAATGCAAATAAAAGTTAAAATATGAGCATTCAGGGGTAGTTATTGCCTGAGAAGTGATATGAGGGAGTGGTACATACACAGAAAGAGTAATTGAGCAGTACACTTAGAATTTGTATACGTCACTGTATATGTGCTATACTTCACCAAAAATAAAATAAACATGAACATAAATACTATTTGATTTCAAAATGTTTACCTGGGTTTCCCTGACTTGAGGCTGTCACCAGTTGTACCAAACCATTAGCTTCATTTTCACTTAATTTTGCATGATTATTTTGGCCAGAATAGTGGGTAGTGGGTGTGATTGTCCCTAAAGGCCTGAACCTGTAACATATCTTCTGCATTAGGCTACTAGGCACTTAAGACACATCTATCATATTTAGTCATCACTTAAATCCAATGAGGTAGTTTTTATTGTTCTGATTTCACAGATAAGGAAATTGAGATACCAAGAGGCTAAATAACTTACTATATGTATCTGAGTCCAAAGCCAGTGATCTTTTCAATAAATCCAATATGAAATAAAGAAACATTGCCCAGGAAGAAATATGACCAAGTGGCAAGTTCCATCAGTAGACAAAGTGAGGACACATGAAAGACTAACCAAGGAGGAAGGCAGAAAAAGGGAAAGGACCCAGACTGTGGGAACAAAGCCTGCGTATGTGTGGGAAGCTTGGCAAAAGCTGTTATGCAGAGGATATTTTGAAAAAGTAAAACATGTAGAAAGAAGACACAAATAGATAATTTTAACTGTTTAAAGAAGATTACATCAGTCTAACATTTAGCCACTTTTGAACCTAAAGAGGACAGTCAAAATGGAAACATATTTTATTTCTAGAAAAATTTTCTCCAGCTGTTTTAACAAATTTTCTCCAACTGTTTTAACAAATTATTACACAATTATTTTCAAATGAGACTGTCACATCATTAATTTGGCTTTTTGGTCACCTTTTCTAAATGTTTTCCTTGGGTCTGGTCACTTGCTGAACTCTCATTAGTTGTGATAAATGATTATCTTTCAATTTTTAGGCATACCATCATATAATCCACAAAAAAGGATAATTCCACTCTTTCTTTTCAATTTGTATGCCTCTTATTTATATTTCTTGGCTTATTGCATTGGCTGGACTTTCTAGTTCAGTATTGACTAGTAACAGTAATAAGAGATACTCTTTTCTCTAATGGAAATGTTTCTAACTTTACATTTGTATTCTCCTTTCCTATATTTCAAAGTCTCTCTTATGTTCTACCTTTCTTTGCTTTTACTGTGCTTACATCTCTCTTGCAGAAAAAATATTGAAAAAATGGTGAACTAAGTTTCTGGTCCTTCTCCTTTAGACATGGGAAATGAAGGCTTCCAGCCTCCCAGCTGGGGTCTTGAAGCACCTGAATCCAGGGAATCCCCAGAGCCCAGGGGAGGGAGAAGGTGAACATAAGCATGTACCCATCACCACCCATGTAGAAGACGCAAACGCTCACCTTGTAAAGAGTGGAGAAGCCAGGGTGGGAGTCTAGGAGAGCCTGTGTGCCACATGGTCCATGTATCAAGGGGCCAGCACCAGTCTCTGGTTTCAGATACAGGATATGGGCACTGATTTGTCTGTTCATTACCATGTGCAGAGGTCACTGGGCATTTTCATGTGAACTAGAGTTTGTCATCTATTTGGATTCGTGGACTAACAGAGACCTGATTCTAAAGAGATGTTTCCTGCCTTATGAAACATGCCATTAAGAATTAAGAGGAATTGTTTATTCTTTTTTCTTTTTTCTTTTTTTTTTTTTTTTTTGAGTTGGAGTCTTGCTCTGTCACCCAGGCTGGAGTGCAGTGGCACCATCTCGGCTCACTGCAATCACTGCCGCCCAGGTTCAAGCGATTCTCCTGCCTCAGCCTCCTGAGTAGCTGGGACTACAGATGCCCGCCCCCACGCCCAGCTAATTTTTATATTTTTAGTAGAGACGGGGTTTCACCATGTTGACCAGGCTGGCCTAGAACTCCTGACCTCAGGTGATCCACCTGTCTCGGCCTCCCAAAGTGCTGGGATTACAGGTGTGAGCCACCGAGCCCAGCCTAAGGTTGGTTATTAATACTAAATAACATTTTTGCCCCACAGCATCAACATCACTACCCTAAGGATTTGAAAAATCAGAAGCATCTCCCTCACTGAGGCAGGAAGTCTTCAATCACCTCTGAATTCTGACCTCCCATCCATTAACATCTCTCCTTTGGCAGAATATGGAGACCAACAGAAATGCTTCAGACTACATAAGAATCACAGTCTCCTGACACATTGAAAAACTACAGAACATGAAAAAAAATTCTTTTACAACTTTTATCAGTTGCTACTTAGTAATATATTTAAAATATTCAAAATATGTGTAAATGAGGAAATTGGGCATAAGTATGATGTAATTTAAATATATATATACATATATGTGTGTATATATATGTATATACATATATGTGTGTATATATATGTATATACATATATGTGTGTATATATATGTATATACATATATGTGTGTATATATATGTATATACATATATGTGTGTGTATATATGTATATACATATATGTGTGTGTATATATGTATATACATATATGTGTGTGTATATATGTATATACATATATGTGTGTGTATATATGTATATACATATATGTGTGTGTATATATGTATATACATATATGTGTGTGTATATATGTATATACATATATGTGTGTGTATATATGTATATACATATATGTGTGTGTATATATGTATATACATATATGTGTGTGTATATATGTATATACATATATGTGTGTGTATATATGTATATACATATATGTGTGTGTATATATGTATATACATATATGTGTGTGTATATATGTATATACATATATGTGTGTGTGTATATATGCCATATATATATATATATATATATATATATAATGGTTTTCTTGATTTGGCTGAGATCCTTGGCACATGCAGAGCAACTATAACATCTAAGAAGTTATAGATTTAAGTAACCCCAAGCAGAATCTGATTGCCAGCTACCCCAGGTTCTCCTGAGAAAGTTGTGCCACTGATGAATCAGACATCACAGATATACATATACCAATATGTATATATATACCAATATCTTTTTTAAAAATCAAAGAGGTTCCTTGTCTGAAAATCACTATTGCATGGGATGGCTGTGATGATCCCATTGAGGGACAATATACATCAGAAGACAGTTCTCCTAATCCACACTCCAGCTCTTCCAGTTCTAGGGAGATCTGCCTACCTTTTTCCTTCCTCAACATCTAGACCAGAAAAGGTAGCCAGATTTAGAGAAGGAAATCAGAGGTGGGTACTTTAGTGTTTGACATCTTAGATTGAGAAAGGAAGAAAAGGGGAAGAGAAATCAAGCTATGCCTCCGAGACTAAGAACACAAGAATAATAAAAAGAACAAATAAAGCATTTGATACAGAAAGAAAAAAAATCATCTATGGAGACCAATGCTATCAGCTTCTTTAAATTACTGAGTGGAGAGTGAGAGGTGGTTGTCCCCTAAGCAAGTGGTGAAGTGAAGATACAAACATAGTGGGGATTCCTGAAGAGTCATTCTCTAAGACAAGACTTGGCCCCTGATGGCTTCTTACTAGCAGTATTTTCTTTTTGAGTCATGACTTTGCTTTTATAGAAATAGTCACAGACAAAATATTTTAAAAGATAACCATTTGAAGAAGAACAAAAACTTCCCTTTATCCACTCTATCTTCTCATCTTAGGGAACTTCTAAAAGTTAAAGCTTCAGCAAGTTGGACTTTTTTCTCCCTTTTTTTTTAATTGAGCTAAAATATACACAGAGAAAAGTACACATTTCATAATGTACAACGGGAAAAATTGTTGAAAATTAACACCCTCTGGTAACTAGCACCCAGTTTAAGAAACAATGTCACCAGCATCCCTCTTGCCCCTTTCCAGTAAATAATTCAAAGGCACCCATTATTTTGACCTCTACCAGCATTATCTGATTTTGTCCTTCAAAAACAATTGGATTATACTGTGTGTACTGTTTTATCTGACTTGTCTGATGCACTCACATTTTCATGTGTGGTTATAGGTCATTCATCTTTATTGCTATGTTGCATTCTAATATATGCATATATCACATTTTAATTGCTCAAATTTATTGTTTGTGGGCATTTGTGTCATTTCTAGTTTTGGCTCTTACAAATAGTGCTGCTGTAAACACTCTAGCACATGTCATTCAGGGTCCATTTTATTCCAGCCTTTAAAATTAAGGAGCATACCATTGGTGAAAAGGAGAAAAATATTGTATTAGAATTGATGGATACTTAAATGATGGATACTTAAAATCGCAGCCTTATGATTGCATGTTTGAATATCATTATGAAAATATGTTTCTGAAATTAAACTCTAAAAACTATAATAATATAATGATAAAATAAGAATCCTACTGAAAAGGAAAAGTTAACATCTACTTTTAAAACAGCAAGTACAAAAGGATAAATGTTTGAGGTGATGGATACCTCATTCTCCATGATGGGATTATTACGCATAACATGCCTGTTTCAAAATATCTCATATACCCCATAAATATATATACCTACTATGTATCCAGAACAATTAAAAATAAAAATTTTTTAAGTAAAATACTTTTTCTTTAAAAATAAAATCAAAATGACAAGTGCATGTGCCAAAGTAATACAAAGAAGCTAACAGTACAGGTCTTTTTCTTTTTTTAACTTCACATACTTATTTATTTCCATTAAGAAATAGAACTACCCAGAACAATTAAAAATAATTTTTTAAATGAATAAAATACTTTTTCTTTAAAAAATAAAAATAAAATAACAAGTGCATGTGCCAAAGTAATACAAAGAAGCTAATAGCACAGGTCTTTTTCCTTTTTAACTTCACATACTTATTTATTTCCATTAAGAAATAGAACTACCAAACCCACAGCCAATACCATACTGAATGGGCAAAAGCTGGAAGCATTCCCTTTGAAAACTGCCACAAGAAGAGGATGCCCTCTCTCACCATTCCTATTCAACATAGTATTGGAAGTTCTGGCCATGGCAATCAGGCAAGAGAAAGAAATAAAGGGTATTCAAACAGGAAGAGAGGAAGTCAAATTGTCTCTCTTTGCAGGTAACATGATTGTATATTTAGAAAACCCAATTGTCTCAGCCCAAAATCTCCTTAAGCTGATAAGCAACTTCAGCAAAGTCTCAGGATACAAAATCAATGTGCAAAAATCAAAAGCATTCCTGTACACCAATAATAGACAAACAGAAAACCAAATCATGAGTGAACTTCCATTCACAATTGCTACAAAGAGAGTAAAATACCTAGGTATACAACTTACAAGGGATGTGAAGGACCTCTTCAAGGAGAACTACAAACCACTGCTCAAGGAAATAAGAGAGGACACAAACAAATGGGAAAACATTCCATGCTCATGGATAGGAAGAATCAATATCGAGAAAATGGCCATACGGCCCAAAGTAATTTATAGATTCAATGCTATCCCCATCAAGCTACCATTGACTTTCTTCACAGACTTAGGAAAAACTACTTTAAATTTCATATGAAACCAAAAAAGAGCCCATATAGCTAAGACAATCTTAAGCAAAAAGAACAAAACTGGAGGCATCATGCTACCTGACTTCAAACTATATTACAAGGCTACAGTAACCAAAACAGCATGGTACTGGCACCAAAACAGATATATAGACCAATGGAACAGAACAGAGGCCTCAGAAATAACACCACACATCTACAACCATCTGATCTTTGACAAACCTGACAAAAACAAGCAATGGGGAAAGGATTCCACATTTAATAAATGGTGCTGGGAAAACTGGCTAGCCATATGCAGAAAACTGAAACTAGACCCCTTCCTTACACCTTATACAAAAATTAACTCAAGATGGATTAAAGACTTAATTAAATGTAAGACCTAAAACCGTAAAAACCCTAGAAGAAAACCTAGGCAATACCATTCAGGACACAGGCATGGGCAAAGACTTCATGACTAAAACACCAAAAGCAATGGCAACAGAAGCCAAAATTGACAAATGGGATCTAATTAAACTAAAGAGCTTCTGCACAGCAAAACAAACTATCATCAGAGTGAACAGGCAACCTAAAGAATGGGCAAAAATTGTTGCAATTTTCTAATTGCAAAGGGCTAATATCCAGAATCTATGAGGAACATAAGCAAATTTACAAGAAAAAAACAACCCCATCAAAAAGTGGGCAAAGGATATGAACAGACACTTCTCAAAAGATGACATTTATGCAGCCAAAAAACACATGAAAAAATCTCATCATCGCTGGTCATTAGAGAAATGCAAATCAAAACCACAATAAGATACCATCTCATGCCAGTTAGAATGGTGAACATTAAAAAGTCAGGAAACAACAGATGATGGAGAGAATGTGGAGAAATAAGAACGCTTTTACACTGTTGGTGCAAGTGTAAATGAGTTCAACCATTGTGGAAGACAGTGTGGCAATTCCTCAAGGATCTAGAACCAGAAATACCATTTGACCCAGCAATCCCATTACTGGTTATATACCCAAAGGATTATAAATCATTCTACTATAAAGACAACATGCACACGTATGTTTATTGCAGCACTATTCACAATAGCAAAGACTTGGAACCAACCCAACTGCCCATCAATGATAGACTGGATAAAGAAAATGTGGCACATATATACCGTGGAATACTAAGCAGCCATAAAAAAGGATGAGTTCATGTCCTTTGCAGGGACATGGATGAAGCTGGAAACCATCATTCTCAGCAAATTAACACAGGAACAGAAAACCAAACACCGCATATTCTCACTTATAAGTGGGAGTCGAACAATAAGAAGACTTGGACACCGGGAAGGGAACATCACACACTAGGGCCTGTTGTGGGGTGGGGAGGCTAGGGGAGGGATAGCATTAGGAGAAATACCTAATGTAGATGATGGGTTGATGGGTGCAGCAAACCACCAGGTCATGTGTATACCTATGTAACAAACCTGCACGTTTTGCACACGTATCCCAGAATTTAAAGTATAATAAAAAAGAAAAAAATAGAACTACTTATATGATTCAGCAATTTTATTACTGGATATATACCCAAAGGAAATGAAATCTGTAAGTCAAAGAGATAGCTGCACTCCCATGTTCACTGTAGCACTATGTATGGAATCAACCAATGAGTCCATCAATAGATGAATGGATAATGAAAATATGGTATATTTACAAAATGGAATACTATTCAGCCTCAAAAGAGAAGGAAATTTTGTCATTTGCAAAAACACGTATGAACTTGGAGGATATTAGTTCAAGTGAAATAAGCCAGGCACAGGAAGACAAATACCACAGCATCTCACTTACGTGTGGAATCTAAAAATGTTGGATTCAGACACAAAGAGGAGAATGGTGATTAGTAGGAGCTAGCAGAAAGGGGAGGGGATTGGGGAGATGTCAGTGAAAAGATACAAAATTTCAGTTAGGAGGAATAAGTTCAAGAGATCCATTGTATAATATGGTGACTATAGTTAATAAAAATATATACTTGAAAGTTGCTGAGTAGATTTTAAGCATTTTCACAGCAGGCCAAATTTTTATGAGACTCTTAAACGTGCATATTATGGCCAGTGGAGCTTAGCTCTTCACGAATGTGAGGTGCTATCATTAGGAATAAATTTTTGTTTATAAATCCCCTTACCTTTGTTCCCCAAAACACTCATTTACTCCCACCAGGAACAAGCACTCAAACCACAACCAAGTATGATATTCAGAAGTTTTACTAGCTGAAGAAAGTCAATCAGTCCAAGAAATGTGTATGACATCTTACTTCTGTCTTCTCCTGGGTTCAGATCCTTAACTTGCTAATTCACTATAATGGGAGTTAGCAAAGCTTGGCCCTCAGGACAAATCCAGACCACAGTCTGCTTTCTTTTTTTTTTTTTTTTTTTTTTTTTGAGACGGAGTCTCGCTCTGTCGCCCAGGCTGGAGAGCAGTGGCGTGATCTCAGCTCACTGCAAGCTCCGCCTCCCGGGTTCACGCCATGCTGCTGCCTCACCCTCCCGAGTAGCTGGGACTACAGGCGCCCGCCACCACGCCCGGCTAATTTTTTGTATTTTTAGTAGAGACGGGGTTTCACCGTGTTAGCCAGGATGGTTTCGATCTCCTGACCTTGTTATCCGCCCGCCTCGGTCTCCCAAAGTGCTGGGATTACAGGCATGAGCCACCGCACACAGTCTGCTTTCATAGAGCCTACAAGCTAAAGAACGGCTTCCCATTTTTAAGTAATTGAAAAAAATCAGATAAAGATTTTCATAATATATAAATTAAATAAAATTATGTTATATAAAATAATATATAAATTATTTAAAATTCAAATCATTGGCCTTAAATAGTTTTCTTGGAAGAGAGCCACACTTATTCATTTACTTCTTGTCTATAGCTGTTTTTGTGCTACAACGGTCAAGTGTTCTGACATAAACCACATGACCTGCAAAACCAGAATAGTTCTCTCTGATGCTTTACAGAAAAAGTTTGCCAGCACCTGCACTGCATAAAGTCTGGCTGTTCCCATCCTACAGTCTGAGAGCTTCATATGTCATAATGTACTCAGTATAATTCAAATGCAATATCATTAAAAAGGACAAAAGCAAACATTTATATTGGATTTTGTGGGACAAACCTTATTCGAAATGTTCCACCATGTTGTCCATACGTAATATTCTAATGGATGGGCGTTGTCCATATGTAATATTCTAATGGTTCGGTAACACCAATACTTTAAACTTTCAAGCAACATCTCCAAATTTCCTCTTGCATCTAGAAGAGACAAAAATTCTTGTTCAGAGAACACATGCCTTGATTTGGGGCTAAGAAACATGCTGACTGAGCCTTGGTGCTCCTTACACTTAGATTTAACCTGAAGGTAAAAGTCTGATAGAAATAAGTAACCAGAAAAGCACAAACATTGAAGCACTCTCAGAAAAACTCAGCCCATTACATGTTTCTTTTAGATTATTAGAAATGATTCAGCTGCTCCAGTAACAATTTCTTTTGCCATGGGAAAGAAATCTACTCCACCTAACTGCAAATGTTTTTAAACTAAATTTCCTTCTCAAAGAGTTACCACATCTACTGTTAATAACATAACTGATTGTAAACTGTTTTTAAATCTTTTCAGATTTATTAGAGGTGGGGGGTAGGGAAGTTAGTCTAGAATGTAGAAAAGCTGCATTCTAGCTAAAGAGGTGAGTCTAACCTAGCCTTCTAGTTAGTCTAGAATGTAAAATGGCAGTCACAATGACAAGTTTCAATGGATCTCAATAGAGACTTAAGTGCCTTGCAAAACAAGACTGTCATTTCCAAAGTAGCATCCTGAAATGTTTAAATGTTTATGATAGAAACCACTCGAATCATCCCCAGCGAGTTTCTCAGAAGGGGCAGCTGGAGGAGGGAAGGGCAGCTGGAGGAGGGGAAGGGGCCGCAGGAGGAGGGGAAAGGGAGGCAGCTGGAGGAGGGGAAGGGGCAGCTGGAGGAGGGGAAGGGGCAGCTGGAGGAGGGGAAGGGGCAGCTGGAGGAGGGGAAGGGCAGCTGGAGGAGGGGAAGGGGCAGCGGGAGGAGGAGAAGGGGCAGCTGGAGGAGGGGAAGGGGCAGCCGGAGGAGGAGAAGGGGCAGGTGGATGAGGGGAAGGGGGAAGCTGGAGGAGGGGAAGGGGAGGCTGGAGGAGGGGAAGGGGGGCAGCTGGAGGAGGAGAAGGGGGACAGTGGAAGGAGGGGAAGGGGGGCAGCTGGAGGAGGGGAGGGGGCAGCTGGAGGAGGGGAAGGGGCAGCTGGAGGAGGGGAAGGGGGCAGCTGGAGGAGGAGAAGGGACAGCTGGAGGAGGGGAAGGGGCAGCTGGAGGAGGGGAAGGGCCAACCAACTGGAGGAGTTCATTATTAGATTATGTTTTAAAGGTAATAAATCCACTACCTTTTCTCAGATATTTAAAAGAACTACCATAGGAAATGGTGAAATAGGGAAGGACATTAGACTCAAGAGGGAATAATTTATTACAGTCTCAGAATTCTCTAACTCATCAGCCACAAAGTATATCTGAGGAGGCTCCATTCATTATGCAGGATCCATGTGATACATGACGAGTAAAAGGCGGGCTTCAACTCCCAAGGGGCCTGCATGCTTGTTAGTGAGACATGGCAGAACTTCACTCTAATAGGCATTTCTAAATGAAACTACTATGGAAAACATAACAGAAAAAGAAATCATACCCTGAAACCATATTATGAGTAGGAGGAGACTCAAACGTACTTTTCCTAGGGGGTTCTCAGTTGCTTTTGCTAATGAGGCAAACAGCTCTGCTCCATAGATTTTAGCTTCTGTGGATTGGAGAATGAAGCAGAAATTACTGTGTTTTTTCTCAGCTGCAGAAAAGGTAACTGAACTAGACAAGTTCTGCACCTAAGGCAGTGACTGAGCCTACAGACTCCGAGCACCAGGAAAATTGCATCAGTAGGGAAGAATCAGACAGCCATGGTGTGGATGGAGGACGAGATGAGCTGGGAGACACAAGAAACAGCACAGTGGGAGAGAGAGTGAGACTGACAAACCTTCTGTGAAAATACATCCACAGAACTGGCCAAGGACTTCTCATAGAGGGTTTTAACATCCACATTTTGTTGTGGCCAAGTTTCCAAAAGGAAAGTTTAAGGAAGAGAGTGATTTTTTTAAAATGTGTGACTAGATGTCTCAAGGGAACACCTCTTCCCAGTGTAACTATGCTCTCTATGTACCAACCACAGACTTGTCCAGATGAGCTCTCGGCCTCTCACCTAGTTTTCCTCATTGTCAAGAGCACCCACTTAAGTGAGAGTTTCCCAGGAATTATGGTCTGTGGTCTTGAAAAAAGGCCCAAGGAACACCCCCGATAGAAACAGACAATTTGGGCCCATTAGGCTCTTCTGGCTCAGGAGAACATGGCACGCTGGCCATTCCACGCAGTCTCTACCTTCTCCCTTCAACCTAGGTCACACACAGACAAGCTTCCCTCATCTGTACATACCACAGACTTAACTTTCACCGCTGAGTAGGGGAGGATTTCTCAATGCACCATTGCCCTTTGGCAATTCCCTGTTGAAATATGTATTTCTGGGCCTGCATGTACCTTAGGGTTCATGCACTTAGTGATTCTTTCTGTTTTATAAAGCTAATTGCCTCTGTAGCAATTTCTACACCCTTAGGTGCCACGACAGTCTATGTTTTTGGAAATGTGAGCACTC
Source organism: Homo sapiens (assembly GCF_000001405.40). Classification (NCBI taxonomy): domain Eukaryota; kingdom Metazoa; phylum Chordata; class Mammalia; order Primates; family Hominidae; genus Homo; species Homo sapiens. The sequence goes on from NC_000006.12 coordinate 105,832,646, forward strand.
ACTCAAACTGACTTCAGAGCTATAATTTATGGAACAGATTGAGTCACTGATCTCAGTTGGCCGCCTTTGTCCTGGTGCACTTCCTTCTTTTCTAAAGGGAATTTTCTTTGAAGAAGAAAAAAATCACTTTTAGATTACTTGCTGTAGAACATTTTTGAAAGGGAGTTTTCTTGGAAAATTATATAAATCCAATGGTGAAGTTCTCATAGAGCAAAAAGTCTGCTCTTAGATATATGCTGTAAACATTTACAAAGAGCCTACAGAAAATCTTACATAGTGGAGATTGTTTTTAAGATATTTTAATAGAAAAAAATTAACCCTTAATAAAGTTGATTTGGGGGTCTACCACTACCTAGTCCTAGCCATTTAACCTCTCTGGGCCTTACTAGCCAACAATTATAAAACAAATTAGTTGGATAACATAATTGTATTTTATCGTGCTGAGAATAAATATAAAATGAAAAATGTTTGTTTGTTTGTTTGTTTGTTTGTTTGTTTCCCGAGACAGAGTCTCGCTCTGTTGCCTGGGCTGGAGTGTGATGATGCAATCTCGGCTCACTGCAACCTCCACCTCCCAGGTTCAAGTGATTCTCCTGCCTCAGCCTCCCAAGTAGCTGGGATGACAGGCATGCACCACCACAGCCAGCTAATTTTTGTATTTTTAGTAGAGATGGGGTTTTACCATATTGGCCAGGCTGGTCTTGAACTCCTGACCTCAGGTGATCCACCCAACTCAGCCTCCCAAAGTATTGGGATTACAGGCGTGAGCCACTGTGCCTGGCCGAAAAATGTTTTTAATACTACAATTAAATATGTATTCTAGTAAGATTTTTAAAATCCTGATTTACAAACCTACATAATAGGAGGTAAATACAAATGTTATATGTCAATTTATATAGGAAGAATCCTTTTCATAGCCAGTTGATGCAGGAATCTCTCAAAATGTGATCTAATTCACAAAATTGATCCAATTCACAAAAACTTACAAATGTAACCACTGGAGCCCTCAAAGTGCTTGAATATGATGCCTTTAATGTACACGTCGATCAATACTTTAAAATCTATTGGATACATTGATGTCCTGAGCATTTTCTAGACATCTAATTTAATCATCACTAACCTAGAATTTACAGATAAACTGGGGGTCGACTGGATGACTGCTGTTTAAGGTCACACAGGGAGTGAGCTGGTGCCAAGGTTTGAATCCCACCTGAGGCTGACATAACTATTCACTACTAACTCTTCGTGCTTTATACAGTTTGGTTCCTGTGAGTCCTTATTTTGTCACAAAAGGAGATCTGATCAAGTTTATTCATTCTTTTAAAATAGATTTTTGTTTTAAGTTCCTTCTTCCTCCATTCCCTCTCCCAACTCCTTTCAATTTTAATGTTCTTTTCCCTTTTGTGGCTGGGTTTGATTCTACACAGACTTCTTAGGAAAATTGTGTTCGTGTAAAACTGAAGAGTCCAAGGGCTTCCTCACTGGAATAAGCAGGTCTCATTTGAGGGTGGGGAGCTCTTGACGAGGGGAAGTGGCTCACTTCAGGAAGTCCTGAGAACGGATTTTCTTATGTACATGTGCAAGTTTTTATGTATCTGCATACTTTACTCTCTTTAGTTGATGTAAAATGTTATGACTATTGTTTTCTTTTCTAAAGGAAGAGTTTCACCTGCATTCTATCTCACTTACTAAATGCGAGCAATCACCAGATCTCTTGTAATTCTACAAAAGCAATTAATCAAAATGGTGACTTCCAAATTGTTGTCTTCCCAGTTATGTCTATAAGCAAATTGAGACCTGCCAAATATCAGTCTCAAAAATGCATATTTTTCCTGCATGCATAACTCCTGCACTAACGCTGTGTCTTGAGAACAAATGGTATGCAGTGCCAAAGCCTTAGGAAGGTCACTTTTTTTTTCATTCTCATGTTTTCTTTCTAACCTACTACTCATAGAGTCACAGGAACTTCTGAGAGCCTTCTATTTTAGACCTATATATTAGATGGTTACTAATTACTTTGAACTGATTGTTTTTTCCTGTTGAATATTCCGGATTTCTGATTGAGCAATATCTTGAAATTCCAAAAGTTGGCATGCTGGTAGTTTCCTTATGTTCCACACATTTTCAAGCACATTGACAGTGACTGTTCCCTGTTTCCAGAGGATGAGGACAGTGGTACCATGTTCCTTCATCAGCTTGCACAATCAGCCCAATTGTCCTCAGATGGATCGTTCACACTGTGGCAGATTGTCTTGACTGCAAGTTCTTCTCTTGGCTCTGAAATCTTCTGCTTAAACAAGTTATTTCATTGACATAAACAGGATCTTCTTATCCTGGCCCAACACTAACTGGAAGAAAAACCTTTTTAGGATTTGTCTTTCTCTGCCACAGAGAAAGTGTGACCCCAGAAGCTTGAAATGGGCACCATTTTGTAAAGCTAGGCCTCAGCATTACTCCGAAATTCATGATATCTTGGGAACCAGGTGTGCAGTCAAAAATAACAGCTTTTATTTCTGTAACTTTTATTTCTGTAGCTCTTATTTCTGTTCACTTAGAGTGAACAAAACTCATTTACATACATTATTTCATTGATTCTAACAATAATCCTGTGAGGTAAGCAGGACAGAAACTTATTGCTATTTTTCAGATAAGGAAACCAAATTCAAATAAATTGTTATTATTCATAAAATGATAGTAACCGACACCATATAGGGTGTTTGGGGCACAAAGCGCTTTCCTATGCATGAACTCAATCGTACTGACAGCAACACTGCAAGGAAGTCAGACAAATTATCCCACTGTTTCAGCTTAAGAAGCAGATGAATAAAGGGATTCCTTGTTAGGATTTCTGCTCACAAATGTTTCTACAAAGCTCTTTGCAGAACACACCCTCTCAGAAACTGCCCCTCCTGGTGGGCAGCTTCAGGGAGTGCTTGCTGCAACACGTTCTGCTTGCTAGTTCTGACCCCACCCTTCCTCCCACTCACTCCCAAACCCACCGTCAGCCTCAACGCAGCTGTGGAGAACAACTCAATTCGATATATTTTTATTGATAATTTGAATAAAGGTAACATAAATAACATGACTTAAATTTTGGAAAATAGACAAAGAAGAAAAAAACCAACAAGAAGTCCCATGACCTCAATCTCTGTATTAGGCCAAGTTTCCTCTAGCTTTCTTTCCCCCATGCATCTGCTTTTCTTCTATTTGTAATCATAAGATCGATTTGTATACATTTTAAATCTGCATCATTTCCACTTGACAGAGTATTCTTTTTTTTTTTTTTTGAGACAGAGTCTCTCTCTGTCTACCAGGCTGGAGTGCAGTGGCGTGATCTTCACTCACTGCAACCTCCGCATCCCGGGTTCAAGTGATTTTACTGCCTCAGCCTCCCAGAGATCACAGGCATGCACCACCACGCCTGGCTAATTTTTGTATTTTTAGTAGAGACAGAGTTTCACCATGTTGGCCAGGCTGATCTCAAACTCCTGACCTCAAGTGATCTGCCCGCGTTGGCCTCCCAAAGTGCCCGGATGACAGGCAAACTTCCGATTTTCTAATCGCTGAGGACACATAGCTCAGACATATGAGTATAGATAATTTTTCTTCTATATTTCAAGTTCAATATTATTAAAAGACTATAAAATCTACAGTCCTTATTGTAACAACACAAGAGAAGCTACAGACACTGGATGACTGTGGTTTCAAATCATAAATGTTTCCTCTTGATTCTAGACTCCTATGGAAGTCTAGATTCAAGTTACTGTTGCATCCACTGTTGAATCTCCAATGCCTGTTGCAATGTGTGGCACAGTAAACATGCAATAAATACATATTGGCTGAGTAAAGAAACTAATATCAGAGTAACTAGAAGTTATTGACTCCTGCCTCAAGTAAGCAGGCTGACTGGAGGAACTTAGTTTGCTGAAGACACCTGTTTGAGAGGAAGTGGGAGTTAAATGACCTAACTTACTAGTGTAAAAAAAAAAAAAAAAAAAAAAGGACATAAATATATGTAGTCTGCTTAACGATAGCAGTAAAGGGCCTCACTGTAGTGCCCCGGTTCCTCCGAAACATAAATGCGAAGGACAAGAGGATCTAGCATGTGTCTGAAACGCCATCACTGAATCCTCTTGATATTCTTTAAGACGCAAATCCACAGAGCTTCACCAGAACAGCCAAAGATTATCATTTTGAAGAAAGGGGATATAGTGAAACAAACATGTATGTACCAAAGACAGCAAAAGGGCCTACGTCCGCTGACATGTTCAAACGTTTTAAGGAAAGCTATTATTTCAAGCACATGACAAAAGGATAGAGAAGGGAGTAGAATGAATTACAGAATAACTAGTGTTTACGCCTGAGAGGTCCCTGGGCTGTTCTGTACCTCCTGGAAACTGTTTATGTGCACAAGTCCTGTGATCATGGGGCTATGATTAGTGGATGCTGACAGTGTGACAGCAGAGGAAGGCATGAATCACCACTGTTCCATATAGGAGAAAGGTGAACAAGACCGACTCTGCCCCAAAGACAGTCTTCTTTTTCCACATTCTAAGTTCTGGTGACTTGGTGCTATAGGACAGGGTAGGAAAAAGAGAGAGGACTGATGAGGAATAAATTTCATGATTTTAGGAAATTCCACTTCTGAAAACTCATCTTTTGTGACATTATAATTTCTTAATTTATACCTAACAGCTAATAATTTTCCATTTTCCACAGACTCATTATCTTTTAAAATTATTGAAATCTTCAAATGCCTGGCACTGCATTTCTGAAATGGTCCTATCTGTAGGAAGATGTTTATTTCACTTTGATCCAAGCTTTCTCTGCATCAAGAACCCAAGACGGGAATGCTACCAGTCAAGGGAAGGTAAATAAAAATTGATGACTTCCTCAGTTTTCTAGGAATTATCCACCAATGAATTTGACTGGATGGTTGAGTTGTAGTAAATATGTCACAGCATTAAGGATATTTTGTTGTCATCTGGAAATGGTAGAAAAAGTAGCCAGAAAAAGCTCTTTCCTGAATGCAGGTGGAGATGTCCATTCTTGGCAAAGTCTATACAATAATGCTTGATTGAGATGCTTGACCTGTCTTTTGCTACAAAAGCAGAATATGAATCTCATTTGAAGCACTGAACTAGAGTAAAATGTGACAATATTCAAAACTGCCTGAATCAGTCATAAAACACTAGTCGGCTTCAAGTATTGGCATTCTTTAAGAAAGACACTGAGGTTCTGAATACTTTGAATCTGTTATGTCTGTCCCTTTGAGTGGAGTACAGCCAGTCCGTATCTTACTGTCCTTTCAAGAAAAGTTCTTGAACAAAGTGGATGCACTTTCTGTCATGGAAGTCAGTGGTGGATTTGGAAACGTAGCCTTCTTTTATCTTCCCGTGGGTCTTTTCTCGAATCTGAAAAGCTGACACTTATTGGATTATAGGGTGGGGATCATAGGGTGGGGAAAACCCATCCTATGGATGATAGGCTGGGGAAAACCAGTTAACTACAGGTAATCAAGAAGAAAATGCCTTCTGAATGACATGAGGTGGGACATTTGAAGAGAGTTGATGTCATCTTCTGATGCCTTTCCAGTGATTTGCTTAGAAGAAATCTGTCCATGATCACTTAAATAGAGGCAGAAAAAAAACCCTGGGGTTAGACGAGGCCTTTATCCACAGCTGAAACTGATGAGGCCTCCTGGCAAGACCCCAAAGCCAAAGACTTTGTTTCCTGTCTTCTCAAAGTCCTGACCTCCAGTATTTAGGGAACCAATAACATTTTTTCATTTCTGGAGTTATGTTTCTCATGCAACTCATGGCAGCTGCTTGCCAGCTCAGCATTTAGACTAATTTGTTACAGAAAATGGGGTAAATGTGTGTTCACCAAGGTCCAAAAATTAATATGAGGTCTAAACATATTTATATGCAACCTAACAAGGTATATGATACTTTTATCAGCATGTGTATTGTAAAATTAGAACTTTGGAACTCAGAACATTTCATTTCTAGATGTGTCTCAGTTTCTCACATTAGTTGTTTTGGTTTATTTTGTTTTGGTTTTAGAAAATGGGATGACAAAATATTCTGATAGTGATTATCTTTTTTAAAAAGATAAATTGTTTTTAAAGACAGTTTTAAAAAATTCTCTGAGAAGAAATATAATTTGTATATTAACTGCAAATAAGTATTATTTTAAAATATTTTCTTCCATATATATAGTAGCCATGGGATTTATATATAGCCTTAGCAATCTTGCATACTTATTTTGAGGACTGAAAACTTCTGCCCAAATAATGGGGGGGGGAAAAAAACCAGAAGAACATATATATTGTGTCCATTTCCTCAGATACCAAAACTTTGCAAGCAGTCGGCACATATATGTCATATTACTATCCACCTCCACTTGAAAAATATTGTAATATTCAAGTACAAAGAGGAAAAACTAATATTTGATTGTCCTATCTGTAGCTAAAAACCATCCATTGGAAGCCACATATATTCACTTCATTTAAAAAGATTTTCCAAGAACTCTCTCAAAAGAACCAGAAAGCTTCCCAAGCCATAGCCAGCACATTGTTCCCTTGTCCTCTTTGGGGTTTTATAACAACAGTTGATGAGAGAAAAGGTAATGAGCTGTGGCAACATTTTTTCAAGTTTAAAGCCTCCTCAAATGTTGGAGTTTGGATCCAGGTTAAGTATTTTGCTGCATAATTATTTATGCATCTATTTTTGGCCAAATATAACTCCCTGTTTCTAGGAAGGAAGAAGGTTGGAACAGTGTAGTGAAAAGAATCATGAGGCTTCTTTCATACCAAAGAGTGCTCACAAAACCACATTTTGATGAGTTATGTGTAAATGAATCAGAAACTTATGGTTTGCATTTCCCTAAAAAACACAGAGATTTTTAAAATAAATGAATAAAAAAGATGTCCCCCATACAATACATTTGGCATATTGCCCATTAACACTTCAAAGAAGATAATTCAACACTTGCAGTAGACAAAAAAGAGATTTGCCCAAATCTGGTCTGAGAGTATGGGAATGCATCTTAGCTGTGGCCAGCGCTGTAGATCCACCTTCAAGGATTCATCTTCTGTGACCAAGACCAAGTTAAGCACAAAATCACACACACACAGTTTTTCAACTTAAAATGGTAAAACAGTTCCTTAACTGCTTAACATTTTCTTTAAAGAAAAAAAACTGATGGACACCATCCACAGTGGACAAAATAAAACATAACTCATTATTCTCTATCTTTAAAAACTCATTTATTAATTCTTTCAACAAATATTTATTGGACACCTGCTATGTACCAGGCACTCTTCTGGGCTCAAGGGGTTCTAATGGTAAATATGACAGATGAGGCTCTGTATTTATGGAGTTTGTCATGACAGAAACCCTTCTCTGCCATGTCAATGTTATAAAGCAATTCTTGTAGACAATTCCAAGTTATTGTCAAAAACTTGGATTTAGACATCTGGATGACTAACTTTGTGAACCTCCTGAACATCTGAGGAAGAGGGAAGAATAAAAGGACCCAGAGAGCCTCCAAGAAGATGTTATGACAGGCAGGCCTCAAATTTACTTGGGTTAGCTTTCTAGCAAAGATACTGTGTAAATTGATCTGCTTTTCAGAAAGCAGCCGATATCATAAAATAAAGTGATGTTTCTTTTCAAGGGTGTCATCTTAATCAGCTATAAGTGATGCAACTGTACCTTACAAGGCAAAAACCTTTAACCAAATATAAATCAATTCAACAGGGCAAGCGCAGAAGTAGCATTTTCTGTATTTGCAGCTCAAGAGAGGTGCTATGAGGAACTGCGGAAACTCATAGGGCCTAAAGAGCAGCTTCAGATGTTGCCCAGAACTTAGATGCCCTGACCTATGCATGTATCATGGAACCAGCAGGACGTTCAGGTGGATCTCCAACTTCCCAAAATCACCCACAGCTTTCATCTTAAATCACACACCACGACCCAACAACCTGCTGTTTCAAGCTCTGACTCCCTGACCCTCATCTCCCTCCTTCTACAGCTCTTCCTGTGGCTTCAAAACCCCCTACCCAGACAGGTACCCCCACTCTCTCACCCCAGCATTCTTCATCTTAACTTCCTAGGTGTTTCCCTGAAGGTTACATCCCCAGTGCCTACCCCCATTCCTGGGTCATGGTCAGTAAAACATTTTTGTTGGATGGATGGATGGATGGATGGATGGACGGATGGTTGGATGGATGGATGGATGGATAAGCTTCCCTGGAAAAAAAATCTTGACCTGAGGTTTGTCAGAAACTAATGCTTCCATGTCAGCCACTGGCGAGATGCCGCAGCCAGATTCTCCCCATCACTAAATCCCTGGTAGAAGTCAACATGAGTAGATTTTGCTGTCAAAGAGACCAAGACTTTGGCCAATTACTGAACATCTCTGAGCCTCAGGGCCTCATGCAACATCTGCCTCATTCAGGCTGTTGAGGATGGAATGAGATGGGCTCCATAAAGCACCAGGCACATGCTAAACACTTCCTCTCCACCCATCCGTCTTCTAAAGTCAAGTCAATTAAGCTGAGAAAAAAATATTTAACCACATGCAATTACATTTGATTTGAGAGCTCCTGAGGAAGAGGGTTGGGAAGGGCTGAAGAGTTTGGGAAGTCTTGAGAAAACTTGTTGATATTTTCTTGAGAACAGCTATGCCTAAGAACTGTAACCAGGGACACCATGGAAAGGGTGGCGAAAAAGGAGTAAGTTGTCCTAGAATGTGTTAGATTCAGAATTTGTCAGGAAGCGGTGACAAGATCAGTGGTCTCCAAAGTGCACGACATAACCCACTGGGGTGTGGAAAGAAAGCAATAAAACCTCTATTTATAGTTTTTTAGTCTAAAAAAAAATACTTTTCTAAGTTAAGCTTTCCCAGTATTTACTATATAATTAACACTGGCCTCCTCAGAGACACTGGTTTCTTCATCCTATCTATGTGTCAGGAGAGTACTGCCCTCAATGATGGCTCAAAGGGTCCCCAGTGGTAGGGTTCCCTTGGTAGACAGTGGCACTAGGGGCTTGTAATGCATTGCAGCTCACATGTGCCTGGTTAAGTAGGCTTTCGGCTCATACAATCTAGTCTGAACTAAACTAGCCTTCTCAAAACAATCAGATGGCCCAAAAATTTCCTTTGAAGAAATTTTTGGATTGAAAAGAAGAGTAATACTATAAGGATAAACAAACAACAAGAAACTGGCAAAGCCAACACTTCTACTCTCCTCCTCATCCACATTATGAGATAAAAACCATGGTGACCTCATCAGAACTGACATATTAAACCACACTGCTCTCATTATAAATATTATTCACAGTATTTATCTCAGCAAGAGCAAAAAGGTCTTTTGTACTATTGAACTACATAAATTAAAAATTATCTCATGCTACTATAAAGACACATGCACACGTATGTTTATTGCGGCACTATTCACAATAGGAAAGACTTGGAACCAACCCAAATGTTCAACAATGATAGACTGGATTAAGAAAATGTGGCACATACACACCATGGAATACTATGCAGCCATAAAAAATGATGAGTTCATGTCCTTTGTAGGGACATGGATGAAGCTGGAAACCATCATTCTCAGCAAACTATCGCAAGGACAAAAAACCAAACACCGCATGTTCTCACTCATAGGTGGGAATTGAACAATGAGAACACATGGACACAGGAAGGGGAACATCACACACCGGGGACTGTTGTGGGGTGGCGGGAGGGGGGAGGGATAGCATTAGGAGATATACCTAATGCTAAATGACGAGTTAATGGGTGCAGCACACCAACATGGCACATGTATACATATGTAACAAACCTGCACGTTGTGCACATGTACCCTCAAACTTAAAGTATAATAATAAAAAAAGAATCATAATTTGAATAATAAAAAAATGCTTAAAACATTTTTATGGCAGCCTTAGCTCATGCTACCACTAAAAATTATATGTTATGTATGATTTATAAAATGTTTCATATTTCCATGCAGTAGAACATGCATCTATTTCATCCATAAATAAATAGAGATACACTGGAGGCACATGTTTTTAAGTTTTGACTGACAAGGGTTTCCCCCGATGAGATGGGAGACCCTGCTCTATACAGCAGTTTGTATATGCACATTCTGCAAGAGATCACCTGATTGCAATGAGTAGAGCACTGCGACTAAGAATGGGTGTGAGCCAAGTCCTGTCTGGGTTCCTGGAGACCACCAACAGTCAGCCCATGGAACAGAATCCATGATGGCAGGCGCCCCAGAGCTGTTAGGTTTACATCCCGGAGAAACAACTGCACGGTCAGCGGCCAGGAGCCGCTTCCTTCCCAGGAAGGAAGATTAGCCCACCCGAAGACCCAATAACACTGGTGAACACTTATGGTCCTGTTTACAACCCTTACTCCTTGAGAAGGTCAGTTCAAGACTACAGAAGATTGTAAGGAGGAAGTAGAAAGATAAATGGAATGTGGCTTTTTGGATAGGAAGGGGGAAACTTTCCATTGTAGCAATCAGTCTGGAGGAACATAGTGAGATAGAATTTGAAGAGAAGAATACAAGGGGCAGTGCAAAAGAATGACTTGGTCAGGGGCAGAGATGAAAGATGAACCAAGCTACCATTCTAGCAAGCAGAAGTAGGGAAGGAAGCACTCTAGATGCAAGGATTCTCTGCTTGAGACATAATAATTAATAGTGACATGCTTCCCAGTAGCAGAAAAGAGTGCAGGAAAGAGGAGGGGGAGTGCTCATGATTTAGCCGGAACTAGGGAATTCAAAACAGGCATACACGCGGATGTGGGCAGATCCCATTGAGGAGGGTGCTACCTCCGTAGCGAGTGCTGTCAGGGAACCCAGTATGCAGGCAAGCAAAGTGCAAGGTGGTTGATGTTTTAGCTTCCTCAACCTCCCCATCCTTCCCCACTCCTCAATTTAGCAGGGCACTTTTTTTTTCTTTTCTTGACGGAGTCTTGCTCTGTCACCCAGGCTGGAGTGCAGTGGCGCAATCTCAGCTCACTGCAACCTCCGCCTCCCAGGTTCAAGCCATTCTCCTGCCTCAGCCTCCCGAGCAGCTGGGATTACAGGCACGTGCCGCCACACCCAGCTAATTTTTGTATTTTTAGTAGAGACAGGGTTTCACCATGTTGCCCAAGCTGGTCTCGAACTCCTGACTTCAGGTGATCCACCTGCCTTGGCCTCCCAAAGTGCTGGGATTATAGGCATGAGCCACCGTGCCCGGCCGTACTAGGGCATTCTTAATGGTAGTCTGGTGGTGGGGGGCAGTGTAGGAGACGACGAGAAGGGAGGTGGACATTTCTACTGAGGAGATAAAAAAGGAAATGACACCAAGAGGACAAGAAAAGAGAGCAGGAAAAAGAAGTGGCAAAAGAGAAAAGAGGTGGAAGGGGAGTCATTGACCAGAGGAAAAAAAAAAACTACAAAAGCACAATAAAAATATCAATAAGATTTAAAAATTAGTGAAGGATGATAAAAATATTGGGGCTGAGGAGTAGAGTTCCATCACAAAAGATAGGAATAAACCAGCCAGAATTTTAGTGTGTGGTAAAGTACATTTTACTCATATGACTCTATAGAAGAAAGAAATCTACATGGGGCCCAAACCCTCATTTTGGGGATGATAAAACTGAGCCCCTGCCCACCCCCAAGAAGGTAATCAGCTTTCCTAGGAGCAAGGAGGAGCAGCCAAACCCCTGGCATCTAGGCCAAGACCCTCTCCTTTCTCCATTGTTATCCAAACACCCAGCCATGTTTCCCAGGGCGCAGGCCTTCAGCTCACCACAGGGTCCCTGAGGCTGCCAGATTGTTGATTTCACAATCTATGGGACAGTCAGCATGAACGTGAAGAAAAAAGAATCGATAAAAGAAATGAAATGATTGGGAACATTCAAAGCCAGCAGCAGGAGAAACTCAACATGAGCAATCATCCTTCAAATAACACTTCCTCACAGACTAAAAGTGGCAGCAAGTGAAGTTGGATTCAGGCCCAGCTGCGTCCTCCCGCATCTTGTTGGGAGCAGGCGCACTGGTTAATTCTCCTACTTTGGAGAAGAGAAGCTGTTCTTTTGTCATGAACTGCAATTCTTGGAACAAACACAGCATCCTACTTTAAATCTGGAAAAAATGGGCAAGTTCGGTTTGGAATGAAGCTCATATATATTTGTGTAAGTTTTTACTTAGGGAGTAATGATAGCCTTATCATCACTATGGCTGAAAAATGAACTTGATTTTTCAATTCCCAAAGGAATTGAAAACACGTAGGCAAGAACTTAGAACTACCGTCTCTTAAAATAATAGACCACAGAGCTTCATTTTCTAATTAGTTTATGTTAAACTTGTATTAAGAACTCAGTTAAATATATTGACTTAAAGACTGTTTTTTGTATCTAAACTTTTCTTCAATGACTAAAGCTGTTCATGTTTTTTTTGTTTTTTTTTACTAGGATCAGTCAAACCAAATGTGCCTGACATGGAAAAACAGTTTCGATCTTTTGTGAAATATAGTTTGATGTTTTTCCTAAGTTTTATATCAGAATATTCCACAAAGGCTAATTTAGTCTAAAGTGAAAGAAAAAACTGTGAGGAGGCTGGGCGCAATGGCTCACACCTGTAATCCCAGCATTTTGGGAGGCTGAGGCGGGTGGATCACGTGAAGTCAGGAGTTTAAGACCAGCCTTGCCAACCTGATGAAACCCTATCTCTACTAAAAAATACAAAAATTAGCCAGGTGTGGTGGTGCACACCTGTAATCCCAGCTACTGGGGAGGCTGAGGCAGGAGAATCGCTTGAACCCAGGAGGTGGAGGTTGCAGTGAGCCGAGATCGCGCCACTGCACTCCAGCCTGGGTGAGAGAGTGAGATTCTGTCTCAAAAAAAACCCGTGAAAAACACACAATGCACAGGGAGAAGTTTCCGCTTGCTCATGTGGCAGGTGAGGCTCTGGGATACACAGCCCTGACTCTCTCCTTTGCTCAGTCACACATACCCCAGTGTGAGAAAGGTACCGCTGGGGCTGGTGTCTGACTTTAATGCCGGAAAGTTATGCCCCATTCGATTCTCTCTCAGTGCTTCTGATTGTACCAACTAGAAAGTCTCAGCTTGAGCTACTGCGGTCTTAACAGCTAACAATTGCTTTCCTCACCTCTTAGTTTCAAAGAAAGGGTAACTCTCAGGACATTTTACAGGCAACATTTACTAGCTTCAATTTGATAAACGTCCTTTTTTTTTTTTTTATCATACAGTTGACCCTTGAACAATGCAGAGGTTACAGATGCCAACCCCCCACTCCATCCCACCTGCACAGTTGAAAATTCTTGTATAGTTTTTGACTCTCCAAAACTTAACTACTAATAGCCTACTGCAGATTGGAAACCTTACAGATAAACAATCAATTACCACATACTTCATATGTTAAATGTATTATACACTCTGTTCTTACAATAAAGTAAACTAGAGAAAAATAAAATGTTATATAGAAAATCATGAGAAAATATATTTACTATTCATTAAGTGGAAGTAGATAATCATAAACGTCTTCATCCTCCTCATCTTCACTTTGAGGAGGCTGAGGAGGAGGAGGAAGAGGAAGGGTTGGTCTTGCTGTCTCAGGGGTGGCCCACGACAAGAGAACAGGGGCAGTGCTGAAACAGCTGGTGATAATTGAAGTTTCCATCTGGATTTTCCCACTGTGTCTTAGGAACATGGAGGAAAGACACATGCCGGAGGCAATTACCCTACCCCAGCAAAACTGCAGCCATTCTTTCTTGTTTATTCCTTAGCTTGGCTTAAGCAATTTTTTTTTTTTTTTTTTTGAGATCTGGTTTCACTCTGTCGCCCAGAATGGAGTGCAGTGGCACAGTCTTGACTCATGCAGCCTCGACCACCTGGAATCTAGCAATCCTCCTGTCTCAGCCTCCCAAGCAGCTGGGATGACAGGCATCCACCACCACGCCTGGCTAATTTTTTAATGTTTTGTAGAGATGGAGTTTCTCCGTGTTGTTCAGGCTGGTCTCGAACTCCTGGGCTCAAGCAATCCACCTGCCTCTGCCTCCCAAAGTGGTGGATTACAGATGTCAGCCGCCATGCCTGGCTGGCTTAAGCAATTATGAAGTGAAGATGGTGAAGTGCTCCAGGTCCTAATTTCATCAGGACGGTCTAAACTATTGGAGTCTCCAAGGCCTGGCCACCTTGAGGAGCAGGGCAGGCTCTAATCCCATTTGTACACAGGGAAATGAAGAGGCAGTTTGGGATTTGCAGTGCTTATGATTAAATGTACAATATGCTGGTCCTCAAGTGATTCCTAGAAATGCCTAATTCTTTGTGTATGGTCCATAATTTGATATCCTGGCCTGGGGGGAAATCAACCTCCATCTTAGCCACTCTGCACTTCTTTTTCCTCATCTATAAATAAGGGATTAAAACAATAAACATAGTTCAAATGGTGGCTGCAAGAATTCAATGGAGTAAATGCCATAAACCACTAGTACAGGGCTTGGTAAATATAATCTCCTCTTAGTATTAGTTGATATACAGAATGTTCCTGAGCTGCTGGGTATAGTTCAGGGTTATGCAGAAAACAAGGGTTTTGGCTGGGCACGGTGGCTCACACCTGTAATCCCAACACTTTGCGAGGCCAAGGCGGGCAGATCACTTGAGGCCGGGAGTTCGAGACCAGCCTGGCCACCATGGTGAAACCCCATCTCTACTAAAAATACAAAAATTAGCTGGGTGTCGTGGCATGTGCTAGTAGTCCCAGCTACTCAGGAGGCTGAGGCACAAGAATCACCTGGACCTGGGAGGTGGAGGTTGTAGTGAGCTGAGATTGTGCCACTGCACTCCAGCCTGGGTGCCACAGCAAGGAAAAGAAAGGAGAGAGAGAGAGAGAGAGAGAGGAGAGAGAGAGAGAGAGAGAGAGAGAGAAAGAAGAGAAGAGAAGAGAAGAAAGAAAGGAAGGAAGGAAGGAAGAGAGAAAGGGAGAAAGAGAGAAAGGAAGAAAAAGGGAAAGAAAGAGAGAAAGAGAGAAAGAAAAGGGGTTTTTTTCCTTCCTTTATTCCCTCTATTCCTATCTCTCTTTCTTAACTCAGACTTCTCATCCCACACTCACTGCTCTTAAAATGTGGTCTTTCCATTGAGATTAGTGAGAGAACTGTACCGCTTCAAAATTCAAAGAAGGAAATTTTAAAAGGAGCAAATATAACTGGATTCAACCTAGACAGGAAGAGTCAGGGATTTCATGATCCAACCCTAATGGAGCTCTTTTTTCTTCTATACTGCAATCTTCTGCCCTGTATAAAGAGATGCCTATTGTGGCAGGTCTTTTGAAATGCCAGTGAAATGGGATGCAGAGACCAGTCATGTCTATACACGACCTGAAGCCTCCATTTGACCTAGCCTCATCAGAGGAAAAAAGAATATTGCATCAAATTAAATGTGCCTGGACCTAGACCTTTAATTATACAGCTTCACCATCCTCAAGGAGGCCACCACTCATTTAAAATTGTCTATTGCCTACACAAGTAATGTTTGCAAGAGAACAAAGCAATCCCAAATTGGGCCATAATGACCAAAGTCTGCACCACTTGATGCCCCCAAATAGCTAAATCTAGACACAAATCACCTTATTCCCATCCTGTGGGACTGTGATATAAACTACAAAGTAAACTTGCATTGATGAAGACTGCAGCCTCTCTTCAAGACACCCTGTTAACTAGCCATCCACCCTGCTTACTTCCACTCTGATGAAATGTATTGACTATTGATCCCAAAGAAAAGCTTGCTTAGAGAACACAGTTCACTCAGAAATTGCCTGCAAGAACTGTATGATAATACTGCCTTTACTTCGGAAAGCAGATTTTTTATTTTATATGTTTACAAAGCCTTATTTGTAATTTTTGGCAAATAAGGTTTTGGCAGCTTTGAAAAAGAGTCATGATTTGTTCCTCTTAACAAAGAGTAATGAGATGATCTTGTATTTGGCTCGATGGCACAACATCTTTTAGGATGTTTTATAATCATTTTTTCCCTATGATAAATGTGGTCGCTTTAAGATAATGCTGGTCCATTGCAGAAATTTCGGAGAATGTGACAAGGCGACTACGCATCCATAATCCCACCACCCAGACAATCACTGTTAACATTTTGGTATGTTTTCCTTCACTGAGGCATGTGACTGGAATGGTTAAAACCTTCCTATGTACATACCTTTGTATACTGCTCTTTACACTTAATTTTCTACTATCAGCACTAATGATCGCTAAAAACATTAAAGATCTTTTTAATAACTTTATTCCTTTTCAGACGGTTGTGCTATCATTTACTTATCCATTCTTTTAAAGTAGGACGTTTAGGCTGTATTCAGGTTTTCTGCTCTTATAAGCAATGCTGTATTGGACATCTTTATGCATACGTTTCTGTTGGTGTTTTCGACTATTTCCTTAGGACAGACTTCTTGATGCCAATTATTGAGCAGAGCATATGAATCTTTCACAAATGTTTGTTTATAATATGTAGCATACACACAGGCTCATACTTGTCTTATTTTTTAGTTGACAAATTATGGTTGGTTGTTCTTAACTAAAAAAATCATACATTTGAAATTAAGTTTTAGTCCCATATGAAACGAAATGATCAATGCATGTTTTAGATATTTCTTCAGTGACTGATGAGACTAATTATATATTTAACTGATTTGATTTATAACTAGGGTCTACTTAATCATAAATCTGGGCATCGAGGTGGGATTAAAGGATCAAGCAGATCAGGTTTAGCGACAGGACTAGGGACCAGTGAAAAAGCAACAAGGAGCCCCAAACTCTATGTAGCCTTATGAAACATTTTGGCATCTGTGCCACCGGGTGAAACAGTATGCACTCACCTAGCTCCTGATGTGTAGGAGGTGTTTACAGGGCACGAGGGAAAACGCAAACTTCTTCTCTACAGATAGAGAAGGTGCATTAGGCCGGAAAGCACAGCCAGGAATATATGGGTCTTCGACCTGTGGGCCTCCATGGCCTCCAGAAAACCCCTCCCATTCACAGCTCCTCTTCTGCTAGAGGAGAGAAGGCACTTCTGGTTTACAATCCCCACAACACTGGCTGAGGAACACCCAAAGAGCTTCCACCTCTGTCCACACAGCCCCCACCCTTTTGCATTCAACATGTGAGGAAGTGATCAGGTGGCTATTTTTCAATGTTCGTTCAAGTTCTGTGTAAGGTTAGCAGATACATCAGGCCTGCAGCGAGGCAGTAATCCCCTCCTCTGGGATTCCCTGCACTCGCCTCTTAGGAATGTGTATGAGTGAGGGAACATTCATTCACTCTTTTTATTCATCCATTCATTTCTCAGTTTGTCCTTTCATTCAAAAAAGAGTCACTGAATCTTATCTACCACTGTGCAGCAGCTCCTGTACTAGGCAACGGAGGACTCAACAGGAGACATGACAAAGGCGCTGCCCCCGTAAGACTTGTGGCTAATAAAAGAGGCAAGGAATGAAACAAGCAATGGCAACACAGAGGAAATGCAGGACTGTGGCAGAGGGATGCTAGGCAGAGGCCTGATGGCTGTCCCAGAGCAGAAGTGGCCCAGGAGGAAGGGCAGGGCCGCAGGGGGCCGGAGAGGCAAGGAGAAAATGCTCTAGGCAGGGAGGGGGCATGAGCTGGGAGAGTAGCAATGGGCACTGCTTGCAGGATGACGGCCCAAGGGTTAGCATCAGATCCTACTCACAACTGGAAAACAACAGTGCATTAGAGCAGGAAGCTGCCAACTTGGACATCTGACAAGGACAGAAAGTAGGGCCCATAATGTGAAAGAGCTTGCCCAAGTGCCAAAGGAAGTTGATTTTGTGCAAGATGGATGCACAGGCTTCTGCCACAGGCACATCAGCCAGATATTGGGGTTTTTCTCCGGTAACTTTCCTATGGGGACTCCATGTGGACGCATTCCTGTGTATAAATATGTGTGTTCTGGATAATAGTAATGGTAGCCTTTGGGTTCAAAGAGAAAATGCTGGACTTCATAAAATCCCTTTATGAACTAAGTTGAAGTCTGATATTTGAAGAACTGCATTAAATAGGGCTAGAAGAAGTAGCTGCATTCATAACACTGAGACATTCATAACACTGCATTCATAACACTGAGCATTCACAGCTGAGAGGATGCACTTCCCTACTGAATCACTTTAAGACAGAGTTGCAAATCCCATTATCTGTGAGTGCTGTGTGAATACATATGCCAAGACGAATAGTGAACACAGGAAATTGTGCTGAAAATTAATCGCCCTCAGCAATCAATGGGGATAGGCCCCACACGAGAGAAGGTCCGACTAAGGATGGAGCGCACTGCGATGAGACCTTTCTTATATGACCTAGGTGCTCCCAAGACTGCAAACTTCCACTCCTTTGTATCTTTCTTTTCAGCCTGCTAACTGAACCGTGCTAATGGATATCAGAACAGTCCTTGTGGTTTTTCCTATCAAATCTGTTAAAAGGGGAAGAAGGTTCCTGTTGTTAATTGCAGGGGATCTCCTATTCTTTGTTTTAAAGAAAGTTTAAACAAAATGCTCACCCACTCTGGGGCTTTAAAGAAAGTTCAAACAGAACAAAGTTCTCTTGCCAAGGTTTAAGGCGAATCTCCTCCGTCCAGATGGCTTCCTCAGGCAGGCCAATGTAAGAACCCAGACACTCACCCCTGCTGCCTCTTAATGCCGCGCCTTGATTGTTGCTAACGATCCCCAGCTGTCTTTCGTTGCTGGCTCCTTAACCTCTCTCTGCCGGCCACATCTGCCTGCAACTCTGAGAGGGGAAGAGGAGATGCTGACAAAAGAGGCATCCAAGAGATGCTTTGGAGGCTGCCCCCAAAGCAACGCAGATGGGGTCCCGAGTCGTGGGACTGTGCACCAGGAACTTGATTAGAAATTAATTCTCCACAATAAACTTCAGGAAAAAATGTGAATGTCATATTTCATATCAAGGAAATAAACCTGATGATGGGAAATGCCACTAACCAAGGCAAATCCACTAAGAATCCAGGAGTCTGGCCATGATACTTGGCAGGTCACTTTCCCTATTGACTAGTCTACATATTTACTGGGCAGCAGCCCGGAATGGGGTGGTGGCCATAAGAATTCCCACTGTGTTCCAGCAACATGTGTCCACTTTCTCCACGGCCTTCCCCAGCTGCCCCCTTTATTCCAGCCCATCACCCAGCAGACATACTGACTTTTGATCTGTACCAGATACAAGTGGGTCACGTCTGCATCCTGTATTAATTTAATGCTTCCCCTTTGTTTTCTGTGTGTCCTACGAGTGTCTAGCTATGTCAGCCAGTGGGTCTGAATATCCCTGCCTGCCCGGATGTCCATTCAATTCAGACATTAAAAAGTGCACCTTGTTACTATCACCCCATAGGGTGCACTACAGTCTAATAGATAAATCCACATCATCAATAGTAATCTAAGTACCCTCTCTATGCTCTGTACCCCTTCTTCCCCAAACCCTATTTCTTTTTTTTTTTTTTTTTTTTTTTTTTTTTGATGAGCAGTCAGAACACACACAGCATTTATTGGAAGTTTTCCATCTTATATGGGCACAGTTTGTGGCTCCCCAAAACAATTAGAATAGTAATATCAAAGATCACTGATCACAGATCACCATAACAGATATAATAATAATGAGAAACTGAAATGTCGCAAAAATTACCAAAATGTGACCCAGAGACAGGAAGTGAGCGCATGCTGTTGGACAAATGGCACTGATAGATTTGCTTGACACAGGGTTGCCAGAAACCTTCCATTTGTTAAAAAATGCAATATTTGCGAAGTACAATAAAGTGAAACACAGTAAAATGAGGTGTGCTGGGCATCCTGCCATTTATGCACATGCCTCTTTAGGTAGAAAATAATCCTGTAACAGTTGAGGCTGTGGTTGCCTTTCTGAGACTCTTGTCTACAGAAATGGTCAACTGGTGGCCAGCTGGCCAAAGGGCTAATCTAGCCCACAGACATGTTTAGTTGGGGCTACATAGAGCTTTTTACAAATTTGAGTCAATATTTAGAAAATAAAAGTCTGGATTTTGGGATTCCCTTACAAAAACTGGAAAATTTGGCCACACTGGGTCATATTCCCACATAGTCGTGGTGGTTGGGGTTCAGTAGCAGTAGCTGCTGCCCCTTAAGACAGGTCCCCATGGTCCCCACTCAGTTGCTTCCTTATTTATCTTACAAGCCTGGCAAGGAATTTGAGTTGAACTGATCTAGAAGATTGGTGCTAAGAACCAGCTCAGTGGCTTAGCTGTCCTGGGGTCTGCAGGAGAAGGCTTCTTTGTTAGGCCCAGGCAGGAAGTCTGGGCATGGATTGAGGTTTTTTTTTTTTTTTTTTTTGACCTTTTAAATATTTATTTATTTTTTATTTTATTTTATTTTATTTTATTTATTTATTTATTTTTAATTGATCATTCTTGGGTGTTTCTCGCAGAGGGGGAGTTGGCAGGGTCATAGGACAATAGTGGAGGGAAGGTCAGCAGATAAACAAGTGAACAAAGGTCTCTGGTTTTCCTAGGCAGAGGACCCTGCGGCCTTCCGCAGGGTTTGTGTCCCTGGGTACTTGAGATTAGGGAGTGGTGATGATTCTTAACGAGCATGCTGCCTTCAAGCATCTGTTTAACAAAGCACATCTTGCACCGCCCTTAATCCATTTACCCTGAGTGGACACAGCACATGTTTCAGAGAGCACAGGGTTGGGGGTAAGGTCACCGATCAACAGGATCCCAAGGCAGAAGAATTTTTCTTGGTACAGAACAGAATGAAAAGTCTCCCATGTCTACTTCTTTCTACACAGACGCGGCAACCATCCGATTTCCCAATCTTTTCCCCACCTTTCCCCCCTTTCTATTCCACAAAACCGCCATTGTCATCCCTGCCCGTTCTCAATGAGCTGTTGGGTACACCTCCCAGACGGGGTGGTGGCCGGGCAGAGGGGCTCCTCACTTCCCAGTAGGGGCGGCTGGGCAGAGGCGCCCCTCACCTCCCGGACGGGGCGGCTGGCCGGGCGGGGGGCTAACCCCCCCCCCATCTCCCTCCCCGACGGGGCGGCTGGCCGGGCAGAGGGGCTCCTCACTTCCCAGTAGGGACGGCCGGGCAGAGGCGCCCCTCACCTCCCGGATGGGGCGGCTGGCCGGGCGGGGGGCTGACCCCCCCCCACCTCCCTCCCGGACGGGGCGGCTGGCCGGGCGGGGGGCTGACACCCCCACCTCCCTCCCCGACGGGGCGGCTGGCTGGGCAGAGGGGCTCCTCACTTCCCAGTAGGGGCGGCCGGGCAGAGGCGCCCCTCACCTCCCGGACGGGGCGGCTGGCCGGGCGGGGGGCTGACCCCCCCACCTCCCTCCCAGACGGGGTGGCTGCCGGGCGGAGATGCTCCTCACTTCCCAGACGGGGTGGCTGCAGGGCGTAGAGGCTCCTCACTTCTCAGATGGGGCGGCCGGGCAGAGATGCTCCTCACCTCCCAGACGGGGTCCCGGCCGGGCGCTCTCACATCCCAGACGGGGCGGCGGGGCAGAGGCGCTCCCCACATCTCAGGCGATGGGCGGCGGGGCAGAGACGCTCCTCACTTCCTAGATGGGAAGGTGGCCGGGAAGAGGCGCTCCTCACTTCCTAGATGGGATGGCGGCCGGGAAGAGGCGCTCCTCACTTCCTAGACGGGATGGCGGCCGGGAAGAGGCGCTCCTCACTTTCCAGACTGGGCAGCCAGGCAGAGGGGCTCCTCACGTCCCAGACGATGGGCGGCCAGGCAGAGACGCTCCTCACTTCCCAGACGGGGTGGCGGCCGGGCAGAGGCTGCAATCTCGGCACTTTGGGAGGCCAAGGCAGGCGGCTGGGAGGTGGAGGTTGTAGCGAGCCGAGATCACGCCACTGCACTCCAGCCTGGGCACCATTGAGCACTGAGTGAACCAGACTCCGTCTGCAATCCCGGCACCTCGGGAGGCCGAGGCTGGCGGATCACTCGCGGTTAGGAGCTGGAGACCAGCCCGGCCAACACAGCGAAACCCCGTCTCCACCAAAAAAGTAAGAAAACCAGTCAGGCGTGGTGGCGCGCTACAGGCACTCGGCAGGCTGAGGCAGGAGAATCAGGCAGGGAGGTTGCAGTGAGCCGAGATGGCAGCAGTACAGTCCAGCTTCGGCTCGGCATCAGAGGGAGACCATGGAAAGAGAGGGAGAGGGAGACCGTGGGCCGTGGGGAGAGGGGGAGGGGGAGGGGGAGAGGGAGAGGGAGAGCCAAACCCTATTTCTTGAGGGAAGCAAACCTATTATCTTTAGCCTAAAATCCAAACAGTTGGCTGACTTAGCAAGGTTTTTTATTTGCTCCTTTGTTTCTTTTCCTTTTTTTTTTTTTTTTTTTTTTTTGAAACGGAGTCTCGCTCTGTCACCCAGGCTGGAGTGCAGTGGCACGATCTCAGCTCACTGCAAGCTCCGCCTCCCAGGTTCACACCATTCTTCTGCCTCAGCCTCCCCAGCAGCTGGGACTACAGGCGCACACTGCCACACCCGGCTAACTTTTTGTATTTTTAGTAGAGACAGGGTTTCACCGTGTTAGCCGGGATGGATGGTCTCGATCTCCTGAGCTCGTGATCCACCAGCCTTGGCCTCCCAAAGTGCTGGAATTACAGGCGTGAGCCACCGTGCCCAGCCACTCCTTTTTTTCTTTTAGCCCACATTAGGATATTACTGAGTCTTCTCGTTTTCATACAAAATATTGGAAAAGAAGCGTGAGCTCACTAGTTCAGCTGGTATACCCATGGCATGAGGCTGCAGGGGGCACAGAATGGTGTAGGAGCTGGAGGGTGGCAGGCTTTGCATTCAGACCTGGATTGCGAGTCTGTCACTTGGATTCCTTAGCTTGTGACAGTGGCCACATTTTATGACATATCTGAGCCTTTGCCTTATCATTCGTGAAACATGTTCTGGCATTGCAGAGATAATATATGCAAAGTTCCTAGCCCAGTGCCTTGGATGCAGTTGGTACTATGGGAACTATTATTAGATGTCAAAAGTTGTTTTTTTTCATTTGTTTGTTTTTTCTTTTTTTTTTTGAAACGGAGTCTCTCTCTGTCACCAGGTTGGAGTGCAATGGCGCGATCTTGGCTCACTGCAACCTCCGCCTCCCAGGTTCACGCCATTCTCCTGCCTCAGCCTCCCGAGTATCTGGGACTACAGGTGCTGGCCACCATGCCTGGCTAATTTTTTGTATTTTTAGTAGAGACAGGGTTTCACCATGTTAACCAGGATGGTCTCCATCTCTTGACCTCATGATCCACCCGCCTCGGCCTCCCAAAGTGCTGGGATTACAGGCGTGAGCCACCATGCCTGGCCAATGTCAAAAGGTCTTTTTATTTAGTTGAAATGTGAGCCAGTTTCTTCCCAACATGTGGACATTTTGTCTATAAGGAGATGATGTGGAAAAGAATGGATGATTCAGTTAAAAAGCAAACTAGCAGTAGATGCAAAGTGGCTGGTGACCAGGGTCGGCTCACACACAGCGGCCCTGGGGAAGGAAAGCTCCCATAGTCCCTCCGACCACCTTCAAGTTTTTTATGCATTAGGACCGTCCACCAGACCTCACCTGCAACCTCACCCGCAACCTACGTCTGCTTACCATTTAAACAATCAACCAGGTTGGCAAGACCTTCCAAACTTGACCCCAAATTTGACCTCGTCCTTATACACTCTGTGCCTAGAGCATACCTGACTACAGGTGCAGCATACAAATATCATCTCACCCAGAAAAAGAAATCCTAAAATGAGGCTTCCCAATAGAGAGCTCAAATTTTGTATTGACTCTTGCTCCCTGCTCCTAACAGAAACTCACTGCAAATGATGTAAATATTTGACTGTCTTCTCTCATGTGGGTGTAATGCCCTTATCCTGTCAGACTTCCACACGTGTCTTAGAGAGTTAGCAATTAGAAGCAGGACCCAACTGCCTTCCAGGGCCTTCAATAATCACAGAGTATAGCAAGACATTTGACAAAAGTGAGAGCAAAGTGGAAGCAGGAAGCTTGACTTTCTTACATTGTCCCAGGGATGCAAGAAAAGCTCTTTGAGCCTCCTCCAAATCAATGATATACTGATGAAATATGTTATACCATGTTAGCAGCATTTCCTAAAGAAACATTAGTTTACTACTAGAAAGTTTGCTGAACAATCATTTCCAGAGTGCTCGCAGGCCCAAGGAAAGGCAGAGGCAAAGAAAGTGTAAGGCCGGGCATGGTGGCTCATGCTTGTAATCCCAGCACTTTGAGAGGCTGAGGCGGGCAGATCACGAGGTCAAGAGTTTGAGACCAGCCTAGCCAACACAGTGAAATCCCATATCTACTTAAAATACAAAAATTAGCTGAGTGTGGTGGCAGGTGCCTGTAATCCCAGCTACTTGGAAGGCTGAGGCAAGGGAATCACTTGAACACGGGAGGCGGAGGTTGCAGTAAGCCGAGATCATGCCACTGCACTCCAGCCTGGGCAACAGAGTGAGATTCCATCTCAAGAAAAAAAAAAAGAAAGTATAAAAGCAGATTGCAGATTATTCTTCATACAGTACAGCTCCCTCTGTGTGTATGAGTACTATCAAATACATTCTGAATTTCACTAGCTTATATTTTCCAGATTTCTTCAAGTTCTCAACATCACTTATCTTTAAAGAGGATTATGGTGAAGCTTGACTCCATCCATGCACACGGATATGCCCCTCCTTGAAGGTAAAACAGAATTATTGCTGGTCTCTTCTCCCAACTCTGAACTTCCCTCTCCAGGGAACCCAGAGGTTTCCATGCATCTCTTGAACACCCTCAACCCAAAATCTGCATCCTATTCAAAAGCACAACATCGTGGTATTAAGTTTTTGTGAATATAAGTAAAGGATTATGTAATGAAAAACCAACAATAGTAATAACTCCTATCACAAAATAAACCAGCCACAGCTGCAGCCTGAAACAGACGGTGAAGAGCCGCATCCAGAAATCAGAAACAGCCATTGTGCTGAATCAAGGTACCAGAGGCACACTGGGCACTCCCTCAGAAACACCCTCGGACCTCTGTGACTTGACTGGCAGGAGGTCTGCCCCTCTCAACAACAACAAGCACAAAATCAAAGAAAGACAGTGGTATGAGAGCCTATTTCCATCTGTTTTCCTTTCCAGGTTGGCCAGCTGCACTGGGTGACATCCTCACAGGACCAACCTCTTTGCAGGTTCTGGCACCATCAGTCACTCCAGCCACTGCACACAGCACATAGTCCTGCACATCTGCAGGCTTTAGCTGAGATGTTTCCAGAAACCTGGCTTGGTGTTCCAGATGTCACTGCTAGTGTCCATGTACCAAGGTCAGCAAGACAGGGTAGAAAATCTGCAGGGTGATGTCCCATTCAAGAGTATAGAGACCAGGAGTTCACAGCAACTCCAGTCCTATCTGCCCTTGGACTTAAGATAACAATGTTAATCTCTTCTGATAGTTATGCAGGGAGGAGGAGTTTCCTTGGATCAAATATTGCAGCTACGATCAATTAGGCAGGGCAAGGGCTGGAGAGGAAAGGTTGTCTCCCATTCCTCATGGGCCACCCTGCCTTTAAGCCTCCCCTGCAAACAATAAGCTGTGGCTCACACAAATGCAATGGCAAAAGGTGCTACTTTTCTCTTTGAATAAAATATTCAAAGGCAATTATAGAAACAGATTTATTACAGATAAATTTAGTGTCGTTGAAAACTTCAGCCAAAAAAAACAAAGAATTGGTTATATATATAACAGGCAAATTATAATATGACTGGACCCTTCGTTAACATCACATTTCTTTAAATCTTTTTTTTCATATACTTTAAGTTCTAGGGTACATGTGCACAACATGCAGGTTCGTTACATATGTATACATGTGCCATGCTGGTGTGCTGCACCCATTAACTAGTCATTTACATTTAGTATATCTCCTAATGCTATCCCTCCCCACTCCCCCTACCCCATGACAGGCCCTGGTGTGTGATGTTCCCCTTCCTGTGTCCAAGTGTTCTCATTGTTCAATTCCCACCTATGAGTGAGAACATACGGTGTTTGGTTTTCTGTCCTTGTGATAGTTTGCTGAGAATGATGGGTTCCATCTTCATCCATGTCCCTACAAAGGACATAAACTCATCCTTTTTTATGGCTGCATAGTATTCCATGGTGTATATGTGCCACATTTTCTTAATCCAGTCTATCATTGATGGACATTTGGGTTGGTTCCAAGTCTTCGCTATTGTGAATAAAGCCGCAATAAACATATGTGTGCATGTGTCTTTATAGCAGCATGATTTATAATCCTTTGGGTATATACCCAGTAATGGGATGGCTGGGTTAAATGGTATTTCTCGTTCTAGATCCTTGAGGAATCACCACACTGTCTTCCACAATGGTTGAACTAGTTTACAGTCCCACCAACAGTGTAAAAGTGTTCCTATTTCTCCACATCCTCTCCAGCACCTGTTGTTTCCTGACTTTTTAATGATCACCATTCTAACTGGCATGAGATGGTATCTCATTGTGGTTTTCATTTGCATTTCTCTGATGGCCAGTGAACATCACATTTTAAAGCCATTTATCTTTCACTTGCTGAGCTATTGAGTAAGTGGATCACTTTGTAGGCAATTCTTTTAGTAATAAAAAAAAAAGAGCTGGGTTAATACACAAGCAAGAAAGTGATATGTTTCATGGGCAAGTTTGAAAATCCTGTTTGCCTGCAGAGTAACAAATGTAGGAGTAACAAGGACACTAACTTAGGCTAGTATCTGTGGGATAGACACAGGGCAGACTAAACTAGGTGACACAGATGTGTGTGGACCTGAGCTGGGGTATGCGGACAGATGAGAAATTACAGACCCAGACCAAAAAAAAAAAGAAAAAAAGAAAAGTAGAGAAACTTTCCCATCAATAGTAGAACTGAGAATGCCTGACACAGCAAGTTTCCTTCCTCCTATCCTCCACCCAAGGGCTCTCTTAATCATTCAAATTGTACAGACAGTTGTGTGAACAATATGCTGGCCTTTGGGCCTATGAGTGATTCCTCTCCTATCAAAGAAAATGGAGCTGATAAGATAATGGCAATAACTGTCAGTGGCACTTACTGAAATAACTTACTATGAACTAATTGGGACTGCCTACCTCTCTCTGGGGGCAAGTATCAGGATATGGTTGGAAGAGGAAAAGAAAGAGGAGGGAAGAGAAGAGAGAGAACGAGGAGAAGAAGAAAGACTGCTCTAAGTCAGCATTAGGCTACAGCCAAGTCTTTTCCAGAAAATGGAAAAGCCTCCTTTAAAGTAAAATCTTCATATGAACTGTTTCCCCAACTCTTTTCCATTCCTTTCCCTTCTCTTTCTTTTTTTTCCCCTTCCTACCTTTTCTCTTACCTCTTTCCTTTGGTAACACCAAAAGGACTTAAAGTGGCTTGAAAGCAATTAAAAAACAAAATGTAAAAATATAAATGACGTTAGAAATTCAGAGGCACATGTAATATGCTGTACATTACGATAGAAAGTTGAGGCCTCGGGAAAGTTAGAATGCATATATGCAGGCTAAGGACCTCACAAATATGCAAATTGAACTCCACATTTCTCCATAAAATCTTTGGTAGCCAAAGTGAAAAAGAAAATCCAATTATATGTTTTTTATTGTTCATGTCAGGACTAGGAAAAATGAGAAACCAATTCTAATCCTTGAACTGTGACTGACTATTTTTTTGTGGTTTTACATCTGCCAAATAAGAAGTATATCTGTTCCATATTTCATAGTAATATATGTAGTGAGAAGTAGTAAGACAATTTATACAAAGAAGTCATCTTATAAAAAAAGCAGTAGATATTTTTCACAGTGGTTTGGAACCAAAAAAAGCATGGCCTAGATCTTAAGTATGCATAATTAAACAGGTTACCTATTCATAAAGTAAAATATCAGATTCTGCCTCATAAAATCTGGGCCTGTCTGATTGTTTCTGGGATTTATTATTTGTTTGTTTTTGTTTTGCTATAATTATTTGGTAGAGCAGGATTGCAACTCCATCCAAAAACTTTGGTGAAGACTTAATACAGTCAAATTACTCTACAGTGATTACGGAGCACGTGTACCTATTCTGCATTTTGAGAAGATGATGAGTAGCTACAAGAGAAAATGACTGACTAACTTCAAAAGGTAGAAAAGGTCCTTTCCAGGATCTAGAACCAGAAATATGATTTGATCCAGCAATCCCATTACTGGGTATATACCCAAAGGATTATAAATCATTCTACTATAAAGACACATGAACACATGTGTTTAGTGCAGCACTATTCACAATAGCAAAGACTTGGAACCAAACCAGATGCCCATCAATGATAGACTGGATAAAGAAAATGTGGCACATATATACCATGGAATACTATGCAGCCATAAAAAAGGATGAGTTTATGTCCATTGCAGGGACATGGATGAAGCTAGAAACCATCATTCTCAGCAAACTAACACAAGAACAGAAAATCAAACACTGCATATTCTCATTCATAAGTGGGAGTTCAACAATGAGAACACATGGACACAGGGAAGGGAACATCACACACTGTGGCTTGTTGGGGGGTGGGGGATTGGGGAGGGATAGCATTAGGAGAAATGCCCAATGTAGATTATGGGTTGATGGGCACAGCAAACCACCATGGCACGTGTATACCTATGTAACAAACCTGCACGTTCCGCACATGTATCCCAGAACTTAAAGTATAATTTTAAAAAAAAGAAGAAAAAAAAATTCACACACACACACACACACACACACACACACACACACACACACACACAAAAGGGTTCTTTCCAGATTCCCATCTTGGAATATTCCTAAATTTCAAGAGGAAGTTTCCTGGAGGTAGCCATTTAAAAAACAAACAAAACACTTTTGTGACCGCATTTCTACATCAACCCTATTCAGAAAACCAAAATTCAATGGAGAGTTAATAAATCTGAATCTTTAATATTTACTCTGCCTGAAAAACAATTGACACATTTTGTTGTTGTCAGATATTTTATAACAAGACTAACATTACAGTGACCTATATATAAAATTATTGTTATAATTTATTATTCCATATTATTGCTTAAGTCTATCACATATAATGCAGAATCTTGGACACAGGCACTTAAATATCAAAACAATGAGATGTGAAACAGGAATAAAAGGTAAAATAGCCAGAAAGAAAAAAGTTATGAATTGAAGAATGATAATTTATTAAGAAAATCAATGGGAAAAGTAGTAGATGTAATAACATAGTTGAGAAAATTATCTGGATATAAGAGAACTATCAAAAAATTGCCAAGATTCTATACTTTAAGCAATTACCATTAAGAAAGTGTAACAGGAAAGCTTTTTCCATTCAAAATTGCAATAAATGATAAATACAGAAAAAAACCCTAACCAACTACATAGCTATGCAAATCAATGATAAATTCATTCATGAATATGAATTGGCAAACATAAATTACCAAATATTTGTAAAAAATGAGTAACAGAAACAGAAGGACTAGGATAAATAAACAGAAAAACTGACTTTAGAAGAAACAGAGACAGCTCAAGGAAAGGTCAAAATGGTGATTTGATAGTCTCGAAGACATTTAATGATGCCATCTCCACTGCAAGGAAGAAGAACAGGCTACTATAAAAGGAGCAGAGACCATGACAAAGTCATACAAAAGAAAAAACATGATTGACAACATAAAATATGTACAGACTAAATAGTAAATTAAATGGAGCAAAAGACCAAGTTGGTGATCTAGATATTTAAGTTCAGATACTATCCCAGGATATAGAGTAAAAATGCAGAGATGTAAATATGAGCAAAAAGATGGGAAGATAGATCCAGATTGTTCCTTTCCAGTGTAAGAGAGATTCTATAAGTAATAAATAATCAAAAGAAATAGTAAAATATACTTTCACCAGGCTAAGAAAAAAATCACAAGTCCTAAGAATGAAAGGGCCCTCCAAGTATGGGAAGAAATTAATGAAAAAAAAAAAAAAGATCCACATCTAGACACATACTGGAAAGTTTCAAAATTCTAGTGGTTTCCAAAGAAACTAAACGTATTACCTACAAAGAATAAGAATCTAACTGACACCAGACTTCTCATCACCACAATAAATGCTAGAAGAAGAAGAAACAAGCCATCTATTTCTTAAGAGAAAATTATTTGAATCAAAATGTCTCTGCTCTGCCAAATTACCAATCAAGGGTCAACAAAAGGCATTTTTAAACATGCAAGAACTCAGAAATATTATCATCCAAGAATTCAATAAGAATATATTATTCATGGAAGTAAAAGAGAAATCCCAAAAAAGAGTTTTAAAGAGAATGTGATGAGAATCAAAAAGCAGTGGCGTCTGATTACGACCCAGAAGAAGTAAAAGAAGCTGAAAATAACTAAATGAGGATCCACCGGACCTTGACCTTTGAAACTATCTATTCTCTGCAAAAAGATTTTTAACACAGGGTTGCTTTTCCTTCAAAATGGGCCCAATCAAATGACTTAGTTCTTTCTGTTTTGAGGGTCTTAATTTTTAAAAAGTGTCTTTAGAGCAATAACAAAAGAGCTTAATTTTATTAAAGGAAAAAATGTAAATGACATAAACCTTAACAATTCAGAAATGATAGAAATCAGAAGTTGAAGCAGGAAAGGGAAGTGAGAGGTAGTAAAATGCTCTTGATTCCTCATGGGGGATGTAGCATACACTAGCACACAAGGCAGGAAAGAATGTTTAAGTGTGAATATATTGAGTAACAAAATAATGAATTTCCTTGATCAAAAAGACCAAATGAGAACATGCCTCTCTTTCCTCCCCAATGCAATAAAACATAAAGCAAAATGAAAACGTATAAACCCGTACTATCACAGAGAACTAACAGGAGGGGAACTATCAGAACACAAGAGATTTCAAAAAGTTTCTGAAATAGGGAGGAAGAAGTTCTGATAATTAAAACAGAGTGAGAGGAACCTCAAACTAGATAGAATTCATGGGGAGGAAGTTGTAGTGGAAAAGGAGTTAGGGTGTCCCAGGTGCGAAAACACGTCAGAGGGCGGGAATGAGGAAAATAGCTCAAAAGTTTTAATCTGGAAGAGTTAGCCACTTCACCATATATCCCAGTCCCTACCCTTGTCCCCAGACAGACAGAGAGCCACACATTATCTCTAGGTCCTCTCCTCCAAAATATAGGGTTCTTCACTAAAGGAATTAAACTCTCTGAGGAGAACTAGGGAAGCCAATGTGAAGTCCCCCTCTTTCTGGTATTTGGGGGACATCCAGGGTCCACACCCTTTCTATCTAAAGTGAACAAACCTCTCAATTCATGGAACTGCCAGACGTCTTTTCTACACAGCCCCTCATGCCCTCAAACTTAAGTGGAAATGGATGGAATTGATGGACAAGTGAAATGCAATAGCAAAATAAAATAAAGAGATCAAAACAAGCTCTTGAAAAACTGATCTCAGGGAAACAGAAGATCCAAACAATCAATGATGACTTAAAAAGAATCTTGAGTATTCACAAATCA
Source organism: Homo sapiens (assembly GCF_000001405.40). Lineage (NCBI taxonomy): Eukaryota > Metazoa > Chordata > Mammalia > Primates > Hominidae > Homo > Homo sapiens. The sequence continues at coordinate 105,864,250 of NC_000006.12, forward strand.
CTAATGTTTTATTGAAGTATAAAATACATACAGAAACATGAACAGATCATAAGTGTACAGCTCGATGTAACATCAAAAAGTAACTACCACCTATATCACTCAGATTAAAAACAAAACAAAAATCTTACCAGCATGCCCGAAGCCCCCTCCATGCCCCCTCCATTCAGGTACTACTCCCTCTCTCTTCCCCAAAGGAACCTGACTCCTAACACCATAAATTTGTTTTGTCTCTGAGTTTTATATAAATGGAGGGTGTGATAAGTATGTTTCTGCCTTCTTTCCCTTCACATTGTGTTCATGAGATTCATCCATACCGGTTGTGTGTAGCTGCTGTTCATTCATTCTTACTGCAGCATAGCAATCCATTGTAGAAATAAGCCATAATTTTTTATTCTCTGTTGCTGATCATTTGGTGGTTTCCAGTTTTAGTCTTTTACAAATGGTGCTATTGTCAACAATTTTTACATGTGTTTTGGTTCACATATGACACATTTCTGTTGGATATAGAAATAGAAGTGGAATTGTTAGGTCACAGGGTATGCTAAATTCAACTGTAATAGATAATAGCAAACAGTATTCCAAAATGGTTGTACCGATTTACACACCCACTAGCAACATATGAGAGTACTGGTTGATCTTATGCCCTTCTCAATCCTTGGTAAAATCAGTTGTTCTTGTTTTTTTGTGGTTGTATGATTGAAGCTTTATTGTATTCCCTGATTACTAATGAGGTCAAGCACATTTTATATATGTATTGGATGTTTAGATATTAGATATACTTACTGGATGTCTTATGCAATGGCTATTTTTTTGTCTTGCCCATTTTTATTGTGTTGACTTTTTATTAATGAGGGGTGTGTGTGTGTGTGTGTGTGTGTGTGTGTGTAGAAAGAAGCTTTTATATGTTCTAGATAGGAGCTCTTCATTAATTATACATATTGCAAATATTTTTTCCCACTATATAGAAAAATAGAATAAATATCAGACAATAGAAAGAGCAAGAAGCTGGGAGATATTTGATACACAAAGTTCTATGCCTCTCATGAATGAAACAACTCTCAGAAAAGGTTTGACCGTCTTTGTGCCTTAAGAGAATTTTGTGGCCACCTGAGGAGAGCTTCCTTTAAAGCACTGAATCATGTTGGGCCATCAGAATAAGTTTCCCATAGAATAAGCCCCAATCTTGGCAGACAGGGTCCTCCTGGCATCCCCTCAGCATGAGAGGTGGGTGAAAGCTGCTGCATGTCCTCACTGGAGACTCAGGCTTGGGTTATCACACGCTTATGGAATGCAGAGTAGAACGACAGGGTCCTCAGTTGGAAGCATTATCCTCAATTATTCTCTTGCCCTCACTCTCCACATTTAATCCGTGAACAAACCCCATGGACCCTCCTTCCAAAACATGCTACTAACATGTCCCCTTCTCCTCTTCCAGCGCAGCCACTTTAATCAAGCCACCACATCACCGGCCTGGAGTCCTACACAGCCCCATCCACTTCCTTCCACTCTCGCCCCTCTACAATCCCTTCTCCACATAACAGCCAAGTGGCCATTTTAAAATGGAAATCAACTTGTCAGTTTCCTATTCCAGTGGCTTCCACCGTTCTCAGAATAAGATCTAGCCTATTCTTCAAACCCCTCCTTGATCTGGTTCCTATTTCTCTACCTCATCTCCCTATATCTTCTCACCTCGTCCATCAGCCCTCACCTCCCTGGCCCTCTTTCTGTCCTTGGATATGAAAAGCTTGGTCCTAACTCGGAACCTCTGCCCACTCATTGCTTCTCCCCCATGTTATTGACTCCTTTTTGTCCCTTTCTTAGAGAGGCTTTCCTGATCATTCAGACTGAAGGAGCTACCTGGTCCCTCTCTATCACAAAACCCTACTTTTGTGTTACCTACTGGTTTTGTCATGTTGCTGTTGTTTATTTGCTTGCTCATTGTTGAGTGTCTCCACACACTCAAGTACCTCTGTGCGGGCAGGACAACATGTGTCTCCTTCTCATCTTGTACCCAGCACCTAGCACAATGCCTATGTAGAGAAGGAGCTCAATAAATATCTGTTGAATGGAAGAGTGAACATTCAATCGTTGCTGTCCCTGTGAGACCCCATTTGGGATCCATTGAACTCTAAGCACTTGAAGAAACACATTGTCTATATGAGGGGTTGGATTTAGTAGTCTTTCAGGTATTATAAATTAAAATTAGCAATTATCATGTTGCTTTGCTAATTTTGCCCCCAAAAGAAGCTTTTAAAAAAATTCTTAGCTATCTTTTCAAATTTGGATGTAGGGTGAGTACCTTGCTTTTCCTAGGCAAGGATGGAATCAAACTTGGCTTCTCCTGGTTTGCAGTTACAGATAGAAACTCCCCACAATTCCATTTAGGAGAGCACTCTCAGCTCCTTGAATTCAGGCAGTTTCACCAAGGATTTGAAGAAATCCTTACTCCCACAGGACTTTCTTAGCTCCTAAATTTTATCCTTTGCTTTTGTGTAAGGGAGACTAAACATTAGACATATTGAGAATTAGAATAAGTCCCAAGAAAGAAATAGACAAGAAATCTAATTGCAGAGTAGGCTTCAATAAAGACAAGCTAATTATTAAATAAATAACACAGCTTGCTGGCCTCTTGGTTAAAAGTATTTGTGTAATTCACCCATAGATATAGTTCTAACAATATTTAGCAGCTGCCATGTATCAAAAATGTATTATGTGCCATGCAGTGGGTTAATTCTTACCTAGTTAAAGGTAGAATAAATTGATCTTATCAGGGTACTAGATCAAGCCTGGAAGAATTGAGTTCTTATTATATGGGATAGATAATTCAAAGGTTGGTGCCCTTGTATGAACTAAAATCAGAATGACTAGTTTCTCCTTGTCCCTGCTAAAATTACAATGCCAGAAATTGACTGTTGGAAAGTCCTGAAATTCCAAGGAACCCCAGGAGATACAAAGTTGAATGTAAGATACAATGCCTGCCTTCAAGTTGTTCACCATCCTGAGTGGGAAAGACAAATAGGTAAATCCAATCCAGAATGCCAAGGACTATAAAAAGGAATAAGAACAAAGGAGGAAGCATGGGGTTCTCCGAGGAAGTGATGTCTAACCTGAGTTCCTGAAGGAGGAATAGGAGTCTGGAAGGAGTACTCCTCCCCGGCAGAGGGGCCAGCACATGGCAAGGACTAGTGTGAGAAAGGGCACCATTCATTAGGGGAAGTGAAAGCAATTCAGTATTGGCCAGGGAGCAGAGTGTGTGCGGACATGGTAAGACGTGATGCTGAGAAGTAAACGGAATCTAGGCCATGAAAACTTTGTAAGCCATGCTAAGCAGTTTGGAAATTATCACATGAGCCATAGTGATTCTCTGAAGAATTTAAAGCCAGGGAGTGATTGATCAGATTTGTGTTTAGAAAAATCACTTTCAAGGGGTGGGACTGGAGCCAGGAGTGGGTAGTGGTTGCAAGAAGATCATGGTGTTGGTATCATTGGCCAAATTAGAAGCAATAGGAATGAAGGAAGTAGTACAAGAAAATAGGAGGAGAGGGAAGTAAGCAGAAAGTAAGAATGACTTCCAGGTTTTCAGATGACTATTCTGGAAGAAAAGATTACACTTTGCAATATATGATCAAGGATGTTTCCAGATCAGGAAAGATGTGTTCATTTGTCTTTCAAGACTCTGAATTCCACAGATCCACGATTACAGTGCCACTAATACCATCAGGGACTCAACCATAGTTAAGAGGAAGCTCTAAACTCCAGTTTCATGCACTGAGGGAATCCATTTCATCTGAGGAGGAAGAGGACTTGAAAGGAAGTTAACCAGAGGCACCAACTGATTATAGTCTAGGCAGAGAACTAGGGAGAGGAAAATTAGATGTTGGTCAATCTAAAGAATAGACCTTCCTGGCAAGCAAGCAAAGGGAAAATCAAGTAGAAGAATGGAATGATTCGTGTTAATGGGACATCACTGAGCAAGCAATTTCCAAGGGGGGATAAGTTCACGGCAGAACTGGATCGCATCCCATTTGATAGAATGTGCTGATTTGCTGAGAAGGTTGTTATGCAAAGGTGTGAAGAGGGCAGCATTAGAACTTAATAAGCTGGCTCAGAAATGTCTCAGTTGTCTTCAGAACTGCTTCTTGTTTGTTGTAAGGGAATTGGGATGGGGGTTGGGAGAGACAACGTTGGAGAGGATTGGAGATCCTCTTTAACCAACTTACAGAACTCACCCAAGTCCTCTGTGGAAGGCTGCAGCCTTTGTGTACGTGGTTGTTTTACAGACTGAGATATAACTAAGACCAGAAATGCTGAACTAATTCCGAAGCAGTCAACCACCACAAGAGGTTTATAGGGGCAGCATGCTAAGGAAACTCACCAAGAAACAGACAAACACCACTGTTGACAAGCCTTCTGTCTTAAAGCCTAATGTTTTCTCCTGGGGAAATGAGATAGACCAAGAGAAGCCACAAGGCCCCTTTTTGTCTAGAAGCGGTGCCCTGAGATCTCGAGAAGTTCTCCAGTTGGGCTTTAAAAATCCCCACAGATCCAAAGTATTCTTGGGGGTCAAGGGGGTCTCTACAATTTTTCAATTTTGTGTTTCCACTTCAATAATTGTGAAAATTAATATAATCATATTTGGGAGTGTCTTTATGATTCCTTCAAATCCAGGCCTGCCCTTTAATGCCAGTGCTATCTTTGTTTCTAGCGTACAGTCACATTGGTGGCAAGTAGTACTTTGTTGTCATGGACTAATGGGTGTTGGAGGAGGTGGGGAGACAGAAAACTTACGCAATAGAAGTGATTTTCCAAGTGAAGTACTACTAAGTACTCCAGTAATGCTAGTGTACTAAGGTAATGTTAGGGTATATAAGTAGCTAAGTAGGTAATACTTACAATGCTAAGATAATTTTAAGGTAATAAGATGGCAGTCAGGAAGAAAGAGCTACATCCTGCTTTAATAAATGACAAGGCATGTCATCTTAGTCAGAAATGCCCCAGGGGAGAACTCAGGGGACACACAGGCAAGGCAAGCAGGAGAAAGGGCTGTGAACACAGCCAAGTGGCTACCTGAGAGCATCAGAGATTAGAGTAAAAAGGGGTGGAGGAAGCTCTAGGTCAGGATGGGACAGAAGGACCAGAAAGGAAAGTGCTTGGGAGACCTTAAGTATGTGGGAAGAACTTTGTCTTAAAAAGAGTCCTTCACAAAGGTAGTGTTTACCCCTGATTCTTTTCTTCTCCTCAGCCTCTTCCGTGTTAGTGGTTTTGTTGTGCTGTGCATTCAAGAATACCAAGGTTTGAGTTGTAATTTGTTAGTATAAATTCTTAAGGCCAGAGTGACCTTTTTTTAGACTAGAACACTGTTGCACTTTTTCACATTCTTCTGCTTATGTAACAAGGACAAGCATACAGCTAAATGGCATTTGCGGGCCAACACTAAATTCATTCATTTACTCGACTCAGTACATTGACTGAGTACTGATTCTGTGGTAGCCATTAGGATACAGTAAAGAACAGAAGTAGCTCAGTCCCTGCCCACGTGCAGCTTTCTACAGAGTAGTAATCTAGGGAATAGCCAACATTGCCAGGCCATGCTAAAGGTGTAAAAGTTCCTCTCCACTCTGACACTGCACTTATTTTTCCAATAAAAATAATAAAATAAATGTCAATGTACTCATAAATCGATAGCACCAGAGGTTATTTTGATGTTCTCTGGGACCTTCGTATTCAAAGAGTAGCTCACATTCCAGCACCTGCAGCATCACCGGCAGCTTCTCAGAAATGCAGAGTCCAGGTCCCGCCTCAGACCTGCTGAGTCAGAACCTGCATTGTTACCCAACTGACCCTTATGCACATCAACATTTGAAAAGCCCTTTTCTCTTAACATGTTTTAAGAGAAATGGCTGCCTTTTCACCCAAGAGGATAAATCTGCAAATATTTTATATGGTTATTTGGAAACTATCATTTAGATCTGGTTATAGTTTCTCTGGATGTGCACTATCTCAATGGATCTTGGGCCAGCCAAGAAAAGTGTGTCTGTTTAATAGTCTAAAAATAAATTTTCAAGTTCCCTTTAGAACTTCTGCATTTCTCATACTTAGTTTTTAACTTTTACTTCCAAATGGTCTACTGAAGGAAAAGAAAAGTCTTGATTGCTTCGACTTTTCTCAAAAAAATTATGAAACTTTTAACCTTGGAACTCACTGATTTAGAATATTTATTAAGATTTCTAAAAATAATAAAAAATTTGATTATGTACCAATAGAGCCTCACAGTTGAAATCTTTAAAAATTAAGAATGTTAACTATCACAGATGTTTTCTGCCAATTACAGTAAGGATATGTATTCTCTATTGTCAACTACAAAGATAACCTAGAGAATTAATGTTTTATATTTATATATGTACATCTGCATGTCTGGGTGTGTGGGTGAAAGGAGAGAGAGAGAGAGGGAAACTTTGCAAAACAATGTTAAATAAAACTATTTCAAGACCTCCTTGTTGAACACTCAAACAACAAGGAAAGTCAGAATTGTTTGGAAAACACTTTATCAGTTCTAATCCCTTCACATTCTCTATTCCACTCTCCTGCCTCAGAGCTTTTCCTCTACAGTTTTAATCGCCTACAGTGCTTTTTCTTCTCCTTACAAACTTTCTTCATCGCCAATTATCCTGGGTGTCTTTTACGTCTTTCTTTCCTGGACTTCTACTACTGACACTCCCCTACGGCATCACACTATTAACTGACACTTCAATATGCTTTATATTTTTTACTGCTAAGATTTTAAGCTCTGTGAGGCAGAACTTAAACTATAGATATATAAGAAAATTCCAAGCACATAATAGCTACTCAATAAATAATCATCAGTTGATTAGTCAACTATATAAAACTATACTTGAATTGAATGAACAAGGGTAAGAAAGCCTTCATGTTACTTAATTTAAATGAAGCTGAATATAATTAGAATTAATCAGATTGGCAATAGACACCTGGCCTAAGATCAAGAGATCTGGGGGTTTCACAGTATTTGGTTACTCTTTTTTTGTTCAGTTTCCCCTTCCAGTTCGCTAAAAAACAAACAAAAAAAAATTATAAAAGGTTCTTTTCAGAATGTTTCTGTACCCACAAATTTTATCAGTATTAGTAACAACCCGATGAGCACAATCAGATGGGAGCTATAAATAAAAGGAACAGTCTAATAAGAATTCACAGGCACGTGTCTATCATCTAAGAAGACATAGCTCAACTTGAAACCCTGTCTACACATGACTCCATGGCTGACCCCAAAAAGCCCAAAATTAATTTAAAAATTTCCCATCCTCTTTCCTTTTTGATATTTTATAAATATGATGCTAAATCTTTAAAATCCACTAAAAGTCCCATCTCTTCCATGAATCTTTCCTCTACGGAAAATCACCACTCCTCTCGTCTGTAAACTGCAATTAAACTGAGATTTCAAACCACCTCAAAGGGTATTCGTTCTCATAAATGCTTTGTGTTCTTATCTTATCTCTCCAGCTAGATTTAAAACCTTTGATATATCTATACAAGCCTAGGTACACAGACACACAGAGAAATTTGCTAATCAAGCCGAACAATTTTAGTTACAGTTCAAGAAAGATGATATTTGCTCAAGTGTAGTCGGATAGGAAGTTTTAGCACTGAATTAAAGTCCTAAATAAGAAAGGTAGAAGATTAGGAAATGCTGAATGCAAATAATGAATTGTTTTGTATCTCAAAAATGTTTGGGTCCATAGATTTTTCTGAAACTCATGGGACATCAATTTTAAATGCATATGCTTATGAACGTGACATCTTCTGGGTTGAAGCATCAGCTCATAAGAAGGCACATGGTCTCTACTTATAGACTAGACTCAGAGAGTCTAATAAATTCAATTCGGAGTTATTCTTTTCCAAAATCAAATGCCAAATCTTTTAACACTGGCCAGTCCTCATAAAACAGTCTATCAAACATAATGGAAAATTTTTTAAAGTTCCTGGAATAAATGTCACTCCGACTATATTTTTTTCTTATCCAATGGGAAAACAGCACAAGACTCAATTTTATTAGAAAACTGTAGCATTCCAAATTTCATCATAGTCAACTCATTCTTAGCACCCAGACCCAGTCCCATGCACGTCACCCTACCACCCTCACTCCCCAGTTCCCAGTGATAGGCAAAAAAAAAAAAAGAAAAAAAAAAAGAACTTCACCCAAGTTCTGCTGACGTCAATAGGGTGTTTGCGTGCAAAGTCTGGTGGATGGATTGAAGACAGTGTGTTGTAACTTTTCTTAAGGCCCCAATTATTCAAAGAAACCTCACTTCTAAAGGGAAGTATCAAAAATCCAGAACTCTCTTTCAAGGAAAAAGCAGCAAGTAAATCTCAAAAGAATTAATAATGGATAATGCCCTAAACCTCATAGTAATAACAAACGGTGATCATACATCCTTAGGGAAAAAAATGCAAAGGAAAAAAGCATAACTAAGAAGAGAATCATAAGTATCCACAATTGCTTATATTTGAGGCTTTTTGTTTTTTGTTTCTTAAACATTTTCAGTTATGTCAAATACCATCTGCAAATGTAAGTTCTCAGAGTTTTCTGACTATGGTACTGAACATTCAGATACTGTAAAGAGCCATTTGCTCAAGATAATAATTAATATTTATTCCAAAATAATAAACGTGAGATGCTGGACTTCGTGCTACACAGTGGGGAACAAAGAGTACCTAAAAAAAAAAAACAACTAAATTTGAAGAGAAATGTTCTTGCTCTCAAACATTTACAATCGAGTTAGAATAACAGGTATAACATATTCTGCCTTGTTTTCACATACATTTGCTACATGTCTGATACATATATGAAATAATGGAATAAAGCTTTAAACAGCAATCAATCAATAAAAGCAATGAAGTTCCATGTGTACTGGATGGGTGTGGCCAATCCAAGTGCATCCTAAGAAGTGTGAGCAGAGATAAGTAGGTATCTGGGGCAAGGGTGATTTGCCCCCAAGGAAACATTTTTTTGGCCAATTCTTAAGACTGTTTATTTCCTGCACTATACTTCATCACAAGACGGCAGACTGGAAAAATATCTCCACGACTTGGAACTGTTCTTGTTTACAAAGCTGTGTCAACTATAAGTTCAAAATAAGGGCATACTTCTTTTTCAATTTCTATATGAAAAGAAATCCTTTCATTCCAGGAAAGATAGCATTACCCAAATGAATCACAAAATTGTTCCTTTGACACACTTCAGATTTGTGGTTGTTAGAAACAACTCTCAAATAGAAAACACTGTCTAATTGTCAGTAGCTTGTTCCTCTGAGTCTTTTATTAGGGTTGGTACAGACCAGCTGACAAGTTATTTCAATTCATTTCAGTTCTATAAACCATCTGTAAAGAGCTGTTCTCAGGGCTGAAATGATACAAAAAAGGAAGAACAAAGAGTTGCTACCCCATCTCTCCGGTGGACTCACTCGCACAGAATGATGTTAATAACCCCACAGCAGCAGGGACAGAAATACAGCCAGTCTGGTTATCTTAACCTTTATAGCTTGCTTTTTTTCATGCGCAAAAATTCCATTAGTGGAGCTGAGCATTTTATTTAGCATTTGAATTTTACTACTTTTGTCTTAAAGGGCAAACCCAACTACATAGGCATGACTTTTTTTCTTTGAAGTCCCAGAGCACTCTACCTAGAACTCTCATAAGACACTTACGTTCTCTACCCAACCTGACAGTTGTTTCAGGTAAGTGGTATGTTTGCTTGTTCAGATGCCTCCCGCTGAGGAAGTAACTCAGTAAAGAGTTAACCACTCACTGCCTGGCACAGTGAATGAATGAATCAATGGAGAATAGATTCTATGCTCTCTGGGGGCAGAGTGCATATCTAATTATTCATTGTATGCCCCAAAATACACAACAGGGTTTCAGTAAATAGGTGTTATATCACTGAACTGAATCACCATATCTTAGAGTCAGTGCAGCCATATGCAGATATCCCTTCTGCAGCATCTATTATGGGTGACCACTCAACATCTCTTGGAATGCTTCCAGTGACAGTGCTCAGTACTTCTGCTGCAATTTCAACCCTTAGGTTAACATGACAAACAAAAAAGAATTAATCATATCTTCATCTAGATATAGTGCTGTTCAAGCAAATTAAAATATATTAATTATTCTTGCCTTCCTTTTTTTTTTTTTTTTTGAGATAGGGTCTTGCTCTGTTGCCCAGGCTGGAGTGCAGTAGTGCAATCTCAGCTCATTACAACCTCTGCCTCCTGGGTTCAAGTGATTTTCCTGCCTCAGCCTCCCAAGTAGCTGGGATTACAGGTGCGTGCCAGCATACCCGGCTAATTTCTTGTATTTTTAGTAGAGACAGGGTTTCACCATGTTGGCCAGGCTGGTCTTGAACTTCTAACCTCAAGTGATTTGCCCGCCTTGGCCTCCCAAAGTGCTGGGATTACAGGTGTGAGCCACTGTGCCTAGCCTATCCTTGCCTTTCTAAAGATTGCATTTTCTAGCAGAGTATCATTGCTGAGCCCAACTCAATGTCCCCAGGTGTCTGTTTGTAAGAGTTGATCACCTGTGACAGTGCGCTTCACAACACAGATTTGACTTCCACCGCAGACTGTCCAAAATTTCAATTGTCGGTACCCCAGAATCACCTACGAGCCTTGTAAAAATACGAATGCCAGACTCTGCTTCTGACTCACTGCATCAAAGTATCTAGGGGTGAGGTCTGGGTATATAATTTATCTAACTAGGGTTGAAAAATGCTGAGATAAGGACATTTTTGCTTTAAAGCTCAAGAAAGAGAGACATTTTTGTGCCAGGAATCCTTCAGTCTTGAGTGAGAGAATCAAGGGCATGGAGGGGAAGAAAGATGTGGAGACATTTCCTTGTCCAGCTCCACAGACTTTTTGGGCTTCTACGAGGGAAGCAATCAGTGAGAGTTGAGAGGGCCCATGAATCTGTAGGCCATACAGCTCCAGGGCTAGAAGGACAGCAAGCATGGTGATGCAGCCCAGATGGTCAGGTTCTCAGGGAGGGCAACAACAGCCACAGCCACCAGACACCCTCAAGCAACAAGAAGAGCCAGGGTGGGAGAATCAGAACGGGCCAGAGGTCACAAGGTGGCTGTGGTTAATAGACCGACTTGAGCACATGGCAGACACCCTGCCTGGGGACTTCCAGACTAATTCAAGAGGAGGACTCTACAGGGAGATTCATTCACTCATTAGAACACTACAGGGAGATTCATTCATTCATTTAATACATACTTATTGAGCACCTACTCTCAGCCAGGCTCTCTTAGAAGTTCCAAGATTACAGGAGATAGGAATAAATGTAGAATCTCACTTAGGAAACCTGAGTTCTTAGTGCTCATGTGACCCACAAGGCTCCAACTAGCAAAGTCCTGAGGCATTAGGAATAGAACTTGAATACATAACGTGGAATTAGGTATACACGAAGAGATAAGGGTGAGTATCTCCTTTTCTGACTTTTACTTGAAGAAAAAAAAATCACTTTTTGAAGACAGAGAAAGATATACATATAGATAGAGATAGATACAAACAAAAAAGATAGATAGACCTTAATGTGTGTAGGTGTATATACACATATGTGTGTGTGTGTGTATATATGGTTGGTGCAAAATTAATTGCAGTTTTGCCATTCAAAGTAATGGCAAAGGCTGTGCAATTACTTTTGCACCAACCTAATATATACACCTACACACATTTTTCAAGGCATAATCCCATGCATGCACTGAGAGTTTCTTGGGATACCAGGCGTCTCTTATCCACCAAGTTAAACTTGTCTCATCCCACTTTGCCCTAGAGCCCTCAGAAGGATTGCAAGCAGAGTGCAGCCTCCCCTTTGTTCTGGCTGCAGCTGTCTCTGCCTGGATGAGCTCTCTAAGAGCCCAGGGTAACGGTCTTGACCGTGACTACTTACCGAGAGGCTATGAAAGGATAAACAGGCAGCCACATGAACGCAATGCTCTTTAATTACGTGGTCCCACCATGGAAGGAAGGCCGGCAGACAGGCAGACACATTCCAATTACACTAATACACCTTGTAAACATCAAATATTTTTATTCTGAGATTAAAGACAGCCTGTATCCTCACAACACTCCTGAGACCGTGCGTCTCAGGGCTGCCAGTGCTGCTGGTGAAACAGGATTTCCTTTGATTAAAATAGACTTTCATATAAATAACAGCCTCAAGTCTAGAGGTGGTCAAATGTAACTTCCACTGCAGACTGTCCACAATCTCAATTGTAGTTCTTAAAAATCTTTCAGAAAGGACAGGGTTCATGTTCTCAGAGGAAACTGATTAACCTAGCCTCGTTTTCTTCCAGTTTTTACCCTACCTATCCAGAGTCGGCAGTCAATTGGTTCCCTTGGTTAACGCTTGGTGGCAGTGGGCCTTGAGGCTTAAATCTGGTTGTTGTGTGGGTCACCTGCCTTCACTTGGTGTCAGCTCTTCCTGAGTCACAGACCGAGATGTTACTAACCCAGCCAAATTCTTTTATCCAGGCCAGCGGGGAACCAGTGACCTGAACGTGCAAGGTGAGTTGTCTGGGTACCTCGCCACTGGTTGTAAGCTAATCTGTAGAGAAAAAGTGATGAAATTCAGCAAAACCATTCATATGCCTTTCTGATAGTGAGCCTTTTCATGTGAGTCATCATCATAGGCAAAAAAGTCTTTGAAGCTCCTGATCCTATATCACAAATAAATGTTAGAACTAATAAATAAACTCCCAAAGAAATAGGTTCTCTATTTGAACCAATAAAACAACTTGTATAAGATGAAAACTTCTGGTCTACTCCATTCAGGCTGCTGTAACAAAATACCATAGACTGGGTGGCTTAGAAACCATAGAAATGTATTTCTTACAGTTCTGGAGACTGGGGGGTAAAAGATCAAGACGCCAGCAGATTCAGTGTCTGGTGAGAGCCCACTTTCTGCCTCATAGATGTTGCCTTTTCATTGTATCCTCACGTGGTAGAAGGGGTGAGTCTCTCTCTTGGGTTTCTTTCATAAGGGCACTAATCCCATTCATGAGGCCTGCACTCCTATGTCCTAATCACCTCCCAAAGGCCCTAACTCCTAATACCATCACCTTGGGATTAAGAGTTCAACATAAGAATTTATGGGGAGACACACATATTCAGACTATAGCACCATCTTAGTGCAAACAACTCCACGTTACAACGGTAGCTCTTTGTGGATGGTCTGCTAAATAGTTACAGGCAACCGAGTCTTTACACAGGCATTGCAGTGTCAATACCTAGGCAAGTTTAATACATAAAAAAAAGCAGACAATGAATCCTTGAAAACTATCCTATTGTGACATGAACCATCAACTCTAATTTCTATATCACATTAATTTGAATTTTTATATGTCATTTCTTCAAAGTGGGTGCCAATGCTACAAATTGGAGGAAATTATGCTTTATGAGTTCCTCTGCAAAACACAGTCTCTCTGGCACAGGGAGGTGATCTAGGAATCCAGATTCAGTGACTCTCCTGCTTTAGTGGCCCTTTATGGAAAAGCTCCAAGATACTTGGGGATACTCGAATGGCTCAAAAGACAAGAGGTGGGCAAGGTGGTCCTGAGAAAAGGCAAACCCATTTAGTTCCTCATGCCCACCCATGACAGTCCATCCCAGCTTAGGCTTTATATAGATTAAGGTGAACACCAAGGGAAGGCCCAAGGGCAAGGCACAGTGATTAAAGGGTAGTAAGATACAAGGTAAGTGTGAGATACAAAGAAGGGGCTTCCCTATACTTAACACATTTGGGTTAGGGAGATCATTAAGCTCATTGTTGACACTTTGGAAGCCACAGCATTCATTGGTTTATCCACTCAATAAATACCCTGACTACTTAGCTACTGTTTAACAGGTTCTGTGATGAGGGCTTAGGATAGAAACACAGGTTGGACAAAGCCCATGACTTCAGGGTGTTTATAGTCTGGTATAACAGACAGAGAAGGAAACACTGGGGGCAATAGAGCCCATCTGAAATGTGTCTTAGGAATATCACTATGGTTCAGGAGGAAAGAACATATTTGAGGAAGATCAGACTGAAAGCAGGGAGACCAGGTAGAACATTATCGCCCAAGTTCAGGATTAAGGCAACCGGGGCTTGTACTATGGCAGTGACCATGGGAACGGAGAAGAAAAGAGAAGCTGGATCCAAGTCTAGGGGCCAAGTTTATGAGGCTAAATTGTGACAGGATTTAAGGAAAGAGGAAGAACCACATCTAGAATGACACCTAGGCTATTGGGTGCTGGAAAAGGAATACAGGACAGTGGGAAGGGGGGCGGTAGGGAGCAGTTTTGGGGAAAGGTATGCCGGATGATTTGAGATTGGAATGTTTTGAGTTCAAGCTTCCTGTTGTACGCTTAAGTTAAAGTGCAGAAGAGAAGTCAATGCTGAATAAATATATCTAGGAGTCGTCAGGTTACTAAAATAAAGAGAACAAATGAGATCTCCCAGGGAGAACACAGGGAATGGAAAGGAAGGCAAAGAGGCTCTGAGCAAGGGGTGGTGACGGGCGGCACCATCACAGCACAGAGGCACACTAGACATGTTTTTCAATTAGAAAAGAGTCTGGTGGAAAAACCACAATGAGATATCATCTCACCCCAGTTAAGATGGCTATTATCAAAAAGTCAGAAAATAGCAAATGCTGGAGAGGATTCGGAGAAAGGGGAATGCGCATACACTGTTGATGGGAAGGTAAATGAGTACAGCCACTGTGGAAAACGGTATGGAGGGTCTTCAAAACTCTAAAACAGAACTACCACATGATCCAGCAATCTGACTGCTTCACAGAGATCCAGAAGAAAGTAAATCACTATATCAAAGAGATACTGCACTTCCATGTTTATTTCAGCACTATTCACAATAGCCAGGATATGAAATCAACCTAAGTGTCCATCAAAGGATGACTGGTAAAGAAAATATGATACACACACACACACACACACACACACACACACAGTGGAATATTATTCTTCCAAAAAAGTAAGAAAATCCTGTCATGTGTAGCAATATGGATGGAATCAGGAGGACATGATGTATAAGCCAGTCACAGAAAGACAAATATTGCATGTTCTCACTCGTATGTGGGGCTTAAAAGATTTGATTTTATGGGCGTGGTGAATACAGTAGTGGTTACTAGAAGCTGGGAAGGGTAGTGGGATGAAGAGGGGTTGGCAACAGGTACAAAAGTACAATTGGATAGAAGAAATAAGGTCTAGTGTTCAGTAGCACAAGAGGAAAACTATAGTTAACAATAATCTATTGTATATTTCAAAATAGCTTGAAGATTTGGAATGTTCCCAACACAAAGAGATGATCAATTTTGAGGTGATGGCTGTTCCAGTTACCCCAACTTGGTCATTACACATTGGATGCTTTTATCAAAATATCACATGTACCCCATAAATATGTACAACTATTATATATCAATGAAAGAAGCTTAAAGTGTTTTTTTAAGAGTCTAGTGGAAAAGCAGAAGATGAGTGAAAATAATAAAGGAATACTAAAGATGGAGAGATTGCCCTGTAATAAGCATGGTACATTTCTGCTAAAATTTACTGTATTTGATTATAAATACCAAATTCTCACTAAGTTCAATAAACCTTTTCTAGTTAAAAAAAAATTATTTGTTCCTTTTTCTTAAACTTTGTGTGGGGATTGTTGCATTAAAAGTGACTTCATTTCCAATTCCAAAATAGTTTTTACTTTTTGTAAAAACTGAAAGTGATGATGCTTCTGAGCAGAAATGGGTGAGTATGTTGAAGACTGCCTTCTTTTGTGAAATCAAGTTCATATCAAACACTTTTTGGCTAGAATTACTAATGCATTACGAAGACTCCTATTTCTTTAAATAGAAAATAAAAGTCCACTTTCCCATAACTTAGATCAGGAAGGCTGCTTCTTGTTGGCCGGGGGTTTTTTATAGTTGCAGCTTAAATTCAGGATGATTTTTATGAGGCAAGGAAGACGTAGATCCTTCTGCAAAAAGAGGAACTTTCACAATTAGTGAAAACCAAGAGTGCTGACACGAGGGACTGGGGAAGATGCTATAACCACAGCGCGTGATGAAGGGAAGACAGCCCTCAGCCACCTTCCCAGCCTGTGCCGGAGCACACGCGCCCCCGCACTTACTGACACTCTTCACGTGTCGGATCTGACTCCTGAAGCAGGTATCACGAGAAAGAGCAAAATGCCCATCTTTGCCTTTAATATTGAAACCAGCTGTGTTGATTCCTCTCTGACCACCTCTCCCTCTGCCTCCCCCAAGTAGTTCACACAGATAAAATGTCTTCAGGACAAACAAGCAACCTTTCAACTTCATGGCTTATTAGCAAAAAGCCTTTTGAAGGCTTCTTTTCAAAAGCTGCAAGTACCCAGTAGAGGCCATGGTGATATAAAAAAGGTTGTTCTTCTCTTAGAAGGAGAAACTTCAAAGCAATCCCTGACATCCCAGAATTCGCTGCTTTTCCAGTAAATATCTGTTTGGGCCAGAGAATTTCAAGCTTTTGGATAAATTCAAAGATGAAGAGCCTGTATTTGGCGCAGCATTTCTATTTGTGTTCTGCACCAGAAAACCTCATCAACTGCATGTATATAACATCACAAGCTGATCACTCAGAGTCAGAGGGGCAAACGTTCACTTTGGCTTTGCTGAGCCTTTCCTTGAAGAGCCAAATCCAGCAAGGACATAGGCAGGCTCCTGAGGCAGGTGTGATGGAGGTGAACACAAGGCGGCAGGGGTAGGAGAGGAGTCTGTGCTCAAAAGGAGGGTTCATTGCAAATTCACTGGTGGGCAACCTTGTGGAAAGGAAGGTTTAAAGTATTTGACTCACAACTTTTAAGGATGCAAGAAATACTGTGAAGTATTTGCCGTATTAATTATGAGTCATTTATATGTATTTGTTAGAGGACTTATATTAAGAAACCGGAGGGTTTTCATTTTGCGGGGGTGTTTTTGGTAATTTGTCCCCCCTGCCAACCCTCACTCATCAGATGTCCTTTCTGTGTCCAGCCTGGGCTCCAATTTCACCATCTTTCACAGACTTGCCACAATTTTCCCTCCTAAGCTTCAGCAGCAGCTCAGGTGGACTATTACTGGTTTTCTGCTGGCACAAGTTACCTTCCATTCTATAGAGATCAATCTCAAGCAAAGCCCTTGAACAACATCTTTTCGATAGGGAGAATTGTTCACTTGTCCATCACTGACTGCTGCCCTGGGTGAGATCTCTAGCTCTCTGTCTATAATCACAACAAGCACATCATGCACACTCTTCCTTGTCGTATGCAAAGTAAAATCTCAAGATCACTAATGCAAAAGAATTCAAGGGCCAACCAAAACCAAGAGAGTAAAAAGATACTGTCTTGAGGAACAAAATGGAGGCAAAATATTGACAGAGTGGTGACATTTATTGGAAGAATTGAGATTTAATTGAAATGAGCACAGAATGAGAAGTTAGAAGCCCATCCTAACCCTGCTTTTGCCACTAACTCACTGGGCAGTTCACTTCCCCTTTGCTCGAGTCTCTCCATTGTATAATTTGAATTATCCACCCACCTATCTGAGATACGCAAAGTTACCTGTTTTGTTTATTCAAATACATATTCGTACTGAATTTTATATTTGGTTAGTGTGAAAAGCAGTATTTTTCAAATATGTATTCCTTAGGAAGAAATTAAGTCTCCAATCTTCTTAGTGTCTAAGGAATAGGGTCACCTCGCAATTACAGGGTCAGTAGTGGTCCTTTGCCCACCCCTGGGACCCTTAAGCCTGGACAAATAATTTTTTTATTTTTTGCAGCTAAGAAAGTCTGGCTTGTAGTTACAGATTAAATCTCATAGGCATCAGTACTTGATGATGTGACCGTGGGTTTAGAGTTCAGTTGCTGAAACTCAACTTCAGTCAGTTGAGCCAATGGGAATCATGCTGTAGACAATGAGCTCATGCTATCCAAATCCATCTGAGAACAATTGATCAAGCAGAACACAAAGGAGCAAATGAGCTGGCCTGGTTTGGGAACAGAGACTACTCATCCATGGAGGTTTCTCTTTCCCATCCAGTTGACCCATCTTGGATCAATTCCTTAGTGAGCTCAACTTCAGATCAGAGGAAGCTAGTTGTTTTTAAGGGAAGCTCCTGCTGGAAACACTCTTGGAGAGTGCTCTTCTCTTCCAAGGGAAATTTCTATACCAAGAACTGAGGCTGACTGCCCTGAAATAGAACACACTCTTGTCTAAATACAGCTGGCAACACTTCTTATTCCCTGGCTTGCCTCCTCCTAGTCCCTGTACACAACATACCTTCCTATTACCACAACTCAACATTTACTCCAGTTGAAATGCAGCCAGGTCGTTCATAGCTTTCTTAACATGGTACATTCCAGGCTTTTGCTTACAAGATCCTGGGGCTGTTAGCAGGGTCTTAACAAACCATCTCTTAAGGTAATCACAAACCATCTCTTAAGGTGATCACAAACCATCTCTTAAGGTAATCTCCATTTTCTGTTGATCCTTTTCAGTTTCCCTTTCACAGGAGAAGTTTCCTCACCTGGTCCCCAAATTTTGAGGGCATGCCTTCTAAGCCTGCAACTTCCACAAGGGACTGACTACACACACATACCCCAGGGGTGCCTCTGAGGACAGAGTCAAAATGCATTTCATATGCATTACACACAACTGGTCATTTGTAAATGATTTACACCGTATCATAAGAGAAATCAAACCCACAAAGGCCATAATTAGCTTTATCTCAGGAAAGAATGGTATATTGCATAGTTCCCAAATGACACAGTCCATGAACCAGTTGATTCAGATCAATACAATTGTGTGTGTGTATACGTATATACATTCCTTGATCTCCACATCAAATCTACAAATTAGAATTTCTTTTGGTAAGACCCAAGAATCTACATTTTTTACTTTCCTGGGCATTTCTTATATTTTTCTGGCTAGAATCGGAGCTCTGCTACAACCTGGAACATGCACTGGGAAAGTTACTAAACCTCTCTGCGCCTTGGTTTCATTTTCTGTAGAATGTTTATAATAGCTACCCCTTAGAATTTCTGTGAGATATAAATGAGATAGTATGAGGGAACTGCCCAGAACGAAGTAGCTACTTTAGATATGGTAGCTATCAGTAAAATTATAATAAAACAGCAATGCAAATGAGAAAGACCCTGTGTCTGGAGCAGAAAGAGCCAAGCCAAGAGGGACTGAGCACAAGAGTGGGCAACACACGGAGGGGCAGATGCAGCTGAAGGTGCCGGGGCTCCATTCTCCCAGTAGGCAGAATGTGGCATCCAAGTGTAGCCAAGCTGCCAGCATACGAAGCATGACAGGAAATAGTAGTGCTGTCCCAGCTGGAGGGAGGATTTTAGCACAGGGGATTCAAGAGCCTCAGAAATCCAGACCCACATGCAGCCTCAAGGAAGCAGGTGACCAAGCCCTGGTTACCCCACTGGAATTCCACAGCAGGCTTCCAGTCCTTCACAGTCAGAACAAGGGGTCATATGATGCAGGCTGGTTCCAAAGACAGGGACTCAGGTACACAGAAGAAGGTGGACACTCAGATATCAGTACTCAAGAAGACAGACCTAAAGCTACTCAAACTCCTCCAGAGGGCTTCAGTCTAAGTTCTTGTCATAAATTGGTTTGACTCAGGCAAAAAGCCACACTAGGACCACAGCAACAGAGGGGCTGGATGGACCCAGGAGAAGGTCACTGGAGTCATGACTATCAGGGAGCAGCTGGCACAGCCAAGCACCTGAGTTGGACAAGTCAAGTGAGGAGGCTGGGGGTGAGGAGGCCAGACAGGTGGCAGAGCTGTGTCATGTGAGAAAAGAAAGGCCTTCTCCTTCCCCTGTTGATAGAGCCTTCAAGCATTTCTTGCTTAGCTTCTTCCTCCTTCCCCGTTATCTGAAGAGAGAAAGACCAAAACCACAGCAACAAGTTCTCTAGGGAAAAATTGTCAGAGAAGCTACACTGCACTGGCCGGAGGCTGGCCAGGGCCATGTGACAAATCGGTAGGTCCAAGGCAGAGGGGAGAGGGGATGGAAGAACAAGACACCCGGTGTTAAGTGAATGCAATAGAGAGTCTGGGGAAGAGACAGGAGAGTGAGAGGCTCCCCAAAATGTGGTAGCACTAGAAAAGCGGGCAGAGAATGCCAAAGAAGTGATGTGAATCATGTAGCGGAAAACTCTCAAATGTTAGCAAGAGTCTCAAAGAAAGATGAGAATTCCTGCTTGTGCTATGCTTCTTTAAATGCAGCTCTTTGAGACTGGCCCACGCAGGGCCCAGCTGCCTAACAGCTGCAGTTAGTGGGAAGTGCAATGCCGGGTACACAGTGTAGCCATGCAAGACCTCCCTCGTTATTACATCTAGACAGCGAGAGCCAGACTGGTGGAGAAGGAGTACAAAAAGAGCTAGGCACCCCCGCACAAGGCTCCTAGGCTGTCAAGGCCTAACCTGCCCAACCTCAGCCCTCCTCAAAGTGCCTGCCACATCCAGTCCCATTGCACAGCTCCTTGCTCCTCCCCATGGGATACCAGGTGTTTTCATGCCCTCGGGCCCTCTGAGTGCCTGCCCCTCCTCAGAGTATTAAACCCCTCTAGGAGGTATTAGTGCTGCTGACTTCAACCTGAGCCTGCCCAGCCCTGAGCCACTCCATCCTGCCATCAGCACCCCTAGTCTTGGCTTCTTCACCCACCATTTTGTTCATACCTTCATTCCAGCAACTCATGGAGACTTCAGGAGATGCTGCCTCCAACAGATTATGCTCCAGTAAAGGTGATTCTGCCTCAGTCGACCAAATAATTCATCAGTCAGGAGTCAGGATGAGCGTCAAAGGCCTGCAACAATAGGAGACTTGATTCCAGACCCAAACTGCAGACCTAATTCCAGAAAAATGGAGATAAATTAATGCAGGAAAGGGAGGTAAACTGTTCCAGAAGCCTTCACTGGTTTATTCTGGTGAGGGAGGGGAGGGAGAGGGTATGGGCTACACAGGGTTCAGGATTCTCAAAAGAACCCCACACAACAGATTTGGGGTAATAAGAATCACTCTAGGCCTCACTCACTGAGTGACGGAGGTGCTGGGAATTTCCTGCCCCATCAAGCTTGGCTCATGAACAGAGCGGTTTAGATCCTCTGTAAAGTGAGTTAGAGTCAGGGAAATGGCTGTGAGTGACAATGGATGGCAGGATCTGAGCACCAGGAACTCCAACGGGCAGAGGTTGATAGGTCGGTCACAGCGAGGATCTCTCAGCAGTGGGAAACCCGGTTGGAAGTGAGGGGAGGGATGAAATGTGTGTTGAGCACCTGCCAACTGAGGCAGGCTGGTAGATGCTCTGTATATGTCATCTGGCGTGATTTCTACAATAACCCTAGGAAGCTTCTTTCTATTTTTCAAGCTAAGATAACTGAGACTTGGTTTCTCCTAGGTTGCAGCTGATTTGTGGTGGGGCCTGGATTTAAACACCTACATGTCTGAGACTAAATCCTGGGCTTGTTCCCACACACAGCACCGGTGAGCATGAAACAGACACCACAGAACAATGCAGAATCAGCCCTACAAGTCTGTTGTGTGTGAAACCAAAGGGTATCTGGGACCTGGGAAGGTAACCTGGGAAGGTAAACTGGGAAGGGGATGGGTGGCGAAATGAATGAAGGAAGGTAAAACAAGATTGGCCATGTGTTCATAATGATTGAGGTGAAAGAGAGCTGATCCCAGCATTCAGAGTATGATCCTATTTGTGTACATTTTTGGAATTTTCCATAATACAAAATAATTGATTTTAAATGTGCCATGTTAACAGTCAGAACACACCATTTCCCTGGTCTTTCTAGCCACTAAACAGATGCTCTTGGGTTTTGTGCTTACTTTTGCTTATAAAACTGAGCATTTCGTTTAACAAAGAATCTTCACACTGTTCTAGGAATTTGCTTCTGTATTGGGTAAGCACACACATTAGGCACAGTTCCATCAAAGAGAACGTTTTCAGGAACTTCTTGTTATATGAAGTAAGAGATGTGAGATAAAGCCTTTCCTCATTTTAATGTTAAGTGAAAAAAGCAGGATGTAAAACCACATTTGAATCATAAAATGAATTTTATTTAAATACATACATACAAAAAGAAATGCAAAAAGTAATAACTGTGGAATCAATTCGCTGATTTCACAAACTTGGCGTTGAACATGTATTCGTTTTAAGAGAAGAAAAATATCTTAAAAGAAGTTTGTTTATGGACTTCAGGGACACAGAAGTGGATTAATCAATAACTTTGGTCTATAACACTCTGTCATTGGTCTGTCGTCATTGGTCTGGCAGTGCTTTCTCAATTATTAATGACAGTTACTAATAATAGAATAATGATCACGTGCCAGGCAATGCATAACTTATTTCTAGCCTTTACAACAATTCTGAAAATCAGATGTTTTTAATTCCCATTTTGTTCATTAAAAAAAAAAAAAAAAAGACTCAAAGGACTTAAAAAAAACTTGACCAGGGTACACAATGATTTTGAACTCATGTTTGCTGACTCCAAAGCCTGTCGGGATCCACCGCCCCTTGCAATCCCCTCTTAAGCATTTACATTCTGGAGTGGAGAAAGGGCGCTAGAAGCCAACCCTAGAAGAGAATGACTAGAGGTTTATGTTTCTGACTGCGGCTTGGGTTTCCTCTGCCCTTTCCTGATTCATATTGCCCAGTTGTCCTGATCTGGCCAGAATGGAGCTGATTAATCACCATCTGGACAAGAAGACAGGCTAGGCTGTTCTTCCATGCTAAGCTGAGAAACTGAATCCTGGTACCCTGATTTACACATGAATTGGTCACTTCTGATTTATACTGTAATGTGGCTATTCTCTCAAAATAACATTCATACAACTATTTGCCTATGATTTAGTTATGGGCCTTAGAAGGGAGAAGCCTTCCCATAAAACGCTCTTTCCTTTAGGGGAAATAGGCCCAGATCACCTTTCCCTCCCTCTGACAGCAGAAGCCACTGTGGTCAGCCTGGGAACTGTGAGGGAGGACGAGTGCAGGGTGTGGGTTAGGGCCTCTAGAGAGCCCAGAGGCAGACATCAAAACCAGGAAAAAGTTGGAAACCTGGGCCAGATGCTACGTAGAGGTTCCAGACAACTGCCTAGATGGGCTACTGGTGCTGGTGGCCTCTTGAGTTAAGTGGGCAGGTTGTCCAGCTCATTACCAGTCACAAAGAGCATGACCCCATCAGCAAGCCAGGCCTGGAAGTTACAGCCTCTGAGTGGTCGCGAATGATTGTGAGGCCTAAGGCAAACCTAATTTATTTTCCTGCTGCTGAAACGTGGAGACACCTGCTCCTTGGCAGGAAGGTTTCTTGTTCTATGAAGTATGGTGAGCAACTCAATAAATGGGATTATATACATAGCCCTATTTTACAACAAATTCCCCCAGAAATGGCCTAATCATTTCCCCTGGTGACTAACGCTGCCCACCACACACCAATTCCCCTGCGGTGGGTTAACCACTGTGGCAGCACAGCTGTGTGCAGCTCTCACACCTAAACGTCCCACAGCAGGGTTCTCTGCTTGATTTGTTTTCCAGGCAGTCGGGGACTTTAATGAATGCTACCTATTCTTGGTCTCTTCTTTGTTTACTGAAATTACAACAACCTAAAGAACTTCTGCCCTCCTCAGTTATAATAAGAATAGGTAGGGATTGGACTTGGGAGGGAAAAGCCCAGGAGAGTGTTTGGGATCACTGTCTTCCTAGGCTGGGCCGGGCACAGTGGCTCACGCCTGTAATCCCAGCGCTTTGGGATGCCGAGGTGGGTGGATCACCTGAGGTCAGGAGTTCAAGACCAGCCTGGCCAACATGGTGAAACCCCGTCTCTACTAAAAAATACAAAAATTAGCTGAGTGTGGTGGCAGGCCCCTGTAATCCTAGCTACTTGGCAGACTGAAGCATGAGAATCGCTTGCTTGAACCTGGGAGATGGAGGTTGCAGTGAGCCAAGATCATGCCACTGCACTCCAGCCTGGGCAACAAGAATGAAACTCCATCTCCAAAAGAACAAAAAAAGTGACACCCAACAGGCTGTGCATCTCACAAAACCAAATCATCTACCTTTGCTAAGCAAGGGTAAAGCAGGCCTGAGTGGGATAGAAGTTAATTCCTAAAAATAGTTATTGCTAAAGACACTACAAACTGTAAAGGGCCTGATTCTCAGATGCCAGGCAAGGAGTGAAACCTCAGCAAAATGCTTAGGTTTGTTCGGTTTTTATATTTTAATGATTCAAAAATTAGTAGCCGTATGTCAAGTTAGTTTACCTTCAAAAGCACCTAGGCTTTGTGTATATATGGTTTTGGCTTATGTGAGTATTTTTGGTTTTGTTTTTTGGTGGTGATTGTTGTTGTTGTTAGTATAAAGGAAAAATAGTTGGGGAAATATGTATTATATCTTATTAAACTGCGATTATGAGAAATATTCTGAGACTCCACTGACGTGGTTGCAGCTGGTTTCATTGAAGCCTAATTAAAATGCCAGTAATACACAATCCTGCCCCACTGAGCAGAAATCATGGCCAGTTTGCTGTACAATATTCATAACAACAATAGGCAGATCATTATCACAAATGTTTTGAGTGAAGCCCCCCAACCTCTATTTCAAGGTTTACAAAAACCTATAATTTTCCAGGCAGTGTTAACCACAGAGAAGCCAGGCTTAATTACAGAAGAAAAAAGAAATCAGCAAGTGAAAACATGGCTCAGACTGCTGGACTCCTCAATCATAGAAGCCAGGGGCACAAAGCTAGATATGGTTATGAGCCATGACCTCAAGGAGGCCACAGTCTCCTCAAAGGGGTTAAAGTGATAAAAATCTCGGACTTAAGTCTCAACTTGGGTTTCAGAATCACAAAAAGCTGATGGAGAAATAAATGATAAATGAACTCCAGACAAAAAGACAACATGAGTGGATGAACAGAAGGAAATGGGGAGAGGAAGTTGTACATAAATCCCTTTGCTGAAGTGCTAGAACTAGTTAAGTTAACGGAGATGATGCTACCATTCAACAATATATGGTGCCCCACTATACCTAGCATTATTTTAGTAGTAGCAATTAAAATGATGTTATGTCTGCCCTAACAGTAATAGTTAGCACATAAATATGCTAATTGAATGTTACACAATATTCTGTATACTTTACATATGTTAATTCATTTAATCCTCAAATAACCCCACAGAGTAAATGTCATTATTATCCCTACTTTACAGATGAAGGAATGAGAAGATAGTAATTCATCCAATATTATTCAGCTAGTAAGTGTTGGAGTCAGGATTTGAACCCAGGCAATCTGGCTTTAGAAAATGTGTTTTCAACCACTATGTTATTCCACTTTCTTATAAAAATAATTATACTTAAAAAAATACATAAACACTGTACTCTAGTTGCTAAATTTCTTGCTCATGGGGATACAGGTTAACAATTTTGAAATTGCTTTACAAATGTTGAACAAATAATAAAATGGATGATGGTCAGTGTTGGAGAGGGAGTAACAGATAAACAAGAAATGATGGCTAGTATAAACCTGGTGGAACTGAATTATAGTCAGAGATATCAGAATAAACTCAAATTTAGTTTAATATATATGTGTGTGTGCATGTGTGTGTATTCCTATATGGATGGATAGAGACACACAGATGGATAGAGTCAGAAGTAATTACAGATATAGGTATCTATGGCTATGTGCTCACAGATTTCCTAGCTCCGTTTGCTGACAGGGTCTGGAAGCAATGAGATCCCAGGAGCAATGAGCACACCTACCACCTAGATAGTGGCTTCTAAATACCATTTTACAATAAAGGGAACCAGAGTTCCTTGGAGAAATTGCTAATTGTAAGACTGGGGTAAGGAAAATATAAGATGTACCTGGAGCATCTTATAGTACCAGAAAATAAGGAAGTGCTTAAAAAACAAAAGGACAGGGGCTTGTCAAATGGACGCAGGAACCAGACTCTTTATAAAAACCCATCAAGAGCTTTCCATTACTCCTAGGATCAAGATGAGTCTCTAGAGCACTTCAAAAATTTAAAATCTCAAATGTAAACAAACAAATGAATAAATAAAAGCTAGCCTCCATATTTCATGAAAAGAATGAGTTTCTGAGACAGAAAAAGAGCTCCCAATGACCAAAGCTAGAACAACTTAAGCAACAAAATAATAATGAATTATTACTCAAAGTATAAAATAAACCTATGTACGTTTATACTGATATAAGTAAATAATTGAATAAATCAATAAATGTGGGAGAAGAGACAAATTTTCCTTGTGGAAGAGCTCTAAATAATGTGTGTAGACACTCCACCCCAGGAGGTGAAACTTACCCCTTTCCTCCTCCCTGCTTGGGGATGGGCTAAGTTTAGTGACTCACTTCCAAAGAATACAGTGGAGAAGTGGAAAGATAATGACCTTACAGTGGAGAAACCTGCCTGGCAAATGCTACCTTAAGCAAATTATGATGGTTAACATCCTCAGGGATAACATGTGGATATCATGTACCCTGTCACATGATCTGACAAAGACACTCCACCTGTATGATTTTCTTTGCCAAAACCCATAACCCCAGTCTAATCATGAGAAAACAGACAAAGACAGATTGGGGACATTTTATAGGATATCTAGCCAGTACTCTTCAAGACTGTCAAGGTCACAAAAAAACAAGGAAAGACTGAGAAACTGTCGCAGACCAGAGGAGACTGGAAGATATGATGACTAAGCACGACATGGCATCCAGGATCAGATCCTGGAGCAGAAAGAGGACATCAGTGAAAAAAAGCTGGTGAAAGCCAAATACAACCCGGAGTTTGGTTAATAGTAATGTACCTATATAAATTTCTTTGTTTTGACAAATTTACTGCAGCCATATAGGATTTTAACATTAGAAGAACTGGGTGATGGAAACTCTCTTGTGCTATCTCTGCAACTTTTTTGTAAATCCAAAATTATTCCAACCTAAAAAGTTTAAGAAATGACTATACTCTAAAATAGGCCATCCATGCAAAATAAAAGGGTAACTATATAGAATGCCAATGAAAGGAAACTAGAAATAAAAGCACAGCAATTTTTAGTTGTCTGCTGCCCAGAACTACTGATAAGACTGATGTTTCTTAATTCTTCACAAGGCACTTTGGGTGGAACGTTAAGCCCACATCCACAAATGCTTATTGGGTACATACCATGTGTAAGGCAGTGACCTAGACACTAGGGATGCACTGGAGAACAAGACGTGGCTCCTGCCTCCAAAGAACTTTCAGTCTGCTTGGAGAGGGAGGGAGAGAGAAAGAGAGAGAGGAGAGAGAGAGAGAGAGAGAGAGAGAGAGAGAGAGAGAGAGAGATCAACACAAAATAAAACACAGCATAAATGCTGCCCAGGAGGTAATTTCAAGACAGTAGATGCATACCCAGGAGGTACGTCTGACCAATCCAGTGTCAGGGCACCATGTAGGACAGAGCAGTCCTCTTGGAAAAATTCATGAGTGTTCTAATGTGCCTTATGACCATCACAAGGGCCCATGGTGATGGTTATAGACACCAACCTTCTTCTGACAGCATTAAGTGCATTTGGAAAATACAAATCTAATCATGTCACCTCTTTATAAAACCCAAGAGCTTTCCATGACTTCTAGAATCAAGACAAAACTCCTTACTCTATGTTATGGTTCATTCATGTGTCAACTTGGCTAGGCTACAGCACCCAGTTATGTAATTGAACACTAACCTACGTGTGGCTGTGAAGGTGTTTTACAGATGTGCTTAACATCTGCAGTCAGTTGACTTTAAATAACTAGAGTAACTTCAAGTAATAAGTTATCCACCTTGATAATGTGGTGGGCTTCATCCAATCAATGAAAGGCCTTAAGAGCAACAACTAAGATTCCCAGAGAAGAAGAAATTCTTCATCAAAAAAGAAGAAATTACACGTCAAGATTGCAGCACCAGCTCCTGCCCGAGTTTCTAGCCTGCTTGCCTGCCAGCCTGTCCTACAGACTTCACACTTGCCAGTTCTCTTAATTACATATTTATATGATATATAATACATATTATAGAGCTTATTGGTTCTGTATTTATATATAAATTGTTTATATACTATATATATTTGTATTAAGTATTATTAATAATATTACACACACATACACATATATATCCTACTGGTTCCATTTCCCTGGAGAGCTCTGACTGACACATCATGGTCTCCAGGCTTGGTGCAGTCCAGTTCTCACCCTTCCCACCAGCCACACCATCTACCCCAGTCCTCCTTGCTTTGTCTCTTCCACTCACACCAGCTTTTTCTCATTCTAAGTCCTTTCAACCCATCCTGTCCTCTCCTTTCACAAGCTGTTCTCTCTGCCTGGATCACTCTCCCTCCTTTCCTGATTAACACCTACTCATGCCTCAGCTCAACAATTGCTTCTTCAGGGATCCTCCCCCAGCCTCCCAGTGTCAACCCCACTTAGCACAAGATTTCAAAGCACCTCACACCACTCCTGCAGAGCTGGATAAGTTGCAGCTTCCGTCTTTCCTACATGTAAGTTCCATGAAGGCAGGAACCAGGTCTGGTTGGACTCATTATTTTCTAACTGCATTCCCCAGCACAGTGCTTGGGACATAAAAGGCTCTCAATGAGTATTTGTTCCACGAATGTCAACACAGATGTGATAAGAGCAGAAAACAGTCCCTCACCACAGGCACAGCCACTGAAGTTCTTGCCAGGTAGAATCCAGTGGCCCAGTCCTTTTGATGACTCATCAAGTTGAAACTCAAGGTCAGAAAAAAGGGGAACTCAGAGAGGCAGTCAAAGCAGACAGAGGGAGGGGGCTTTACTTGCCAGAGACAGAAATGTCTCTGCAGATGGGCTGGAGGCGGTCAGTGTGGCTACAGCCTCACATTGATACTGACTTCTCCAAAATACCACCTGCCTCTAAACTCAAACTGGCGTTTATGTAATGACATTTCCTACTTATTACCAGCTGCCAAATGTTGAAATTCCCAGAAGCACCTTTCTAAAGTCTTAAATATCAACTCTAGCCTATTAAAGAAGAGAAAAAGACAAAGATGTGTTATTACCAGGTTTCTTTTTATTTTTTTTTTTAAAAAAGGCTCAAAACTAAAAATTATCTAGCCCTGGCTGAATTGGGGTGAAGATAAGTGAGTGATTATTACATTTCTTCTTCAGGTTATTTTTACCCTGAGTTACCTGTGCTGAATAAGCTAGCAAAGTTCCCAAAACGCCAGGCCACTAGGTCAAGTTTCTAGAAGTAGTAGCTACAGCCAACTTCTCAATTCTTTTATGTGGTGATTTGAAGACACATCTTCCAATTCTTCAGCATTCTTCCTAGTGAGAAGTGAGGTCTACAGCCCTCCTTTTTAAATCCAGGCAGCTTGTGTCTCCCATGCATCTCATGAAATGCATTGGAAGAGCTGTATGTGACTTCCATGGCTTGCTCATGAATGACAGTGAAGTTCTGTCTTCTTCCCAGGAATAGTCGTGGTAGGAGCCCTGAGCCCTGGCAGATAGGTCTTACTCTCCTGAGGTTGCCTTGCTGGGAGGGAGCCAAGCCACGTGGAGAGACCACGTGAAAATGTTCCAGGTGGCAGTCCTCCTCTTCAAGTCCTTCTTGCCCAGGTGCCGTATGTACGTGAACAAGGTCTCAGATGATTCTAGACCCAGCTGTTGAGTCAACCTCAGCCTTGAGTCTTCTCAGCTGAGGCCTCAGCTGTGATGGAGGGGAGGCTCAAACAAGTCATTCCCACTGTGCCCTTTCGGAATTCTTAACCCAAACGGATACTAACATAGTTATTGCTCTACATAACTGTGTTTAGAGTGGTTTTTGTTAGGTAGCAGTAATAACCAGAACAATATAGAAAAATGGGAGTTATTTTGTAGATGTCAAAGCAAATGTCCAACTTTTCTCCATTAACAGCTTCTACCTACAGCAAATCTCTCAAATATAAACAAATAAAAGCCAGCCTCAATACTTTATGAGAAGAGTGAGTTCCAAGCAGCTACACCTACTGAGAGAGAAAAAGGAATTGCGTCTGGAGAAGAGAGAGCTCAATTGGTACTTGAATGAATAAAGGAATGACTCAAGGAGCTATGAAATGTTTAGGTAAGGATATAGCAGGAGGCAAAGGATCATTTTCTGAGACCAATAGCAACTTCAGCCCCCAGTTCAAAAAAATTCAGTCCTGCAGAAATCACAATAGCATATCCTTATGTTCTTATTCTGTCATATTTTATGCAACTTAACAACCAAACACACACAAAGAACATATATATGTAACTGACACAAAACTGAGCTGGATAACAAACATATTCAATGGCAGAAAGACTCAAAATTATTTCGACAAGCTGGAACAGGGTGGAAGAATAAAAGTGAGTAATCTTATCCCAGAAGAGTGACCTCAGACCAGAGAGCAGCTGAAATGATTGCACAAGGACATCAATGTCTTTTGGGAGAGGTATTAGACTCATCTTGAAGATAAGAAGCAGCTATGGAATATTTTAAAATAGAGAAGCATGATGATAAAATCAGTGTTTTAGAAGATTAACTTGACATCTCTTTGTGTAATGGATTCAAGGGAGAACAAATAGAAGGAATAAATGACACTTAGCACTTAGGAAATGTTTGCAATCCCACCACAATGAAAGTACATGGATCGGGGCTGGTCTGACCAGAATGGGAGTGAAAAAGAAGCAAAGATGATTGGTGGTGTGACCATGAAGACTCGGGCAGCAGGCTGGGTATCAAGAGTAAAGAAAAAGTCAAAGAAGACTCAGAAGCCTGAGTGAGAGGTCAGCAAGTTCATGGAAACAGAAAAAGATGGGGGAGGAAGTATGTTTGGAGACAAGGAAAACAAGCTCAGGAGAAATCTATGGACTTTGAGATAATGTTATCAAGATTTTTAGCTTATAAAAAAAGTTGATGGATAATTGGAGACATTGGATTAAGGTTTACAAGGGAAGATAGGCCTAGAGAAATGGATTTGGGAAACACATCAGCCTAGAGTTGATACCTAAAGCCATGAATAAATTCCCATATTTTTGCCATCTTAGACTCTTTGCTAGATCTTTAGCCTTCATGGCATATTATATTCAGGATGAAAATTTTTGAAAATATATGGCATTGTTTTCTTTCTTTCTTTTCTTTTTTTTTTTTTTTTTTTTTTTGAGACAGAGTCTTACTCCGTTGCCCAGACTGGAGTGCAGTGGTGCTATCTTGGCTCACTACAACCTCCGCCTCCCGGGTTCAAGTGATTCTCCTGCCTCTGCCTCCTGAGTAGCTGGGATTACAGGTGTGCATTATCATGCCTGGCTAATTTTTGTATTTTTGGTAGAGATGGGGTTTCACCATGTTGGTCAGGCTGGTCTCAAACTCCTGACCTCAAGTGATCCACCCACCTTGGCCTCCCACAGTGTTGGGATTACAGGTGTGAGCCACCAAGTCTGGCCTACCGCATCTTTTTCTTGTAGGGAGCTGCATAATTAGGTCTACCATGCAATAGCAATTTTATTGATAATTTTATAATTAAGAAACAAAATATGAATTGCCAAGATTACCTATATTCATTTTGGCTCTCAGTCTATTTTGAACTATTTCTCCTACTCCTACCTTCAACTGACAGGATTGGCCACAGAAATCATAGAACCATTTTGAATGCTTTTAAAGACTATCTGGGTGGGCCACCATTCATACTGCTCTCCACTTGAATGAATTGTCAGAACACCAAGAGCTTTTGCAGAGCCAGAAAGAACCAAAGAACGTGCAGCTGGAGGTATCAGCTGTGCATATCTAATTCTGGCCAAAACACCTCCCCAGAGTGTCCAGCTGGAGAGAGGGGAAGAAAAAAAGAAGAAAGACAGTAATTCAGTCAGGGACGTCAACAGCGGCTGAAGACGCGAGCTGGTTGCAGAGCACTGATACTGTTGGGTACAAAAAGAGGTGCTGCTGCCACCACAATATTTGGATAACCTGCAATTGCAAAGTACACATCTGTCTGTGACCATCTGTCTGAAAGTATGCTGGAGGTCAGAGGCTCGGTGAATACAGCAACCTGCAAGTGGAATGAGATAAGATAAAAAGAAGAGGGAAGTATGCAAGGAATCCCATTGGTTTCGCTTAAAAAGACACAGCAAGTTGAAAGAAAGTGTGGGATGGGATCTCCTTAAGTAAATTATGATTCAGCAAGTGCCGTTTTATCTGCCTAAGAAAGTAATTACAGGAAAGCAGTGTTTCCTGAAAAGTGTCTTTAAGGATGAGCCCGTTTGGAATAGTGAGAGGGTGCTGGCAGATGAAGGGTAGCAACCGCATGGCTTCCCCGGAGATGGTCTGGCCTGATCTGTCAGGTGCAGAATTGAGATTATTAGCACAGAAAACTTTGAAACTTGCTTTCCTTGACCTCCACAACACCCAGCACCTTCCACGCTCTGATTTTCTCCTATCTCTCTTGGCCATCCTTCAGTTGCTTTCACAGGTTTATCTTCCTCTGCCTGTTTCTTAATACTGGGGCTCCCCTGGGCTCCAAGCCCTCCCCTCTTCCTATTCAAACACTCTCCCTAAGTGATCTCATGCACTCCCTCGGTTTCACTGTCATTTGTGTATTGATGACTGTCAAATATTTACTCTTACTCAGATCTCTTGTCTAGGCTCGGGCCTGGATTGTAACTACATCCTTGGTACCTCCTCTTGGGCATTTTACAGTCTCAACTTGTCTAAAGTCGAACTCATGACTTTCTTCCAGAGACTCTTGCCTCTTCTAGTGTTTGCTATCAGTGAATGGCACCTCCATTCACAAGTTACCCAAGTTGGCCACCTAGGAGTCCTCTCCTTCCCTTGGCCCATCCTTCAACCACACATCAGCGTCCAAAATCCATCCACTGCTTTCCAACCCCACTTCCATTATCCTAGGCCAAGGAGCCACTATTTTTCATGACCACAATAAACTTCTGATTTGTCTTCCTCTTATTATCACAACAGCCTCCAACTGGTCTGCCTGTCTGTGGTCTTGACTCAGCCCTACTTCATCCCCAATTCATTCTCAAGCTCTCATTCTAAAATTAATTCAATCATCTCACTTCTATCTAAATCTCTTTAATGGATTCTATTGCTCTTAGTATAAGGTCCAGATTTATTAATAAGATTTGCATAGTTTGCTGCATCTACCTTTTTATCCCTCACCTCTACCTTCCTTTAAACTCTACAGTCCAGTTACACTGAGTTGGTTTTTTTGTTTGTTTTTATTTTGTTTTTTATTTCCTTGAACACACCAAGTTCTCCCACAATTACAGCATTTTGCAAATGCTGCCTGACAGCCTCTTCTCCTTTTATTTGCCAAACAATGACTATTTATCCTTTAGGTCCCAGTATAGACATAACTTTCCAGTGTAGATTAGGGCCCCCCTCCTTTCCACCATGATCTCCCCAACGACCCTGTATTTCTCCCCATCAAATCACACTCTACTGTTAATGCCTGTTTACACAGCTTTATCTTCCACTAGACCTTGAGCTCCATGAGGGCAGAAAGCATGTCTGTTTTGTGGGCAATTGTATCTCCAGTACCCAGCCCAGTATTGGGCTTGATATATGTAGAATGAATACATGAATACATGAATTGCAGGCACACTAATTGACAGCAGAACTTCACCAGGTCTATGTCAAACAACATCACCTCAGAGAATTAGAAAGATTCCAAAATTCCTTCATCTAGGATGAGCCTGGCAGCTGCAGCATCTCCAGGAACATTCATTTCCTGAGGTGTGGCCAAAAAGAATTTTCTGAGAGATTCTCAACTGCAGCTCACTGAGAGTCTCTTACACCAAGCACAAAGTAATCTCTTTGCTTCCAGCAAGCAACATTCAACAATTAATGAATCTTTCCCTTGGTGTCAGGAGCTTAGGAAGGCAGACTATAAAACAGAAAAGTTGAGGTGGTCTCAGTCTTCCTAGAGTAGATTGTCTTGGACTATTCCCTAAATCAGTGGTTTCAAATCTCACGTATGTTATCAGAGTCATCTGGAGACCTTGTGAAAGCACAGATGTCTGAACCTGACCCCCAGAGTTTCTGAATCAGTAGGTCTGGGATGAGGCCATAGAATTTGCATTTCTAATAAGTCTCCAGGTGATGCTGATGCTGCTGATCTGGGGACCACAACCTTGAGAACCACCGCACTAAACATTTGAGTCACCCCTCTTAGTCATACAAACATAAGAGAAGCAGGCTCCCAATGTACTGAGGGAGGATGGACGCCTCTTCCTGAACCCTGGCCGACTGCTAAGCAGGATGTGGGAAAACTTGGAATTAAAGGAACTCTGGGAAACAAGAAATCAGAAACCCGGAAATCCAACCCCTTCTGTATTGAGGGTGAAGATGACTAGAACACTCTGATAGCTTAGGACAGTCCAAATTAAAATATCTCTGCAAGAAAAGGACATCATGGGCATTGTGATGGATGTGACCACTGAGCATCCACTCTTCTTCTGAAAATAGCTCCTCCTTTTCCCTTGATGAACTGCTATTCTCCAGCTCTTAGTCCTTGTGATTCAAGTAAGGCCAACTTCACACCTTGGGCACAGGAGAGGACCCAAAACTTAGATCTGTGCAATAAGTGTGTGTCACACCCAGCCCATAATGATTGCTTCAGAGCTGGTGTGTGATCCAGGTTGATCTAATGAAAGTAAGCCCTAGAAGACTGTTCAAACTGTTGGGACGGGAACCATCCCTTTCCTCTGAGCTTGCCAAACCAATAAGATGTAAGTCTGGGGCTTCCGATGGCCATTGCCACTAGTGGGAAAAATGTACCAGAGAATGACACGAACACTGAAGAAAACCCAGCCAAGAGATGAAGAGACATATTCCTGACAATATTATCTGGATCCAGCAGATCTTGAAGTTAGAATACCCCAGAATCTGAGCTGAGCATTTATTACTCGCAACTGAAAGTATAGACTGAAATAAGAGAGAGTTCTTTCTTTTACCTTTTTTTTTTTTTTTTTTTGGAGACAGTCTCACTCTGTCACCTAGGCTAGAGTGCAGTGGTGCAGTCTCGGCTCACTGCAAACTCCACCTCCCAGGTTCCAGCGAGTCTCCTCCCTCAGCCTCCCGAGTAGCTGGAATTACAGGTGCCTGTCACCACACCTGGCTAAGTTTTGTATTTTTAGCAGAGATGGGGTTTCACCATGTTGGCCAGGCTGGTCTCGAACTCCTGACCTCAAGTGATCCACTCACCTCGGCCTCCCAAACTGCTGGGATTATAGGCATGAGGCACTGCGTCCAGCCTAAAATAAGAGGGAGTTCTACTAGCCAACTCATGCATTGCTCTGCTCCAGGGTACCTAAGTAACCAACTGCTCTAATGGTTTCTCTCCAGATGGACAGACCTGCCAGGTTGATACCTTTGCCAGCCCCTCTGGAATTCCAGTGAATAAAATTTTCCCTAACAGATCACTTGTTTAGTGTAGCACTTAGCGCCTAGCCTCACCACTGTTTACTTACCTCCTTTCCCTCCTCTGTGAGCTCTCTGCATGTAAGAACTACACTCTTTATAACAGTTTTGTTGGTGGCCATGCACAGTGGCTGACTTATAGTAGATGCTCTATGGAGTGACTGTTTGCAAACAACCTTCCAAATAAGATAAGAATAACAAAATTGAGCCTGGTTAGTCTGCATCCAGATAGAATGGAATTTTTTAAATGGCAGCAAGGGGAGCAAAGCACATTGTTAAGTAATGCTAAATGAAAACAGGCAGCAACCCTCAAAGGTGAGCTTCAAAAGTCAGATCAACCTTCACTCAGCCCTAGAACATTTCTAACTAAATCCCACCTCTCACTAGAAGTGTCACCATTTTTCTTTTCTTTGAAAAAGCATGATGGGGGAGGGGGTGCTGGAGAACGACAAATGAGAGGGTGACTCCCATATAAGTCAGCTTCCTCTTCCCCAAATCAGTTTCCAGAAACTCTGCCATATCATGCAACGAGAACCCCCAGCTCCTAATTCAAAGGAAAGTCTCAGAGGTCTTGGGTAAAGACGATAACACCTCTCCTTTGGTGGCTTTCAGTGATAAACAGCTTCCTGCCTGAGCACTCATAAACCTGAACTCGTGGAAAAGAATTACTACACGGAAAACAGAACCCAGGCAGGGTTCGTAAACGGTACCCGGCATGGGTTTCTCACATCTTCGTTGATAAACGTCCTGTTGCCTCCTGAGGAATCTGTGAGACTCCTTGGGTACAGCTGTGGTCAGGAACACACCATGCAACAACTAGACCTGAGAAGTGTCCATCTTTCTGCCATCGAGACCTGCCCTAGAAGAAAAACAGAAACAACACAGATGGAGCTGCCTGTTCAAATCCTTGTGGATGTCATAAGATTAGCAGCTTTCCTCTGAGTCGGCCTCAAAGACTTCCTTTGCAATTGTTCCTAAGCTAGCTCAAGGGATAGGCAGTGAAGTTCACTAAAACAAAAACATAACCTCAAACATCCAAAACAGCTGGTGGAAATTGTGACTGTTTTAGAGGAGCTGACTTATCTAGCTGAGTCAAAACAAGTGTGAGCGCTTCAAACAGGCACAAGATCAGAAACAAAATTAGGTGTTTATTGAGTGCTGTCCTCTTGATTTTTTTTTTCTCCTTTGCTTAGGCATGAATCTCCCCCTTAGCTTCATCCTGGCAAGGAATAAAATCTTTTATGATATAAAAATTGATATATTGGGAAATTAAGTGTAAAATAAGGGTCCTTTTCCTAGTTGTAAAAGTAATATATGTTCTTTGGAGGAAAATGCAGAAAAAACACAAAAACTAAAATAAAAGTCACCTGTAATCCCACCACTGTTTCTATTTTATTTTTTTAACTTTAGTTTTTCATATACACACACGATTTAAATTATATCTGGATCTATATCTAGACAGATAGGTAGATAGATAGAGATATCTATTTAAATGATTAATTTTGATCCTGATTTTTTCATCCAGTACATCATGACCATTTTCCTATGTCATTTATATATTCTTCCACATTTTCTATATCTGCAAAATATCAGACCATACAAACACCACAAACTTTTTAGCTAATGCCAATTATGAACATTTAGGATATTTCTTTTTCTTTTTTTCTATTTTTTTTTTTTTTTTTGAGACAGGGTCTCACTCTGTCGCCTAGGTTGGACTGCAGTGGTGCCATCATGCTTCACTGTTGCCTTGAACTCCTGAACTCCTGGGTTCAAGCAATCCTCCTGTCTCAGCCTCCCGAGTAGCTGGGACTACAGGTATGTGCCATCACACCTGGCTAATTTTTTTTGTTTTTGAAGAGATGGGTTCTTGCTATGTTGCCCAGGCTGGTTCACTTGAAACTTCAAGTTTCAAAGTAGGAATTTCAAGTGATCCTTCAGCCTCAGCCTCACAAAGTGCTCGGACTACAGGCAAATGCACGGCCTAGGATATTTCTGATTTTGTGCCATTATCAACAGTGCTGTGAAAAAGATCCTTGTTGATAAATCTTACATGTGTACATAGGAAATTTACTTTGTGTTACAGTACACTGAAATTCAGGATATAAAATGGATAACTGGCATTGAAGAAATCTAGCACCCTTCTCCCTAAGAATTGCTGACATATTTCTAGTTAGGCAGCTACTGTTAGAACTACAAGGCCTTCCTGGTTTCATAGAAGCCTTGCTTTCAGTCAAATGAATGGTTTCTTCAGTTTGCAATGCAGAAACATTAAAATAACTTTTAGAATCTATGAGGAGAAATGAAAGCAAATAAAATAAATATTAGGAAAGATTACTAATCTTGTTAGGAATAAGAAAATATAACATAGAAGTAGAGTAATTCCATCAAGTAAGGTTTCAGACTTGATTAAACTAGCCTGAAACTTTATCTTCCAGAAAACTCTCAACTTTAGATAATCTGTAGCAGGCTTTTCAATTACAGAAACTAGTTAAACTGTTTCTACTTTCTTATATTTTCCAATTCAAAAAAATGAGATTAAATGTTCCTAAGAAGAAGACTCTAAAATGGCATTATCAGCTCTCATTCTAGATTTACTGCTTCCACTGAACAGTTGCTTCTGAATTGGCACAAGACATCCAGTCACTCGCGATTGGGAATGAATCAGTCCCTAAAATCATTCCAGAATTTGGATAACGGAGAAGTTTGCCTCCTGCCAAAAGCCCAACAAATGCTGGTAAAATTTAGGAAAGTCATTATCATGAAAGCCTGCAATGGTTTCAGAGAACATCTCTTAGTAGTTACTGCACTCTATGACCTCCAGAAAAAGTGTAAGCAACTCCATGCGTATACACAGACCGTGCCAGTTTCCCTTAAAAGTCTCATTCTCTTCATCACCACTGAGTGGAATTAAAAACAGTTGGTCAAGCTCCACTAATCAACAGCTGCTTGCAATTAGATGAAGCATTTAAAGCCATTCTCTTAACTACCTTCCCAACTGCCTAACCATTCAGCATGAGCAATACACCATGACAATTTGCCAGAATGTTTAACTTATCTCCATCTCTAGTAGTTTCTATACC
Organism: Homo sapiens; assembly: GCF_000001405.40. Taxonomy (NCBI): domain Eukaryota; kingdom Metazoa; phylum Chordata; class Mammalia; order Primates; family Hominidae; genus Homo; species Homo sapiens. Next base: position 105,902,867 of record NC_000006.12, read on the forward strand.
TTCCTTATTTTCTTCAGTCTTCCCACACACTGTCTGACTCTTCCAGTTCCTCTTGTTAAATACAGAGAAGGGATTAGTTGAAACAAGGTCGAGCCGAGCTGCTTTGTGCTAAGATGGAAAATTCTGCCCAGGCGACTATTAGGGGGCAGAGTAATTTTGGTGTTTCTCAAAGAGAAAAGATGCCTTTTTCTTTTCTTTTCTTTTGTTTTTTAACAATGAACTGGAGAGTTCGCTTTAACTTTTCTCTCTTAGAATGATGAAGAAAGCAAGTTACTGGGCTTTTGTGAACTGTTTTCAATTTTCATAACTTCTAACTAGTCATTTTAAAGCAGAGAGAAAAAGTACAGATCACTTTATTCAATTGTTTTCTTTACAAATAAAGAAACTGGGCATCAATAGTCTAGTTGCTCTTCCCAAGGTCACATAAAAAGTGGCTGAGTATGAACTGAATCCACTTCTCCCGATTCTCAGTCCAGATCACTTTCGATGACTTCAGCTGCCTTTTTCACAAAGAAAACCTCTCCAGCTCAACAGCTCTACCACTTGCGTTGTCCAAGGGTTAGAACTGCAGTCCTCCCAGCCTGCTCCATCACCCAGGCCTCCAGCCTGCCCATCTTAGGACTTAAAGTCAAAGGGAAAAAATTATATGGCTTCTTCTTTGCAATCATGTTTCTCACTATCCTACCTTCCCCTTCCCACCTAAAAGAGACCGTCCAAAATCTCCAACTATAGTTCTTTTTCTCCATCTCACCCTCTGATGTACTCATTTTGCCTATTTTGTCATACAGGGGGCAGGAGGAGAATGAAAGAAAGAAAGAGAAAAGTAGTGGGGGGTGTTATTAGACAGAGGCAATTTTGCCTGCTCAAAACTCAAGAAGGAGCTGAGAGCTGAGACAGGAATGGCAGCCCCCACAGCCTGCATGTCATGCTCATAGCCTGTCTCTTCCCAAACCCACCATTCTTCCCGAGGCTAACCTTCTCTAGAAACCTCCTCCCCACAACCTCAAGCCTCTAGTCCAGTCTTTGAAAATCATGGGGTCTTCCTTCTTTATCTGAGGGTACCTGAGTACATTATTTCATTTTCTCCTTAAACTCATATTTCCATTATACTTACCATGTAGAGAATGTTATTCTTATATATTGTTTGGCTTCAGAGTATTTTGATCATCTTATTATGCTTTTCCGCAACTCTATATATATGCTTATACTTATATTTATGTGTTTATATTTATATATCTGTTCCTGCTATATATTTGTATATGTATATATAATATGTCTGTACTACATTTATTTTCATATACACTGTATATATAAAAATGAGGGAGAGGAAGAGAGGAATTTTAAAAATTTTCATGTGGCCATAACAAGTGTTAAAAAGTATTCTTCTTGGAGTTATTATTACATTTATTTCAAATGTACAGTTAATCAACATCACATAAACATATTTAAAATCATATAGATAATTATTAAACATATAAAGTATGTTGTATCAGAAATGAATCTCTTGGATGTGAGGGTGATCTGGCTGCAATATCTGTCACCCCATTGATCGCCAGGGTTGATTCAGCTGATCTGGCTGGCTAGGTGGTGTCCCCTTCCTCCCTCACTGCTCCATGTGCGTCCCTCCCAAAGCTGCATGCTGGGTCAAAGAGGACAACCATCCCTGATGGAGGAGGATGGGTCTTCGGTCAAGGGTATAGGAGTAACAAGAGTAACTGCGTTCCCCTGCTAGAACCTCCAAACAAGCTCTCGAGAAATGAATCTCTTAACAAATTCAGTGGCATGTTTTTCATCCGATTAATTCATGTATAGCAGGTCTTTGAATAAACTTGTTTCCTTCAACGTTGTTTTGTTATAATGTTATTGGGAAAAAAAAATAGTTCCCAGGCTGGGCTGCCATCTGCGTGGATTTGCACGCTCTCCCCAGGCCTTCGTGAGTTTTCTCCCACATTCCAAAGATGTGCACGTTGGGTGAAGTGGCATGTCTACACGGTCCCCGTGTGAGTGTGGGTGTGGGTGTGAATGCGTCCTGCAATGAAATGGTGTCCTGTCCAAGGTGAATTCCCACTGGCACCCTGAGCTGCCCAGACAGGCTCCAGCCACCCGTGGCCCTGAACTGGAATAGACTGATAAATAATTATCTTACTTGGTTTTAGTCATCTTTTTAAAATGTATGTATAGCTCACACTTATTTTAAAGTTTAGTAAGTTTTTTTTCTTTATTTAGAAGTTTGGTGACATTTATGTGACCAGAAATATGCCATAGGAACTTAATTCTTGTTCATATCAATTAGCCTGTGGTAAAATTGGTTTCCTTATACATCATCTCACTAACATAGCAGTTTCCAAGAACTTATTGATGATATTAAGTGAGTTACTGTATTTATAATTCGATATTCCTTAATGCTAAACTGTAGCCATCTTCAGAATCAATTCTTTTCCCAATTTTTCATTTTTATGGAGGTAAGCACTGAGAAAGTAGTTGTTTTAGTCACCTAAATAGAGGAAATGAAAGACATTTTGTTATAGCAATAACACTAAAAGTTCTACGATTTTGTAGAAAGCCAAGAATTAGAAACCAATTGACTTGAAAACCAGTAAAAACAAGTAAAAACTTTTTTTTACTCCATGATTAAAGTCATTCATTTTTTCAACAGCAAAGTCAAGATTTTGAGTTATTCCTCATTTCATCCCTCAAGTAATTTTACATCCTAGGACAAAATACCCTAGTAAGATTTGCTAGGTAGTACGTATGCCTCTCTTTCGCAAAAAGACACGAAAGGTAAATGATCAGTACCAAAGTGCTGGCTATTGAGCAGATCCATTTTAGGAGAGCACATAAGGAAGGCATTTCTCTGAAAACCACGTGTGCCTGCCTACCTCGTAGGAAGTCTTCATTGCTCCAGGAATGCACGTATTTCCCCTTTGAAAACTGCTGGACTGCATGGTCCAGTCCCTGCCTGCTTTCCAATCTCACTTAACCTTTGTTTTCCCTGAGCTCCTCTGAATCATTGAGCATGTTGTTCCCACTGCCTACACATCACTTCCTCAGAGACACCTTTTCCTAGAGACACCTTTTCTCTGAGGTCACCTTTCCTGACCTCAGAGACACATTTGCTGACCATCCAGAGACACCTTTTCCTGACCATCCAGCATAAAATAGGTTTCCCAGTTTCCCAGTTATTCTCTCTCTTAATTCCCTGTTCATCTCCTTCATACTACTTATCACAGTTTGCCATCATGTATTAATTTGTATTGATTTAAGTCACCCACCTGCCCACTGTCTTTAGCATTACTTGGGAACTTGTTGGAAACGCAAATTCCCAGGCCCCACTTTAGACCTTGAATGAGAAACTCTAAAGGCAGGATCCGAAAATCTGTGTTTTGTTTTATTAAGTGTTCCAGGTGTTTCTAATACCACGAAAATTTGAGAATCACTATACGGAATCATATTCTCTATGAGGATGGAGACTATGTCAGCTTTTTTCCATCACTAAACACACACACATGTGCACGCACACACACACACACACACACACACACACACACACACACAGGACTTTGCTTAATGGTCAGCATGTGAGATATGCTCCATGATGACATCCTGTTGAATAAACTCATGTAAGAAAGAAGCTTGCCCCACAGGAAGAAGTACATTTACATAGTGACCCATTATATATGTAGAAATATATATATATATACATAACAAGTTTTACAAAATAATACCCTTACTGCATACCATACACTTCAAACATTCTCCATCCTATTCTATTTCTTTTTTTGATAAGAGGAAAACTAAATTTATTAATTTATTTCACACTTTACAAATGGGTCTATGCACAATTTGAAAAACCTTAATCAGTCAGGACTTTTTTATTTTTCTTTTTTATTTTTCTTTTGAGACAGGGTCTCACTCTGTCGCCCAGGCTGGACTGTAGTGGTGCCATCTTGGCTCACTGCAGCCTCGACCTCCCGTGTTCAAGTGATGATCCCACCTCAGCCTCCCAAGTAGCTGGGACTACAAGCACATGACACCACACCTAGCTAATTTTTAGTAGAGGCAGGGATTTACTATGTTGCCCAGGCTGGTCTTAAACTCCTGGGCTCAAGCTATCTGCCCTCTTCAGCCTCCCAAAGTGCTAGGATAACAGGCATGAGCCACCGTGCCTGGCCAATGCTGTTCTTTTAAAATTCATACCTGTGCCCCTGTTATGTTTTTAATCTGGCATTCCCTCCTCTCCTCATTTCCTCATGCCCAAATCCTACTGATTCTTGAAGGCCTACCTCTTATAGTGGATTTCTCTGATAAGATCATCTTTCCCTCTTCTGAATTCCCACTGCACTTTCTCTGTACCCAGCTTTAAGGCTTTTCTTACTTTCTCCTTTTAATATAGTGTTCATGGGATATCACTTTTCCTATTAAAGTCAATCCTTCAGAACAGAATTCAAATCTGATTCATCTTTGTATTTTTCATAGTATATACAGTGAATAATTTCAAATAATGTTTCCTAAATAAATTAGACTTTCAAGGAGGGAGCTGCTAATTTCATTTATGGTTGTGTGAAGAAATAGTTTAAAAGAAAGTAGTATTTCAACGGGTGGCTAAGAGAGGAAGCGCATGTAAGTAAAAGGGAACCATATGGGCAAATTGTGATAAGTGCCACATTTGTGTAGGAAGTCCTAGGCTTCAGTGCAATTCTAATAAAGTTGCAGGTAGGTGTTTGAGCTAGAAGTTGGAGGAGTTCTATGTTTTTCAGGAATGGATCAGTGCTAGTATTGCCATCATTGGTGGGGCAGCCAGGAAAACATGTCCTCTGCACAGATCTGAGCAGTGCATTTTAAAACAGAAAAGCAACCATATTATTCTCCTTACAGACCTCTCATGGCTTACCTTTCATTGCAGAATAAAGTCATTTAAGGTGCCCTGCCACCCAATCCCATTTGACTTCCTAGTCTTTTCTCCACCACGCATATAACATTGCCAGAATATGCCCTGCACTTTTTCTGTTTTAAAAAAAAAATTACATCTTCAGTGGCAATATGTGGAGACATAAGGGCATGGTGACTATGAAAGTGGCCACTCAGATCTCTTCAGAGGGTACGTTTCCCCAGCTGCCCCACCAATGATGGCAATATTAGCACTGACCCATTCCTGAGAAACATGGAACTCCTCCAACTTTGAGCTCAAGCACCCCCCATCTACCTACCTGCAGCTTTATTAGAATTGCCCTGAAGTCTGAGACTTTCTACACAATCCTCTTTCTTTCCTCCAGTGAGATCCGCTTTGCAGTGTGAAGGCTTTCCCGCCTATTCCTGCTTCCTCATTTTATTCTCCACCAGCATTTCCCCCACTAAATACTTTTAATCCTGTCTTGCACTTTTAATCTTGCCTTGGCGCCAGCTTCTCTGGGGACCTGAACCAACTACAGAGGGGCAGATAAAATCAGGAAGGAGGTAAGAGGCGAAAAGTTTAGGATGGGCATACCCGATTAAAACACATATATGCCCTTCCTCAAATAATTAAAACTGGAATTGTCATACGATCCAGCAATTCCACTTGTGGGTATGTACCCAAAACAATTGAAAGCAGGGACTCAAACAGATACTTGCCCACCCATGCTCATAGTAGCACGGTTCACAATAGCCAAAAGGCGGAAACAACCCAAGGGGCTGTCAGCAGGTGAATGGATAAAAAAAATGTGATGTATACATATGATACTATAGAGTATCATTCTGCCTTTAAAAGGAAGGAAATCCTGACATGCTAGATCATGGATGAACCTTGAGAACATTATATAAGTGAAATAAGCCACTCACAAAAAGATACATACTGTACGACTCCCCTTATGTAGGTAACTAGAGTAATCAAATTCGTAGAGACAGAAAATAGAATGGTGACTGGCAGGCGCTACGGGAAAGAGGGAATGGAGTGTTAGTTGTTCAATGGGGATGGATTTTCAGTTTTGCAAGATGAAAAAGTTCTGGAAATCTGTTGCACAACAACGTGAAAATACCACACTACTGAACTGTACATTTAAAAATGGTTAAGACAGTAATTTCTAGGTTATGTGTGTTTTACCATGATTTAAACATATGCCCCAAAATATGCAGATGTGTTTATCAATGTGTACATACAGATACCGAATATACAACAGACACTCAAATTTACTGAAATTGTCAAAAGTCAAAGAAGGAAGAGTTCACCTAGCAAGCCACTATGTAGAAAGGGATGTAGATCTTTTGTCAAACCACACATCTTCATAGACATAAATCCAACCAAGGTCAGATAACACCAGACAATCTTCCACAAAACGTGAGACGGCTAGCTGACCAGAGCACTCTCACCATGTCACATGCTGCCAGAGAAGCTGGGGCTACAAAATACAAGCAGATGTCAACACTTTCACCTTCCACTTTCTTAATATCGCTGATCAGGCCAAGTTTCATTTCACTTATTGGGCCACTTTCCATGTTGAGGGAGAAGGATCGAAGGAGGGCGGAAGAAAGTGTTAGGATCTGAGTTTCATATCTGCTAATGTAAACTGATGTTGCTTACTGCTGGGTTTCAAGAGAAAACTTCCCTAAATCAGCCAAGAGTTGCTCAGAAAGACATATAGACCAGGGGTTGGCAAACGTTTTTTGTAAAGTAAATACTTTATATTTTAGTAAATACAGCCTCTGTTGGTTGCAACTACTTAACTCTGATGTTGTAGCACAAAACCTACCATCCATTATATGAATGAATGTGCATGGCTGTGTTTCAATAAAACTTTATTTGCAAAAATGGTAGGCCAGATCTGGCCCACGGACCGTAATTTGCCAAATCCTGATATATAGCACTAAGAGTTCTTTCAAAAAATACTTTCCTCTAGTTTGGATTTGGATGTACTACCTGCTTTCTGGTCTTTTATCTATTAATGCCAAAAGTACACAATTAAAATCTATTTGAAAATGATCAGCTTTATTAAGCGCCAACTTTACTAGAGAAAGTGCCATGAAACAAGATCTAGCCTGGAAGAAAGAAACCAAAATAGTCATCTGATCTCAAGCTGAAGCTACTAGACCAGCGGTTCTCAAAGTATGGTATTTGGACCAGCAGTGTCATTATTACCAGGGAACTTATTTGAAATGAAAATTTTCGGGCCCAGCCCCAGGCCTACAGAATCAGAGTATGTGGGAGTGGGGCCCAGCAATCTGTTTTAACAAGCGCTCCAAGTGATTCTGATGCAAGATTTAGTTTGAGAACCACTGTGCTAGGCTATGTCTGAAGCTTCTCGTGCCTCAAATTCTCCAGCAGCAAAGTAGGAATGTTAAAGTCTTGTTATTTTCCTCTATCCCTCAGGTCACAAAGACATAGCCTAGGCTGGCTGATACACACTTAAGGTGGTTCACCTAACTTAAGTCTACTAGTGTTTAAGGTAAAATACATGTTCTTTTTTTCTTTGAATTTGGATCATCTGCATTTAGAAGAAAAGATTTGTTCTGTTCTAAATTAAATGCAGTTGACCCTTGAGCAATACAGGTTTGAATTGCATGGGTCCATTTATATTGGATTTTCTTCAGCCTCTGCCACCCCTGAGACAGCAAGACCAACCCCTCTTTTTCCTTCTCCTCCTCAGCCTACTGAACATGAAGGTGATGAGGATGAAGACCTTTATGGTGATCCACTTCACTTACTGAATAGTAAACATATTTTCTCTTCCTTGTGATTTTCTTAATAACATTCTTTTCTTTAGCTTATCTTATTATAAGACTACAGCATATAATACATATAGCATATAAAATATGTGTTAACTGTTTATGTTATCAATAAGTCTTCCAATCAACAATAGGCTATTGGTAGTTATGTGTTTGGGGAGTCTAAAGTTATATGTAGATTCCTACTGCTTGGGAGGTCAGAGCCCCAACCCCCATGTTGTTCAAAGGTCAACTATACATATTCATAAGGATTTTATTCAGCTTCATCTATGGAATGATCCATAGAGTCCTTAGGATAGTAGAGATAAGATATATAACTTGTGATACAGATTAGATCCCACCTGGGCCAGAGCCAAGATACATGTGTCTCTGGCGTGTGGAATTTGGCGATATCCAAATCCCATCCAAGTATCTATTTGCCCTCATAATTTACATAAGGACCAAGGAGAATCCTGGAGAAAATCTCAAGCCATGCCCCTGGCTGAGAATTAGATATTTGAGACATATCTGGGAGACTTGGTGGAGGCAGGGAAGGAATGAAAATAAAGAAGAATAAAGAGAGGAAGAGAAACCAGTGCACGTGCAAACACACACACCCGAAAATGAAGTTAACTATAAAGGAAAGTAATGTGAAAAACCAGCCATGCCAGCCACAATGCCCTTCAGACCCTGAGCTCCTGAGCAGAGGTGAGTCCTGACTATGGCATGGCAGCTGGCACATCAATCATTTTCCCCAGCTCTCCTAGAGGCACACAAGCACCCCAGGGATGCACGGTGGCTGGGTTCACTGGCCTTATGCATGGAAAGTGCAGGCTCATTAAGTTCTATAATGTTCCATAGGTCCAAGCAATTCTCCGGAGGCACAACATTCTTCCCACTTTGCAAGAGAATGCCAAACTCCTGAGGAGAAGCAGGAGGACTGCCAGCTCTGGAGTCAGATAAGGAACTGGCAGTACAGCAGAAGCCAGGAATTTTGTAGTCAGGGGCACCATCAGAGCTTTTATTAGGCACCCTCTGTGGACTTATTCAACACTTGGGGAAGGAAGTCTGTGCAAAGTCCTGGAGTTCCCAAGTGAGCTAGCTGGAGCTTGGAGGCAGCAAGATTCTGGTAATTATGTTAATGTAAATTTATTGTCCCCATAAGATGGTAAGGTTGAAGGATGTGTGTGATACCTTTTGTGCCCTGTATCAGATTCTCTTTGCCCCACCTTTCACTTATTCCAAAAACCACTGTAGCGACTGGTTTTGCACAGACTCCAATCAACCTCACATAAGTGTAACCCAAAGAACCATTCCTTAAACAAGCCTCTTGCCTCCCACTCCAGGGCTTCCCTGTTGAGTCTGGGGAGAGGGGTTTTTAACACACTTGGGGTGGAATTTTGACCAATGGGGTTAGGAACTGATTAATAAATGTTTCCATCTTCTCCCCCCTGCAACCTCCAAATGAAATGGAAAACCATTTCAATCAGTTTCTCAAGCAGACCCAGGGTGATCAAGTACCAGTGGCCCACAGGGTGATTGACTCTATATTACACATCTGCTTTGTGTCTCCCTCCTTCTCTAGTGCCTCCTGGAATAATTGCACTTATAAGTTTGGTTCAGACTCTGCTTTTTTAGGAACCCAGGCTGAGGCAGGAATATTTAGGTCTCATGTGACTTAGAAGCAATAATACATTTGCTGTCAATATAGGACTTGTATATCTTTCAAGGCAAATAAATGGTATTATTTCCTATTTTATGTGATTTACTATATAGTATAATAATTTCATTATATGCCTCTAGCAAAGATATAATAATCCTCATCATTTCCCTAGATTCCTAATCTTGCATTTTTTTTTCCTTTTTTTTTTTTTTTTTTTTTTTGAGATGAAGTCCCCCTCTGTCGCCTAGGCTGGAGTGCAGTGGCGTGATCTTGGCTCACTGCAACCTCCGTTTCCCGGGTTCAAGCGATTCTCCTTCCTCAGCCTCTCGAGTTGCTGTGACTACAGGCGCACATCACCACACCCGGCTGATTTTTGTATTTTTTTAGTAGAGATGGGTTTTCACCATATTGGCCAGGCTGGTCTTGAACTCCTGACCTTGTGATCTGCCTGCCTTGGCCTCCCAAAGTGCTGAAATTACAGGTGTGACCCACTGCACCCGGCCGATAGTTAATTCTTTATTCTGTTTTCTGTTTCAGGTTTAAATACCAAACTCTAAAGATCATTCTGACACAGTTTGCAGGCAGAACTCAGGGAGAATATTTTATTAAGGGGAAGGAAATAAACACAGCTAATATTTTCAAAACAATCTATATGCCCAAACCCTAATTATTTAAATTTTTTTTATTTTTATAGATTCAGGGTGTACATGTGCAGGTTTGTTACATGGATAGATTGAATAATGGTGAGGTTTGGGCTTCTAGTGTGCCCATCTCCCACATAGTGAATGCTGTACCCAATAGGTAATTTTTCAGCCCTCATCTGCCTCCCAAACTCCTCCTTCTTGGAGTCTCTAGTGTCTGTTATTTCCCTTTGCATGTCCATGTGCACCCATTGCTTATCCCCCTCTTATAAGTGAGAAGATACAGTATTTGATTTCCTGTTTCTGAGTTATTTCACTTAGGATAATGGCCTCCAGCTCCATCCATGTTGCTGCAAAAGACATGATTTCATTCTTATGGCTGCATAGTATTCATATATATATATATATATATATATATATATATCTCACATTTTCTTTATTCAATCATCCATTGATGGACATTTGGGTTGATTCCATGACTTTGCTATTGTGAATAATGCTGTGATAAATATACGAGTGAAAGTGTCTTTTTGATATCCAATTTCTTTTCCATTGGATAGATACCTAGTACTAGGATTGCTAGGTCAAATGGCAGTTCTATTTTTAATTATTTGAGAAATCTCCATGCTGTTTTCCATAAAGGTTGTATTAATTTACTTCCATCAACAGTAGATAAGCATTCCCTTTTCACTGCATCCTCGCCAACATCTGTTGTTTTTTGACTTTTTAATGATAGCCATCTGACTGGTATGAGATGCTATCTCATTGTGGTTTTAATTTGTATTTCTCTGATTAGTGATGTTGAGCATTTTTTCATGTTTGTTAGCTGCTTGTACATCTTTTGAGAAATGTCTATTCACATCCTTTATCCACTTTTTAATGAAGTTATTTTTTTCTTGTTGAACTGCTTGCATTACTTATAGATTATGAATATCAGTCCTTTGTTGGACATAGAGTTTGCAAACATCTTCTCCCATTCTGTAGGTTGTCTGTTTACTCTGTTGGTTGTTTCTTTTGCTGTGTAGAAGCTTTTTGGTTTAATTAAGCCCTATTTGTCATTTTTGTTTTTGTTGTATTTGCTTTTGAGGTCTTAATCATAAATTCTTTGCCTAGACCCATGTCAAGAAAAGTTGTGCCTAGGTTTTCTTCTAGAATTTTTATAGTTTCAGGTCTTATATTTAAGCCTTTAATCCATCTTGAGTTAATTTTTGCGTATGTTAAGAGACAGGGGTCCAGTTTCATTCTTCTGCATATGGCTATCCAATTCTCCCAGCACCATTATTGAATAGGGAGTCCTTTCCCCATTATATATTTTTGCTGACTTTGTTGAAGTTCAGTTAGTTTTAAGTATGTAGCTTTATTTCTCGGTTCTTTATTCTGTTCTATTGATCTATATGTCTATTTTTGTACGTACCATGTTGTTTTGGTTACTATAGCCTTGTAGTATAATTTGAAGTCAAGTGATGTGATGCCTCCAGCCTTGTTCTTTTGGCTTAGGATTGCTTTAGCTATTTGGGCTCTTTTTTTGGTTCTATATGAATTTTAGAATTGTTTTCTCTAACTCTTTGGAAAAAGACATCAGCAATTTGATAGGAATTCCATTGAATCTGTAGATTGCTTTGAGCAGTATGTAAAACACTAATTCTTAATTTCAAAACACAAATTATTGGAGAATGAAGGGTTGAGGATAAGAAGAAATCCCTATTTTGGACACTTTTACTCTTCTGTCAAAAACATGTCAGCATGGTTTAACTTTTCTACCTATGGTAGCTATTTTAATTTATTGAACGTAAAAGTAAAATTGCCTTCCCTCTTTATTGTGCATGGAGCATTTCACAATAAATGCATTCACATGAATGCCTCAAACATACCCTAATGACAGTGGGCATCTTATATCATCAAGCTTTACCCTTCTCTGCCAGCCCAAGACCTCTCCAGGTATGAATCATTTTAAATTCCAGGAAATGAAGCTTCTTCTTCAAAGACAAGGCCTTTAAAAGCTATTAAGAATAATTCTCAGGATTTTTGACATCATGAGAGCAGACTCTTAACCTTTGTAGCTCTGGGGATCGTTTCCCTGAGGATAGTGGAGGCTGACCATCTAGTCCTTTGGCCTTGAACCACTGTGTTTTGATGACTTCACTATGATCATCCTATTATACAAGTACCACTTTGATATTATTTCAACATAATAATCAACAAATTTACTGAGCAAATGATTTTGTTTAATCCAAGTTACATGAAAACTGTGTGTGTGTGTGTGTGTGTGTGTGTGTGTGTGTGTGTGTGTGTGTGTGTATGTGTGAGACAGAGTCTCATCCCGTCACCCAGACTGGAGTGCAGTGGCCCAATCTTGGCTCGTTGCAACCTGTGCCTCTGGGTTCAAGCAATTCTCCTGCCTCGGCCTCCTGAGTAGCTGGGATTACAGGCGCATACCACCATGCCCAGCTAATTTTTTGTTTAGTTTTGTTTTTTCAGTAGAGACAGGTTTCACCATGTTGCCTAGGCTGGTCTCGAACTTGTGACCTCAAGTGATCCACCCACCTTGGCCTCCCAAAGTGCTGAGGTTACAGGCATGAGCCACCACACCTGGCCACATGAAAACATTTGAAGTCACCTTGTATGCCTCCACAATTGTCTCTAATAGTAACCCAAGACCCATACAGTTGTGCTAGGGTAGGAAACCTCAACTCATTTGATTTTTCCCAACAAAGGGAAATGGCTGAAATAAATATGCTACTCAAATAATCAAAGGACAGACAGATATAGTGGTTTGCACCTGTAATACTTTGGCAAGTTGAGGCAGGTGGATCGCTTGAGCCCAGGAGTTCAAGACCAGCCTGGGCAACATGGTGAAACCCTGTCTCTACAAAAAATACAAAAATTAAGAGGGCATGGGGGCATGTGCCTGTGGTCTCAGCTACTCGGGAGGCTGAGGTGGGAGGATCACCTGAGCCTGGGAGGTTGAGGCTGCAGTGAGCCATGATTGCACCACTGCACTCCAGCCTGGTTGACAGAGTGAGACCCTGTCTCAATAATAATAATCATCATCATCATTGTCATCAAAGGAATATGCAATAATATATTTCTCAGCCTTCAAGTGCGACTATATTCTGGCTAATAAAATACAAGCATTATCAACATGTCAATTTTTCCTAAGTTCATTTATAAATATGATTCCCATAAAATTCTATCCATTTGGTTTTTTTCCTGGAGCTAGACAAGTTGATTATAAAATTGCTTGTTCTTCTAGAATAGGTCATTAAAGAAGCCTTTATCCCCTTCCTCCTTCCTGCTGTTAGAAAATGAGATGTCTGGCACTCCAGCAGCCATCTTGGGTCATGAGAGGCCTTGCGGATGAATGCCACATGCTAGGATAGTGGACCAGAAAGATAGAAAGAGCTTAAGCCACTGATGATGTCAGAACCACTGTACCAGCCTTGAATGCCTACCTTCAGCCTTCTTTTACCAGAGGGGGTGAAAAAGACTCTTTAAAAACACATCAAGCTACTCTTTTTTTATTAACTGAGGCTGAACCTAGTCCTATGTGATACAGCATATACTATTGGTCAAATAACCAGATGGTATCATCTATGATTCAAAAATGAGAGCATCATTTCTAATGTCTGTAAATAACTTCGAAATGCATCCAAACAATAATAGGCTGGGCATGGTGGCTCAAGCCTGTAATCCCAGCACTTTGGAAGGCCAAGGGAGGAGAACTGCTTGAGCCCAGGAGTTCAAGACAAGCCTTGACATCATAGTGAGAACCCATATCTTCAAAACTAAATGTAAAAATTAGCTGGGCATTGGTGACATGCACCTGTGGTCCCAGCTACTCAGGAAGCTGAGGTGGAAGGATTGCTTGAACCCAAGATGTTGAGGCTTCAGTGAGCCGTGATTGCGCCACTGCACTCCAACCTGGGTGGCACAGTGAGACTGACTCAAAAAAGAAAAGGGAAGGGAAGAGAAGGGAGGGGCCCAATCAATAATAATAATATAATAGATATAGATTGATAAATGGATAGAGGTAAATAGATATGTTATAAAGTAAATATAGCAAAACACTAATCGTAGGATATAGACGGTAGGTGCATGGGTATTGACTACATAATTTCTTCAACTTTTCATAATAAAAGGCTGAAAATCCCATTGACAAGCCATCGGTACTATTTATTAAGTTTTCTAAAAATATCCCTAGTAATAAGGAATTTTGAAGCTTCTTTTCTCTCACAAAAAAAGAGCCATTTCTCTTCCTGTTCTATAAACACTATTGTGAGCTTCAAGTCTTGAAAATTAGAACTGGAAGTACTGCCAATGGGACAAACTGGGTGCAAGTAAAAATGTTAAAGGCTGTATAAACAGAAATCCATCTGGAAAGATGTTTTCTTCATCAGCACAGTAAAAGCTAGAATAGAATTTCCTGATATAGATGTACCGATTGACTCTGCAAATCCCACTGGGTATGAGAGAGGCATCTTACTCTTTAATTTAAAAGTAACTTTCACCAGAAAATGAGGCTAGGAATATTCAAACCTCAACTAAACTGAGCTCAGCACTAAGAATATCATTTTCTTTCTCTTTTGAGATTCGCTTCTCACTTTTTGTCAATACAAGGACACTTCTAAGGAGATATCCTTTCAGTTTGGTCTCATGATCCACTTGAAGCATTTCTACTGAGAAAGTAACAACTGTGGTGTTGGATCTTTTCCCATAGGTTTGTATTCTAAGCAAAAAAAAAAAAACAAAAAAAAAAATTGGAAAGGACCAATGAATAATTACTGGCAAGAATGCTAAAGTTGCAGAAGCCTTGGCTGCAAACTGCCAATATAGAAGAAAAAGTATTTTCCTATTCTTAGAGATGCAGTAAGAATGTGAATTAGGGCTCCCTAAAACAATGCCAAAACTGATTTGGACTATCGTATTTACCAAAAGAACCTATCAGTTGGTACTAAAATGCCTTCAGAAAATGGTGCAAATTTAATTCTTGAGAATTCAACTCTGATGTCATCCAATAGTGTTCATTTATTATGTTTAATGAAGGGCTGCAGGAGCACACAGTAAGCTAAATGAGAACATAGATTCACATTATCACCCTGTGGCATCACTTGCTTATAACCTGCTGAGAGGTTCTTCTTCTGGATCAACATTTTCCAAATTTAATCTCATCTCAGAAAGAATGCTCTTACAAAGCTAAAGGAAACATCCTCAGCTGCATTTAAATTATTTAAATATGTTTTAAAAGAATGAAAAAATACAATTAACATATGTATTTAATTTGGTGGAATATCACCCACTGTATATAGAGTTCTATAACATAGCCTTCTGGGAGAGAAATAAGGAATGAAGACCAGACATTATATATATTATTGGTATAAGGCAAAATGTCAAACACTTTGCTTGTATCATCACCCTCACTAAACTCTACAAGACAGAAATTGTTATTATCACCATTTTATAGATGAAGAAACAAAGACTTAGCAATGTTTGCCCAAGGGGTCACCCTGCTAGTAAATGGTGGGGCCAACATTAGGACCCAAAGTCTGTCTGATGGCAGATCTTTTTTTTTTTTCAAGACACGGTCTCACTAGGTCACCAAGGCTGGAGTGCAGTGGTGCAATCATAGCTGACTGAAGCCTTGAACTCCTGGGCTCAATTGATTCTCCCGCCTCAGCCTCCTGAGTAACTGGGACTATAGGTACATGCCACCATGCCTGGCTAATTTTGTTTTTTTTTTTGTAAAAACGAGGTATTACTACTTTGCCCAGGCTGTTCTCCAACTCCTGGGCTCAAGTGATCCTCCCACCTCTGCCTTCTGAGTAGCTGAAGATCCTGATCTTTTAAACACCACTGATACTGCTATGATCTTTGAAAGCCAAGTACCACACAGAACACTCAGCAATGAGACAGCCAGAGAAAGAGAGAAAGAGGAAGAATAAAAGGAAGGAAGGGAGGAGAGAAAGATTGGTCTAATATACAAGTTGGGGATATTTTAGAAGTATTTCGAGGTTATAGATATAAAGTACTTAACATCAAATCTGGATGATTTATCTGTGTCTTACTTTTTTCATCCTTCATTTCTTCAGTGTTTTATTTCTTCCAGTAAATTAAAAAAGAGGGACAGTACTTATATCTTAATCAATTGTAAAATTGATTCATTGTAAGCACTCTTCTTCCCCCCATGCTTTCTGCATCTCTTTTTCCCAAATAATTATTGAACACCTGCTGTGTGCCAGACCCTGTCATTTATATTCTTCCTCTACCGTAGAATAAGTCCACTCAATTCACTTTTAACAATTAAGAGGAAAAATATTTTAACTTATTGACATAGAATAAGACAATGAGGCACTAAGGAAAAAGGCAACAAATGAGCTGTCTGAATATTAAGAATGCTGGCCGGGCGCAGTGGCTCATGCCTGTAATCCCAGCACTTTGGGAGGCTGAGGTGGGCGGATCACTTGAGGTCAGGCATTCAAGACCAGCTTGGCCAACATGGTGAAACCCCATCTCTACTAAACATACAAAAATTAGCTGGGTATAGTGGCACATGCCTGTAGTCCCAGCTACTCAGGAGGCTGAAGCAAGAGAATCACTTGAACTTGGGCAGTAGACATTGGACATTGCAGTGAGCCAAGATCGTGCCACTGCACTCCAGCCTGGGCAACAGAGCGAGACTCCATCTCAGTAAATAAATAAGTACATACATAAAATAATAAAAAGAATGCTAACCTTAAGGCATCAGATGAAGCCTCATGTTAATGAAATAGACTAGACATCCAGCTTGAGTGACAACTCCACTTTCCCAGATCTTCACCATGAGAGGTGTGCAACCAGCACCACCACCACTACCACTACCAAAGAAGTTGATGGAAGTTGATGCCACTTGAGAAGGGCTTTTTATAGGGAAGAGAGCAGAAAAGAATGTGGGCAGCAACTACCATCCCAGTGAAGGTCAATCAGGAAAATGGAGAATACCCCATTTTCACTTTGTTTATGGCGTGCTGGCTCAGTGAGTTATCAGAAGAGCCAAAACTCTATCGTGGTCACCACAGTATCCATAGCATTTGGCATTCTACCTGCACTGTAGTAGCTACTTAATAAAAATTTGGTTGAATAGATAAATGAATTAATGACTAAGCCAGAAAATGACAAAGAGGCAGTGACCATATATTGTCTCTGCTACATGATGCAAAAGGAATAGCCATTTACCCAGAAAATGTTTAAGCATCTATATCCAAATTTTGTGCATTCAGAAATCTCTGACATCCTCACGGTTCTAGTATGAATCTCCATCTCATAGTAACCTCAACAGAAACCACAGTGCTCTATCAATCTAATAGAAGACGCAATCATAGAAAAGAGACCTAGACAGGCAGCATAGGGAATTACTCACTTCCTTACTCTTAAACCTGTTTGGTTTCATGGAAATGCAGTCACCCTCAAGATTTGTCACACCCATAGTGAAATCTTCCTCTTAGAAAGAACACCTTGTTGGTTTCAGTCCAATGACCCACAGACCACTTGCCTTCCAAGCATCCTGAATCATGAAATGATGGTGAAATGTGGGGAAATCTTGTTTAGTTCAAGTCATAAGACCCCAAAACCCTAACCAACAGTCACTGATATTTCTTCTCAACTATAATGGAAAAGGCAAATATTCAGGTCAATTCTCCTCATTGAGTCACCTGTTTCTCTTTCCACTTCACCTCAAGAGAGTTTTGTGTAATAGAGTTATGGTAGTTCAGTATAAAAAATAAATAGAACATGTCAAAATGACAATATATCTTGGGCATCATTTTCATTCAAGCCTTTTGCATTCCCCAACATTTATTTGCTCCCTGTCCTAACAACAACCCTCAGAAGGCATTGAGAGCAACTGCCCTGGTGCCTTTCTGTCCACAAGTGGAGAGAAGCCAAGACATGGTCCACAGGGGTGCAAAGCCCACTGTGAGCCAGGGAGAGCATCTGGAAGCCACAGAGTAGAGGCACCTGGCGTGGAATTTGGGGGCTCTGAGAAAAGCAACTGCACAGGCAGAGCTAACGTGGGTTACCATCGCCCCTCAGTATCACAGGGGGACTGCTTCCAGAACCTCCTTGGATACCAAAATTCAGAACCTCCTTGGATACCAAGTCCCTGAGAGAAAATGGTTCAGTGTTTGCCTGTAACCTACACACTGCTGCTGTATGCTTTAAATCATCTCTAGATTATGTGTTAAGCCTAATACTGTGTAAATGCTATGTAAATAGTTGTTCTATTGTATTGTTTTTATTTGTATGATTTTTATTGTTGTATTTTTATTTTTTATGATTTTTCCAAATATGTTCTACCCACTGTTGGTTAAACCTGTTGATGCAAAGCCCACGGATATGGAGGATCAACTGTATAAAGAATTTGGGTCTTGATGTGGTGACAATAGAATATAATAGCAGCAAATAATAATATGAAGAAACCAGTATATGGTAGTCCCCTCTTAACCATGGGGGATATATTCCAAGATCACCAGTGGATGCCTGAAACCTCAGATAGTACCAAACCCTGTGTATTTTATATATTTTTTTCCTATACATACATACATATCTATAATAAAATTTAATTTAAAAATTAGGCACACTAAGAGGTTAACAACAATAGTTAATCATGAAATAGAACAAGTTTAATAATATACTGTAATAGAAGTTAGATGAGTGTGGTCTCTCTTTCTCTCTCTCTCTTACTCTCTCTCAAAGCATCTTATTGTACTGTACTTACCTGCCTTCTTTTTATGATGACGTGAGATGATAAAATGCCTACATGATGAGATGAAGTGAGGTGAATGAAGGAGGCACAGTGGCATAGCATTAGGCAACGACTGACCTTCACACAGTACATCAAAGGGAGGCTCATCTGCTTCGGGTGATCCTGGAGCATCAAGCCATGATGATGTTAATGGTTGGATGTCAGGAGCAGATGATGCCAGTGACTAATGGGCAGGAAGTGTATATAGCGTGGATACACTGGAAAAGGGGGTGCACATCCCAAGTGGGATGGGGAAGGTTGACAAGAAATTTCATCACATTCCTCAGAACAGCACACATTGTAAAATTTAGGAATTGTTTATTTCCAGAATTGTCCATTTAATATGTTCAGACTGTGGTGGACTGCCAGTAACCGAAACCATGGAAAATGAAACCACCAATAAGAGGGGACTACTGTAGATGAATAGGAGAGAGAGAGGGAGCAAAGAGTCAAACTAAATAAACCGTCAGGGAATCCAAACTTAGCTGACCAGGGCCTTAGCTAGAGCTGTAGCCACAGAAAAGTCAAGGAAGGGCCAGATAGAAGACTTACTAGACTGTGTCCTCAGAGCCTCACATGCTCCTGGAACCACAATTCACAACACATTTCTGTTGAAAATGGAATAAGGCCGAGCATGGTGGCTCACGCCTGTAATACCAGCACACTGGGAAGCTGAGGCGGGCGGATAACCTGAGGTCAGGAGTTCGAGACTAGCCTGGCCAAAATGAAACCCCGTCTCTACTAAAAAATACAAAAATTAGCCAGACGTGGTGGCAGGTGTCTATAATCCTAGCTACTTGGGAGACTGAGGCATGAGAATGGCTTGAATCTGGGAGATGGAGGTTGCAGTGAGCCGAGATTGTGCCGTTGCACTCCAGCCTGGGTGACAGACTGAGACTCTGTCTCAAAAAAAAGAAAAAGAAAAATGGAATAAAAACGATGAAAAGAATAAGAAGAAGAGGAAGAAGGAGGAAGAGGAGGAAGGCAAAGGAAGAAGGGGGAGAGAGAGGAACGGAGAAGTAGGAAGAACAAGAAGAACAAGAACAAGAAGAACAGGAGGAAGTTAGGTAGCTGAGAGGATGGATCTGAGTATTTACCCCAAAGGAAGAAAAAAGGAGGAGCGTCCGTGGCAAACTGGAGAAACAGCATCTGGCCATGGGATTGGAGTGATGTGGGAACTCCAAGTGGAACTGCCTTGTAGGAAGTCATCAGTATGGAGGCACAGCCCCAGACCAAACCAGGACTGGAGGTGGAATGTGGAGGTGGAAGCTAATGGCAGGCATGTAAATGCAATTAGCAGAAGAGAAAAGCTGAGGACAGGGAGCAAAGCCTGAGGTGCAGTAGGAAAGGCAACTAGTAAAGGGGACTGAGAAGAAAAAGTAAAAGAAAAGGGAGAGAGAAGACCAACCAAGAAAATGCAGTTTCATGACTTTGGTGGAGAAAGTTTCAAGGAAATGATTGGTATGAGAAGGACTCAGGCCTGAGATTCAGGGAAGCCAGACCTGACCATGGGTTCTGCCACAAGCTAGGCTTGTGAGCTGGAGCAAGTGTCTGAACGTCTTTGGCCACCATGTCATAATCTGAAAGTGACCTCCGAAGTCTATCTCTAGCTCTCAGAATCCTTGAGATTCTAAGGGCTAAAGATTTTGGAGATCAAGAAAGACAGGAGAGGGAAAAGAGTGTGATAACTACAGTAATCTCAAAGAGAAAATGCCACCATCAAGAGCAGAAACTAGCAGGCAAGGATTGAGAAGAAAAGGGTAGATAGGTCTTCAATACTTTACAAATAAACACAAGTGCCCAAAAAAGCAGCAAGATCAAAAGGAGGTGATCTTTTTAATCTTTAACTTTACTTTTTTTATTTTTATGGGTGTATATATAGTTGTACATATTTATGGGGTACATGTGATATTTTTATACAAGTGTACAATTTTTTTTTTTTGAGACAGAGTCTCGCTCTGTCGCCCAGGCTGGAGTGCAGTGGCCTAATCTTGGCTCACTGCAAGCTCCGCCTCCCAGGTTCATGCCATTCTCCTGCCTCAGCCTCCCTATTAGCTGGGACTACAGGCGCCCGCCACCACGCCTGGCTAATTTTTTTTTGTATTTTTAGTAGAGACGGGATTTCACCATGTTAGCCAGGATGGTCTCGATCTCCTGACCTCGTGATCCGCCCGCCTCGGCCTCCCAAAGTGCTGGGATTACAGGCGTAAGCCACTGAGCCCAGCCAAAGTGTACAATGTTTAATGATCAAATCTAGTTTAATGATCAAATCTAGTTTAATGATCAAACCCATCACCTCAAACATTTATCAGTTCTTGGTGTATCATTCCAAATTTTCTCTCCTAGCTCTTTTGAAATATACAATAAGTTATTGTTAACTATAGTTGTCCTATTGTGCTGCTGAACACTGGATATTATTCCTACTATTTAACTGTATTTTTGTATCCATGAGCTAATCCCTTTATTCTCCCATCCCCAGTACACTTTCCAGCCTCTGGTAACTATCACTCTACTCTCTACTTCCATGAGATCAATTTTTTTAACTCCCACATATGAGTGAGAACATACATTTGTCTTTCTCCGCCTGGCTTATTTCACTTAACATAATGTCCTCCAGTTCCATCCATGTTGTTACAAATGACAGTATTTCATTCTTTTTATGACTGAATAATATGCCATTGTGTAAATGTACTACATTTTCTTTAATCATTCATCTATTGATGGACACTTAGGTTGCTTCCATATCTTGGCTATTATGAATAGTGCTGCAATAAACATAGGAGTGCAGATCTCTCTTTGATATATCGACTTCCTTTTGTTTGGATATATACCCAGCAGTGAGATTGCTGGATCATATGGTAGTTCTACTTTTAATTTTTTGAAGAACTCACATCCTGTTTTCCATAGTGGCTGTGCTAATTTATATCCCCACCAACAGTGTGCAAATGTTGCCCTTTCTCTGCGTCCTTGCCAGCATCCATTTGTTGCCATTGTTTTTTTGTTTTTTGTTTTGTTTTTTTTCTTTTTTTGTCCTTTTTTTTTTTTGAGACAGAGTCTTGCTCTGTCGCCCAGGCTGGAGTGCAGTGGCTTGCATCTCAGCTCACTGCAAGCTCCACTTCCCAGGTTCATGCCATTCTCCTGCCTCAGTCTCCCGAGTAGCTGGGACTGCAGGCAACCGCCACCACGCCCGGCAAATTTTTTTTTTTTTTTTTTTGTATTTTTAGTAGAGACGGGTTTTCACCATGTTAGCCAGGATGGTCTCCATCTCCTGACCTCATGATCCGCCTGCCTCGGCCTCCCAAAGTGCTAGGATTACAGGCGTGAGCCACTGCGCCTGGCCTTCTTTTTTTGTCCTTTTTATAAAAACCATTTTAGCTTGGGTGAGGAGGTTTTGTTTTGGTGAAGGGAGAGACTCGAGCTTGTTGAGGCTAAGGAGAGGAAGAAATTAAAGATTAAAATTAGAGGCTAGGCACTGTGGATCATGCCTGTAATCCCAACATTTTGGGAGGCTGAGACAAGAGGATCACTTGAGTCCAGGAGTTCAAGACTAGCCTTGGCAACATGGTGAAACCCCATCTCTACTAAAAGTATATATTTTTTAATTACCTGGGAGTAGCAGCACAAGCCTATAGTCCCAACTATTAGGAGGCTGAGGTGGGAGAATCACCTGGGCCTGGGAAGTCAAGGATTCAGTGAGCTGTGATTACACCACTTCACTCCAGCCTGGGCTACAGAGTGAGACCCTGTCTCAAAAGAAAAAAAAAATGAAAAAAAAAAGAAAGGTGAAAATTAGAGACAATTTAGAGGAGTAAGAATGGGGTTCAAAGTATCAGTAGATGAAAATGAAAGAACATCTTTTTATCTGAGGTGCTAACAAGAGGATTATCAGAAAAGTCAAAAGAACTATACTATATAAAGTACTATGAAGGAAAAATGAAAGAATAGAGACTATTCACCTAGAAAGGAGTCTCTTTACAGACTATGTTTAGTCTGAAGAAGAAGCAAGATTTTCTATTAGTTATCTATTGCAGCATTACAAATTATCCAAAACTTAATTATTTGAAACAACAAATGTTTACTATTTCACACAATTGCTATGAGGCAGCTTAGCTCGCTAGTTCTGGCTCAAGATCTCTCATGAGATTGAGTCATAGTGCCAGCCTGGGCTGAAATCTCCTGAAGGTTTGACTGTGGCTGGAAAGTTCACTTCCAAGGTGGCTGCCTCACATGGCTATTGGCTGGTGGCCTCAGTTCCTTCTTACATGTATATTTTCTCATGCCATGGCAGCTGGCTTCCCACAGAGCAAGTAAGCCAAGATAGTAACCAAAATGGAAGCTGCAACATCTTCCATGACGCAGTCTCCGAAGTGACACACTATCACTTCCACCACAGTCTATTCATTAGAAAGGACTCACCAAATGACACACTGTCACTTCTGCCACAGTCTATTCATTAGAAAGGACACACTGAGTCCAGCTCATTCTCAAGGGAAAGGGAACTAGACTCCACCTCTTGCAGGGAGAAGCATAACATAATTTGTGAATATATTATAAAGCCACTCCAATCTTCAAAGACAGTATGAATTAGGAGGATTGGCAGTAGGTGTGGAATATCCATTTTGGGGATATCCTGGGGGTCATTGAGACAAGATGAAAAGGTTCCCAGGAAAGGTTATCTATTGCCATAACAGCACCAACAACTAGTGACCTTTCTCAAAGAGCAAAAATGATGATATAGATTTATACCAGTCAGCCCAGAAGTTTACAAAGGGGAGAAAACTAATTTTGTCAGACACAGTTAAAGCTTAAAAAGAACCTGTTAAAGATAGTAAAAGAGAGAAGATTAATACCACCACAGACCCAGCAGACATATCTGACCTCTTTGAAGGCAGCATGGAAACGCTGATGCATTCATGACATCTGGCAGATGGCTGTGCTCACTGTGGCTGTCACTGAACTCTAACTTGAATCTCCATGCAACTGGGTAGGAAAGTTGCTGTGCTATTAACCTGAGTGCTTTCAGCAACACTGAATTAATGATTCCCTGAAAGCAATTTAAAGCAAGAATCATATTGTTGGTGGTGGTAGTTTTCATTTTAGTACTCCAGTGGTAGCACAATGCCTGAGGGGGAAAATGCATAGAGATTACAGAAATATCTATCTGATGGAAAGATGGATGCGTGGATAAATGGATACAAAAAAACTAGCCTAGCATATGTTATTCCCCTTTATGCACTTTGAATGCTTAGATTTTAATAGGACAGAAGGTTTTGAACTCACTTCTTCTTAACCTTGGAAATACTGGTAGTTTGCAAAGGATCATATAGCATAAAATGTAGTAGCCAAATATGCATTTCAAAAGAGGCGACCATTAGCAAATTTATTAATAAGAGTGCTATTATGCTGAATAATTAACAAAATAATTTGTTAGATTTTTAAGGTACATTTTAAAATCAAATTATGTGTTCATCTTTATGTTCTTCTGCCTGTCACTACTATTTAATAATGGGTTTAATAGATACACTTGAACCTAACACATTTTTTAAAAAAGAGTGATCCAGAATCAATTAATATACTTTCTTAATCTAATTAGTCATAATCAAGGCTTCACTGTAGCTGAAACCTATGTTTTAAAACTCATGCTTGGCCAGGCATGGTGGCTCACGCCTGTAATCCCAGCACTTTGGGAGGCCAAGGCAGGCAGATCACTTGAGCTCAGGAGTTCAAGACCAGCCTGGCCAACATGGTGAAACCCATTTCTACTAAAAAATGCAAAAAAATTAGCAAGCTGTTTTGACGCACACCTGTAATCCCAGCTACTCAGGAGGCTGAGGCAGGAGAATCGCTTGAACCCAGGAGACGTGCAATGAGCCGAGATCGCGCCATTGCACTCCAGCCTGTGCAACAAGAGTGAAACTCCATCTCAAAAAAAATAAAATAAAATAAAATAAAACCCATGCTTGTCAAAAATAAAAGAAAAACAAGCAAGTCGGCTTAAAAAATAAGTTAAATTCTTCCCAGTTACAGATAGCCCAGGTGTGCATTTTAACATGTAAGAGATATTACTTATCCTGCCTCCTAACAAACGTAATAAAACTATATAATCAAAAGCATATGCTTAATTTCGTTGAGTATCTGTAATACATAAATTGGATATTGCACTAGAAATAAACAGCTCATGAATCTATTTATTGAATAAAGATAATAAAATAGCTGGTGAACAGCTACATTTGCAGAAAGTTGTCCAGATCCATTTTCAGCATGGCTATAACTTCTCTGCACACTTCAGTGAATAATGCAAAACAACCTTAAGCTAAATAAGTTAAATAAGATTAAAAGTAAATGGGATGTTTGTTGTTTATTTTAGTATTAACTTTATTGTAACATTATTCTAATTTAATATTATACTCATGTTTGGTAACTATTATACACATGGTAATGTATGTTGTATCACATAATGAAATATGAAGTGTATATAAAGTGGAAACCATATAGGATGGTATAAACATCAACATGTTAAATGCTCTTAAGAAAGAAATGCATATTCTACTCTGGGTTTTTATAGAAAAAAGATTAAATGATTTTCTACATTTATCCAAATCAATTTCAATCATTTTTAAACACTGGAGAATAAAATGGAAGGAGAAATGTGCTAAAGTTTCAAGAAACTTAAATAAAAATTCACCTCCTTGATGCTTCTAGGTAATTCTTCAAAGTAACAAATGGTAAAATGGGAAGAAGGAAAGAATAATATGTGCTTATCCACAAAGAAGAATGGGCTGACCTCTGTGACTTTTCCTAAGCAGGTAATGACTTAACTGGACTTCTCCAGTAAGCATCAGAGATCCTAACAAAAATACCAATGTGCCCTAGCCCAATTGCAGAATAAATGAGTCTAAATCCATTCCCGCCGGGCGCGGTGGCTCATGCCTGTAATCCCAGCACTTTGGGAGGCTGAGGTGGGCAGATCACGAGGTCAGGAGATCGAGACCATCCTGGCTAACATGGTGAAACGCCGTCTCTACTAAAAATACAAAAAATTAGCCAGGCGTGGTGGCGGGCGCCTGTAGTCCCAGCTACTTGGGAGGCTGAGGCAGGAGAACGGCGTGAACCCGGGAGGCAGAGCTTGCAGTGAGCCGAGATTGCGCCACTGCACTCCAGCCTGGGCGACAGAGCGAGACTCCGTCTCAAATAAATAAATAAATAAATAAATCCATTCCCAAAGCCTACAATGTTAGAAGTAATCCAGAGATTTCAATGGAGTCATGGACTGATTAGAGACCCTAGGGCAGCTGAGGAGAAATTTCACATGCCCACAGTGTTTGTCTTTGTGGATATCTGTTGGGGAAGTCGGGATTACATGCAGTGATGTGTGTTGAGTCAGCACCTACAAGCTCTCAAGAGTCAATTGCTCAAATCTCTTCCCAACTCCACATTCAGTGGTGTTGCACTGGCAGCTGGAAATGGGCTATGGTGGAAGTATTTACACCACAGCAACTAGCAAATACTACAAATCGCGCTTTTTCTCCAGACAGCTAGTTTTTGAACATTTATGGACATACCTTTGATTAACTACATCTCAACATATCCCTACAAAAACACTAGTGAGCAGTGTTCACACTACATTTTCCCCGACATACTGATCCTAGGGAGATCACCTTCTTCTAGCCCCAACTTTCTAGGTGAAATCAATTTCCTTTTGGAAATAGATTAGTCTATAATTACTAATTACTTGATTATTTAAATGCCCAAGTTATTGATTATGCTGACCCCATTGTCAAAGCCAGTAAAATTTCACTTAATTCAAATTTCCCGGGCTCTTAGCAGCAGAGACACAGAAAAGTAGAAGGTGTCATTCCCAATATTATCTGTACTACACAGCTCTAGACTTACTTTACATTACATTGATGTTTGTTGAAATGACTTGCTCCTGTAAATAATAATCAAATGTGAAAGAGAATTAAGCAAAGTAGGATGGAAAAAGAGGAAGAGATGCTAATAATCCAGGGACACAGGTTGCATCAGTTGGCAGGTGAATTCCCTAAAACCATCCCAGATAATAGAATGAAACAGATGGTCTGGCTCTTTTCTGTTTTTCCCCCTAAGCTGGCATTAACAGTAAAGATGATTTTGCTGGGTGTCTTCCATTTCCTTCTCCAAATCTGCTTCCTACCTCTCTCCACCCTTCTCTGTGCCCCAGGAACAGATGATAATGTTCCCTTGTCATCTGCTCCTGCGAAGGAAGGGAGGGAGGAGAGAGATCAAGGCCTTTTCCCCAGATCTTTTCCTCCCTGCAGGGTTGCAGTGGGCTGGCTGCACCCCTCCACCAAAGATCACAACTCTGTCAGGCAGCAACTCCAAGCACCTTTCTCTTTTCCAGTTCCAATAACCCATCCCCCTATTGCCCTCAAGTCTTGGGCCGTAGCAGTGTCTGGCTGTGACAGCTCCAGCACACTGTGTTATTTCTTATAGGTTGCCCTACACCTTGCCAAGACCTTTTTAACGGTCCCGTTATTACATTCTCTTCCTATTATTCAATTTGAGCATGCCATCTATCTTCTGCTGGGACCTTGACAGATGCAACAGTATTGAAAAATCCAGAAAAACCACGAAACACTACCAAATTGTGTTCTCCCCTGTTGCCTCTGATACCATCCATATGATTCTGTGCTGCGCAAAACTTCCATGCCTTCAGACCCATCTAAAGAATCAACCAAACAATCTGCAAGAACTCGCTAAGCCCCTGTCCTGCACCCAGCACCATCCTTGGTATTGTGTCTTATGCTACCTACAAGGGGACCAAAGTGGTCAACTTTTTATTTTTCCAAGTTTAACTTCTTTTGGGGGCCTGATCTAATTTCTCTTACAGAGCTGTACAAATTTACATGACCACATTAATTTTGATATTATTTTATTCCGTGTCAAATCCCTATATTTATTAATTTTTTTTTAATTTTATTTATTTATTTATTTATTTATTTTGAGACGGAGTCTCGCTCTGTCACCCAGGCTAGAGTGCAGTGGCGCCATCTCAGCTCACTGCAGGCTCCGCCTCCCGGGTTCACACCATTCTCCTGCCTCAGCCTTCCGAGTAGCTGGGACTACAGGCAACTGCCACCACACCCGGCTAATTATTTTTTGTATTTTTAGTAGAGACGGGGTTTCACCGTGTTAGCCAGGATGGTCTCGATCTCCTGACCTCATGATCTGCCTGCCTCAGCCTCCCAAAGTGCTGGGATTACAGGCGTGAGCCACCACGCCTGGCCTAAACCCCTATATTTAAAGTCCAGGTTACCAAAAAGAAAATAAACAAAGCCCCGACTTCACCTCCTGTATAGCATCAGGGTAAGGCTAGCACAGAACGGGTCACAGAGAGCACATCAGTCTCCAAAATGTCAAACACAGAAACCTAAATTTAAAGGGACCACCATGTCCACCTCACTAGTTTCATACAGAGCCATCCTTAAAGCCTGAATAATAACAGCTAATAGTTTCGAGTATTTAACTGTAGGACATATCCTGTGCTGTGTTTCGCCTATAATATCTCATTCAAGACTTTAAACAACTCTACAATATAAGCACACTATATTAGTATTCTCATTTTATAGATGACAAAACTAAGGCCCACAGGTTATATTCTTGGTCCAAATTCACACAGCTGCTAACAACTTGGGATTCAAATGCAGGCAGCCTGTTTCTAGAATCCAGGCTCTGAACCACTGCACCAGAAATCAGGTTTGCATCACTTCTAGCGACTGGAAAACCTGATGTTTCAAGGACAGTTTTAAAGAGGAAGAAGAAGAAACCTTTTCATTTTCCTGTAAAGTATTCCTTTTTCCCCTTTAAATCTTCAAGGTTACCCACCTGGAGTTGGGAGCTGGTGGGTGTGTTGTTCTGTATATTACATTTGTGCTCTGGACAGAACATCTTCTTGGCCTCAAATTCGGTTCTCCCCACACCCTACAGGGTTCTCAAGTTCACATACTTCCAGAAGCCCCTATTGTCTTGATTCGATAAAGGCTTTGTAGTGCTCAAGGACATTAAGTATTTATTTCTGTAGTTCCTTATAACTAACAAAGGCAAGAACAGTCATTCCAATGAATGTTTTACCTACAGCTTCACTCTCCTTTGTGATATTTCAGGTATGCAACAATTAATAGAAGAAGTTCCCCAGGATGTTCTAATTATAATCTTCCCTCACATATGAGGGGAAATGGTCTATTTCACAGAAGGATATTTCGTAAAACTCAAATCTCAAATTGAGCTGAAAATGAGTTCAATTATTGCACTTAGGCCTGTCCTTGCCCTTGGAGCACTGGTATATCAAATTAGAACTTCCAATAATGACTGTCAGCTGCTTCCTTTGGAGGCCAGTTTGGGTTTAAGGTTATAAATTCATTGGAACTAACAACCCTAGCCTTTTCAGGTTCTAGGTACATTATTACACCTACTCCATCCACCTAACAGAGCCTTAGGTCCTAATCCTTAGAAACTCCCTTCTAGATGTCTTTATTCTACCACTTACGATTCTCCCTGGGCACCTACCTGCCTATCTCTGCTCTTTTTTTTTTAATTGCTGTTTTTCACTCATTAGAACATTTATTGTTGTGGTTTCCTTTTTATATATTCCCCGGGGTGAATTTTCCCAATTGGGTTTTCCTTCCCAGCTTTCCCCTGGCTTTGGATCAAGTCCATGTTGGCAGGTTTAGCTGGAAAGAACAAGATAAAGGCAATATATCCACTATACACCAGCAAAAGCAAGCGAGCTGTCTTTCATAACATTTTTCCTTCAGTACAATTTCTTACTGAGGGATAGAAAGAGAGAGAGAGGATTTTTTTTAATGCAAGAAGTCATTTAGTAGCAGCGTATATATGTTATCACCACTTCACTTCCAACCACTGCAAAATACACATTCACAAGTTGGCCGAAATGAAGCTCAGCCCATGTCCATGAAATAAGTGTCTTTATGTATTTTACTGTGCATAGCTAGTTTGTTAGTCATTCAATAGCAGAATTTAGTGATTCAAGTACTAACTAGCTTATGTAACCTTAAAGTTGTTTCATGTCTCTGCCTCAGATTCCCTATCAATAAAAGATGAGTTGTATCACCCAAAATACTTATTTCATAGACTTTTGTGAGAAAAAAATAGAAAAATAATATATGTTTTAGAAAAAAAAAGAGCAAGCTGTTTTCAACTTATAAATGAGCTCTATTCCAAAAGTTCATTGCTAGGAACCTGGAGCATATTTTCCCAGATAAAAAATATGACAAAGGGTGGTTAGGTTTGCAGGCACCTGCAGAGGTCCATCTGCAGGTGAACCGCAGAGCTCATGGTGTCCTAGATGACAATCA
Source organism: Homo sapiens (assembly GCF_000001405.40). Classification (NCBI taxonomy): domain Eukaryota; kingdom Metazoa; phylum Chordata; class Mammalia; order Primates; family Hominidae; genus Homo; species Homo sapiens. The sequence goes on from NC_000006.12 coordinate 105,932,978, forward strand.
GTGTACGGATGATGATGGTGGGAAAGCGCATTCGTGTGCCAGTGGGGAGTGATTAGGAAGTCTCTGTTACAGGAATGTGAATTGATGGTAAAAGAAAGACAAACTTTACTATTTTGTTCTTCTATGCCGTTTAAATTTTTACCACAAGCAAGAATGATTTTTTTCATTTTTACTGTGTCAAAATATACCTAACATAAAACTTACCATTGTACGTCCAACAGCGTGACTGTACTTAATGCCACTGAAGTGTACACTTAACCATGGCATTAAGTAGATTACCAATGTTATGCAACAATCACTACCATCTATCTTCAGAACTTTTTTTGTCTTCCCAAACTGAAACCCCATGCCCATTAAACAACAACTACCCATTCTTCCCTCTCCCAAGAAGAATGGCTCTTTTTTTTAGACAGAGTCTCGCTCTGTGGCCCAGGCTGGAGTGCAGTGGTGCAATCTCGGCTCACTGCAAGCTCCGCCTCCCAGGTTTACGCCATTCTCCTGCCTCAGCCTCCCAAGTAGCTGTGACTACAGGCGCCCGCCACCACGCCCGGCTAATTTTTTGTATTTTTTAGTAGGGATGGGGTTTCACCGTGTTAGCCAGGATGGTCTTGATCTCCTGACCTCGTGATCCACCCGCCTCGGCCTCCCAAAGTGCTGGAATTACAGGCGTGAGCCACTGTGCCCAGCCAAAGAATGGCTTTTTAAAAAATCTTTTAGTTTTGGGGTACAAATGCAGGTTTGTTATATAGGTAAATTATGTATCACAGAGGTTTGCTGTACAGATTATTTTGTCACCCAGGTAATAAGCATGGTACCTGATAGGCAGTTTTACAATCCCCACCCTCCTCCAACCCTCCACCCTCAAGTAGGCCCTGAAAACTGTTGTTCCCTTCTTTGTATCCATGTGTACTCAATGTTTAGCTCCACTTACACATGAGAACATGTGGTATTTGGTTTTCTGTTTCTGCATTAGTTCACTTGGGATAATGATCTCCATCTCTATCCATGTTGCTGCAAAGGATATGATCTCATTATTTTTTATGGCTGCATAGTATTCCATGATCACACATTCCATGTGTATATGTATCACATTTTCTTTCTCCAGTCTACCATTGATGGGCACTTAGGTTGACTCCATGTCTTTGCTATGGTGAAGAGTGCTGCAATGGACATACATGTGCATGTGTCTTTATGGCAAACTGATTTATATTCCTTTGAGTATATACCCAATAATGAGATGATTGAGGTTAAATAGCCATTTAACCATGGGGTTAAATGGCAGTGCTAAGTTCTTTGAGAAATCGCCAAACTGCTTTCCACAATGGAAAACTAATTCACTATTCCCATCAGCAACATGTAAGCATTCCTTTCTCTCCACAACATTACCAGCATTTGTTATTTTTTTGACTTTTTAATAATAGCCATGAGGCCCGGCACGGTGGCGCATACCTGTAATCCCAGAACCTTGGGAGGCCGAGGCGGGCAGATCACTTCAGCTCAGGAATTTGAAACCAGCCTGGCCAACGTGGTGAAACCCTGTCTCTACTAAAAAATACCAAAAAATTAGTCTGGCATGTTGGCACACACCTGTAATCCTAGCTACTCAGGAGGCTGAGGTAGGAGAATCGCTTGAACTCGGGAGGTGGAAGTTGCAGTGAACCAAGATTGCACCACTGCACTCCAGCCTGGGTGACAGATGAGACTCCATCTCGTAAAAAAGGAAAATAATAATAATAGCCAGAAAGAATGGCTTTTATAATGAAAGAAAATAACAGAAATTTTTTCCATACAAAAGGCCATATTAATAACAGTGCTATCTTTGGAAGTGAAATAATAATCATTTGCTGTTTCTGAAACAGGACGTTCCATGACACAGTATGAGACTGAGTGTTCGTCTGTGTACCAGTGATGTATGCAATTTATCAATCATCCTGGTTGGGGTTCTTTCCCCTGCCTAGTTGTGGATCATTGCTACATCCATACAGTGAAATTTGGAGAACACCACAAAACGAAAGTGTCAGTATGCTTATCAACCCAAATGCTTCACTCACCCTTCCGAGATCGTTTTCCCTCTTTCCTCTTCCTAGTTCATGCCACCAAAGAGTCCACTGAGAGGAGAAAGTTTTTTATTTACACAAATTCATATAAATTTGCTCTGAAAAGAGGACCTGCGTACAATACACACTACCCACGTTCAGGTACCACCTGAGAGGAGATGACAAGCCAGAGGCAGGGGTAGGCAAGGTGGGTGGGTGTGAGATGAGTAGGGTGTAAAGAAAAAGGGACTGGGGAGGCCCAGATGGCAGGAGCCCTGCCAAGGGCACCTGGGATGCAGATCTGGGGGGCAGCAGTGCTCCTGGGCAGGAGGAGGTGGAAAAAGCCCCATCAGGAATGGTAAATAAATTGCATACATCAGTCCAACAGAACCTACAAAATCTGCTTGTTAGTCTGATTTCACGGCATGAGTTTATTATCAAATTATGCCTGTCAATAAATAATTAAGTATTTTTTATCACTTCCAACTTAAGAAAATAACAGAGAGGCTTTTGCCACACACACATTCTAAATTAACTAATAACAGTGCTATCTTCGGAAGTGAAATAATAAACAGACTCTGTTTCTAAAACAGGAAATTCCATGACACAACATCAAATTCAGTATTTGTCAATACTATACGATCCAGGAAGCCCCAGAACATCTTCAGAGAGAAAATTACTTCTTTTTTCTTGTTTGCTTATTTTTGTTTTTGGGGGTTTTTGTTTGTTTATTTTTTGAGATGGAGTCTTGCTCTGTCACCCAGGCTGAAGTGCAGTGGCACGACCTCAGCTCACTGCAACCTCTGCCTCCCGGGTTCAAGTGATTCTCCTGCCTCAGCCTGGTGAGTAGCTGGGACTACAGGCATGACCCACAATGCCTGACTAATTTTTTGCATTTTTGGTAGAGACGTGGTTTTGCCATGTTGGCGAGGCTGGTCTTGAACTCCTGAGCTTAAGTGATCTGCCCACCTCGGCCTCCCAAGGTGCTGGGATTACAGGCGTGAGCCACCATGCCCGGCCGAAATTACTTCTTAACTTACAAACTGAGAAACTGCCTTATGAATGTGATCACTGGGCCAAGGTGGCCTCATCACAGAGGGCCTTGTTTAGGATGTCCTTATAGCTGGGCCACCTACAGTAGGAAAACATTAAGATTAATTTGCCAAATTCGGTAGAGAGGTCAGCTCTATTCTTCCTTTACACACAGTCGTGGTCCACTCCAAACCTGCCCCTTCTCTAGACGTTAACAGCTATTTCTTCACAGATGCATGAAGGAATTCCCTGGATAAGAGAAAAATCACAGAGGGCTGGGTTCATGACTTAGGTGCTTAAGCACATAAGGGAGGTGATAGAAACTTAAGCAATGAATGGGGGGAGTATTCTGCAAACTTTTATTTTGAGTGTTTAGAACTTAGATTTATCACCAGGTTCCAAGGGCTTGTTTTTAATTGAAGATAGATTCAACAAATATGCATGGAGCATACCTACATGTCCCAAACCCCATGATAGTTTCTATGGATATAAAGACACATTAAACCTAAAATCTCACATTCTACAAACCTCAAGAAACTCACATTCCATAGAAAGTTTGTTTCTTTCCTCAACATGGCCAGGAATACAGTAGTATTTAATCCATAAATTCTTTTTGACTTGACAAGTTTTGTTAATTTCAGATCAGTGAAAGCAATTCAATAAGTGTTAGTGAATGCTTTTCATCTCACTACATTTTCCTTCCTATTTCTGTTGAATGACACAAACCTGAAACTTATTTTCTCAGATACAATTAAATAGCATATTCTATTAGTTTTATGTGTAGCTTTACTGGTCATCTACTAGAAGCCAGATACTACATTTAGCTCCATTAATAATAATTCCAATAAGGTCAAGGGCATGCATTTTGGAGGCAGGGAATCTGGACATGGTCCCAGTTCCACCAGTTGGTAGCTCTGTGAGTTTTCACTTCAGTTTCTTCATTTGTAGGATGCATATCATAATAATACCTACCCTGCCTACCTCATCTCAGGTGAGTAAATAAGGATTGTTTTCAAAATAAACTATTTATATTTGAAGATAACATTGCTAACAGTATCTTTTAAAAACAAAAACAAACATACCAGACTTATCACAGGCAGCATTCCAGGTTCCTTCTCAACATCAAAGCAAGTAAGGGCTTATCAGGAGCAGAGGCTTATAGGACTTGTTGCTACATGCTGCTCTACTTCTCTACAACATCCTGGTCCCTAAAAAGTCTTTATTAGAATGAAACATAGATGCTGTGATGGCTGCCACTGTTGTATTATCAGAAGATGTGCTTCGAGATATTCAACTGCTAAAGAAACTTAGCAGTCGAAAATCTTAGTGGCTGAACATCTTGAGAACTCTATAACTTGGATGAAAATGTGCATAGTTCAGACCAGGCTTGGTTGCCTTAGAAAGCACATCATCACCACTGGGGCCGCTTTGTGATTTTTGTGAACCCTAGGCTCTTTTGCCTTTATGGGTACTTCCTCCATTAAAGAAAAAATTGAAATCCTATTTTATGATTACATTGGTATAAAAATGAATATAATCCATGCAGGATTCATTATTACAAGTTGAGTATCCCTTATTCAAAATGCTTGGACCAGAAAGGTTTCAGATTTCAGATATTTTTGGATTTTTGAATATTCGCACTATACACTTACCAGTTCAGCATCCCTTTGAGCATCATGTTGGCACTCAAAAAGTTTTAGATTTTGGAACATTTCGTACTTTGAATTTTTGGATTAGGAATTCAACTTGTATATATTTACTGTTATTACTATACTATCTTTTTCCTTGTGATGTTTAAAGAAATTAAAACATTTTCATGGGCCCTAAAAGTAATGTGGACTCTAGCCTTTGCTCATGCTGTGCCTAGCAGACAAGTCAGTCCTGCTCATTGGAGCAGACATCCATCATCTGACCGCCACTACCTCTCCAGCCACATCTCCCACCAGCCTGCCCTCCTTCACTCCATTCCAGCCCGCCCAACCCCGCTTCATGCCCTCTATGATATCCAGCATATTCCTATCCCAGAGCCTGAGCCCTAGAGTTCTCTTGACCTGGGATGCTTTTCCTCAGATCTTTGCAAGTCACTCTGGCCTCCACAAGTGTCACCTCTCCAGAGAGGCCTTCCCTGACAACCCTGACAATCCCAGCCACCTTCCATGCCATTATCCTGTTGTAGTTTCTTAGTGGCGCTTACAACAATCTGAAAAGGTCTCATTTCTTTGTCTATTGTTGGCCTGTCATTCCAAGATGTTATAAGGGCTGTGAGGTATATGAGGGCAGGGACTTGGTCTGCCTTGTTCACTGTCACATCCCCAGTGCTTGGTCCATGGTAGGTTCTTAATAAACATTTATGGAATAAATGAATGAGTAGATAGGCTGCAAAGCTTTCTCAGCTCATTTGAAGAATGTGGGAACAAAATAGTGCCTGCCATTTTGCTCTTTATTCTTTGTTCATTTATTCTTTATCAATAGCAGGTCTCCACCAGACCAGGACAAGCATCCTTGGGGAGTTAGCGTCCAGAGCTGTAGGGAAGGGAGGGAGGAGAGCACTTTTGCACATACAACCAGACCAGACTCAAATGAGAGCACAGAAAATGCTCATAACTTGCCCCTCTGGGTTCCTTTTAAAAAGTTCATTCAGTATCTACTAAATGCCTGCTTGTGTTAGCCACCATCTCAGAAGAAGAGGACTAGTTTCCACTCTCAAAGGATACAATGAAAAGGCAACCACATGGAAAGTGGAATTTGAAAAGCACCTTGAAAAGACATATACTTCACCTCCTGTCTTCAGGAAGGATATAGGACATTATTGAGAGACTCGGAGACAGTGGCTTTAGGGACTGTGAGAAATGTTTGCTTTTTCTCAGCATCCATTCCTTCTTTTTGGTAATAGCACATCCATTTTCATTTTCTTATGAGGAATTATTCCTCCCCCATTATTTACAGGATTCTTATTAAAGGTCCTCAGCCTTCTTCCCTGAAAGAAGGGGTGGCTGGTCATGTGACCCAAGCCAATCAGACCTTCTCTAGAGGCTTGAATTTTAGCAGAGTGATACAAAGGGGTTGGGGGGTGCAGAGCATGAAGTACTCATACATTCACTCACAAAACGATGGGTTCATTCCTACTTCCAAGAACCCCAGGAATGCCCTAGTACCCTTCTTTTCAGAGCATGATTCTCCAACGTTCCTCAATGTGGTGAACTTCCTGTTGACCTCTCTGTTTAAGGAAACCAGAGGCATTTCTATGAAGCCCCCTGAGGCATGTAGTGGGAGCTGCGCACAACTGGAGCATTAGACTGTTTCTAGATGCAGGCAATCCAAATAACTGACTGCTTTGTGCCTCAGCTTTTTGAGACTTCAAAGAGAGGTAATTCCTATTCAGTCAGCACCCAAAGATTATTGAGAGGTTAAAATGAACTAGTAAATTAACAAGTATGTGTGTCATTTAGGTCTCCCAGGAAGCAGATGCTGAAACAGTGTAAGCAACACAAGTGGTTTACTTGGGGGCAACACCTCTGAGAAATGAAAGGAAAGAGAAGCAGAGCCGTCTCTACAGAAGAATAGAAAAATTAACCAGCCGTGTGGTGCACACCTGTAGTCCCAGCTACTCTGGAGGCTAAGGTGAGAGGATCTTTTGAGCCCAAGAGTTCAAGGCTGCAGTGAGCTATGATGGCACCACTTACTGCATTCCAGCCTGGGTGACAGAGTAAGACCCTGTCTCAGAAAAAAAAAAAGAAAAAAAAAGTATAATCTTGTCATAACTTGATGACAAGGGGAACTTAGATATGCATAAAAACTGACAGGCCAGGCGTGGTGGTTCATGCCTGTAATCCCAGCACTTTGGGAGGCCGAGACAGGCGGATCACGAGGTCAGGAGATCGAGACCATCCTGGCTAACACGGTGAAACCCTGTCTCTACTAAAAAATACAAAAAATTAGCCGGGCATGGTGGCGGGTGCCTGTAGTCCCAGCTACTTGGGAGGCTGAGGCAGGAGAACGGCGTGAACCCAGGAGGCAGAGCTTGCAGTGAGCCGAGATCATGCCACTGCACTCCAGCCTGGGCGACAGAGCGAGATTCCATCCCAAATAAATAAATAAATAAATAAATAAATAAATAAATAAATACTGAGAAATCTCTTGCGGAAAAATAATCCAGGCCCCAATCTCTTCCCTTTGAGGTTCAAAATCATGAGTACTCCTTTGATGGCCTGTTACCGTCTCAACTGGCCCCAAAGGGGAGCTCACCATAAGGGAGGAGGTACCTAGACTGATAACCCCAGGCTCACCACTGGATCTATGGGTATTTGAGGAGAAGATGGTTTTAAAACTGCTTTTGGAAGCTCGTCCTGATCCTCCAAATTTTAATTTCCAAGGCTCTGACTCGATAAACTGTATAAACACTAAATAACTGAGTTTAAAATTAAAAAAAAAAAGTATTTTAATCTTTCCCACACGGACTCCTTCCTAGTTCTACTCACAGACAGACACATGCATAGACAGCTGATTGAAGTTGAAGGAAGGCAAAATAAATTGTACCAACAATGAAACATTTTAACCTAAATGAAAAAATTAGTTTTCAAAAGATTAAAATTAGTCCAAACCATTTTTAAGACTAATTTGCCAATGTGCTGTTAATAAAGTTATTATATTTATTCCTAAAATAAGCAACTATGCAAGGCAGGAAGACAGAACATGAAGGATTTCTCCTGGCCGATCTGAACCAGGTATCAAGAAAGAAAACCATGCCTCTTTTTGAAATACAATTTATAGAGTAACAAAATATGGATGTGAGGGAAGGGTGAGATCCCTTTTCTTTCCCAAATTGTCCTAGTGTTGACATTAAGAAGATTAACATGTGATTCTAAGTGACCCTAGGATCCACTTATTTGTCATCTTGGAAACAATAGTTTAACAGTTTTCAAAATAACTGAACAATGTAAACAAACAGCTTCTTTGACTAATCTGGGATCTGCTGCTGCCATAAAGTCGCCTTCAGGACATTTTCAAAAAGAGTTTGGGGGGTTTTTTTGTTTTGTTTTGTTTTATCTCTTTACAGTGTGAAAAGCCTTGCCTGAAAATTGACTAATGTGTAAAAGGAAGCCATCATTCACGCTAATGAGGTCCTTCAACAGGTCCTTCTCCCAGTGCTCCAAGCTGCCCTAGAGCTGAAATGTGAGGCTTCTTTAACCTGGAGCTGGCTGAAAGAATTTCACTACCCTCCCCAGGCATTCAACATAGGCTTCTTTCTAGTACATTTTCTTCAGGTTTTTCATTCACACACTAATCACTAAAATAAAGCACTCCATTTCTAAGTACCTGAAAGGTGCTGACATATGCACACCTCAGATGAATGGGGTGTTTAATCCTCCCATCCACGGCTCCACCTGCACAAAAAACAAAAAACAGCCATGTGCAGTGCATTGGCACCATCCATCTTGTACTCCAAATGTCTCCCTCAGTTCGTTTTCTCTTTCCTTCATCCATCCACCCCAACCACTGGCACATGTACAAAATTTGAATCACATCCAAACCTGAACCAATAAAACTAAGAGGCTCAATATTTTTATTTATCTACGATTATTTCTAAAGCCTGGAAAATTTTGAGTTTACATAAATTCAGAGAAGGAAAATTCTCCATAACCACAGACAGGTTTCATAATCACTCCAAGGAAATGACAAGTTCTTCTTGGGAACAATTCCTTTTGCTTTCTGAAATTTGAGGTGAGAAATTTCATTTGTTTTTCACTGAACTGCAAAAAAATGAATGATGTCATTCTTATACCATGGGAACTGGTACTATAAGTTCTATCAAGAGACATAGTTCTCATTTCCAACATAGATGACTAAATTATGTGTAGGGCTAGTGAGAAAAAGGAGAGGGAGGGTGAAAGCCACATTACTGTTATTGCTTGTTCAGAACCGTATATATTCCCACATTTCTCCCTTCCAGTGTTTTCTTGCTTAAAGGATTAAGGGAATATTTGGGACTTTTCTCTTTGTCTCATTTCCCCTCATTTTCAAGCTGCCAGCTAGTTTTCTAGATGGGTACTGAACAAGAGTCATCTGAGTACTGAAATAAAAGTTCCACCTCCTAAACCGCATTTGTAACAGGGATTGGGTCCAAAGAGATATCTCAGAAAACTGTACCAACCATGTGGTAAAATACCTGCTTCAGAGTCTTTTGATTTACTAAGATAAGATGAGCCTTCTGAAACCTTAGAGACATTACAGTCCAGCCAGATACCTCCTCTCTCTATAAGGAAGCTAAGCACCAAAATGATGAGCTGATTTTTCCCAAGATCACATGGCTAAGTGGAGGCACAATTGAGCCAAGATCTTTTACATTTCTCTTTATTGTATAATTATAAAGGGGGCCAAGAAGACATTTATATTTATAAAATGGAATTTAAGCTAGATTTTGATGTTCAAAGAAATCCTCAAATACTGTTTTCTATTTAAAAAACTCTACCACATTTCGTCTGAAGATTATCACTTCTGTAAGACTATCCAGATCTATCTTCACATTTACTGCTAGCAAATAAATAAAAATATTCTAAAGATAATTGAGTAACTTTCAGGATAATACAATTATTACAGATGGGTACATATTATAGATATTGTCTAAGTCCTAAGAAAATATACCCAAGAAATTTGTAGGACTAGGATGCTAAGGGCAGGCACAGCAAATTTGGGACATATTAATGAAACCCAAGAAGAAGAGTAATAGGTTGCATCCAGGCCTAAATTAAATGTTAGTGATGGGTGGAATCATCCAATCCCGAAAAGGAAAAGTAGACAAAATGTGTTTGAACAAGAATGCTTTTGACAGACTTAAAACTGACTGATTTTATATCTCTTACTATGGAAAAGACCACAAGAAATAACCTACATTATAAAGGAATACATAAAAAACAAAACAAAAAAATAATAATCTGATCCCTAAAGCATTGAAAAAGTAAAAGGAAAGAAGGTACATAATTCCAGTACCCAGAGCAAGCCCCATCAGTGTTAGAGAAGAAAAGCAGCCAAATTAAAAAGCAGATTCAAGAAGATCTTAATAAAAATGGTGGGCCAGATGCAGTGGCTCATGCCTATAATTCCAGCATTTTGGAAGGACGAGGTAGGAGGCTTTTCTTGAGTCCAGAGGTTAAAGACCAGTATGGGCAACATAGTGAGACCTCATCTCTACAAAAACAAAAAATAAAAAATCTAGCTGGATGTGGTCGTGCATGCCTGTAGTCCCAGCTACTTGGGAGGCTGATGTGGGAGAGGCTTGAGCCCAGGAGGTTGAGGCTGCAGTTAGCCATGATCACGCCACTGCACTCCAGCCTGGGCAACAGAGCAAGACCCTGTCCCATGGCAAAAAAAAAATTAAAGAAAGAAAATAGTGGAATAAGGGTTTCCAAAAATTCTCTCCTCCACAAAAGCAATAAGAAAATTCTAAATTGTCATTATCACTTTTGTGGTTAAATTTATTTTCAAGTTTTATTAATGCTATTATAAATGGGTTTGTTTTTTAATTTCATTTTTTGATTGTTCACAGCTAGTGCACAGAAATAGAATTAGTTTTTTTTATGTTGGACTTGTATCCTACAACCTTGTTGAACTCATTTAGTAGCTCTAATATTTAAGACATTTTCTGGTGGCTTTCTCCGCATCCTTAGGATGATGTCATCTACAAGTAGAGATTGTTTTTACTTCTCTCTTTTAAACCTGAATTTCTTTTATTTATTTTTCTTGTCTAATTACCCTGAATACAACCTCCAGTACAATGTTGCATCGCAGTGGCAAAAGAAGACATTCTTTTCTTGTTTCTGATCTTGATTTTTGTTTTTGATCTTAGGAGGAAAGATTTTGGTCTGTCACTATTATATCTGATGTTAGCTGTGGGTTTTTTGAAGACTGAGAAAGTTCCCTTCCCCTTCCCTTCTACCGTAGTTTATCAAGTGTTTTCATCATAAAGGGTGTTGGATTTTATCAAATGTTTTTTCTGTATCCATTGAGATGATCATGATGTTTTTGTCTTTTACTCCATTAATATGGTTTATTATTTTGATTGAACTAGTAACCAAAAAACTTTCCACAAAGAAAAGCCCAGTACCATATGTCATCAGCGGTGAATTCTATCAAATGTTTTAAAAAGAATTAGCACCACTGTGTCACAAACTCTTCCCAAAAATAGAAGAGGAGAGACCACTTCACAAATCATTCTATGAGACTAGTATTACTTGATACCAAAACTAGAAAAAGACATCACAAGGAAAGGAAACTGCAGACCAAATGCCTTATGATCATAGCTGGGAAAATCCTCCACAAAATACTAGTAACCAAGTCCAGCAACAAATAAAAATGATTATGGCCCATGACTGAATAGGATTTACACAAGGAATGCGAAGTTGGTTCAACATATGAAAATCAATCAATTTACCTCTTGACAGAAGTATTCTCTCAATCAAGTTTATTTCATGGGTCATAACATAATAGCTGGCATCAAAGAACAGGGATCTTGGCAAGACTGAAGACAAGAAGAATTTTCCACTAAGCTTCTCCCATGGCTTTTGGTAAGTCTGGGTCCTGAATTCTGGGAACATCATTTTGCTTGAAATAGCTGCCCTAGGGCTGAGGATTTCCTTGTTTTCTAAATTTTGTGGGCATTGGCTACTGCTGTGACAATCTTGTATATCCTGTTAATTCTTTGGATTTTTTATTTTTAAAAAGATGACACATGAGAGCCTTGGTGGTGAATTAATACAACCTCTGAGACTATGAAGACTTTGGCTTCTGAAGGAAAGAAACCCTTGGGTTAAAACTGAGCACAGTAAGAAATTGGAGAGGATGAATTTTGGATTCAATTCTTTTGCACTTTACTCCTTTCAACTCTAACTTATTAGGGAATTTCATCTTTGGTCTTGGATTTCTTCCTAAAAGATTGATAATAAAGGGGATTTTTATTCAAATCGTGGCATATTTATGTTGGTTATACTTTATTACTGCAGTATTCTTATGTGGATATTTAATCTTATTGTAGAGTCTCTAAATTGCATAGATGTACATGGACATAATTTGGGATGGGAAATATACTATAAAGTGAATGTTCAACCTTAGGTTATTTTGATCATTGTCCATTTTAACCCACTTAAAAGATGCCTAGGGGAAAATTTTATATTGCATACCAGCAGTCCCTGGTAGGTTTAGGGGAGCCGCCCTGCTTCGAGTTCAGTCCCTGGATGTTTGAAGGCTTAATAATAAAGCCAAAATGGCTAAGCCAGGAAATTGGGCAGATGGGTGAGGATGCGACATATTTTCATGGGAAAGAAACTCTAGAGAGTGACACTCTTGGGCTTTCTCCCCAGGACTAGTGAGTTTGAGGGGAGGAAATGAGCATACTCTTCTCATGCCCATCTCCTCTCTTTGGGAGCCAGGCAGACTGTAGCAATCTTAAATTCACTGTTCCTTCAGACCTTGAGTTTTATAGGCATGGAAGTAGTTTCATAAGCAAACTGGAAAGATGGGAATCATGACCAGAAAGTGAGCATTCTGAATTAGTAATGTTAATGAGCAATTTTGGAGCAGTTTAATTAGCAATTTCAAATTAGTAATTTTGGAATAACATCAGTGTGGGGGGAAGACAGTGTCCAGGGCATGTGGCAATGGGCTGTTGCAGTGGGAGATATAAGGGACCCCTGGAGGTGAGGAGGGCACACTCCAAGCCAGGGTATGAGATGTATCATCCACAAGAACTCTGGAGACTGAAAGTAGAAGACAGAGTGTGGGGAAAGACTATGAGCCTGCTATCCACATCCCTGATGAAGGAGGCGGAGCTGAGGGGTCATGAATGACAGCAGAGAGGAGAAGCAATGACATGTGCCACTGGAGCACTCTGTACCCCTGTGGAGCAAGAGCTTGAAGATGAGGATGACACAGAGTGATCTGGAAGCAGCAATATAAAGCAAAGGAGATCCCTGCCCTCCACCTCCAAACTCTGATGGATGAGCATGTGAGAAAATGAAAGCATCCGGGTAATGGCCAGACACAGGAGAAGGGCGGACATGTGTCCAGACGAGATTGCAAACTTGGAGGGGGACTTGCAGGGTGGACGACAGCAGGCACTGGACTGAGTTTGAGGAATTAGAGTTCAAAGTATGTTCATGCTGTAGATAGGAATTAAGAGCAACAGGGATGGGGGCTGGAGTGGTTGGTTCTTTGACTACAGATGGAGGAAAACATTCAGTACCACCTGAATAGATAGAAAGATAACCACCCACAGTTACCTTTCTAAAGGTCAATCTGATCAGGACTGTCATTCTCAAAACACTTTAATGATGTACTACAGCTTTGAGGGTAAAACCCAAACTCTTCAGTACAATTTTCTAGACCCTTCAAGATCTAGGCCCAGTTTGTCTTTCAACCACCCCACCCTATCTCTCCTCTCTCTGCCACACACTTGATAACACACACCAACATACTAAATCAGTTCCGGGTCCTGGGATCTGCATACTCTGTCCTTCAGTGTCTGAGTCTTTGCACCCTCTAAATCCTCACATATAACTGTTCCATCCTGCCTCTGAAGCATAAGAGGGCATAGTCTCATGTCAGACACCAGTTTCTTTGGGACACCTTTCCCAATGCATCCTCTGAGGTGGGTTAGTTGGGTCTGTTGAGCATTCCCATCGAATGCTGTGTTCTACTGGCTTGTAATTGTGTGTTGATGTATCCCATAGCTCCTGCAATGCTGTTAGCTCCGTGAGGGTACATACTACATGCCCTGTCAGACTTGTATCCATAAGTATAGCACAGTGCCTGCCACATCATAAACACTCAATAGATAATTCTGATTAAGGCCAGGTGCGGTGGCTCACATCTGTAATCCCAGCACTTTGGGAGGTTGAGGCGGGTGGATCACCTGAGGTCAGGAGTTCGAGACCAGCCTGGCCAACATGGTGAAACCCCATCTCTACTAAAAATACAAAAATTTGCTGGGCGTGGTGGCGGGTGCCTGTAATCCCAGTTACTCAGGAGGCTGAGATAAGAGAATCACTTGAACCCAGGAGGTGGAGTTTACAGTGGGCCTAGATCATGCCATTGCATTCCAGTTTGGGCAACAAGAGAGAAACTCCATCCCCCCAAAAAATAAAAATAAATAAATAAAATAATTCTGATTAAATGTGTTAATTAATTAAACTGAGGCAAATAGTTGAAAAATCTGTTAAAGGATTTTAGATTGAGGAGAACCTACCTAATTTTTTTTTTTTTTTTTTTTTTTTTTTTTTTTTTTTTTTGAGACGGAGTCTCACTCTGTCGCCCAGGCTGGAGTGCAGTGGCGCGATCTCGGCTCACTGCAAGCTCCGCCTCCCGGGTTCACGCCATTCTCCTGCCTCAGCCTCCCGAGTAGCTGGGACTACAGGCGCCCGCTACCACGCCCGGCTAATTTTTTGTATTTTTAGTAGAGACGGGGTTTCACCGTGTTAGCCAGGATGGTCTCGATCTCCTGACCTCGTGATCCGCCCGCCTCGGCCTCCCAAAGTGCTGGGATTACAGGCGTGAGCCACCGCGCCCGGCCCTACCTAATGTTAATGACAACTGAATCTGGAAAAAGATATGGGTGCTCAGGGATCTAGAACTAGAAATACCATTTGACCCAGCCATCCCATTACTGGGTATATACCCAAAGGACTATAAATCATGCTGCTATAAAGACACATGCACATGTATGTTTATTGCGGCACTATTCACAATAGCAAAGACTTGGAACCAACTCAAATGTCCAACAATGATAGACTGGATTAAGAAAATGTGGCACATATACACCATGGAATACTATGCAGCCATAATAAATGATGAGTCCATGTCCTTTGTAGGGACATGGATGAAATTGGAAATCATCATTCTCAGTAAACTATCACAAGAACAAAAAACCAAACACCGCATATTCTCACTCATAGGTGGGAATTGAACAATGAGATCACATGGACACAGGAAGGGGAACATCACACTCTGGGGACTGTTGTGGGGTGGGGGGAGGGGGGAGGGATAGCACTGGGAGATATACCTAATGCTAGATGACGAGTTAGTGGGTGCAGTGCACCAGCATGTCACATGTATACATATGTAACTAACCTGCACATTGTACACATGTACCGTAAAACTTAAAGTATAATAATAAAAAAAAAAGATATGGATGTTTAGTTGACCCCAAAGATAATGAAATGTTAAAAACCCACTAAAAAAGATACATCACCAAGATCAGAAAATGTGATGGTACATGATTACTTTGTTTGGAAAGTTGGCCTTAAATGTTTTTATTTTATTTTATTTTTATTTATTTATTTATTTATTTATTTTTTGAGATGCAGTCTCACCTGTCGCCCAGGCTGGAGTGCAGTGGCGCAATCTCGGCTCACAGCAAGCTCCGCCTCCCGGGTTCACGCCATTCTCCTGCCTCAGCCTCCCAAGTAGCTGGGACTACAGGCGCCCACCACCATGCCTGGCTAATTTTTTATATTTTTAGTAGAGACAGGGTTTCACCGTGTTAGCCAGGATGGTCTCCATCTCCCGACCTTGTGATCGGCCCACCTCGGCCTCCCAAAGTGCTGGGGTTACAGGTGTGAGCCACTGCGCCCGGCCCTTAAATGTTTTTAAAATCTCTTTCTATTCTAAGATGATATGGTTCGATGCATTTCTCTTTCAATGACCTGTCTCAAACAAAATAAGATTCAGATAATGACAGTGTGGGGCCTCATTGTTAGCAAGTCGTTAGGAATTCATATCTTTCAAAAATCAACCTATGGATTGGTAGAAAAATCCTCAGACTACAGTGGAACTGCAAAGGATATCTGTTAAGACTGGGTTCAGTTTATTCCTTTTGTGGAGTAGGTAATTCTAAACAAGGAATTCAATATCTGAACCTACAAATAAGAATGATAGATTACCCATCCTCACCCTCTATTCAAGTCTTCCTGTCTAGTCAGTAAAATTAGCGAAACTGTGGATCTGTCCTTATCTCAGTTTATAAAGTCAGTGAAAATAGAAACTTTTTTTTAAACAAAGTTTCACTCTGTCACCCAGGCTGGAGTGCAGTGGCACAATAAAGCTCACTGCAGGGCCGGGCGCAGTGGCTTACACCTGTAATCCCAGCACTTTGGGAGGCCAAGGCGGACAGATCACGAGGTCAGGAGATCGAGATCATCCTGGCTAACAGGATGAAACCCCGTCTCTACTAAAAAAAATACAAAAAATTAGCCAGGCGTGGTGGTGGGCACCTGTAGTCCCAGCTACTTGGGAGGCTGAGGCAGGAGAATGGCGTGAACCCAGGAGGTGGAGCTTGCAGTGAGCCAAGATCGAACCACTGCACTCCAGCATGGGAGACAGAGCGAGACTCCTTTAAAAAAAAAAAAAAAAAGCTCACTGCAGTCTCAATCTCCTGTGATCCTCCCACTCAAGTGGGATCCTCCAGCTCAAGTGATCCTCCCACTTCAGCCTCCTAAGTAGCTAGGACTACAGACACATGACACCATGTCTGGCTAATTTTTTTTTTTAATTTTTAGTAGAATCGAAGTCTAACTATGTTGTCCAGGCTGATCTTGAATTCAGCTCAAGCAATCCTACTGCTTCAGCCTCCCAAAGTGCTGGGATTACAGCCGTGACCCACCATGCATGGCCAAGAATACAAACTTTTTAAAAGGAAACAACTTTGGAAAATCAAAGGCTTGCCATTAGCTTTGAGATTATAAGAACCTGGTAGTGTTGTTTGAATTACTCTTTGTACCCTAGAATCACTGGTTAAAAACAAAGGTATTGGCAATAGAGTTGTTGCTACCAATACTTATTCCTCTTTTTCAAGTTTGCTGATGCTTTTACTATTATTAGTACAAAATCTGCAGTTCTTACGAAGTTACTGCACTTTTAAGAAAATAAAAGTTATTTTAAGAAAATAAATCATCCCTAAAAGGGAAGTGGGGGAAACTTCTTTTTCTCAGGATCTCCTTTGCAAATTCTGCAGTGTCTTATTTCAAAGGGGGTGGAATTTATCTATAGGCTCCAGTTTCCTATTGGTCAAGAGTTGGCCCCATCAGCAAGAACTCCCTGGCATTTCTGGGTTGTGCAAGCATGAGTGGTAAATGGGTTTCTGCTGGGACCCCCATGGTGTAGCAACAAAAAAGTCCTAGGTCAGATATTCACTTGACTCCAGGAGTTCGAGACCAGCCTAGGCAACATAGCAAGACCCTGTCTCTTTAAAAAAAAAAAAAAGAAAGAAAGAAAGAAGAAGAAGTAGAAGTCCCAGGTCAGGAATCAAAAGCATGTGAATGTAGGTAACACAGGCTGCAATGGAGCTGCTATCAGATTACACTTCTGTGAAGCTGGGTGAAGCCTATGGGACTGATCCCCGTAGAAATGGCTGGAGTAATAGAAAGAGAGGATTTGAAGAGAGGTGCCCAATAGGTGTCCAATACAAACTTGATCTTCCCTCTGCCTAGAACATTTTTCTTCCAGAAATCCAAAGGGCACTTTTTCATGGCTCAGATGTCATCTTAGAGAGGCCTTCCTCAAGCGTCTGATTTAAGATAGCAACCCCCCATCTCCTACCACAGAGCTCCATTTCCCCATGCCTGTTTTTCTGCTGTACATTTGCTGTGCTTTGCAGCATCTGAAATATTTATAGATTTAATTGTTTATTTGTTTATAATCTGTATCTCTGCAGCTAGAATGTAAATTCCATGAGGACAGGCACTTTGTTTTGTTTACTGCTATATCCTCAATGCCTAGGACAAGGTATACACAGAGAGAGATATATCGAGATCTTTCATATTTAAAGCTAAAATTATGAATCCTATATAGGTTTACTGGATATTTTCCTATAGAAGGAAACATACAAAAATTAAAAATTCCTAAAAGATTGTGAACTATTTTGAAGTTTGTGGAAAAAGTAAACAAAAAACATGAGCCTATGGCCAACTGATAAAACTTCATTGAATCTTATTTAATATCAGCTTTAACTCTATAAAGCTTAATATTAGTCAGACAGCAGGAAAATAAAACTTTCATTATTCATATTTCCCAAACAGAGTCAAGAATACTATCAGTAGGACAAACAGAAAAAAAAAAAAAAGAAAAAAGAAAAAAAATCTCTTTCCCTGAACCACCTAGGTCGCTTGTAGTTTCAGAGCTATATGAAACCACTGGGACAGTGCATTTAACTGACATTCAAATCATTTCTCTTTAAGAAATAAGGAATAAGGCCAGGTGTGGTGGTTTATGCCTGTAATCCCAACACTAATGGAGGCTGAGGTGGGAGGATAGCTTGGGCCCAGGAGACAAGACTGGTCAACATAGCGAGACCCTGTCTCTACAAAAATAAAAAAACAAGGACTTACATAATTAGTAGTCTACAGACAGGTAAGATGTGATGGATTCAGGAACAAGATAAATGGCATGACAATTTAATGTACTGATTTACAATGAACACAACCTGTGTAATCATGCCTACTGCTGTGGCTGTGAACTGTCTCTCTTCCGAAGCCGTAAGTGGCACTCTCGTTCAATGTTACCTTTAGAGGCTTACAAGGAATGCTGAGAACATCTCTCTACATTTACAGTTCTCATTTAAGCCAACCCTGCTGAGTGACCATCTTATTTTAAAGTCCCATGGAGAAAAAAGGAAATCCAAATGCCTCTTTTAGGGGTCTGTGTCTTCACTGAGACATAATTTTATTCTGCAGCTAACTCACTCAGTCCTGGCAAAGCAGAGAAATGACTTTGAACAGAATGGGAGGCAGATTTGCCCTAACCAGTTCCCAGCTTGAAGGGGCCCAAGACCTTTTCTTTTCCTTTGACACCGTCAAATGCAGACTTAATAAAGCCATCAAACTCTCTGTGTAACAGTCTATATTTTTGATACACATTATTATAGCACCCTGTAGTTCCTTTTTTAAAAGGCTACATGAGGCTGGACACAGTGGCTCACGTCTGTAATCCTAGCACTTTGGGAGGCTCAGGTGGACGGATCACTTGAGGTCAGGAGTTCGAAACCAGCCTGGTCAACATGGTGAAACCCCATCTCTACTAAAAATACCAAAAAATTAGCAGGGCATGGTGGCACTTGCCTGTAATCCTAGCTACTTGGGAGGCTGAGGTGGGAGAATCATTTGAACCCGGGAGACAGAGGTTGCAGTGAGCCGAGATTGTGCCACTGCACTCCAGGCTGGGCAACAAAGCGAGACTCCGTCACAAAAATAAATAAAATAAAATGCTGCAAGGTAGTAACTTTTTTCATCCTTTCTGGCAAATTTAATTTTCTCTTAACTGTATCTCTGGCTCAAAGCTTCCTAGATCCTTTGGTCCAAGGATTCAAGAGTCTAACCAACATGGATTTCCACAGCAGGTTAGCCTGATGATTTCTGTGTCCTGTGTTTCTCAATCCAGTATGGTCTAGCCCCTTGCCACTATTCAAAGTGTGGGTTAGCACCAGCAGCACCAGCATCATCTGAGAGCTTGTCAGAAATGCAGATTCTCAGGCCCACTCAACTACTGAATCGGAATTTGTGTTTTAACAAGATCCTAAGTGACTGCTTGCATATTAAAGTCTGAGAAGCACTGTTTCAGAGAAGCGGAAAACAAGAGTGCTACCCTCATTCCCAATATACTCCGAGGTCCTGGTGTTTTGATCTCTTTTACTGTTGATTTTTTTTTTTCTTACAACCACATTTCTGGCATAAATTAGTAATTTATCACTAAAAAATAGTAAAAATACATCATTTTTAGAGTTAAAGGATGATAGTATTTATTTCAGTCTTTTAAAAAAGTCTTTTCTTTGAGGTGCCATTTACTATTTATCACACAAATGAAGCTCACTATCTGTTATGTGTATTGTTACTTGTTTATGTCTGTCTCCATAGTGCCCCAGAGGGCAAGCACTGTGTTTTATCTCACTTTGCAGCTCTAACTGCGTATATTCAGATTTTTATAAGCAGTTGTTAATGATTGCAAAAAGAAGGTGGTCCATTGTGTCGTTTGCCCTGAACAATTAACCCACAGATGCAAAAAGCTAGAGTCAAACTGTGCTTCTCAATTTCATTATGGAAAGACAATGCCAAAATTCTTGCTAAAATCAATGTAGATAAAATCTGTCATTTCCTTTTTCCTACCAATCCCTTTACCCTATCACAATAAGAGATAAGATAGTCTGACCGAATTTAAGACCAGGCTGTCACTACCCAGGACTTCTTCAAACTGTTAGCAGATTAAATCTATGGCTACTTTGTTCCCTAGTGGCGCCCTTTTAAGAGTCATTCATTTTCTAAATTTTAGAGACCTTTTCTATTATATGCACGTTCTTAAGGATAATCAGTGATATTGCTATCTCAGTCAGTGCACTACAGAGTGGTGGTGTTTTATACAAAGTAGCCAAGATCAGTTTATGTAATCATTTAAAAGGCAGTGACCATCTTCATTTTGGTTCCTCTTTCTACTGAATTTCCTGTTAGGAGTGGAAGAATTCTTTTCTAAAGAATATATCTACATGCCATGACATTGCCTTTTTCATGTCGTTCCTTAGCAGCTTTCTATCTTGAAAAAAAAAAAGGGATCAACATTTTCCATTACCTTCTCTGATTGCTGTGCATGGTGGTAATATACGGCCTTTTCAAAGAGCTTTCTGGACCTCATTCCTACAAGCCTTCAACACTTACTTGATTTTCTTGATAATCTACCGAACTACCTACTTTCTCTGGCCAATCGTTTTGTAAAAAACTTATTCAATACTTTAAGTACATAGATTTATTTTTCTCTCTTTTTTTTGTATTTTTATGTTCCTAGCATAATATTGTAACTATTATTAATAGTTATATTAGTAACATATTTGTATTAATATTAACATAATATAGTTATACTAGAAACATTAAAATTTCTATTATATAAACTTACATATATATGCATATATACATGCATATATACATATAAAATATAAACTTTCGATCCCAGCTACTCTTCCCTATTCTTACTACTTACTACTACAACCCTAGCTCTGGCCCATGAGACTTACATGCACTTCTACATGAAATTTTGCATTGTTTTACATTGCGCCCTAATTATTCTATGGGAAACATGCTTATCTACCGCATGTAAACTACTTGATGGGAATTATAAAAATCAGCAAAATACCTCGCACCTACCACCACCCTGAGCACCTGATACAACCTTGAACACTTAGACTTTTTGTTGGATCAACATCCATTGATTGGCTTTTATTCTTTCACCAGTAGATAAAGCCTGTATCAACATAGGCAATGTGTACTTGAGAGTTGAGGTAATTATCTAGGAAGTTAAAGCAAAAAGTCCAGCGCTCTCGCCAGCTTTCATTTTCCTCCCATAATAAAACTTGCAAAATCAGCAGTCTGGATACTCCCAACATGAATCCACATGTAGTTGCTAGTTAGTAGTTTAGTCCTCTGTATAAAGTATTTTGTTTAGAAGTAGTCAAAGTTAGCACAGAGTTTAATGAAACACAGAACCAGTATAAGCAATATTTCTCCATATAAGCATGGACTTTCAATTTATTGTATGTATTATATTGTCCCATAACATGTCAACCATACTATAGGTTACTTATTGTTTTCTTTTAAAATCTGATCTTTCTTTTTTGCAGGATACAAGCAAAGATGAAAACATGTAAATTTTTATGGATTGGAGACAAATTAGGCTTTCTAATAAACATTAACATTTGCTTTGTTTTTAATTAAAATTATTTCCACTGTATACATAGAGTCTGTAGCTGTATTCGTTTTTAACAAAAAAAAAAATTTAACAATACTTGGACGTGTGTGTGCACATGATTTGGAAATAGAACCATATTTATCATTATACTTATTTATAATCACCTTATTGGAAAAAAGTATCTAAGATGGTATACAGAATGCAAAACACACATCCATGCTCTTATAAGCATATACAAACACATTTGATGACTCCTGCTATGCTAGACACAATTGAGAATCAATTGTAGAACAAAATTCAAGTTTTAGTTCCTGTTTGATAATGTGTTCCACTTAATTACAGAAGGCAGCATATTTCAATATTTTTATTATATAAATTATATTTTAAAAGTGTGTATAAATTCCTTTGCTAGTTAGATTTGGATGAATACAATGGCATACTTTGATTTCAGATATATAAGTAACAATATACTGCATCGTTAGTCATCTTCAAAGACTAGGAGGTCTTCACACCTTTCTCTCAGTTTCCCTTGCCAGGACCCAAAAAGGATACTATAAATGTCATGTTGCAAATGATAAATCACATTTTTATAGACTTGGAAGTTAATTTTGCTTAGAAGCATTTTTATGGACTTTGGAAGCTAAAGAATAAAAGCCACTAGTTTGTAAGATCAAAAACTTTCCTTCCAGGGAGTAACATTTGTTTTTTTTCCTCCACATTCACCATTGGTTTCAGTTTCCTCTTGCTATTTTTTCACTGCTAAGAGGTACAAGCTGAAAACTATATACTTAATTAAGGCAGTTTTTCACCTAGCCTCTCAATTGAAAGCAATTTTTTTTTGTTATATAGTGGAAACAATAAAACAATTTGGAACGCCCTCCCCACTGACTGTTGCTCTTTCTTCCTGTGATCCAGAATCACAGATGAACCATGATTCTCTTCAGGTGTCCACACTCCTTTCAAAAACTTGAGAAAGGCTGGGTCCAGATCCAAGATGTGAATTTGGTTAGTGTATGGCACTCATAGCAATGAATGAGGACATTAGGAAGGGGCACGTGACCCAGGTCTGGTCAATGAGATCTAATTTTCTGCCCCTACTTCTTATTGTCCTTCAAAGGGTTTGTGAAACTGAGGCAGTCATTTTGCCACTACTAGAGAGAGGGTGGGCCACCTGGATGAAGACGGCACAACAGAGACATGGAACCTGGATCTCTAGTGACACTATTGAGCCACCAAATTAACCAACCTCGAAACTGCCCTATTTCTGAACTTTCTGTAACATAAAATCAAAAATTACTCATCTTTTTTTGAGATGGAGTCTCGCTGTGTCCAGGCTGGAGTGCAGCGGCCCGATCTCTGCTCACTGCAAGCTCCGCCTCCAGGGTTCACGCCATTCTCCTGCCTCAGACTCCCGAGTAGCTGGGACTGCAGGCGCCCGCCACCACGCCCGGCTAATTTTTTGCATTTTTAGTAGAGACGTAGTTTCACCGTGTTAGCCAGGATGTTCTCGATCTCCTGACCTCGTGATTCGCCTGCCTCAGCCTCCCAAAGTGCTGGGATTACAGGCGTGAGCCACTGCGCCTGGCCAAAAATTACTAATCTTTAAAGCCAGTAGTAGAGGTTTTGGTTATCTGCAACTGAAAATGAATAGAGTCCCCTCTATCTTGTGCTGTGATGAGGGAGGGCAAAATTCAAAATATAAAGAAAACTTTTTCATACCTCACTCTGCAAGTAGTAGGAGGAAGGGAGAAAGATGAACACAGGGCCTAATCATGAATACTCCATTCATGTATTAACTGTTTCATTTAACCTCAGTGCTCACTCACTCATTCCATAGTCTGTTAAAGAACACGAAATTCCCTCTCATTTTACTGAGTAGTTAGGATGCAGAGGTTAACAAAATACAAACCCTTACCCTTAAAGAACTCATAGGCCAATGGATGAGACAGATGCGTCTACCAAAATTTTTACCTCACTGTGCCCATACACCATCTGCCACGGAAGCCCTAAGCAATATCTAATTAAACCTGGGAGTGAGAGGCTAGTCGTTCGGCTGGATTAAAGGAAATGGACTGTTCAGTGAGGATTCTAAAAGGAATGTTTTTTCAAGTTATGAAGATATTTTCCTTTAATTTATTCAAATATTTCACATTCATGAAACCATTTTTTTCAGGGAGAATCTAAGCGACTCTTGGAGTTGATCTTGAAGAAAGAGCTTTAGACAGATACAGCAGAGAAGGGACCATCCAAGAAGGGAACAGGGTGCACAAGGGCACAGAGGATGAGAGAGCGCCCCAGGGGAACTCAAGTTAACCCTGAATGGCAGGGCAAAGCTGCAGGTGAGGGAGTGCTGGGCAATGACCTTAGAGGAGCATACATGGGCCAGACAATGAAGGTCTTTATCCTAGTGAAAGCCAGGCCAAGCGCTACTGTAGGATCACAGGTGACAGAGGGACATTATCAGATATGCTTCTCAGGAAAACCATTCTGGCAGTAGAAGAAATGATACATTTGGAAGAGGAAGAGTTAAGAAAGAAATGGACAAGACTTTGAAGCTATTGCAGAAATCCAATCCAACAAATGGTAAGGACCTGAACAAAGACAGAACAAAAACAGGGACTACGAGGATGATTAAAATAATTTTCTTTTTTTTGAGACGGAATCTTGCTCTGTCGCCTAGGCTAGAGTGTAGTGGCACGATCTTGGCTCACTGCGACCTCCACCTCCCAGGTTCAAACAATTCTCCTGCCTCAGCCTCCCAAGTAGCTGGGATTACAGGCACATGCCACCATGCCCGGCTAATTTTTTGTATTTTTAGTAGAGACAGGGTTTCACCATGTTAGCCAGGATGGTCTCAATCTCCTGACCTCATGATCTGCCTGCCTCAGCCTCCCAAAGTGCTGGGATTACAGGCGTGAGCCACCACACCCGGCCTAAAAGAAATTATTGTTTGGGTCGAGCACAGTGGCTCACACCTGTAATCCCAGCACTTTGGGAGGCCAAGGCAGGCAGATCACCTGAGGTCAGGAGTTCGAGACCAGCCTGGCCAACATGGTGAAACCCCATCTCTACTAAAAATAAAAAATAAAAAAAATTAGCAGGGCAGTTGGTGGGCGCCTGTAATCCCAGCTACTCGGGAGGCTGAGGCAGGAGAATCACTTGAACCCAGGAGGTGGAAGTTGCAGTGAGCCAAGATCGTGCCACTGCACTTCAGCCTGGGCGAAAGAGCAAGAGTCTGTTTCAAAAAAAAAAAAAAGAAATTATTGTTTGTGGCAGAAAGTGCATGGAGGGAGGGCACGAGGTAACCTAAACTGAATCCCTAGGACTGGACTGGACAATAGGGGAGGTGACCGTTCAACCAAGGGGGACAGGGCACTCCTGGAGAGGAGACATGTGGCACAGGAACAGGAGACAATGCCCAGGCCAGCAGCCACAAGGAAAGCACCACATGTCCTGACCCCAAGTAGTCTAGCCCATTGTCACCATGACAATCATAACCCATCTGAACTGATGATCTCAGAAAATATGTTATCTGTAGCTGTGAACAAACTGTCAATGGATTGCTATTCCTAGCCCCTCCCAATCCTCAAAGTAACAGAAAACTTCAGGTGGATATACATATATTGATTTATTTTACACATAGATAAAACATAATGTAATACAAGGGAAATGGAAGAATAAGTTGAACGTCTTTTTACATTTAGATGCATAAATGAGTCCAAAATTAAAGAGAAATAATTGGAAATGGTTTTCCTTTTTTAGTGTGGCTAGCTGGTCTATATCACACTATGTAAATCCAACAATTAATTTACTTTATTTGTATTTGTTTGTGCATGTTGTATAGGATATAGGAAATATATAAATACATATGTATTTTTAGGTGCCTTCTGATTGCATCCTCAAAGACACAGATATTACCTATAAAAAAATTTACTTGAGGCTCTCATTGAGATTTTATATGAAAGAGAAATGGCCTTCTATAAACAAACAAGAAACTAAACCCTTAAGAGGCAGATGTTTTGGCCTATGGCAGGTGCCTGAGCCCGCTTATTTTCCCCTAGTCTCCCTTATCGTTGGCTGAGAGTCAGCAGTGGCTGCACCAGTATCTCTCTCCAATATATCTGGTTTATATAACAGTAACTGAGGTTAATTTTTCTCTCACTGCCTCTCGGAGAAAAGTTGTATTGGACGTGTAGGAGTTAGGTGGTAAAGGATGCCTACTACTGATGGGAAAAAAATGCATGGAGAACTTATGGGCAAAGTTCCCACTAAGATGCATTTTCTGCTTGCAAGAAGATTAAAACAAGTATTATTAGCACACTATAGGTGAAAAGCCTATGTAGCAGAACTATAGCAGCACCAGAAGCTTCAGGGCATGTTCACAGTTGAATGGGTTTTTGAGCTAGCTCTTATAACTGAGTAACAGGCAGAAACATGAAGGAGAAAGAGTACTCCAAGTGAAGAAATAGCGTGAGCAAGAAATGGAGTCTAGAAAGAATACGGTAAACGCATGGCGTAATGCAAATTATCTCCTCTTTGATGACCTCCCTCAGGCCTCTGACACCACCCCGGGGTCCCCATAGCACCTGCCATATGTATTATGGTTATTTCTTTAAGATGTCTCTTCCCAACTAAAATGCTAACTCCTAAAGATCTGGGACTGTCATTGTTTTCATCTTTGCATTCGTAGCACATAAAACCACATCAGATATGTAATTGGTATTTGACAACATCTTGCTGAGTGAAGGGGGTCTGCCCGTGTGCATCAATGAACATGATCCCAGTTAGCTGGAACCAGGGTGAGTAGGAGTGATGAGATGGAAAATGAAATAAGCAATGGAGCTTGGAGCCAGATCATGAAAAACTCAAACCTTCAGGAGTTTAGATTTTATACAGAATGAGCCATTTTCATCATGAAAGATTCATGGTGGATAACCAGAAAAGAATCTATTATGATGGGCAAGAGGCCATGAAGATAAGAGGATATGAGAGACCACGTGATATACCGCGTGAGTTACAGAGGACTTGGCCACTGCTTATAATTTAGTGCTTACCAGGTGCCAGGCATCATGCTGAACACTTTATACACCCTATTTTTTTTTTTGAGACAGAGTCTGACTCTGTCACCCAGGCTGGAGTGCAGTGGCGCGATCTTGGCTCACTGCAAGCTCCGCCTCCCGGGTTCACACCATTCTCCTGCCTCAGCCTCCTGAATAACTGGGACTGCAGGCGCCCGCCCCCAAGCCCAGCTAATTATATATATATATATATATTTTTTAGTAGAGACGGGGTTTCACCATGTTAGCCAGGATGGTCTCGATTTCCTGACCTCGTGATCTGCCCGCCTTAGCCTCCCGAAGTGCTGGGATTACAGGCGTGAGCCACCGCGCCCGGCCTGTACACACTATTTTATTAAATCTTCACAATTCTTTAAATTAGGTACTTTTATTCCCATCCTAAAGATGTTGAAACTGAGGGCCCCTATAAATGTGGACACCTGTAGATCCTTAAGTCTAAGTTTCCTTCCCATCTGACCCTGACAACAAAGAATTCTTCTGAGCAAACATGTATGCAGAACCTAGATGGAAGAAAATTCCAACACTGACCAAAAAGAAGCACACTCCTTCTCCGGACTGGGGACTATTCTGCCCAGGGTAGAACCTCTCAAGGGAAGCCACAGCTGGTGTCCACTGGCACATATCTAAAATTATTTCTTTGCAATGACTTAACCTTATGATAAAAAAAAAAAAAAAAATTAGATGCCGCCGGGCATGGTGGCTCAAGTCTATAATCCCAGCACTTTGGGAGGCCAAGGCGGGTGGATCATGAGGTAAGGAGTTCAAGACCAGCCTGGCCAACATGGTGAAACTCCCTCTCTACTAAAAATACAAAAAATTAGCTGGGCATGGTGGCGGGCGCCTGTAGTCCCAGCTACTCGGGAGGCTGAGGCAGGAGAATGGCGTGAACCTGGGAGGCGGAGCTTGCAGTGAGCTGCGATCGCACCACCGCACTCCAGCCTGGGCGACAGAGCGACACTCCGTCTCAAAAAAAAAAAAAAAAAATTAGCTGGATATGGTGGCGGGTGCCTGTAATCCCAGCTACTCAGGAGGCTGAGGCAGGGGAATTGCTTGAACCCGGGAGGTGGCAGTTGCAGTGAGCTGAGATCACCCCACTGCACTCCAGCCTGGGTGACAGAGCAAGACTCAGTCTCAAAAAAAAAAAAAAAAAAAAATTAGATGCCAACTTTAAAACGTGCAGAGGTGCATAGTTTTTATTTTGTTTTATTCTTTTTAGTTGGTACAAGTGCAGAATTATTTGGCAACTTTTGCTCTGCTTAAATTTCTACAGAAAATTTTCCAGTCTTAGATAACCATGTAAGGTATATTTAGAGGGATAATTATTTTCTTCTTGGAGGCATGGATTTGCTCTTATTTGTCTTTATATTTGACATAACAGACCACTTCACACATATTTGAGCTTCATAACATATTTTAAACCAATCTAGACTTAATCAGTTTGGGAATGATAGAAGGTAAATCTGGGCCGGGTGCAGTGGCTCATGCCTGTAATCCTAGTACTCTGAGAGGCCGAGGCAGGCAGATCACAAGGTCGGGAGTTTGAGACCAGCCTGGCCAATATAGTGAAACCCCATCTCTAATAAAAATACAAAAAAAATTAGCTGGGTGTGGTGGTGCATGCCTGTAATACCAGCTACTCGGGAGGCTGAGGCAGGAGAATTGCTTGACCCTGGGAGGCAGAGGTTGCAGTCAGCCGAGATTACACTGCACTCCAGCCTGGGCGACAGAACAAGACTCCGTCTCAAGAAATAAAGAAGGAAAGTCTGACCAGATGAAGACACTGAGTGATACCCTAATATTGTCTTGAGTCATGGCTTTTAGAAATATTTATAATGACAGAATTTTTTTTAAGCAGGGAAAGAAAAAGAGGGTAGAAGGGAGGGAAGGAGGGAGAGAAGAAGGGAGGGAAGGAGGGAGAGAAGAAGAGAGAGAAAGAGGGAGAAGGAAGGAAGGAAGGAAGGGAGGGAGGGAAGGAAGGAAAGACCACAAACCTCACTTTGTGGAATATAAATATTTGTCAAGAGACAGCCTCTTAAAGCAGGTTGCTGTCAGGAGGCAAAATCCTAACTAAGCACAAGTTAAGGTTTATTGCCCTGGTCAAAAATCAACAATAGGGCCAAGCGCAGTGGCTCACGCCTGTAATCCCAGCACTTTGGGAGGCCGAGGCAGGCGGATCACCTGAGGTCACGAGTTCGAGACCAGCCTAGCTAACATGGTGAAATCCCATTTCTACTAAAAATACAAAAACTTAGCCAGGGGTGGTGGCTACTTGGGAGGCTGAGGCAGGAGAATCGCTTGAACCCAGGAGGCAGAGGTTGCAGTGAGCTGAGATCTCACCATTGCACTGCAGCTTGAGCAACAAGAGCAAAACTCCATCTCAGAAAAAAAAAAAAAAGTATGGAGGAAAAATGTGAAAAATGTGAAGATCCTTGTTGCCTGGAATGAAGGTATGCAGTAATGAAATGCCAAAGAGAGAAGAATGCCTACATCCTTTTTGGAAGAAAACATGCCTGTAGAGGCAATAAAAATCGTGATTATCTTTATTGTAACAGTTTAGGAAGTGAGCAAATAGAAGTTAAATTAGAAGAAACAGATATAGAGATGAGGAGACCATGATGCAGTTTTGCAAAGCAGTATCATTATTACAAAGAAAACCGTGTGAACATACCCTCACTTCTAAAAAGGTATGAATTGATTTTAGTTTTAATGTTGATGAAAGTCTGACACAACACAGCATCTTCATGCACACGCTCATTTCAAATGCTCGTCATTCTCAGTTTGTTGCCTTTTAGTTGCTTCCCTCACTAGCTCAAATAAGGTCAACAAAAGTCTCTGAAACATTCCTTTTAAAGATCAGAATCAATCTCCCGATTCTTTCATTCTTTGTACTGTACAAATATTTTTACTAAGCATGTGTTAAACATGAAGGCATGAATTTGCCATGTGAAGAGTTCACAACACAGCTGTGCAATGGGTAAAGTGATGATAAAAGACACATTGCAGAAGGCAGGGAGTTTTAAACTTGTGACAGGGAGAGGTATGAATGCAAAGAACTATAATTCAAGTAATAAGTGTCACAAGAGAGATAGGAACATGCCACAAAGAGTTCAGAAAAAGGAGGTGATCTGAACAAGTTCCATGTGGAAGAAAATGAGCAGATTTCTTGAACCTCAAAATGCCCCCTGATGGCTCACTGCAGCCTTGAGCTCCTGGGCTCAAGTGATCCTCCCACCTCAACCTCCCGAGTAGCTGGGACCACAAATGCGGGCAACCACACGCTGTTAATTTAAAACAAAAAACAACAACAAAAAAAATTTTGTAGAGTTGGGGTCTCCCTATGTTGTCCAGGCTGGTCTCAAACTCCTGGGCTTAAGCAATCCTCCCACCTCAGCCTCCCAAAGTGTTGGGACTACAGGCATGAACCATCATACTTGGCTCACTTGGCTTTCAGAAAGAGATTTTACCTGATGACAGTATCTTTGCTTTCTGCTGTGTGATTGCTCGTTGGCTGAGGAAAGAAATCCTGATCTATCAGGATGTCCCTAAGATAAATATAATAGCACACAAAAAATACCCACCAATAGGATTTCTAGACAAGTTTTCAAATCAGGAACAAGCAACAGAAGCAAAGCAGGTGGTTGATACAGCAGTGTATTGTGGGACAATTCACCCTCTCATTCCTTATGCTTCACCTCATTTATACAAAGGAACTGTTTTCATTCTACGTAGCTTCACACCCAAAAAAAAATAATATAACAAATAAAATCCTCAACACTATTGGCTGTAATACGTAAAGTCTTAATATTAGTGATGATGACATAATGTTTAGCTTTCGCTCCTGGCACTTCCGTATATGTCAGGAGCCCTTCTGGTGGGTTGGGGGTACAGAATATTCCATCTCTAACCCCTGCCTCCAAAATCTTGCCTGCGTATGTGCCCTTCCAAAATTCTTTACCCTTCTGAAAAGAGTAGGGTATAACAGTGTTCTCATAATGAGGGTGTTATGCAAGGGAATAACATGAGGAGCTTTTATTTGAGACAGGATCTCTGTTGCCCAGGCTGGAGGGCAGCAGTGCGATCATGGGATCATGGCTTACTGTAGCCTCCACCTCCCAGGATCAAGCAATCCGCCCACCTCAGCTTCCTGAGTACCTGGGACTACAGGCATATGCCACCACACCTCTGGCTAACTTTTATTTTATATTTTCCTAGAGATGGGGGGCGGTTTACTATGTTGCCCAGGCTGGCCTTGAACTCCTGGGCTCAAGCAATCCTCCCACCTTGACCTCCCAAAGTGCTGGGATTACAGGTGTGAGCCACCTCACCTGGCCAGGATGTTTCCTATTGTTCACAATTACAGTGCTGCAAAGATCATCCTCCTCTGCCTTTTTGTGCACCTGTGCAACAGTGTGGTGCATTTGTACCATGTTAACTTAGCTAAACTGGAACTATGTTTCTCAGAATTCCCTCCTGGTGTTTATCTGAATTAGCATGTGCCTCAAGAGTTATTTTGCCCAAGGTTTGGGAGGGAGCTTGAATCAGCAGCCAGGCCTGCAGCTCCGTCAGCCCCTGCAGATCTCCTTCAGCCACTCTGCCTCCTGGGCCAGGTGCAAATGCAGCTCCCTAACAAAGGGCGTCAGCTGTTTCTGCAGGTTACTCCCATCATCAAAACCAAAAGCTTGGAGGTAGTGAGAGAACCATGCAGGCTCCAGGCCATCCTTGTGGGTTCTAGCTTGTCCCTACTCTTCCCCACTTCACATCCATCATTCTTTCCTGAC
Source organism: Homo sapiens (assembly GCF_000001405.40). Classification (NCBI taxonomy): domain Eukaryota; kingdom Metazoa; phylum Chordata; class Mammalia; order Primates; family Hominidae; genus Homo; species Homo sapiens. The sequence goes on from NC_000006.12 coordinate 105,964,610, forward strand.
CATTTGACCACTTGACCTTCTGACTTTAAGCTCCAGCACCAGCCACAGAAGCCAACAGGCCTTATGTGAAGTGTTTAAACCAAATCCCTATAATCAAGCCCTTATTCTATACTGTATCTCGTGGTTCAGCTTCTGTTGATCCAACCCTGACCTGTTATACCAGGAAGTGTCTTAAGAGTCAGAGAAATTGGCCCTAAACTGCTCCCTACTCCAACCACCTCACTCCCTCCTGCTTCCTTTGGAGGTTTGGATGGACAGTAACTGCCTTATGCCAAGGAAAGAAAAGTTATCCGTGCCAGAATAAGATTGCCTCCCACCTCCTCTGCTGACCTTCCTTCTTCCCTTTTAAGGACACTGTCTCCTCCATGCTCAGAAATTAACTGATTAGGGGACCGTAAAATCCCTCCTTGCCAAGGACCCAAAAAGACGGTAACTGCCTTATTTTTGAAATAAAGGAAATTCACCTTCTTGACGTCAAATATAAAACATTATCATTTGAAAACAATAAGTCAATCTAGTACTCCACCAGGGGATTCCCCTTTATTAGGATTTCATCAACATTGGAACAGACAAGGCTTGAGAAAAAGAAAGTTCTTTTAGCTTTTAAAATTGAAAAGTAGCTGACATAGGCAATAAGCCATGAATAAAAATCCAACTCATTTGCTTGTCCCAAGGAGAAATGGACATAGCTGACTCTGTAACAGTCTAACAGGCTTTCATATGGCAAGGCTAAATTGAACACCCCTGTCAAGAGGGTGCCAACAACCAGGGCCATCAACATCAATAAAGACAGCAGTAAAGATTTGGTAACTCAGCCTCATATATAAGAAAATGCTACTTCTTCAATGTTGCAAGATGCTGAAAGCTTGGTACTTGAAGAAAACCAAAGCACAACAAGATAGGCTGAATGACACCAACTCTATCATCTTTTTCAGTAAGATTACATCATCCTGTGAAAACGAACACTCTTCCCTCAACTTTAGGACTGATGAGGAGAAACAATTCATCCTTCATTGCTCTTCCTCTTAAAAGAGAGAAGGCTGGGTGCAGTGCCTCATCCCTGTAATCCCAGCACTTTGGGAGGCTGAGGCAGGAGGATCACTTGAGCCCAGGAGTTCAAGACAAGACCAGCCTGGGCAACATGACAAAACCCCATCTCTACAAAAAATAAAATAAATCAGCCGGGTGTGGTGGTGTGTGCCTGTAATCCCAGCTATTCGGTGAGGGTTGAGGCAAGAGGGTCCCTTGAGCCTGGGTCGAGGTTGCAGGGAGCCAAGATCACACCACTTCACTCCAGTCTGGGTAACAGAGAGAGACTCTATCTGAAAAGAGAAAGAGAGACAGAAAATGTCTGAATAAATTGAGTACTTTTCTCCCATGCAACTTTTATCAAATTAGGGTTATGAAACATACTTGTGAAATCATTTTTTAAAGTATAAGTCAACAATACTTTATTGTATGTTTTAAAATAACTTAAAGAGCATAATTGGAATGTTCATAACACAAAGAAATGATAAATGCTTGAAGTGATGGACACCCCATTTTCCCTGATGTGTTATTATTTTATGGCTGTATCAAAGTATCTCATACCCCATAAATAATATGTATACCTACTGTGTACCCATAATTAAAAAATAGAAAAAAAAAGTATTAGGTAGGAAAAGATGTTTTTGGCAAACTAAGTAGTAGAATGGAGGTAGTGAGAGTGATTATTGTACATAATCCTCCACATGTTTCTGCACGTGTCATAGTAAAGAATATATATTTATGTATCTATAGAAATCTACTTGTAGAGTGAGGGGTAAGTTAAGTATGGTAGTTTCTAAATCCATTTCCTGTTAAATATTCCTGTATTTCCTGTTAAAATACAAGTAAGAAAGAAGCTCCAGACAGCTACAAGGAAGCCTTTGTTTTCATTAGAATGTCTTTGGAAGTAAGCAACTGAAGACCCAACTGAAGATGGTTTATGCTCTAAGGGAATTTAGTTTCTTACATAACAAAAGTCCAGGGGAAGATCAGTTCCAGAGCTGATTAATTCAGTGGCTCAGCAACATGGTTAAGGACCCAGGGTCTTTCCATCTTCCCACTTCATCATCAGGGTGTCAGCTAGATCATAATCACAAGACAGTGACAGCATCACATCCTCAAACCCAATGTCCAGGGGTTTATGTGTCTTTTTAAAAACTAAGATGCTCCTTCTCATCTCCTTGTCGAGAACTTGATTGTGACCCATCCTGAAGCCATTCACATGTAAGAAGAATGAGACCTTCATGAGCTGCTTAGACCAGGCAAGGTTTAACTAAGTCCCATGGTAGGGCACAGGGGCAAAGTCAAAATTCTGGGTAAGCAACTGACTGTGCGTGTTAGGCTGCTGTTAAGCCAATGTGTGATTCAGCCTAAGAATAAAATACTTGCTATGAGATCCAAAATGGGCTATTTCCATAATTTTTTTCTAGTTTAATACTTTGTCCCTTGGAAAACCCCATGAATAAAATGTGAGCAGGCGCTAACCCTAAATGAAATAGATTTATACTGGTAATTAGAGCTTGTTCTACATTAGCAACAGTGTTGTTTTTTTTTTTTTTTTTTTTTTTTTTTTAGATAACATTCCACGGGGCCAGGCATGGTGGCTTACGCCTATAATCCCAGCACTTTGGGAGGCCGAGGTGGATCACGAGGTCAGGAGTTCAAGACCAGCCTGACCAAGATGGTGAAACCCCGTCTCTACTACAAATACAAAAAATAGCAGGGAGTGATGGGGGGCGCCTGTAAGCCCAGCTACTCAGGAGGCTGAGGCAGGAGAATCGCTTGAACCCAGGAGACTGAGGTTGCAGTGAGCCGAGATCACGCCACTGCACTCCAGCCTGGGCGACAGAGCGAGACTCTGTCTCAAAGAAAATAAAACAGAAAAAACATTCCCCCAAAATATCAGCAAATAGTCAAAGACTACCCATCTTCTTGCAGTCTTGAGAAAGACTTGTTGAGAAAATACTCTGTTTTATATGAATGAGTTCCAAAATACTGGGTTTTTATAGACAGGCATCTTGTTTTGTCTACCCAGCAGTCTCTTTCTGTGGGAAAACATAAACCTTCACCACCCAGTATTCCTCTGTGGTTCTAGTAGACCTGCCAACCACAGTGTGCACTGCAGAGGTGGACATGAGGCACAGGGGTTGGGAATTAGGACACGCAAGTCCCCTGACCACAATATTACACCAACAATCAGACACTTAAGCTTGACCCAGGTAGGGACGAAAAAAGTCCTCCCCTGAGATTTACTAGATGAAACTCAAGAGAATAAATGTCACCCTTCTTTTATTAGATCTTGCTATGTTTGGATCCTGGGGGGCCACAGGAGAAAATGTAGTCAATGCAATGACACACACACAAAATCAGCGACTAATGACAGAGAAAGAGAGAGAGCGCGCGCGAGAGAGAGAGAGAGAAAATAAAGAGGTAGGCTTAGCTGGCCTAAAGCTGTGAACTTCCCAGTGGTGACAGATTGCATAATTGGCCCCAAATTTCAACCCTCCCTGCATCTAAAATTTTGCATTTCCCCTATTTCCATGGAGAAAGTATATTTCCCCACTCCCTAACTTGGAGCTTGACTAGGTAACAGACTGGCAAGTTGGAAGTTAACAAAAATGATACAAACAAGGACTTTAATATGCCTTCGTCATGACCAGGAGAACATGCCTCAGCTCAACTACTGGTCCAAAGATGAGACACTTGAAGCAGACCCACAGCTCTGTACCACAGCCTTCCAAGCCTAAATCTGCTGATGCATTATTAGCAAGCTCAGCTGAGATCAGCAGAGTTGGTCTAGCCACCCACGGATGTGTGAGCTAAATAAATGCTTGCTATCACAAGTCACTGGGATATGCGTGCTTGTTTATTATGCAGAAATGGCTGGCCTATACACAGGTTATGGAGCCAATAGATTACATGCACATCCCTTTTCTTAATATTTTTGTTCGTTTGTTTGTTTTTAAATACCAAAATGGAGGCTTCAAACACAAGGGACTTCTTGCCTGTCTGGTTTCTATTATATCCCCAAAGTCAGTAAAATTAGCTGGGACATCGTAGGCACTCAATATTTGATGAATAAAACAAGTTTGAGTTGAGTATCTGTCACTTCAAACAAGAGCTCTGATTCATACAAGCCACAAATCAAATATTTGCTTTCCCTTGATCTGACTTCCATCACAAACATAACATCAATAGAATTTATCCTAGTGGTTTTCTCCCATGTTTGGAGGATTTTTAGTGTTAACAAATTATTAATGTATCAAAGAGCAACACAAAAGTACAGATTGTACTTAATGAAGTCAATCCTCAATTATTTCTTAGCAGAGAAAATGCAAGTCATAAAGCCCTAAACTCACCCAGCCAAGGACACACTTTTGCGACTGGTTTGTTGTTACCCTTTTGTTAATTGCACCACTTCTGCTGATAAACTAGATCAGGGTGGCTTTGTATCATATGGCTTCTATTTGTTTTTTAATTTTTATTTCACACTTAGAGAAAAATTGCAAGAATAGTGTGAAGAATTACTATACACCTTTTATTCAGATTCACCAATTGTTAATATTTTGTTCTTTTTGTTTTATCATCTGCTCACTCTATATATTTTTACTCTTAGTCATTTGAGCATAATTGCAGGCATAATGCCCCTTTATCAATAAATACTTCAGTGTATATGTCCTGGGAAGAAGAATTTTCCTTGACATACCACAGCACATTTATCAAAGTCAACAAATATAACTTTTAATACTGATATCCAACCCACTCTTCATATTCAAATTTTGTCATTCGTCCCAGTAATGTTCTTTATAACTTTTCTCCCCCGTGATCTTGGGTTCAATCCGGATTACATACTATAATTAATTGTCGTATCTTTTTAGTCTCCTCTAACCTGGAACATTTCTTCAACCTTCCATTCTTTTCAGGATTTAAGTATACTTTAAAATTTGTAATTGAACCTACATTTATTTAACAGAACGTAAGAGAGAAACATTTATGCTCACTTTCTCTCTCTCTCTCTCCCCATCATCTCCTGTTATATGATTGACTATATAGTTGCAAGGAATTTTATTTATCCTAAGACATTTTTATGGTAAAATACACATAATATGAAATTTACCATTGTTACCCTTTTTAAGTGTAAGGTTGAGTAGTTGTATAGCCATCATTATCATCCCATTTCAGAGATCTTTTCATCTTACAAAGCTGAAACTCTGCACCTATTAAACAATAACTCTCCCTTCCTCCCTTCTCCCAGCCTCAAGCAACCACCATTCTACTTGAATTGAAGTTTTCTAGGCACTTCATATAAGTGAAATCATACAGTATTTGGTTTTTGGAAAATAGCTTATTTCGCTTAGCATAATATGTCAATGTTCATCTATGTTGTAGCGTATGTCTGAATTTCCTTCCTTTTTAAAGCTTAATAATACTCCATTATATGTCTATACTACATTTTATGTATCCATTCATCTGTGAGGACTTGGGTTGCTTCCACCTCTTGACTATTATGAAAAATGCTGTTATAAACATGGATGTGCCAATATATCTTGGAGACCCTACTTTCAATTCTTTTTTTTTTTTTTTTTTTTTTTTGACATAGTTTCGTTCTGTTGCCCAGGCTGGAGAGCAGTGGCACAATCTCAGCTCACTGCAATCTCTGCCTCCCGGGTTCACGCGATTCTCCTGCCTCAGCCTCCCGAGTGGCTGGGATTACAGGCATACACCACCACACCTGGCTAATTTTTTGTATTTTTAGTAGAGACGGGGTTTCACTATGTTGACCAGACTGGTCTCAAACTCCTGACCTCATGATCACCTGCCTTGGCCTCCCAAAGTGCTGGGATTACAGGCGTGAGTCACCGCGCCAGACCTTCAATTATTTTAAGTACGCACTCAGAAGTGGAATTGCCAGATCACATGGTAATTCCATTTTTAGTGTCTTAAGTGAACCACCATATCGTTTTCCACAGTAGCTATATACCATTTTACATTCCCATCAGCAGTGCACAGGATCTTCATGTCCTCACCGACACTTGTTTTGTTTTGTTTGGTTTGGTTTGGTTTGGTTTGGATTTTTTTATAGTATCCATCCTAAGGGATGTAAAGCAGTAGTGGTTTTGACTTGCATTTCCCTAATGATTACTGATATTAAACATATTTTCATGTGCTTGTTGACTATTTGTATATCTCCTTTGGAGAAATGTCTAAGTCCTTTGCCTATTTTTTAATTGGGTTTTTTGGTTGTTGTTGAGTGTAGAGTTCTCTATATATTTTTGATATTAACACCTCATCAGACATATGACTTGCAAATGTTTTCTCCCATTCTGTGGGCTGTCTTTTTCTCCTGTTGATTGTGTCCTTTGACACACAGCAATTTTTAATTTTGATGTAGTCTAATTTATCTGTTTTTTTTTCCCTTTGTTGCCCAAGCTTTTGGTGTCGTGTCCAAGAAATCATCCAAATCCGACATCATGAAGTTTTTTCCTTGTTTTCTTCTAAGAGTTATACAGTTTTAGCTCTTTTTTTTAGGTCTTTGATCCATTTGGAGTTGTTTTTTTTTTTTTTTTTTTCCGAGATGGAGTCTTGCTCTGTCACCCAGGCTGGAGTGCAGTGGCGCAATCTCAGCTCACTCCAACCTCTGCCTCCCAGGTTCAAGCAATTCTCCTGCCTCAGCCTCCCGAGTAGCTGGGATTACAGGAGTATGCCACCACACCCAGCTAATTTTTTTGTATCTTTAGTAGAGATGGGGTTTCACCATGTTGGTCAGGCTGGTCTCAAACTCCTGATCTTGTGATTCCCCCTCCTTGGCCTCCCAAAGTTCTGGGACTACAGGTGTGAGCCACCATGCCCAGCCTGAGTTTATTTTTGTACAAAGTGTAAGGTAAGGGCCCAAATTCATTATTTTACATACAAAAATCCAGTTTTTCCAACACAGTTTGTTGAAGACTTTCTTTTTTGAATTAAATGGTCTTGGCACTCTTGTTGAAAATCATCTGACTATATGATTCAAGTGTTTATTTCTAGGTTCTCAGTTCTATTCCACTGGTCTATATATCTGTCTTTATGGCAGTACCACATTGCTTTGATCACTATAGCTTTAAAATGGTTTCAAATCAGAAAAATGTGAGATCCCTCTCCATCTTTGTTCTTCTTTATCAGATTGTTTTGGCTATTCAGTGTCCCTTGAGATTCCATGTTAATTTTATAATGGATTTTTCTATTTTTGAAAAAAAAATCATTGCAATTTGACAGATTGCATTGAATCTTGTATACTGTTTTGATAGTTTTGACATCTTTACAATACTAAATCTTCCAACTCATTAACATGCAATGTCTTTCTATTTATTTGTGTATTCTTTCTTTCAGTCACATTTTATAGTTTTCAGTGCAGAAGATTTTTGCCTCCTTAGTTTATTCCTAAGTATTCTACTCTTTTTGGTGCTGTTGTAGATGCAATAATTTTCTTAATTTTCTTTCAGATTGTTCATTATTAGTGTATAGAAACACAACTAATTTTCATGTGTTGATTTTGTATCTTGCAAATTTGCTGAATTTATTAATTAGTTCTAACATTTTCTTTGGAATATTTAAGGTTTTCTACATATAAGATCATGTCATCTGTGAACAGAGATAATTTCACTTCTTCCTTTTCAATTTGGATGCTTTTGCTTCTTTTATTTTTTTAAAGGGCTCTGGCAAGGACTTCTAGTACTATGTTGAATAAGAGAGGTGAAAATGGGCATTCTTGTCTTGTTCCAGATATTAGAGGAAAAGCTTTCAGTTTTCCCCTTGAGTATGATGTTAGCTGTGGGCTTTTTCACAGATGTTTGAGTAGTTTCCTTCTACTTCTAGTTTGTTGAGTGTTTTTATCATTAAAGAGTGTTGAATTTTTTCATGGAAGAGTGTTGGTGCTCTTTTTTGCATCAATTAAGATGATTATGTGTTTTTCTTTACTTCATTCTCTTAGTATGATATTTTACATTGATTGCTTTTCATATATTGAACCATCCTTGCATTTCAGGAATAAGTACCACTTGGTTATAGTATATAATCCTTTCAATATACTGTTTAATTCTATTTGCCACTATTTTATTGGCAATTCTTGTATCAATAATCCTCATGAATATTGGTTTTTAGTTTTCTTTTCTTGTAGTGTTTCTGGCTTTGGAATCAGGATAACGCTGGTCTCATAGAATGAGCTTGGAAGTGCTCTCTCCCCTTCAGGTTTTTTGGAATACTTTGAGAAGGATTGGTGTTAATTCTTTAAATGTTGGATAGAAATCACCAGGGAAGCTGTAGTGGTAAATGTTAAGTATCAATTTGACTAGGTCACAGAGTGTTCAGATATTTGGCTAAACATTATTTCTGGGTGTGACCATAAGGATGTTTCTGGATGAGATTAGCATTTGAATTGGTGGGCTCAGTTAAATACTACCCTCCTCAGTGTGAGTGGGTGCTATCCTATCCAGTGCCGGACTGAATTTTTAAAAAGGCAGAGGAAAGGAGAATTCACTCCTTCTGCCTCACTGTGTGGGTTGGGACATCTGTCTTCTCCTGCCCCCAGGTCTTTGGACTCAGATTGAACTATAACACGGGGTTTCCTGGGTCTCCAGCTTGCAAGCAGCACACCATGGAACTTCTCTCACTCCATAATCACGTGAACTCATTCCTCATATTTAATTTCTCTCTCTTTACATATATCCTATTGGTTCTGTTTATCTGGAGAACTCTGACTAAATGCAGAAGTCATTTGGTTCTGGGCTTTCCTTTGTTGGGAGATTTTTGATTACTGATTCAAACTCCTTACTAGATAAAGATCAGTTTGGATTTTCTATTTCTTCATAAAAGCTGAAGTAGTGGTAGGTTGTGTGTTTCTAGAAATTTATCTAATTCATCTAGGTTACCTAATTTATTGGAGTACAACTGTTCATAGTATTATCTTTTAATCCCTTTTATTTCTGTGATGTCAGTTGTAAGGTCCCTGCTGTCATTTCTGATTTTAGTTGTTTGAATGTTCTTTTTCTCTTAGTCTAACAGGTTTGTCAATTTTATTGATCTTTTCAAAAAAACCAACTTCTAGCTTTGTGGATCTTCTCTATTGTTTTTTATTTTCCATTTTGTTTATCTTTTCTTTAATCTTTATTATTTCCTTCCTTTGGCTAGCTTTAGGTGTACTTTGTTTTTCTTTTTCTAATTCCTTAATGTGTGGCCAGAATGTGTTGAGATCTTTCTTCTTTCTTAATTAAGCATTTACAGTTACAAATTTACCTCTTAGCACTGCTTTCACCACACCCCACAAGTTTGGGTATTCTGTGTTTTCATTTTCATTTGTTTCAAGATATTTTTTAAATTATGTTGTGATTTGTTCTTTGACCCATTGATTATGTCAAAGTATATTTAATTCCCACATATCTGAGGATTTTCTATTTTCCTTCTATTACTGATTTCTAGTTTTATTCCCTTGTGATATAAAAGATATTTTGTATGATTTTAATCTTTTTTAATTTAGTAAGACTTGTTTTGTGGCCTAATGTATGGTATATTCTGGAGAATATTATATGTATACTCCAGAAAAATGTGTACTCTCATTGTTGGGTGAAGTGTTCTATATATGTCTGTTAGGTTCAATTGGTCTATAGCATTGATCGAGTTCTTCATTTCCATATTCCTTCTTTTGTCTGTCTGTTTCCTCAATTTTTAGGTGTCCTTTATATAATAACAATATTAACTTTTTATCATCGTATGTTACAAATATTTTCTTCCAATTTTTCATTTGCCTTTTGACTTTGCTTATGATATTTTCTGCCATGCTAAAAAAAAGTCAAATTTAAAACATTTTTTAACTGCTTCAGGATTTTGAGGTATGGAGTCTTTCCTTACACCCAAGGTACAGAGAAATTCATTCTTCTTTTTTTTCTTCAAGTATTTGTAAGGTTTTGTTTTTTATATTTTGATTTGTGATTCATTTGGATTTTATTCTTCTATATAGTGTGAGATATGGATCTAATTTTTTCTTTTTCTGAGTAGTTACCAGTTATCCCAATCATTTTTTAAAAATGTCTATCCTTGCTCCAGTGATTTAAGATGCTACCTTTATCCTTTTCATGTGTATTTGGGTTGATTTCTAGACTTTTCATTCATCTGTTTGTCTACTCATGCACTACCACCACACAACTTCAATTATAGTGGTTTTACAGCATGCTTTAATATCTTAAATGGCTAGTTCCCCCTTGTTGCTTTTTTCTCCAGTATTTTCCTAGCTATTCTTGCATCTTTACTTTTCTATAAAAATTTTAGTATCCACTTGTATAACTCCATTAAAAGTTTGTGGATATTTTTATCAGGGTAAGTAAAATTTATAAATTAATTTAGGGAGAACTGATATTCACATGAGGTTCAGTTGTCCTACACAAGATCAAGGATATCTTTCCATTTGTTCAAGTCTACTTTAGTGTCTTTCAGAAATTCCTTCCTCCTGACAAGGAAGAAATTTTTTTCTAATTATGGAATTTTACACATAGTTTGCTGTTGGAAAACTCCTAACGTATTTCATTCTCAGAGATGAATACCAACTATGTAAACCAAAACCATGCGGCAGAAGAATGTTTTTTCATTCAGAAATTTGCCTATTAAGTTAAATGAGACATAGCCTGTTCTGCCCTTTCATTAGGAAAGTAAACCAAGTTACAACAAAAATATATACTACTCTTGAAGAAAGTTCAGGTTAATCTGTTCATTTAGTCAAAAAACACTTATTAAGAAAATGTTCAGTTTGTGGCAAGTGGCTCCCTTGGCACTGAAGTTCCAAAGGTGAAGAAAATCCTTTCTTCAAGAGTGTCACAATGGGCTGAGAGGGAGGCAGGCCCTCCGCAAGCAGCTCAGGTAGTCTGTGCCCCAGACACAACAGTTTATCAACTGCATCCTCTTCTTTGCTCATGGAGTTCCCTTAGATCATAATGCTCTGACCCTCCTCCCATTTTTGGTTGTCAAAATCATTGATCTGTCGGGTGTGGTGGCTCACACCTATAATTCCCAGCACTTTGGGAGGCTGAGGTGGGCAGATATCTTGAGCCCAGAAGTTCGAGATGTGCCTGGGCAATGTGGTGAAACCTTGTCTCTACAAAAAAATTTAAAAAATTAGCTGGGCATGGTGATGCATACCTGTAGTCCTAGCTGAAGTGGGTCCCAGGTGAGGTGGGAGGATCACCTGAGCCTGGAAGATTGAGGCTGCAGTGAGCTGTGATTGTGCAAATGCACTTCGGCCTGAGTGACACAGTGAGACCCTGTCTCAAAAACAAAAAACAAAAAAACCTCATAGATCTTTTTCCAGTCCTAGCTAAAATTCCACTTACACTGAGAAATCTTTTCTGATCACCTTGTCCAGAATTAATTACCCTACTTCTGCAATAGTTTAGAAATTATTATAGGTATATTACAGGATAAAGCAAATAATTACTTGTGTTAATTTCCTTGGGACCCAAGATTTCAGCATAAGGGAAAATAGATATAAAATCAGAGAAGTTAAGGGAAAGTGCTATATTTTAAATTTGAATTGAAAAATCTTAGTGTAAATGACAGATTTTTCTTTAAAAAAAAATTTCCTAGCTTTCACCACAAAAAGGCTTATAAGGGATAATAAATTCAGCAGCAAGAAGCACCCACAATGCCCAGGTTATGCTCTATAAATATAATTTACCACCAAAAGGAACCAGGACTTTGAAGAAATGACTGTTCCAGATTTGTGGCAGGAAATGTATCAGATGAGCTTAAGACATTTTGTTGTACCAGAAATGAAGGAAAATATCAAAGAGTAATTTGGTTATATAAAAGGACACAGGAGGCAACTTCAAGGGACTAGCCTAAGATGTGACAATCTGAATATCAAACAGGAAAATAACTGTGATGGATTAAAACACATAAAATAGATGCAAATCAATTGGTCATCACTGGAGGTTCTTTGGGCATTGTTCATCAACTTATTACTTTGAAAATGTAACAATAAAGGGAAAACATCAAGCATTTTTCCTGCTTTCCCTATACCATGGTACTTCAAGGAGACAAAAAGTAGATAAGAGAAAGTTCTTTAAAGAATTATTCCACTTAATAAGTGCAGATGAGGCGTGGTGCAGTGGGTCATGCTGTAATCCAAGCACTTTGGGAGGCCAAGGTGGGAGGATTGCTTGAGCACCAGAATTCGAGACCAGCCTGGCCAACATGGCAAAACCCTGTCTCTATTAAAAACACGCAAAAAAATTAGCTGGCCATGGTGTCACGTGCCTGTAATCCCAGCTACTTGGGAGGCTGAGGCAGGAGAATTGCTTGAACCCCAGAGGCAGAGGTTGCAGGCAGTCCAGCCTGGGCGACAGAGCGAGGAGACGGTCTCAAAAACAAACAAACAAAACAGAGGAGAATGAGCTGTCACAGAATAACAGAGGCTTATGAACCATAATAACCAAATGCAAAATGTGGACCATATTTGGATGCCAATTCAAACAAATCAACAGTAAAAATGTATATTTCAGATTGTTAGAGAAAATGTGAATAAAAAGTGGGTATTAGATGACATTAAGGTTTATTGTAAATTTTGTTAAGTGTGCTGATAGCATGGTTGTTATGTTTTTGCAAGGTCTTTATCACTTAGAGTGCCATCCTGGAGTAATTACGGGAGAAACAATATGGATGCTGGGAATTGCTTTAAAATACTCCAGAAAAAAATAAAATGAAAATGAGAGAATAGATGAAATCAGAGTGGCATAAAGCTAGGCAATATATATGAAGGTTCATTGTACTATTCTATTTTTGTATGCATTTAAGATTTTTTATAAGAAGTAAAACCAAAACAAACAAAAAACAGAAAAACAAATAAACAAACAAATAACCAAACAAAAAAACTTTGACATGGAAGAACACCGGAGCATCAGAGGGTGATCATCTACATTGTAGTCCAGATCTGCTACTAATTCACCATTCAAGGGCTTTGGCCCTCAGCTTCTTTATTCATAAAATGAATTAGATTTTCACTTTTTATTTTGAGTCTCACTCTGTCACCCAAGCTGGAGTGCAGTGGCGTGATCTCAGCTCGCTGCAACCTCTGCCTCCTGGGTTCAAGCAATTTTCCTGCCTCAGCCTCCCAAGTAGCTGGGATTAAAGGTGTGCATCACCGCACCTAACTAAATTTTTTATTTGTTTGTTTTTTTAGTAGATACGGGGTTTCGCCATGTTGGCAGGCTGATCTTGAACTCTTGACATCAGGTGATCCACCTGCCTTGGCCTCCCAAAGTGCTGGGAATACAGGTGTGAACCACCATGCCCGGCTAGATTTTGACTTCTGAAGACTCTTCCAATTCTAACATACTGTGATTTTGTTACTCTGAAATCCCCATCTCTGGCTCCTTCTCAAGAATCCTTTCCCAACTAAGTAACTGTAAGCAAGACAGGAGTTTCCTCTAACTCTCCTAAGAATGCTTTCTCTGAATATGTGACTTGCATATCTTACTTTCTATTCTCTTGCGCATGAAAAGCACCGGAACTAATTCCTGTATATCTAAATCATTCAACACTTGCTGTACTCCATATATACATCTGCTTCTGTAATATGTGTGTATGTGTCAGTGTTGTATATCTAAGACTATAAACTAGGACACTGTCAACCAAGCATATGGGTGTTCGCTTTAATCATACTGATGACTTAGCACATTGTCAACATGTAGCAAATGTATAACACCATAATACTATAGTATAAATAGTGAACTTTTTCAGCAATCTGTTGCAGCTGGCCTAACTATCCACACTGTATTTGTGGTTCAATTTGTTTCTTCTTCTCTGTCCAACATCACAAGTCATCATTTGGTAGACTATATTTCCAGGATGGATAAAACATCTTTGTGTTTCATGCAAAATAGGCCTAATCCACAAGGTTTTTTTTCTTTCCCCATTAAATAAGGGGATATGAACCTCTTTCTTATGTGAAGAATATAAACTTCTCCAATTTTCAAATTTTGCCTATGAACTATATAGCTATAGACTCTATTGTATTGCCTTTTCTTCCTGTCTAAAATCTGCAAGTTCATAATTCAAATACACCATTTAAAAAAGAGCCTTAGTATGGCAATGACACCTGGAAGTGATTAGATATCACTTTAACACTTGAGACAAATTCAAATCAATGCCGCTGATATGCTTCTTAAAATTTTGCCTTTTAGATAACTTCTAAAAACCAGGAAGTGACCACATGAAAGCTTATGTGCATTTCTTCTGTTTCTTTTTGTGGGGAGTGCAGAGGTGAGGGGTAGTTATACTTTTGGATGTTTGGCTAATTCCAACTAAGTGCTCATATTTTGCTTATATTTACCTTTTGTCTAATCCATCCTCTCAACTCTGGGATGACCTGGTCTAAGGATGTTAAACACTGCAAGATAGCTGAATTTCATACTTGCTGAGGCAGTGTTGGCCAAATCTTTTTTCTTCTTAAAAAGAAAAAAGAAGTGACCATAAATTTCCATCAGAGGTTTTAAAAAAGTACCTCCTTGTTGCTGCAAGTGACCTCACAAAACTATGCTACTCTGCTGATGTCACTTCCCTGATTCAAAAGTCTTCAATATTTTGCTTACTGAATTACACAGAAACTCTTCAGCCTGCACTCGATACACCAGGTAATCACGGTACAGTACCTGCATCTCAGTGAGTTGTTATAAGAAGTAAATGAACTAATACACATAAAGCACATAACACAATGCCTGGGAGCTGGAGACACACAAGATTGTTCCTTGTAAGCATTCCCTGAACCTCTTGAAGTCCTCAGAAAAAGTGTATTTTCAGTAAACATTTGTTGAATAAATACATTGAATGATTTAAGGAGAAAAATTAATTCTTTGATATCTATGAACAAATAGAAGTTCTCCCTTAACATGCTAGTATAACTTTTTGAGGACATTTACATGGTGTGTTAAGCGATAGAATGCCCACGCATAGAGTTTTAAAACCAAACAACCCAATGTTGAAAATTTAACAGGAAGATTTCATAAAGGGAAGGCCCATTTATTCAGATGAATCAAAGATGGATCTCAGATGTAATCATATTTTATTTGTACAGGGTCATTCACCCTAGAATCAAAGCACTCACCATATATCTCATTAACCCTTACGACACCCCCAGGGGCAGGTAGATGGTAAAGATGATCCTCTTGGAAAGCCTGAGGCCCAGGACAGTGAAGGGACTTGTCAGAGGCCACGTCAAGTGAGTGAGTAATGGAGCAAGAAACAGAGCTAAATTCATCCTTGGTGTACTGTTATATTTTACCATGAGGTTGCCAAACATCTCAATTACTTTTTTTTTTTTTTCCAGGAGTCTTGCGCTGTCACCAGGCTGGAGTGCAGTGGTGTGATCTCAGCTCACTGCAACTTCCACTTCCTGGGTTCAAGTGATTCTCCTGCCTTAGCCTCCCAAGTAGCTGGGATTACAGGCACCTGCCACCACCCCTGACTAATTTTTGTATTTTTAGTAGAGACGGGGTTTCACCATGTTTTCCAGGATGGTCTCTATCTCCTGACCTCGTGATCCACCCCCCTCGGCCTCCCAATCTCAATTACTTTTTATTCCAAAATTCATTTTTTCTTCTTTTTTTTTCTTTCTTTTCTTTTCTTTCTTTTTTTTTTTTTTTTTTTTTTGAGACGGAATCTCACTCTGTCACCCAGGCTGGAGTGCAGTGGCGCGATCTCGGCTCACTGCAAGCTCCATCTCTCGGGTTCACGCCATTCTCCTGCCTCAGCCTCCCGATTAGCTGGGACCAAAGGCGCCCACCGCCACGCCCAGCTAATTTTTTGTATTTTTAGTAGAGACGGGGTTTCACCGTATTAGCCAGGATAGTCTTGATCTCCTGACCTCGTGATCCGCCCACCTCGGCCTCCCAAAGTGCTGGGATTACAGGCGTGAGTCACCGCGCCCGGCCTAAAATTCATTTTAAAGTAAACCTTCTTAAAAAACATCAACTCAGAGTACAAGATTCAATAACTAACATTTAAAAAAACATAAATCAGTTGGGTCTTATGTTTGTTAGTTTTATTTTAATGACTCCATGATGCCATTTATGTCTGGGGAAGAAAACCTGAGCAAATATTGGTTCAGAAACAAACTTCTCCGTAAGGCAAATGTAGGCAAGTAATATGAACTCTAATTTGCAACTGAAAACATAGGAGCTGAGTTTTGAGTTTCCAAACGTAACTGCAGAAGTTGAGTTTCTTTTTCTCTCTGTCTTTTTCTTTTTTGCTTTCTTTCTCTCTCTCTCTCCTTCTTTCCTTCTTTCTTTTTTTTTTTCATGATTCTACCTGGCTGTGATGGGTAAACGAACTCTTTTTAATTGACTCATCAGAATAGAGATTACCAGAATTTTCAGGTATTTTAACCTCCAGATTTTACCAGAAACCCACAGAATGAGTTGTTATGCTTTCGGTATCCCGTGACTGAAAATAAAACCCATCACAACAAAATGACCAAAAACTGCTATGAATTCGGTGACTGTGCAATGAAATTGTCAATTATCCTCTCTGCCTTCCTGCGTTGAAAGAGTTTCAAGAAGTTGTGGTGAGTGGATGTATTCCCAGACGGATGCGGGCGGTCCCCGGGCAGGGACCCCGAATCCGGGGTCGCAGGGTGGTAGAGCCGGAAGATTGGATTCCATCTCCGCAAGGATTGAGAAAAACGGACTCACCGACTGAACTATTCCATCTCCAAGTTGTTTTTATTTTCCACTTTAAGCATAAGAACGATGAGAACCAGGAGCCAGGCGGCCCCGCGTAGCGGTGGGAGCGCAGGTACCCGAGAGTACCCTCTGGGGGCCGGCCCGGCGCGCTCGCTCCTCCTCGCCTTTCCGGGAACCGTGCGCAGGAGCTCACACGGCACGCCTGCGGCCAGGGGCAATCGGGTTCTCGGTTCCCGGAGTCCCAGTTCCCGGTTTCCAGTTTCCTTATCGACGCGATTGTTCCGTCGGGGTCTTCCAAGGGGATCCGAATGGTGGCCAAGTCCCGCTGGGGAAATCCGCAGGGGTGCGGCCTGCGGGGCCTTTGGGGGCGCACCTACGCCACGGGCTCTGCCATTCCTATCCGGAAAATTCAAGCTGTTTGGGCACCAGGAGGGACTCTGAGACAGAGGGCGTCGGAGAAGGCGCGTCTCTGCTTGTCCTCTTGGGCTGACTGAGGGTCTCACGCTAGGCCAGCGCTGGCTTCGGGACAGCTCCACTACGGCGAGGGCCACACGGGTGGCCGCGGAAGGGATGAAAGGATTTGGAAGGACACCAGCCTTTTCGGACTTTGCAGGATCCAGGCCTGCTGCGCCCGATGCTGCCTGAGACCCACCTTCCCAAGGAAGACTGAAACTCAGGCCCTGGACCCAGGCTGTCTGGATTCTGTCCTTAGCTCAACCATTTGTCAGCTGCCGCGCGACCCTGAGCGAGTTACTTAACCTCACTGGTCTTCACTTCATTTGCAAAGTGGGGATCATCATAACGTCTACCTCAGAGGGCTGTTGTGAGAATATGAGATGATGCATTTAAAGTGTTCTGGCACGGGGGTTGCTCAATGAATGTCAGGGGCTGCTTGGTAGAATTCAATAAGCTCGGTGAGAGGAGTCGTGCAACTAACAAGAATTTCACAGTGATGTTTTGCCAGGCCCTGCCCTTCGAACTATGGAGAAAGCAGAGGCATGGCCTGGTGAGGTGGCTCACGCCTGTAATCCCAGCACTTTGGGAGGCCGAGGTGGGAGGATCACCTGAGGTCCGGAGTTCAAGACAAGCCTGACCAACATGGAGAAACCCTGTCTCTACTAAAAATACTAAAGTAGCCTGGCGTGGTGTGCATGCCTGTAATCCCAGCTACTAGGGAGGCTGAGGCAGGAGAATAGCTTGAACCCAGGAGGCAGAGGTTGTGGTGAGCCGAGATGGCACCATGGCACTCCAGCCTGGGCAACAAGAAACTCCATCTCAAAAAAAAGAAAGCAGAGGCATAACAGAGAGAAACTGCCATCCTCATGGAGCTTGCATGGGTGTGGACTCGGTGGGCGGGAGTGAGAATGCGCAGTGTGGGGCAGTTGCGATTTTAAACAAGGTGGACAGTGAGCAAAGCCAGGTGACAGGGAGCCAGGGGAGAAGGTGGTCTGTCTAGCCAGAGGGAAGAGCACGAGGGAGCTCCAGTTTCCCTCACTAAATCCTGTCACACACAAACATGTTATCAAGTGAGTCCTCCCTAGGGAGATATACCTAAGGAGACAGGCAGGGTAGCTGGAAGGAAGCCCAGTTCTAGCACCACCGCCAGCCTGTATTGGTTTAAGCCAAGTGCTGCTTTCTCCAACCCCCAGGACCCTGCAGCCCCATCCTTGTACATCTTCAGAAGAATTTCCCTGGAAAAAGACATGAGGAATATGTGTGGGGGTGGGGGAAAGGGGTGTGGAGAAGAAAAAGCCATGTGAAGACACAGCAAGACAGTGGCTAATCTGCAAGGCAAGGAGAGGGGCCTCAGAAGAAACCAAACCTGCTGACAGCTTGATCTTGGACTTCCAGCCTCCAGAACCCTGAGAAAATAATTTTCTGTTGTTTCAGCCAAAAAGAAAAAAAAATTTCCAATAGAGTCATAAAGGGGGATAATTCACATTCTCTCAAGGAATCTAACTTCCACTTCCCCCTTTCCATGGAAGATGATGAGAAATGTAGGTCATGCTGCTGACACAAACTAAGCAAAAAGTGGTTTTTCAGAGAACCAACTTTTTTTAAGCTTTTGAGAGTAACAGTGACCACACAATTCTGAGACACCATACAAATAATATCAGTAACAAAGAGACATTTTGAGCTGGATGCTACATTTTTTTTTTTTTGAGACAGAGTCTCACTCTGTTGCCCAGGCTGGAGTGCAGTGGTGTGATCTTGGCTCACTGCAACCTCTGCCTCCAGGGTTCCAGCAATTCTCCTGCCTCATCCTCTCAAGTAGCTGGGATTACAGGTGTTTTTTTTTTTTTTACCATGCCTGGCAAATTTTTTGTATTTTTAGTAGAGATGGGGTTTCACCGTGTTGGCCAGGCTGGTCTCAAACTCCAGACCTCAAGTGATCTGCCCACCTCAGCCTCCCAAAATGCTGGGATTACAGATGTGAGCCCCAGCACCTGGCCTGCTATGTTTCTAATTACATTGTGCAGCTACAAGTAGACAGGAGAAATGGCTTCTAAAAGATAGGAAGGTAAAGTACAAACCATATATACACAGAAGTCTGGCCTGCATATACTATCAATATCACATACCAGTAAAAACAACTGCCACTTATTGTGTTATGTACTTAGTGTTTTATGTGTATTTACTTATTGATAACCCTATAAGGTAGAATCTATCATCATTTTACAGATGAGAGAATTGAGCTTTAGAGCAGTTAAATCACTTGTCCAAGGTCATAGAGCTAGTAAATACTGGAGCCACTCCCTTTCCCCATTTTATTAAAATAAATATTTATTGAGTGCTTTCCATGTGCCAGGCACTGTTTGAGACATTGGAGATACAGCTACTTAAAAGAAAATCCCTGCCCTCATATATATTACTTACATTCTTGTGGAGAGACAGAAGCAGTAAGAGGGGGATAATGTAAATGTAGTATATGGGAAGTTAAATACCATGGAGAAAAACAAAGCAGGGAAAGGGGAAAAGGAGGGGATCAGGTGGCAATGTTAAATAGGCGGTCAGGGAAAGCTGCACTCAGGAGGTGACATTGGAGCAAAAAGTTGAAACAAACTATGCCTATCTGGGTAACAGTGCTCCAGGCAGAGGGGGGACAGCAAGTGCAAAGGCCCTAAGGCAGGAAAAACAGGAGGGTCAGTGTAGCCAGACAGGAGTGGGCATGGGCAAGGAGAAAGCAGAAAAGGTCAGACATGCAGTAGTCACTCAGGAGGTAGAAGAGTTAGGCTTTTACTCTCTGAGTGAAGTGGGGAATCGCTGAGGGATTCTGAGCTCCTTTATGTATCACAATCACTCTGGCCGCTGTGCTAAGAATGAATGCACTGTAAAGGGGGACAAGACAGAAGCATGGATACCAGTCAAGAAGCTGTCCTGGCAACCTAGGTGAGGGAGGATGATGGTGTGGGCCCACGCAGTAGGAGAAGAAGTCGTAAGCAATGGTCAGATTCTGGATATACACAGAAGGTAGAGGCACAGCATTCACCAACAGGCTCCATTTGGAGTATGATCAAGGAGCCAAGGGCTGCTCCAAGGTTTTTGGCTTGAGCACCTCCTGAAAAAAATGGTGTTGCTCTTAATCTAAAGGGGGAACACTGAAGATGGGGCAGATATAGGGGCTAAGCGTCTAACAAATTAAATTTGAGGCTGGGTTTGGTGGCTCACGCCTGTAATCCCAACACTTTGGGAGGCTGAGACGGGCAGATCACTTGAGGTCAGGAGTTTGAGACTAGCCTGGCCAACATGGAGAAACCCCATCTCTACTAAAAAATACAAAAAAGTAGCCAGGTGTGGTGGTGGGTGCCTGTAATCCCAGCTACTCAGGAGGCTGAGGCAGGAGAATTGCTTGAACCTGTGAAGTGGAGGTTGCAGTGAGCCTAGATTGTGCCACTGCACTCAAGCCAGGTGGCAGAGTGAGACTCCATCTCAAATAAATAAATAAATAAATAAATAAATAAATAAATAAATAAATTTGAGGTTCTTTTAGACATTTAAGTGGAGATAAATATCAAGTAGGCAGTTGAATAAATGAAACAAGGTTGGAGTTTAGGGAAGAAGTACAGGCTGAATTTTTTTTTTTTTAATTCGGGGATGGTCAGGCTGTAGGAGCTGGTGACTGCAAGAGAAAACATAAGCGGTGAGGGTAGATACTTAAAAAAAGAAAAAAAAAAGAGGTCTGAGAGCCTGCCCAGGTATGCTCCTACTTTTCCCACTTTACAAAGACTGAAGAGCGAAAGAGAAGCGCACCCAGACACACCCAGGTTCACGGTTGCTTCCTCTGTTGGATCTCTGCCCACTCTCCTGGACAGAGTTAAGCCTTTTCACTGGAGGCAGCTGGGAGGAAGCTAAGTTTGGCAGTGGACAGCCACAGGCTCCAGCCCCATGGTCCAAGGCACTTGATCTCTCTGGGTGTCCATATTCCCCTCTGTCAAAGGGGATGCTAACACTCCCTTAGGGAGTAGTAATCTTGGATCAGTGAGAGAAAAGAGCCCATAAAACTCGCTCTTTTGCTGGTTCCTCCTACTCAGGACTTTCCCCAGCACTTCACCTAGGTCCACACACTGTCCTATCTACATAGACGCTTCACATCTCCAGTGCCATGCCGGTACAAAACGGGGGCTCAGAGAAAGAATTAATGGATCCAAAGATGGTAGTGGCATCGCCGGCCAGGAGTGAACGCTGTCAATTCATCTTGCCCTTAAGGGAGGGAAACCCTCCTACCGAATATAGTGCGAGCCTCAATGGTGGGTCTGTCCTGGGGCCTGGGCAGGGCGCCGGGTCTCCGGACTCAGGCAAGCACCTTCTCCTAACCGCAAGCGAAGCGAGGAGGAGCGACCAGAGCGCTTCCTCTCCCGCCGGAGCTGAGTCCTCTGGGCCGCAGTCCTTCCTGGACGAGCTCTGAGGCCGAAGATGCGTTGCGTGACTATGCTGCTGCCTGGACGCGGGGTCTCTAGTCCGGAGGCACGGAAGGACCTGCCTGCCTGACTCTAGTCTGCAAGTCTCGGGCACACGCGCGGCTTCTGCCCACCCGCGTAAATGCCCTGGGGAAAGGCGCCCTTTCTTTTATGATGTTTTTTAAGAGACGAATTCCCTTTTTCCCTCTACAGCAATCCCTCAGATTTCTGGGGGAAAATGGGGCCCCGTTTTCCAGTACACAGGCCACCCCAGGAAGACCGCGTCGGGCGCTGTGTGATCTGGAGAGTGCATTCTGCGGACCGAGGTCCTGCTTTTGCTCGCCCCGGACGCGGCTACATGGGGTCAGCTCAGAAGGACGTTGCATTTGGACACTGTTGCCAGAGCCTGCGGATGACATCCCGAGGGCAGTTGCTGGGGAGATCATAGATTATTGCAGAAATTCATTAAAACGACTTTTCAATGCATTCCAGCAACCCTGGCCTAGCAAGAACCCACGTCTGGCAACAATGGAGGAATTAACCTGGATGTTATGGGGAGTGGATCTTAACAATTTGAGGGTCATTAATCTCTTTAAAATTGGGTACAAACTATGGAAAGTAGCCCCCCGAAAGCACACTTTGGGATACATGTTCTGCGTTCTAGTAATACCTTCCACTACACACACACACACACACACACACCACACACAGTCATACACACACACACACAGACACACACACACACACACACACACACACACACACACCCTTCCCCTATCACACCTGGAGCCCTGGATAAGAACTGGCATACAAGTTTTGTGATCTCAGCAGGGAAAAAAAATCAAGTCAATCTCACAGAGCTTGTTTGGATTGTTGTTTCTTCTCAGTAACAAGTGGACAACAGTTAATCAAGGGATCAAGTGAGTTTGGTGGATATGAAAGGACACAGACCTCCTGGGAAAGGAAAGATGCAATTAGAATGAAATCATCCCCTTGGGTTGTCCTGGCCTCTCCAAACCACCAACAAAAATGTAATTAGGGCAAAAATGTTTTGGAAGGAAGTTAGCAAACAGGGAAGGTTTCCTTAGACGTAATGATGACAGTTTTGTATTTTGTTATTCTATTAACCAAGAAATTTCTATGTTATATGCCAAGAACTTTTGATGGCCTCAGAGAAGCAGTACATACTCTGGATGTTTTGTTTTCTTTTGTTTTGTTTATGTGGGGTGGGGGGACAGTAATGATATACCTAGTGCACCAGGGACAGCAGCTATCCACTATCTAACCGGCCTGCTGCTGGTGTTTTTGTGTAACAGTGGAGAATAACATATCTGTCTTATTTTATTTCACCAGATGGAGAAAATGCAACAATATTTGGGGAAAAAACATTTCCTGTCTTTTTGTTCTTAACATAAAAAAGCACTTTATGACTATTTTTTTTTTCAGCATATTTTCTCCTCTGGGGAACTTCTTAAAACCTTAAAACATATATTTGCCAGGAGTCTTTGAATTCTCATGATAGTCCTATCTCTTTCTACAACCAAGACTTGCTGGACTTGCTCCATTAGGGAAACTTGTGTTTTACAAGCTGTAGACAATAACTGAATAGCTAAACTTTTTTTTTTTTTTGAGGGAAAATTTTAAACTTAAAACACTTAGCATTTATGGGCCATTGATTTTTTTTTTATTACCCATTTAACCATGTCTTTTCTTTGACGCTCATCCAGAGGGACTCTCATCATCCATGGCTAGATCAGAGAAACCAAAAGGAAAGGTCTTCATCATCTCTAATCTCCATCTCTCACCTCCCTCCAAAGCAGTTTACAATAAAGAGACTCACTCCCACATCCTGATCCTGCTCTTCTTTGATCTTCGCCATCATTTTCTTATTAAAAACAACTGCTCTGTTGCCACCACCAGTTTCAAGTCTGAGTAACTATTTTCATGCTTAAATTTTTAATTTTGAAAATCAGGTCATATATTAGAGTTATTATGGTAGCAAATACAATATTCCCACTTGAAAAACAGGGGAAATCTGTAGAGAACAACCTATTAATTTTCCACCAGCTAGAAAGCACTAAAATGCTACTTTCTGAATATGGGTCTCTGGTTTTCCAGCCTGGCTTCTTCCTGTCTCAGTCACACCACCTTTCATGGTTTCCTGGGCTATTTCTTCCATTGAGCACTAATTAAAAGTGAGCAAACATTAAATTTCATTCCCATCAGCATAATAAAAAAAATACATTCTGTAACAAGTTACCAAACTCCAGCCAATGATGCAATATACCACCAAATTCCAGTGGAACAAAATAATTTGAATAAGCCCTCAGATTTCATAGTTTTGGAATGTCTTACCTACTAAAACAGATGCATTGCATTCTCTCTTTGCAAATAAATAGGACAAATAACTTATCAAATAAAAATTTAAAAACAGTGGTTAAAAAGTTTATGCTTTATAAACACATAAAGATTGTAATCAGATTTGGAAAAATGGCACTAACATTAGCCAAATTTGAAAAAAATGAATAGAGCAAAGATAGAACAAGATTCTTTACAAGTTTATATAATACCTACTACCTTATACAAGTTCATAGGGGATTCTTTCATTCACAACTATAACTTCACTTTCTGAATTTCAGTATTCTAGGACCAATGGCACATTCCACTTGGAATTATCTTCCTCCAGGACAGATGCTGTCAACCATATGGCCTTCTCAGGCTGAATTTGGCGCTACTGTTATAATGGTATACAGCTCAGCAGCCCTTTGTACTTCCCCCATCAGAGCAATGACTGCACTTTACTGCCCTTGCTTATACAGTTCTGGATCTTCCCTGTTATGGTATAAATTCCACTAGGGAAGGGAATAGATCTGTTTTGCTCAGCAATGTATTCGATGTACATGGCATACAGTAGGTATTTATTAAATGTTTCATGAATTAATGAATAGACCTAGGAGAAATGATAAGTGGGGTTTTTTTTAAGCACAAAGAAGCCAAGGGCAAGAAACAACCAGAGATAAATTCCTTCCATCTCGTTTATTCAATCTAGTGAGGAAGTCTCATTAGTGAATAGTGCAGGGTAGCAACTGGCCAGACAGCTGAGTTTGAAACCCAGCTCCGTTATTTACCAGCTGTGTGACTTGGGATAAGTTACTTAACCTCTCTGAACTTCATTTCCTCTTCTGTAAAATAGGTACAACAGAGCTCCCTTGTAGGGTTGTTTTAAGAATTAATAAACATATACGCCTGATATTTGGAGGTACTCTACAAACAAACATTACCATTCATTCACTAAGCTTTTGAGGGCTTGCTATAGGCACTGGGGATACAAAAATAAACCAAAATCCTCCCTCAAGATGTAAGATTCTTAAGTAATATGGCAACTACAATAACAGAGATAATCACAAGGAGCTATGGGAGCAGAAACTCAGCTGCAGAGAGGGATGCAATACAAAGAAAAGCAGCACGTCTTTAAAGACCATAGGGCTGAACAACACAACTTGTAGGGGAGAGTGTGACCACCACAAGCAGTTGGCTTCCCATTAAATACAAAGTCTCCAACTTAATACAATGGCTAATGAGGGCCTGTCCAAAGGCACACTCCCCTGTTGTCTCTCTGCCCTCATCTCTTGTCATTCTCCCTGCTCTCTTTTTGCCTCTCCTGGGTATGCTAAGCACGCTCCTACCTCAGGGATATGCACGGGCTGTCCCCTCGGTGTAGATATTTTTCCTCTGTTTCTTCACATAGCTCACTGCCTCATCTTTTGCATCTTTGCTCAAAAGTCACCTTTTCAATAAAGCCAACCCTGACCAACCTATCTAGAATTACCCTCCCTCGTCCTATCAATTGTGCTTACTTATGTTTATTGTTTACTGATGTGATCCTTCCCATAACATAAGCTCCACAAGGGCAAAGATCTTAGCTTTTTTTTCCCTGAGACATCCCAAGTGGCTAGGACAGTAGCTAGCACACAGTGGTGTAGAATGAATGAATGAAGTGTGGCTAGAATGTGAAGTCAGGGCAGGAAGGAGAGAAAGGCAAAGCCAGAGAGAGGTACAGAGCCTTAGAATGGTGGTAAAGAGCTTAGATTTTTATCTGGTAAGTAATAGGAAGCCTATAAAGGTGAGTGGCATGTCCAGATCTGCTTTTCAGATAAGTCACTCAACAAAGGACTGGAAGGAAATGATAATGGCAGAGGCTTACAGTGAAGAGGCTGCTGCAGCAAGGGAGCCAGGGAGCAAGACAAGGAAGGCCTAGACTGGAGCAGCAGGAATTAGAAAGGAAGGGAAGGGGCATATCTGAGGCACAATTAGGAGTTTAAATCAGGCAGGACTTGATAACTGACTTAAAGTGGAGGGCAGAAAAAGAGAAGATTCGAGCATGGCTTCCAGGTTTGTAGTATGGATGACTGGGAGGTTGAACTAAGTAAGATCTAGAATGTCCAAAGGGAGAATGGTAGGAGAGGTGATGAGTTTAGCTCCATATATATCCAAGCGGTTTCTTTGTCATTTGTGAAAGAGGGAATTTGGAGCACAGAAGAGAAGTTTAGACCAGAGATATTCTTTCTAGGTGACCTAGTGATAATTATATTAATTTTAAAGGGAAAACAACTTTCATTTCAACCATCCAAATTGGCTTCCAAAAGCAGGAATTAAAAAACAGCTATATTTTAAAATTAACATTTTACATATCTATTCTATGTCATTTTTTTCCAGATAGCAAAACAAAAATGATCTTTTTGGTTATTTAATTAATTCTTATTCTGGACTGCACTTTTTGGTAGATTTTCAGCTAACTTCCCAGAGAAAATAATAATCTCTTCCCCCAAAAGAGTTACCATGTTTGCTTGTGAAATAGCTAGTGGGATAAGACCATACCCTTTCATTTTGTAAAAGTATAAGGGAGAAGTTAAGGAAATTCAAAGGCCATATTATATATTCAAAACAAATTTGAGGAAATACTTTCAAAATGATGTGTAATTAGTTAGTGGAAGTTACTATCACGACCAAAGATTGAAGCAAATTGCTTTATAAGCTTTCCCTTCTCCCTAATCAAACCTGTATATAAAAATAAAGCATGGAAGAATGGACAATACTATATTGTCACTTAAAACTACACACAGGAGGAAGCATAACTTGTTTAACTTTAACAATAATAATTTATCGAGCATTTACTTTGTACCAGTCATTGTGCTAGGCAACTGTCAACACTTTACCTGGTTTCTTCTTACCCTCTGAAGTGTACAAATAACAAATAAACAACAACAACAAAAAAAAAAAACAAAAAATCCCAGAAGTCTTAAAGTTTGAGCAACTTGCTAAAAGTTTTCAGGTGTTGGAGAAATCTTTTTAGAGAGGAGAAAACAAACCATTTTTTTTCCTTTCAAAGATCCAATTATTTATTGCAACTTGCCCTGACTTGTTACAGATGGACACTTGAAGGTCACCGTAGGCAAAAGAGCCTGACTGGTTCACAGGTTGCTGCTGTGCTTCAGAACCTAGTAAGTCAGGCACTGGAAAATGTGCAACATGTAAAATAACACTGTTATATAAATGTAAGAACAAATGAATGGGCCAAGCTCATGTTAGTGATCTGGAATGGTTTCTTTCTATAGGTGAACTTATTTAGGACTATGGAAGAATGTTTTAGTCAGTGACCAGCCGCGATAATGACTGATAAGGGCGGTTAGTGATAAGCGATAAGGACAGGTACAGACATAGGACCGCTGGCTGGGCTCATCCAGAGCTGGCGCGCAGCCCTCTCCCTGCACTCGTACTGAACTGAGTCCAGTCCAGTCCCCCACAGGTTAGAGGTGAGACGGAAGCCATCGTGAGTTTGTTTTTTCAGCGAGTGCCGTTTCCTAGGTTGGATGACAAGCCAGCTTTGGTGGCCCTTCGCTCTCGCTACCCTAATAAACTACCTGGAGCAAGTCCTTCTTCAGAAACAAATCACCACGTCAGCGCTCGGAGGGTGAAGCCCCTACTACTTTCTACTTTTGGTTGTGATGCTGGAGGCCCTTACAATTTCGCAGAACGTTTTGTGGACGCGCGAGCTCAGTGTTGCCCTTGCAATGGGGAAAACACCTGCTTTCCGGGTCCTCGTCCTCCCGGGAGCGCGGACCCTGAACAGCCCCCGTCCGACCTCCCCGGCTCATCACCCCCTTCCAGAAACGCATGGAGCTCTTTTTCTTTGGACTGCCTCTTTTTTGTACTGGCCATCTCAAAATCAAACAAAACAAAAAACAAAAGAAAACAAAACAATATCACTCAGGTGTGAAGCCCCAGTGCAGAAAGTGAAAGTGGGACTAATCCCGGCTGCTGCAGCACCGCCGAGTGAGCGCCAGGGAGGGGCGGGGCTCCAGGGCACGGCGCCCGGTCACGTGACGCGCGTCCGCCCAATCCCAGCGGGCCCTCGCCGCGCGCAGAGCTGGGCCTGGGTAGCTCTTCTCTCTCAATGAAAGCTATATTTTGGGCTGTTACCACCTAAACGCCATGTGGAAACAATGCACCTCCCTCCACTTCAGGTCCCCCTTGCCTGTAAACCTCGAGAGCTGGACGTCCCTTAGCCTGGGAGTTCCTGGACACTGTGCACAATCACTCGTCAACCGCTACCTACTAGGTAGGCGGGAAAGAGCTTTGCTTTCTAGGCGTGTGTCTCCAGATGGGCCCAGGAAAGATAGGGCCTCAGTTCTCTCTGGTTTGTTTGCTGGGGAGGGAGTTAGAGCTGTAAGCCTCCTTCCTCCAAAAGGATGGTTGGAGGGAGTCCGAAACCTTTGGGTCCCAAGACATGACCTAAGGAGTCCCGCTGTCGCCACTCTTCCCGGTTTGGTAGAGGGGGCCCGTGAGTGGCATTTAGCTCTCGCAAAACTGGGCAGATAGACGCACATGTCGACCCTCCTTTTACAATATTTCAAAATAATTCTGCATTGTTTCTCTACTGGAATCGTTAATTATGCATAACTCAGTATCTTAATTTAAAGGAACTGAAGTCCTAACTTTGGGTTAGGTTCTCTTACAAAGACTTCAGGGATGTTTAGCTGGCATCTCGGGTTTGATCCCCAAAATCCACCACGAAACAAAAGCTAGCTTTCCTAAACTCAGTAACAATAGGAGAACTGGTTTAAGCCACCTCTGGGTAGGCAACCCCCACCCCTAAAGCCCTCCTTACTCCAACCTGCCCCTAGGTATGTTTGTGTAATCAGAGACTGATTGTAGCTGCTTTGACGTTTCTCCTCGGGAAAGCTTAGTTTGCATTCATTGAAGTTGCTTGCTTTCTAGGTTCATCTAGGCCAGCAGGGAAGGTGCCACTTGGAAGATTGCTGGGTTTCCTGCTTCGAAGTCTTCAGGAGCGGGCTGAGCTGCGCTGGTGTGCCGCTTAGGACTGCAATGAGGAGGGTGACGTTAGAAGGTCTTTAAAACGTTACGTTTACTATTTTAGGAAACAGATTTTCAAAGAATCAAGGGTAGGGGACAAAATACATTTGGGCTAGGATTTTAGTGAAGAGGGATCACGCCCAGAATGAGGGATAGTAAAAGAGTGGTGGTATGGGGCTCTGATATCGCTTAATCTGTAATCTCCGGCAGTGTTGATAGCTCTCCTCTGGCATTAATTCTTCAGTCTTTTAAAACGGAGTAGAAAGGGACGTTGGATTGATCATTACGGTTTGTTTGGAGAATAGAATTTCGTGTCACCAACTTGGAAGGGTAAATGAATTGCAGAGTCGGATACAGCTAATTTGGGGGAATGTAAGCTGGATGTCTTTTCCTAATTTATGAAACGTGAACGGGGGTAAGGTATTTATTTGTACGCTAGTTGAAGTGGGGCAGGAGCACTGATTCCTGGACAGTCACTCAAAAGCTGCGCCCAAAGTTTTAAAAAGCGCGGGGACGGTGGAGAGGGAGGCGAAGAGCCCGCGCTGCTGGGCTGGGCTCGGGTGCCGCGCTGGGGACGCCGCATCTACTGAGCGGTCGCCGAAGACGCCGGGAGGCGAGGGGCGAGGTAAGACGCCGCCTAAAGAGGCCCGGGCTCTCCCCCGGGGTCGTTGTTGGAAAAGCAAATTCCACGGTGAACTCTACCAAGCTCAGCGCGTACACAGCTAGCGGCTCTGGATTGGACTGCATTCGCCTAAATTGCGTAATTAAAAAAAAAAAATACACCACTGCCACCCTACAGCGACGCTTCCGCTGGAAGACGAGCGGGGACGCGTGACAGCGCGGGGATAGCTTTTCTATTACGTTTCTTGTTCTCCGAGCTCGAGCCCCCTTTTAAAAAGTCGCTCACCAAAAACGGGGTGGGGGATGGAGGTGGGGACGAGAAGTTTCCGAATGCTGAGTTCATTTGGACGAGGTGAGGAGAACTAGGGTCCTAACAGCAGGTCCAGAGGACTCTCGAGATAGGTTTAGAGCCCGTCCTTTTGTCTGGAGTGTCGCGGGACTCCAGAAGTGGGTTGTGCAAGACAAACTTCCAGATAAATCTTTGCCCGGATCCTCCTGCGGTCAAAGCATCAGTCCTGCCCGTAACTTCCTAACGACATCTTCTTGGAGCAGATTCCGCGGCGGGGATGGCTGGGTGTGCAAACCGAAAACAGTTTGTCAGCCCTCCAGTCCCGCCGCGTCGGGAATGCGAGCCCGGCCACGCGGTCCGACCGGGTCCGGGGACGGCGCGCTTGTCGCGGGAGCCTCCCGGCTTGCGGAGGGCTTGAGTTTTTTGGCGGAGACAGAGGAAAGCCTCTGGTCGAGAGGATTAGAGCGCGCGTTTTCTCCGCCGAGCACGCTGCCCGACGCCGTCGCAGCCGCGCACTTCCCGGTTTTGAAAGCCAGAGAGATGAGTCAAGCGCAAAAGCTCCGGAGTGACAATGCGAGCTTTTGGCCAGCCTCATCCTCCTCCCCATTCCCTTGCCTTCTTTTAGGTCTTCGGTTCGTGACAAGTGCATAGGTTAGGCTTGCACGGAAGAGGGTCGGGGCAGGTGCCAGCTCAGGGCACCTACCCGGCGTTGTCACGTTCCCTTTGGGATCAATGATCTTTCATAACTAGGCTGGGCATGTTCGTGCAGCCCTCTGGGCACTCTGGGGGACGTTCTCATAAGGCTTTTTTTCTTTTCTTTTCTACCTTTTAACAGAACCTTCTAGGAAAAGTGTTTTTTAAAGTTTTAAATATACTGATGTCTACAGAAACGGATAACAAAATTTCAAAGCGGAAGGGAGGAAACAAAAGGAAAAGGTGTTTTACTTGGCAGTCATTGCTGAAGCTACCATAGTGTAGGATAGAGGAAGAGCGTTTCAGAAGAGAATTGGTTAAGTAAAACCTTCAGCTGTAACGTAATAGAAAAGACACAGTAAATGGGAAAAATAATAAAATGTACACTAGATACATTACACAGACGATTGAGAACTTATGCTCCCACTGAAAGCCTCTTTCTCCCAGGGAGAATATTTATGGAGGAAAATTATTTAGTTATTTTCACAGTATTACATTGTCCTTTGAATGAAAGTTTTTTTTTTTTAATCAGTCAGCTAGACTTGGTTCTTTAATTAGGAGGCACAATGAAGTTTCTAACAGATGTTGTCAGCCACAAACTCTGATCCAAAATAATAAGTGTAACTAATTTTCGGGGACAATCTTTAGTTTGTAAGGCCTGAAATTAAAATACGATGCTTTTAAACACTGTGGTTCAAAAATGTAGGAAAACATTTGTTCCAGATCTTATAGTGGCACCATTTCCTTGCTCTGTGTTGGAAAAGCCTTAAGTAGGATATGACCCTTCTCTCTCACTCCAAAACCTCTTTTTTCAAACTTGATTTCTTTCTGATCTTAGAAATTCTACTTTAAAAATATTTCCTGATTTTTAAAAGTCAGCCAGATGAGGTGAAATCCTTAAAATATAACATATTCCTGATCAGATCACATAACTTTTCTCATAAACTAAGTCTTATAAAGAATATGCTTAAGCAACTCTTCATCTAAATATAGCTTTCAAATATGTATAATTTAATCTGAATCGGTGTTGTCAAACTTCCAGTACCCTGAAATATAAGCACAAAGATCAAATTATCTATAATTGTCAGATAAATGTGGTAGCCACTGGTTCTGCTTGGTGTAGTAAAAATTAATTAACAATTAATCATTTTTAAATTGAATATACAATGTTAAGACAAAATATTGAGTGGGATGCTCTAATATATCCAGTTCTTAATTCTTGGCATGGCATCATGACTTCTAAACTCTATATGGTGTGTTGAAGATTTGAAGATTTGTCATTGTAAGTTACCTGTTTCCTACACATTGGAAAGAGGGGGAAGTTAATACGTTTTCTATAGCATTCAACTCCTCTGCTGCCAAAACATCTTATAGTTTGGACTGCATTTTAATATATGCCATATTTTGAAATCTATTTGGTTTTGAACAAGCTGCAGCCTCTGTGCAAATAACCTGTCATCCTTTAGTGGATCTTTATGGCTATTTTAAATAAAAGTTTTTTTAAAGTGCCAAGAGAGAACATTACAAAGTGAGGTCTGTCTTCTTGGGATTCTATATCTATTTGAGGGTGAAGGGTAGATAGGGCTGATGTTACATCTTTTGACAGAGGGCTAGTAGAATCCTATGTTTCTGACACAAATTAAATGTGATTTCCGCCAAATTGACTGTCTCCTGGCGTGGAGGCACATCACCACGATTTTGGTTTGCCACATTGAAATAAATAAGAAAACAAAGGCTGGACTTGCAAAAGCTACTACTTATTTTTCAGCTTCTTTAATGACTAGGATTCTTTCACTTATCTGCCCTGGACTACACACTGACAGGCTGCTGGAATTCTGAGCAGTAAAAAAATTCTAGATGGCCAATATAATTTAAATGACAAATGTGTATTGAGCACATACTGTAAGGACAGGGGTAAAAAGTGGAAGACCAGTAACTCAGCCGTCCAAATGAATGGGCCTTACCAATAAGCCTAAGACACTGGGATGGGGCTGCAACTTCTTTTCATAGCAGTTTCATAAGGCTTTCTTTTCTTTTCTACCTTTTAATAGAATCTCTGTTGAATGATTTTTTTTTATATTGTGCTAAGTAGTTTTTCCTAGCTGTCTCAATTGTTCTAGAGCTTCTTCGTGTGTCATGGAAGGCCTGAAAGTCTGGGCCAGGATTATAATTGTTAAAAAAATCATTTTTCTCAGTTCGTTCTCTCTTTTTAAATACTAGGATATTTGCTTCGTTAATAGTAGAATTTTAGTCCTTTCTTTAAAAAAATTGTTTGTTTGTTCTTCATTAACATTAATGACATTTCTCAACTGCATTTGCTTCAGTCTCATTTGGGAATCTGCCTAGTCTTGTCTCCTTAACGGGTTAGCGGTGATGACACCTTAGTACCAGAGGTTCCCTGAGTTTTGCTGTCAACTCACTTATATGCCTTTTTTAAGGGAAGTAGGTTGGAGGGGTTACCCTCATAAAGCTCGTATTCTCCATATTTGTAAAAGGGATTTTGAAACATTTCTTTACCCATTGGAAATTATAAAATCATCGGAGGCATTACAAAGTAGCAGAAAATGCTGGAAAACAAAAGAAGAGATCTATGGACTTTGTAATGGGCATTTGGATGAGAGCTTCTAGATTATGGTCTGAAAAAAGGAACTATACTTTCTATTTCAGTAGTATTTTATTGTTCAATAGTGAAGTTTTAAATATGATGGTTTCTTGCCCTTCAAAAATGTACCTTAATACTGTATGCTCAAGCAGAATTAAAAAGTAAACTGGTTGAGTTTAGAAATATTCTATTAGAAAACTGTGTATGTTTAGTTGGTTTCTATTTTATGTTAAACAAAGTGCAGGGAGTTTGAATAAATGAATTTTAAGTATTTTTATTACAAATTTAATTTACTTCTGGTTGTGGTTTTTTTAAGTTTGCTCTTATAGATAAACATTGCTGCCTTTCACAGCATTTCACATTTGAAATATCTGTATATTGTGTTCTGGGTCCATCGAGCTGAAAGCTTGTGGCAAAATATTAACGTTTTTTCAATTTCTTAATTGAAAGGATACTTTAAGCTGTGAGAAGTGGCACGTGTCTGTAGTCCCAGCTACTTGGGAGGCTGAAGCAGGAGGATTGTTTGAGCCTAGGAGTTCAAAGCCAGCCTGGACAACATAGCGAGACCCCATCTCCTAAAAAAAAGGGAATACTTTAAATATAAGACATACTTGAAAAAACTTTTTAGAACATTTTACATTTGACATTTCTGTCTCTAACATAAATTAATATATAAGGTGCAACGTTTTGCTTGATAGGAAGTTTATACTGTAAATAAACCCATAAGTCAAATGAATATACTTGGTTTCTTTCTATACACATGACAGTTAATTTTACTTTATTTAGATTTTTGCTTCTCCTAGGATTACCAGTTTCAAAAAGTTTTTTCTTCAGTCAGACTTCGGGAAGCTAGTCCACCTAATTTAAAATAAAATGACATGAATTCCCAGTATTTCATTTGTTCATTTCACATCTTTTCTTTGTCTGCCCAAGGACTGTTAGTCAACTTTCATCAAAAGAAAACTATTTTTACCATTTATAGTTCTGCCTCTGCCAGGCTGGTAATATCCATCTTCCCTTACTGGGTTACTATAATCAACCTGGCTATTGTTTTGCATTGGGATTTTTAAAAGTTAATACATATATATATATATATATATATATATATATATATATATATATATTTTTTTTTTTTTTTTTCTTTTGAGACAAGATCTCACTCTGTCACTCAGGTTGGAGTTCAATGGCATAATCTCGGTTTATTGCAGCCTCAACCTCCTAGGCTCAAGCAATCCTCCCACCTCAGCCTCCCAAGTAGCTGGGACCACAGGCATGTGCCACCATACCCAGCTAATTTTGTTTAATTTTTATAGAGATGGGAGCTCACTATGTTGCCCAGGTTGGTCTCAAACTCCTGGGCTCAAGTGATCCTTTTGTCTTGGCTTCCCAAAGTGCTGGTAATACAGGCATGAGCCACCACGCCCAGCCCAAATATGTTTTTTCATAAAATTTAGAAAACAGGGGGTTGGGCAGCAGTGGCTCACACTTGTAATTCCAGCACTTTGGGAGGCAAGGTGGGAGGATCACTTGAGGCCAGGAGTTTGAGACCAGCCTGGGCAATATAGCAAGACCCCCATGTCTACAAAAAAAAAAAATTAGAAAACACATTGTGACCAATTAGAACAAAATTTGTATACAAAAGTGACATGTTTTTTGCTTTTTTTGTTGTTGTTGTTCAGCCAGGGGCACTCCTCCTGTGGACTTTGATTATGTGTGTTGCCACTGCTGTGTTACTTGCCTTACACTAAGTCCTCTCAGACTCAAGTGTCATCGTGATGGGCTCAGGTGTACCTAAGCTACCTTCCAATTCCATGCCCTCCTTGCACTGGCTCAGGACCATGACTGCAGTAGAAATAAACTTAGACCTAGTGTTTACCAACAAGCTCATGTAACCTTTGGCGTGCAGGGCCTCAATTTCTTTATGGGTTAAATATAAGTTATTGAGATTAAATGATATTTGCAAAAATATCCAACTTAAATCCAAGAATTTCAGAGTATTTTAAGTTATTTTTAAAGGGCAAAGTATGTGACCTTCCTTTATCTATGTGTTTCTTTTTTTTTGAGACGGAGTCTTGCTCTGTCGCCCAGGCTGGAGTGCAGTGGCGCCATCTCGGCTCACTGCAAGCTCCGCCTCCTGGGTTCACGCCATTCTCCTCAGCCTCCCAAGTAGCTGGGACTACAGGCGCCTGCCACCACGCCTGGCTAATTTTTTATATTTTTAATAGAGATGAGGTTTCACCGTGTTAGCCAGGATGGTCTCGATCTCCTGAGCTCGTGATCTGCCCGCCTTGGCCTCCCAAAGTGCTGGGATTACAGGCGTGAGCCACCGCGCCTGGCATTATCTATGTATTTCAACTATACCAAAAAACTATAGAGAATATTATAAACCAACACCTATCTCCAATATACTTATTTCTGTGTACCTATCTCCAAGACATTTCAAAGCTATCTTTAACTCATCTTTAAAAAATATATACAAGCCAGGGGCAGTGGTGCACACCTGTAGTCCCAGCTACTCTCAAGGCTGAGGCAGAGGCTGAGGTAGGAGGATCGCTTGAAGCCAGAGGTTCAAGGCTGCTGTGAGCTATGATAGTGCCTTTGGATAGCCACTTCACTCCAGCCTGGGCAACACAGTGAGACTCCATCTTTAAAAAATAAAATAAAAAATTAAAATACGTACATTTTTAAATGTTAAAGCCTCCTATATACTCTTTCCATCTCTTTTCCCTCCCTCCCTCCCTCACCAAGGTTATTTCCATGTATGTTTTCCATGTATGTAATTTCCATGTATGTACAGACTTTTATATTTGTATGTATAGTAATGTTTGTCTTATTAAAGAAAGCTGACATAAATAGTATCATCATACACGTGTTCTTTTTAACTAAGCATTATGTTTTTCTGAGATATATTCATACTGATATATGTTGCTTTGTTTCATTCCATTATCAGTACTGTAGAAGTTAATGGACATGCCATTATTAATTTATCTATTTTATAATGTTCACTATTTCAAATGAGGCTGTTGTGAACTTCTCATACATATCTCCCTGTACACAGGTATAATTGTCTTTCTAGGATACCACATAGAAATGGAATTGTGGGGTCACAGGATATGAATATTATCAACTTTGATAAATATCACTAAATTGATTTTCAGAGTGGTTGCATTAATTTACACCGATACTATTATAGCTTCATGTGAGTGTTCCTTTTGCAAGTATATTGTCACCAACACTTTGATAAGGTCTGACATTCAAATACTTTTCCACTTCAGCTGGATCTAAGATGGTGACTCATTTTTAAATTATGTTTTCCTGACCTAGTGAAATTGAGCATCTTTTCACTGTTGGACACCTGGTTTTCCTCTGCTGTGAATTGCTTGTTCTTATCCTTTGCTCATTTTTTATTTGGGGAGATTTGTTTTCATTAATAATTTATTATTCTGTGTCTAGTGTGGATTCTAATTCCTTACTGGTATGTTTGCTGTAAAAATATTTTCCTAAATCTTTGGTTTAGCCTTGCGTTGTTTATGGTGTCTTAAAAATGCAGAATGTTTTTAATACAATGAAATGTATTCATCTTGTAGAGTTTATCGTTTTGTCTTTTAAGAAATTCTCATCTAAAAGTTATAGATATAGTTACCCATATATTCTTCTAAAAGCTTCATAAAATTTTGTTGAGTCTTTAACTTACCTAAAATGTATTGTTGTTGTTATGAGATAGAAAGCTGTTTTACTCTACCAAGTGGATAACTAAGTATCCAGGCACCTTTTGTTAAGTAGCCCATCCTTTCCTTGCACTTTTAAAATGCCATCTCTATCATGTATCAGTTTTATGTATACTTGTGTATGTCTCTTTTCTTGTCATTGGTCTATTTGTATTTGTTCCACTATCCCTGTTCCATTACACTGGAGAACATTGCTGTATGTCTTGATATCTGATAGAGTGAGTTCCCAATTGTGTTTTTCAAAATTGTCTTGGTTATTCTTGGTGTTTTGCTCTCCTGTATGGATTGTAGGGTCAGTAGATATACTTTTTAAAAAGTGGGAAAACATTATAAAAAGTATTTTTGAGCTAATATCCACAATAACTTTTTGTAGATCTGAAACTGGAAATATTTAATGGTTTCTCTATTTAATTGTTGGATCTTCACTGAAATGCAGTATGTGGTTGATACCAAACTAATTTGAAACCTGCTGTTGAATTTGGCTGTCCTGAATTTCAGTGCATGAACAAAGTTGGAGAAGTTTAGATTAAAAAAAAAAATTGGAGCTTGACTAAGCTGAAGTGTTGGGTTGCAAAAAAAAAATGAGATTTTTTGTTTTCTTAAGTAGCATTTGAATTGAGATGTAGAGGTAAGGCCAGGTAATCGCTTTCTTTTCTCCTTTTGTCATTAAGCAGAGGTAGAACAATGGGTGTTACTTGAGAGCTGCCCTTCTAACCCTTGCTGCTCTTAAAATGCCTTCAGGTCATCACAAGGTTCTTAGTGGTGTTTTAATTTTTTAATTTAATGTTTAACTTCTGAGAGAATTGCTTATAAACATTTACTTTGTTGATGTTGCTGGGACATGGTTAGATAATGGTGGCTATGGGTGATGATAAGGGATTTCATAGTATGTTTATTTTGGGGAGCGATTAAAAGGATTGTCATAGTTTTATTTAATTGGAAATTTATTTTGGATTCTTTCGTCCTTAAGGCATCTAATATTAGAAATGAATTTTAATGTTAAAATGTACAAAGATATCTAACTCTTAAGGTTTTTAAAATGTATTCTGCTTTATACAAACTTAGAAAATATTTTTTATTATCCTCATCAAATGTGACTTGACATCATAGTTGTTTTATAAATATTTTGAGATTTATTTTCTTACTTATTGTCTTTGCCCACTAGAAGAAAAAATGATATTTGAGGCATTCTATTCATTCCGTGTTATAACTTATCAAGGATTGGCCCTAGATACTCTGTGTTTACCTATAGAGAGTGTGGTTGCTCGTTCAAGGTCCTGATTTTTCTCAATTTTTCATCCTTTTCTGTTCTGAGCTTCACTTGACCAGCTTCCTCAACTGTGTGTGGCCAAGAGAGGAGGAATAGAGTTGGCCATTCTCTTTTGGAGCATTCAGCAGGATTACATGTTATGGAATTTAGGAATTTTTACTTTATTATAATGCAATGTTATTAGTTTGTGATTATTTTTGTTCTTTTTCTTTTTTGTAAGTTGATTTATTCCAAGTTAAGAAAGACCAAGATATACCTAGTCAGAGAATACCTTTACAGACATACATAGGAACAGAGATTTGGAATTTAAGATAATTGCTCATTGATTCATTCACTCATCATACATAAGCATGCATATTATGAATAAAGTGTCAGTATAATGTATTGTCCAAAGCAGGACACTTTTGAGACTGAAAGGGGGCATTAGGGACAATTATACCAGGACTATAAACACAAATCAGGATCTTCCCTGGCAGGTCATCAGATACTGACTACTGTGTGTCATGCTTCATACATTCAGGACATTTTAAATAATTTAGTTAACCCTCAGGGTGGGAAAGGAAGGGAAAGAGTTGATTAGAAAGGAGAGGCTTCACTCACAGACTGCAGGTTTATTGGGTGCTAAGTGTGCCCTGCTGTAGTCTGTTAGTTTCATTTCATTGGCATACTGTACCTTGCTTCCTTACTATCTATCCTTAGACATTTTAAAAAATTATCTTTAGCTTCTGCATTACTTTTATTTGGGGCTGGTAACATACTTCTGGCCCTTGTCTTTGTTACTATTTTTCTTACTTTATAGTTGGATTAGTTGGATTTTCAGACCATTCTCTAGGCAAAATTGGTTAGCTGTTTCTTTTGACCACTTAGGAAGAAGGCCTCCTAGTAATGCATGTGCTTTTTATTCCTGTCTGATTGCTCCAATCAAACGTTTTGTAGGTGGTTTATCTGGAATATAAAGAATCTGAAAGGAGCACAGACTTTCACCCCAGGTCCAGATCTTACTTATTTTTGGACATGAGTGTACTCGGTTCTCAAGGCAGAACAGCTTTGTGTGCCTGTATTCCAGTATTGTTGCTTTAATTGCAGTTTGCTTCCTTCTCCAAAGGGAGAGTGAGTGGTGAATCAGTGGAGGAGTGACAGATGGAGGAAGGGGTCACCTTTCCTTGTGTAGGTATATGGACTGTTTGGCAAAGAGTCATTTTGTTTTTGTGGGTAATGCTCTCCCCCACTTTTCTGAAATCTATATCTGAGAGTACAAAATATGGGAGTGTGTGTTTGCTGATAATCAGATCAAAGGTTCCCAGGGGGCTAACCTACCTGAAAAGGGAAAGGGGCTATTGTGGCTCTCTGCAGCCTGACCTCTCCACTCTCTTATTGTAACAAAGTTTTTGATAGGCATCTAGATAGAAAGCTGCTGGGGGGAACTTCCCAGGTGCTTCTGAGATGGAATGTGTGCATCTATCCATGGATACGATAAATGTGAGCTATTGAGGGTAGAAAAAAAACAGTAACATATATGCTAACATGAATATTGAAACAGATTGTTAATCTTTCATCAGAGCTTCTTGGTTTAGAAACCTTTTATTTGGCAATAATGAATGTAACTATTGACTAATATTGTTTAAGAGACTGCTATTTGTGGCACCAAAGATAAGCATAACCTGAGTGACTTCTTGACCCTTTGCAAATATTTACAGGCTGAAATAATATAGTTTGACAAAAGAGCCAAGTGATTTTGGAGTGGCTTATTTTCTGGTTTTCCTACAGTTCAGAAGATAATTTATCTGATAAAAATGGTAAGTTTTGCTTGTGGAGGTGTAATGGATTTTGAAACACAAAATATGGATTAATTTTTTTTGAGGCGGGATAGTAATGGTGATAACGGTATGTATGACACATGCTGTTATGAATATATTAAAAAGCATTTTAACATGTTAGAGTCATCAAAAGTTATGCCCACTTCCATTTTATACATTTTGGCATTTCTTGATTAAAAATATATTGTCAACATAAAACTACCATTTCTTGGAATAGATGCTTGTTAAAAATGTATCCTTATCAGTTTATCAAAAACAATTGTTAAAAATGATATATTTGTGGAAAGGGGAAAAACTTTCCAAAATAAATATTTTTATGGAAACAATGAACTCTTTGCTAGATTTCCTCTTCTAGTACATGATTCTTCTAATAATGTAATACATTTACAACAGGTCTGATACCTTTAATTCTCCAGTTCTTTCACACAGTTAAGTGCTTGCTGCAATCTTCTTAAGGCTGAAAGAATGACACATTCAAGAAGTCTTTGACAGTGTTTAAACACCTCTTATCAAAACTTAATTTCCATGAATGATTGATTTTGGCACTTGATGGAAGGCTGAAGAATGTTCAATTACCCCATTTTCATGTGCTAATGAAGCCGAAAGTGACTTAAGAGGATTTCTTTACACTGTGGCAGCCTGTTTGGATATGCACATGACTTCTTAGGTTTCTCTCCCAGGGTTTGTCTCTACTAAATAGTTGTCTTATTGAGTAACTGTAGCTAATCTGTCTGCTTGGCCACAGGCCTTGGCCTTCCTCTGTAGAGTGGACTGTAATTAGTGAAGCTGTCAACCAGGTGTTTAATTTCAAGAGAACTTATTTTGTTCAAATCTTCCAATAACTTGCCAAATCAATCAGGTTTAGATTTTCTGTTTGTTCACGAGCACTCCTTGAATTTTGAGTAAAATGAATATGGAAAACCTTTTAAACTAGGAAAAAATGCAACTTTCAATTCGAAACTTTGGGTTTATAAAGCTTGACTATGAGTTTCAATTTTTCACACATTGCGCTAGAATTATCATTAAAACACTTAACCTAAGCTTGGCTGGAAATATACGTATCAAATTGAAGAATTTCCTGCCCTGTTTTTTGACAAGGGATGGCTGAATGAGGAAGAAGAAAAATTATACTGTAGGAAAATACATAAGACTCTCCCCACTAAAATACATGCAGTTCATGGGTTTAAATTTTGATGATTCTGCTTCATGTTCTTGCATAATTTTAGTGTTAGAAATGAGAAAACTTTACGGTTAGATATCCTTCAGCCTTGTGATCCCTTTCAGTTTATAATCCTGTGGATCCAGAAAGGTTATTTCTCCAGCATCAGAAGACATCTGAGGCTTGCAGTAAAGTCACAGACTGGTTTTGTGACTCTAGATGAGGCACTTCTAGCCTTTTCAGTTCAAAACAACGATAGTCCTCATCCAAACTGCTCCTTACTTTCTCACAGCCTCCACTTCCTTCTCACGAAGGTGTCCGATTCCTCTGAGCATGGAAAGTGCTGTATTCTGGGGACAGCAGGAACTTGTTTAGATTGAGGCAAACATGCTGCGTGTAAACACTTAATGCGTGTGTTCTAGCAGACTCAGCCAAGACTGATGGATGACTTCTTTTTTCTTTTTCCTCCCTTATATGGATGGTAGGACTGACTTCTCCAGATAACAACTGAGTTGTTGATTAGTGACTTTTGGTATAAACTTTACTTTCGTAGTAAGGAGGAAAATATGTCAAGGAAAGAAGCAGCTCTGTTTCCTCCACAGACCCCTATCTAATGAGCTTGCAATTATGAGAATTTAATACATTAGTCTCGTGGGGTGAACCTAAACTCTACATTGAAGCTTGAGATTCTCAACATCATTTAACATCAGATAGCATTTTATCGTCTCCCTTTGTATGTAGAAGATACTTTCTCTTTTCCTCTACCCTCCCAGGAGTTATCTCCACCTCATCTCCTCACCAAAAATAGATAAAAATAAAAAGAGGGAAGAAAATAAGACCTTTGCCAGATACCATCAAAGTATCCTCAGGGTTTGGGTGGTACACATAACGAAGAAATTACTTCCTTCTTTCCAGTTTTTTGAGGTGAAGGCAGTGTCCTGGCTGGTCCATGCTCCACTCAGGCATGGTGCTGTAGTGGGAAAAGAATATTGAACTGGAAGGCAGCCATGTTCCTCATGGCTTCTCTACTTTGACAACAGAGCAAAGTTATCTCATCACCCTGGGGCTGGGGGTATCACAGTAAGCTTAAAAATGTCTAAGGTCTCTTCAAACTCTCTGCTCAGTGATCGTTTATGGCACTTGTGTGTAATTTGGAAGGTGTACTAAGACATGGCAACACACTGCACTCAAAGTCATGCTTATTATCTGCAGCATCCCCATTGTATTTCATTGGGGCTTGGTCACTATCACATCTGACTTGATTTCTCTTCCTTCTGAGTGATTTCTCTCTCATTTTTCTTAGTTTGCTTCCTTACCATTCTACATGTTCTTTAGGAGTTGGTGAACCCAAAATTATTTGAGACAGGCCAGGCACAGTGGCTCACACCTGTAATCCCAGCACTTTGGGAGGCCGAGGAGGGCGGATCACGAGGTCAGGAGTTCGAGACTTGCCTGGCCAACACGGTGAAACTCCATCTCTACTAAAAATACAAAAATTAGCCGGGTATGATGGTGGGTGCCTGTAATCCCAGCTACTCAGGAGGCTGAGGCAGGAGAATTGCTTGAACCTGGGAGGTGGAGGTTGCAGTGAGCCGAGATGGCGCCACTGCACTCCAGCCTGGGTGACAGAGCGAGATCCATCTCAAAAAGAAAAAAAACATTATTTGAGACAAAGGCAACTGTCATTTTTGTTACAATACTATTTGAGCAGACCATTCATGTGAAATTATCTACTACTGCATCTTCCAAATTACATGCAACTAAAGATGGGGGTATTGACAACTCGAAAGTTACATTCATAACTAATATTCTTGGTACTTTTAATTTTTTTAATTTCTTAAGACTTTTAAACAAAGCAGGTGATATATAAACTTCCCACATTATTTGGACTTTGCTCTCCTTTACCTAAGAGTTCTCCTGCTGTCATTCGTCCCTTGAGGTTAGCTAACAAGGTCACCTGCCTGCCTACCTATTCTTTTTGCATTGCACTGGTAGCCTTCTTTCTGTTTTCCTAAATGCATCTCCTAACGACTTTCTCCAGCTCCAAGCTCTTCCATCTCCAGTCTTTCCTCCTAAACTTCTTAACCAGTAGTTGGTACGCCCTATGAGGACATGAGCCAGGCCTCTCCTCTTCCCCACTGCACCCTGTGCATTCGCTCAATGTTTGTTCCACGAAAAATGTACCGTTTTGATGAAATCTCTTTTTATCTCCAGAACCTCTAATGGCTTTACATCATGTGCAGACTAAATTTCAGGCATCTTAATCCCACATTTTTTCAAAGCATTTTAAGAAATGGTCCCAGTGGGGCTGGGCGCGGTGGCTCACGCCTGTAATCCCAACACTTTGGGAGGCTGAGGTGGGTGGATCACGAGGTCAAGAGATCGAGACCATCCTGGCCAATGTGGTGAAACTCCATCTCTACTAAAAATACAAAAATATTAGCTGGGCGTGGTGGCGCGCGCCTGTAGTCCCAGCTACTCTGGAGGCTGAGGCAGTAGAATCACTTGAACTCAGGAGGCAGAGGTTGCAGTGAGCCAAGATCGTGCCACTGTACTCCAGCCTGGCGACAGAGTGAGGCTCCGTCTCAAAAAAAAAGAAATGGTTCCAGTGTTTCTCACATGACTCACACTTGTGGAAATCTTCTCCATGTGCCGAGCTGGGGTGCCCCTCCTTAAAGCCTTTCAGTACCTGGGCACCAGATCCCCACCCTTTCACACTCTTTTGCCACAAGTGTCTCCTTTATAACATTTGCGAACACACTGAATATTTACTAAGTGCCTGGTACAGAGGATATAGACAAGATAAGTCAAGCGGCTCTCTAGGATTCTCCTTCTCTCCCAGGACAGGCAGGCAGGAAAGGAGGGCCCAGTCAGACCCCTTCTGAGTGTGAGAGGGAGGGTGGGGCTCTGATGGTGCCCCTTACTGGAAGT
The DNA here is from genome assembly GCF_000001405.40 of Homo sapiens. NCBI lineage: Eukaryota > Metazoa > Chordata > Mammalia > Primates > Hominidae > Homo > Homo sapiens. Next base: position 106,008,716 of record NC_000006.12, read on the forward strand.
AAAGGCAGAGACTAGACACTGGCTCTTTATCCCCGTTTCTCCAGGGCTTTCCCCTGATGCTTTGTCTAAAATAGATGCTTGGTTACTGGCCATTGCCTGTACTGCCTTTGCCTTTCTTCTCTTGTTGGCTTTGTATTCTCCTGTCTCCAGTAACTCCCACCTGGAATGTCTACTCCTTCGACTCTACCTCTAGGAATACTCCCCTTTCCACAAGGTTCAAATCACAGACTATAGTCTTCCCGCAGCGGTGGCCAGGTCCATGGCCAGGCATTGTCTCTGACTCCTAAGACCCCAGCAACTGAACACAGGCCCCTCACGGCAGTGGTTATATTCTGCCACGTTCTATGTCTACCCTTTCGCTCACGCCCCCTTCTGTCTTAGCGCTCTTGCCTCCCTAGAACACTTGCGTAGGGGGTTGTCAGGCTCTTGGTATTGGTTCTCAGCATAAATTTACTTTGACAAAAGATGTTTGAAGCAAGGAAATTGGACAAATTCCAAATGAATGAAATATATTTGAAGTATGTATGTGACAATCAGGTTAATGTTACTCGTGTGCTTCAAAGTGGATTCATTCCAGTTCCAATTTATAGTGTGGCAAATATTTACGTGGATTTTTTAGGATGACTTTCGCTTCCTTTTGGTCCGGAAAGCTGGATCACCCTAGGCTGAAGGAAAAAATGTAGAAAGGTTTTAAATTTACTTGGGTTAGTAGTTAGCATTCCTTAGGCAAACAATTCCCCCCAGGATTATATTTTCATTTTCTCACAACTCTGCTCATTTCAAAAAGTTGCACATATTCAAAGCTATAGTAAAGGGGGGAAAGGGTGTGCAAGAAATCTACCTACATATATACACATGGGGGGAAAACTGTATCAAGGTGGAAACCATAAATGAACAAATTAGGGGTGCATGTATGAGAGAGAGCCCTGAAACCAAAGAAGGAGCTAACTCAGGACGAAAGTTTTGAGCATCCAACCTGAGTGTGATGTGATTATCTTCTCCCTCCTGAATTTTTTTTTTGAGATGGAGTCTTGCTCCATTGCCCAGGCTGGAGTGCAGTGGCATGATCTCAGCTCACTGCAACCTCTGCTTCCTGAGTTCAAGCAATTCTCCTGCCTCAGCCTCTTGAGTAGCTGGGATTATAGGCATGCGCCACCACGCCCGGCTAGTTTTTGTGTTTTTAGTAGAGACAGGGTTTCACCATGTTGGCCAGGCTGGTCTCGAACTCTTAACCTCAAGTGATCCACCTGCCTGGGCCTCCCAAAGTGCTGGGATTACAGACGTGAGCCACCATGCCTGGCCCTTCCTGAATATTTGAGTTACCCCTATGGCAGGTCAAAGTCACTGAAGTCCAGCAGGCACTCTGAGAGCTATGGGGTCCCAAGATGTGCCCAGTTCCCCTCTCTGCAGAGTATGGTAAGCTTGGCGTAGGGCCTCTACAAACTAATTTAGCTTGTGTAATTAATTCTCACAGCTTGAGATACCCAAGAGTCTGACAGGCACTCTTCGACAGGCGTTTCTAATCCTTTACTTACTTGTTTATCCTTGCAGAACCCCTTTTTCAAAGAAAAGCTTACAATGAATCTTAATAAATAGAATATGAATAAATGATAGTTTAATACTACAAATGCATAATCATACATATTTTATATATTTATGTTTAAAGCATTTATTTATTAGGAGGTGAATCAGCTCAACTTTTTTGACTCCCAAACAAGAAATCTATGGTTATGGATGACAGTTATAGCCTTGTATCAGCCCGTGCATCTAATTAAATTCTACATCTTTAGAATTTAATTAAGCATATACACCATGCACCTTATCAAATCAATCCATTTCATGAACATATTGGCCAGTTTGATTCAATTCAACTTAAAGCTAATTGACCTTATCACCTCTATCAGCAAGTTTTCTTTTTAAACTTACTTTTTTAAAAAGTTCTAGTTTTAAGGTCACAGAAGCACCCAAAACTATGAAGTACTAAAACTAGAATTCTCTGAAGCATGACACCGTGGAGCCGTATTATCACCACGTGCCCTGTCGTGTCAGGGGTGCATTTGTTAACTGCACAACTCACTTTTGGCCAAGAACCTGCATGGGGCGATGACCTCGAGCCTTTCCCAGGATGTCACTGAGCTCAACCTGTGGGTACTGGAGATCCACTTAGATAGCTTGAAGTGTGTGGACTTGCTCAGGACTACAGGTTTAAAAGACCAGGGCAAAGCAAGTGTCCTCTCAGTAATGCACATCTGGGGATTTCAGCTGCAGCCACTGAGTAGCAGCAGGACCAGCCTGCAGAGTCCCATTTGAAAGCTCTTGCTGTGGTAGGCCCTGCACCGTTAATCCCCATAGGGTGTACCTTTTCATCTTCATTGTCTTCTCTGATTGTATCTTTTTATCTTGGGGTAGTTTTCTTCTATTTGTTTGTTTTGTTTAGCTTTTCTATTTTAAAGAATTAAATTACATTGCTATAGATATTACCGAAGATGTACCGAAGACTTAAATTTATCACCTTTATAACAATCCCAGAGCTAAGAAGACTCTCTGAGGAACCTCTGTTGCTGATTTGGGCCTAGTCTGTGGAAAGGGCAGTTGACCCTATACTGGGATTTCTTGATGTTGACTGCAGCTATTGTAAACTTATTATAAAAAGGCACTTAGGTCCTTTTGTTTAGTAAGACTTGAACTCTTCAGTCTGTCTCCAGCCTGGGAGAATACCAGGACTTGCCTGGGTCTGTCCAGGTTGCTGGAGGCAGCCTGCCTTCCTGGGGTGGAAGCAGGAAGAGTATGTGCGAGGGGAGCAAGCCTTGGGAGTGTGAGGAGCGGAGTACACTATACCCTCCTCCCTGAGGGCAGTGCCCAGACAAGTGGGTGAGAACCCTTCATTCCCTCCTGCCTTCTCACCCCCCGCCCCCTGCAAAGCTGCTTACTGTGGTGCAAGGAAAAGGAGTTGGAGTCCGAAGTCCCAGGTTAGTGGTATTGCCAAAGCGGGTGGCTTGGGAGTGGTTCAAGCTCACCTCAACATTCAATTTAAATGAAGACTGTGCTGGTGGCCAAGTTCTTACTCTCAGTCAGCCTCCTGCCTCAGTCACTCACATACACACCCCCACACATTCACACACATGCCACACGCAAACACAGTACACAAGTACCACAGCAGACACACACCACACCCCTTCACATTCACACACTATACACACATACCACACACACCACACCTCTCCACATTCTCACACACCACACTACACACACACACAAACATACCACACACACCACACTCCTCCACATTCACACACACCACTCATACAAACATACCACACACACCACACCCCTCCACATTCACACACCACACTACACACACACACAAACATACCACACACACCACACCCCTCCACATTCATACACACACACACAAACATAACACACACACCACACCCCTCCACATTCACACACACCACACTACACACACACACAAACATACCACACACACCACACTCCTCCACATTCACACACACCATTCACACAAACATACCACACACACCACAACCCTCCACATTCACACACACCACTCACACAAACATACCACACACACCACATCCCTCCACATTCACACACCACACACACACAAACATACCACACACACCACAACCCTCTACATTACACATACCACACACAAAACATACCACATACACACATACACAAAAAACATACTACATACACACAAACATATCACATGCATATCACACCCCTCCACATTCACACACACACACACCCCTCCACATTTACACACATACCATACTACACACATGCACACACTGGCATACCAGCCCCACACACCCAACACTCCCCACACACATCCCACATCACACACACCACACATATTGCATGTGTTGCAAACATACACCATACATTACCCCCCTACACACTCAGCCCACTATTATACTTGCTTTGCAGCTGGCAACTCCCCCTCTCCCAGCACCTGCCCCAGATGTGTTCAGGTAAATGGTTTTCTAGAACAACTTCAGAAAACTCGGGAACTCTGAAGAGCGGAACCTGAGTGATACACTCTAGGGAAAAGATTACTTGTTTCTCTGTCTGAAAATGCAGAAAAAGGTTTGAAATTTGTTTTCTGCTTTTTCAGTTTTTAATTTGTCAGATGGCTGAACAGATATGCCATTAGATGTATAAGATTTGGCATATCCTTTTGTGTGTGTGTGAGACGGTCTCATTCTGTCGCCCAGGCTGGAGTGCAGTGGCACCCTCTCAGCTGAAGCAATTCTCGTGCCTCAGTCTCTCCAGTAGCTAGGATTACAAGCGCGCGCAATCACACCTGGCTAATTTTTGTATTTTCAATAGAGACGGGGTTTCACCATGTTGGCCAGGCTGGTCTCGAACTGTCCTCAATCAAGCCAACCTCCTCAGCCTCCCAAAGTGCTGAGATTACAGGTGTGAGCCATCATGCCTGGCCATACTCTTCAACAACAGATCATCAATAATTGCAGTGCTTATCATCAACCTTCCCAATCCCTCTAAAACAGAAATTTTGTACAGGCATCTGCCTAAACTGAGCTTATCCTCATTCACCCCTGCCTGTAAACTGCTTTTTGAACTTTTCTTTTTTTTTTTTTTTGAGACAGAGTCTCTCTTTGTTGCTCGGGCTGGAGTGCAACTGCGTGATCTCAGCTCACTGCAACCTCCACCTCCCGGGTTCAAGCGATTCTCATGCCTCAGCCTCCCGAGTAGCTCGGATTACAGGTGTGTGCCACAACACTCGGCTAATTTTTGTATTCTTAGTAGAGACAGGATTTCACCATGTTGGCCAGGCTTGTCTCAAACTCCTGACCTCAGGTAATCCACCCACCTTGGCCTCCCAAAGTGCTGGGATTACAGGTGCGAGCCACCATGCCCAGCCGACCTTTTCTTAAAGTTCCTTTCTTCTTTTGAGAGTCATTTTCACCAAGAGCCAATATTGTATAGTGCTGCCAAGAGTTCCTGAGGTCCCATAAGTACCAGTAGAGATTCCGCTGCTGAAGTGGCTGCTTGTCCGCTTGGCTAGCCACACTGTCCTCTGCCCTTTCCTCCCAGCCTCTGTTCACTTGCTGGTTCTTCTGCATAGAATTCTTTTCCCCCTAATCTTGTTCCCCTCCCTTTATGGGTTTGGTCACCTCTTCACAGAGGCTTTTCCTGCTGCTCCTAACAAAAGGAGCTTCCTCCTTCCCAATTCCTTTATCCTGCTTTATTTTATTCCTCCATAGCTCTTGTCACTGTCTAAATGTATTTATTTGTTTACTTCTTTACTGTCTGTCTCTCCAACCAGAATGCTAACTCTATGAGGACAAGGAATTTTTTTTTTTTTTTTTTTTTTTGAGACGGGGTCTCTGTCATCCAGGCTGGAGTGCAGTGGTGCGATCATGGCTCACTGCAGCCTCTGCTTCCCAGGCTCAAGCCATTCTCCTGCCTCAGCCTCCTGAATAGCTGGGACCACAGGCATGCACCACCATGCCTTGCTAATTTGTTATTTCTTTGTAGAGACAGGGTCTCCCTGTGTTGCCCAGGCTGGTCTCAAACTTCTGGGCTCAAGTAATCCGCCCGCCTCTGCCTCCCAAAGCGCTGGGATTACAGGTATGAGCCACTGCTGCCTGCCTCAGGACAAGGAATTCATGTGTTTGCCTTGTTCACTGTTGTCTCCAGTGTCTGAAACAGTTTCTAGCACATAAGAAATGTTCAAAAAAAAAAACTTGAATAAAAAGTATTGAACAAAGGACTTGGATGAATGCAAATGCTGAAATGCTCAGGATTTTTTAAAAAATTGAAACCAGATTATTTTAATATATATGATCTACGTTTAATCTATAATGTAAGTCTAAATTTAATCTGTAACAAATGTATTTATTGTACATCAATAAAACGATGATAGATAATAGATTTAATCTATAATATTAAATTAAATATACTATAAATTTATTTAATATTATAATACAGTTAATCTATAATCATCACATTTCTAAATTTTGGATTTATCCTGAGAGATAGAACACATTTTTTTTTATAGAACCTTAAAAGGCAGCTGTTGGCCTTCTGGTGACAGGTGTCTTTCTTTCTTTTTTAAAATAACCAAAGCTGTAAATTATTGTGATCAAAAATAGTTTGGGAAGATGGTGAGCAGGGGTTTTGCTTTGTCTTGCTTGTCTTTCTGTGAGATGGGGGTGAGGAGAGAGAACAAGACACAGGGACATAATAAGTTCATAGAGTTCAAGATACAGCCCCCTGGGATGCCCGGTGAATTTCCTTAAATTTAAAAGAACACAGCCTTGCCCTTGTAGTCTGAGCAGTGGTCATCTGGAGGCCACCCCCAACCAAGGGTTCCCTTTGCTGGGATGGATAACTCAAAGGTGGGGAGGTTGCGTTTCTTCCTTTCTTTTACAAGGTGGTAATCTCTTAGCTGCCTATGGAAATAAGGCTGCTTTGAAAGAGGAGCTTTACACATTGTAAACTTTTCCCCCAGGGCAAGTCAGCCATCCTTAATGCTTCTTGAAGTTAAAATTTCTTTTCTCTCTTCCTCCTCTTTTCTTTCCTTTAAAAACTTTTTTGTTAATGAAGTAGAAAATGAGCTTCTCTGCACTTGTTAAAAAGTGCTACTTGGGCAAAGAAAATGTCTGTCCCTTCTACAAATGTGTAAAATTATCCCGTTTGAGCTTGGCATTTGAAGATTTCAGACTCCTCAAGACTTAAATGAAAGGCAAGGTGCTAAACAATGAATATGCCACCTTTTGTATGAGAAAGAGAAAAAGAGATTTGCTGCTGTTTGCTAAAGAAACACTAGAAGAATAAAGAAGAAAGCAGTAACAATGGTCTCTGGTGGACAGGTGTGGATGTAAGGGGTGGGTGGGAAGGGCATGGGTGGAGACAGGACCGAGGGTGGGACTTCTCCCTATTTATCTGTTTATATCATTCTGATTTTTGAATCATGTAGTGTATTACCTATCCAAAAATGTAAAACAAACATTCTTAAATCCCATCTTATTTTGATCTTTGATACTTGTCTGATTTGTTTTTTCCTTTTCTTTCTTTTTTTTTTGCAGGGAGTAGGGTGTGATTTTTAAAAAATTGTAGTAAAATATACATGACAAAAGTTACCATTTTAACCATCTTCAAGTATGCTATTCAGTAGCATTAAGTTTATTCCCAACATTGTACACACTGTCAACATTATCTGTTTCTAGAATTTTTTCTTCATTCCAAATAAAAGCTCTACTGATTCAACAATAACTTTTCCCCTTCCTCAGCCCCTGGCAACTTCTATTATACTTTGTTTATATGAATTTGGCTCATATATATATGTAAAATCATACAATATTTGGCCTTTTGTATGTGGCTTATTTCACTTAGCATAGCATAATGTTTTCAAGGAACATGCATATTGTAGCATGTATCAGAATTTCATTCCTTTATGTGGTTGAATAATATCCCATTGTGTGTATGGATTGCCACATTTTGTCTATTCATTCATTTGTTGATAGACATTGGGCTGTTGCCACCTTTTAGCTATTGAGAAAAATGCTGCTATGAATCTTCTAGTGCTTTCTTCATATTGTTTTATACTTATGATGTATAATTATTTACATTTATCTTTTTATTTACTTTTTAAAAATTTATATTATTTACATTTATCTTTCCTTCTAGCCTGGGAACTTGACTTGAGAGTAAGGGACATGTAGTATGTCTTATTCTTTCTCGCACCCTGGGTACCCGCAGATTAACAAGCAGGTGTTCAGTTGGCATTTAATAAATGTCTGTCAAATGACTAAATGGTAGATGGAAAATTAGTTTTGAGTTTATTTCATAAAGGACAAAAGAAGATTTGAAAAGTTTATTCTTGAACAAGGGTTTGAACTTTGAGGGTCCATTTATGCACAGATTTTTTCTTTTCTCTCTTTTTTTTTTTTTTTTTGAGACAAAGTCTCGCTCTGTCACCCAGGCTGGAGTGCAGTGGCGCAATATCGGCTCATTGCAACCTCCAGCTCCTGGGTTCAAGCGATTCTCCTGCCTCAGCCCCCGAGTGTCTGTGATAACAGGTGTGCGCCACCATGCCCATGCCCAGCTAATTTTTGTATTTTTAGTAGAGACGGGGTTTCAACACGCTGGCCACGATGGTCTCGAACTCTTGACTTTGTGATCTGCCCGCCTTGGCCTCCCAAAGTGCCGGGATTACAGGCATGAGCCACCGTGCCTGGCCGCACAGATGTTTTTCAAGAAATACGTTGGAAATTTTTTGGAGATTTGCAATAATTTGAAGAAACTCCTAGATGAACCATGCAGCCTAGAAATGTTGAAAAAATTAAGAAAAATGCATTATGAATGCATAAAATATATGTAGATACTTGTCCATTTTTGTGTTTGTTAATTGACTGCTTATGTTATTGGTTCTGGTCAACAGGAGACTATTAGTTAAGTATTGGGGAGTCAAAAGTTATATGCAGATTTTTGACTGCACAGGAGAATTGGTGCCCCAACCCCCTCATTGCTCAATGGACAACTTGTATTTGTTCAGCTCTGTCAGCTTTGAAGAAGTGATCTTGTTTATTTGGAATTAGTTTTAAGTTAAAACATATTTAGATGATAGGAAGTTGCTGTAGAAATGTATCCATTTTCTAAACACAACATGGCAGTCAGAAGGCAATATTAATGAACACAGGCTAATAGAAAACACTCTTGCTCTGTGTGTGTCTGAGTCTGGGTGTGTGACTCCATTGTGAACTGGCCTTAGAGGGTGACCTGCGCACCTCCACCCTACCCTTGCCGGAGGGCACCGTGTTATGAATAAAGCAACTAAGTTTAGAAACAGGCAAAGGGAAGCAGAGGTGGGGTTTTGGGTAAGTTCACACAGTTGCTTGGCCAGTCTGACCCTGGGCAAATGTCCCCTTATCTCTCAATGATGGATGATGCAGCAGCTTTGACCAAACTGAACAATCCCCATTTCAAGACCAGCTGCCCAGTTTTTTTCTTTTTCGGAAAGGGACCCTGAAGGATGTTGATTTAGTGGCATCTCCTCACGGTTGACTCTGTCAGTCATCAGGATACTGTGGAAGCAGGGGCAGATTAAAGGCCAGGCCCACTTTTTGAATGAGAAATAAAGCCTGGGGTGGGCTGAGGGTCAGGGGGAGTGTGGGTGGGAAAGTTCTTTCTTATTTCAAACGTGTGCCTCTGGCTTTTGGAGAAATGATATTGAACATGGTGTACCTGTAGGGCTGTAAAGAACCATACTGATAATCTAGTCCAGCGTCTTGGATTTATTGCTGAGGAAATTAACAGATGAGATTGCTCAGGAGCTTTATATGTGACCATGTAACTAGGAGGCAGAACTGGGCAGATACCAAGACATTTTCATCTGAACCGCTCAGCCTTTATGAAACATCTTGATTTTTTGAGGGCTATTTCCTCAACAGAATACTTTAAAAAAAAAATAAAGCTAGAATCAAAGATATTTGATATGAAAAAGTAAATTTGCTAGTAATGGAACGTATAGTTATTAAAGTAGTTTTGTTAATATAATAATTTATAGTGTGTTAAGTAGACCATAATTTTTTAGAACAGCTTAGATTTACAGAAAAATTGAGAAGCTAGTATAGTTTTCATATTCCCCACACTCAATTTCCCATGTTATTCACATCTTACATTAGTCAATTAATGAACCAATGTTGATGTGTTCTCATTAACTGAAATCCATACTTCATTCAGATTTCCTTAGCTTTTACCTAGTGTCCTTTTTCTATTCCAGGATTACATTGAGGAGATCACATTATGTTTAATGGTCATGTTTTCTTCAGACTCTTCTGGTCTTGACAGTTTCTCTGAATTTTCTGGTTTTTCATGACCTTAACAGTTTTGAGGAGCAGTGGGCAGCTCTATTTTAGAATGTCCTTCAATTGAAATATGTCTTTTTTTTTAAATATGATTAGTCTGGGGTTATGGGCTTTTTGGAGGAAGACCAGACAGGTAAAGTGCTATTTCATCACATCATATCAAAAGTATATATCAACATGACTTATCACTGTCGACGTTAACCTGGATCACCTAGCTGAGGTGGTGTTTTCAGGTTTCTCCAGAGAAAAAAATGACCCATTTTTTCCACCTTTTCATATGGTATTCTTTGGAAGGAAGTTACTATATCCACCTCACACACAAGGAGGAGGGAATTATGTTCCACCTCCTTGGGGACAGAGTATCTACATACATTATTTGATATAGTGGGGTTTTATATTCTAAGAAGAGTGCAGGGCACAGTGGCTCACACCTGTAATCCCAGCACTTAGACCGAGGCGGGTGGATCACTTGAGGTCAGGAGTTTGAGACCAGCCTTGCAAACATGGTGAAACCCCGTCTCTACTAAAAATACAAAAATTAGCTGGGGATGGTGGCACACACCTATAGTCCCAGCTACTCAGGAAGCTGAGGCACAAGAATCGCTTCAACCTGGGAGGTGGAGGTGGAGGTTGCAGTGAGCCAAGATCATGCTGGACAGAGTGAGACTCCATCTCAAAAAAAAAAAAAAAAAAAAAAAAAAAAAAGGAAAGCTTAGAACCTTCTATATGATTTTATATGTTATTTTAATATGTTGTATATGTTATTTACTCATATAAATTTACCCAAGTAGCATCTGAAAATAACATGAATGATTGAAATATAGATCGCTCATACTGAGTTTATAGCTTTTTTCTTCTCCCTATAATTAAAAAAAAAATAGAACTGAAAATTTGATTAATTTGCGTTTTCACTTATCTATGCCAAAAAGAAGCTAGCTAAAAATGAAACGGGGTAGCTGGAGAAGTAGATGTGAATATTTTCTATATTGGATATCAACCCCTAATTAATAAGTGATGCACACTATGTTTCTTATTGACTTGCTTAATTTTTTTCTTTTCTTTTTTTTTTTTTTTTTGAGATGGAGTCTTCCTCGATCTGTCACCCAGGCAGGAGTGCAGTGGCATGATCTCAGCTCACTGCAACCTCTGCCTCCTGGCTTCAAGCAATTCTCCTGTCTCAGCCTCCCAAGTAGCTGGAATACAGGCGCCCGCCACCATGAGCAGCTAATATTTGTATTTTTAGTAGAGACGGGGTTTCACCATGTTGGTCAAGCTGGTCTCAAACTCCTGACCTCAGGTGATCTGTCTGTCATGGCCTCCCAAAGTGCTGGGATTACAGGCGTGAGCTGCCTCTTTCAAAAAAAGGAAGAGCCGGGTGTGGTGGCTCACGCCTATAATCCCAGCACTTTGGGAGGCCAAGGTGGGTGGATCACTTGAGGTCAGGAAGAGACAAGCCTGGCCAACATGGTGAAACCCCATCTCCACCAAAAATACAAAAATTAGCTGGGTGTGGGTGGCGTGCACCTGTAATCCAAGCTACTTGGGAGGCTGAGGCAGAAGAATCACTTGAACCCAGGAGGGGAAATAGAACGAGACTCTGTCTCAAAAAAAAAAAAAAACCCACAAACAAACAAAAACATGAAAGTTAAAAAGAGAGGGAACCAATATTTACTTAGAACCTCTTGTATGCCAGGCGGTTTACATTTATATGTGTATTTTTACCTTTTTTTATTTTTTTTGAGACAGGGTCCAGTTCCCTCACCCAGGCTAGAGGGCAGTGGCACAGTGACAGCTCACTGCAACCTCAAACTCCTGGCCTCAAGTGATCCTCCCGCCTCGGCCTCCCAAAGTGCTGGAATTACACGGATGAGCCACCATGCCTGGCCTACATTTATGTTATCTGACAAACACTCAGAGAACTGATGGGGAGCAGTGGAGTATACTGTCCCCATTTTACAGATGAAGAAGCTGAGATTTGGAGAGATTAAGCAGTTTGCCCAAAGTTTATATAGACCAACCTGGATCCAGTCCACGTCTACAAAACCTCTAAGTGTTCTTTGTATTCTATTATGCACCCCCCACCATTTTTTTCCCCTATACTTCATGGTGAATTTGATAAAGGGGAGGAGGAAGGAATAGTTTGTCCTAATTCATAGAACATTCTAAAGTAACGTGTTTGGCATTCCACATGAAACTACTTTTCTATGACTTATGTAATTTATAAATTGATTGTTGGCTATTAAGTACTTGGGCAAGTCCCTTCACACCTAAATCTCAATTTCGAAATGGATAAAAAGAGAACTTTGAGCAGGCCAGCCTAGAGTGCCTCCCAGCAGTCAAACCTGCACCCGGCTCCATGCCAGTCCTTTCCCCCTCTTGTCTACCTGCACATCCTCTGAGGACTTTCATTTTCTTGGTATGGATTTGGGCTCTTATTATAAAAGACTAGCATTAATAAGTACAGTAAAAAGTAGGCCATTCATAACAATAACTTATTAAAGATAGTTTTATTTGATTTTTGATAATCTTAAGAAAAACACAAGTGTGTGCACTAAATCAAGTTGGCAAGACTGTGTAATCTGATGCCAAGTATAAACTGAGCAGACTTCAGGCTTACTGACATCAGATTCTTCGGTTATGCTTTCTTTTTACTTTTTAAAAAGTACTTCTAGTTTCCTATGTTTGGGTGGTTTCCCTTCCCAAGCTCCTTCCCTACTCTTATTCCAATTTCAGTAAAAAATGCAGAAAATGGAGGAAAAGCCAAGAAAGGCTGTGTGCTCTTGCACACAGTGAAGTGAGTGGCAGTGCAGAAATCAGCAGTCTCCCTTTCATTGAAATTTGCCCAAGTAGCCAAGTCTTGAGTAGAGTAAGCCCAGACAGGGTTGGTTTTCTCTGAATTAACCTGAGAGGCTCCTCTCCTTTACTTAGGGCAAAGAAGAAGCTTTCTTGAGTACTGTTGCAGGAAAACATAATGATGGCAATGCAGTTAATTGAGAAGCAAAATGGAACATTCACCTCCTCTTCTCAAAGTGAAATGTTTATTTATTTATTTATTTATTGAGACAGAGTTTCACTCTTGTTGCCCAGGCTGGCATGCAATGGTGCAATCTTAGCTCACCGCAACCTCTGCCTCCCGGGTTCAATCGATTCTTCTGCCTCAGCCTCCCAAGTAGCTGGGATTACAGGCACGCGCCACCACGCCCGGCTAATTTTGTATTTTTAGTAGAAACAGGGTTTCTCCATGTTGGTCAGACTGGTCTCAAACTCCCAGCCTCAGGTGATCCACCCACCTCGGCCTCCCAAAGTGCTGGGATTACAGGCGTGAGCCACCGTGCCCAGCGTGAAATGTTTATTTCTTCAAGTGTGTATCAACTATCAGGAGATTGTCACAAAGTAGACTGATGACAGAGAAAGTCATTTTATGCTTCATGTTTTCTAATCTCTGAAATGAGAGTTACAGTATCTATCCTCCTACCCAAAAGACTAGTATAAGGATAAAATAAAGCAAGAAAGAGCTTAAGAGGTACAGGTGTTACACCAACATAATGGTACTTCCATTGAAAGAGCAAGCTGTTCTAGCAGAATTCGAAATGTGAGATTCCATGCAAATCTTCTAGATAATTGGGCATTTACCCTTAAGCACTAAGTGGAATACTTAAAAAGTTATTTATTTAGTTCATTGATTTAGGTTAGAGACAGGGTCTTGCTTTGCCACCTAGGCTGGAGTATGGTGGCAAAAGTGATCATAGCTCACTACAGCCTCCAATTCCTGGGCTTAGGTGATTCCCCTGCCTTAGCCTCTTGAGTAGCTAGGACAACAGGCATGCACCACCACCACGCCCAGCTAATTTTTTTTTTTTTTTTTTTGAGGTGGAGTTTCACTCTTTTTGCCCAGGCTGTAGTGCAATGGCTTGATCTCGGCTCACTGCAACCTCCGCCTCTTGGGTTCAATTCTCCTGCCTCAGCCTCTCAAGTAGCTGGGGTTACAGGCACATGCCACCAAGCCTGGCTAATTTTTGTATTTTTAGTAGAGAGGGGGTTTCACCATGTTGGCCAGGCTGGTCTGGACCTCCTGAGTTCAAGTGATCTGCCCACCTCGGCCTCCCAAAGTGCTGGGATTACAGGCGTGAGCCACCCGCCCAGCCTTTTTAATTTTTTAAAGAGACCAGGTCTCACTATGTTGTCTAGGCTGGTCTCAAACTCCTGGCCCCAAGTAATCCTCCCACCCCAGCCTCCCAAATTGTTGGGATTACTGGCATGAGCCCCTGTGCCCGGCCATAAATGAAATATTGAACATCATTTCACTATTTCTTATAGATTCAATGTCGTCACCATGAATACTAATTAAGGAGCTGTTCAGGGTCTTTGCCCTTCAGTCTAAATGGCTTCAGGCTGCTGCGATTCTTTTGTGTTCTTCCTCCTGTGTTCTGAGCTCCCATTCCTTTCTTACTTACAGACTGTCAGCTTCCCCCTCGTGTGCTGTTAAAGCGATTTCCTTCATCTTTTCCAGTGTTCTGCTCTGGTGCTTTGAAATCTGGTAATTCATTAGCACTGTCTTGATGTAAAAGTAAATTTGGTCAGTAGTGGGGAATTGTCATGATTTGAGGACATGATCTTTGTAGCCTCTCAATGGTTATTTAATCTATCATATACTATGGACATTATTTTTATTTTCTTTCTATTTTTCCTCTACTATGGGGTATTTTCTTTAGTGTTTGTAAGATTCTGGCACTTTAATAAGACTCCCTGTAGTGTTTAACAGTGGTTTAAATTTTAATGATTTGCCTGTAGTCCCAGAGGCAGGAGAATGGCGTGAACCCAGAAGGCAGAGGTTGCAGTGAGCTGAGATCTCGCCACTGCACTCCAGCCTGGGCGACAGAGCGAGACTCTGTCTCAAAAAAAAAAAAAAATAAATAATGATTTGAAGTAAGTTCTGACCAGCCCTCCCCTCCTCTAGGAAGCTTTACTAAATTAGGCAATGGAGGTCATTACATTTTCTTCATCTAACAGGAATTTTGCTGAGTTCTTATCATTTCTGTTGTGTAGACTCTTAGTTCTTCCTTAGGGTAGGAACCACACAACTTTCCTAGAAAATCCTGTCCTTTGGAACGGGGCTGGATACTGTTCGCATGCAATTGTCCCAGAGCTGGACAGGCCACACTGCTTGTGCTGCTGGAATCTGCTAGCTGATATTTGACTTGAAGTTGTTTTTCTACCTCCATTTCAAAAGTGACCAGAATCTTTACTTTTTCTCTGATAAAAGATTCAGAAAAATTAGATTGGCCTAGCACGGTGGCTCATGCCTATAATCTCAGCACTTTGGGAGGCCAAGATGGGAGGATTACTTGAGAACAGGAGTTTGAGACCAGCCTAGGCAACATAGTGAGACCACATCTCTACAAAAAATTTACAAATTAGCCAGGCATGGTAGCACGCGCCTGTAGTCCTAGGTCCTTGGGAGGCTGAGGTAGGAGGATTGCTTGAGCCCAGGAGGTTGAGGCTGCAATGAGCCCTACTTTTGCCAGTGCACTCCAGCCTGGGTGACAAAGCAAGACCGTGTCTCAAAAAAAAAATTGAATCAGTGCCTACGTGTTAATTTAAGTGTTCCTGAAGCTGGTTTGATTCCTTTTGTGCCTGGCAGGCTATGGAGCATGGTCCTACGGCTGTCTGCACATGGCCATGAACCCCCAAAATTAAATGCAAGCATTTGTGTGCCTACAGTTTTCTTCAACATTTCGAGAAATGGCCTTTAAACAATTGTCATACGTTAATATATTATTGTTTCTTCACTACATTTCCTCTCCACATCTAATTAGTACTATGTCTCATTCAGAGGATTAAAAATACTCTCGACACCTTATTTTATTTGCATGGTGTGGTAACGATGACAGATTGCAGTTGAAATTTTAAACTTGTCTCAGACATCTCTTCTATGAAAGGAAATGACTTTCTTATAAGACAGACATGTGATGTTTGCAATGGTCATTATACTATAAATTCAAATGATTATTTTCTTCATTCTTAATCATCTGTACAGTGGAAGAAGTCACATAAGACAGTGTGGAGCTTTTTAAATCTCACCAAATCTGAATCTTTTTCAGGCCAGGAGAGGACAAACAAAGGCACTGGTTTTTCTGGTGGCTTTTAACACTGATTTTATACACCACTGAGACACTGTGTTTAGCTCATCTTTTCAGGAGGTTATTTGCCGTGTTCTAGAAGGAGAGATACTGAAATCCCTCTTTTTCCTTAGCCATCAGATTTGAAATTAAAATATGTGTCAGGTAACATGTCCATGCTCATAACCAACAACAACAAAATGGAAATGGAAACAGTTGTATGTAGAGGAGGGTGGGTGTTGGGCATTTGGCACTTGTGAATGCCAAATATTCACAAGTCGTGTGTCTGCTGAATATTTTCTTCCTTCCCTTGGCAAGGTAGAACTTCTTTGATCTCGTTAAGAAAAAAAAATGTAAAATTAATGGTTTAAAAATAAATAGTGCTGTATAGAGGTGAGGCTTTTTAAGCAAGCACACCATGTCTGAGCAATCTAAAGTTAAAGTATGTTATCAATCAACTTCTTTCCCATTTATTTTAGAGGAGGAGCAGTGGAGATGGAGACCTTATGTCAAGTTTGAAAAAGCACTAAAGGCCTACATGTTAAAATGCAAAATTGTTCTTGTGTAATTTAGGTTCTCCCACAGCTGTATTCCTTTGTGTTGTTGGATTAGTTAACGTTTATGCCATATGCTTGACATAATCCATAGTACAAAATAATCCAGAAGCACAAGAGGTCTAATTTGTCATAAAAGATCCATAACTTTCAGCCCACTGATTTTCCTCAGGTTGAATATCTGGCAATATTTTAAAAAATATTTAATTAGTATTTATTATCCATAGTAAAGCAAGTTTAGGATTGTGTTTATTTTTCTGAATTGTTTTCTAGTTGAAACCCAGATTTGGAATAGTCAAATCTTGAATCTGCTTTTTAGAATAAATATTTCAGTATGAGAGTAAGAGGTTGCCTAGCATGTTCAGGATTAAGTGAGAGGAGGGATATATGCAAGAGTAATTTTCATTTCTCACCTGAGGAAAGAAAAAAGAATAAAATCTCAAAGGTATAATAACATAGCATTATTATGCATCATATTATCAAATTGATACTCTTTGGGGAGTTAATAAGTTGTTTATGCAGCATTTCCTGATAAAATTGGTTGACCTCATAACATACTAAACTAATGTCTTTCTGGTGTTTAGTCATGGAGAGTAATAAGAATAATAAACATGACTAAAAGTTGGCAATCTCATATACAGGGGACTCATAAGTTTTGAAACAGACCTCATGCATTTCTGAAATTAAATGAAACATTATGAAGGCAGTTTATTTCATTTCTCTTTTCCTTTCTTTGAATCATCTTCCCTCATATTCTCTAACACATAAGAACTGTATTAACAGAGGTACTTAGGATGGTTTACTTTTTCTCTGTGAGTGATATTAAGGAAATATGTAATCAGACAACTCTTTTGAGAAAAGGTTTAAGGTTTTCTTTTTCATTGTAATATAGTCTTCGATGCAAGAAGAATCCTATTTGTATATTTGATTTAAAGAGCAGAAAATGGCCGGGTGCAGTGACTCACACCTGTAATCCTAGCACTTTGAGAGGCCAAGGCAGGAGGATCACCTGAGGTCGGGAGTTCGAGACCAGCCTGATCAACATGGAGAAACCCCGTCTCTACTAAAAAATACAAAATTAGCCTGGTATGGTGGCGCGTGCCTGTAATCCCAGCTACTTGGGAGGCTGAGGCAGGAGAATCGCTTGAACCCGGGAGGCAGAGGTTGCAGCGAGCCAAGATCGTGCCATTGCACTCCAGCCTAAGCAACAAGAGTGAAACTCCATCTCAAAAATAATAATAAATAATAATAATAATAAAATAAAATAAAGAGCCGAAAACTGAACAATGTTTTCGTCTGGTGTAGTGGGAGGGAGGGAGGACTGTAAATTTCCTACCTGTAAGTGACAGTGGGTGAAGGGTGAACTAAGCAGCCTCTGGCTGTCCAGTGTGGATGGATGACACCCAATAATTAGCTTCTTACTTCTTAACTTAGTTCAGCCCTTAGATATGCAGGTCTTTATTTTTCCTGTCTTATATAGAAAGTTACTTGTGCATACAAAGATGTGTGTTTGTAGAAAGGAGACCATAGAATAAGAATGAATGCAGATCAACATGGTCATGGATGAGAAGAAGCAAGCAAAAATCTCTCCAGCTGTGGGAGAACATGGACCAGGAAAACCACAGACAGGAAGCAGCGCTAAATCTAAACGAGTCACAGCAGTAAGTTTCAGCAAATGGGAAAGAGAATGTAAGATGTGCTGTTTTTACCAAAGACGT
The DNA here is from genome assembly GCF_000001405.40 of Homo sapiens. Taxonomy (NCBI): domain Eukaryota; kingdom Metazoa; phylum Chordata; class Mammalia; order Primates; family Hominidae; genus Homo; species Homo sapiens. The sequence goes on from NC_000006.12 coordinate 106,026,970, forward strand.
GTCAGAGTTTGAGCATTGCCTACCGCAACTTGCATCAGTTCCCTCTCTCAGCCCCCAGTACTCCCACGTTGTTGAAATTCGGATCCCCACCACCCACCTTATTCTTCCACAATATGTCCTATGTGATCTATTCGAATCTCATTAAACTGATTTACTGGGCCCGCTGGCTCTGCTCTCCCTCAGTTTATTCCTACTTTGTTTAAAATTCGGGAAGTGCCGGGGGAGGGGCAAGACATTAATCGCTGCACTTGTGCAAACGGAGTGCCAGCTGATTTATGGCAAAGGTTATAAAGGAAAAGTATTAAGTGTGCTTCATTCCATTTGGCAAAGCCATCCTGCACAATGTCCACAGAAACCCCAAGAGTCCTGTTTTGTAGAAAGAAGGGGGGAAAAACTTCACCAAAGATGTGCTCTTCTTCTTTTGAGCATTAATTAAGACTGTAAATCACAGGCCACATGAAACAACTGTATACGACAGAATGCGGATGGTCCGGGACTTCTGCTGGGCTTGTGTGATCAGTCTGAATACCTACACCAAAGCCCTAATGGGAGGGCGGACTTCAAAGGGGAGTTTTGGCATGAGGGAGAGGTCTGCTCTAGCAGGGAGAGAAAGAGTTGTAAAGTACAGACTGCATGGAAAAATAGGTGGTGGGGGACCAGGAGGAACGGGGGAGAGAATGAGAGTGGATCAATGTAGGGTTTTATCTTAAAAGTACCAGATAAGTATTGAATAATGTATATTCTTCTATTCTAAGCAGTTTTGATTTCATCACTTGAGAGTGTCCTACAAATGAGGGGCAAAAACCCTCTGTTTGGCAGGAGAGAAAAAAATTGTTTTTAAACCCATGTGAAATGTTCTTTGGCTGCTTTGCTGACTGTTCACCAGCTCCTAATGCTGGGTCTCAGGCTATTCCTACAGCTGGCACTTAGCTCATTACACATGATCCCCTGGAGTGGGTTTGCAAATAGTGAATTTACCTACTTAAGTCACTTTCCTCAGTGCAAGATCAGCTTTCAGCACCAATAGAGTTGAGACTGTGTTATGTGCCTTGGAGAGCTCTTCTGCATTCCTCTTCTACCCTAAAAAACACATTGAATACCTTCAATAAATATTTTTTTCTTTCATGATTCTCTTAAGGCTGATTAAGCATATTCTTTGCTTTTGGAGATAATGTGGCTGATCTGCCATTTCAGCATATGTTTCTTTTTCCTCCAGCGGGGCTGGATTTCTGGTGATTTTTCCTCACACTGAGGTGGTCCAGTGTCTTTCGGTCCAATCGCATGTATTTTCAGCACAGCAATCCAAGACTAAGGTTATGTCCAAGTTCATGGCTATGAAACAGAATTTTAATGTTGGACCTTTGCTTCATAAGTGTAGTATTTTAACTAACTGAGGTAATGCAACTAAGAATTATACATGGCCTCTCTGAAAAAATACTCTTATCTGTGGTTTGTAATAGTGAACAGTTGAAAGCAACTTGAATATCCAATAACAAGAGTTTGGTTAAATAAATCAGAGTATATTCATGTAATGGAATACTAAAACATGGTATAGAAATATAGGCATTAATATGAAAATGTGTTCACACCATATTATCAAGTTAAAAAGTAATAGGTATGTATGATTCCATTTTTGGCTTTATTTTTCTACCTTATTAAGGTATAATTGAAGTACAATGAACTGCACATATTTAAAGTGTATAGTTTGATACATTTTGACATCCACAGACACATGTGATGTCATCACAGTTGAGATGATGAACATTCCATTAGCAACCCCCACCCCCGAAGTTTTCCTGTGTCTCTTTGTAATCCATTAATCCATCTTTCCTTCCATCCTCATCTCCAGGCCAACACTGATCTGTCTCCTGTCACTAGAAATTAGACTGTATTTTCTAGAATTTTTCTAGGTTGTAAATATATTTCCCTATGTTTTCTTTCTTTCCTTCTTTTTTTTTTTTTTTTTTTTTGAGACCGAGTCTTGCTCTGCTGCCAGGCTGGAGTGCAGTGGCACTATCTCGGCTCATTGCAACCTCCACCTCCTGGGTTCAAGCGATTCTCCTGCCTCAGCCTCCCGAGTAGCTGGGACTACAGGCGCACGCCACCATGCCCAGCTAATTTTTGTATATTTAGTAGAGACGGGGTTTCATCATGTTGACCAGGATGGTCTCAATCTCTTGACCTTGTGATCCGCCTGCCTTGGCCTCCCAAAGTGCTGGGATTACAGGCATGAGCCACTGCACCCGGCCTTCCCTATGTTTTCTTATAGCAGTTTCATAGTTTTGGGTTTTACATTTAGGTCTAAGATTCATTAAGAGTTAATTTATATGTATGGTGATGTATGGTACATAAGGTCAATTTTAATTATTTTGCCATGTGAATATCCAGTTGGTCCAGCACCATATGTTAAAAAGACTTTGTATATTCCCCCACTGAATTGCCTGAGCATCTTAAGTCAGTAGATCAAATATGCATTGTCTGGAATAAGCAGTATGCACTTGTTTGTTTTGTTTTCTTTCACTCAGTATAATGATTTTGAGATTCATCCATGTTGTTGCGTGGATCAAGAGTTCATTCCTTTATGTTGTTGAGTAGTCCATTGTATGGATATAACAGTCTCTTCAACTTTTTGGTTTTTTTCTTTTATTTTTTTTTGTGACAGGGCCTCACTCTGTCACCCAGGCTGAGTGCAGAGGCACCATCATGGCTCACTGCAGCCTCAACCTCTCCAGGCTCAGGTGATCCTCCTACCTCAGCCTCCCTAGTAGCTGACACTACAAGCGTGCACCACCATGCCTGGCTAATTGGTTTTTTTTTGTTTGTATCTTTTGTAGAGCTGGGATTTTGTCATGTTGCCCAGGCTGGTCTCGAACCCCTGGGCTCAAGCAATTTGTCCGTCTTGGCCTCCCAAAGCGTTAGGATTACAGGCATGAGCCACTGCATCCGGCCTCATTGTATTTGAATTTGCGTTTCCCTCATGACTAATGATGTTGAACATCATTTCATGGGCTTATTGGCCATTGTATATCTTCTTTGATGAAGTTTCTATTCTACTATTTTGCACATTTAGAAAATTGGTTTATGTTTTCTTATTAAGTTTTGAGAGTTCTTTATGTATTTTATATATTTTGGGCATAAGTCCTATGTTTGATATATCTTTTGTGAATATTTTCTCCTAGTCTGTGGCTTGCCATTTTGTTTTGTTTTGTTTGTTTTTGAGACACAGTCTTGTTTTGTCACCCAGTCTGGAGTACAGTAGCACTATCATAGCTCACTATAACTTCAAACTCCAGAGCTCAAGCAGTCTTCCCACCTTGACCTCCAGAGTAGTTATGACTACAAGTGCACAGCCCAGCTAATTACGAAAGATTTTCTTTTGTAGTGATGGGGTCTCACACTCATTATATTGCCCAGGCTGGTCTCAAACTCCTGGCCTCAAGCAATCCTCCCACCATGGCCTCCCAAAGCACTGGGATTATAGCAGTGAGCCACCATACCCAGCCCATTTTGCTTTCTTAATGTCTTTTCAAAACCAAAAGTTTTAGATTTTGAGGGAGTCTAATGTATTATTCTTTAATGGTTTATGCCTTTTTTGACGGGGGTGGGGGGCAGGTAACTTATCTAAAAAACTGGCTGAGTCCAAGGTTGTAAATATATTTTCTTACATTTTCTTATGGCAGTTTCATAGTTTTGGGTTTCACATTTAGGTCTAAGATTCGTTTAGAGATAATCTATATGTATGGTGATAAGGGTCAATTTTTATTTTTTTTGCCATGTGAATATCCAGTTGGTCCAGCACCGTATGCTAAAAAGACTTTCCATTCCCCCATTGAATTGCTCAAGCATCTTCATATAAAATCAGTAGATCAAATATGTGCGGGTCTATTTCTGTATTGTTATATTGATCTGTATATCTGAAGTGATCCTATTTTAATATCAGCATATGATTAAAAGCTTCTGGAAGAATATGCCTAAAGAAGTTAACAATAGTTGGTAGGTTGGAGTCTCCTGTCATTTGTATTCTCTCTTTTTTTTTTTTTTTCTGATTTTTTTTTCTTCATAGTGAATATGCATTGCTTTTATAGTAATAAAAAAGTTTGTTTTGGAAAGAACCTGCAGGCACAGCCCAAGTGGTGCCAAGAGTTTGGCATTCTGGTAAGTTTATTGGGAAACTTACTTATTCTTCAATTTTTAGAATATATATTGAACAACTTCTGTGTTATATAGAGGAAACAAATATACATAAGCCAGAAATAACTTTTGCCCACATGGAACTTACAGCAGCTTGAGATGTACAGAAAAGTAAATGGACACCTTTTAAATATGTGGTTCCATGATAAGTGCAATGAAGGTAGAAGTCCCAGGATCTTCAGGGATGACCCAGCAGAGGGATCTGCCCAGGCTTAGGGGGCAAAAGAATGCTTCCTGGAGAAGTGCTCTCCAGTCCACGGCCTCCTTTTAATACTCCTTTCACTGAAGCTAAAGAAAAAAATGAGGATGTTGGGGAATTTAACTTTGGGTGGTAGAAAGTTGAGGGTAATTTAGTGGTTTATATTTTCTCTGTGAAACAGAGTGATCTTCAGTTTCCTGAGATTGGAGGGCAGAAGATTGAGGATGAAAGTTTGAAATTGAGGTTGTGGAAACCAGTGAGACCACCAAGGTGGGAAACATGGAATGAATGCCAGGCAATGGGGACAGTCCAGTTGACGGGGAAACCATGATTTTATCTGAGGCTTGGGCTATCTCCAAGCTTGGTTTTCTGCAGTGTGTGGGAAGAGGTGCCAGGGCAACAACCACACTACACAACTTTGAAATTAAGACCTGAAAGGGGCCTTAAAGAGAAGTAGATCAGCTATCTAATTTTAAAGACAAGAAACAAAAAGCCCGAGTTGGAGTGAGAGTCTGATCTTCTGATTCCCATCCCAGTTTTGTTTTTTTAACTTTTTTTGTGCCCAGACCATAGCTGTCTCCTTTAATAGGCTTGAGTCCATCAGATGCAGGAAACTTATTTATTTTTCCTGAGGCATTTTCTCTGCAATTAGTATATGTTGTGACTCAGTTGAAGATGATGCCTTACCCACAGGTAGAGTCTCACAAAACCAGACAAATCGACTTTGTTAAAAAGAGAAGAAATGAACATTTTCACATGAAATTATCAAGAAAGTAAAGTAATAAAATAGCTAGGCATATTAAAGAATACTTTATTTATTTAGAGACAGGGCCTTGCTCTGTCACCCAGGCTGGAGTGCAGTGGTACAATCACAGTTCACTGCAGCCTCTCTGGGCTTAAGCAATCCTCCTGCCTAAGCCTCCCCAGTAGTTGGGACTAGAGGTGTGCACCACCACACCCAGCTAATTTTTTTTTTTTTTCTTTTTGGTAGAGACAGGGTTTCATCACGTTGCCCAGGTTGGTCTAGAACTCTGGGCTCAAGTGATCCACCCTTCTCAGTCTCCCAAAGTACAATACCGTATTTTCTTTTTTTGTTGGAGACAAGAGTCTTCTCTTTCACCAGGCTAGAGTGCAGTGGCGCAGTCTCTGCTCACTGCAACCTCCGCCTCCTGGGTTCAAGCAATTCTCCTGCCTCAGCCTCCTGAGTAGCTAGGACTACAGGCTTGTGCCACCACACCCAGCTAATTTTTGTATTTTTAGTAGAGATGGGGTTCACCATGTTGGCCATGGCCAGGATGATCTTGATCTCTTGACCTTGTGATCCACCTGCCTCAGCTTCCCAAAGTGCTGGGATTACAGGTGTGAGCCACCACACCCAGCCAATACCATATTTTCATGACAACCCTGAATTAAAATAAAATTTGAAGAAATAATCACCCTCATACAATTTGGCACCTTTCTTACTATTTGCTAATAGTTATCAATTCTTGATTATTTTAATTCTAGTTCCCTTCCACTCATTAAGTTACTTTTAAGTAAGAATAATAGCTAACATTATTGAAAGTTTACTGTTGTGTCTGGCACTGCACTAAAGGACTTAACAAATATTTTCTCATTTAATCCTCACAAAAGCCCTATGAGGTGGGTTGTATTATCATTTCCATTTTAGAGACATAGAAATAATGGGCTTAGAGATAACAAAACATGGGTAGTTTTTTTTTTTCAATTTTTAAATTGTGATAAAATATACATAACATAAAATTTACCATCTAACCTTTTTTTAAAATCTGTTTTTTAAGAGACTGAGTTTTGCTCTGTCATCAAGGCTGAAGTGCAGTGGCACAATCATAGCTCACTGTAATCTGTAACTCCTGGGCCCAAGTGATACCCCACCACCACCTCAGCTTCCCAAGTAGCTAGGACTACAGGTGTGCACCATTATGCCCAGCTAATATTAGTTTTTTTTTTTTTTTTGTAGAGACAGAATCTCTCTATATTGCCCAGGCTTGTCTCGAACTCCTGACTTCAAGCGATCCTCCTGCCTTGACATCCCAAATGCGTTGGGATTATAGGCATGAGCCACTACGCCTGGAGATTATGTATAATATTTCTTTAATTTTTAGTATGTTTTTTTCTTTAAGAGATGAGATCTTGGTCTGTTGACCAGGCTGGTCTTGAACTCCTGGCCTCAAGCAATCCTCCCACCTAGGCCTCCCAAAGTGCTGAGATTACAAGCATGAACCACTGTGCCTGGCCTAATCTTTGTAATATGCTGTTGAATTCATTTGCTAGTATATAGATGAGGTTTTTTGTGTCAATATTTATAAGGGATATTGGTCTGCAGTTTTCTTGTAGTGTCTTTGACTAGCTTTGGTATCAGGATAATGCTGGCCTCATACAATGAGTAAAGAAATGTTCTTTTCTCTTTATTTTTTTTTTTAAAGCTTGAGAAGAATTGGTGTTAGTTCTTTAAATATTTGGTAGAATTCACCAGTGAAGCCATCAGGTTCAGGGCTTTTCTTTGTCAAGAGATTTTTTATTATTATTTTTATTACTCATTCATTCTCCATACTAGTTATAGGTCTCTTCAAATTTTCTATTTCTTCGTGATTCAGTCTTGGTAGGTTTTGCGTTTCTAGGAATTTGTCTATCTTATCTAGTTTATCCAATCTGTTAGCATACAAATATTCATGGTACTCTCTTTGAATCATTTTTGTTTCTGTAGAATCAGTAGTAATGTTCCCACTTTCATTTCTGATTTTGGTAATTTGAGTTTTCTCTCTTTTTTTCTTAGTTCATCTAGCTAAAGATTTGCCCCTTTTTTGGTTATCTTTTAAGAACTAGTGTTTTTGGTCTCATTTATTTCCTTTATTGTTTTCTATTCTCTATTTTGTTTATCTTTGCTCTAATCGTTATTATTTCCTTCATCTTCTGGCTTTGGGTTTAGTTTGTTCTTTTCCTAGTTACTTAAGTTATATAGTTAGGTTGTTGATTTAAGATCTTTCTTATTTTTGTTTGTGTTTATAGCTAAAAATTTTCCCCCTTAGCAATGCTTTTGCTGCATCCCATAAGTTTTTGCATGTCGTATTTTATTTTCATGCATCTCTAATTATTTTTCTAATTTCCCTTTTGATTTCTTCTTTTATTATTTAATAGTGTTTTAAATTTCTACAAATTTGTTCATTTTCTGGTTTCCCTTCTGTTATTGATGTCTAACTTCATTCCATTGTACTCAGAGATAACACTACAGTCTTACAGTCTTTCATGTTCTCTCTCTTTTTTTTTTTTTTTTTTTGAGATGGAGTCTCCCTCTATCACCCAGGCTGGAGTGCAGTGATCTTAGCTCACTGCAACCTCCACCTCCCGGGTTCAAGTGATTCTCCTGTCTCAGCCTCCCAAGTAGCTGAGATTACAGGTGTGCACCACCACGCATGGCTAGTTTTTGTATTTTTAGTAGAGACGGGGTTTCACTATGTTGCCCAGGCTGGTCTTGAACTCCTGACCTCAGGTGATCTACCTGCCTTAGCCTCCCAAAGTGCTGGGAGGATTACAGGTGTGAGCCACCACACTGGGCATGACACTAAAGTCTTTTTAAGTCTGTTTCATAGGTCTATTCTGGAGAATGTGCTGTGCACACTTGAGAAGAATATATTCTATTGTTATTGCATAGAATGTCCTGTATATATCTGTTAAATATAATTAGTTCGTTATGTTGTTCAGGTGCTCTATTTCCTTATTTCTCTCTGTTTGTTCTATTCTTTATTGAGAGTGAAGTATTGCAATCTCCAACTATTATTGTAGAACTGACTACTTCTCCCTTCAGTCTAAGTTCTATCAATTTTTGCTTTCAATATTATGATGGTCTGTTACTAGGTGTTTAAATGTTTGTAATTGTTACATCTTATTGCTGTATTGAGCCTTTTATTAATAAAATACATCCTTCTTCGTCTCTTCTAAACTCTTGGGATTTAATCTATTTTGGCCAGGTGTGGTGACTCATGCCTGTAATCTCAGCACTTTGGAAGACTGAGGCAGGAGAATCGCTTGAGGCCAGGAGTTCAAGACCAATCTGGACAACATAGTGAGACCCCCCTCCCCGTCTCTATAGAAACTTAAAAAATTAACTGGGTGTGGTGGCACATGCCTGTAGCCACAGCTACTCAAGAGGCTGAGGTGGGAGGATAGCTTGAGCCTGGGACGTCGAGGCTGCAGTGAGCTATGATAATGCCACATTACTCCAGCCTGGGTGACAGAGAGAGAGAGACCCTGTCTCAAAAAAATTTAAAAAAAAAGACTATTTTGTCTAAAATTAGTATACCTACCCTGCTTTCTTTTAATTACTATTTATATGGGATATATATTTCTATCCTTTCACTTTCAACTTATTTGTCTTTGGATCTAAAGTGAATCTCTTATAGATAACATAAAATTGGGTCATGGGTCATGTTTTCTAATTCAGTCTGCCAATCTTTGTCTTTTGATTGGAGAGTTTAATCCATTTACATTTAAAGTAATTACTGATGAAGTGAGACTTCTGTCATTTTGCTTTTTGTTTTCTTTTTTATGTTTTTTAAATAAAATTTTTTTAAATAGAGACAGGGTTTCACCATGTTTCTCAGGCTGGTCTTGAACTCCTGAGTTCAAGTGACCCACCTGCCTCGGCCTCCCAAAGTGCTGTGATTACAGGCGTGAGTCACTGTGCCTGGCCAGCTATTTGTTTTCTATATTCCTTATGGAGAAGCAATTTTTTGACCCTCATTTCCTGCATTACTGTCTCTTTAGAATTTAGTTGTTTTTTGTTTTTTGTGAGACAGAGCCTAAGTCTGTTACCCAGGCTGGGGTGCAGTGGTGCAATCTCAGCTTACTGGAACCTCTCCGTCCTAAGTTCAAGTGATTCTCATGCCTCAGCCTCCCAAGTAGCTGGGATTACAGATGTGCACCACCATGCACGGCTAACCATGCACTCTAACTTAAGTAGAGACAGGGTTTCATCATGTTGCCCAGGCTAGATTAGTTGATTTTTTGTAGTGAAACATTTTAATTTGCATTTATTTGTATATTCCGTAACTATTTAATTTCTTTGTATTTGCCATGAGATCACATTACAACACTCTATTTTGAATTTACACTAAATTAGTTCAATAACATGCTAACTTCTGTTCATTTATAGCTCCATCCTCACCTCTGTGTTATTGATGCCACAAAACTACATCTTTGTACATTGTATGCTCAGAAACACACTAATAATTGTGTTTCTTAGTGTAACAGTCTCTTAAATCATGTAGAAAACAAAAAAGTAGAGTTAAAAACAACTTTACAGCCGGGCGTGGTGGCTCATGTCTGTAATCCCAGCACTTTGGGAGGCTGAGGCGGGCAGATCACTTGAGGTCAGGAGTTTGAGACCAGCCTGGCCAACCTGGTGAAACCCCTTCTCTACTAAAAATACAAAAATTAGCCAAATACAAAAATTTAGAGATGGGGTCTTGCCCAGTTGCCAAGGCTGGAATGCAGTAGCACAATCATAGCTCACTGCAGCCTCAAACTCCTGGACTCAAGTGATTTTCCTGCCTCAGCACTCCCAAGTAGCTGGGACTATAGGTATGTACCACCATTCCTGGCTCTTTATTTCTTCACATGGCTTCAGGTTACTGTCTAGTGTTCTTTTATTTCAACCTGCAAGACCTCTTTTGGCATTTCTTGCAGGACAGTTCTAGTAGTAACCAATTTCCTCAACTTTTGTTCATCTGGGAATGTCTTAATTTCCCCTCACTTTTGAAGGATAGTTTTGCTTGGATATAGGATTCTTGGCTGAGGGTTTTTGTTTGTTTGCTTTCTTTGCTCCTAGTACATTGAATATACTAGCTCACTGCCTTCTTGCCCCTAAAATTCCTGATGAGAAATCAGTTGATGATCTCATTGAGGATTTCTTGTAAATGATGATTCACTTTTCTTGATCATTTGTCTTGGTGTGGATTTCTGAATTCATTATACTTGAAGTTCACTGAATTTCTTAGATGTTTATATTCATATCTCTCATCAAATTTGGTCAGTTTTCAGCCACTGTTTCCTCAGATAATCTTTCTACCCCTTTTCCCTCTTCTCCTTATAAGATTCCCATGATGATGAGTATGTTGGTTTACCGATGGCATCCCACAGGTCCCTTAGGCTCTTCTCACTTTCCTTCCATCTTTTTTCTTTCTGTTTCTCAGACTCAATCATTGTCTTTGTCCTATTTTCAAGTTTGCTGATTTTTTTCTTCTGCCTGCACAAATCTGGCCAAATACCTCTAGTGAATTTTTCATTTTTGTCCTTGTACTTTTCAGCTGTAGAGTTTCTTGGTTTCTTTTTAGGTTTTCTATCTTTTTATTGCTGTTTCCATTCTGTTCATACATTGTTTTCTTGACTTTCCCCACATCTTCCTTTAGCTCTTTGAGCATATTTAAGACTGTTTTTTATAGTCTTTGTCTAGTAGGTCTGCTATCTCATCTTTCTTAAGGACAATTTTTGTTGGTTTATTTCTTTCTTTTGAATAGGCCACAGTTTCCTGTTTCTTTATGTGTCTTGTGATTGTTGCTGGAAGTTGGACATTCGAAACAAATAATGTGATAACTGGAAATCAGACTCTCTCCCTTTCCTATGGTTTGCTATTTTTGTCTTTTTTTTTTTTTTTTTTTTGAGACAGAGTCTCACTCTGTCACCCAGGCTAGAGTGCAGTGACATGATCTTGGCTCACTACAACCTCTGCCTCCCGGGTAGCTGGGATTACAGGCATGCACCACCATGCCCAGGTAATTTTTCTATTTTTAGTAGACACAGGATTTCACAATGTTGGCCAGGCTGGTTTCGAACTACTGACCTCAGGTGATCTGCCTGCCTGGGCCTCCCAAAGTGCTGGGATTATAGGCGTGAGCCACCATACCCAGCCTGCTATTTTTGTCTTCATCCTATTTTGTTTTTTATTCTTGTAGGCTGTCTCTGTGCCAAGGATCAGCCTGAGGTATAAACTTAAGGTGTTCTCAGGTCTTTTCTGAGCCTGTACATTTCACTGGGCATGTGTGGTGACTTGTAAATTTACTCCTTCTATGCATTGCTTTTGCATATTCTATTTTTTAATGTCTGGCTCCCAAAAGGGGAAAAGGAGAAAAATGAAGAAGAAAAGGGATGCTGGTCCTTTAAAACCTCTGGCAATTGCTTTAGCTGGAGGAGGAGGACCTTGTAATAAAGGGATGGTATGTGCAACAAAGACAGCCTGCCTCTATGTCTACACTCCATGATCCAAAGCAGCAATCAGTGATCAAGACATAGATCCTAATCGTTGGAGGATAGAGTCCCTTTTGCACACCCTGGCAAGCTGCTCCAGGAGTACATACACAGCTGCCTGCCATGGGGCTGAGAGGTGGGGAATGGGTAGCTGCTGCTGAGTTAAGAGCTGAAATTGACCAAAATTAACCATAATTTGACATCCAAGCCTTCCCCTAGAGGTTGCATGAGTTCCAAAATAGTTACATGAGACAAATTTTGCCAGTGTGTTTGTTGTCTAGCTGAGAAGACAGGTCCCTACTCCTTCTTTCCAGAATCCTCTCTCCCAACTGCCATTTCACACACATTTTTATTCTTCTAGGTATATTTTTAGGAATCTTATTTTGATTTGAATAGAACTTGTAAATTCAAATGTCCCATTGCTAGAGAATATCAAATGAGACAATATATGAGTATGTATTTTTAAAACATTTTTTAAATAAGTAAGTAATCTTCTTTCTTGTTCACACTCTTTATAATTAGACCATAAACTTAGAAAGTTCAGAAACAGCTATGTTATAAGAAGTCCCTTTGATTGCTTATGGTCATCTTCACTATCTCAGGCTGCATTGGAGGAGTGGGGAGAGGCTCAGAGCTTTCCTCAAAGGATAAGGACATGCCTTTAAAAATAGACAGAGAGCCTTTTTGTGTATATGGATTTTATTAAATCCAAGAGTATAAAACTATATTTGGTCCCTGTATTCATAAAAGGCTGCCTTAAGTTTATTTTCATCTAAGAGAAAAGTGACTCAATCCCTGTTATGTTTGTCTAAGTTTCTGTATAATTCAACACATTGATGATAGAAAGATGGATTATCCTCTATAGCTACTATTTTGGTTACTCATAAATGTTTTTGAAACATTGTGCCAATTTATCAAAAAAGTCTATATTCCTAAACCCACTCATTTCAGGAAACAACCACAGCTATTTTTTTATTGTTTTTATTTTGTACTGATTGAAATATAGGCCACCTGGAATTAGCTTCCTTCTGTCTCCCTTATTATTAAATTCAAGTGTATAATTTTACCCCTGATGTGTTCAGTGAAGCATGATCAAAATGTTACTTTAAAAGTTAAAATAAGCTAGTTTGTGAAACAGTAGTACTAAATGGGTTAGTCACAAATCTATTGTCATATAATATTAGAAATAAGTATTTCTTGCTGACATCCCTGCCTTAATCAGTTAGCTAGTCCATAGCGGCTTAGCGAGATTGTGTTTAGCCTATTTCCCGAATGGCAATTAAGAAATGGTTTTATTTCCTAGTAAAGGTTTGCCAGTGATATTTTTCTGGCCTGTCCACCTCTATAAATTCTCCGTCTCCATCCCTCCCTTTACAATACCCACACCTCTCTTGAAACCCTCTTACTTTCCCTGATCACTAAGACCAAGGCATTCAAAATATTTCCTGTGTGTTTGGGCACTGCCCAGCGAGGAAGAAATGATTAAGCAGCCAAATGTTTGAAACCCAGCTACATGCACTGGTTATTATCTGCTTAACTCTTTCTTATCTTGAACTGCGAGGAGCTTAATGGCTGGGACCCATTGTTCTTCTCTTGACATTAATGAAGAAATCAGAGCATGCAGCTGATTTCCTAAGATGGCTGAGAGTGACATGCTGAATTGATTGATTTGTCCTCTTCTCTCCAGGACCATTCTAGCTAGACTAGAGCAATGGAGGGTGTGGGGTTGCTGGAATAAACACATGTGCACATATTAGCACACATGAATACGAGCACACCACCTCCGTCTATCTGCAGGCCAGGGTGTATTTACCTTCTAGTAAAAGGATTGAAGAGGCTCTCAGATAGTCTGCTTAAGAGATATACTGTCCTCCTAGTTTCTGTTCTACTTTCTCAGTGATTAAGAATCCTGGCAGCAGCAGCCGTCTGCAGCTTTTCTCTGTAAAGCAGACTTCACAGTTCAAACCTGTATCCTGTGGGCTCAGGTGTTGTCCAGATACATACCTACTTGACTAAATTGATCAGAAGGTTGTCTATTTCTTGTTTGTTAAAATTACAAGAATTATTATTAATTTGCAGTTATGAATTAAGAGTAAAAGCTCCCTTTTCAATGTTAACAACATGATGTGTATCCTTTATTACCTTCCTAAATGTGCATATAATTATAGAGGAACAATTAAGATAGAAATATATAGTGTTTTCTGTCATTGTTTTGGAAAAACAGATCATATTACTATCTTGCATTTGTCAATAAAAGGATGATGAAAATCCTTCTACAGTCACTGTTACAGGTCTTAATTTGGCCTGGCATTCAATGCTATGTTTGACTATAGTATATTCAACCATTCCTGCTAATGGGCCTTAGTTTACTTTCCTATTTTTTCCCCACTATAAACAACATGACATTCTAGGAGAGGTAATAGTAACACAGTTTCTGAAGGTGGACCGCTTGGATTGGAATCCTATGGCACCACATAGCAATGCTTGGAGCTCCAGCAGGAATGTTTCTTGTGTTCAATTCTGTTTGTTCTCTCTCCTAGGTCTTTTGAGCTGGCATTACTATTAATATTACTGTATGTCTCTCTGTTACTTTTCATTGTCATTGTTCTTTGAGAGAATCTTCTTGATAACATAAAATATCTCCCAGGCCCTACCTGCAAACATTGTATTTTTCACATTGTTCAAAGGTTAGTATTTTTGTTCAGGAGCAGAATGAGTCACTTAAGGAAGATTCTAAATTGAAAAATATCTGGGACATCTGTCTCAAATAATGATTAAGAAAAAAGCCATTGCTTTAGGTTATTGCTGTTATGTTCTTTTACTTTCATTACCTTAAAATACGTTTTTTGTTTTTCCTGAAAATTCAAGTAATACCTACTAATTATAGAGAGTTTGGAAGCTACAGAAAAGGCTAAAAATTAAATAAAACCATCAGGCATGACTATGAAGAAATAGCATGAGATAGTTTCTTGGCATGATGGAACCATTGTGTATCCTGATAGTGGTGGTGGTTATATGAATCTACATGTGTTAAAATTCAGAGAACTGAACATCCCCCCAGAAAAGTTTGACCGTATAATAATTTTTTAAAAGTTACGTAAAAAATAGAACCATCCATAATTCCTCCACTTAGCATCAATCATTATCAACCTGGTAACATGGTGGCATCGTTCTTCCTAGTATTTCTTTCTTTTTTTTTTTTTTTTTTGAGACCGAGTCTCACTGTCACTCAGGCTGGAGTATAATGGCACTATATTGGCTGACTGCATCCTCCACCTCCTGGGCTCAAGCAATCCTCCCACCTCAGCCTCCCAGGTAGCTCAGACCACAGGTGCATGCCACCGTGTGTGGCTAATTTTTGATATTTTTGTAGAGATGGGGTTTCACTATATTTCCCAGGCTGATCACAAACTCCAGAACTCAAGTGATCTGCCCACCTCAGCTGCCCAAAGTGCTGGGATTACAGGCATGAGCCACCATGCCCAGCCCCTTCATTATATATTTTGTAAAACATTTTTAAATGTTTTGATAATATTTAATCACCAGATATTTCTAATTCACATAACTGTTCTCTTATTAGAGTACCTTTCTTCAGTGTTACCTTAAAAACTAAGTGTGGGGCCGGGCATGGTGGCTCATGCCTGTAATCCCAGCACTTTGGGAGGTCGAGGCGGGCAGATCACCTGAGATCGGGAGTTTGAGACCAGCCTGACCAACATGGAGAAACCCCGTCTCTACCAAAAATACAAAAGAAAAAATTAGCCGGGCGTGGTGGTGCATGCCTGTAATCCCAGCTACTCGGGAGGCTGAGGCAGGAGAATCGCTTGAACCTGGGAGGTGGAGGTTGCAGTGAGCTGAGATCATGCCATTGCACTCCAGCCTGGGCAACAGGAGTGAAACTCTGTCTCAAAAAAAAAAAACAAACAAACAACAACAACAACAAAACAAAACCAAGTGTGAACAAAAATTGTTAATGTAAGAATGAACGTTTAACTTCTGGTTTTTCTAGAGTTGTCCTCAGAATAAAACCTGGTCTTCTGGAGACAAATTCTTCTCTTATCATGGGCTATGAAGTTTTGTACCTCAACTTATGCACTCACCCTGCTGCAGCTATGTCCCTGTAGATCCTAGAACTCACGGAGTTCTTCCCGATTTTGGAGTGCTAGAAAGCTTCTCTTCATCCAACGTTACTTCACTATCATACTGCCCCTCTCTCCCCATTCTACAAGGCTAACACATTTTGGGGGGAGGATGGAGTTTCACTCTTGTCACCTAGGCTGGAATGCAATGGCGCATTCTCGGCTCACCGCAATCTCCACCTCCCGTATTCAAGAGATTCTCCTGCCTCAGCCTCCCGAGTAGCTGGGATTATAGGCATGTGCCACCACGCCCGGCTAATTTTTGTATTTTTAGTAGAGACAGGGTTTCACCATGTTGGCCAGGCTGGTCTTGAACTCCTGACCTTAGCTGATCTGCTCACCTTGGCCTCCCAAAGTGCTGGGATTACAGGCATGAGCCACCACAACTGGCCCAAGGCTGACACTTTTAAGCCTTAGCTTAAAAGTCACCTCACAGAGTGGTCTTCTCTGAACACCCAGTTTCCCTTCACTGTTATTTTCTCTCACACAACACAAACAATTGCCATAATTGGTATTTATTTTTACATTAACTTGTTTATTGTTGTTTTCTCTCGCTTAATTATAAGCTCCATGGAGGGCAAAGACTATGTCAGTTTTGCTGAATATCATATACCCACTGCTTAGCACAGTGCCTGGCATGTAGAGGGAGCTCAGTAAATAATCGTTGGCTAACTGAATGAATGAATGAATAAGAGCTATCATGTTCTCATAAGACATAGATCTAATTATTACAAAAATATGTTTGGAGAGCTTATATTCATATTTTATTTTATTTATTATTATTATTTTTTTGAGATGGAGTTTCACTCTTGTTGCCCAGGCTGGAGTGCAATGGCACGATCTTGGCTCCCCGCAACCTCCGCCTCTCCCGGGTTCAAGCGATTCTCCTGCCTCAGCCTCCCGAGTAGCTGGGATTACAGCATGCACCACCACACCCAGCTAATTTTGTATTTTTAGTAGAGACGGCGTTTCTCCCTGTTGGTCAAGCTGGTCTCGAACTCCTGACCTCCAGTGATCCGCCCGCCTCAGACTCCCAAAGTACTGGGATTACAGGCATGAGCCACCACATCTGGCCCAGATTTTAATATTTTTAATCGAATTAACTGTCAGTGGTATCAAGATTGCTCAGTGACCATCATTGTATCTTAATCTTATGAAATGGGTTGTGATCCTCTTATTCTACACAGGAGTGAATATTTTAAAAGCTAGGGAATCTTTTTCCATTTAGTTTTTTCTTACTTTAATTTTTTTTCTGTTTTAGTTTTATGCCCTACCTCCTTAACCCCACTATATGTGTGAATATGTACTTGTATATCTCAATCTATATTGTTAAAGTTACTACTGGCTTTACAATTCTCAATTTCTTTGGAAAGCAAAAGCTTTACACTCTTTTTTTCTGCCACTAATCACTTTTTGTTCTTTCCTTTTTTTCTTTCTTTTTTTTTTTTTTTTCTGTTCCTGCTCATGACTAAATTCTGTTGCTAACATTCTATGAGTCTGGCTGACAAGACTCTTAATTCCATTTCTCTTTCTTGAACTGTTTAGAAGAATTTAAAGTTATAATTAAGTAACTAAATGGAATACTAGGTAAATTTTGGCACTAGGTATTGTGAGTCAGTTGGTTTATTTTGTTGTTAATAAATCACTTAGTACTTTTTGCCAAGGGAAGCCAGAAGTAAATCATCATTGCAGAGTGTAAAATAGATAGTATTGAACCCAGGGCAAACATTTGGGTATGAGAGGAGCAGCAGTACTGTTCAGTATCTGGCCTCAAATCGTATCACCTCTTTCCGCCCTTCAGTTTCTCCAGTCTTTTACCAGTGCTTCCTGGAAATTCTTTATTTTCTGATCCAAAGTGGATCAAAGACCTAGCACTACAAGTTTAGGCTTTCATTACTTCCCATGCAGGTGAATGGATCATCACTATCCTTGTGATTGTTAAGCTCAGATGTAAGCATGGTAGTTATCAAAGACAGAATTAAGTCAGGTTCCTTCTAAAGACATCCTATCCACCTAGATAAGACAAGGGAAAGCAAGAAAGTTTCACTCTGATTTCCAGTGAGACTTAGGTGATAAGAAAAAGGCAGTGAACGTCATTTTCATTGAGTTAATACGTAGACACTTTTGGAAAGTTCACTTTCCCTTTAAAGTGACTAGAGAAAACAAAGGGCTAGAAATATTAAATGTAAGATAACCCTTAAAGATAAGATGACTGCCACTTGAGCCCAGGAGTTCAAGGCAGCCTGGGTGACAGAACGAGACCCAGTCTCTTAAGAAAAAGGGAGATGCATATGGTATTAGAATACATGTTTAAGTGATTTTTTCAACTTTTATCTTTCTGGTAAGCTACTGTGGCTAGAAAATGCAATTTCTCATCCATCTTTCCAAGGTTCTAGCTAATTCAGGAACTATCCCAATAAAACACCATCATTGTTATGACATTGTTCAGGTGAGTGGGAATAACAGTGTTAATCCCCAGAGAAGTGGCTATTGCACAAGTCGCAGAGGGCAGATTGGGTGTCTGTAGAATGCAAAACTTGAATTAAGGGTTGCAAGTCCACACTTTTACTGCTTTCCTTGAGATATGTGGTAAAAAAAAAAAATAGTTTCATATTAGACTGTTTAAAAAAGCAAACAGACTTTATTTAGTTTGGTAGATTTTCTTCCTGGTGTCTGGAACTACGCCCTCATTTATTGTGGCTTATTCAAAACAGCATATTTTAAAGCAGTAATTATAGCACAGATGATCAACAAAGGCAAATATATGTGCCATGCTAATCTTTGTACAGTATTTTGAGAAATCAACGTTGTTCTCTTTTATTAGTGGCTGAAAGTAGTTAAATATTTTCAGTAAAAACCTTGTTGACACTCAAGGTATTTTTATTTTAAGAAACAATGGAGAGACAAAGGCTAAATCTCTGTTTGCTTTTCTGTGACTATCACTGATTCTCTCTAAAACGGGGTCAACAAAATGATACAGAGAGGTAAGAATATCTTTGTGCTTCAGTCTGATTGGGGGTGCGGGGGAAGATCTGGAAGAGGTTGGATCTTTAAAACTCAATGTAGAGTTTTCCTTAGGCAAAAGCTAAACAAAACCAATGCCTATGTTCTAGAGAAATGTCCTAAACAATCTCTTCTTCCCCACCAAGGTTCATGAGATAGATGCAGAGCCTACTCCGTATCCTCATGGGTGATATTATTATAAAATACACTGTCACACTTGGCGCCTCCAAATATCTGATTATTTACCTTGAGCAAGACAAAAATGTCACCATTGTTTGAAGAAATGAAAGTATTAGTCCTGATGCTAGCAGAGCTGCTTTAGAGAAGAAGGGAAAAAAAAACAAAACCAAAACAAACAAAAAAAACCACCACCAAAGAACCCTTGGTAGGATGCTAATCAGGCCTATTCAGAAAAGCCCTAATTAATGTAATTAAAATCTGTCAGATCAAACTGATTAGCCTGATACTCAAGCCGAGTGGAGGGAGTGGGGCTCCTGGGGGGAGGGGAGGCAGCTGCTGCTAAGGTGGGGTTAGCTTTCAGAAGAAGGAGGTGGTTGGTCTCCAAGGTGATCAAAGCAACTTGTCTTTCATTTCCATGGAGGGAGGACAGTGGGCTCCTGGCTGGAGACCTAGTTTCCTGTGTCTCTAGTTGTTCTCCCGCACCGAACCATTCAGGTAGGAGAAGCAGGGCCTTTCTGGGCTGTGGTGGAAGGCAGCTGGGGAGGTGTCTTGTCTTCCTCTTTGACAGCTAGAATATAGATGAAGCATTTTTCCTCCCCTGGCAGTCCCCTGTTGCAGTCATTGGTCATGACCACCGACACACCGGCAGGAAGGAGACAAAGGCTGTGTCATGTGATCTTCCTGATAGGGCTGTTGACACAGGCCTCTTGTGAAGATCCACATTCTGGGGTGGGAGAGCAGCCAGTGGCCTCTGCCCGGCAGGGCTCTGCGCTGGGGAGAGGGAGAGTTCTGCTCAGGGGCAGCCCTTTCAGAGGTCCCGAGGAAGTTTCCAGGCGGCTTGAGTGGAAAAGTGAGTATTTCATCACCAGTGCGAGAGTCTTAGTCTAGCCAAATGGAAGAAGAAAGGACAAGTAAATTCGGGGTTAAGAAATTCTCTGAGCTTCTAATCATGTCCTGAGATATATTCTTTCCTGGAGGGGTAAAATGACATTTCTCTTAATAACAGTTATTCTGAAGTTCAGAGAAGGTCATTGCAGGTCTTTATCACTTCTTTACTGATATAGAAGTTTAAAAAGCAAGACTCACTTAAGAGATTGGTGCTAACCACCTGAAGTGATTTTATATGATCTTTCCTTGCTTCTTAACAAACAGGACTAAGTATCCTGGGTCTTCATGATACTGTAGTCATATTGTACCCATTTTGATTTTTCTGCTAACACCAATATCAGAAATAACTAGGAAAGAAAAAGGAAGAATGGAGATATTGAAAGAATTTGGAGTTTCAGCTTTTTTCCTCAGTTGTAAGTGCTACATGTAGTTGTACACAGCATTTTTAGTCACAGCCTAGCAATTAAGTTTATACAATTTCTTGAGTTTTTGAAAACAGTCAGAGAAGTAATTAATTTGGGTTTTGCTAGCATAGTACACCTTAAAAATTGTCTTTAACAGTGGGGTAGGTCTTTGATGGAAATGCCTGTAGAAAGATGGACAGACACATGAATTGTGGGCCAAACTGTAAGTTGAGAATTGCATAGCTTCTTTTCATTGTGTATGGTTTAGCTAATAACACAAGAATAGGATGTAAAAAGCTAAATCTTTGTTGTAGGAAGTTAGTAGGACCTAACCAGGGGAAAATGTGTATTAGGATCACCACTGCAATGCCCTCTTCTGTCATCCTTATCTTCCTTATCACATTTTGCTACCATTTCTTATAGTGGTTGCACCAAAGGAATAAGAATTACAAGGGCTTTCACTAAAACTTTAGTAAGAAAGTAAGAAAACCATTTCTGGTGACAAAGAGAGTAGGAACTAGGAGTTGAGAACCTTTGATAGTTGTCAGTTTTTACTATGGTTAGCCAAGTGAGAGCAAATCCTATACTCCTACCCTCAGTCTCTTCAAAGCTAATGCAGGGGCTGGGCTGGAAAAGTGCACAGATCTAAACACCTGGGACATTTAAATGAATAAATTCAAAGTAGAAGCATACTCCATTTTCTAGCTGTGAAACTGCATATTTGGCAGTTCTTAAACGGCTTGTGCCAGATTCTAAAATGTAGTGGTAATAAGTAAATGAGTGTATGCCTTTGTTTCTGCTTTATTTGGTATGAATGACTAGAAATGGGAAAAGTTCCTTTTCCTTTTCTAGACCTCTAATAGCATGGGCCCTGTGTCTGTCAAAAACAATATCTTGCACTTTGGGAGGCCAAGGCAGGAGGATTGCTTGAAGCTAGGAGCTCAAGACTAGCCCGGACAACGTAGGGAGACCCCATCTCTACCAAAAAAAAAAAAAAAAAAAAATTAGCCAGACATGGTGGTGCATACTCATAGTCCTAGCTACTCAGGTGGCTGAGGTGAGAGGATTGCTGGAGCCCAGGAGTCTGAGGCTGCAGTAAGCTGTGATCATGCTACTGCACTCCAGCCTGGGCAACAGAGACAGTGTCTCAAAAAAAAAATAGGAAACATCTCTAGAAAAAGCAATATGAGTGTGTAGTTATGGGCAGGACTCAGGCACTCAGAACTGACCACGCTGCATTATTGTGATGTCAACAGCTTAGTTCTGTCCATACCTGTTCTGATCAGACCGCTGAGCCTATGTTTGACTTAGCCCCCCTTTCCTACAATTTCACAATTTTATGACTCTCCTGGTTGCACTGATATCCTTGAAAAAGACAGCTGAGTTCAGTTAGTGAACCTGCAGTAAAGTGGGGTTGCCTGGTCAGCACAGGGTCTTATCAGGAGAGAAATGTGTTTTATGGAATACTGAAGGCCAGAAAGGTAGGGGAAGGCTTTTCTCTTTTTCCTTGTTATTTTGTCCTGCTTCAGATTTAACCTTTTCCACTTCTTAGTATTTTAGAGCTCTTTTCTCTAAATGTGAAGTAAATGCCTTCCATTTTTTTTTTTCTTTCTGAGACAGAGTCTTGCTCTGTCCCCCAGGCTGGCGTACAGTGGCGTGATCTCGGCTCACTGCAATCTCTGCCTCCTGGGTTCCAGCAATTCTCCTGAGTAGCTGGGATTACAGGCATGTGCCACCACACTCAGCTAATTTTTGTATCTTTAGTAGAGATGGGGTTTTGTCATGTTGTTCAGGCTGGTCTCGAACTCCTGGCCTCAAGTGATCCATCCACCTCGGCCTCCCCAAGTGCTGGGATTACAGGCATGGACCACTGCGCCTGGCCCCATTTCCAATTTTATATTAGCACTTTTGGAGGCAGCAGAGAATGTGGGCACGATAGTATGGTGAGTATGAGAGAGAGAACAGAGAGAACAGATGCTGTTACTGGAAAGCAAACTACTTGCAGCTCCCAAAGCCAATTATGTTACCTCTCCTATTTCTATAATAGAGGAGCTTGACAGCAAATGTTGAAATCTGTAACTTCCTTTCACCAACAAGCCTCAGGTGACTGACCAAGTCGTGTACATTTTATGTCTATATGAATGTGCTTTCCATGCATCCCTTTAGTAAACAGACACTTCCAAAGTCACTTCTCCAGCCATACTTCCCACAGTTCTGTGAGTCCTTCATTTTGGCCAGTGTGGATGGGAGGATGGCCTGAGCTCTTGCCTCCCCTCACAGCTTTGCTTGTCCAGCTGTGGCTGCTGGGATGCCATCCAAGGCTCAGCTCCGATGACACCTTCTCCACCACCTGCCCTGGTTCCCCTGTCCTCCCTCCCTGTCTTCCTCTCCTGGGCTGCTTCTGTGGCATCTATCATTTCCTTCCCTGAATTGCGTGCACATGCACATGGCCACACACACACACACACAAACACACAGGTGCATTGTACTATGCCAGACTGGAAACTTGTGCCTTCTCCGTGCCTGGCACCATGTCTGTAATTAACTACCCACTGAGCAAATGAATATAGGAAAGAATGATAAATGGCTGCCTTTACCTTTAAATTAGATTGGTTCCTTGTTCTCTCGATTGTCCGTTTCTCTTTATTTCTTGTCTTTTTGGCCTTGAGAACCTGAATTTAGGCCATTGAGAATTTCATACCCACACTTTCACCCTCATTCTAACCTGCTGACCACTTTTTTAGTTCTCCTACAAATGCAAAATATTCATATTTGGTGCAGAGTAGCATAGGAGATGACACTGAGTAAGGAGCTTGAATGCTAGTCTGAACTCCAATGCTGGTGTGATGTGAACTTGGAAAAGTCACCTCATCTTACTGGGCCTCTGCTTCTATTTCCATAAAATGAGAGGGTTGGACTGACAGTCCTTCTCAGATATGTGCCTTGGATCCATAGGCTGCTTCCACAACCAGATTTCTGGTTTTATCTACTCTGTTTGTTAGTGTTACTCTAAGATTTCAGTAGGCTTAATAGAAGTAAAAAAGATAAACAGTAGTGGTTCCATTACTAAGATAAAATCTTGGATAAGTTATACTCTACTATATTATCTCTAAGGTTCTTCATGGAATTCTAAACTAGTGTGATTTGAAGACATCATGAGAAGAGCTTTACTAAAATTAAAATGAAAACCTACAAGAATTATTACACTTAGGAATTGTTTTTTTTGTTTAGTTTTGCAGTTGCTTATGGTACTTTTGGATATAAAGTATTGAGATTTTTTTAACATTTACTTTTTATTCTTTCACAAAAACAGATGAGCTCGTTTCTGAAGAATGTATATTCCTAAGCTGTCAGCTTTCTGCGCGTGCTAGGTTCTCTCCCTTCATCCATCTTACCTGCCAAGAGAAAACTTCCCTCACCACAGAAGGCTGTTTGGGGACTGGGTAGTTTTGTATGCTAGATGTCTTACACAGTTACACCTTCAAACACGTATTTTGTAACAGTCAGTACTTAGGTGGATTTTGGCCATTCATATTCTTTCTCTTTTCTTCTCTGAGTTAAAATAAAGCAAACCAATATACCCACATCTAAGGAATTCAGAGAAACACTATTCAAAAGTTACAAGTAAAGCAAAACTTCTTAAAAAGGCATATCCTTAATGAAAAAAAGTGTTTACTTTTTGTATTTAAAATTTAGTGATAAATTGTGCTTAGAAAGAAATATATAAAAATATATTTGGAAAAGGTACATCCAGAAAATCTTTATGCCTGATGGGTTGGTTTTGTCACTATACCTGTAGTGTTGTATCCATTAAAATAAAAAAAATTACTAGAAAAGTCAGGTTTCACCTGTTATAATATATCCACAATGTTATCCATCCAGTTTGTGTATTTTTTTCATTCAGAGCATTGAGCCCGACTGAAGAGAAACTTAAGAAGGATCACAAAGCCAGTTTCCTTAATTGTACCTAGGAATGAAAATCATGGTAACAAGAATATCTGACATGTAATAAGGTTCCTTGTTAATTGTTAACTCTTTGAGTTGGACCTGGCTCCTTAAGCAAACATAACCTCAGTGGGCTAGGTCTTCTGCCCCCGCAGACCCAGTCTTAGGGACTAAGCTTGTAGACCAAGGAGGCCTCTTCCCCAAACTAGGAGAGTGGACTCACAGCAGGAGGGCTTTCACTGTCTCTTCAAACAGGAAGGGAAGGAATCATGTTACTTAAACTGCTATTTTCACATAAAGAAGGCAGAGAAGGGGGACTGGTTCTGTAAATGTCTTTAAGATCACAGGGTAGCTGACCTGACTTTCTCAGCTGTTATTTTGCTTGTTTAACTGACCCGTTGTCTGAGCAGGTGTGTGGTGCCGCAAAGGATTGCTTAGGATAGCTGGCATAACTTTCCTTTCCGTCTGGAAAAAAGAGGGGCAAAGAGTAGGCCACAACAAGGCTTGGTTAGGAAGATTCTGGAGTCTGAGCCCTTGAAGGGGGAAATGATGCCGAAGTCTGAATTTTCTTTATAGAAGGCAAAATTATTTTTGAAAAGGTGAGTGGATGGCCTATGAAGTATTTGGGGAATGGTGTTGCCTGTATATTTTCCAGGTAACCAGTTTGTTTTCTTAATTTTTCCATGTGTAAATTGGAGAATCAGAATTTACACGAAAAAATTAATGTTATGCTAATTGAAATAAACCACATTTAAAAAGACAAATATTATATAAGTCCACTTATTTGTGGTATCTGTGTCAAGTTCATAGACACAGAAAGTAGAATAGAGGTTACCAGGGACTAGGGGTAGGGAGGAATGAATAGGGAGTTATTGTTTAATAGGTTTGGGGAGGATGAAAGTTCTGGAGATGGATACTGATGATGGTTGCCCCACAGTGTGAATCTACTTAATGCCACTGAGCTGTACACTTAAAAGTGGTTAAAATGGTAAGTTTTATGCCATGTATATTTTACCACAATAAAGAAATATTCAAAGACATATTTGTCATAAGATATACCAAAGGAAACCTGTAACAACTTGGTCCAGGGCCTAGAAGGCTAACATGATTAAGACATAGCAAGATTTTTTGTTTGTTTTTTCTTAAGTAGACTGAATATTTTGGCAAGATTTTTTTTACTCTATGGAAGATTTTCACATTCTTTGTTTTAAAGGTATGGTCGTCTTGAATTTCTGGTTATTGATGCCTTTAATGTTTTTTTACGCTTCATGTTTACATTTAACTAACAATGTAAAAAATAACTATCAACTTGCTGTTAATAATGTATATCTTACCTTATCCGATTGTGGCATAGGAAAATATCTAGCGTATTAAATTAACAATTGTTTTGGATCCTCTGTTGGAAGACAGACTGTCTCCTTGATGATGCATTGGGTAGGATGGCAGATTTACACCCGAATACGTCTCAACTAGATGAGTAAAAATACATCACTTTAAAAATTCATGGTCATGCCGGGCGTGGGGTGGCTCACACCTGTAATCCCAGCACTTTGGGAGGCCAAGGTAGATGGATCACGAAGTCAGGAGATCGAGACCATCCTGGCCAACATGGTAAAACCCCATCTCTACTAAAAATACAAAAATTAGCCAGGCATGGTGCACACCTGTAGTCCTAATTACTCAGGAGGCTGAGGCAGGAGAATCATTGAACTGGGAAGACTGAGGTTGCAGTGAGCTGAGATCACGCCACTGCACTCCAGCCTGTACAACAGAGTGAGACTCTATCTCAAAAAAAAAAAGTTATGGTCACTATTTAGAGGAAATTAAAACCTAAAAAAACCCTCAAATATTAAATATTATTTTTCACAAATTTACTTCCTAATTTTTGGAGTAGAATTTTATTTTAATTGCATTTTTATTTTAGAATGAATTGATTTTTAGATTTTATTCAGTTTAGGGAAACTGGACTCAATTTCATTTCTGCCTTCATCCGATAATTTTTATTTACACTGGTTTAGGAGCTTTGCCTATGGTGACCCTCTTCTTCTCTACTATCTCCCTGTCCCCAAAGAAGAAAAAGCCTTGTTGCAAATAATTTAATTTGAATTTCTAATCAAGTCGTTTTTGAATCAGACAGAAGACCTCTTAGTGAAAATTGTAACCCAGTTGGAAATTAAAATTAAAGCAACCAGAAATGTTGTCATAAGTAATCTTTTGTAAGTAGCCTTCTCCCCTTTATATGTTTTTTTCCTGTTGTATTTATAGTTTTAAAAAGAAAAAACACAGTTGAGACCCCAATTTAGAAATACATAAGTATTCTATTGTATCTATTATGTATTCTAATAGAATACATAAGTATTCTATTGTATCCATTATGTATTCTAATAGAATACATAAGTATTGTATTGTATCCTGTTTGTTTTAATTCTTGAAATACACTTATTGGCACCCAAGGACTCTTAGGAAACTTTAAAATGCCAACACTCTAAGGAGGCTCACTTGCTCTCCTTGGGACCTAGTTATTGAGTAACAGGGTTGAAGCCAAAACTGAGTTCCCTGGTTGGCGAGGCTCCCTGAATACAAGTGTCTTGGCTAATGTCCTTTTTCGTGGTTTATTTTACCAGTAGCACAGTGTGCCCACCACCCCCCAGCCCTCCACCCCCCACAATGTATACAATACTCTGGGTAGAAAGTTCATGCCTTAGAGCATCCTTATCCCCTAGTTTACAGAGTGGTGAGATCTTTTGAATGAGTGTCTAGAGTACAAAGGTTATGAACCACTTGTAAAAAGTCACAGAATAAAAGCCCCTCTGGGGTTTCCTTGCAGAGCAGGATCATTGTGTTGGTCTCTTTTTTTTTTCATGGAGACTAGATTCGTAGATCATAGGTCATCTGTGTAAAGGATCAGTCTGCCTATTGCTTGGTTAAGGGGTTGACCAAAGACTGATGGTGTCATGAGGTAGCTGTCATTATTTCATTGCAGCAGGGAAATAGAAAACAAGATCATCTCAACATTTTTACAGAAACACGTATGTATAAAGAAAACTGAAGGAAGATACAAACTCAGGTATTTTACAAAATGAATTTTAAATGCTTTTTGACTCTGAAGTAAATGATTTGCCTCTTAATCCTTCTTTAAAGCATTTAAAAATCTTTTGTGTGTATACCTGGTGTATTTGTATAAAACTGAAAATCAGATTGCTACTTGTTCCTTTCTGTCTATCTCTCTCTCACTTAAAACTAATTCTGAATTGGGCAGGGGCAGATGGTGTCTTCAGTATTTGGCTTTTTTTCAAGATTTTCTTTTAAGAATATGTCAAGTATTCTAAAGACCATTAGATGAATTAAAAAGCATGGCTCTTCTGCTAAAACAATAACTTCCATGTGTTTTCTTTTGTGCTTTACAAATGAATTTATGAAAGACTTGGATATTTCAGCCTAAGAAGATCAGTGTCAGATTAATGTATAAGCTTTAAGAAGATAAGGACCATGTGCATTTTACTTCTTCAGGTAGAACTAAGAATAGCTACAGGCAGTTTAATCAATTATTTAATGGTGATTGGAATGAACAATAGCTATACTTTTTAAGGAGAAAGAAGATGCTTAATGTAATGCTTTTCAAATTTTTCTATGCCATAAAAGGTATATATTTCTTTGATCTTTATGAGAATAGTGTATATGTGTTCTTTCATAAGCAAAAACATACTACTGATCCTTTGACAGAGTGGATACATATTCTGAATTCATAGCGAGAATAGGATTTTGACATTTCATACACATCATTTTACTGAAGACATCTCTAGCATGAATACTGGCAATTTGTTTATAATTTGGAACAAAATATATTGAAATGACCCATACTGCTATTGGACCTGTGATCTGGGTTTCATCAGCTAACTAGGACTTCTCAGTGTGGCCTGTCCTGGATTATCTGAGCCAAGGAAGGAAATAATTCTCACGAAGCATGACTAGTTAAAAATCACTGCTAATTGAACCTTCCTAGCATTTTGGCTGTTAGGATACTGGGCAGGGTCCTTAAATGTGTATCTGATAATACTTTGCAGTTTGATGAAGCAAAAAGTAGAGTTGGCTTTTACGGGAATTTTTTTCTTGGATTTAGTTATATTTATGTGAACAAAATCTGATCATTACTTTGGGAAGATACATACATGTCTTGCATTATTATATACATGAGAGATATTATTAATCGGATCAGGGCCTAGCATGTGATTAGTAGCCTGGTTCACTATTATAACTAGTTGTCTTTACATCTCTTATGGTTTATTTACTTGTTAGAACACTTTAAATGGAAAATGCTTGTCATTTGAGTATCTGAATCCTTAGAGGAAAAAAGAATGGAGTATGTGTCCCCTTGAAAAGCCTGCAGATTAGATTATCAGCACAGTTAATACGTAAGGGACCTTGTGTCTCCCTAACTTGCCAATATCTATTTGTTGAGTGTTGCAAGAGTTTGCTAATTAAACAGTTCACAAGATGCTTTGAGCAGAACTTGT
This sequence comes from Homo sapiens, assembly GCF_000001405.40. NCBI lineage: Eukaryota > Metazoa > Chordata > Mammalia > Primates > Hominidae > Homo > Homo sapiens. Next base: position 106,055,693 of record NC_000006.12, read on the forward strand.
GGACATTTCACCAATTGAACATTTTATTGCTGCCGTTGAAAAAAGCTAGTTGGTGTTTATTAACTAACTTTCTTGCCATGGTTCTGGAGAGTCATGGGTACAGCTCTGGTCCCCGACTCTAGATTTTTAGAGCTCAGAGTCACTATTGACACTTTGCTTGCAAACGTGCCTGTTGTTACTTCAAGGCACAACCATCACTTTACTGAACTTGCAAATATGAATTAAGTAACAAGATGCTTTTGACTGAGAGTCCAAATCAAATTAAAGCTGTGTGTGGGAGGGGATTGGGAGAAAGGCTCATTCTTAAGAACAATTTTTTTTAACTCAAGGAAAAACACATTGTTTCAGATATAAAGGTAGGAACTGAGATATTTAAAATTAAAAGTAAATCCTTTCAGGTTAAGAATTTCCATCTCATAATTCCTTACAGATGAAGCTACAAAGCAGTTTTCTGTCATAATGTAAGCACAAACTTCCCTTACCCAGTCTTTGTGGTATAGCCCAGCAGGACTTGGGCTACTGGCCTTCCCACTCTGTTGTCCTGCAAGTGAGCCCTCAGCAGCGAAATGGGAGAAGCACGGAGAGTCTGCACTCACCCACAGATCCCTAAGAGGATAAGGACAGTTTCTGGCCTTCTCATCCCTCACCGCCTTTGCAAGTGATTTGAATTGAATGAATTGGCCATTCCTAGAATGTAATTAGTAGGAATATTAATCTAGCCTTTATAAAGGTGGAAAAACTGCCCCACTCTTCAGACAGCATATCTGATCTGCTCCAGTATGTATCAACTTGCTTGGACTTTAATGCCTTCAGACCCAAAAGCCTGTTTATCAGCCACACACAACCGACTCAGAAACAGCAAGAGAAGCTCCTGCGAAGGAAGTAGGTTTGAGTCTATTTGCCCTTTGTTGTGGTCAGTAAAGGAACTACTTGTGCTTTTTAATTAGAAGGGTGGGACCAGATTTTTCTTAATTGCAGTTTGAGCTATAACACAAAGCATTTAAAGAATGACTTTTTAAAATAAATTCATTTACATTCTCTCCTGCATTCAACCCCTAACCTTTTCTTTGAATGACTTCTCATTTTCCACTTTTTCCTTAACCCTTCCTTCAGAACATATTCAGCCTCCTCAGTTCTGAATAAGGTTTTGAAGCTCTAGCACTGCTTGTGTTTGTTATTTGGCTTGGGAAGGTGCCCAAGTTGTACAAGGCCCTGGCAGGTGAGAATGCAGGGACAATGGGTGTGGCTTTTGTTTTCAGAATGTGGATTCACAAGTGCTCAAGGAATATGACTTCAGCACTATACATTTTGAATAGCCAGAAAGGGTTCATCAGAAATTGCAGACAGCTGCTTGTACTACGTAGGATTTATCCTTAGAACTAGACAAGGAAATTTGTATTTCCTGTTTTAATTAGAAGGGACTTTCACAACATAAGAATAAAAGGCATGGTTTGCCCCAAAGACATGCATCTGCTTTATATAAAATAAATGCATTATAAGTGTGAGAAATTGCTTGAAGATGGCCATGATATTGAGAATATGCTGTGTATTTACTTTATAGTCATCTGAGGTTTTCTTTTCCAGTAAGGTTAAGAACCTCAAGAATTTTTATGAGTGGTTTAGAGAAAAGCATATTCAAGAACTGGTGTTAAAGTTGTATTTATATAGAAATGTGAAAAGAAGCCTTTTGCTTCATCCACCTGCCAGATATATTCACATATCTGTAGCCTTCTTTTATGGACCCTGAGAAGAGGCAGTGGTCCTTACTTTTTCACTATAATTTTTGGTTTGGAATGCATACTGAATGGAGTATAAGTAGATAGGAATATATTTGTTGGGGTATTTTTTTTCCTTCTGAATTTGTAGGATAATCTACTGGTTTACTGCACAATATTGATTTTTTTCTTCTCAGTAAATCAACCTTACATATGTCTATGCAGAGAATGCTAAATTCACTGTTTCAAAGGAAAGCATGTCAAAGAGCCATTTTTAAATCATTTGGAGTGACAGAGGATTCCTAACAGAACCATAAATCATCTTTTAAAATGATATTGGATGTAATCATCACTTAGTCTTTGCTCTATATGAAACTCAGTTTTTATTCCTATACCTCTCTTACTCCCAGAAAATGTGCCTTAAACCTTAGATAATTCATTTTCCTTTTTAATTATACAAGTATAGGTAAGACAGAAAATGAGAGGTATATTCTGAAAATCATAATTCAACTTTTGCTGTAAAAAGTAGATAGAACTTGATGCAAGTGAATTTGTGCCGGTTTCTCCTAACTTTCCCATTTGGGCAGGGGCACCACTTGATTGTATAGGTTTACAATTTTGAAATGCTTTGTAACTCTTCACCTCCTTGGCCTATTCTTACATTACATACCACCCTGCACCAATATTTGGCAAAAGTTATTTTCAACTCTCAAATGACTCTTGGGACAGCCTCTAAGTCAGTTTGAGCTGCTATACAAAGTACCACAGAGTGGGCAGCTTGTAAACAAAAGAAGTTTATTTCTCAGAGTTCTGGAGGCTGAGAAGTCCAAGATCAGGGTCCAGCCAAGTTGGGTTCTGGTGAAGGCCCTCTTCCAAGTTGCAGACAACTTCTCACTTGTTGTATCCTCATGTGGATACAATCAGAGTGAGAGAACTCTCTGAGATTTCTTTTATAAGGCACTAATCCCATACACAAGAGCTCCACCCTCATTGCCACATTACCTCCCAAAGATCCTGCCTCCTAATATATCATATTGAGGGCTTAGGAGTTCAGCATGTGAATTTTGGGGGGACACAAACATTCAGTCCATTGCAGCCTCAAGACAATTGATTCTGGCCTCCATGTGCTTCCACTTTGGCATTCCCACTAGCCAGCATATTTCTTTCTTTCTTTCTTTTTTAAAGATAGAGTGTCACTGTTGTTGCCCAGGATGGAGTGCAGTGGCGCAATCTCGGCTCACCGCAACCTCTGCCTCCTGGGTTCAAGTGATTCTCCTACCTCAGCCTCCTGAGTATCTGGGATTACAGGCATGCGCCACCATGCCAGGCTAATTTTGTATTTTTAGTAGAGGCGGTTTCTCCATGTTGGTCAGGCTGGTCTTGAACTCCCGACCTCAGGTGATCCGCCTGCCTCAGCTTTTCAAAATGCTGGGATTATAAGCTTGAGCCACTGCGCCTGGCCACCAGCATATTTCTTTAACTTCATCTTCATAATGTCAGTGTCCTGTTCAAGAACTCATGGTTCTTAAAGATCACTCGATGAACCAAATTTAAATTTATAGCATTCAGAGTTGCCATCCATCTAGTCAGTAATTCTTTTCATCCTACAAATATTTCTTGAGTACCTACATGTATCAAGCATTGTCCTAAGTGCTGAAGATACAGCAGTAAAAACAACACAGACAAAACACCACAAGACCCCTGTTATTCTGTAACCCCAATAGGGGTTACATTCTAGAGGGAGAGACAGATAAATCAATAAACAAGCACATTAATTAATTCAATTTCAGGTAAGATAAAAAAGAGTGATTATGATAGTAGAAATAAAACAGTGTAAGGGAATAGAGAAACAGGCTAGGACACTATTTTAGATAGAGCTCTGTAGACCAAAAAAGACTCTCTGAGGAGGTGGCATTTGAGTAGAGACTAATGAAATGAATGAGTGATCTGTGTCACGTGTGGTAGAAATTCAAAGGTGGGAATGTGCTTGTTTGTCAAAGAAATAGAAAAGGAAACAAACAAAACAAAAACCGTGTCTGGAGCCTAGAGAACAAGTGGGAGAATGAAAGGAGATGAGACCCAAGAGATAGGTAGAACATGGAAGGGCCTGGTTTGCATACCTTGGCAAGTAAGGAGCTTTAATTTCATTCTGAGGATGATGGAAAGCCCTTGGCAAGTTTTACCATTGGAGTGACATGATGTGATTTATGCTTTCACAGATTTCTGAATGTAGATGAAGAATACATGGTAGAGGACAAGAAGGGAAGAGGAAGATCACTTAGTAGACTCATTCATTCAACAGTCTAGGCAAATGATGACAGAGCCTTGGCTAAGATAGGAGTGGTAGAGATGGTGAGATATGTTTGGAGGATTTGGCAAATATTTGGAAGATAAAGCAAGTAAGACTTGCTGATGGATTGGATATAGGTGGTGGGGACGGAGATAGGGAGAATCATAAATAACTGATGATTCCTAAGTTCGATTTTGGTGGATGGAGGTGCCAATCACTGAGATTGGAAGATATGGAGAAGAGTAGCTTTGGAAAGAGAGAATCAGTTCTGTTTTGGATTAAGATTGATATGTCCATAAAATGTCCAAATAAAGTTGGCAAGTAGGAAGCTGTTTATAGGAATCTGATGCTCAGGGGAGTGTTCCAGGCTGGAGATGAAAATCAGGAGTTGTCAGCATGTAGTTAATGTATTCAATCCAGACAGTTATTTAAATTCAAATATTAGATGAAGTAGTTGAACTCCAAGTCATGCTATCTTTTCAAAAAGGAAAATGAGGATCCAGCAAAGGACACTAGATGTAGTGGCCAGTGAGGAAGGAGGAAAACAGGAGAGTGGAATAGTCCAAAGTCATGTGAAGAATTTTCTCAAGAAGGAGAGCACGATTGTGTCAAGTGCTGCTCAGAGATAAACAAGCCGAAAACAGAAAATTGCCCATTCATTTGGTAACTTGGAAGTCACTGGTGAGCAGTGTGAAAGGTGATTTTAGTGCAATCATGGGTGAGAAAGCTTGATTGCAGAGCATTGGGGAGAGACTGAGATGAGAGGAAGTGGAGGCTGTAGACATAGATAACTCACTCGAGTACTAGGGATTGGCATAAGTAATGAAAGAGGAGGAACTATATAATAGAAAATTATATACAAGGAAGGATGGATCATAGACTTGAAGCTGGGTGATAAGGGAAGTGAGAACAAGTGGTAAATACTGGAGAATGAAAAAGTAGGGCAGTTGTTCATTGGATTGGAAGAGCTGATGTAATTTGAGGAATTTCTGGAGTCAAAGCAGTAAAAACGTGCTGGGAAGACTAAATAGGAGGAGGTTAGAGACAGAGGCTTTGGAGGACATGTGCTTCATGGCATGATGGCCATTAAGTGAACTGGGAGTGGGTGGCTGGGATGGGGATAAAGGGGGAGAAAACAATCAGATGATGACAGAGGTAACAAGAACTAATGGTAGGGAGGATGACAGTGAGCCAGATGTGAAAGTCTTCCGTCATCAAGGGGGATAGACCAGGAGATCTGGGGATGATGGCAACAAGCAGAGGTGTAGCAGACACCTGATGTCATGTGCTTCAAAAGAACTGGGATTGGGATTGGGGGAAATGATCTGGAAGCAGTCAGAGAAGCAAGGAGAACCCCAACCTCAATGCCAAGTCCCCTGCTTCTCTTTCCGGTTTTTAGCCGGTGTCCCTGGATTTAGCCATGGCAGTTAGATGGTTCCACTGATCCGGACTGAGTGCCTTCCAGCAGTTCAGCAGTTAGATGGTTCCACTGATCCGGACTGAGTGCCTTCCAGCAGTTCAGCAGTTAGATGGTTCCACTGATCCGGACTGAGTGCCTTCCAGCAGTTCAGCAGTTAGATGGTTCCACTGATCCGGACTGAGTGCCTTCCAGCAGTTCAGCAGTTAGATGGTTCCACTGATCCGGACTGAGTGCCTTCCAGCAGTTCAGCAGTTAGATGGTTCCACTGATCCGGACTGAGTGCCTTCCAGCAGTTCAGCTCTGCCTTGTCCTTAAACACCTGGCTAAAGAGTTACATGCCTGCCAGGATGTCCCTGGTTTTCCTTCTGGCTGAATTCATCTGCAGTGGGCATGATAATCACGTCCCATAGCTCATTGTTATCTCAAACATATTTTCCAGTATGTGATTAGATTCTGAGTTCCTCTACTTCATTTTGGCCACCCTCAACAAATTTGGCTCTTATACCCCAGCAACAAGTACTGTAGTGTAAGGACATGTGATTTCTTATTTGAGTTGAATGTCTTAATACGGAAATTGAAGCTTAGAGACATTGAGTGATGGGCTTAAGGCTTTCAGCTAATTAGGGGCAGAGGTCTTCATGCATTTTCAAGGCATTGGGAGATTTTGATGATATCCAACTGGCAAATTCAGCTCTGGCCCATCCATGATCATTTCTACTTTAGTTAATGGAGTTAGAATTTAGACCTATCCAGGAGGCCTAGAAGTGAAGTGACAGACTTTAAAGCACCATTACAAGATATATTCAGGAGAGGATCTATCCTAAAGTTAATTCTGTTGATCCATTTTGATTATCAGATTGGCAAAGATGAAAATAGCTGAAAAATGCCAGTATAGGCAAGGGTGGGGGAAAAACAGCTGTCAGTGAGGTTGTGAATACATTCATCAGTGTTGCAGAGCAAGTGGGATGTATCTATTTAAAATTGTAAAAAAATCTTTTAGACCCCACTGTCTACATGGCTTGTTTTGATAATTCTTTTAGGATATTTATAGAGGTTCTTGATCATTTCAAATTTGGAACTGCCTATAGAATCTTAAAAATACATTTTTACTATACGGGAACAGATCTTTGTCATGTGCAGTATTTCTTTTTATTCTTCAAGATCTAAGTATTAAGGGTAATTTTCTATTTGTCCTTTGGAAAAGTGAAATTTTAATTTTTCTTCTCATAGGGAAAGAAAATGTGTAATCCCTTCATGAGGCTAATCCATAACATGAAAATTCATATCTTGAAAGTGATTTTCCACTGATTTATACAGAATAATTTGAGATGTATTTCCAGTGCTCCAGATGCCTCTGCACAGTTGTTGATGGGAATGTGGAGGAAGCTGGCTCTTACTAAAGTAATTTTAGTGGGATGTATACAAAAAATATTGGCTGCACCTGGCCCTTTCTAAGAGTGAAATGTCCTTTATAGCAAATTGCTCTAACAAGAGTTATTCCTGTATAGAAAAGGTTTTGAATAGCTTTCAAAGCGTTTTCCAACATAACTCCCTACCCCTCCTCCAACACACACACCATTTTGAATCATAGGTTTTGACTAAGTTTTGGCTTGCTGCTGCTCAGCCTGCAACAGTTGGTTACTAAACGGGAGGACTACTAATGTGTTCAGAGAATAGTGGTTCTCTTCTGGTTGCTGATAGGAGGGTTTGTTGGGAAGGAATGGGAGTGTAAATGAATAATCAGTGCTGGTTTCTGTTTTTAAGAGTCAAAGGAAATGGCAGTCCCCTCTCATTTCACCTCCCACCCCCCAAAAACGCCTAAATGAAGATAGATGGATTCCCTTACCAGCAAAGGGCGAAGGGGATGCCCTCTATCTGCAATAGGAATGGCGGGGTGATTCGTGGGTCCCCGCAGATTTAGTCCTTTCGTTGTGTTGTTTTCCTGGGGCTTCCTGACTGTGACCACTGCTCAGCTCTTAAAACTTCTACCTTCAGGTCACGCGAAGGTCAATGTAAACTAACTCAACACCTCCTTTCCAGATCCTTCTTCAAATGGCAAGAAAGACCAGGGGAAATAATGAGCTTGGATTTTCAAAGGCTGCTTTCTACACCAAGTATGTGCACTGGGAGTCTTTTGTATTTTGGCTGTAGAGCAGATAATCTCAGCACCAACTAGTATGGTCTAATGCTGGTTTCACAAGTAGAGTTTTCTTGGTCTTAATTGTATCCTGCCTATAAATGTCTCACACCCCTCCTCCTACCAAATAATGAAAAGTCACATTTTAAAGCAAAAACGTGAATTGCTGACATGTCAGGCTAAGTTTTCTCCTCATTTTCAGGTATTCAGGAATTAGGTGTGACTCCCTGCCCTGTGTGATACATATTTTCTCTGGGGCATCTCTTCATATATAAAGAGAGTGAGTCAATTTAGTAATTCCTAGTTCCTTTAAAAATAATTTCTAAAAAAAATAGGAAAGAAATACATTATGATCAATCCCCAAAATATTTATTAGTCAATTCTGGAAATTCCATGTTAAGTTTACGACATGCTGAATCAAGTTCTTGACCAAATCATTTGTTAGCTTGAGATTAAAAAGATGGGGCAAGGAGAACAGCTGACATGGAGGGTAGAAGGCAGAAATGTGTCAAGAAGCTTTTGCAATGTTATTTTGGTTAATTTCCCCTTGTATGCGAGTCTTATTTAAAGCAAATTATTCATCTTCATTGTGTCAGTGTGGCTTGTAGGGATTTAGCCTATATTCTGTTTACTTACATGTTTTAACAGAGTGCAGAATAGAGAATAGCTTTGAATTTAAAACTAGCTTAGAGAGTTCAAAGCTCACTCATTCTGCAAAGGGTAATAATGCCCTAGTATTAAATTTTTACCCCAAATCCGGCATCTGGGATGGACCCGATTGCAAGAGGAAGTACATTTTTCATAGATGAAAGGGAGAAATCACTGTCCCATCTAAAAATAGCATTGTATTTTCCACCAGTTTATATCAGCTGGAGGTAGGATTAAACAGTAGTTGTCTAGAAGAAAGAGACAGTAATTGAGTGTGACTGTTTCCTCTGCAAAGGCCTGGCCCAGGTGGTGAAAGTTAAGTACTGTCATTCAGATAAGGCCCAAAAGCAGTTAGCCTCGATGTCTATTTGGCTTTTCTGTAAAATATCCTCTCTGGGTGTTGAGCTGTGGACAGACGAAATCCAGGCCTGTTCACAGGGCAGTCACAGTGATCACTCAGGATCAGTGAGATGCTTAGCCAGCGGGGAAACTGTTGGGCAGTTTAAAACACAGGTGGATGTTTTTGCAATGAGTAAAAGAGCCTTGAAGAGGATTTGCCAAATGACTCAAACCTGATGTTTTGAGGACCACCAGAATAATTCTACTCCTATGTGAAAGGGGAGATGGGAAGCAGTGCAAGAATGAGTACTTGTCGTCTGAGGGCGTGCGGCCCAGCCTCAATTTATCTTGACCTCTAATAGCAGGAAAATCTTCTCTCTGATTTTCCTGGCTGTATAGGCATAAGTTGGGTCCTTATGTTTCAGATGTTTCCAGAGCTGGTTCTCCTTGGTGAGAAGGAAAGAATGTATGCTTGGCCAAAGTCCTTACAGATGCTGAATTAAAGCTAGCATTGATCAGGAGACTTTCTGGGGATAGGGTGGGAGCAGAGAACAGCACAGAGCCTTGGAAAGAGCCTTGAGAGGCTTGCAGATTCTGGAGGGGTTTTCAGCCCAGCCACTGAATTGCTTTTTGAATTTGGGGCAGTTGCTTAACTGAATCACCGTTTCCTCTTCTGTAGAAGAGAGATGATGCTCTCTGCTGTTAGTCTATCTGGTCTTCAGTAGGACCTCTGCCAGCCACACTGGTTGTCCATGTGACTAACTGTGCACAGACTGCTGGAATGGCTGAGGTCTGCCATGGATGGGTTTATTCTGATCTCTGGGGTAGTTGGAGGCTGTTTTGATGGCTAGAGGAGGTCTGTGGCTTTAGTCTTTTTGTTGATCTTATGTATTTATTGAACAAGTGTTTCTTTTTGTCAAGTTTTTTGTTTTTTTAAACAGACCAGGTCTTGCTATGTTGCCCGGGTGCTGGACTCAAACCCCTGGGCTCAAGCAATCCTCCTGCCTCAGCCTCCCAAGTAGCTGGGACTACAGACATGTGCCACCACACAATCTTATATATTATTTATTCAACAAATACTTCTTGAGTACCTACTATGATTAGACCTGCCCCTACACAAACCAATCCATAAGAGCCAGGCCCTAGGTGACAGTATATTTTCAGAGAGCATCCTATAATTTAGCTCTTTTATAGCGTCTCGTGTTGTTAATAAGCTGAAATGTACACTGGTTAAAAGTCTGGAAGGAGGAAAGTGTAATCAACAGTTCACTTTTTCTTATGTGTATCATTATCATGTATCAGTAATGTTCAGGTTATCGTAATTATATATTAAAAGGGCTACACTTTTGGCACACTAGTATGTTTTTAATTACTGCACAAAAGGTAATACAGGACTAGGCTGGCTGCCCAATAATATATAAATATAGAAAATGATTATGTTATTTGTAGTTTCTCAGTTTATTTTAAATAAAAACTGGGTCAGCAGGCCTTCAGATAAGAGGTTAGGATAAAAGAAGATTGAGACTTCCCTGCTTCCATGGATTGAACCCATGACTTCCAAAATCAGGGGTCTGCCCCATAATCCTAATGGATTGACTTCCAAAATTCCTTGGATTTGTCCTGCTGTACTTGTCTCTCTAGGGCTTAGCTGGATCCCTGCAGATAGATATTATGGTTTACATACAGTAATTCCACTTAGTCCAGCTGTAAATTTAAGTCTATTGTATTAATACAACATTGAAAGGCAGCCTTGCCCTTGCCCATGGAAGCTGAGCCTGTCTTTCAGATGTGTTTAGCAGAAAATCAAGGATTTTCAATTAGTTGGTTGGGAGGCCCTTGGAGAAACAGCCGCCCTGCCTAACCACCCATTGTCTATGGTTTCCGCTTGCTCCTTCCAAATGGGACAAATAAAGAGATTCTGTGCGTGGTCATTAATAGGCAAGCTTTGGTGGGGGCTTTGTTCTTAAATGGGGGCTTTATCTTATCCCTGCTGGTTAAGCCCCTCCATGTACTCCTCACCTGTCATAACTGTCATACATTTAATTCATCATGCTGGTGGACAGGAGCTAGCTGATCATGTTTAAATGGAAGCGGGGTGAGCTGTGAGGAGGGCTCGGTCACGTCAGTCTTAGAACTTTACCCTCAAAGACGATTATCAGATTTTAATAAAGATTTTTAAAATAAGATTTTAATCAAGTAGGCAGTTTTGTGAAGGAGAATTTTCTGCTTCATGATTCTCCCACAGAGCAGGTTGGATTTTAGAATCCAGCATTTCAAAAGATAGTACAACAAAATATGTTTAAGATTCTTGCATCCAAATTTAAAATACAATAGACATTCAGAAAGGGCATTCTTCTGTTCCTTTCCTGTCTAACTTTTTTCCTAATTATAAAAGTAATATTCATTCTTAAAGATTTGAAAAAATACAGAAAAGAAATCAATAGCATTTCTACCACCTGGTTCTAATTGATTAATATTTTGTGTATGTGTTTCTAGTCTTTTTTTCCTGTGGGTATACATATATACACATTTTCCACCAAAAATGCTTTACAGTAAGTAATGTCAGTTATGGATCCGAGTATTTTCTTCATCATTACATATCTACTGCAACACTGTTCTTTATTATAAAATTATGATATTGCTTATGGTAAAGTATTTGAACCATACCTGTGGACATAGTGTGCCAGGCCCTTTTCCGGATGCTTCATGTGTATTAAGTGATTTAGTCTTCACAATCTCCCAGTGAACTTAGTGCTATTATTATCTCCATTTTGCTGATGAAGAATGAGAGATGTAGGGAAGGTAATTAACTTGGCTAAAGTCAGACAGCATGTAAATAGTAGAGCCAAGATCTTAACCCAGGCAGGATGACCTCAGAGCCAATTCTCTTCACCACCATTACAAACAGCCTCATAGAATTTGCTTGCATAAATAAGACATTTAACCGATTCCACATTGTTAATCATTTGGCTTGTTTCCAGTTTTTCAATATTATAAACAGTGCTTATGGTCAAAAACTTAGTGGATAATTCTCTGGTTGCATTCCATTACTTCCCTAGAATAAATTCCTGTAAATGTAATATCTATGTTTAAATGTATGATGTTGGGTTTCCTCAAAAAGCTAAATATAGAATTACCATATTACCCAGCAATTCTACTACTAGATATACACCCAAAAGAATTGACAAGGACTCAGATACTTATATGCCAGTGTTCATAGCAGCATTATTCACAATAGTGGAAGCAACCCATGTGTCCCTCAACAGAAGAATGGAGAATCAAGATGCAATATAAGACATAAAAAGGACTGAAGTGCTGATATATGCTACATGTGGATGAACCCTGAAGACATTGTGCTAAGTAAAATAAGCCAGACACGAAAGTTCAAATACTGTATGATTCCACTTCTATGAGGTACCTAGAAAGGGCAGAATCAGAGACACAAGGTAAAATAGAGGTTACCAGGGGCCGGGGAAAGGGAGGAATGGGGAGTTATTGCTTAATAGGATCAGAGTTTCTGTTTTGAGTGATGAAAAAGTTTTGGGAATAGTGGTGATGGTTGCATAACAGTGTAAATGTAATTAATACTACTGAGTCGTATGCTCTAAAATGATTAAAATGGTAAATTTCTGTTTTATATATTTTAAACCACAATAAAAAAATGTACATTTGGTAAAAATTTAGAATATCTTCAGCAACAACTTATTATTTTAAAAAATTCAAAGCAATTTATATATAACTTATCTATATTTATTTTGCATAGGTAAATATACTCACATTGTTCAGAATTGTAAAGGTACCAACAGGTATACAGTATACAGTGAAAAGTCTACACACACTCCAGCCACCCTGTTCTTTTTTTTTTTTGAGATGGAGTTTTGCTCTTGTTGCCCAGGCTGAAGTGCAATGGTGTGATCTCGGCTCACTGCAACCTCTGCCTCCTGAGTTCAAGCGATTCTCCTGCCTCAGTCTCCCTGGTAGCTGGGATTACAGGCGGATGCCACGACGCCCAGCCAATTTTTGTATTTTTAGTAGAGACAGGGTTTCACCATGTTGGTCAGGCTGGTTTCGAACTCCTGACCTCAGGTGATCCACCTGCCTTGGCCTCCCAAAGTGCTGGGATTACAGGTATAAGCCACCGTGCCTGGCCCACCCTGTTCTCCTCAGAGTAGCAACTGTTCTCAGCTTCTTGTGTAGCCTTACATATGTTTGTCTGTGTGCAATATGTATATTCTCCTTCCTTCCTTTTCACATAAGTTATAGTATCTTGTAAACCATTCATTTAAATTTGTATTTATAGAAACCTCTCCCACTGTAACTCCTGCACTTTCCAAAAGCATGGTTAAATTCTCCTTCTACCATCCACAGTCATACATGGGAACGTTGTTACCACAAGCTGTACTGAGCTGGGGTTCTGGGTCAAGAGATGGGCATCCTTGCCTGAACACACAGTGCACTCTTCAGAAGGGACATTTTCAACTCTACAAACAGTGACAGCATCATGTCATCTGCAAAGAAAAGAGGACATACAGGCATTTTTCTTTCCCCACATAAGGAAATTATGTTACCCTCCCTAATTTGTTGAAGAGAGGCAACTTTTTTAGGAATTTGGGCTGTGAACATTCTCTGTTTGGAGGCTATGGTACATCCCCCATCTGTGGCCACTGTTAGGTCAGCAAGGGGCAGAGCCTTCTTCAGCTGCAGGTGACTTCCTATCATTCACCCATCTTTGTGCCTGATGGTCTATCTAGTGGTGTGGGGTTGCAGAAAGCACACCAGGTTGTGGGGATAGACTTCGGATTGGCCATCAGCTTGACTACCACTAGCCATTGCCTTTGGATGGTCACTTTGCCTCTCCTGTAAAATAAAGGGCTTCTATAGGGACCCTTCTGGCATCTAGAGTTTACAAAGTGTTTAGTAGCTTAGCACAGGGTCCAATCAATTACAAAAACTTAAAACACATACAGTTGAGAACAAATTTTGTAACTTGATTATATATGACTCCCAATAATGTCTAGGTTTAAAATAAATAAAATAGCAGTTCTTGATAAAGCCATAAACGAAGATGCTAAAACTGCCTGATGACACAGAGCTTTAAAAAAAAAAATCAAAGTTATCAAAATTGTTTGTAGACTCATGCAACTCCAAAGTGGCGTTAAGTGTTAATAAATGAAAGCATCTTTAGCACTTAGGGAAGATATATGGGCTTTTTCCTTTCAACAGCAATAGATACCTGGAATGTCCTTTTATAGTTGTAACAATCATGGAGAGAAAGCAAACTGGAATCTGAGAAAGGTGCTGGATTTGAAGATTTAGATGACGGCATCGCCTCACTCTTCTATGGTTTGGCAGCCCTCTCCACTGCTCAGATACCGTGGAGAAAGAGGGACGAGCTTCTCAGATACTCCAAATGACACGTGCCAAACACGTGGAAGGTAAATCCCCTAATACAGTCTGTTCTTCCAGCATTCCCTGGCAGTCAGCCAAGCTAAATATTTCTGCTGGATAAAAAATGCACTCTCGTGTGCTCCACTGTAAACTGGTTGCCTGACTTTAGTGGAAGAGGTTGCTTCGGTGAGGAGAATGGGAAATGAGGAGTTGGTCTCCAACACCCTGTGTGTGCATTTTTCACCTTAAAAAAAGGTCTCTACATTATTTGTGGCCTGTGACTGTGTTAACTGATGCTAGAAGGAAGGAGAAAATTGGGAAATAGATTTAATGCAATTCTTCCCTCTCCGCATCCACCACTTCTCCCTCAATTTTTTTTTGGTGGTTATCTTTTCAGATTTCCTCAGTGGCTGTCATTTGTGTCTGTTGCATGTTTTTTAGCTAAATCAATCTTCAAAGGCTGTTACATTTGGTCAAATGAGAGACCTAACATATGGACTAGTGGGTTTGTGTCAGATGGGGATTATAGTTAATTGAAATTTATGACAAAACTGCTGACTTCATTAAGACTAATTAGAGGAATAGAATTTGGAATCAACATTTCAGATACCCCCTTCTAATTGTTTTAGATGTTTTTCTTTTCCATAAATGGTAGCACATTTTTAGTCATTGCAAGAATACAAATGAAATTATGGTACACTTTTGTATCTGCTTTTTTAATCCAGGGACTTACCTCAAGCATTCTTTCATATCACATTTTAAACTTTTTAAATGCCTGAATAATACTTATATTATATTTGCCTTACCACAATCTATTTAATAATTTCTGTAAATTTGAATATTCAGGTTGTTTCTAGTGTGTCATAATTGTACATAACATTGTAACTAATATGCTTATATAACTTTGCTCAAATTATTTCCCTGTGGATATATTTCTATAAGTATAATCATTTGGTCAAAGGTTATAAATCTCTAAGGCTCTTGGTATATATAGGTAAATTTCTTTTCAGAAAAGTTATACCAACAAAGTATAGTTTGTAAATATTTAGACATTTAAATTTAACCTAAAATTTCAAGACTTTCCATCTCTTTATATTTTCCTCTGTGTAAATATTGGTAATATTGTTAATATTTGAATAGTAACCCTATGGCATAGTGCTTCTATCTTTTGTGCATTTGACAAACATATTGGGCTCTGACTGTGTGCTAGGCATCATGCCATACCCCAAAGATTGGCTTTGCTACTTTCAAATATTTATTCTGAAGGCAATCTTCCAGATTTGAACAACCATGTTTCTTTGAACAACCATGATTTGTAATGACATGTTTGAACCATCTACATTAAGAATGCATCTTATTGGCCTGATGCAGTAGCTCATGCCTGTAATAGCAGCACTTTCGGAGGCCAAGGCAGATGGATCATTTGAGGTCAGGAGTTCAAGACCAGCCTGGCCAACATGGTGAAACCCTGTCTCTACTAAAAATACAAAAAATTAGCCAGGCGTGGTGGTGGGCACCTGTAATCCCAGCTACTTGTGGGGGCTGAGGCAGGAGAATTGCTTGAACCTGAGAAGGGGAGGTTGCAGTGAGCCAAGATCACACCACTGTACTCCAGCCAGGGGGACAGAGTGAGACTGGCTCAAAAAAAAGAATGCATCTTATTATGCCACCCATTCATGTTCTAATTCAGAGAATGAGGAGAATTATATGTATATGTTATATATGTATGTATGTATATGTAAGTCACGTGTGTATATATATATATACACACACACACACATACATACATACATACAGGTATCTCCAATAAAAATTAATACAGGAAGATAACAATGCTGATCCACTTCCCATCGATTTTGCATTGATTTTCTGGTACTGGATATTGCATTGCTGTACCCATCCATACACTTGCTGGTGGTCTCCTTTCCAAGCCACAGTATTCACTCATAACTGGAATTAGGGGCACAATTTGTGTGGCCACAGACCCAAGCCAGCCTAAGTGACCCCTCTGAGTACAGAACTCAGGTCCTTGGCCTCATTATCCCAGTTCTTTGTTAATCTCAGAGGTGGATTGTCTGTTATGTGGTATCAGTCCAAGCCATATATTCAGATGCCATTCCTGGGAATGTTCCACAACCACAGTATATTTTCTTTGCTTGGAAGGGAGGGTGGGTGAGAGTTAAGGAAGTGTTTTAAGTGTAGATATCATCTAAAAGGTTGGCATCTGATTAAGTAAGGCAGTGGTTCCCAAACTTGACAGCACATTGGAACCACTTGAGGAACTTTGAAAAATACTGGTGCCTGGCTCCCACCCCAGCATTCTCAAGGTTCATTAATTGATTTGAGATGCAACTTGGACATCAGGATATTTTAAAGTTTCCCAGGGTATTCTACTGTGCAGCAAAGTTTGGGGACTACTGAAAGATTTTATGGGGCATATTTTAATGACCTACTATCAATGTGTTCCATTTTCTGATGCCCTTGGCTGGGCTTTTGCAGTTGTGTTTACACCAACTCATAGACATTTATCTTCTTCGCCTATGGTGAGGAAAAGATGTCCTTCATACTTCTTAGCTGTTTCACTGGGGGCAGGAAAAGAGAAGAGAAGTAAGGAAAAAATTCACATTCTAAAAGACAGCAACAACTAATTGAATCTGGACATTGTTTTTTAGGGCTATTTTGGGGTGTAATATGTAGGTCTTAAGCAGAATTCCAGATCGCAAATGAGGTAGCTCTGGGAATCGTGACCTTCCCTGTCCTCTCTCCACTGAAGTGCAGCATGCAATTGGGTGTGCCTCACCTGAGACTAAAGTATCTCATATTCCCCAAGCACAACTCTTCTATTTTCTGTTATAGAAGGGGGAGGAATAGAAGAAGGGAAGAATATATATAGAGAGAACAATTCCCTCTTCCTTCCCACAGTTAGTCCCACAGTCTTTTCTCTATAACCCAGTCCTAATAAAACTCAAGACCCGGATAGCTGGATTTCAGCATCACTTTGGGGGGCTCTGCCCGGATGTGTGTGTGGCTTCTCCTGCTGTCTGCGGTGCCCCTTGTGTTGGGGAGCTGCAGGGCAACCTTCTAACCATCTACATCATGAGCCCCGGGTAAATGAGAACAGAAACATGACGTGGTGGATTGAGCTGTTCTCTGGAAAGAGGATGGTTTCAATACTCCTCATCCCACACAGCTTCCAGGGGTGCTTTGAAGGGAACCTTACGCCAGTAGGCCTTTGAGCTTCCCTGGAAGACGTAGCCTATGTTGTGTACAGATTTGACTCTGGTGGGCTGAGGAAGGGGAAGTAATGATGTTACAAGGGAGTAGTAGAAGGGATGAGAAGTGGCTGCCGGCTCTGCTCTTCACCATGTGGCAATTAACAGGAGACAAATGTCCAAATCCTGGTGACAAATAAATTTGTTTGCCTGTGTGCATATATATCACTCTAAACCCAGAGTATCTCTCAATTTCCTCTTTTCTTTTTTTTTTTTTTTTTGTTTGTTTTTGAGACAGAGTCTCACTCTGTCGCCCAGGCTGGAGTGCAATGGCGCAATCTCGGCCCACTGCAACCTCCACCTCCTGGGTTCAAGCGATTCTTCTGCCTCGGCCTCCCGAGTAGCTGGGATTACAGGCGCCCACTCTCATGCCCAGCTAATTTTTGTATTTCTGGTAGAGACAAGGTTTCACTATGTTGGCTAGGCTGATTTCCAACTCCTGACCTCAGGTGATCCACTCACCTTGGCCTCCCAAAGTGCTGGGATTACAGACATGAGCCACAGCACCCGGCCTCAATTTCCTTTTGATTAGGTATTAAGGGCAATACTGTATCATCATATATCATATTATTTCTTCAATTTAAAAAATGTTCTGAATAATGATTAAGCCATTTACTGTCTATGTTCTCTGGTCAGCTGGACAGCGTTAAGGAACTCTTATTTTTATTTATTGCTTTGCCTAGGTAATGTGTGGCTAAGTATTTTATTATTTAAATGTTATTTGTGATTTTTAAAATTTATGTGAAAAGAGAAAAGATCACAACTTAGTAAGTGATTTCAAGAAGTATATTTGTTGGAATCATGATCAGTCACTGTACATGGAATCCCAGGCCCAGTGACCCATGAGGAGGGAGGCCTGGCTATAGTATTGACACAAATGCAGGTCCCACATCCTCATCTGCATTCCTTAGAGGCCAGATGTGACTTTGGATTCAGAATTTTTCAAATGTTAGAGAGGTGATATTGAAGCATATACCCTCAGTGAGGTGTTCTTATTCAAATGTTAGGGTTTCTGCAGTAGAAAACATGATCCACATGAGTGGAGACAAAGACTACAGACAGCCTCTGGTCAGCATCCGTGGGAGCCATGCAAAATTTGGGGGGAGGGAAGGACCATGGGAAGGCTGTAATTCAGAGTGATAATTCTGGTGGCAGTGGTGCTGATGAAAATTGCAAAGGAGTAAAACTGAAAATGGAGAAGGTAATTACAAGGCCACTATAGCATCTTAGTGGTTAAAATTGATCTATGGTAGTGAGAATAAAAAGTGAAACAACATTCCATTTCCAGAGCTTTTTGGATTTTGTTATTGCAGATGAAATGTTGTAGGCCTATACGCATAACTGAGTGACCAAAAGAAAATTACTTTCCCTGAGAGTCAATTTCTTCCTTTATGAAATTAAGAAATCCAGTCTCTAGGGATTGTAATTTCCCACGTACCAAACACTTGTGGACTTCCCACTCAAGTTGCCAGTTCCTCACAGCATGTTGTATAATAATTTTAAAATACATTACTCATGTATGTTTGATCATTGCATTTTCTGATTTGCATGCTCCCCAAGGGTTGTTTGTATTTGTTCCCAAACTAGATAATGCTAGTTATAATTACGTAACTTAATTAAATATTATATAAATCAATGACATATAAGTATTAAGAGTTGTTTCCATTAAAACCAAGTAGAACTCTTTGGAGAGGCTTGGTAAATACTGGCTGAAAAATCCTGTAATTGAAATAGATGAAACAACTATAGAATATTGGGTTGGGGGACGAGGGGGGATATAAATATCGGAGAGGCCTGGTGCCTTGGCTCACATCTGTGATCCCAGCACTTTGGGAGGCCAAGGCGGGCGGATCGCTTGAGGCCAGGAGTTCAAGACCAGCCTGGTCAACGTGGCGAAACCCCATCTCTACTAAAAATACAAAATTAGCCAGGCATAGTGGCACGCGCCTGTGTTCCCAGCTACTCAAGAGGCTGAGGCATGAGAATCGCTTGAACCTGGGAGGCAGAGATTGCAGTGATCCGAGGCCTTGGTCCTGCATCAAAGATGGGAGAGTTGACATATTGTTTCCAATACTGTATAATGTTTAAGGTTAATAGTCATCATTTTAAAGAAGCTCTAACTTAACTGTTTGTATAGTTTAAAAACTATTGGTCCCAATTGCATTGGATAAGAAAGCATCAACCATGTTGATTATTGACCAAATTAGGGGGGAATTTTTTTTTATTATCATAACACAACTTGATTTGTGTTATCAATATTTCTTAATATATCAGCATACCTTATATTTTGAAATTTTCTCTAAGACTGTGTTTTTATGAATTGAGCCGTATTTAAAGTAAGGACAGTCTATTATTTTCAGTGGCTTCATTTCCAAAACAAACAATTTTCAAAAATCCTCATTTTCCTATATTAAATTAGATTTCTGGGAGCTGAAGTAATATTTTAGCCATGGTTTTAGTTCTGATTCTTAACTAATTCTATATATTTTGAGACAATTGTATTTTTATTCTGGTGATCTATGGCATTCAGAATAAGAACATTAATATGCAGCAACAGTAGCTTCTTGAGAAATGCAAGACATTTTCAAAAAGCTTTACATAGCCTTGTATTAACCATAAAATGTCCTTGGTTCTGATCATCTCTTCCCTGGCCCTCAGGGGCTATTGTGTTTGTTTTCCTGTAGGATCACCCTCATTTTTTCACATAGTGAGAATCTATCACCATCAGATGCTTATTAGGATTTCTAGTTGAAAGAAAACTATACTTTTAATAGAGTGTAGACTTTCCCTTTTCAGGTAAAGTTGCAGCAAGCTTCTTTTTCTTTCTCTTCTTTTTTAAGAGCTGGGGTCTTGCTATGTTCCTCAGGCTGGTCTTGAATTCCTGGGCTCAAGTGATCCTCCTGCCTCAGTCTCCAGAGTAGCTGGTACTACAGGCATGCGACACTGCGCACAGCTAGTAAGATTATTTTTCATCACCATACTCTTATTCCAAAATCAAGGAAGTTGGTATAAGACCATAATAAAAATCACTACAGGGAAAATTAAAAAAAAAAATTTTTTTTTTTTTTGAGACAGAGTCTGGCTCTGTTGCCCAGCCTGGAGTGCAGTGGCACGATCTCTGCTCACTGTAACCTCCACTTCCCATGCTCAAGCCATCCTCCAACCTCAGCCTCCCGAGTAGCTGGGACTACAGGTATGCGCCACTACACTTGGCTAATTTTTATATTTTTGTAGAGATGGGGTTTTGCCATGTTGCCCAGGCTGGTCTCAAACTCCTGGACTCAAGGGATCCTCCCACCTTTGCCTCCCAAAGTGCGACATCCCAAAGTGCTGGCATTACAGGCGTGAACCACTGCACCCAGCCTGGTAAAATCAAATTAAAGTATGTAAAACTCTAAATACATGATTGAAGTCTTAGGTGGCACTAATATTGAAGAATCAGCAAAATAATGGAATTGTACTAAATTTTGTATACAGAAAGAATTTAGAGTGATAGTGCCTGTAAAAACTAGATTTGAAATCGTAGTATTTTGTGGAGAAGGCTTTTGGGGAATTGGATGGTGTTGATTATGTTACATCAGTCTTTTAAAAAACATGTAAGCTGTTACTTTATTAGTAGAAAAAAATGAAGCATTTTTCTCTGAATAATTTAAAACTATGTAGCACTAGAAAAAATAATCCCAGTTTAAATTTATTAGATCTGAATTAATATTATATGAGGAAGGCATACTGCTTAGTAAAATGCAATTTTAGACTATATTACTTAAGATGTACAACTGTTTCCTACACACAAACAAATGGATTATATGCAAAATGGTTGCATAACTTATTTATCTTTGTTTTAAACTACTCTGCACATCCTAAAACAATTTTGCAATCAGAATTGTATCAGCCCACTAAGCAACAAGGAGTTTGTTTTGTTAATTGCTCTAGTTAAACCTAATTACTGTGGGTGGAGTGGCTTTCCGTGAAAGGGAGGAAGGCCCTAAGACTGGCAGGAGAAAATTTTAGGAAGAAGTCCAGTGCCAGGAGTGCAGATGGCTGAGTGGACAAAAGCAGACCCCACAAGAACTGTGTAAGTCACTTTCACTTGGAAAATCTATTACATTTGTTTTTAGTGGATGAACTTATTTTCAAATGCTGTTGTCAGAGGTAAGTTCTTCCCATTCCCATAAACATGAACATCTTAATGTCTGTGGCTCCTGCCCTGGAACATGTTTTTTGAAGTCCCATAAACAAAGGCTGAGCAGCAGTCTTATTTTCTCTAGAAAAACAGAAAGTACATTCAGAGCCCACTACAGTGCTCCCTTCACAGATGGGAGCTGAGAACCATTTTAATTGATTCATTCGGCACACATTAATCAACCATCGATCACACCACCAGGCACTGTGCTAAGGGCTGGGTTTTCAGATACCGATGATTATGTATAGCCTGGTAGGTAGAAGACCACAGAGACAGATCATTGTCCAGGAGGATGAATCACAGTTAGAGCATGAGCAAAAAAGTGGTATACATGAGGAAATGGAGCCCAAGGCTCCCTGTTTTCCATAGACACTGCCTGAACTGGAAGCCAGGTGTCTGGGGCCATGCCTAGCACTGTCACCATCACCCAGCAACTCTGTAGCAATACATGTACTTCAATAAACCAGGACTGCATGTGGACTTCTTGGCTGTATCTTTGCTTTTTGGGACTTCTGAAATTAAAAATGTTTCCACGAATGTCTGAAGTCATATGAATGAATGTTTAATATACATAACAGTTTGAAGGATAATTTCACATGCTGTGTTTTCATTCCTAATGGCATTTTGGAAAACCTTCTGTCTTCTAAAGAATGGGGGAATATCATCACTGGAGAAACCTTTTCTTTGTCTGGCAGAACCTTCTTCTATTAATGTAAACTAGTTGTTAATGAAACAGAGGTCAATAAGGAAATAAATCTTTGATTTGTTTAAATATCTTCTGCACAGAACATCAAGACAAATGGGTGTCCCTTGTCTGAGGAGGAGAAGGCTTTGGGAGAACATTGAGTTAAGCAGTGAGGTAACTGTGATGAGATCTTTCTTGCTCGGTAAATGTGTTTACTTTTTTCACTGGTATTTATACTAGTTAATGTGTTGCTCCAGATAAATCTACTTCCTGCGTCCATCTTTCAGCTTGTTCTCCTCTCTTGGGAGTTGACAAATGGTTTGTGTTTGACACCATTTATCAGCTGAGTCCCTGCTGGGTGCTGCCAGAGGCTTGCTCAGACTACTGTAGAGAAAAAGTGAGTACGGTAAATTTGTATTTCTAGTCCCTCTGTCTAGAGGAGGGTGCATCGCGCAGGAACAGATTCAGATGGCTGCAAGTTTTACCTCCTGGAAGACATAAATTTTCAGTCCAAAATAAGCTCTTAATCTTCTCCTGGTGGGATCTCTGTAAAATGGAATAAAATGAGACCCAGTTTAGAATTTCCTCAGAAGGGCAAAATTAAAGGGTGACTGCTGTCATATCTTTGACACCCTGAAAGTGCCTTACATTTGGGGAACACTGAAAAAACATGTCCCCCAAAATGACTGCAATCGCAGAGACTGCTGCTTTTGATGGAGCAGGATAGCAGCCAGATGCCTTCTTTGTGTTATATCAGTGCTTTTGAATTTAACATTCATTTATATTCATGCAAAGGGAATAAACTTAAGTTAAACAGCATGGCTGGGCGCAGTGGCTCACGCCTGTAATCCCAACACTGTGGCAGGCCGAGGCAGGCAGATCGCTTGAGCCCAAGAATTTAAGACCAGCCTGGGCAACATGGCGAAACCCTGTCTCTATCAAAAAATACAAAAATTAGCTGGGTGTGGTAGTGGGTGCCTCTAGTCCTAGCTACTCAGGAGGATCATCTGAACCTGGGAGGCTACGGTGAGCCATGATTGTGCCACTGCACTCCAGCTTGTGTGACAGAGGGAGGCCCTGTCTCAGAAAAGAAATAAAATAAAAAATAAAACAGCGTGAGGGCCTTGAGTAGATCATTTGGGGTCTCTGGAATTTAAAGTTTTATTTTAAAAAAATTATTATTATTATCATTATTATTATTATTATTTTCAGACAGAGTCTTACTCTGTCGCCCAGGCTGGAGTGCAGTGGCGCGATCTCAGCTTACTGCAACCTCTGCCTCTCGGGTTCAAGCGATTCTCGTGTCTCAGCCTCCCGAGTAGCTGGGACTACAGGTGCCCGCCACCACGTGGGCCTGGCTAATTTTTGTATTTTTAGTAGAGACGGGGTTTCACCATGTTGGCCAGGCTGGTCTCAAACTCCTGACTTCAGGTGATCCACCCACCTTGGCCTCCCAAAGTGCTGGGATTACAGGGGTGAGCCACCGCGCCTGGTCTATTATTTTTAACATTTAAAAAAACTGTTAAAACAAGGATCAGTGAGGGAAAAAAAAATAACTGAAGAGAATGGTATAATGCACCCAGTACCCAGTTCAACAATTACCAACTTAAGACCTGGGTTGTTTCATCTATCCCAACCCCACCCAATGATTTTGAGGCAAAGGCCAAAAAGCATATAATTTCATTGATGAATATTGTATCTTGTATTTCTGTAACACAAAGATTTATTTTAAAAGAAAATCAACACAGCAGGGTGCAGTGGCTCACACCTGTAATCCCAGCACTTTGGGAAGCTGAGGCAGGCAGATCACTTGAGGCCAGGGGTTCAAGACCAGCGTGGCCAACATGGTAAAACCCTGTCTCTACTAAAAATACAAAAATTAGCCAAGTGTGGTGGCACGTGCCTTTAATCCCAGCTACTCTGGAGGCTGAGGCACAAGAATTGCTTGAAGCCAGGAGGTGAAGGTTGCAGCCAGCCAAGATCATGCCATTGCACTCTAGCCTGGGTGACAGAGCAAAACTCTTTCTCAAAACAAACAAACAACAAAAAAAACCCAACACGTGATTCATGATGGTTGGAATTGTTAATTCCAGTATTGTATTTTAAAAGGACAGGTTATTAACCACTCTTTAGGCTATTGAGCAGGGAAGAGTGGGAAGAGATAGCTCTATAAAGATTTTTCAGCATTAAAAACACACCCAGGGGCCAAGATTGAATTGCAAAGATGATTTTGCTCCTTTCTTGGATTCTAGGAGATTCTGGAAGGAGAGCACATGCAGGTAGGCGCCAAATTGGCATTTAAAGCTCTGTTGTTTAGATAGAATTACATCCTTTGGGGTGTTGGGTGAGAATGAAGGCTTTACTCTGCCTAGCTGGTGGTGGCAGCGTAATTAGTGAGATGTCAGCTACAAATGAATCAGTGAGGCATGCACTCCCCACACATAAGCACATGCAGATTTGGCAGCTAGCAGTGATCTAGCAGTTGGATCCTAAGTGTGCCTCGTGCCACTTGTTGAGCCTAATGCAAAGTGCAGTTTAATCACTGATGTGCCCGTGAGCATGATTAGCTGTTAACCGATTAGTGAACTGTCTGAGGCCCCAGAGTCATTGATTTGGACTCAGCCTTCTGTTCCACGCCCCCCACCGCAGCCCCCAGCATCCTTCCTTCTCCTCCCCTCAATCTATGAGGAAGAAAGGAGAAGGAGAAGAGGAGAAAAGGTCCAGATGGGAAGAAAAGAATGCTGAAAAGATCCTGTAGGAAGTAGGTCAGGTACTTTGGAGATTAGCTTGCTTCATCCCTGAATGCGAGAGCCAGGCACAAGTAGCATACAATTAGAAGGAATTAGAACAGCAACAAGTAGCTTGGATTTATCAGCTTTAATTGTCTATTGTCAGGACAGAGCTCTCCTCCCAGGGATCATGGTGGCAGTACACATCCTAATACTTTTAATGGACATCCATTGTGGGATTATCTCTCCTAAAGGCAGTGCCTGTTCTCTTCAAAGGAGTTGTGGGGATCCTGCCTGAAAAGCACCAAACCGCTCCTTCCCTGTGTTTGGTCCCATTCTAGGGTAAAGCAGGGTTGCCCTTCAGTCCTCCAGAGGTGCACCTTAAGGGGGCGGATGCCTACTGAACAATAACTCCTTTGCCCTGCTTCCCCGGGGTGCCTGCTTGAAGGAAACAATGGGCTGTAGATGGAGAACAGATAAGCCAGGGCTGATGGCTTCTGGATCTCCAGGCTATCTTCAGGTTAAAAGGTTTCCCAGCTTTTCCTTAGTCAACATTAGAGAGTTGTTCAAAAGATAAGGTGTCTATTAAATGAGGTTTGTTATTGTCTTGCCTTTGCCTTCTCTTTCCTCCCTCCCCTCTCCACCTCTCAGGTGGGTGGAGGTGAAGGACAGTCATGCCTTCTTCCAAACTCAGACACGAATTTGGTTTAGGCGGGTTGAACTTCTTCTGGTGTCACCACCGGTTTAACATTTAAAAGGTTCTCCAATAAGCGCAGCCCCCTCCTCCTCATTTTTAAGTCCATGTGTACCTTAGGTCCAGTAAGTGCTTAGGATCCATTACAGAACCCTGAGCTTGGCTGGAAATCTGAGAACCAAGTTCTGATTTTGCTCCCTGAGCTGCAGCCCTGCCTGTGGGCTGGCATTTCCCAGGTTCACAGTTCTATGTTAAGATCCAGTTACCAAAAAAGAGTCTGGGAGAGATGCCCTTTCTGCTTCCTGACCTCTGGTCCTCAGTTTCCTCAGCAGGAAAATGAAGTGTAGAAGGGGATATATGGTCTTCGACTTAGATTGGATACTAAATCCCCTTTGGAGCAGAATGGGAGTTGGGGGCTGGGGGTGGTCAAATGATTTCACTATTAACCTTTATGATTCTGTCTCTTCTATCCTAACTTACCTTGGCGTGAAGAAAGTCAAGCCTCTACAGTCTTGTTCTTCCCTTAGAAAGGATGAGAAGAAATCGTCAGTCCCATTTTAAATAAAATCACCTGTGTCCTTTGGTTAATATTCTGTGATTTCAGGGAAGCACACGGTGGCAGGTACAACTGTAGGGTCCCTTTTCCTCTTCCAAGGGGACTGCTCCTCCCTGCACTGGGTCTTCTGCTGCTGTTCCTGCTCATCCTCCATAGAAGCCTTTCACCTTCATTTTTAAGCCAACTGGTCCTCCCTAATCTTATTCTTGGCGACCTTCCCTTTATTTCCACCTTGAGTCCTCCCCTCTTCCAGAATGGCTTCTCCTCCCACTGAAAGGTGAGAGAAGCAAACATTTGACCCACAGTCTTGCTCTCTCATTTGTGTGGAAGCTACTCTTCCGGTTCTCCAAATAAAGACAAGAGATGAGTTTCAGAGTGGACACCTTTCCTATTGCTCTTTTTCTCCCTTGTTAACAGTTCAGGTTTTGCCTTCTGTTAGTTTAATTTTAGGATTATTCCTTTTTTCCCACCAGCTGTAAGGTTAGGAAGTGTCTTCTGAGTTCTGAAATAATCTTCCTTCTCCTGTTCTTTCCCACAGACTTCTCAGAAATTAAAATTCTTCTGTCTGAATATTCACTATGATAAAAATATAATTAGAAGGGAAAGCAAATTTTGGAAACCCCAAACCTTGGTTTCCCCACAAGTCATCTGGAAATGATTAGTATTGCTATTATCATTTATTAAGTTGGTAGATGCTGAACTAAAGGAATAGTTTAAAAAATAATTTTAAAATCATATATAAATGATTAGATGAGAATACAACTGTCTTTCTGAAGGGAGGGCTAAAAAAGATATTAATACTTAGATGTAATGATACAGGTGGTTCTATAAATACTCTGAGACCTTGGACATCCTGTGGGTTTTATAAAGTCCTCTGGAGAACACTTACATCTTCATTCCTAGGGTGGGAAGGGAGCTCTACTTGTGTTCTTGAATTTACTTAATTTTTGTTTCCCTTATGTAGGAAGTCAAAACACTGACCTCATTCCAAAACATCCAACAGCCCCTGAAGGTCACCGTCCCAATGTTTAGGCCCTGAATATGTTTGTCAAAAGTTTTTGGGAGGTGAGCTGTGTCATGAGAAGGAAGCTTGTGCTATTTTTAAATTGATTCAACTCATCATCGAAACATATCGTACACATATCACACCAATGACACACACAGGCTGCATTGTAACATAGCATGTGTCATACATATATTCTCTCTCACTCATACACACATACTCGCTCTTCTTGTCCGGCTTTTAAAAAGGAAGGCAGCCAGAAGGCCAAGCCCAGTGATTTGAGTTGAAAAGGCTGTTAAAGTTTAAAAACCAAGTGTCCCTCTAGTTCTCAGCCTGGCTTTGAGACATGTGGGAGGGCTTCAAAGCCTCAGTGCCCCTCTCTCAGGCTCAGGCTTACAGTTGGTCCCCAAATGTTTACCAGCATGAAGATGCCTAACTTACAGGAAGCGGGAAATGGGTGTGGGGGGTGAGGGTGGGTGGGTGGTAGGGAGTAGGAAGAAGAGGGTGGGGGGGTTATTCTCTTGATGTGGTTAGCCTGTCATTGACCTTGTTTGGGTATGGCAGGAGTTGAATGAGAAAATGAAAACATGTTTCATCTTGGGTACATTTCATCCCTTTTTTTTACCTTAGGAAAAAAAAGTTCCTTTCGAAAAAAAAAATTTTTTTTCCCCAAGTGGAGTTCAGGTCTCCAGATTTGGTGCTCAATTTCCCTTCATTCTACAATAGTCCTTTCCCTATAGAGTCATCTGGCCACCAACATTGCAATTCCCAATCCACCCAGGAACTGGGAGAGGAAAAAAACTGGCCCAGTAGCTGAAACCGAATTAAAATTGGCTGATGGAACTGTTGTGATGATGCCATCCACGGGAATAGATGAGAATTTCTGAGAACAGAACTATTTGGCTCATTCATGATTTGCTGCCATTGTGAACACTTTTAATGTGAGAGCTCTGCCTGAGAAATGCTGATTAATAAAGATAACTGAGGTTCTTTTCGGTGTTCTAACTTGGGGGGAAATAATATAGTGACTAAAAATGCACCAAGTTATTACTTAGAAACAAACCCTTTGAGACATAAGATTCCAGACAGTGGCAGCCTCTGATAGCTCTCTCTGCACAGCTGTACTGCTGCCAGGGTCTCCCAGCTTTAGTCAGCAGTAAAAAGGTGCACTGCTCAGGCCCTCTGGGAGGACCGAGTGAAGTTCAGAGGTCAGTCCCTTTTATTCCCCCTTAATGGTTTTGTGCTGGACAATACCTAAATATTACAATATGGACATGTTTTTTCCTATTATGGAGCAAGCTTCCTTTCTTTTATTTCTTCTTCCTTTTTGGTAGCTTTCATTTTAAATGATGATATCCATCATTGACTACTATAATCATAGTCAAAAGTTGGTTTGGAGGTTTTTTTTTTCCCAATCACTTTGAGACAAGAAGCAAACATGTGAAGGACTTTACATTCCAACACTCTGTGTCTGAAAATTTACTTTCCTTAAAGTTCTACCCGTGGCCTTGTCCAGCTCAGCTGGGACACCTGGAACTAATTTTAGGGTTGCCTGGCTAAGCCCCACACTGGTATTTGAAGTTTGCGTCCTCCCTAGACTCAAGCCCATTTCACCACCTCTGAAGGTGAGTGCAGGCTGATATTAATTAACAGTGAGTTGATTCACTGGCATCTTCCAGTCATTAAAGCAAATATTTGGCTTAAAATAGCCTTCTTCCCACCTCAAATATCAAACTTTTTGCCTATTCCCTTACTCTATCATGGTTGACTCACCAGCAGTTGCATGATGGTGTATGTGGCCTAAGAACAGAGTTTGATTCTAAAAGGGAAGTGAAATACTCTTTAACATCTGCAAGTGAGACTGTTTGAACAGCAGGCCAGCCTTCAGTATGACTACATTGTTTTTCTGTCCATTGTGGTGCTGACTCAGCATCAGTTAATAAACCCTCTTGAGCAGGCTGGATTTCTCTTGTTTAATTATCAGCTTGGAGCTTTCTGAGGACTCTTAGGAATTGTTCATTCAGTTTTCCACCCCCAGCAGATCTGCCTTCTAAAAGTCCTGCTTCCTCTTGGTGCTAGCGTCCCCTCTGGCATAACATGCAATCACAGGTGGGCCACGCAGCAAGCAGCGAGTGTGTGCTAATCATGTCCCCTAGTGGGAATTTAATTGTTCTGTACTGAGAGAGAGATTGCAGCAAGACTTTAGACACCATTTCCTGGCAAATAATCTTTTGCCTCTCCCCCTCTCCCCTAAAAAAAATTCTAGAAAAGTTTTCTAAAAGTGAGAAAAGAAATTTTAAAGATAAACAGACATATTTTTTAGGATTGAGTTGGGCTTTTGTTTTGCTTTGTTTCATTTCTTCCTGTAAACAAATACTCAGATGTCCATTTCATTGTATGACTAAGTTGGTATCATTAGGTTGGAACTGGGTGTGTGTATGTGGGTGTGTGTGTGGGTGGATGTGTGTGCACACGTGTATTTAAAATGTTAGAAAAGACATTGCAGGTCGAAGGAGAAATGATTTTAAAAAAACCTACCTATGGTAAGGCAAGCAGGAAAAATGGAAGACCTGGATTTCAATGATCTAAATAATAATTGAAATGGGGTGTTTGCTATAAACATTGTTTCTCTGAATTAAAGGATTCCTTGCTGAAGGCACAAGACCATTGAAGGAAGTAAAGCATCTGGTTTGTTTTGTAATGAGAAGCAGGAATGCAAGGTCCACGCTCTTAATAATAAACAAACAGGACATTGTATGCCATCATCACAGGATGTCCTTCCTTCAACAGAGGACTGACTGGGCTGGAGGAAAAGCTGGCCGGGGCTCAGAATAAGCCCCACTAATTACTGCCTCCGACCGCTTTCCACTTGCAGTGATCAGTTCAATATTCCTCTGAACTGTGAAACGACTAATGCTCTACATTTTACTTACACTCCTGGGAAGTCAGCCTGTGGGTTCTGGGAGGAGAGGAAAGGAAAACAAACAATCTGTAGAATTATAACTTTTGCCTATTTCCCTATTTACTAAATAGTTAAAAGAGGAAAGTTAGTTCTGCCAAGTTTGAACGTTAGCAGGAGAAACGGAATGTTACAACTTTTGGGGCGGGGGGCGGGGAAACGTGCGTTACATACACAACAGCTTGAGGACCAGACAGCTCCACTGTATTACACTAGCTGCAAAAACAATTTAACTTGCTCTTTTGAAGTAAGATTTGTGTCTTTTGTACCTGGGGATTTGAGCTGAGAAATCAGAAACTGTGTAGGTAAATTTTAAGTTTCCTTAATTTAAGGAACGTGCGCCCCCTAATTCTGCCGCGCCAGGAAGGAGGGCGATCTGGAGTGTTTAGAATACAATAGAGCCCAAGTAAGCGTTGAGGTTAAGTGCCTTCAAAGGGAAGTAAGAAGATTCCAAGTCAATGTTGAAATACACATGCGAAGAGAGGAAGCTCTCGGCGGCTGTGCTAGCAATCTGGGGGAAAGCCCTGGGCTCGGCCAGGTGGTGTTGGCCACGTTGGCCACGCCCCCACTTCGCGCAGCCGAGTGGCTAAGGAAATCTTAAGCAGGGAGGGGAAGCCAGACGGTTAACACAGACAAAGTGCTGCCGTGACACTCGGCCCTCCAGTGTTGCGGAGAGGCAAGAGCAGCGACCGCGGCACCTGTCCGCCCGGAGCTGGGACGCGGGCGCCCGGGCGGCCGGACGAAGCGAGGAGGGACCGCCGAGGTGCGCGTCTGTGCGGCTCAGCCTGGCGGGGGACGCGGGGAGAATGTGGACTGGGTAGAGATGAACGAGACTTTTCTCAGATGTTGGATATTTGCTTGGAAAAACGTGTGGGTACGACCTTGGTAAGGAACTTGAATTTTTTTTTTTTAATTCTGAAATTGATCTGAAAACTTTATTTTCTTTTCCTTTATTGTTATTATTATTAATTTTTTTTGGCTAATGTCGCAGTAGAAACATGCTTCTGCTTTAGTGCACTTAGTGCTGTCAAACATTTGTGAGACTTTCCTTATGAATCATTAACCCTTTCAGTTCTAGACATAATTGCCAATTCATTGAAATTTCAGTAGTGGTTCCAGCTCACACTCGTCAAACTATTCCGGGTTGGCTGAAGTTTTCTATTTTATTTTATTTTTAACATGTGTTTGGCGTCATGACTCTACATGTTGGAACTAAATAAAAATAAGCAGGTTTGCTTAAATCATAACTGAGGGAAAAACAACTTTGCATCCAACTTTTTTTTTTTTAAGAGCATCCTATTTAGAGAAGTGGAAGAATGTAAAAACCTCCTTGAAGGACTTCCACAGAATGTTATGTTTACATTTGAACAAACACACATTCTTACATGGAAATGATACCCATATTCCTCATTTTTATCAAACATGTCTATATGAGAAAACCCTTACAGAAGTTGTTTACCTTTTTTTGCCTTTGGAAAACAGTTTTTTTCTGAGTGTGAGGGAGGATTTTGGGGGAATATCCTCATCAATGTACAAGTGGAAGCAGAGCTTGTCCTCCAAGTCTTCTAAATTTGTTATAACTTTAGTTACAGTAAACTGTAGTACATCAGTGACTTCTGGGAATTCATACACTTTCAGATTTAAATGGAAAGTGCTATTTGTAGCTGAGGACTCCTAAAGGAATTCTCTCCAGGGAATTTTATTAAACGGTTTTATGTTTTGTTTTTGCCTTTTCAATTTGGTATGAGATGCTTGCAAGTCAGAAGACACTGCAGGCTGTTTTCCCCTTCACCCATTTTTCCTCCTCTTTTCCTGTGGTCCAAGTGATTTCTAAGAGGCCGTAGCTCAGTGATGCTGGCAGGATGCAACCCTTTTCAGTCTTCCATGTGAGAGGATGAAAGAGAGCTCGCAGCAGAGGGAGGAGGCAGTTGTTTTGAAAGTTGTTTTGCGTTGGGAGCTGGTGGGAAAGTTCGGTCTTCCCCATTTGGAAAAGGCAGGCTGGGTTCCGCTCCTGCACCACACGCGCTTTCCA
This sequence comes from Homo sapiens, assembly GCF_000001405.40. Lineage (NCBI taxonomy): Eukaryota > Metazoa > Chordata > Mammalia > Primates > Hominidae > Homo > Homo sapiens. The sequence goes on from NC_000006.12 coordinate 106,087,743, forward strand.
TTTTTAGCTTCATTCAGAGGCAGACAGAGCTCCTTCCTCTTCCTCTCCTTGTTTGTGACACTTTTCTGAGGCAGCTTTTCCACAGTGCCGAGGGTCTGGCGGCCATGACCCCAGGCATTCTGGGACACTGGACTGTGTGCCCAGAACATTTTTCTGCCATGAGAGGTAAAGCCAGGGATTGTTCAGAGGTGATTCTTTTTTTTTTTTTCCTTTTCCCCACAGTGAGGTTGCCACATTCTTTTTTTTTTTTTTTTTTTTAACTAAGAGTAGCATTTAAAAACCTTGCTTCTTTTCAAGGCAGTTTACTTTATACGGCTTCTTGGCTCTTTCTCAACTGTACCAAGCACTCTGCATCTGCTTTTAAAGTCTTCAGACTACTGTATTAGTCATAGCCTCTCAGAAGGAGCCACAGGAACGGCGGGACAATGGGGATTAAAGGCCTTTCCTTTCTCTTCCAGGCTGCCCCCAAGTGTAACTCCAGCACTGTGAGGTTTCAGGGATTGGCAGAGGGGACCAAGGGGACCATGAAAATGGACATGGAGGATGCGGATATGACTCTGTGGACAGAGGCTGAGTTTGAAGAGAAGTGTACATACATTGTGAACGACCACCCCTGGGATTCTGGTGCTGATGGCGGTACTTCGGTTCAGGCGGAGGCATCCTTACCAAGGAATCTGCTTTTCAAGTATGCCACCAACAGTGAAGAGGTAAGCCTCTGGTTTATTGACAAGAAGATTGGGGACCTGGTGCCAAATCTCCCTACTTGCCCTTGAGGCCTTGTATATCTCTGAAAACCTCTGAGAATCTGTAAGTATCAGTAAATAATTGATTGCTCTATTCAATTCTTGCATTGCTTTCTCTTTCCCTAAACCATTTCCTTCTCATTTCTTCCAGCCTTCAACTGTTCCTCACTAATTAGTAAACAGTTAAATATTTTGGCAAATTGGCATGTCTTAGAAAAGCAACTTGCAGCATAGGGTGGGTGAAATTGTCAGTGAACTTCAAGAAAGCTCTGGGCCCACTGGCCCTAGTGTCCCTGTTGTACAATATCTCTTAAGGGAGAAAACTTTTTCTTGGAAAAAAAAGTTTTAATATTTCTTTTGTCTGTCTTTGGTAATTAGTTGGCTTTACTCTTTTTAACAAGCCAGCTTTATTAGCTGGGTTTCTAAAACTATCCTCAAAACTTTGACGTGTTTATGAAGTGAAGTGATGGTATAAGCCGAGAAAGGGGGTCATGTAAAAGTGTCCTCTGTCTGGATGACTTCAGAGCTAACCACTGTTTATCTGCAGCAGCTCCTTTGCTGGGGCTGGGCTGGCAGGCCAATTCCTTACTGGCCTCTGAAGTGGGTACACTCTTTGTTGTTTCAAAGGGGATGAAAACCCAAACTTGGAATGAGCAACTGATTTGTGTTTACCTTTAATATAAAGATTATAGCTAGGCGTGATGTTTAGCTGTGAAATAACTTGCAGAACCACCTCTTGTTTTCAGAATTTGGCTTACTGTAGTTGCACTTACTAGTCTACTACTGGGTTGAGTTGAATGAAAGGACCCCTCAGCAGACTTCCCATACCACCATTAGCACAGAGCACTGTCAATTCTATTACTTCCTTCAGAAAGTAGGGAAAGGGGATGGTTGGCCGTAGAAATCCAGAATTTGCTACTGGGACTATTCCTTACAGCCGTGTCAAATCACTTTCCCCCTTCCCTAAGGAACAGTATTTGAAGGAATCCGGGAGACTAGGAAATGCTTTGTCTCTTTCCTGTTTGTGTGTCTGAGTCCAGTGTTTTTGGTGAGGGGGAGACACAGCTGTCTAAAATTAAATAGAACAACGATGCTCAGTCTTTCTTTTTTCCCCCACTGCTGCGTGAATGGAGGCAGATTTTATAAAAAATAAAATTTAAATTCTAGTTGTAGTTGAATGTTACCAAAAAATTTAACCCCAGAGGTCAGCCTTAATTATACCTCTTCCTGAAAGTAATGCTCTTCTTATAGAAAGTCTCTCAATATGTGGCCCTTGGAATGAATGTAGGATTTGTTTGGGTATATGAGGTTTGACTATGGCTTTAAAAAGTGTAGTGTGTTTTTTCCCCATATCAAGTTTGACCAAATATTCGTCTGTTCCCAAGCTTCGTTTGTGCTGTGTTGCCCTGTCCAGTCCTTTGGGACTGAAGTAAAAATCTCCATTCTGTGGGTCATCTTTGCCTTTTAATTCTATAATGTTCTTATCGTCAGTTCAGCTCTTAGCTTAAGTTTTTCAATTTCCGTCATTCTCCTTTAAAATCATAGCTAAGTCAAGTAATGCTCTTAGATCATTTAGTTCAAGGTTCAGAAAGACAGTCACTTACCCAAAGGCATATAGGTAAAGCCAGACCGGGGACTTGAAGCAAAGCTTTTCTGACTTCTCCAATGAGTGCTTCTCGATTATGCTACACTGGCCCCTCTTGGTGTCACTGTGGTTTTAGTTATCATCTTAATATATTTCAGACCAATCCTTAAGCTATTTTGTGTTTTTTTCCCTCTGAATGTATAACTTCCTATTTCAATATATTAAGCAACCAAAAAACAGACAATGCCTGTGTTCCTGAAGAAGGTCCTTCGAAACTAACCTAAGAGGTGAGGGTTCTCTTATCCTATTTCCCTATCTTGCATTTAACTGAAGCGCTTGAATAGAGGATAGTATGTCTTTAAACCCTAATCATAAAGTCAAGCAAGGAGTAAACTTGAATGTAATACTGTCTTAAGCTTACTCTGGAATTTGTACCTGTTTTTCTGTTTCTCTCCTTTGTTTTTGAACTTTGGGAAAGGACAGCTTCCTTTAGAAGGTGAAAGAGGATGGTGGAGTTGAGCCATTAAGGGTAGGATAGCTGCAAACTAGTTCCGGGACAGCAACATTAAGGATTGATGAAATGTTTACATTATCTTTATTCAGTTAGTTCTTTAAGTTCCATGAGCCATTGAAATAGGAAGAGTCTTTCTACATGTACTTTTTATCTGACTTATTAATCTTGCCCTTCTTTAAATGTTTTCGTTTAAATAGCAAAAGATGTTACAATATGTACTATTGTGCTGACATACCGGGGAATTTTTTTTTTACAAGACCATTTTTCATTATGAATTTGTACCATGTGTCAGCACCTTTTTTTTTTTTTTGGTTAAAACAAAACATACAAATCATATTTCTGATCTTGACCCTCATTTTTAGATTGGGTTTAGAATCATTCTGCACCTTTAATGAAAAACTGTTCTTACTTCCTATTTCCAGAACTGAAATCAAATATAGACCTACTATTCAAAACTTTGAAAATGTTTTAAACTGATGGGTTATTCTTTTATGGGGGTTTTCCCCTTGTCCTCCTGAAATAATCTCTTATGACTACTTGACTACAGAAAAATCAGTTCAAGCATTTATATTTTAGAAGCGTTACCCTGTAGAGTTTCTGCCGTCGGTTGAGACTGCTTGCACTCAAGAGGCACTGTGGCTCTGTGAGTCTCACCTCCCTGTATCGTGGCTGATAAACATCAGACAGATTGTGAGGACTCCTTTGGTGTCCATTCTGATCGAAATCCATTATTAACTCAAGCCATCTGTAAAAAGTATCTCACCATAACATGCAATTCTCTCTTCATGTTGCCTTTTATTTGAGAAATGATGTACCAAGGCATCACCATGTCTCCTTTAATAGAAAGATAATGAAGAAGGAAACCTTCTCCAAACAACTTTGTTCACTTCACTCCTTTTAAAAATGGGGTGATTGCCGGGCGCGGTGGCTCACGCCTGTAATCCCAGCACTTTGGGAGGCTGAGGACAGCAGATCACCTGAGGTCAGGAGTTCAAGACCAGCCTAGCCAACATGGTGAAACCCCATCTCTACTAAAAATACAAAAATTAGCCGGGCGTGGTGGTGGGCGCCTGTAATCCCAGCTACCTGAGAGGCTGAGGTAGGAGAATCGCTTGAACCTGGGAGGTGGAGTGAGCCGAGATCGTGCCATTGCACTCCAGCCCAGGCAACGAGAGTGAAACTCTGTTTCAAAATAAATAAGTAAATAAATGCCATTGCACTCCAGCCCAGGCAACAAGAGCAAAACCCTGTTTCTAAATAAATAAAATAAAATAAAAATGAGGTGATTGCAGGCTGAAGGTCTTGGTCACTACTGAGTTCTAGTTCTCTCAAGACAAATATTCATATGGTCAAAACAGAATTATAATCTAACGAGTCATTCTTATAGAGTGGGATTCGGGGAGGGAAAACAGATAGCTAGTAATTTAAATGATCTTAATGTAATTTGGGGAGAGGATGATCAGATGACATTTAGACTTGGATATAGTTTCTGCTTCAAACCCACGCTGTGTGTGTCTGTTTGCATACTCTCTAAAGAAGGAATTTGAAAAAAAAAAAAAAAAACAAACCTATATTGTCCTTGTTATCAGCCTTCCATTAAGCGCTCCAACTCAACCCATCCTAAGCTGTCAAATCTCCTTCATTGTGTAAAATTGAAAAGAAGCCCTGTGTTTTGTCCGGAAGCTGTGGAAACTGTGGACGGCGGGGTGTGTTCTGTAACTGAGGCCACAGACAGAAACAAATCTGCTCAAGTGGTGGAGGGGTCTGCACCGCACATAAAGAGCTTCTGTGGGAGCAGGTGAAGCAAGGAGGTATTGAAGCCGGGTGTCCTCTTGCTGTTGAGTTTATAGAAGGCACAGAGCGGCCTGTCCCCAGCAGTAATTCTTTAGGACCCTGGTCAGTTCCAGTGAAGTTTCCTTCTTGAGTTAGGTGAACACATTCTTTGTCTTTTTAGCACTGTGAAGTTTAAGCTACACACCAAGTTCCTCCTTAGTATTTGCTTGGTTCAAAGATAAACTGTTACAAACTATGGGTCAGGGAGATGGGTAGTCTAAGATGCACATTCTGGATCTTTCTAGGACCAGAGGGAGACTTAGTACTTGGTTTTTTCACTTCCCTTTAAAAACAATCCTGGTTCCTGTTCCCCCTCCAAAGTTACCTGGACAAGCACCATAGTCTTAGAGTTTCAGCTTTTATGGCGTCTGTGTCTCAGACGTGCATTTGAGATGAAGATGTTTACTGTATATTAGAACGCTAGACTTAGAATGGATATAGGTGGTTTGTAAGTGCCTTCCAGTTTTGAAATTTTATGATTTTGTATCTTTATCTATAGGTGTGAGTTTATATGTGCCCTATAGCACTGTATGTAATTGAAATTTAAAATATTAGGGCGCTCTGTCCCTTTCCTAATGATAAGCTAATATTGAAGCTCTTTAATTTGTCTGGGGTTTGAGGATTATCATAGACCTCTCTTCTACCACAGAGCCTTCTCTTTTTAATTGTTCTCCTGTCTTGCCTGTTGAATTGAATTTGTAAGGTTAGAGATGGCAAGAGCTACTTCCGGTGCTGCTTTATAGCTTACTAGTGATGAGTCTATAGTTGTGCTCAAATAGGTATTGGGTAGCTTATGCTTTCTAGTTGACTTCTTTTTGGGCACAAGAAAATGTGTGTAAGATGGATAACTGAAAACCTAGAGGCCCATTCTGTAAAAGAATGGCAATTTGGAAGAAGAACCACGACCTCAGTGCAGTGCTCCGTTTTGGTAATCAAGCTCTGACTCCCAAGACACCATCTGTAAGAGACTATAATTTAAAACAAAGTTGATGAACCAGTTGAGTGCCTTTCTTAAAATTACTGTTGTAAAGTAGATATGTTGAAAATATCAACTGCTAATTATTGGCTCACCAACAAATGGCATGATTTGTTTTTCCTGTTTGTCATTCTAATATTATGGAATAATCACTGAAATATGAATGTTAAATGATTTGCATGTCATAGAATTCAATTCCATTAATTTTCCAAATTAATTAGATTCAATAATAATATGTCCAAAACAATGAGCCTCTGAATAAGTCTACTAAAGCTTTAAATATATATATTTATATCTCAAGACTGCTCTGAGATACTCTTGTCCCCAGTAGTTTTACTGCCAACAAATACCAATAATGACAAACGGTGATTAAAAGGGCAGATAGATGTAAATGAAGGCAGAGGAGGAGGATGAAATGAACATCTGCTTTTTTCAGCTCTCTGACAGAAATTCTTAAAGGACCAAAAATAACACTCTTGTTTCAACTTATGTTAGGTGTAGGAAAATTTTCTTTTTTTCTCTTTCCAGTCTGAGTATGCTTCATTGATTTGTATATTGAATACTAAATTGTTTTAGAAAAAAAAATCATTGGCTGATAAGACACTTAAATGAGAAAAGCTAGTCTGTCACAGGCATGTAGGTGTGCCATATCTATTTAAATAGAGGTTTAAATTATTGATGAGACTTAATGAGGAACTGGTGTATATTGTAACCAAAATTGTAGATTCCACTGTGAACAATCTGTGCATGGATCGATTCACATATTTGAGTCTACCATTTCAGGTACATGAATGTACAGGAGCTACTGGGAATATAAAAACTGGAAAATAAACATTATCATCTATTACCACTCCCTCCTCCTTGGTCCATTTTAGTAAAGAATTCAGTAAAGTGATAGGTAGGCTATCTTGAATGAGAAGAAAATAAAACTAGGAAAGTGAGAGAATAAAAACCAAAACAAAACTGTAACTGCAAACTGTTGTAAAGGACTACTCACAGAGGAGTTCTATTGAATAGTGACGAATTGCTTCCTGATTCACGGTTGGTGATTTTTTTACCCCTTCAAAGAGAAATTTATTATTAAGGAGGAACTGGTATAGTTAACATGTTTCTTTAGCAAGGCCCCACAAAGTTAAAATGTGTGATGCATCCAGTCTGAGGTCATTTCCTCAGATCTTAGAACCTACAGCTTTCCTCCGTATAAACTTAATTTCAAAGGAGGGCTTTTGGCCAGGCATGGTGGCTCAGCCTGTAATCTCAGCACTTTGGGAGGCCGAGGTGGGAGGATCGCTTGAGTCCAGGAGTTTGAGACAAGGCTGGGCAACATGGTGAGACCCCTTCTCAACAATAACAACAAAAATTAGCTGGGCGTGATGGTGCATGCCTGTAGTCCCAGCTACTCAGGAGGCTGAGGTGGGAGGATCTCTTGATCCCAGGAGGTCAAGGCTGCAATGAGCTAAGATCAAGCCACTGCATTCCAGCCTGAGTGATAGTGGGAGACCTTGTCTTTAAAACACACACACACACACACACACACACGAGGGCCTTTGACCACTCTTGAGTAGAAGACTCGAGAAGAACAAAGTAGAAGGCCAGAGAAGAACAAAGTTACTTGAAAGATCTCTTATTAAAGAGAATGTACAAGCTATGAAAAAAAAAAAACACACACACACACACAAACCTCATCTGGAATGAAAAAAACATAATGCATTTGGTTTCTGGTTCCTTAGGCTGTTATGGAACAACCAAAGAACATTATTTTGGTTTCTGAGGTCAGAACTATTTTATTCCCCTCAAGCACACTATGCTTATGGTTTGAGGGAGAATGAGAAATAGGAAACTAGGAACAGGCTGAAATGGTCTAATCTTGACCATCTAATTCTGCAGTGTCTTATTCTCATTCTAAAAGAGAATGGTTATATTCGCTGTTCTAGCATAAAAAGTAATGATAAAAATAAAAGATCCCGTATTACCAGACAATAATCCCCTAGACTGTTTTAATGCTTGGTTGAGTATTTGCTTATGATCTCAGACTTTAAAAGATGGTCTCCCCCTATGGTGAAGCTTGTTAATTATGTAGGCATCATTAATGTCTGTTTACTTATCAAAATTTTATCATTGTTAGTTGTATTACTACTTGACAGTCCAATTTATTTAATTGAAAAGATTGGTTAACATTTTATAGTCAAAGTAATTGTTTCCTGTGTTTTTTCCTGTTTAGGTTATTGGAGTGATGAGTAAAGAATACATACCAAAGGGCACACGTTTTGGACCCCTAATAGGTGAAATCTACACCAATGACACAGTTCCTAAGAACGCCAACAGGAAATATTTTTGGAGGGTAAGTAAGGGAAATTTCTTCAGACCCATTAAATGTTAGGAAAAAATGGAGCTAAAAGAGCTGGGTGGCTCACCTTTCTCATCCTGTGCTGAGAAATGCTGGGGCTCACCCATAAGTATCCAGCATCCCCATGGACACAGGGAATTCTGAACAAATGTGATGAAACCGATGAAATGTCTGGCCTGTAGGTGGTTAGTGATGGAGATACGGGCTATATGTGAATCTTGATTTTTGCAATTCATTAGAGCTTTGTAATGAAAGGAAACAGTTTGTTGCTTGCTTTAAGGATAGGTTCATTTGCATTTCTCCGCAAGGAAGTAGTAATGAGTTACCAAGCCTTAGATTTCACCCCTTTTTGATTTCTTGCTGACTTAACTTTAATTGAATGGAAGAGTTATCACAAATGAATTATCTTTTTGGTTTTTTTTTTTTTGAGATGGAGTCTCACTCTGTCACCAGGCTGGAGTGCAATGGCATGATCTCGGCTCACTGCAACCTCCGCCTCCCAGGTTCAAGCAATTGTCCTGCCTCAGCCTCCCGAGTAGCTGGGACTAAGGTGCGCGCCACCATGCCCAGTTAATTTTTGTATTTTTAGTAGAGACGGGGTTCCACTATGTTGGCCATGATGGTCTCGATCTCTGGACCTCGTGATCCGCCCACCTTGGCCTCCCAAAGTGCTGGAATTACAGGCAAGAGCCACCGCGCCCAGCCAGGAATGACAAATGAATTACCTTATAAGTAAATGCCATTAAGGAAGGATAGCTGGAAGATGGGTTGAGGGGAATGGAGGACCACAGAACTAGTCCTATTTAAATACATGTGCATGGTAAAATGATTCCATTTGACAATAGGTTAATTATCTCATAGCATAAGGAAAATGCTTAACAGTCATATGCAAGATGATAAGCTTTCCTATAGCATCCAACCAAAAGATCTAGCCAGTACAATTTCCTTTGCTATATTAGGGTTAGAAAGGCCCCCAGAGGTGAACCAATTAGATGGAATCCTTGAATAAAACACTGGATTAGCAGTGAACAGAAAAAAGTCAGATTGCTTTCCTTCTTCCCATAGATGTCTCAGGGATATTTAGTTTCCTCAGAAGATAAAGAATTTAGTAAGCGTTTTTTTGTGCATACTTACATGAAATGTACATTATTTGAATTCTTTAAAAAGAAACAGCTGCATGATAACAAAAATTGTGTTATGCTTGCTTTAGCTGGTATTTTTGCCTAGAACGATTATATCGTTCGGACAAGAAGCTATTCCTAAGAAACAATATTTTTAATCCAGGAAGTTTTTCATTTTTAGAAATTTATCTTACTATTTCCCAAGCAAAAGAGGGTAGTTACAGATTCACTAAGAATCATGTGCTCACAATTTTTATTTAATAATTATTCCTCCTTAAAATATATTAATCACCTGACTTACAATGGTGGAACCATGAGTGCATTTTTGCCTTTATTGTCAATAACGTCTTCTCAGAAGTGAGCCACAAAGGTGCATAGTTCTTGGAGTTAAAGGTCTGAATTAAGACAATCCAGCATAAGTCTCATTAATGTGTGATTATTTTGAGAAAAGGCAAGAAGTACCTAAGAATCTCCCCCTCACTGTCCAGTTCCCTGTTTCATTTAAAGATTCACTGTAAGTAACTGAAAGGCTTTCCTTGGGAGGATTTATTTGAATCAGTCTTTCACATGCAAAGGATATTGTAGAACATCTCGTTTTTGCTGGCAGGAATATGAACATCTGTTGTGAGGAAAGAAAAAGTTTCATGCAAATTACACTGCCAAAGAAGGGATGTTCAAGTTGAGAAACCAGTGACATTTCTTGTAACTGTACTATGAATCAGCGCATTTTAATCTTCTAGATAATATATGGAAGTGCAGGAAGGTGGTAGGAAACGGTGTTCATTTTACATATGCGTTATTTTATTCTGTGTGAGTGACTTCATGGCACCGACATTGCTGTTTTTAAATGAGGATACAGTAAATTGCAGTCCGAGGAAGGCTAACTGGAATCAACATACCCGTAGCTTTAGAAAGCAGTTTCCGCACCAGCGAAGAGTACAAGAGCGATGGAACCCCATGTTCCTGGAAGTTTGCACATCAGAGTAAACAAACTTGAAAACCCCTCTTGATAGCAGAATTCACCCAGCCTTGTTCCATTTTCTCTTAACAAAACACACCGCAAAAGCTCTCACAAGCTGCTTTGATGAAGCCACATGTATTTCCCCCTTCACAATTTACAGGAAGTTACTCTTAAAAGAAAGTGATTCTGGTGTTTACCGCCTGTGTTAAAGGGACAGAGTTCCTTTTTATTTCTGATAACGTTTGAGCGAAATACAGAAACTATCTGTAGACTAGCATAGTCGGTACGTGAGTAAGGAAAAGCAATAACCTGCTGTCCGGTGAGCACAAAATTCCTGCTACGAACAGTGCCTTACTGCTGCTTGGAGACTGCAAGTCGCAGATCACACTAGGTATTGACTGATTGTATAAGGAAATTTCTTAAAGTCTAAAGTAAAGGTGGTACCTCCTAAAAAGAGGGGAAGAGAGAAAACTTTGTGTGGAAGGATAAGGAGTGTGTTTATAGTTTCAGTAAGAGTGTACGTTTTAATTTTTCTTCTTCCTCTGCCTCTTTGCCAAGTAGCCTGAGTGCATCTGTTATCCAGAAGTAGTATTACTCTAGGACAAACTTCAAATTCTTCATTCTGCGTTGCCTTTAAGGAACAACATACTTTCTTCCTGTTCTTTTTCCAAAAACACACGCCTATGGCTCTGTGTGTGGTGTTTTAGCCAGCCTCCTCCCAGATAAGGGGTTCCCTTCCCTCCTTTGCATTGAAAGGAAAGTGCAAGTCTGGACATGTTTATCAAGAGGAAAAGTGACTTCTCAGTAATAGACTGTCAAATTCGGGCTGCTGCCCGAGTGTTCGCTTTGTTATGGCAGGTGAAGTTCACCTTTGCCCCACCCAGTGTTTCCACAAAAAGGCAAGGTTCCAAGTATTCATATGAACAAGTGTTACTTTAGGACTTGGAGGGTTGGGGGTGGAGGATGTTTGCATAGTTGAAGCCTTGGGCGGGGGTGTAGGAAACGGCGAGTACAGAGGCCATAGAAAAAGCTAAGACTCAGTTTGACGTCGTCAGCCGGCTTGGTCTTCTACCCAGTGACTCAAAGCACTAAAAGTCAGCATAATCGGAACTGAAGTCAGTAGCATCGCCCATTTGCCATTCACTGCAGTAGCAAAAGTAGTACTCTGTGGTGGGTTAATCGGTTTGAGGCAGCTCCTTAAATGAACATTTGTGTTTCATTTTTCTGTTATTTTCCCGAACATGAAAAGACGATAAAACTGAAATGGAAAAGGTAACTGACAAAAGTGTGCCTTACCTGTTTCCGCCCTGATTTCTGCTGATTCAAGACTATTCTGGCTAAACTGATTGGATTCTTTTTCTAACTAGGCAGTAGGGGATCAGAAATCACACACGGTACCGGCTGTGTTTATTCTGAGAGGTGCTGGGGAGCTTTGGGTCTGACTTCCTTTTACATGCCTGTCTTCTCTTTTGGACAGATCTATTCCAGAGGGGAGCTTCACCACTTCATTGACGGCTTTAATGAAGAGAAAAGCAACTGGATGCGCTATGTGAATCCAGCACACTCTCCCCGGGAGCAAAACCTGGCTGCGTGTCAGAACGGGATGAACATCTACTTCTACACCATTAAGCCCATCCCTGCCAACCAGGAACTTCTTGTGTGGTATTGTCGGGACTTTGCAGAAAGGCTTCACTACCCTTATCCCGGAGAGCTGACAATGATGAATCTCAGTAAGTGGATTACAGAACAAAAAAATAAAAAATGCCAGTAATGTCGGTTCTGCCCCTTTGAACTAATAACATGTTGTTTAATTATACGGCTTTGTCATGTGTTGGATGAAGTAGGTGGCTTAAGCTAGGGACTAGGAAGAGGAAAAACATTTTTTGAGTCCCTATTAACTATTAGGAAACTTGATCATTTAAAAGTATATATATATATGAGGAGCTACCTTGAGTTTTGAATTCAGGATGTTACAGGAAGAAATATATGTCCAATTCTAATTTATCCAAAAGCAGTTGGGAGAATTACAGGGATTGGTCCAGACATGCTGCGTATGCAAGGTATAGCCCTCATCTGTGGTACTTTGGCAGGGCTTAGACTGCATCAAAATATTTATAGATGTACATTTGAGTGTACAGTTAGGATCTGATGTGGAACATTGTAAGATCATTGCTAGAAAAACTTTGTCATAATTTTTCAATATTATTCTAAGTGAATAACCGTAAAGATTTTACATCTTAGCTTCCTTCCTTACAGTAAAAAAACTATCTGATCTCTTGATCAGTATTATAGTAGCCACCTATCACTTTATCTTAACAAATTCTCAATTCCTTAGGTTTATGTGCTTTTACTTCTTTTATTTGATTAAAATTGCTGTCATGACCTCTCTCTGCAGAGGGCTGCATCATTTTGGTCATTCTCAAGTGATCTCTTTGAGCAATTTAAGAATTGCCATAAGATTCTAACCTCTGCTGTAACTATGGTTGTGTGTTCTTGGTTAGACCACTAAATCTTATTAGCAGTTTTAAAAATTATTCCTTTTGGTTTAGAAGTTAAGACTAAATGCTGAAGTTTTTGTAACTTTTGGTTTTGATATCATTTCAAACTTAAGAAAACATTTGAAGAAAAGGACAAAGAATTTCCACTTACCCTTTACCCAGGTTTACCAGTTATTGATAAGTATATCCATTTGCTTTACCAGAAGGCTAACTTGTTTTAGTTCTCATTTTCACCTTTGAGACATTTGGAATAAATATCAATGTTAACATAAATTGGAATTTTGACTTTGATTTTAGGACCAATGAACAAGCCAAGTACTTACCCTAGTCATATATAATCCAACTGTATGGTTATTTGGTATTCATTCCACACTTCATTTTACTTGATCTCCCTTAAGATTGCAAGATTGTGTTTGCAGTTTTTCTGAAAATCTGGGGCTATAAAAGCATCAGGACCTCCCCCGTAGGGGAGGTCGTGTGTTTGGGGTCCTTACACAACAGGTTACCCTTGAGCTTCAGGAAAAGAACTGGCTCTCAGTTCCCCAGTTCCAGCTTAATGGGTCTAATTAGGTCCTGACCAAAAAGGTGGCAGTTCTTTTCCCTCATGTCTCTTCAGCGCTCCCCGAGACTCTGGAGACTCTGTCATATCCCTAGGGCTGAGCCTCCCAGGAACCATTCGGCTGTTGTGGCATCTGTGTATGCCATGCCCAGTGCTGAGGACCTAGTAACAAACGACAAATGCACAGGCACAGTGGCATTTTTGTGGAACTCGTATTCCAGCTGTGCGTCTCAGAAGAAGCGCACAGCTCCCTCCTGGCTTTCTTAACATAGTGAGCCACTTCCACTTAAGGGTCTCCTTACATTCCTTGAGTTTAATCATTCATGGATTCAGAGGAAAGTCTTTTGATTTTTGCTTTTCTTTAAACAGTTCATTTGAGGTGACCTACCCCAGTGACTTTGCACCAACCACCAAGAAACTTTTTTGCATGCTTCCCGCACCCTGTGCCAATCAAGGGAAGGGTTTAAAGGCCTGGCGTTTTTATTCCTCAAAGAAAGGTTTTGCACAGTATTTTAAGGTTCAAGTGCTTCTACTTTGTGTTCAGAAGCAACTGTCATATATACTGTGAAATGACACCTTTTATTTATCCCTTTTTATTTATGCAGTATGTCCCCTTTTATTTTGGCAGAATTTTTTCTAAATGGTGGTTTAACATTTTCAAGCACATTTCATTGTCCAATATTCATAGTAAAGAATGAGAGTTAACAATAACCAGTCACATTAAAACAAGATTCCTGCTGCCAGTTGTGAAACCGGTTGTCTTAGGCGTGGCAGCTGATGATTGAGACTGTGATCAGGAAAATTTCCACTATTTCATCAGGCCTAATAGGTAGATTGTGTCTCCAAATGAACTGTGTTGGGTTTCCATGCTTAAAGCACAATAGAGGTGGTGCAAGAATCTCCATGAGGGCTTAAATGGCAGTGATGGTTCAGGCGGTAGAGTTTGGAGAAGAAGGGATTTGAAACAAACCAAAGGAAAGAAAAGTAAGTAGCCAGAAATCACAAAATGGCATTTTTCTAAAAACAAAGGAAAAGGAATAAAAGAACTAATAAGTTTGAAACCCCTACCCCTCCCAAATTTGGCAGGGGGGGAGGTATTTTTTTTCTATCTATCTAACTAACCCATCTAGAAAACAGTTGACCAAATTATAGACTTCTAAATGTTAATCTGCTTTCTCAGTTTCAGTTGAAAAGAGACTTTGTTTTGCCTACTGCAGAACTTCTAGGTTCTTTCTTATAGTCTTGGGGTTCTTATTATAGATCGAAAATGTGAGTCGGCATAATTAAGCCATTCGGAGTCTTCAGAAGCAGTTCACTCTTGAAATGACTCCGTCCGCCTACAGCCATTTAAGATTTCAGAACAAAAACAGATCTTGATTTTCTTTTTCATGTTAACTCAAGCTGTTGCTGAGTGGGAGAGTCAGAAATGACACCAGCTCCACTGATTACTCAGCTGCTGAAGGATGATTTTTTAAAATGCACCTTTACTGTATATGGACTTCCTAATTTCCACCTGTAGAGCATCTTAGGGAGGCTAACATGTCACTCTGGATGTTCTTTTAGAATAAGATGCAAATCTATTTTTCTGAAGGCATTAGAGATAGCAAACATTTATTGTGAGTTTACTATATACTAGGCACTGTGCTAAGTGTTTTGCATAGAAAGTTTAAAATTCTGGCTTTTTTGTTGGCCCAATCATAAGTTTCATATCAGTTCAACATTCAAATTATATTAAGGTACTTAAGAAGAATCCCTGGCTAAATGTGAGGGGCAGTGCCACAGATGGACTGAAACTTTATGCTTATTGCACATTTATGCTATTATTATTTGTTGAATTATAGAACCAAGGGAGTGTGGAAGCCACTGGAAAAAATATGAGACTTAGATACATAATTTGAGTAAAAATGGCTCAAAGTCATGAGGGTAAAGTTTTTTGTATTTCCATTTTATTCGAGCGGCATCGTTTTTAAAAATCATTATGAATTTGACCCTATATAGATGTTTCCAAATAATTCTTTTTCACCTTCATAAAATTCCTTCCTGTGGCTGTGAGATGCCTTGCCTATCAGTTTTCAAGCTTAGTTGTCTTTCTCATCCTTTACCATTTTAGCTTTAAAAAACAAAAGTGACAATTAGAACTTCCTGCCTGCTGGGCCTCACTGAAAGACCGATATTGGCCTGATAAGGAGATATTTATTTTGTTTTAGTGGCTTCAGAAATCCCTCTCCCTCAGCAAGCTTTCCATCACGGCCCCCCCGTCAGCATCTTCCCTGATAGCGTTCTTCTCTGTGTTTATTCTGGGGCTTCAGGCTCGCCCAGGAGGAACTGATAACCGCTGGCAGGAGATAACATTCTCTAAGGGGCTCTCAAATTGGAATCGAATCCCTCAAGCCAGTCAGCCTAGAGAATACATTTAAAGGGTTCAGTTCTGGAGTTTCACAGAGTTCATTTCTAGACCTATCAGATAGCAAGTGTGGAGTTCTTTCTCAACTAAATTCAAGCAGAGACATTTTTTAGACGATGAAGGATATTTGCACAAAGGCTTCAGCATGATCCCCCAAACCTGCTGCCTCTGAAGGCATCTCCACACATTGACAGCCAATGCCTTCAGTGCGTTCCTAGGGCAGGTGTCCTGGCTTGAGTGACTGTCCTCCAATAATCAGAGCTCAAACTAAACATCGTATGTTTTACTTTTGGTTTCCAGGCAAGGCTGAGCAGGGAATTTTCAGTTTTCCCTGCCCAGATGGGTGTTTTTTCCTGAAGGCATCATTTATTGTGTAGCGAGGAGACAGGGCTGGCTGTGGCAGGGATAGTCTAGAACTGTCCTCATTGCTGCTGTTCCTAAATAGTATCTTTACCAAGTAATAACGTGCCGTCTTTGGGAATAAGTGCTTTCCTCTTAGCCTGTTCTGTTTTCTTGGGTGCGCTAAGTAATTGAACTGGCTCAGGAAGTACCTATTGTGGTTTGGCAGAGGTGACTGTCACGCCTTGTGACTCCAGGGGCCAGCACTGCTGGGATCCTGGCTAGACCAGACAGAGCCTTGGTGAAGTGCTTAGGCTGTCTGCACATCGCGAGGAAGGTGGTATTCACTTCGCTAAGCTCCTTGGCATAGGCAGTTTGAACAGGGCTTTATCAAATTCGTATTCAACAAGAGTAGAAGCGAAAATTGATGACTGTGTATTACTTGAAATGAGTCTTAATCTTTCACATTTAGTTCTCAGGGTATGCTGATTTCCTTTAGGTAAACCATGAACATCAGAAAGACTTTTATTAACCTATGACAGGGTCCCCACCCCAGTATTTTTCCACTCCATTAAAATGGAAGTTTTTTTTTTTTTTTTCTTTTTTGAGACAGAGTTTTGCTCTTGTTGCCCAGTCTGGAGTGCAATGGCACAATCTCGGCTCACCACAACCTCCACCTCCCAGATTCAAGCGATTCTTCTGCCTCAGCCTCCCAAGTAGCTGGGATTACAGGTGTGCGCCACCACGCCCAGCTAATTTTGTATTTTTAGTAGAGATGGGGTTTCTCCATGTTGGTCAGGCTGGTCTCGAACTTCCGACCTCAGGTGATCCGCCCACCTCGGCCTCCCAAAGTGCTGGGATTACAGGCAAGAGCCACTGCATCCAGCTTAGGCTATCTTACTCCAGCCTAAACAGCAATTTTCTATCATAAGGTCTGTACTAATGAAAACAGAATCACCCAAGGCTGCTGTTTGTTCTGTCTGTGCTGCCATTGTCCGCATTTTGCTGAGGAGGAAACGGAACTGCACTTTTGAGTGAGTGGCCCAGAGCCTTCTAGAATGAGAGTGCGTTGGAAGCCAGATATGTGGCGATTGTGTCGCCAGCTGTTACTCAGGTTTTCTCAAGAAGGAGGAGCAACTTTGGCAGTTTTGCTTCAGTTCTCTCTAGCCCTCTGTGTAATCGCCCCTTTTTCTTTATTTCAGCACAAACACAGAGCAGTCTAAAGCAACCGAGCACTGAGAAAAATGAACTCTGCCCAAAGAATGTCCCAAAGAGAGAGTACAGCGTGAAAGAAATCCTAAAATTGGACTCCAACCCCTCCAAAGGAAAGGACCTCTACCGTTCTAACATTTCACCCCTCACATCAGAAAAGGACCTCGATGACTTTAGAAGACGTGGGAGCCCCGAAATGCCCTTCTACCCTCGGGTCGTTTACCCCATCCGGGCCCCTCTGCCAGAAGACTTTTTGAAAGCTTCCCTGGCCTACGGGATCGAGAGACCCACGTACATCACTCGCTCCCCCATTCCATCCTCCACCACTCCAAGCCCCTCTGCAAGAAGCAGCCCCGACCAAAGCCTCAAGAGCTCCAGCCCTCACAGCAGCCCTGGGAATACGGTGTCCCCTGTGGGCCCCGGCTCTCAAGAGCACCGGGACTCCTACGCTTACTTGAACGCGTCCTACGGCACGGAAGGTTTGGGCTCCTACCCTGGCTACGCACCCCTGCCCCACCTCCCGCCAGCTTTCATCCCCTCGTACAACGCTCACTACCCCAAGTTCCTCTTGCCCCCCTACGGCATGAATTGTAATGGCCTGAGCGCTGTGAGCAGCATGAATGGCATCAACAACTTTGGCCTCTTCCCGAGGCTGTGCCCTGTCTACAGCAATCTCCTCGGTGGGGGCAGCCTGCCCCACCCCATGCTCAACCCCACTTCTCTCCCGAGCTCGCTGCCCTCAGATGGAGCCCGGAGGTTGCTCCAGCCGGAGCATCCCAGGGAGGTGCTTGTCCCGGCGCCCCACAGTGCCTTCTCCTTTACCGGGGCCGCCGCCAGCATGAAGGACAAGGCCTGTAGCCCCACAAGCGGGTCTCCCACGGCGGGAACAGCCGCCACGGCAGAACATGTGGTGCAGCCCAAAGCTACCTCAGCAGCGATGGCAGCCCCCAGCAGCGACGAAGCCATGAATCTCATTAAAAACAAAAGAAACATGACCGGCTACAAGACCCTTCCCTACCCGCTGAAGAAGCAGAACGGCAAGATCAAGTACGAATGCAACGTTTGCGCCAAGACTTTCGGCCAGCTCTCCAATCTGAAGGTAGGCCTTGAGAGAGAGCAGTCCAAGGGGCTGTGAGTGCATGCTTGTGTTTGTATTTAGCTTGCTTTCCATGGGGTATCGATTGCATTTGCAGTAGTATGAGCCCCCGGTTGGGGATAGTGGGTATGGATTCCGCCTGGCTTTTGCCACTTCTAGCTCTTTGACTTTGGACAAGTGACTTCCCTTCTCCTGATTTTCTTCTGAATAATAAAAAAATTAGGGGTTTGGACTAGAAGATTAGGTGAAACTCCCTGCTAGCCTGTGATTTTTGTGCTTTTAAGAAAAACACCATTCTGAAAACATGAAGATTTCTTCTTTTTAAGACTGTCTTGATGCTTTTCTTAAGATATTTGCATCAACACTTGAGTCTTGGAGCAGAAATGTTAGGTCTCAGAGCCAGCTTGAGAGCAGAGCTAACACATGTGGCTTCTTCCCAGGTCCACCTGAGAGTGCACAGTGGAGAACGGCCTTTCAAATGTCAGACTTGCAACAAGGGCTTTACTCAGCTCGCCCACCTGCAGAAACACTACCTGGTACACACGGGAGAAAAGCCACATGAATGCCAGGTGCGCAGTATTTTCTGGGTAGACCTTCTGACCTTTGTAGAAAATGTCTGTGAGTCACCCTCCCATGTCCTATATAGCCCGTAGTTAAAGCCAACACCAGATTCTGCGTTGTCCCATCCTGGACTGATGGCACTATGGTCCTTCCCAGTACTTTGTATCTGCTGATGACTTGAGATGGCACAGCCAGCTTCCAGTGGGTGGGAAAATGGTAGGGGAAATAAACAGCCCCTCGTGTGCTGTGTGCCCACATCCCCCCGTTTGCTTAATACCACACTGGAGGTGCCACAAGGAGGCTTCTCACCTCCTAGGTTGCTGGGCGTTGGCCGGTAAGCCTGCCCCTCCCGTTGGCAACTCTTAATCTTCTGGCCTTCCTGTCTCCCTTCCCTGCTGTCTCTCTCCCCTACACTGTAGGTCTGCCACAAGAGATTTAGCAGCACCAGCAATCTCAAGACCCACCTGCGACTCCATTCTGGAGAGAAACCATACCAATGCAAGGTGTGCCCTGCCAAGTTCACCCAGTTTGTGCACCTGAAACTGCACAAGCGTCTGCACACCCGGGAGCGGCCCCACAAGTGCTCCCAGTGCCACAAGAACTACATCCATCTCTGTAGCCTCAAGGTTCACCTGAAAGGGAACTGCGCTGCGGCCCCGGCGCCTGGGCTGCCCTTGGAAGATCTGACCCGAATCAATGAAGAAATCGAGAAGTTTGACATCAGTGACAATGCTGACCGGCTCGAGGACGTGGAGGATGACATCAGTGTGATCTCTGTAGTGGAGAAGGAAATTCTGGCCGTGGTCAGAAAAGAGAAAGAAGAAACTGGCCTGAAAGTGTCTTTGCAAAGAAACATGGGGAATGGACTCCTCTCCTCAGGGTGCAGCCTTTATGAGTCATCAGATCTACCCCTCATGAAGTTGCCTCCCAGCAACCCACTACCTCTGGTACCTGTAAAGGTCAAACAAGAAACAGTTGAACCAATGGATCCTTAAGATTTTCAGAAAACACTTATTTTGTTTCTTAAGTTATGACTTGGTGAGTCAGGGTGCCTGTAGGAAGTGGCTTGTACATAATCCCAGCTCTGCAAAGCTCTCTCGACAGCAAATGGTTTCCCCTCACCTCTGGAATTAAAGAAGGAACTCCAAAGTTACTGAAATCTCAGGGCATGAACAAGGCAAAGGCCATATATATATATATATATATATCTGTATACATATTATATATACTTATTTACACCTGTGTCTATATATTTGCCCCTGTGTATTTTGAATATTTGTGTGGACATGTTTGCATAGCCTTCCCATTACTAAGACTATTACCTAGTCATAATTATTTTTTCAATGATAATCCTTCATAATTTATTATACAATTTATCATTCAGAAAGCAATAATTAAAAAAGTTTACAATGACTGGAAAGATTCCTTGTAATTTGAGTATAAATGTATTTTTGTCTTGTGGCCATTCTTTGTAGATAATTTCTGCACATCTGTATAAGTACCTAAGATTTAGTTAAACAAATATATGACTTCAGTCAACCTCTCTCTCTAATAATGGTTTGAAAATGAGGTTTGGGTAATTGCCAATGTTGGACAGTTGATGTGTTCATTCCTGGGATCCTATCATTTGAACAGCATTGTACATAACTTGGGGGTATGTGTGCAGGATTACCCAAGAATAACTTAAGTAGAAGAAACAAGAAAGGGAATCTTGTATATTTTTGTTGATAGTTCATGTTTTTCCCCCAGCCACAATTTTACCGGAAGGGTGACAGGAAGGCTTTACCAACCTGTCTCTCCCTCCAAAAGAGCAGAATCCTCCCACCGCCCTGCCCTCCCCACCGAGTCCTGTGGCCATTCAGAGCGGCCACATGACTTTTGCATCCATTGTATTATCAGAAAATGTGAAGAAGAAAAAAATGCCATGTTTTAAAACCACTGCGAAAATTTCCCCAAAGCATAGGTGGCTTTGTGTGTGTGCGATTTGGGGGCTTGAGTCTGGGTGGTGTTTTGTTGTTGGTTTTTGTTGCTTTTTTTTTTTTTTTTTTTTTAATGTCAAAATTGCACAAACATGGTGCTCTACCAGGAAGGATTCGAGGTAGATAGGCTCAGGCCACACTTTAAAAACAAACACACAAACAACAAAAAACGGGTATTCTAGTCATCTTGGGGTAAAAGCGGGTAATGAACATTCCTATCCCCAACACATCAATTGTATTTTTTCTGTAAAACTCAGATTTTCCTCAGTATTTGTGTTTTTACATTTTATGGTTAATTTAATGGAAGATGAAAGGGCATTGCAAAGTTGTTCAACAACAGTTACCTCATTGAGTGTGTCCAGTAGTGCAGGAAATGATGTCTTATCTAATGATTTGCTTCTCTAGAGGAGAAACCGAGTAAATGTGCTCCAGCAAGATAGACTTTGTGTTATTCTATCTTTTATTCTGCTAAGCCCAAAGATTACATGTTGGTGTTCAAAGTGTAGCAAAAAATGATGTATATTTATAAATCTATTTATACCACTATATCATATGTATATATATTTATAACCACTTAAATTGTGAGCCAAGCCATGTAAAAGATCTACTTTTTCTAAGGGCAAAAAAAAAAAAAAAAAAAAAAGAACACTCCTTTCTGAGACTTTGCTTAATACTTGGTGACCTCACAATCACGTCGGTATGATTGGGCACCCTTGCCTACTGTAAGAGACCCTAAAACCTTGGTGCAGTGGTGGGGACCACAAAACAACCAGGGAGGAAGAGATACATCATTTTTTAGTATTAAGGACCATCTAAGACAGCTCTATTTTTTTTTTGCCACTTTATGATTATGTGGTCACACCCAAGTCACAGAAATAAAAAACTGACTTTACCGCTGCAATTTTTCTGTTTTCCTCCTTACTAAATACTGATACATTACTCCAATCTATTTTATAATTATATTTGACATTTTGTTCACATCAACTAATGTTCACCTGTAGAAGAGAACAAATTTCGAATAATCCAGGGAAACCCAAGAGCCTTACTGGTCTTCTGTAACTTCCAAGACTGACAGCTTTTTATGTATCAGTGTTTGATAAACACAGTCCTTAACTGAAGGTAAACCAAAGCATCACGTTGACATTAGACCAAATACTTTTGATTCCCAACTACTCGTTTGTTCTTTTTCTCCTTTTGTGCTTTCCCATAGTGAGAATTTTTATAAAGACTTCTTGCTTCTCTCACCATCCATCCTTCTCTTTTCTGCCTCTTACATGTGAATGTTGAGCCCACAATCAACAGTGGTTTTATTTTTTCCTCTACTCAAAGTTAAAACTGACCAAAGTTACTGGCTTTTTACTTTGCTAGAACAACAAACTATCTTATGTTTACATACTGGTTTACAATGTTATTTATGTGCAAATTGTCAAAATGTAAATTAAATATAAATGTTCATGCTTTACCAAAATTTGTCTAGTGTCTTGAGTGAAGGGTCAGTGAGCGACATCTCCATACTGTACAGATGGCACCAGAACAAATTTTGAACACAATGCAATTTGTCTCTCCCCTGCCCCCACCCCTGTTCTTCTGCAGCACCCTCTGGGGTGCCCTGATCTCCCCCGGCTCCTTCCAGGAGTATATTTGTGCGTGATCTGACAGCATTGATTTGTCTCTCATAACTAAGATTTTTCTTTATGAACTATAAAAATGTTCTCTAAAGGAAGCATTTCAAGCATCAGCCAGTAAGTGGGAGACGATTTGTTTGCTTTGTGAACTTTTACATTTTATTTCGTCAATGGACATGGGGTGGTGAGCAGATAAGGAGGACTTGGATCACTTCCAGAAATGCCCTGCTAGCTTGTGCCAGTCTGTGTGCGTGTGTGGAGACTCAGCACACTTATGGGTGTGGGGCCCTGGGAAGCTGGGTCAGGGAACACTTTGCCCATTGGTGACAGCGGCTTCAGTAGCTTCCTCTGGGCAGGCCATGGGGAGTGCCCTACAACCCATGTTTACTCCTTCACATGTAAGCACGTTTGCTATTTGCTACTTGTCCTTTTTTTTTTTTTTCTTTTTTTTTTTTTTGAGACCAGTTTTTGCTCTGCCACCCAGGCTGGAATGCAGTGGAACGATGATGTCTTACTGCAGCCTTTATCTCCCAGGCTCAAGCCATCCTCCCACCTCATCCTCCCGAGTAGCTGGGACTACAGATGCGTGCCCCCAGGCCCAGCTAATTTTGTTTGTTTTTGGTAGAGACAGTCTCACTATGTTGCCCAGACTGGTCTCCAACTCCTAGACTCAAGCAATCCTCCTGCTTTGGCCTCCCGAAGTGCTGGTATTACATGCATGAGCCACCGCACCTAGCCTACTTGTGCATTTAAAAAGTTTCCAGAAAGCTGCTTTCCCAGAATCTGAGCGTTGTTAGTGTGAGAGCCAGGTATCTTGGTGGTATGGCCATGTGGCCCTATGTGATGGGAACAAGTCTATGTGCTTAGCCATTCACGCTCCAGAAACTAACCTGTGTCCAGAGAAAAGGCTCACATAAATTCGAGTCTCATTTGATAGATGTAAGTAGGAGATGCTTCTAGAAAAGTGATAGTTCATTCAGTGAAAAGAAAATCTAAAAGCCCTTTGCAAGTGGTTTTCATGCTTCCCATTTCATCTATTAGCAAATTTATGGTTTTATGCGCATGCTGACTGCATGTTAAGAAAATAATGCTCCTGCTTACATTTGGACACTCAAAACTGCCTGATGCTTTGTTTTTAATGTTTCTTCTTTAAATTCACTTAAACATCTGTGCCCAGAATTTGAAATTCTGCCAACATGTAACTGTGGAGTTAAGAAAACCAGAACCCTATTGTCATAAACGTGCCAAACGGCGCTGGTTATATTCCTAAATTCTACAGAACCATTGTGGTAATAATTTTTCAAAACAAAGCCCAATAGGATCCTGAGAGTAACAGCTAACTACCATAAATCATAGTTCTTTACTTGGCAAATCATTTCTTTCTTTTTTTTTCTTGAGAGTTATATATCTTGGGAACACTTATGGACTTAGCTGTTTAATGAAACATTACATAAAAAGATAATATTCACTAATGAGCCCAAGTCCACCCAGCCAAAGTCCATACTGTTGGATCAAGACTTCATCCAGCTGTTTGTAGGACAAAGTAAGACTGAAGAAGCCACCTTTTTCTGAGTTTACCTTCAACAAAATAAAAACTCTGTGCAGAAATGATGCATTTAATTCCCTACCATGAGGCAATATATAGAATATACAGCACCGTGGGAGTCTATAGGCACATTTCTAGATATTTTTTCCTTGGGGGAAATGAAATCAATTTAGGATCCGTAAGTTGGTATAAATGAGCTCATTCCTTCCTCTGTGTGTGTGTGTGTGTGTGTGTGTGTGTGAGAGAGAGAGAGAGAGAGAGAGAGAGAGAGAGAGAGAGAGAGAGATGCCTTCTCTAAAAGGAGATAATGAGAAAAGGCCAGAACAGAGGAATGAAAGTAATTAGAGGCACATGGCAGATAATTTCTAATGCAAAACCAGGCCTCCAGGATAATCTGGTCTAGAAAGGAAGGCTGTACCACAGAAGGCAGCAGCTGAAAGAATTGATGAACAGAAGAGTTAGATAGAATGTGATCATTGAACCAGTCCAGAAGGCACTTCTGTTTCCTTTCAGAGATCATGGAGTTCTTTGTCCATAACATGTCATTTCATTCTCAGCTTCTGGCCAGAAGAAATCAGATCATTATGAACAGTGGCCATCAAATCTACTTCTGGGTATGAAGTGGCTACAAGAAATGTTTTAGGATTGGTGGATAAGCTTCCCTAACATCATTTTTCAAGCTTCAAGTCCTCAGAACCCAAGTTCATTTGCTCAAAGTGCTGCTGACAGCTGCTCCTTAAATAAGTGAAAAGTGATTTTAATCTCAATACAGTCTTAATCGTGTAATTCAGGCAAAAATGCAGCAAGATTCCAAAAAGTTATTTTTAACTGAATTTATGCAAATAGTCACTCTCCCTTTCCCAGTTTTACAGCATACTATAAACTAACAAACCCTCTCCTAGTTTGCTCTTCCTTCCAGGTTTGACAAGTAATGAACCAGGGTTGGCTGTGTGCACTTTTCCTTCTCTCTGAATTTTCGATAGGTTTTATTCAGCATAAACATGAATGTAGTCATCTTGTGGTTTTCCCCTACCCCCGTCATAAAAGAAAGGAGAAATGACAGATAAATAGCAATGGCTAATCTTGGTAAGAAATTCTTCAATATGTTAACAAAGGGGGTTCTCATGGAATTGTGGCAAAGTTCCCCAACTTCAGGTGTCTTAAGGATTCACCTGTGGATGATGGCAACCAGCTCTTCCCCATTGTGGGTAAGGAGCAGAACAAAGGAAATGAAATTAAAGCGTTGCAGAGGGGACTTTGGTTTAAGTCACCAAGACGAACACCTACATTTAGGGTTTGTAACACAATGGATTCCTTCCCATGGGAGGGAGCAGTCCCCATCCTTGCAGGGCTTAGAGAGGAATCCGTGTGTTTGAAAGCACAGGATGAACAAGATGCTCTGGTGAGCTTTTCCTAGGTCTTTAGTGTTTCATGTTCTTTAATGTTCCTGAGGCTTCCTTGGAAATGCTGTGTATTTAGGCAGATCTGGAGAGCCCGTCTGATTCTGAGGAAGAGTCTATGATATCATGAAATTAATTTTGCTGTATATTCTGTAAAATATTTTAAGAGATATTCAATGTTTGAATTCCCAGGGCTTCTGGAAGGGTCTGAAATTGAAAATGAGGCATGGTGCCACTGTCACCTGCATTACATGTGGCACTCTGTAAAGCAACCTCCAGGCTAGCAGCCTTTCAGCGCAGTTATCACTTAAGAAGAGAAGGGACCATCTCTGTGTTCTCTCCACTCATCAGCACTATTTCCCTTGAGTACTGTTTCCTATCCACAGGCAAAGGAAATGAGACACACCGCAGTCCCCTTCCACATAACCCTATCTTGCCTCTCCAGTTTTTAGTACAAGCGACCTGACAGTGATTTGCTGTGAGATCAACCAACTGTGGATCATTAATGGGGTCACTTACTCTTTCTTCCATGGCTCTCAGGGCCAGAGTTTAAAAATACACCCAAGATGGGAACTGAGTTGATGAGCTCCTACCATCACGGAAAAAGCGGCATATCAGGAGTTTAGGGAGCTTGGTTCTAGTCCTGATTCAGCCCCTGGTTAAGCGTGTGCTCCCAAGAAAGTCCGGGAACCTCGCTGGGCCACAGTTTCCTGGTCCTTAAAAGGAAGGAGTCATTTCCTGGGTTGTCTTCCTGTTCTTTGGAAGATGTTCTTACATCTCCTAACATGCTCAGATTCCACTGTTTTCTCTTATTTCCTTTTGATTTGTTTTCCTTGGAACTCCGGTTGTTGCTATAGGCAGATATTTGTAATTTAGAGAGCAGATGTCGGAGAAAATGAAAATGAGGGGCAAGTCTGTATGGAAACAACTATTGTGGCTTCTTTTGGCAAAAGTGAGTGGGCTTGCAAAGGTCCTGCTAATTTGTAAGAACCATGAACTTTCCCCAGGAATTAATATGCTCATCTGAAAGGAATCAAGATTCTTTTAATGGACATAATGGCTTATGCTTAAATCAAACTTCTGCTTAAGTACCATGAATTCTAGGATGTTTAGTGGGTTTTTGTTTTTTTTCTTCGTCTTCTTTCTCTTTTCTTTTTTTTTTTTTTTTAAAGCAAAGGCCTACATGTAAGATGACTGAGAAAGATTTAAGCCCCTTGCCACAAAAAGGAAAGGGGGACAAAAATATGGGCAGCTAAAGAAAAGAATGAGAACCCAGTCAAGAGACCCTAAGAAGACGTTGAAAGGAAACGTTTCAGTTAGAAAGTAATCAAGGCCCTGATACTGTTTTAACGGCTCAAAGTTTAAAAAAGGGAATAAAGAAAAATTAAACTGAGAGAGGGAGGAGAGAGGGAAAGGTTAAGCCAAGACAGAAACTGTGAGCAGATAGATGTGAAAGGGGCTGAAAGTAAGTGAAAAGTGAAAAATTGCTTTATGAATAAACCGTTGAAAAATAGTGAGTGAAAAAGCAATTGTGCTTCCAGTTATTACTGAATCACAAGCTCGTGGAAGACAGAGGCTGACCCCAGCAGCAACTCCACACTAACCTACATCGCAGCAGTTGGTACACTGCAGTTCCTGTGGGCGGACACCGTTTTCTACTTGAGTGTTCAGTTTCATTGTGATTACCCTCCATCACCGTCGCATGTGGGCCATTTTACCGCCTTGAACACAAAAAACCTGACTTGGTCATCTCTCTAGCCTGCTGACACTCCAAAGCAGGTGATATCCTCCAGAGGACACACAGAGACCAAGGGGTAAGGGCGAGGGGAAGGCAAGCAAACCTGAGAGAAGGAGAAGCCTCTGCCTGCCCCTGCTTTTTCCTGAAAATGACAGTGTGATTTCACACTCAGTGCCCCTGGTCATTCCTGGAGGTGCGTTCCCACAGGGACATGGTATGGCCCGTTGGACAAGTCTCTTCCGTGCTGAGAGCCAACAGATTGCCCTTCTTAGGAACACATCCGGGCTCAGGCTTAGCAAATGAGACGCCAACCATAGCAAGCTTCCCTCCACCCCTTGGCATACTTGGGGAAGCACGGGGAGCCCTAGGAAGTGGACCAGTTCCACCAGTGTGACCGACTTCCTCCTCCTTCAGGAAGAGGCTGAATAGTGGAAGTGCCGGACACCTGCCGTAAGAGAAGTCAATCCTCATGAAGAATGGCTGGTACCAAATGGCACACGCTGTTTCCAAAGCTGCAGGCTTGCTGTCCTTCTCATTGCAAGTGCAAAACCCACTTTTATATTAGAACTGCCCCCAAGCAGCTAGCTTTTGGTTATATGCTTCAACGGAAAAGAGGCGGGAAATGGGTGGCCACAGATTCCCAGTAATTTGTGTGGGAGTGCTTCCTGGGCACTTTATTGGTAAGCATTCACCCTCCCTGAGCACACCCTCTTCTCGGTGACAGATGCAGGCAGGCAGGTGGTCCTCCAGGGTTCTAAGGTTGGGGAAGCCAGGCCAAGGGAACATTTGACCCCGATGACCCAGAAAGCAGTTAACTCATGCACACAGCTGGATGCATAATCAAAGAACGAGGTCCAATTTTGATAAATCTGTTTCATTTTTAATAACCAGGGTAAGACTATAGTTCTGTACATCTGGCCAAGGCGGCTGAGGTTTTCCTCAAAGGGCCATGCAGATCTTGGTATCTTTTTTTTTTTTTTTTTTGAGATGGAATCTCACTCTGTCACCAGGCTGGAATGCAGTGGCACGATATCGGCTCACTGCAAACCCCGCCTCCTGGGTTCAAGCAATTCTCCTGCCTCAGCCTCTCGAGTGGCTGGGACTACAGGCGCCCACTACCACCTCCAGCTAATTTTTGTATTTTTAGTAGAGACGGGGTTTCACCATGTTGGCCAGGATGGTCTCGACCTCTTGATCTAGTGATCCGCCTACCTCGGCCTCCCAAAGTGCTGGGATTACAGGCCTGAGCCACTGTGCCCGGCCGGATCTTGGTATCTTTTCTTGCTGTTGCTACAAGAGGTCCCTGGCCTTGTGCTGATGGGAAGGTTTAAGGCAACGTGCTTTCCTCCTTGAGTTTGTTCATAAAAGAGGTAGAAAAGATTGGTCTTTGAGTATCTCCATCCCAGAAATAAGAAAATTCAGGTATGGAAAGTCAAGGAATATGCCCAAGCCACCTAACAAGTTCATGCTGGAACTGGAAACTACATCCCGGCTTCCTGACTCTGGCAGATTAGACAATGCTCCTATTGCTGAGCTGGGCAGGGGCCAAGTGAGCCACTGGCATTGTTTGTGTGTAGGGCAAGCTTGCCAAAGCAGCAGAGTCTTACAGCATTAAATGACTGTCTTCTGCCTTGTCAGGAGCTTGACTCTTAACTAGTTCTGCAGACATTTCAGTAAGGAAGGAGGCGATAAGGAGTCTTGGAGAATCATGGCTTACTATGGCCTACCATTACTCTGAATCCATCTCACTTCTAACTCCACAGAACCGTTCCTGTCTCTAAAGCTGAGCTCATTCCAGATACCCACTTTACTAAAAGGTTTCCATCTCTCTGGGGGTGGCCAGTTCCCCTGTGAAGTGCCAGAGTAAGGTGACATTTCCGGTGCTTTAGCAGAAAGGTGGGTGTCAGGCGTCAGCAGTTCTCCAGCAGCCTCAGGCCAACAGTGTTCCAAAGAGGAAACTGAGGCACAGAACTAACCCTATCCCATCAGAGTGTGCCTCAGAGTCCTGGTAACTGCACCTAGAGAGCACCGTGATCCTCAGGTAGGGGGGCATTGAGCAGTTGCAAAAATTCACATGCTATTTTGGATAAACCGGCTTTAAAGTTCATTCCACTTTAAAGACATGGAGGGTTGTGTTTTCTGCAAAGGAAAGGAAATGTATAAATGGACATATTTTCTACTTCAAGTGCACACAAAAAAACCTGTGTTGCTTCTGAGCTTAAGGAGGTATGTTCTTTGTTTTAAATATTGCCCATGCATAGTTAACCAATGTACCTGGAGGCAGAGATGAAAGCTGAAAAAGAACAGTCAGGTCTACCTTTGTGTTCCAAGGCAATGTAATCCCACAAGGCACAATTCCTCTAAGAATTATCTGAAAATTTTCAATATGCCCACCTGTTAAACAGCTTTTGCAACCAACAGAAACTCTGGAAGATTTATAGTCTGATTGCTTCAAATTGGTCATTTTTGTCTCCTCTAGTTTTGACCTACACGTGGATTCCAGACTGAAAATTACATTATCCAAAGCAAACCATTCAGCCCATCTTAGATAGATTACAGCTGTTTCAACCCTTCCTCCAAATGGAGGGTAATAACATAATATATTATAGCTCATCTATAGCCTGAAGAATTATGTGCTCTTAAAAGGATTGGCTGAAAAGAAAGAAAAGGAAGGAAGACAGGAATCTTCTAAAACTAACTATATAACTTAGAAATGAGAGAAGCGTCCCTTAAATTCAGATCTGAATCTTGTTCACATCGGAGACGTGAGCATTTCAAGGTGATGGGCTGGAAATGAACTTTGCTAGTAGGGACTTTCAACCCCTTCTCTCTGTGAGTTCTGCTGAGGGCCACTGGGCACGTGGCGGGCTTCTCCTAAAGAGAGTCATGTACGTCTGCAAGATTAAAAAAAAAAAAAGGCAGGGTAAAGTCTGTAGCTGAAGGTTGACAGACTTCCTTCCGCACTTGGGTTTTTCTCCCTTCTAAGGGCCGTTTGAAAGTTCTTCTTGTGCTTCTAACTTAGCAGAAACCACATCATGTCTTTTGTCATCATCTTTGCTCACCACTGGAGACCCTGGTGGTTAGAGAGGGAAAGTCCCTTTGGATGGTGCCTATGGGGGTAGAAGGTGTTGGGAGCCAGCAGGGGGTCCGGGTGGAGAGGGAAGAAGAGAGGAGAGGTCATCAAGCTTGCCTTTCTGGCCCAGGCAATATACCCACCCCGGCTAGACTTTCCAATCCTCAGAGTGGCAAAGTATATCTTTTTGGTTATTCACTATGTCCCTGGTTATGTTGGGTTGCTGAGGGAATAGCTAGGGGTCTCCAATCTTTTGGCTACCCTGGGCCACAAGGGAAGGAGGAGAATTGTCCTGGGCCACACATAAAATACACCAACACTAACGACAGCTGACGCGCTTAAAAAATAGTCGCAAAAAAATCTCATAAAGTTGGCTGGGCGTGGTGGCTCATGCCTATAATCCCAGCACTTTGGGGGGCCAAGGTGGGTGGATCATGATGTCAGGAGTTCAAGACCAGCCTGGCCAAGATGGTGAAACCCCATCTCTACTAAAAAATACAAAAATTAGCCGGGCGCAGTGGCAGGCGCCTGTAATCGCAGCTACTTGGGAGGCTGAGGCAGAACAATCGCTTGAACCCGGGTGGCAGAGTCTGCAGTGAGCCGAGATCACACCACTGCACACTAGCCTGGGCAACAGAGCAAGACTCTGTCTCAAAAAAAAAAAATCATAATGTTTTAAGAAAGTTTACGAATTTGTGTTGGGCACCTTCAAAGCCATCCTGGGCTGCATGTGGCCTGCGGGTCACAAGTTGGACAAGCTTGGAACAGATCATTAAACAAAAGAAAACAATTTACTTCAAGAGCTCCGAGTTTCTGGAAAGCCCAAAGAGTGGCCACAGTGACCTCTGTGTGGCCTGAGAATAGCTTTTACCTGCCTTCCTGGCACAGAAATTACCTGGAGGTGGATTGGAAGCAGAAGTAGGGAATAGGAACACAGCTATATATTCGGTTTGAGCTCTTTTAGAGTAGATGCTATAGAGACATTCTATTCTCTTTTTTATTGTGATAAAAGATAGAACCTACATTTACCATCGGAATCACTGTGCAGATAGTGTATGGTAGTATTAGCTATAGGCACATTGTGCAACAGATCTCTAGAGCTTTTTCATCTTGCAAAACTGAAACTGTATACCCATGGAACAACAGCTCCCTGCTCCCCTCCCCCTCAGCTCCTGGGTAGTGACATTTCTTGATCGTGCTGTTAACCATGAGTACTTTTCTTCGGTTAAGTCTACAAACTTGATTTCCATACCAAGACCTGTTTTGAGTTCACACACCAGCTGACCTGCTTCAGGAGCAGTTCAGATTCACTCTGCCATGAATATTCATCACTCACTATGGGTCATGATCACAAATGCATGTCCTCAGCACTCTGGCTGGGCTTCAGCAATTTATGGAGTTGTTATTTGCACCACCAAACCAGTCAGGAATGAAAATAACAATCAACTCCTTAAATGTTTACAAGCCTCCTGGGCTATTGCACATGTAATTTAGAGCTGCCATCTTGTCTCCTTCTTTCTGTCAGTGGAATGGAATGTCCCCTCCAGTAACTTGTTGGCTTTAGGAACATGGGGAATAGAAGGCTCCTCAACCTGAATTGTCTAGTCAAGGCTTGGCTGAAGTCCTCTTTGGTAGCAAGGTGTTTGGGTTCTCATTGCTCTGCAATGCTTCCTTATACAAGTCACTTGAAAACAAACCTTCCCCGCAGGTTGTCCTTGGAAGCAGAGCAGGAGGCAGGTAAGTACTCTCACCCAATCAGCACAATCAATTTGTCATTCCCTGAAAATAGAGTCGTCCCTCCAGTCTGTCCAGGTCGGTGGGGATAGAGAGGAAGGCCCAGCTGCCTTTGAGCAATGCCACATTCCAGTGGGGAGTGGTTCCCCCACATTCACCGCACTAGGGCGGGCGTGTTGTGCCTCGTGCCTGCAGCCACCCTTGAAGTGTTGTTGTTAAACAACAGTCATGAACTCTGGAATGTCTCTGGTCATTTATAGCGTGACTGTGTCACTCTGTAAATGACACTGTCAAGCTTCAAGGCCTAGAATGAAGTTGGTTTGCTTTTCAATAGATCATAGTCCCGCCCAAAACAAAGCTTCCAGGCTTTTACAATGTACTTCTTACTCTGAAACTCCTAAGAGAATAGAAATGCTAGGGAGATAAAATACAGGAATAGACTACAAATCACACTCCAGTCATCTTACAGGCCCTTTAAAACACATAGAACAATTTGACCATACTATTTGCAAATAAGCAGCTTTCTGGAAATTAGCTGGGCTCTTCTTAAAGCAATTTTTGTCTTCTCTCACCCTTGTCTTGACTTTTCCTTCTTTGGTTCATTTCCTTCATGAGATAAATGAAGAGCGCAAGAGATTGAGGTTCCAAAGAACATGTGATTCGTGAGTCATGTCTATTTTTTCTCTATAGTGTTCATTGAAAATTCATTGTTCCAGTAGAAGAAACAGAAAGTTAAAATGAACATTAAATACTGCTTTTGCTATTTCTGTAATACAGCAATAATTATGAAAATAATGCTTCTCATTTGATTTATGCTGTATAAGTTACTATGGTCTGTTGGTCACTGTCTCATTTTATCCTCACAAATACCCTCCGAGATAACTTTATTATTTCCATTTCGTATACAAGAAAACTGAGGCCCTGCGAGGTCAAATAAATTAGATAATGCAGGAAAAAACCTTAACCCAGTGCTCATACAAAATAATCCACAGTTAACATCTTTAAGGAACTTGCTTGACATCACACACGTAGGAACTGTGATGAGGACTGTGACCTTCATATGCTGTGGTCAATACTCACTCCACCTCAGCAGAGCAGCCTTAGGCCATAAAATACACAGATATTTAAAGAGAAATATGGTTTTAAACCTATTCTGCAACCTACAGCTTATTATGTACTAGCTATGAAGGTAGGTTTGTGGAGGATTCACGAAACGTAATTCCCATAGTCTTGTGTTCTTTTGACCCATTCCTTACAAGAAAAAAGTGCTTACAAAATCCTTCCTACTGTCCCTCTTACTTTTAAATCCCTTTCATCAAATAGGTTGAGTCAATACATGAATCCTGAGATTTTTAACATTTTTTGTTCTCAAGTTGTAGGTTTTCCATTGTATTCATGAAAGGTAAGTCCTGCATTTTTACTGATTCATTCATTCATTCTATGAACATTTATTACCTGCCTATTATACTTCAAACATGGGCCAAGCTGGGCCTGAAGGCCAGGTCCAAATATGACCAGGACCTTGACCTCAAAGAAATACTTGCTTCATGAAGGAGAGAGCAATGTACAATCTGATTAATGTTATTGGTCTCTTTTAAATAAATTGGTTCTATTAATATCTGCTAAGATGGATCACTGAATTAGAAATACTAATACCCAGCCTTTATTTTGTAGCATTTAATTTGATGAGTGTTTGGGGATCCTTCACATATATTCACCTTTGGTTTAATAAGGTTATTTAAGTAACAGCAGTGTATACTGACAATATTTGAGTTCCGATATCTAATAGAAAACTCACATTCTACTTATTATATTTGTACTAGCCCCCAAGAGCATTGCCAGAACGGAGTTTCAACAACAAAAATCATTGTTGAACATGACTATGCCCCACAATGAAAATACGAGTTATTATAAATCAGTGAGGGCTGGGCACAGTGGCTCACGCCTATAATCCCAACACTTTGGGAGGCTGAGGTGGGCAGATCACTTGAGGTCAGGAGTTCGAGACCTGCCTGGCCAACATGACAAAACCCCGTCTCTACTAAAAATACAAAAATTAGCTGGGCATGGTGGTGCACACCCGTAGTCCCAGCTACTCAAGAGACGGAGGCAGGAGAATCACCTGAACCCCAGAGACAGAGGTTGCAATGAGCTGAGATCACACCACTGCACTCCAGCCTGGGTAACAGAGCATGACTCTGTCTCAAAAAAATATCATTCAACCAATCAATGAGAGTTTAGGAGTAGATTGTCTGTTCCTTGCAATAGAACTACAGTATCATTTTCAGGTACATCTTCAGAAACATGAGTTTCTGGATGAGATCACAAACCAAAAAAACTCTAAGTTTTTTTTTTTTTTAACATTGTATAAAACACTCTCTGCTGAGATGTCTTAGGCTTTGCATTCAACCATCCTAGCATCTCATGAGGATGCACAAAACCATTTCAGGCTAGCCATTATTTTATATCAAAAGAGTGCATTCCCAGAACCATAGCAATACTGGGGAGGCGGGTAAGGGGAGCATCAGTGTCATGAAATGGAACAAGCAAGATACTCTGGGGGATACTGGTGGGACAGGTGATCAAGAGACCTGAGTTTAATCCTGGTTTGGCTGCCTGGGTGACTTTAGCAAGACATGTAACCTCCCTGCGTGTTTCCACATCTGTTAAATGTAGCAGTTAACCCAAATGACCTCTTGAGTCCATTTCTACAAACCAAGGAATGTAAAGCTTATTGCTCATTTTAATAAAGCTGTATGAACATTAAAAATATTGTTGAAACATTTGGTGGTGGCTCTCTCTTCTAACCTCTGCCCAGCATGGTGTTTTGGTCGTGGTGGCGAAGGGAAACGGGAGTGTTGCCTTGTAGCTCTTGGCTCAGAACTTTGGGAGGTTTCAGTGACTCAGCACGAGGCCCTCTGCCCTGTGGGTCAGGCCTGCAGGTGCTCAGGTGGGCCTTGTTATGAGGGAACTGCCAGCACTTTGGCGTGAGGCAGGAACTTGAAATGTGGACCATTTCAACAGCCACTCAGATTCCAGGGCACTTGACTCAAGCTTAGGAGTGTCAACCTCCATCCCCTCATCAAACTGCCACCTTGGATAATTATGCTCCTCAAATTACTCTCTTATTTCAGTGCCGTGTGGCATCCACACTTCCCATTCCCTGCTGCTGTGGAGTTGGCTTGTTGTTTTCCAGCCCATAAACCTGATGACAAGGCTTTTACTGGTTAAGGAGTGGGTAGAAGGGTGAACTGGGATATTCTCTCTAGACTAAATGGGTCTGCTCCTGCAGGTCACTAAAGAGTAAAGAGAGAAAGAGAGAAAGAAAACAAGCAATCCAACGCTCTTCCCCTCCCCTTCCCCTTGAGGGCAAAGGAAATATACCACCTGTGAATACACTGGTGTCACCCTAGAGTCACTCTAAGTAAGGGTCTTAGAAATCTTGGAAAGGTTATAAAGATTAATAGAACACGTATGCATATGGGAAAAAAACTATTCTTGTTTTTAAGAAGTAATGCGTTGCGAAATTACAAAGCTGTATGATCTTTAAGTTATGAGATGTCGACATAATTGTTTTGAGATCAACCAATCAGACCACACATTTTGTAGTACCAGGTTATAATGAGTGTTCATTAAACATCATGATAACAACACCCTCCTTGTTTTTTAACAAAGGGCATTCTCTTCCTGTATCATTGGTGACAGCTGATGCAGGACAATTAAAGTCATCTACTCATTCTCCCTTTTTCCTGATTGATTCCAGAGCTGTTGTGTGGTCAGAGTGTTTTTTTCCCTTCTTCTCTTCCTTTTCCATTTTCATCTTCCTTTGAACTGCACTAGATCCCCTCATGGGAGGAACTGTCACCCTCCCGACCAGTGGAGGCCCTCTTGGTGATGCTTAACTTTTCCAGGTCACTGGGCCACTGTTTTGTGAACTGAAGTCAACACTTAATAAATGGCATTCCAATAGCTGGAGCCATCTGCCTGCCCCCCAAAGTGACCGATTTTTCCAGAGGACTGTTTACTCTCCTTGCTGGGCTAGCCAATGGAGTTATCTCTTCTAAGTGTGAATGTAAATGTCGGAAAAATATTCAACTTTTGGGAAGTATATTCTAAATATCTGCTTTTATTTTTATCAGTTTTATTTTATTTTATTGGTGTTTCCTTTGATTGTCTGGTTCTCTGATTTAGGCAATTCATTTAACCTTTGAAATACCATTTGCTTCTCCATACCACTGGCATGATTGAGGAGCTTTAATTCATTCAC
This sequence comes from Homo sapiens, assembly GCF_000001405.40. Classification (NCBI taxonomy): domain Eukaryota; kingdom Metazoa; phylum Chordata; class Mammalia; order Primates; family Hominidae; genus Homo; species Homo sapiens. The sequence goes on from NC_000006.12 coordinate 106,123,854, forward strand.
CCAATATTTTATGAAAGCCATACTATGTGCATAATACTGTGTTTTGTTTTTGAATGTCTGTGCCTGTTCTGTAAGCAGTTACAAACTAACTGAGAAGATAAACATTTACACAGGAAAATAAAACTCACACTGTCAGGTAGCACATGGTAAGACAATGTTGCGTGTACAAGGATATTCATTGCAGCATCGTTTGTTTAACAACATTTTGGAAAACATCTAAAGGTCCATTAACAGAAGAAGGGTTAAACAAATTATGATCGTCTATATAATTGAATACTACCCAGACATTAAAGGAGAATGAGGCAGATCTACATGTACTAAAATGGAAGAGCTCTCAAATACAGCTTTAAAAGAAAAAAGGAAGTGTGTAGCCGTGAGTACTGTGCTGCCATTAGTGAAAAGAAAAAAATAGGAATATAGACACAAAGTCTTACATATGCATGGAATATCTTGAACAGCTACATAACAACCTGCAGAACGTGGATGCCTCTAGGGAAGAGATGGCTGGAGTATGGGCTGGGAGAGAGATTTGCTTTACCTTGAATATTCTTTTGTATCTTTTGAATTTTGTACCAGGTACATATATTATCCAATTATTAAATAATATTTAAAATGTGTCCTAATCCTCTGGCCAGCTCAACATTGAGGGCTGGCAAACATTAAATGAGGGACAAGTAGAGAACTTTTTCACAGAGGTCTGAACCATGGAGTGGATTCTCTGCAAAAGGTTTTAAAATAGTTCTGTTGGAGGAAGGCGTGGGAGTTACTGCTCTGTCTCCTTCAAGTCAGTTCCAATCCAATGCTTCTGACATGGAGAGCGAGACACAAGGAGGGGTTTCAATAACCTAATACTACATGACATGGGGTTTTAGGTCACCATCTCAACATGTTTATTCAAAAGGGAGAGGATTTGGGAAACGCAGGAGAGAAAGCCGGAAGATTCCTCCTTCCCTGAGAACCTGTGTTGTCACACTCATGGGTGTTCTCTGTCACCTGGACACATGTGGCCAAGGAGGGGACTGAGCAGCCCTGGCTCCTGTCATAAGAAAGGTTCTAAGTTCTTCCTGGCACATTACCAGAGAGTCTGGACTTCATAGACTCGAAGAATCTCATAGGGAGGAGGGACCCTGGAGATTTTGCTCAACTTCCTCATCTTACAAGCAGGAGACTGGGGACAAGCGACCTGCCCATGGACACATCAAGCATCAGCTGCAAAGCTGGGACTACACCCTCGGTCTTTTAACTCTACATGCAGTGCTCTTTCTATATCACTGCCACATGGTCACAGTCCCCTTGGGTTTTCAGCAGAGGCAATGCTAAGGACATGACAGTTATTTTCCTCAAACCGATCGAACACTGTGAGAGCAAGTTCAACAACTCAGGCTTGGGGCTTTCCTGAGACCAGGCTGCTGAGACAGTTTTGGGGTGGGGGTGGAGAACTAGGAGGTTCTCTCTATTGCTCAAGAGAAGGTGGGTGATCATACAGACTTTCCAGCAAACAGCCAGGGCAGGCAGCCTTCGGGGCACCCAAACCTCCCCACCATGGGTCCAGTCCAAGCTAGATGCTTCAGCATTGACACTCCACACCAAAATGGATCTCATATCAATTTTTATCTGTGAGGGGTTGTATAAAACCTCCTACAATCTCAGATCTGGAAACCATATAATAGGAGTAAAGCAGTCAGAAAAATGGATAACTTTTGCCCTTTTTTATGTGGGAAAAAAAACACCTCAGTAATTGAATTAATTTTTAAAAATATAACAAAGGGCTGGGCACAGTGCCTCATGCTTATAATCCCAGCACTTTGGGAGGGTGAGGCAGGCGAATCACCTGAGATCAGGAGTTCAACGCCAGCCTGACCAACATGGCGAAACCCCATCTCTACTAAAAATCCAGAAATTAGCCGGGCATGGTGGTGTGCGCCCGTAGTCCCAGCTACTCGGGAGGTTGAGGCTTGAACTGGGGAGATGGAGGTTGCAGTGAGGTGAGGTTGTGCTACTGCACTCCCTTGGGCAACAGAGTGAGAGTCTGTCTAAAAAAAAAAAAAGAAATGTAACAAAGGCCAAAGGCCAAAGTCCCCCGAATTTTGTCACCCCCTTTCTCTTTTTGCTATGCACATGAGTCCCGCTGAGGTGTGTGATCAAGTGAGCCCTCTGAGGTGTGTGATCAAGTAGGTCTCTGGGCACCGAGCCCACTGGCTGCGCTGGCAGCCCCCTCACTTCTCCTGGGCATGGAGTCCCAGCACCTTCCTCACCTGAGTCTCATCTGTGTGTGCAGCTCCAACATGTTTTACTTTCTATTTACTAAAATAAACTTCCTCTTTCATGATGACTTTGGAAAATGGACTCTGGACCACTTGGAGTTCATAAAGACACGAATCAGGCTATCTTAGTCCTGACATGAATCACTTTCTCTCCCCACCCATTTCCACAGATGCGTGGGTAATTTGGTCTCACTGCATCCCTCCTGCTGTCTTCAGGAGGATTTCCGCCACCTCGGCAGCATGAGTCAAAATGGATCATCCTCCCCGCCTCACCGCTTAACGAACTGAGGTGTGTGTTGGAGCTGAATGTTTACAACACAAAACCACCAACCATCTTGTTTCTTCATGTTTTGATGGCCCAGAAGCTGAGCTGCAGGGAGAGGACCTCCCCATTCCTGCGTAGAAGACAGGGGTCTTCTTATGTCTTAACTTTTCTTGACTACTGTTTGGCTTTCAGTGAATGCTTCAAAAGTTCTACCCTGTGTCCAGCACCCCAGGTCTTGATGGATAAAAATTCTCAGCACCTAAGCTGATCTTCATTCCTCATTTCCAGCCACAGCTCAAGGGGTTTGCAGTCTGTCTTTGGAAATGACTCAACCAACAGTTGGGAGTGAAAAAAATTAATGATGCCACATCTTTAGGCTTTGTCCTTTCATTTACCAAGTCGGTATTTAATGAACAACATAAGATTGTACTTCCTTGCAGTGAGTTTGCATTTCATGAGACGATGAAACTAAAGAAAAAGTCAGCCAACCTCACTGCTCCCTCAAGAAGTCCTCATTTCTGAACCCAATTATTTCACTTCTTATTCCTCGGTAGGAATTCTCTATGTACATTCATGACATATCCCAGAAGGGGCAGTGGGGTCTCACTGCTGCTTAAGGCACCTTTGAAGTGCTTTCTTGTTTCTATTATCTTGACTATTTTCACTACCCTTTCCCTCTTTCTTTCTTTTTTCTGCATTTTTCTTGTCAGATGTTGGCAGATTATTGAGTTGCCATCAGTATTTAAGTCAGAGTTCTGTTTTAGGCAATGGTTATTTTACAAATAGACACAAGTAGCTTCAAAGTATCCCCACGGCTTCTTTCCTCCTTCTCCATGTTTACTATACTATTATTTAGTAAAATTGTTAGTCATAAATTATCATTATTTAGTTAAAAACAAAAAAGCATTTGGCCAGGCACGGTGGCTCACACGTGTAATCTCAGCATTTGGAGAGGCCGAGGCTGGCAGATCACTTGAGGTCAGGAGTTTGAGACCAGCCTGGGCAACATGGTGAAACCCTGTCTCTACTAGAAATACAAAAATTAGCCGGGTGTGGTGGCACATGCCTGTAATCTCAGCTACTCGGGAGGCTGAGGCAGGAGAATCGCTTGAACCTGGGAAGCAGAGGTTGCAGTGAGCTGAGATCACGCCACTGCATTCTAGCCTGGGGGACAGAGAGAGACTCTGTCTCAAAAGAAAAAAAGAAAGCATTTTAACATAATAAAAATATTTTTAGGTGTTTAATAAGAAAGAAATTATTATATAGTAAAATTGTCCATATTTACTATACTATTTCTTTTTTTCTCCTTTTCCTGAGGCAGAGAGAAAGGGTAGGGGGAGATTTACTCTTGTTCTGATCCGGAACCAATCTTTAGTTCCAGTTCATTCTTCTCCCTGCCTAAAAATAAGAGTTAATGCTTCCCAAATGCTTTACAAACACACTCATATAACACCCAGCAAACATATCTTGTCCTCCTTTCAACAAGGAGATGGTCTGGCTCTTAGTACTATGCTGTCCTGTCTCTCACCACCTCTACGCCATCTAATCACCTCTTGAGCAATTAAAACACAGGTGCACAACCTTAAACATATTTGAAATATTTAAAAATAATTCATCTATATAATTTGGATCCGTGGACATTAACTTCCTCAATAATGTGACGCTGGCCGTATGCCGTGGCTCACGCCTGTAATTCCAGCACTTTGGGAGGCTGAAGCGGGTGGATCACCTGAGGTCAGGAGTTAGAGACAAGCCTGGCCAACATGGTGAAACCCCGTCTCTACTAAAAATACAAAAATTAGCCAGGTGTGGTGGTGCGTGCCTGTAGTCCCAGCTACTTGGGAGGCTGAGGCAGGATAATTGCTTGAACCCAGGAAGCGGAGGTTGCAGTGAGCTGAGATTGCGCCATTGTACTCCAGCCTGAGTGACAACAGAGAAACTCCATCTCAAAAAATAAAAAAAATAAAAAAGTAAAATAAAAATAATAATTTGATGTCTTTGAGTCTGGCTATTTATTGTTTGCTGTGGTGAAGTCTGGCATGGAAAACACTATAATGTTGACAAATAAGAAAAGCAACATGGAGTTCAAAATATAACACAGAAATGTCATGCTTATGAGGATCATATAAGTTATTTTGATGATAAGACCTTGTCCTTTTAGAACACTGGCCTCTGCACGGCTGGGCACGGTGGCTCATGCCTGTAATCCCAGCACTTTGGGAGGCCGAGGCAGGCGGATCACCTGAGGTCAGGAGTTCATGACCAGCCTGGCTAACATGGTGAAACCCCATCTCTACTAAAAATACTAAAATTAGCTGGGCGTGGTGGCACACACATGTAATCCCAACTACTCGGGAGGCTGAGGCAGGAGAATCGCTTGAACCTGAGAGGCAGAGGTTACAGTGAGCAAAGATTGTGCCACTACACTGCAGCCTGGACAACAAAGCGAGACTCCATCTCAAAAATAAATTAATTAATTAATTAAAAAAAGAACACTGGCCTCTGATCCACCAGAAAGAATTTCATAAGATTCAGTGATAAAGCTCAGCTCGTGGCTTTTTAGGTGAGCCCCTCATTCAGACTCTTTTAGACTCTATTTACTCCGACTTCATGCACAAATCTAAAAGGGTAGGGGATCTGCTTTCCAGTCCACAGAAGACTAGAAAGACAAATGAAAAGGCAGAGCCAGGGGGACAGTGCTGGAAACCAGCACCCTGAGAGAGGGTAGTGGAGGGAACTGATATCCAAGCAGCTGGAAGAGGAGCTTTGCAGACGCCCAAATGTCAGACCGATTCATGTCAGAGATGACAGCCCCATCCACAGCTCCCTGACATCGAGAAAGACAGTAGCCGTGCTCATCAGCACGTCCTGAAGCCACCAAGACAGGGACAGACCACGATCAACTGCAGCATGATGAAGAGGTTCATAACTTTTTTAAGGAATCTCTATATGTAATGGTTCAAGTTTTATTTCCTGAAGGATATCAGTAACATCAAGAGCAAAAAGTGACTCATTCCCTAAGATTTCAGGATAGCCTAGTTTTGCTTTGTGTATTTGCATGCAAGTTATCCTAGAGATAAGGCACACTGTCATCTATTAAACTAGTCTCCAATGACCATAATTTTAGATCATCAAGTGACAGGTTTCTTAGATTATGAAACAATAATTAGCCTTAGCTTCATGAGTCTGTAAAGCATGTATGACTATCTCAGCGGACCCTGCATGTCTGCTAGTGCAGGTTTCACCACCAATTCTGGCAAGAGCTGGAGTCAGCCTGGGACTGTGGTTATTTTGCATACACGAAAAGCTTGGTAATCTCTTTGAAGGGCCTGGACTGTGTACAAAGATCCCTCCCTTTTTGCATAATGGTACTTTACTTCCTGGATTATAAAGATATTATTTTACTAGAGAGAAAGGAACTGGATTTGTGGCGCATATTTGTCCAATGATTTAAGTTAATTCCTCATGTTCAAAATGAAACTGTCAGTTATAAGCTGACCAAATGAAGCAATATATTTCAAACTCAACAGAATCTTTTTATTCACTCTACCAATCTACGTACATCCCAAATTCCAACATAATTACCACCCCAGGTGTTGGTTAAAGAGCACTTTTTAACTTCCTATGGTGGACATTTCTAAGCATCCACAAAAGTAGACAATAGCATAATGAACTTCCAGGTACCCAACCTTCAGCTTCAGCTGTTATCAATATTTTGTCAGTCTTAAACAGTATGCCTTAGTGTGCCTAAATGAAATTCCCTGTATTTTAATTATCCAGAAGGCTGGAAATATTTGGGCAGCCAGGCCTCCAACCATGAGGTATGATTAGAAAGATTTCAAAGGCTCTTCACCCCACAGATGATGCGTGCCACGAGGAGTGATATATTCTTGGTTCTCTCTCTCTGTTTCTCATACTCTCTCTGAAAACACAAATGCTCCTGCTGAGGGGGCATTACTGAAATTCCTAAAACCTTGTTAAGAGTTGGTTTTTATCAAATGATTTTGTTCTAGAACAGGAGACTTTGGAGGGACAGCCTAGCATCCTTGTATCCTGGGGATGAACAGGGCCCTGGAGGGAGAAAGGGAACAGTGTGATGTGAGATAGGAAAGCCAAATACACAGTGTTGTTTTGGCTTAGCCCTGGTAGTAATTCCTGTAAGAGACTGTCTGAGAAAAAAATTACATTTGGAACATTTTTATTTCAGTAATCAGGATTTGGGAGTCTTAGAAAGGATGAGGTAGAAAGCCCCTTTACCATATTTTTTAAAATAGCTTAAGTCCACATTATGTTTCAGCAGTGAGAATATATTTTGGAATTCAATTATGTAACAACAGGAAGTAGGATGGCTGGTTAGAAAGAGTTTTACTTTATTTTTTACTTTTCTTTTTTTCTTTCTTTCTTTCTTTTTTTTTTTTTTTTTTTTTTTGAGACGGAGTCTCACTCTTATCACCCAGGCTGGAATCGGCTCACTGCAATCTCGGTCTCCCAGGTTCAAGCGATTCTCCTGTCTCAGCCTCCCATGTAGTTGGCATTACAGGTGCAGGCCACCACACCTGGCTAATTTTTGTATTTTTAGCAGACACGGGGTTTCACCATCTTGGCCAGGCTGGTGTCGAACTCCTGACCTCAGGTGATCTGCCCGCCTCGGCCTCCCAAAGTGCTGGGATTACAGGCGTGAGCCACCGTGCCCAACCTAGTTTTTACTTTTCTGTTGATAAGATGTCATTCAACAGTTGCCAGCCAACATTCTTTTAGCAGCTGTGACACTGGTCCCTCAGCTTAGAAAGAATAATTTGAGTGGCACTTCTCACTTACATTCTGTAAGAAGAGAAGAGTATACCAGGACTTTTTTTTTTTTTTTTTTTTTTTGGCTTAACACATGTGGTTCTTCTCCATATGTTGGGAAGTCCCTGCAGCAGGGAGTGGGCACAGGCGCAGAACTGCCCGAGGAAGGAGATGGAGCTGTTGTTTGCTATTCTTGAGGTCCAATATTATAAGAGCATCCTTGATGGACCAATGTGGACCCGACTAAGGTCAGCTGATAGAAAGCATTTCAGAATTTGGCTGGGCGCGGTGGCTTGCGCCTATAATCCCAGCACTTTGGGAGGCCAAGTTGGGAGGATTGCTTGAACCCAGGAGTTTGCAACCAGCCTGGGCAACACAGTGAGACACCCATCTGTACAAAAAACTGAAAAATTAGCCAAGGCTGGTGGTGCACAACTATAGTCCCAGCTACTTGGAAGACTGAGGTGGGAGGATCACTTGAGCGTGGAAGCTCAAGGCTGCAGTGAGCTGTGATTGCACCCACTGTGCTCCAGCCTGAGCAACAGAGCAAGACCCTGTCTCAATCAATCAATAAGTAAAATAAAAAAGCATTTTGTGAAAATGCACCTGACCCAGCAGGTTGGTGCATGGTCTATGGTATCAGGTAAAATTCATAGGCAGGGTCCTGCAGTGAAGGCCTCTCGTGAAGCCTTCAGGGATGGCCTCAGGCCCCACACCCAGGCACTGTCCTCCAGCCCTTCCTCACCAGGTGCTTCTGAGCCCTGAACTGCTGGGCACGAAGTTGAAGAACCACTGATCACACAGCTTGGAAGAGCCCATCCACTTCTGATATTTTGTCACCAATCATCTCTGCCAAGAATTCCCTGGGCATGTTCGCTGTGCTGAGCCGTGTGGTGGGTCCTCCAGGGAGGTGACAACTCTGTCATCAAGGAGCATCACTCGAGGTGGAGAACAAGGGTTCGTGGAGACCTAAGGACAGGACTTCTCCAGCCCCTGTAAGCCTTCATCCTAGTTACCATGGAAACAGTGATTGTTTAATTATTTTCTCACCAGACAGTAGACTCCTGAGGGTAGGAAAGGTGTCTGCTTGTAGCCCCAAGGCCTAGGAAAGTGCAGGACACCTCAGCCTTCATTCCATGTCTGTGGAATGAACGATGGCCCATCGGCTGGCTTGAACAACGTATGGAATGATGAGATAAAAGAAAGAGAAGGAACCGGGCCAGCCTGACGAGGGCCGAGTCCCAGGAGTTTGGGATCTATCCTTCAGACCACAAAGGCTCATTGAAAGTTTCTAACCAGGGCAGTCACATGGAGCCTTCCACGTTTCTGGAAGAGGAATGTGCAGTGAGGCTGAGGGATGGGAAACAGGGAAATCTGACACAAGGTGGCCCGTGGGAAGCTACTCCAGTAGCAAAGGTCGAGACCTGGAGCTCCTGCCCGACCCTCCCAAGGAACTGTCATGGAGCTGTGAGCCATACAGGTGGGGGTTTGGCCATTCAGCATTTGAAAGCATAACATACTGGAGCTGTTTATAATATAGTCAAAGAAATAGGGTCGCACAGACAGATTTGAGCAATGTTTATGTACATCCATGAGTGTCTATGCACGTCCACCTGGAGTTAAGGAAAACATTGTCTGGCCATATATTCCTTCCTGGTAACTCTTTCAGGACTTCAAGGCATCATTTAGCTCCTGGAAGAGCTTATTTTCCAGACACACACTCCAGCAGCGCCCTAAGTTCATGGGCGCGCATCTTAGTCTCCTGGAATAATTTAGTTGCTCTGGCTCAACAGATGATTATTACAGTTATTATTAATGTTGGTTCTAATAATAGCAGTAGTCATAAACATGTTTCTTGGGGGCCACCACATTGATAGCAATTGAAGCCTAAAAGAACATAGTCCCCAGGGATCTGTAATACAAGCTAATCAAGCAGTTAGAAAGGAATTTTTTAAAACTTTCCCCCCTTAATCCCATCTTTATTGTGTGGGTGGAAATCACCACTTGAGAGATGAGCCTCAAGGCCATGATCTGGAGCGATTTCAAACAGGCTAAGGGGTGGCATTGTAGTCCCTGGAGCCCTGCCAAGTAATGGCTGGCATTTCACCCTAGACCAGCCCTTCCAATAGAAATAATGAGAACCACAGATGTAACTTCAAATTTTCTGGTAGCCACATTAAAAAAACTAAAAAGAGGCCGGTGGCTCACGCCTGTAATCCCAGCACTTGGGGAGGCCGAGACGGGTGGATCACCTGAGGTCGGGAGTTCAAGACCAGCCTGGCCAACATGATGAGACCCCATCTCTACTAAAAATACAAAAATTAGCTGGGTGTGGTGTCCCATGCCTGTAATCCCAGCTACTCAGGAGGCTGAGGCAGGGAGAATGGCTTGAACCCGGGAGGCAGAGGTTGCAGTGAGCGGAGACTGGGCCATTGCACTCCGGCCTGGGCGACAGAGCAAGACTCCATCTCAAAAAAAAGAAAAAAAGAAAAAACCAAAAAACTAAAAAGAAACAGGTGAAGTAGTCTTTTAAATATATTTTAGTTAACCCTATGTATTCCAAATATTATTATTTTGACATATAATTCACATAAAAATTGTTAATGGGGCTGGGCGAGGTGGCTCATGCCTGTAATCCCAGCACTTTGTGGGGCCGAGGCAGGTGGATCACCTGAGGTCAGCAGTTCGATACCAGCCTGGCCAACATGGTGAAACCCCATCTCTGCTAAAAATACAAAAATTAGCCAGGTGTGGTGGCACACACCTGTAATCCCAGCTACTCGGGAGGCTGGGGCAGGAGAATCGCTTGAACCTGGTGAGCTGAGATCGCACCACTGCACGCCAGCCTGGGCAACAAGAGTGAAACTCTGTCTCAAAAAACAATTTTTTTTAAAATAAAATTGTTTATGGGATATTTGAGATTCTCTTTGTTGTCACTGTTTCAGGTTTTAGAAATCTGGCGTGTATCTTCCATCTCAGCAAGTAGCTGCAGAACTGCACACGGGGCTCTCGGCTGCCACAGCTGACAGCACAGGGTGAGCTGCTCTGGGAAGGTGCTGGTGTGTCACTCACCGGGCACACTCACGGACCAGCTACCCAAGGAGGCAGTGACCACAGGACTGGAGTACTGGGAAGCAAAACAAGGGAGAAAGGCCAGTCCCCACCACTCCTGGTGCCTGCTAAGTGGGGTAAATGCCCTTCTTGTAGACGAGCGCCACAGCAGCCATGGAAGTGTTGGGATGGAGAGAGGAAAGGAAAGCATTGAAAGTCCTGTAAGGGTTCTGAGAGTCATAGATCCTGTAAGATGTCACTCATCTAAGTCATGCTCTTAGGACTCCGGGCAGTCAAGGAAGAGAAGCAACAAGCCCAGGCAGAACCAGGAGAGGAAGAGGAAATGAGGCAGGTGAGGGGATTTGCTCCACCCGGTCTGGCCTGGCGGGGAGGGACTGACGACTGCAGGGCTTCCTCAGAGACGATCCCTTCGGCTCAACAGGCTTGCCAAGGAAGGAAGGAGCCGCCACCCGCACTGGGAGATTCATCTGAGAGATGAAAGGAACGGAATGCCACAGGACAACCCTAGGGGAGGAGTGCACGACACTAGGGGCTTCGGAGGCACGAGGATGCGACATGAACAAGCCCACTCGCCGTCAGAGTCCCAGCGCCCTCTCTCCAGTGACCAGGCCCCCGTGGAGGGCCCAGTCCACCCTCCAGCTTTCATAAACTTTGAAATAACACAATGTAAAACAGTCTAAATTATGTCAGATGATTCTAAGTGATTAAATGTGACAAAGAGGTATGTCACCAGGGTGGCTGCCTGATTCCCCAATTCTCAGTATCACTGAAATGAATCAACGGAGAGACTCTGAGTAATGCCGGGCACGGCCACCACACTCAGGCTGCTGTTTCTTACAGAGACCTGGGATCTTTCCCAAATGTCACCGGTTCAGCCAGGGATCCTGACACAGGTAAAGTGTCGAATCACACCCAGCAACCACAAGATTTGCCTTCTGCTGCTTGGGGGTAATCTCCCTGTCAGAGGTGATAAGTGTGGAAGGATGCTTTAGAATTATGCCTTTTAAAATGAAAGTAGAGTTCCAGGGTCAGGAGGCGTTGACCGGGGGACAGAGAGACTGCGGGTCAAATGTGAGGCCATAAACTGTCAAGATGACACACGGTGCGGGCCTGGCAGGGCATGACTCATCAGGTTCTCCCAGTGCCAGTGGGACAAGTAGCACGCTCGGACAGCTGGGACGTTTGTTTTCAGGCCAATTTCTAAAGAAAGTTCTAGATAGTGGGGCTGGAAAGTGACCACGCGACCGACTTCTTCAGGACCTGATGGAGTCCCTCGAGTCATGCAGGGCTGGGGGTCTCGTACAAGGGCTCACCAGGGACATGTTAGTGACTTACCCTGCCCAGACCAGATTGCTTGGAAGCCACACATATGGTAAACAAACAGGAGAGAAATGTGTTCCTCCTGGGTCTGCCCCACTCATTTCCCTCCCACAGAGGAAACAGCCCACTCCTGGAGTTCAAAGCTTCCCAAAGTCCCGGAAGTTGAGACAATATGTAGGGGCTTAGTGGGCTCTCTCTGCTCTGATTCCAAAAGCCCAAACCCGGAAAACAGGTCGCCCCTTCCAGGGGGTGAAAAATGAAGTCTGAAGCTGGCAAGGAAAGAGCAGGCTTGGGAAGCCTTACTTCGGGAAACCTGGTTGACCCGACAATTATTTTTTATGACCTGGCATACGTTATGTTGATGGTTTCATTTCTGGTTATTACCTTCTATTAAAAAGCATCTTGAGTAAGATGATTACGGGGGCATCTTATTCCCGCCTCAGGAATCTACTCTGAAATTTTCAGAGAACTGTTGTTTTTCCTGGACATATTATTACTATCGTTGTTTTTGCTATGATTGTGATTACGTAAACTGCTAGTTGTTAAATAGCTCTTTTTATTTGTCATTGCTCACAATCCCATTGCTTTGAGATAAAGAGATATGAGGTAGATACCCATATAGGGCACAGAGAGGTCAAGCACTCCCATAAGGTCCCTCCAAGGGCCAGGGATGTCAGAGGTGTTCCTCTCCTCCCCCTCCCCAGCCATCTTACCAGGACCAGTATGGGGCACAGTGAGTGAGCAAACACACAGGAACGACACGCCCAGAGCGAGGCCAGCCCTGCTCCCATGCACCAGGCCGAGCTGGTGCTGAAGTTCTGCCATGGGTCCTTGGTGCTCTTAACTTTAGGGGTCTGCCGAGTGGGGATTCTAGTGACAGGCACGATGGCTTGGGTTAGCTGCATCCCGAAATGAAGAGTCAGCACTGGGAACCACGAATGTGCCTGAATCTTAACTTGCAATGAAAACCCTGTGGGTCAGGCCGGGTGCGGTGGCTCACGCCTGTAATCCCAGCACTTTGGGAGGCTGAGGTGGGTGGATCACGAGGTCAGGAGATCGAGACCATCCTGACTAACACAGTGAAACCCCCATCTCTACTAAAAATACAAAAAAAAAAAAAAAATTAGCCAGGCGTGGTGGCGGGCACCTGTAGTCCCAGCTACTCGGGAGGCTGAGGCAGGAGAATGGCGTGAACCCAGGAGGTGGAGGTTGCAGTGAGCCGAGATCGTGCCACTGCACTCCAGCCTGGGTGACAGAGTGAGACTCTGTCTCAAAAAAAAAAAAAAAAAGAAAACCCTGTGGGTCATGGCCCCGCAGCTCTCCCACCATCACCTCATTCAACTCAGTGTCTGAGACCAAATGCATTGTCTTTACCCCCAAGCCAAAGCTTGGTATCTGTTCAATTCCATCAGTGGCATCTCTCAGTCACTCAGGAGGAAAAAAACCCTCCGAATTATTTTTAAATAAATTTAATTTAAAAATTATTTATTAAATTATTTAAAAATAATTATTGAAAAAAGGCAGAAGCTTATAGAGTAACAAGTAAAAATGTCTTCCCCTCCCCGCTGCAACTCTCCATCTCACTCCTCAGGAGCAATCACTGTTAACAGTTTGATGTGTACGATTAAAGACTTTTTTCTACGCACTAACCAAGACATATTTTCTTGTTATTATCTTTGGCCTTACTCTTGCCTTCCTTCTAATATCCAGTCATCAACTCCCACTAATTTTTCCTTTATGTTTTTCATGTCTGTCCAATCTTTTTAGACCCCACCCCAAATTCTTATCACCTTAAACTTAGAATATCAGCTCTGCATAGAGAAATAGCAAGCGGGTTTGGAACCGATGACTCAGGTTTAACTCTTGGTTTCTCCACTTAGGCAAATGACACCTTCTTTGTGCCTCAGTTTCTTTATCTGCTCAAAAGGGATAACAATATCTACCGTTTGAGGTTGATGAAAATAAATAAAGGATCAGCATGTAGTAGGTGCTTAAATAATGTCTGCAATTACTATTTTCTTTTAAGTGGCCTCAGGAACATCCACTTCAGTTCCCTCCGAGTTATATTGCATACCATGGTCAGATTAATCTTTCTTAAAACACTGCCTTTATTGTGACAGTCCCTTGCTCAAAATCCTGAAAGGCTTCCTAACGTTTATAGTACAATGAGAAACAGTCTTTACCTCACTCATCAACTCCAGTTGATTGGTAGTGCCTGCCTGAGAGGTGCCACTGGGCCTGGTGGCAGAGAAGGCAAGGTTAGATTAGCAATGTCTTTACAGGAGCACAGGTAAAGTAGCAGCAACTGCAGCCTATAGCACAAAGTCCAGCATTACTTCACCTCCTCTACCTCCCTAGAGGATGCCTTTCTTATTGGTGTCTTTCTCTCCCTGTGGACTGCTTTCCTCCTGATCTGCCACATACACCACAGACCCTCTGCCAGTGGAACTCTCCCTCCAGATATTGCCACAGCTGGCTCACTTTCCAGCATCCAGCGCTCAAATGCTACCCCTGCAGAGGCCAAGCATTCTCCATCATGTTGCTGTTTATTTCCTTCACAGCACTTCATCTCTGTCTGAAGGGATCCTGTTTATTTACTCAGTTTCATGTTCATCGTCCTTCTCTGCCACAGACAATGTCTGAGCCCCCGAAGATAGGAACTTCCTCTTGTTCAGCAGCCTGTCCCTAGAGCCTAGACCATGGGCTGGCACCAGTAGGAGCTCAGGGTCTTGCTTCTTACAGTTCTCTTGCATAGTGGGTGCTTCTCTGATGACTGAATCGGGACTTCCCAAGCAGAGAGTGACTTGAAGCCAGTCTAGGTATCGGCCACATGTAGTCCAGACTGGCATATAGAATGTGCTCACTAAAACCTGGACTGGCTGATTGCTGAGGCCTTCAGCGGGAATTTTACAAAAGCACTTGGGCATGTGAATTGCACAACAGGTGCTCAAAGGCTATAGGCCACGCCTGTGTCCAACCTGTCTCATTATAGACTACTTTACATGCACTCTTGCTGGCGATTTCTCTCTGGACCTTCTCCTTGGTAATTTTCCTAAAATCACATGTTCCCAAAGCCACCCTGGTGATGTACTAGTTATCTGGGCCGTTTGCTTCTTGACTGCAGTATTATGGTTGTCTATTTTCTGTCTTAGCATCATGTGTCTGCCAGAATGAAAGCCCCTAAAGGGCTTAGAATGTTGAAGTCCACTCTGGAAATGAATAACATGGCCCTCAGAGAATCATGCAAAACAGAAGCAATCGGTGAGACGGAGCTCAATCTTTTTTTTTGCCAATGTGGATGGATTTCCAAGGAATAAATGATTAAAGATTATTAATTTTCCTGTGTTTGAATATATTTTCATTAGTCTTTTTCTACTTCCAGACATATTGTTTTCATTGAAGTTTTTTGTTGTTAATTTATGTCTGAGATCACATAACATAAACACTGAGGAGCACATTATGAAAGAAAAAAAGATTTCATATTCTACCACCCTAACACTATTCATTTTTTTCCTGTTTCTTTCCCATCTTTCTGTATCTGTGTGTATATATGTGTGTATATATACATACATATATGTATACATTTGTATACATATTTTATATATTTATAAATATATTTATATATAGAAATATATATTTAAAAATATATATATATACACACACACACACATTTTTTTTTTTCTTTTTCCGAGACAGAGTGTCACTCTGTCGCCCAGGCTGGAGTGCAGTGGCATGATCTCGGCTCACTGCAACCTCCACCTCCCAGGTTCAAGCAATTCTCCTGCTTCAGCCTCCCGAGTAGCTGGGATTACAGGTGCATGCCACCATGTTCAGCTAATTTTTGTAATTTTAGTACAGACAGGGTTTCACCATGTTAGCCAGGCTGGTCTTGAACTCCTGACCTCTTGATCCGCCCCCCCCTCGGCCTCCCTAAGTGCTGGGATTACAGGTGTGAGCCACCGTGCCCAGCCTATATATGCATATTTTTCACGAGTGATAATCAGGCTTGCTTAAGAAAAACATTTTTACTGCTAAGTCCAATAATAATAAATGTAAGAAAGCACCAAATATTCTTAGTTTTTATAATAATATGTTTCTTTTTTCAGATGCCTGATTTTAATTACCAGGTCTTGAGAAAAATTCAGAGGTATAAAATATCAGGGGAAAAAAAAAGAATAGAAATGCCTGGTAAAGGATGCCTATACCTTTACAGAAAGACATCTACTCGTTCCTACTTTAAATAGGTTCCCATGGGTTGCAAAAAATAAAATGCTTCCCTTTGTCCCAACTCCCATAGAATTGGCTTTCATGGGCTTCGAATACCCAAACTATATACAGTCAACTCTCATTATTTGCAGATTTTGTATTTGCAAATTTATCTACTCACTAAACTTTATAACCCCCAAATCAACACTCATGAAGCATTTGCAGTCATCTGCAGACATGCACAGATGCAGAGCAGCACATTCGAGTCACCTAATATGCACATTCCCAGCTGAGGTTGAACAAGGTGACACTTTGCCTTCTTGTCGCAGCACTCATGCTGTAAACAAGTGACTTTCCGCAGTCTATTCAAAGCCATGTTTTTTTCCTCTTTATGTATTTTGTTAGTGATTTCACCATTTACAATGACCTCCGAGTGTAGTGCGGAGGTGCATCTCATGTTCCTAAGTGCAAGAAGGCTGTGATATACCTTGTGGAGAAAATCCATGGGCTAGATAAGCTTCCTTCGGGCATGAATGGTGCTGTTGGCTGTGAGTTCTATGTTAACAAAATCAACAATATGTATAAAATTAGGGATCTTTAAACAGAAACACACATGGCACAAGGTTATATATTGATCAGTTGATGAAAATGTTGTGACCAGGGCTCTCAGGAACTTAACCATATGTTTCCCTGGAGTGATGGTTCAGAATTTGTTAATTCAGTGTCCCAAGTGAGTTTATAGAATAACCACCACGAATAATGAGAAGCAACGGCACAAACTTTGTGTACACAGGCATTTTTTGAGAGAGAGAGAGAGCTATAATATTTATCAAATTCTCAAGGGGGTAACTGAAAAATGTTCAACCATTACTTCAGAACTTCTATTATGAGACAAATAGTGCTGGTCCTCTTGAGAAACCAAGGGAGTGGGCTCAGCTCAGTGACTGTCTGGATCAGCCCAGAAACAATGTAGGCTGCCATCTTGATCTGTGCTTTTCCCCAGGGACATGAGCAAGGGCACTTCTAGGCCAAGCAAAATCAATCGTGTTTCATAGATTTGGATTTAGAGGGCGCTCTAAACCAGCTCAGAGGAATGGTATGTTTTAGAATCCTAGGGAAATTGAGTTCTCCAATCATCACTTCAGTCAGCTAGGAAAGATACACTTTTGGCAGGGTGCGGTGGCTCACGCCTGTAATCCCAGCACTTTGGGAGGTCGATCACAAGGTCCGGAGTTCAAGACCAGCCTGGCCAATATGGTGAAACCCTGTCTCTACTAAAAAATACAAAAATTAGCCAGGTGTAGTGGCATGTGCTTGTAGTCCCAGCTACTTGGGAGGCTGAGGCAGGAGAGTCGCTGGAACCAGGGAGGCGGAGTTGCAGTGAGCCGAGATTGTGCCACACTCCAGCCTGGGCAACAGAGCGAGACTCTGTCTCAAAAAAATAAATAAATAAAAAAGATATCCTTTTAATAAAGAAAAAAAAACAACACATAAAACTTAAGAGTGTAATAATAGCTGCTGTTCATTGAATGCTTACCAGGAACTAGTATGATCATAAGGAACTCTTACAATCACCCTGAGAGGGAGGGCATGGCAAGCCCTAATTAATGGATGAAGAAACTAAGGCTCAAAGAGGTCAAGCCACTTTTCCAGGCAACATGGCTACGGTGGGAGGTGGGGCTGAGGTCAGAGCTCGGGTCTGCATGACTTCAAAGGCTCTACTCCTAACCACTAGACTAAACTTAAGCTGCACAGGCAGGGCGATGACTGGCTCTTCACCTTGGCTCTCCACCCAAGTCCTTTAACCATTGGGAGTGTGTTCAAGGTGATTCACTTAACTAACATCTGTTCTACGTACCCTTCTCAGAAGCCCATCGGCTAAGGTGGAGAGAGCTGACTGTACACTCCAGGGTGATGAACTCTAATTCTTTGGCTCTTCTTATATCTTAGCAGGTGGCAAATTCTAGGAGTTCCTAAAAATAGGTTGCAAATTCTAGGAGCTTCTAAAAATAGTGCTGGGACTTCAGCTTTGCTAGAGAAGGGATTATTCTGACCTTTCGTCTCAGGGGCCCCCCGCCCCGCATCCTGAGGGTGACAATTTCACTGCTTTGCATGACATTTGGTTTCTCTCACATGTGGCTGGTCGGATTATACTTTACAGGAAGTCAGAGAGAACCTCTAACCTCTGCCTGGGCTATTTATTGCTTTTCATTCTCTTTCTCTTCTACTCCTCACCCTCCCTTTGACTTCTTAAGTCTTTGAGACGCTTTTGAAACCCCCTACTAGTAGCCACATTTAGGGTGTGCTGGTGTACTGAGGAGGGAAGGGTGGTCAGGTGACAAGGGCCTGACCTGCTCACTCAGCCTGGTATCACTGTCTGCTCTTCCCCCCACTTCAGAAGTAGAATCACCCCATGATCAAGTCCCAGCTCTTTGAGGGAGGTGCTGCCTTGAAGAAAGTCACTTAATAGTACCATGCCTCCCTGTCCAATCTATAAAAATGAGGCGATCACACTTACCTACCAGGCAGAGGTGTTGTGAGGATTAATTATAGCCCTCAGGGCTTTGAGAGACGGCCAGATGAAAGGCTTTCTATAGCTAAGTTCCATCCTGGGCATGACTCTTCAGCTCTCAGCTTCCCTGCCAGTCACACTCTTCCAAAGTCACTCCTCAGGGGAGAGGAATGGCCTCACGTTGATGAGGTAGGATGTAAAATAGGAACAATATGCAGAACTGAGTCCAAAAGCCTTAATGTGGATTACTGAGAGCTGCACTCTCTGTGAATAGGAAGTGCAAGTTCAATGCGTAGTTGGTGGGGTCCTTGGAGGCACAGCAAGGTGAAGCCAAACAAAGGCACAATTGCCCACACCAGACCTTTCCTGTGGGTGGGAAGGGTTGCAGAAAGCCTTTTGTTCCAGCATCTATGCCTTTATGCTTATAAAGTTAGAAGGACTCAAGCAGCATGTGTAAGTGGATTTGGATGGAAGTGGAAATGGTGTTGAGGAGTTCAAATTACGGGCAGCTAAAGCAACTAAACCAGTCTCTCTGCCTGCTAAGAATCCCTGGCTTTCTCCATCCTGAGCTGGGGGTGGCAGGGTCACACACAGACACGCACATACATCCTGCCCTTCCAGCAGCAAATCTCCTCTGGGTGCTTCCTTTCTTGCACCAAGGGGACTGTCCCTGGCAACAAATGCCCAACCAGAACTCAAAATGCAGAAAAGCAGCACCAGCACTCCTGCCTTCCTAACATCTCTTAAGCAATTCTTTCAGGCTTACAAGAGATCCTGAAATATTTTCTGTTTCCATTTGGCCCTCTGACTGACTGAGAGGGTTGATGCCATTAGAGAGATTCCAATGGGATTATGGTCCCTAAATACCAGAGGTGGGAAGCATGAGCTTTGGAGCCAGGAAGACCATTCAAATCCCAGGCCTATCGTGCTCTAGCTGTGTGTCCTTGGACAAGCCACTTAACCTCTCTGTGCCTTAGTTTCCTCTTCTGTAAAATTGAGCTCCTATGTGGATATAAGAGTGAAATGAGAGACTGTATGTAATAGGGCCTGGCACAGAAAGCACACAATTCACATTAGCTATGCTGAGAAAGGCAGAGTGGGAGGTAGGTGACAGGTGAGGATTCTAGTCTGGGGAGGCTAATTTTCTTTTCTTTTTTAAATCGCTGCGCCATGTGAATTATGCTATCCCCATGCCAGAAAACCCCAAAGAGGGTTTTGGCTGTGCTGGAGCACACCCGGTTCACTTTCCCCTCGACCAGTGGGTCTGGCACATCTGGCTGGGTCCGCCTGGCTGGTGGTATTTCACCCCGGATGCTGTCTTTCCTCTGCTTTCTCTACACCCTAGAATTCTTCAGGAATAAAGTATCTCCTCACAAGAAAGTGAAAAGAATCAAATTTCCTGGCTCTGCTACCTCACCTTGCCCCTGTGAGCCGGGCGGTGGCCCCACTGTGCCAGCGCAGCAGTGGGAGCCCCAGGGGCTGCTCTGAACTGCCTGGGAGGGGTAAGAGAGGGCGGAACGCGGGGCCGTGCCTGGGGCTGCTCTGCTGCAGGGTTCCACTCCAGGCCACGGTAGCATTGTGGATGCGCGTTTGAACTTTGATGTATTTTGAAGCTGCAATTTTCAAATGTAACCACACCATAAACTTACTACTTAAAAAAAGAAATCTCACAGCACCTAGGCCACAGCACTAGGCCGCAGATCTTAGTCAAAAGAATGCACAGTGTGTGGTGTTAGCAGGGACACGGCAAGATTTCATGGTCACTGAGAAGCCCTTGAAATGGGTTCTGAGGCAATGAAGGTTGTCCTCACAGCAGCAGTGGTCCCCCACCAAGAGAGGCTGTTCCCCCACCCTCCCATCCCCCTGGCTGTAGGCTCAGGCCAACCATCCCTCCCACCCCCAGGCCCCACAGCTTCACTCTTAGGGGTTTAGACCTAGAACAAAATTGTAGATCTGTTGAAATATTCCTTTTTGGGGACTAAAATGGGAGAAGACAACCAGCAATGTCTAAACCTTCAAGTGAGTCCCCAGTGAAAGACTATCGATCCAAGAGAGAGTTTTGGGAAGAGAAATGCAGTGCCCCATACTTATATAAATGCTCACATGTTATATGTACATGTGAGCCTCAGATAGGCAGATTGGTAGATAGCTCTCTGTGTGTGTGTGTGTGTGTATATATATATATATATATATATATAATAATGATTTATTTTCTGATTACTTCTTTTTTTTTTTGAGACAGGGTCTGTTGCCCAGGCTGGAGTGCAGTGGCGTGATCTCAGCTCACTGCAACCTCTGCCTCCTGGGTTCAAGTGATTCTCCTGCCTCAGCCTCCCGAGTAGCTGAGATTACAGGTGTTTGCCACCACGCCCAGAAAATTTTCGTATTTTTAGTAGAGATGAGGTTTTGCCATGGTGGCCAGGCTGGTCTCAAGCTCCTGACCTCAGGTGATCTCCCTGCCTCGGCCTCCCAAAGTGCTAGGATTACAGGCGTGAGCCACTGCACCCGGACCCGTTTTCTGATTCCTTCTATAATTTATTTCAGAAGAAAATTTGGAAAACATTCAATGAAGAAAATTTGGAAAATACAGAAAAGCACAAAAGACGTGAAACCCCCTGGAACCTTCCCATCTAGCAGTAGAGATCCAGAGGCTGAATGGTGGCTGGCTGTTGAGCCAGAAGCCCTGCAGGAGGGTGGGAGAAGCATGCAGCAAGCCTCACCCCTTTACTGGCTCTGGCATCAATGACCAGTAATTGGACTTTTCTGGCCCACAGTTTCATCATCTGTGGAGGGGGGATATTACACAGACGGATTCTAGGGTCTTATCGGCCCAAGCATTTGAGAGAGTGTCAGATTCCAGGATAACAAGCCTGAAACAAGACATGGAGAACTCCTCAATGCTAGCCAGTGGCTAAAGGAGCTTCAGGTCAGATGTCCATGCAGAGACCATGGGGTTTCTGAAAGTGTCTGCTTTGCTAGAACATATTAAGAAGCTGTTTAACGTATCTTTGCACATCCTGCCAGGTGTCTGGAGTCTGTTGCAGTCACCTCATATGTCAGAGGGCACTGTTCAGCCCGGGGCTCGGGCGAGCTGGAGTGAACTCTGGCCTTGCCACTAGATTCTAGAGCCCCTGGGGCCTTATACAAGGCTCATCATGTCCCTGACCCTCAGGTTTCCCATCTGCAAAATGGGGAAAATAACATCTGCCTTCCCCAGCTGACAGAGTTGCTATATCAAAGGAACAAATATACATAGAGGCATCTATAAGAAAATATCAAGCCCCCAAAACATGTAAAAGAGATCCTTGCAGAAGTGAATCCATCCTCATGGAATTTTACTAAATGAAAAGTGGGGCTTCATTTCAGGTTGCATGCTGTCCTCAGACAGAGATGGCAGTCTTATCACCATCAGCGAGCACTCAAGTAAACATCAGTGAACTTACTAAACAGGTGAATGGGAAATAGAGAGGCAGTTTCAAACCCTGGCTTTCGGTAAATGTTAGCCTTACAGCCACAAAGTAGGCAGTGCTTTGACAGCAGGTGGGAGATGAGGAGAGAAGGTTTCCTGGCCCTTCACCTTGGTCACTGACTCAGTGTGAAACAGCGCCTGCAGGGAGGAGGGGAGTTCTCATCCTGGTTCTCAAATCAGCCTGCAGCCACAGTGGGAGCAGTGAGCCGAGTTCAGGGCTGAGGATGACTAAACAGCCTCCTCATCATTAATAACAATAATACTTGGCATTTATCTGGTTCTTTATGTTTTCAAAGTGCTTTACAATCATTAATTAGTTAACTAGCATGCACCACCACCCCGACGTCTGCCTGCTGTGCTGAGCAGACAAAAGAGCCCGGTGGGACCTGCCTGTCTGCCCGGGGATTGCAGAGCTGGGGGAAAGTGAAGGCTGGGGTGTGTGGGGAGGGGAGTCAGTATTAACATCAAGGACCAAATTCGGAAGGAGATAGTTACAAGTCCGTGCCAATAGACATGGGTGTGCATGTTCCTTGAGAAAGGATGTCAGGCACACAGGCAGGGACCTGGTCAACCTTTGGAGAGCTGGCTTCCATTCTGAGTGGGTAAGGATGCTGCCTTACAGGGGGCTTAGCATTCCCGTAAAAACTGACTGCTCTGGTCCCTGCCTAGAAAAGTAATATAGGACATTGGTTGCAACTGTGCCCTGAACAGCTGGCTTCAAACCATGGTAGAAGATAAATTCCCCTGCTCTTTGGAATGCTGGTGTATTTTTGGTGCTGTTTTTCTAAACTATAGGGTTCTGCACACGGCTGAGATCCAAACCTGTTGGAACTGTTTGTCTAACTTGCACTGGATACATAGAGATTAAATTCACTGCAAAGGGTTAAACACACGATGTCTCCTGGACACTCACTAGTGATGTTGATGCTGATGCTGATGCTGATGGAGATGGCGATTGGTCAACTGAGGTGAGCTTTCCCTCCTTCGCCTGTCTCCCAAGCTTTAAAATGGCAGGATACAATACAACTAAGCAATTTGGCCTAGGTGAGGTAGCAGAGCCCACAAACAAGTGTATTAAATGAAACTGGACATACTGATTGTCACTACCTAGTTACATGGAAATCTGATAGCTATTGTACTTAGAGAGTAGAGAAACCAAAGTCATAAGCCAAATAAGTGACCAGAAGAAAGCGATTAGTCATCTTTCTTCATGAGTGATCACAATGCCTCTGAAGCTTCTCCAGCTGCAACTTGCAATTTAGGGCCCTGTCTAATGACAGGGTGAGTTCCTCTTATTGATCTCCAGGCTTCTTGGGTAAATTAAATGGCAGGTACACAAAGAGGTGAGGGACAGGAGTGTGGCAGCAGCTTCAGAACTCTTGCTCTGTTAGCATGAGGTTCTAACAAAGCCATAGGTACCTGGGCTGCCCCACATCCCCAGAGCCAAGGCTTTGGAGCCAGTTGCCTTCTCCGGGTGAGGCATGCACCCTCTGCTGAGTCACCTTGATGTATGGCCCTCCTCATGGCTGTATCTGTCAGATCTCAGGAACTAAAAGCAAGAGGAGGGCTTGGTTTAAACTTGGCTGGAAGACCCAGGAATGATAATAATAATTAACACAGCTCAACTTCCACTTGCGCTATAAACAATAATTAATGTACACAGTGGCCCACTGAGACATCTAAGTTTGGATTATGAGTCTTGTTTTGCAGACAGGGAAACTGAGGCCAGGAGGTTAACTGACTTGTAAAGGCCACACAGGGACTCAGTATTATACCTGAAATTAAAATCTGGGCTTCCCTGCCTTCTGATCTGAGACTTGGATCACATCTGTCTGTCAACAAAGACTTAAGAACAACAACGACTTAAGAACAACAACAAAGTTATGCACACTCACCACAAAAGACATTTCTGCAGGAGTTCAGGAAAAAGTGATAGGTGAGGTGTGGCATTGGCCTCCCAGTCCAGACCAAGCCAATCACCCACTGCTAGTGGGCAAACTCTAAACCAGACACGAATTGGCAGTGCTGTGTCTTATCTATGTGGCAAATAAAATATTCCTAATAACTGCAATTTAAATGTAAATGTAATCAGCCTGCTTCCTTCATTTCTTTGCCTCTTTCATTTTTGTGGTTTGATCTAAGGAGCTGGTAGGACTAGTTTACTGTCCAAACTATTTACACACTAAGAACTGAAGATGTTTTCCCCACGTCTCAAATACTACATAGCAATCAGCTTGCCTGTGTTTACCTTGTCCAATTGTTGTTTGAGTATTAAGACACTTGCATTAACTTAAATCTCCAAATATTGCTTGTACACTCATTTAAAACAGCTTCACTTGAACTATCACACTCATATTCTAATATATCTAATAATTCATAAATTCCAGCGTAAAATAAAATACAATTGCCAAGTCAATTATTTTTTCCAGGAAGACAATTTTTAGTGCAGTTCTTAAAAAGGATAACCTTATTCTAGCCTCTTTTTGTTGTCAGTGACAGAAACTCCATTCAAACTGAATTAGATGGCGAATTCCAAAGTAGCTTCAGTATAGCTGTGAGCAAACGATGTCATTTGCACCCGAGTCTCTCCATCTTGATCTGGCATTGGCCTCAGTCAGGGCTCCTGTGTTGGGGTGAAGGTGGATACTTAAGTTCAGGCTGACTTCCTCCAGCAGAGCAACACCCAGCAGGTATAGAGCCCTTCTTTACTGATAGCACAAGCAAGAAGTCCTGGAAGTGATGGGCTGTCCCAAGGGACCTCATGCCCCTCTCTGAGGTCACTGTGAAAGGAGGATGTATCCCTCTTGTTTTCTAGGTTTAGGATGCATACTGGCCAGTAAAGGCAGGGTATGGGGGTGCCCCCCCAACCACTGGAATCAAGTATGCTGGAGAAATGGTTCCCCAAAAGAAAACTGGAGTATGTTTGCAAAAGACAGGAAAGGATTAAAGGCAAGTAAAAGCAGCAGATATCTACTACTGCAAGTGCAGGAATTTAAAAGTCAACATTTTACCATATGCATTAACAGAATATTCTTCTAAATGCTGTCTTCATTCCTACTCGTAAAACTTTGGTTTGGCCCTCAATACTATTGAAGAGTGACAATACCACTTTTAAGAATGTAAACTAACTCAGTTCCAACAGAACATGTGAGAATCGTAGAACAGAAAAAGAAAGTTGAAGTAGATATCAGATTCCCTACAAGCTACTGCTGGTCCTCCTCATCACCACTACCTTTTCCTAGCTACCCCTCACGGAAGCACTGGTCTACTGCTGTGTGGCTAGGATAGGTCTTCTCTCCTGGAAGGTTGTCTCATCCCATCTAGCCTTACACCTGGTGACTTAGAAAATAAAAGAAAAGAAACCTCTCATCAAAGGAGTTCTTTCCAGAATAAAAGGACAAATAAACTCCAATCGTTAATTTCCTTCTTCCCTAGAATGCCAAAATCAATCACAAGTCAAAAATGGAAGTTTCTCAATTTCAACCATATCAGGGCACGGACTCAACTTTCAGTAACAGGAAAACAACAACAAAATAAAATGACAGGCAACTTTGAAAATGGATGTACGGTTTCTGACACTGCAGAATGAAGGCAAAGAATGCATGCTTGTCAAGTCTGTAGATGGCCAAGCACAGAAAGGACAACCTTTATCCTGAATGAACAAGGACCTTGACATGATTGTGAGGAGGGAAGTGAAGAGTCTCCATGCTGAACAAAACCAATGGTGGGTAGAGATTGAGAGAGGCTGGCTTCACTTTAGTTTGGGGGGAAAAAAGAACTATGGGGTTTAACTGATCACAGAGCTAGTGTATGCTGAGCATGTGATCTATCTACTGATAAATGAAAGCAGTAGAAGGATGATGATGTCACAGCAGAGGTAACAGTTGTGGTCACATCAGACCACATCCAGGGGTTCATTTGCTCTTGTCCAGAGGCGGGCATTTGGCAAGATGAGGGGTGTACAAATCCCCCATCACAAGGCCTTGGGTGCTTAATCTGGAGCAGAGAACTTGTGTTGAGGTGGTGGTGGTGATGACACATAATAGTTCCTCAGATAGTTCAAAGACTTAAAACTTGCACTGTGTTTTTCCATGTTGGGCAGGATTTGTAGCAGTTGGTGAAAGTTAGGGGGATGCAGACTTTAGGCCAATAGCTTGCTACTAAGAACTTGCTCAGATCCCACCCCTGGGGGCAGAGATGATATGACTCCATGTCAAAGAGGCCTTGGTGGGATTCCTGCTCACATGAGAGGTAGCACAAGATGATTTCAAACTCCCTTACTGCCCCAGGAGAATGAGCTGTAGAGGTAGAATATAAGACAGTGTGTCCAGTTCCTCCCAGAGCCAACATACCCATTATATATGTTGGCACAGTGCCTAGAGCCCATGATACTTATAGGGGCCTACACACTGTTTTAATTTTTGTCTCACATCAGAAAAAGGGCAGGGAGTGGTGGCTCATGCCTGTAATCCCAGAACTTTGGGAGGCTAAGGCAGGAGGATTGCCTGAGGCCAGGAGTTTGAAACCTCCTTGGGCAACATAATGAGATCCCATCTCTAAAAAAAAGAAAGAAAATGTTTAGGGCCTACAAAAATAAATTACATTTTGGCTAAGAAAAAAAAAAGTTGAAGTATTTAAAGTTATATAAAAATAATTTTTATAGTGAGATTATGGTGGTGGGAGGAACCTACGGAGGCAATAGTCATGAGTGCCATTGAAGGTCATAAGGTGGCTCTGGCCCCGCGTAAGGCCCGGCTACATGCATGCCTCAGCTCCTGCAAGGGATCTCTTTCTTTCTTTTTTTTTTTTTTTAAACAGAGTCTCACTCTGTTGCCAGGGTTGGAGTACATGGAGCAATCTCGGCTCACTGCAACCTCCACGTCCCAGGTTCAAGCGATTCTCCTGCCTCAGCCTCCCAAGTAGCTGGGATTAGAGGCACCTGCTACTACGCCCAGCTAATTTTTTTGTATATTTAGTAGAGATAGGGTTTCACCATGTTGGCCAGGCTGGTGTCAAACTCCTGGCCTTGTGATTCTCCTGCCTTGGCCTCCCAAAGTGCTGGGATTACAGGCGTGAGCCATCGCTCCCAGCCGCAAGGGATCTCTTTCTGGCCTCAGCCAGCTCCAGCTGTGCACTGGAACAACCCAAACTCCTAAACTACCCAGTCATGATACTTTCCTCCCATCGGTTCTGTGGATCTGGGGATGTTCTTTTCCCATTTAAACAAAGACAGGACATTCTCCATGCCAGAAGCAACCCACTGGTCTAAGCAAACTAAAGAAAACAGTCCGGGCGTGGTGGCTCAGGAATGTAATCCCAGCACTTTGGGAGGCTGAGGTGAGGGGATCACTTGAGGTCACAAGTTGGGGATCAGCCTGGCCAACATGGCAAAATCCCTTCTCTACTAAAAATATAAAAATTAGCTGGATATGGTGGCCCACGCTAGCAATCCCAGCTACTTTGGAGGCTGAGGTGGGAGAAGTGCTTGAACCTGGTAGGCAGAGGCTGCAGTGGGCTGAGATCATGCCACTGTACTCCAGCCCGGGCAACAGGGGGAGACTCCATCATATATATCACAATGCTATACAATTATTACATTATACCCAAAACATTTTCATCATCTCCAACAAAAACTCTGCACATATTCAACAACAATAACTCTCCCTTCCCCATTCCACCATCCCTTGGTAACCCATTCTACTTTCTGTCTCTGTTATACTTTCTGTCTGTATGAATTTGCCTATTCCATGTACCTTGTATAAGTGAAATCATACAATATCTGTCTTTTTGTGTCTGGCTTACTTCACTAAGCATAACGCTTCCAAAATGTATCCATGTTGTAGCACATATCAGAATTCGACTCTTTTATATAGGTGGATAATATTGCACTGTATGAATATACCATATTTTGGTCTCCATTCATCTGCTAATGGTCACTTGGGTTATGATATGGTTTGGCTGTGTCCTCACCCAAATCTCATCTTGAATTGTAGCTCCCATAATTCTCATGTGTTGTGGGAGGGACCCAGTGGGAGATAGTTGAATCATGGGAGTGGTTTCCCCTATACTGTTCTCTTGGTAGTCAATAAGTATCAGGAGATCTGATGGGTTTTATAAGGGGAAACCCTCTCGCTTGACTCTTGTTCTCTCTTATCTGCCCACCATGCTAGGTGTGCCTTTCGCCTTCTGCCATGATTGTGAGGCCTCCCCAGCCACGTGGAACTGTGAATCCATTAAGCTTCTTTTTCTTCATAAATTACCCAGTCTCAGGTATGTCTTTATCAGCAGCGTAAAAACAGACTAATACAGTAAATTGATACTGGTAGAGTGCAGCACTGCTGTAAAGATACCCAAAAACGTGGAAGCAAATTTGGAACTGGGTAACAGGCGGTGGCATCAGTGTGACCTGGATGTGAGACACGGAGTCAAAGGTGATCATTTTGGAGCTTTAAGATTTGACTGCCCTGCTGGATTTCTGACTTGCATGGGGCCTTTAGCCCCTATGTTTGGCCAACTTCTCCCATTTGGAATGGGTGTATTTGCCGAATGCCTGTACTCCCATTGTACCTAGGAAGTTAACTATCTTGCTTTTGATTTTACAGGCTCATAGACAGAAGGGACTTGCCTTGTCTCAGATGAACTTTGGACTGTGGACTTTTGAATTAATGTTGAAATGAGTTAAGACTTTGGGGGACTGTTGGGAAGGCACGACTGGTTTTGAAATGTGAGGACATGAGATTTGGGAAGGGCGAGGGGCAGAATGATATGGTTTGGCTGTGTCACCACCTAAATCTCATCTTGAATTGAATTGTATTTTCTATAATTTCCATGTGTTGTGGGAGGGATCTGGTGGGAGATAATTGAATCATGGAGGTGGTTTCCCCCATACTGTTCTCATGGTAGTGAATAAGTCTCATGAGAGCTGATGGTTTGATAAGGGGCTTCCCCTTTCACTTGGCTGTCATTCTGTCTTACCTGCCGCCATGTAAGACATGGTTTTCACCTTCCACCATGACTGTGAGGCCTCCCCAGCCACGTGGAACTGTGAGTCCATTAAGCCTCTTTTTCTTTATAAATTATCCAGTCTCAGGTATGTCTTTATCAGCAGCATGAAAATACAGGTTGCTTCCATCTTTTGGCTGTTTTGAATAATGCTGCTATGAACAATGGTATACGAGAATCTGTTCGAGTCTCCACTTCCAATTTTCTTGGATATACATATGGGAGCAGAATTGCTGGGTCACATGGTAGTTCTCTGTTTAACCTTTTAGGAAAGCGCCAAACAGTTTGTAATCATGTTTTGAGGAACATGCTGAGCTGTTAGTCAACTTTCTTGGGTGGAGATGGTTGGGATGTTTGAGCTGGGAGTAGAGATGAATAACGCTGCAGCTTGAATCAGGCCAAAGAACCAGAGAAAAAGCATGGTTAGACCTCAGGCATTCTTCTGCCCACGGTGCTGACAGGCCACCCTGGACACTTTCTTTGTCACAATGATTGTTAGGTGGACGAAAACCAGAAAATCATTTGACAAACAGAATTATTCACTATTATCCCCTGACCAAGACAGCATAACACAGCCATCACCCAGGACAGGGGAATAGTTTCATTAGACTGAATTCTTGCTTAAAACCGTTCACTTATTTTTTTAATTTACAGAATATATCATATAAACAAAAAGAATACATAAGTATAGATTTAATAACAAAAAATTAATGCTGCCAAATCTACCAATCAGCTTAAGAAATAGACCTTTACAACATGTTTGAAGGCATTTACCCCTTTCTGATCACCTTCTCCTTCCCTACCTCACATGTAACCACTATCCAGAATGTAGTCTATTATACTCTTGTTTTTCTTTTCTTCTTCTTTTTTTTTTGAGACGGAGTCTCACTCTGTCGCCCAGGCTGGAGTGCAGTGGTACGATCTCAGCTCACTTCAACCTCCGTCTCCTGGGTTCAAGCGATTCTCCTGCCTCAGCCTCCCAAGTAGCTGGGATTACAGGCACATGCCAGCATGCCGGGCTAATTTTGGTATCTTTAGTAGAGATGGGTTTTCACCTTGTTGGCCAGGCTGATCTTGATGACCTCCTGACCTCAGGTAATCTGCCCACCTCGGCATTCCAAAGTGCTGGGATTACAGGCGTGGGCCACCACGCCTAGCCACTCTTGTTTTTCTTTATAGCTATATCATATATATGTATGCCTAAGTAGTATATTGTCTAATTTTGCATGTTTTAGTAAAATCATCTGATATGTGTTTTTCTGTGACCTGCTTTTTCATGCGTCATTATACTTTGGAGATTTATCCATACTGAACTGTGTAGCTGTAATTCCTTCATGTTCACTGCTGTGCTGTGGGTTCCATTTTATGCATATTCTAAATGTATTGACCTATTCTACTAAAGATGGGCCATTTCAGTATTTCCTAAGAGTTCTTTTTTTTTTTTTTTTTAAAGGATCTTCATTGGCTTTATTTGTGATTCTAGAATCTGGCAACACTTCATTCCACAAAGTAGAATGTGTTCCCGTAAGAGTTCATTCTAACCAGGGTTTTTCTCTCACAGTAATTGATGCTAAATAGTTTTAATTGCCTGTCTCCCTACATGTGTAGGTTTTGTCTCCAGATTGTGAACAAGAGGGGAACAGGTACCAAGTATCTCTTCTTTTGTTGGCTTAACAAGCCTGGAGTGATCCTACCACATCCTGGGCCGCTTGTTCTAAGCACCGCCTAGTGGACCCGGCTGCCGTGTCTCCGCCCCTGTCCGACCCTCCCGTCAGAGCTGATTGGACCAGAGGCAGATACTTGACTCAAGGTGGGCCAATCAGACGCACTCTCTTGAGGATTTTAAACTCTAAAGAGATACAGCTCTGTTTCTTTGTGCTTGGCCCTGTAAAAGCAGATATTTGGGGCTCTGGTTCTGCTGTGTCTCCCTTATGCTGTGCATGGAGGGGAAAGGGAGGATGGGGTTGAGGGGGTTGCTGGTATGTGAATGAGGGGACTGAATAGGATGGATAGAATTTTTTTTTTAAGAGCAGGTGTGGGGAAAGAGCCCTAAAAGCCTTCCAGGCCTCCGTCCACCCTTGGTCCCAGGAGACCCACCTGCTGGGTCTCTCATAATTGAACTTTCTGGCTTCAATTAATTTCAGTTGTTTTCTATTACTTGTAATCAAAGACTCTTATCTGTCCAATTTTCTTCCTCCCACTCATTCAGAAGAAATGCAGAGCTGTCCAGGGACACCTATAAACCCAAGAATGAGTTAAATTCTTTCCCTACCTCACTAGAGAGAGGAAATTCTCCATTTCCAGAGGCAGTTGGCTTCAGAGAGTTAAACAATGGAGTGAATACTTAACTGTTTTGAGCTGCTAATGCCAGTTTTATGTCACCTGGGTATAAGGCAACTATACTTGTTTTATCTCATGGAGTTATTTTGACCAGCTCTTAGAAATGGCTGTATTTTGCTCTTAACTTCCTACAAAAATGCAAGATAAAGATAACTCCCCATTATCCTCAGGTGACTGGGAGGGTAACCATGAATAAATGAATTTTACAGATAATCCCCAAACCTTATCTAAACTCTTATCTTCGCCAATAGCTTCCTCTTCGGCCTTTTACCAGAGCCGTTGACAAGAGGCAAATGGACTGTGACAAGCGGAGTTTTTATCTCCTTTTACTTCCCTTCCACACCTCCAGTGGAGAAGGCTAATGAGCAATGACAAGGAAGAAAAGACAGGTGGCAGGAGGGCAAAGAGAAGAGACAGAAGCCTGGATGCTTTGAGCATTAGCGAAACAGCTCCAGGAGTTGGAAGAAGTTGGAGGGCTCTGAGAACATATATCACCGAAAGATGGGGAAGAGAAACGGGACACCCAAGCGTGACAATGCCTTGTGGTCTTGCTCCACATTTCACAACATGCTTTTCCAAAGTTCAGATGGCTGCATTTAGGAGACAACATATTCCTTCCAAGTACTTTCGGTTCTGAAGATGCGGCCCTCGTTAAATGCAAGTGCACTTTCCTCCTAAGATTGGTTTTGCTCTCTTTTATCAGCACACGCAGCCCCTCAAGGCAGTGGATTTTTTATTCTAGCCTCTGCTAAGTGGTGGAGCCAGCCCCAAATGCCCCATCACACTTTTTTTTTTTTTTTTTTTTTTTTTGAGACAGAGTCTCACTCTGTCACCCAGGCTGGAGTGCTTGGCGTGATCTTGGCTCACCGCAACCTCCGCCTCCCAGGTTCAAGCGATTCTCCTGCCTCAGCCTCGAGCAGCTGGGACTACAGGTGTGGGCCACCATGCCTGGCTACTTTTTTTTGTATTTCTAGTAGAGACCGGGTTTCACCATGCTGGCAGGCTGGTCTCAAACTCCTGACCTCAGTTGAACCACTCACCTTGGCCTCCCAAAGTGTTAGAATTACAGGTGTGAGCCACCACACCTGGCCCTCCTCTCACTTTAGAGAGTAGCCATTCAGCTTTGAAGTGTAACTTGTGGTGAGCTGTCTTCTGCCTCCCCTTTTTGCGTTGGGAACTACTGTATGGCCACAAAAATGAGTGCAGAGGTGAGGATGCTTGTCCAGCCGTGCCATCTTTGGAAAGGGTTGAACATTCAGTTGCTAAACTGCAGCCAACTGAATCAGATAATCTTTTGTTGAGCTCTTTCAAATGTAACATTTCAAACTTGCTCTCAGAAACTGTTAGGTATGCACTGCTGAGACCTTGAATTTGGAGGGTAATACCAGAACATAAGCTTGCCAGCAGAGGAAGACAATGGTGTCTCATTATTCATGGAAACATACTGTTGCTGTGCTTTGGTTCAAGTTTTGATGAACAGAAAATGTGCTCTGAACTTATTTTCCTTTTTGTGAAATCCTGACACAGCATTTCTGATTTCAAAGGAAGCTGTATAAAAAGACCAACAGAAACCCCACAAAATGAGACCACCTTAAAATCAAGTTTACTGACTAAATGGGATTAAGCTAGAGTTGTGTTCGAAAAACAATAAACGAGAAAAAAACAAGTCTTTGCTGCATGGTGCCCACTTCTGTCTAAACCGCTCTGAAGTCCAGATGCAAGCTGTCACTGGAGCATCTCTGGAGAGAGCGTGGGAAGTTAAAAGTCAGTGTTTTTGATTAATTAATAATCATCCTCAGCTGTGTTGGCAAATGATTAAAAACAAATTGTCTGCCTTTAAAGTAAGGGTGGAAGATGTGTGCTTACCCAGAACCGAAGGGGAAGGAGGAACAGCCCTGTTGGCCTAGTCTGCCCTTGACTAGTCTGGTGGTGGTTGAACAAAGACGACGTTGTATGCCTCTTGCCCTATAAAATCCTGATTAGGAAGGAACAGCCATAGCTTGGGCAGTCAGTCAGGGAGGGAGGCAAAGGAAGCCAGTGTCTAAGGAATAGCCCAAAGGACTATTTTATGGCTACCAAGTTGTCTTCAAGAACAACTCAATGAAGCATTCACAGGAATAACTGTTTCTCTCTGTCATTGTGAAAGTCATTTGAGCTGGAGTCAGCAGGCTGTAGCTGAGTGTGAGTGAGTGTGAGTGTGTGTGTGTGAGAAAGAGTCTGTGTGTGTGTGTGTGTACTGGGATAAGGTGAAGTTTTACTGGTGGTTTAGAGGAGAAATGAGAGCTCTTTTCTTTTTAAAATTTGCCACCTGTAAGCTAAACAATGTCAGTATCATTCTTTCCTGAAGACCCTGCAGCTGCCGTTCAGTGCCATGTCTCTCCCTCCAGATCCTGTAGTTTTTAGCCATGTATCACAGTCATTCCACCTCTGCCAATGCAGTGACTTTTGCCTTTTTGACAGTACCTGGCACAGATTATTGGAGATAGCAGACACAATACACATCTTCAATAATGGGATGCCTGGGGGGAGGCTGGACCAATGAATGGGCCTGTGCCAGATGCTGTGTTTATCCTGTTGCTCAAAATTCTATATTCCCCAGTGACTGCAACATTTGCCTCCTTTTCTTCTCCCCACTGCCAGAGCCATGGTGCAGGTGCTGATTAATTTTTGCCTATTCTACTCTCAGGGTCTGTGAATAATCCTCTTCTTCTACCTGCCTTTAATCCATCCTACACATTCAGTTCACCCTGATTCTATCCTGCCCCAGCCTCCAAACTCTCTGGGACCCCTCATTCCTTGCCAAATAACACTATGATTTAAGAGCCTTCACACTGTGGACCCAGAAGATGTTTTCACCCTAACTCATACTATCCCTTATGTATCGATTGTCTCACAGCCTGTGCAATCGAGCAGCACACTGCCTAACTTGCTCTTATTTTCCTACTTTCATCCCTCAGTAAAACCCTACTCAGACTTTATATGTCAAATACCAATTCTTCCGTGAAGTTTTTTATTTCACCAGTTGGATATGATTTCCTTTCTTCTGATTTTTTTTTTTTTTTCGAGACAAGTTCTCACTTTGTCACCAGGCTGGAGTGCAGTGGTACTATCACGGCTCACTGCAGCCTTGGCTTCCAGGCTCAAGTGATCCTCCCACCTCAGGCTCCCAAGTAGCTGGGACTACAGGTGTGTGCCACCATGCCGAGGTAAGTTTTAATTTTTGTAGAGAAGGAGTCTTGCTATGTTGCCCAGGCTGGTCTCAAACTCCTGGGCTCAAGCAATCTGCCTGCCTTGGCCTCATAAAGTGCTAGGATTACAGGCGTAAGCCACCATGCCAAGCCACCTTCTTTTGATTTTTACTCAGCGTTCTGCTCTGCCTTTTGTATTAGACTCTTTACGTGCTGGTCTAACTACCTGATTAGAAGCCCCTGAGGTCAGGAAGGTCACATTCATCTTTGCTTGCTGCTAAATTATATTCAGGGTGAACCAGGCAACCAGTGCTCCTCCTGCTAGGAGTCTGCAGTTTAGCAGTCCACACTGGCATAGCTGCAGCCCCTTATCTGAGACCTGGTACCAGAATCGACATGGAAAAACCCAAAACTTCAACACATTAAATACTCACCTATGTTTATTTTCTGCTATATTGCAAATTACCAGCAATTTAGTGGCTTCATACAATACCCACTTATTAGTACACAGTTCTCTAAGTCAGAAGTCTGGAACGGTGTGGCTGGGTCCTCTGCTTAGGGCATCACAAGGTTGAAATCTAGGTGTTGGCCTGAGTTTTTCTCTGGAGGTGATGAGGAAATAATCCACTTGTAGCTTTTTCCTGTTGATAGAATTCTGCTCTCTGTGGTCATAAGACTGAAGTCCTCCGTATCATGGAATCAGGCCCACTGGGATCATTTTTTCTTTCTTAAGGTCACCTATGTCATAAAATAGCAGCTAATCATGGGAATAAAATCCATGGTATTCTCAGGGTGTATACACAAAGGAGGATGCAGGAAATCCTGGGTGCATCTTAGAATCCTGCCCACCACATCACCTTAAATATAAATGTGAGGCACTGGTGAGCTGAGGACAAATCCACTTTTGGACAATGGTAGCTGGGGAGGCCACTGTGTTTCTTTAATGAGTCTAGAAAGATGTCCAAGAGAAGGGAAAGCTTAGGAGTTCTTGGAAAGTTGGGAGGGTCCTGGAATTTCTGAAAGTAACTTGATGGTGTGGAGGGGTGGGTTTTCCCGGTTAAAAAATGGAGATGAGGAAGGGGGCTCAGGGAGTGGATGAGATGTGCAGGGAGTGGGTGGGAGTGCTGACGCTGAAGGAACCAGAGACTGGCATGGGTAGCAAAGCAGCAGGGAAGGAAACTCATCTGGGAGCCCCGAGTCAGGGCTGTGATTCTGATCTGCAGTGTGGGGAAGGTGCTGGTATGGCCGAGGCCCACGGCAGAGGGGATCACCTCAGTGGATGTGCTGGAGCGAGTGGAGGGTCCTGCTGAGACAAGTCTATGGGAGGCCGAGGAGAGCTGCGTGGCCTGCAGGAAGTCTGCCAGCTGTCGTGGAGGGAGACTAAGGAAGGCAGGGGCTTTGGCTGCTGGGCTACCATGAGGGTGAGATTTCCCAGAAGAATGTCTAGCAAAGAACTCTTGGCTATGAATAAAGGAGGAAACATTTTCCAAGAGACCACAGAGCCCAAGGCAGTGCCAAGTGCTGGCCCATGGGCCACAAAGTTAGCTGCTGACTCACCCTGTGACTACAGGCACCTTACTTGGCCTCTCACTGCCTTTGTTTCCTCATCTATAAAATGGAGACTAACAATAATTCTGCCACTGCTCAGTCTAAATAGCACATAGAGAACACTTTGCAGTCACTAGCTGCCAGGAATATGCCTCTGCCTTTTCGTGGGCTCTGCACTGTGGCTCCACCTGTAACCTGAACTAACCATTCGCTGCTGGGGAAGAACACAACACAGGTGCAGTGTAGCCTGTTGCGGCCCAGCCCTGGGTCAGGCTGGTTCGGAGACCCCTTCCCTAGCTGGACCCTGGGCCTCAGGAGAGTCACATCCAAACTGTGTGTAAGTCAAACAGCAATTCTTGTTTAGGAGACCACTTTGTGATACATAACCTCCTGCTAGATTCCTTCCTTGAAGGAATTTTCTTGGGGATTCCAAGTGAAGAAGTTTCCCCAAGTCACATGTAACTCACCCTTCACTTTCACTCCATCATTCATTTTGTTAGGCAAAGCCCAGGTGTCACTGTTGAAAACTTACCAAATGGTGAGCCTACTATAAAGCTTTGAAACAAGAGCCAAGCATTCGCTCACATTCCGTAGATCCCACAGATGTACTTTGGGTGATGGTTGTAGGAATCTGTAGGCAGGTGTAAGTCCATTTCCTCTCTGGGCCTAGATCAAGTCTAAAAACTCTCAAGACAATATTGG
Organism: Homo sapiens; assembly: GCF_000001405.40. NCBI lineage: Eukaryota > Metazoa > Chordata > Mammalia > Primates > Hominidae > Homo > Homo sapiens. The sequence goes on from NC_000006.12 coordinate 106,160,530, forward strand.
GCCGTTGTTGACATATCCTAGAACTTTCCAGATCCCAACAAGGTGCTTAGAAAGAGGTGGGCTGCTTTATCAAGGACTTTAAGAAGTGAGCAGTGATTTGAACTGAGAAGAAGCTCAAAGGAAAGGGGTTTGATGCCAGCTTCTAGGTCCCAGCAGAAGCCAGGACAAACCCTGGCAGAGAATTGATGTAGCTGGGGCTGCCTTACGATGTACCAAACCTCAGAGAGGAGTCAAAACCAACCCTTAGGCTTTTGTTCCAACCTCATGAGGACACAGTATCAGGAGCTCCTTGCATCCTGAGCAGGAAGGTCCTTCTGTGCCAGGACATGTCTTGTGGCCTGAAGGTGCTCCACTAATGGACAAGCATCGTCTAGGGACTGGATCTTCTCCATGTGGGGTCCTGGAACACAGTCAGGCCACGCAGTTGGGCAGCAGGGTAAAGTGCAATGCGGGGCTGCTCTTAGTGGGTCCACCTTGCCCCCACTGCCAGGACAGAGATAGGGCCTGCGGAGCTATTCTGGGGCATGGTGATGGGCTGAGGATGGGCCTTGGAGCCCTGTGATCACTCTCAGGGTGGCCTGGAACAGGCTGAGAGTCTTCTGGGTTTCCAGGTGGACAGGCTTGTCTTCATCCAGAGCCCCAGGACTCCTGCATTCTGCAGAAGTCTCTGGGTCCACCAGGGCACACGTTCAAAATGCTCTTCCTGTGGTCTCTCTGCTCAACCTGGAAGGCTCTTTCAGCATCTTTCTAGAATTGAGCAGAGTCTGGCTGTATCTTCAACCCTGGATGGCTTTGCCCACAGTAATTCTTGGTTCCTATATTTTTGTCCCTAAACACACCATCTTAGCCTCTAGAATTCTATGATGCCCCTGCTTTGTGAGCTGCAGCAATTTACCAACTTGCTTAATTCCAGGGTTGCTTTTTAGGGAGGAATACTCCCACAAACTCCACCACTAAGGGGCCATGAGACTTTGGGGCAGTCATAGCACTGCTTGGGACCTCAATTTCCTCATCAGTATAATGAGGAAACTGGGCTAGATGATCTCTAAGGTGCTTTTGGGCTCCAACATCCGTTCATCTATGATCCTACCATTCTGAGGCTTCCCTGTAGAGCTTCAGTTATTCATTCAACAAATGCTTATTCAGCAACTCCTGTGCTAAGTCCTGAGGATACACCGTGAACGAGATGTGGCTACTGTCCTCAAGGAGGAGGAAAGTAAAAATTCAAATTAAGAAAAAAAGACATATATAACTTTACTAAACAGTGTGAACTCAGTGGAGTAAGCTGTGACAGTTGAAGGGCCACCTCATTGTTTCCTGATTCTAGGGATCACTTCTCTTCATTGCCTGATGTCCAGTGTCTTGGAAACTGTTGTTTCATATATTTTGTCTGTTTTGTGTGTGTGTGTGTGTGTGTGTGTGTAGGGGTTGTTTCAGGCAGGAAGGTAAATTTGGTCTCCATGACTCCATATTGGCCAGCAGCAGAAGTCCTAGCAAACTTTTTTTTTTTTTTGAGACAGGGTCTTGCTCCATTGCCCAGGCTGGAGCACAATGGCACGAGCCCGGCTCACTGCAGCCTCAATTTCCTGGGCTCAAGAGATCCTCCCACCTCAGCCTCCTATATAGCTGGGACTACAGGCATGTGCCACCATGCTCAGTTAATTTTTTATTTTGTAGAGATGGGGTCTTGCTCTGTTGCTCAGCCTGGTCTCAAACTCCTGGGCTCAAGTGATCCTCCTGCCTCAGCCTCTGAAAGTGCTGGGATTACAGGCATGAGCCACCATGTCTGGCCTCCACCAATTTTTGATCATACAATCTAATTTTTAAAATTGGGCCTGCATCCCCATCATATTTATATTTATCTATAAATTTTATATGTGTACACTTGTGAATACATGTAGCATTAATCATATTTATTAGTAACAGTAAAGCTTAATTTATTTGTTGTTTAGATTGAAACACAGATAGAAATAGAAGTTAAGATATTTTCTTCTTGCACACCAATGGATCATCTGTGTATCTACACATCTAAGGCCAAAGGACTCAGGAAGACCAGTTCTGTGAACTTTCAAAATTGGTTGGAAAAGGTATCTGAGATACTTGGTACGGGTAACAGTACACATTTTGTTCTCAAATCAGAAACAGGAGATTGGTACACTTGGCTGATACCAAATAAAGCTAAGGTTCTACAAAAAGAGTCCTTTAAAAATAGTGTTTGAAAAAAAATTGCATTCCTTGGTCCTATTTGACAAAATTCCCACAATTTTCTCCCTTTACCTTGGTCATACCTTATTTAAATGTCAAAACTGTCCATAAATCTTAAAACGCATTCTCAGTGCTATATACTAGGCAATGTGGAAAAATGCAAAAAAAACCCAAAAAAACAAAAAAACCCTCTGAATACAAATGCCTATCCTGAGTTTAGCTATCTTTGCTTTCCTGCCTGTGTCATGAGTGGGATGCACCCAGGGGTGATGTCTTAGTCCATTTTGTGCTGTAATAACAGAATACCACAGACTGAGTGATTTACAATTAATAGAAATGTCTTGGCTCACAGTTCTGGAGGCTGGGAAGCCCAAGACTGAGGAGCTGGCACCTGGTGGCTACATCATCCCATGGCAAGAGAGCAAGAGAGTGAGAGAGCAAGAGAGTGAGAGAGCGAGACAGCGAGAGAGGGAGAGAGAGAGAGTGCGTGTGTGTAAAAGAGGGCCAAACTCCCTTTTTATAACCAACCTACTCCTGCAGTAACGGCATTAATTCATTCACTCTGCCCTCATGGCCTGATCATCTCTCATCAGGCCCCACCCCCGAACTCTGTTACAATGGGGATTAATTTTCCAATACATGCTTTTTAGGGGACATAGTCAAACCATATCAGGGGGACTTTAACCACCTGCACTTGAAGAGAAAAGGAGAGGGCACTGAATTAGGTCTGTACTTCCTTTCTGAGACTTTAGAAGATATCAAGAGACCTGGCTCACTCCTTTCCTCCAGCAGCCTGTTCAGCGTGGCCCTTGAGCTTGACTCACAAACAGCAGTGGAAAATAAGCAAGGGGAAGAACGTGCCTGCAGAGCCCAAAGTCAGCCTGTAGAGCTCAGGCTGGCAATCACTTTCACTCTGCTGCAGCAAGCACCCCTGGGGCTGCTGCCCAAGGATCAACGCAGCAAACCAGCAGGAAGTGGAATAGTCAGCAGAAAGGGTCAAGGAAACCTATCCTTTGTCAGACAGGAGCTTTATTTCCACTCTGGTCCACAGCCTCAAAGGGCAGCTGCCTCACAGGGAGAGTATTTGACCAAATCCGGTTTGCACGTTTGAAATAAGAACTCCATTTATTGCTCTCTGAAACCGAGTGCTAGAAGGCCCCATTCCCAGCAGCCTTGACACCCCCCGTCCCCTCCTACTGTGACAGTCCAGGTTGTTCCAGCTGCCCTGGCTGATGTCTGGCCCTCCAGGATGGATATGTGTCCAAGAAATCCCAGACCCATCCTCCACTTGGACGATTTTGCAAACCTTCACATAAGAACAGATTGCACAAGCGGTATGTGTGAGGGCTGACGGAAGAAAAAGGGAAGAGCTCTTTCTGCTTATGACTGGGACGCTGTTATTCATCAAGCTCTGGTGTTTCAAGTGAGTTTTGTGGATGAGGAGGCCAAGTCATGTCAGCACTAGAAACCTCCCTGGCCTCAGTCATATGTGCTACCCCACCTCTTCCCCACAGCCCCTGCCATTCCTTTATGAGGACCCTCCCTGTTTCGTGCTTTCACAGAGTAAAGCTGCTGTGAGTGGTGCCTTGAGTCACACCCAGCTCACACTGCCCCACAGAATCTGACACGAGGTCTGGGGTGAACTCTGTGGCCCTGGCCTCCATCTTCTGCCCTGCCCTTGCTTCCTGAGGTGGGCAGGAAGCGGGACTCGCGATGAGGGCTAGGCCCCGGCTTCTGGCAGTGGGGGAGTTTCTATCCTGCCCAAGGGGTTAGGGGAAGGAATGTTGGTCACATGAAATCCAGGGGCGGCTATGTAATGTGGGAGACAGCAAGCATCATGTTCCCACACTGTAAGTCATGATGACACTGTTAAAAACGACGGGTGGGTGGGGGAAAGTGAAAGAAAAAGAATAAGGGGGAACAGAAACCAAAGTGAGGCATACAGAGGCATCAAGCAAGACTAACGGCCAAGGTACGAAGAGAGGCCAGGGGAAGGGGTGGCCTGGAAGGGAGTCAGGAAAAGGCAGACGAATCAGACTGGGTAGGAGGAAAGGAATCAGGCCAAGGAAAACATAATGAGATGTGAAGAGAAGACACGATCATTTGGGGAGATGGCAGGGAATCTGCCACCAAGTACATCAACACAGGGTGTTGAAGGCCGGGGCCAAGAACACCTTTGGGGCATCACCCCAGTACAGCATGGAGCAGCACCTGACTGTGAAATCTGTGTCTCTGCTTGCTGGAGGCCTAACTAAATTCAGATGGAAAGGGTCTGTGAGACTCTTAGAAGAATAGAAAGGGGGATGGAAGTAGAGGGAAAAGACCAGAGAGACCCATCTGTGCTTCACAGCTCTTCACGAGTTCATTCCCAAGCAGGCTTTGCCTGTGGTCTTGTGGGTGATGCAAAAAATTAAGAAAATAAATAAAAATTTTAAAATAGGATCTTTGGCTTTTGTTCTCATAACCTAGGAGAGGGAACAGGTGCACATACACAAAGCACCAAGCAGCAACAATTTTATTGAGACTGTTCAGAGGACACAGTAACAGAATACTGGTTGAATGAATAAATGAAGACCAAAGAAAGGAAATGCAGAAAGGCTTTCTTGACCATGTCATTTGTCATTTTAAAAAATGCAGGAATTGGTCAGACGCGGTGGCTGACACCTATAATCCCAGCACTTTGGGAGGCCAAGGCAGGTGTATCACCTGAGGTCAGGAGTTCCAGACCAGCCTGGCCAACATGGTGAAACCCAGTCCCTACAAAAAAATACAAAAATTAGCCAGGCATGGTGGTGGCCATCTGTAATCCCAGCTACTTGGGAGGCTGAAGCGGGAGAATCGCTTGAACCTGGGAGGTGGAGGTTGCAGTGAGTTGAGATCGTACCATTGCACTCCACCTTGGGCCACAAGCATGAAACTCCGTCTCAAAAAAAAAAAAAAAAAAAAAAGCAGGAATTAAACAGTGTTGGTCAAAATGGATGAAAAATTCAAAAATGGACCAAGAAGGTACAATACCCAGGCTTGACAATAGCATAGCACAGGTTCTGAATCAAAGCAGAGAGCAGGAGGCATAGCTGCCAATTCTAGTCTTCTGGGTGAGCTGAATCTGCCTAGACATGGTATTTAACACCTTAAAAAAAATTTACCCCCTAGGAATCATATTTAGTATATAAAAGGCAACAAGGAAAGACTGGTTAGATGGCCCTAGAGGAGGCCAGTTTGCTAGCATGGAAGCAAGGCTTTCCTGAGGCTGCTGGTTTGGACAGAGACAGATGTTGGAAGACCACTGAAGAGCAAAGATCAGGTGAGTAACCTAGATTGGCAGGAGGCCAGATGCAAGAGGAGAGTGGTTGTATATGTGTGTGTCAAAGAGGCAAGGGCATTCAACTTTCAATTGAGAAAAATGAATAGGGGGGCTGGGCATTGTGGCTCACGCCTGTAACCCCAGCACTTTGGGAGGCTGAGGTGGGACAATCTCTTGAGGTCAGAAGTTCAAGACTAGCCTGGTTAACATGGTGAGACTCCATCTCTAAAAATAAAAGTAAAAAATCAGCCAGGCATGGCGGCATGTGCCTGTAGTCCTAGCTATTCTGGAGGCTGAGGTGGGAGGATTGCTCGTTCCCACCTATTCCCACTATCCACTATCTCTAAAAAGAAAATAAAGAGGAAAAATTGATAGTGAAGATGATGATTACAACAACTAACATTTGAGTGCAAACTGTGTGCCAGGTGATGTTCTAAGCACTTTACATATATTAGTTTATATAATCTTCACTACCACTCCCTGAAGTATTATTATTATTATTTCGAGACACAGTCTCACTCTGCTGCCCAGACTGGAGTATAGTGGAGCAAGCATAGCTCATTGCAACCTCAACCTCCCTGACTTAAGCAAACCTCCTACCTCAGCCTCCCAAATAAAGTTGCATGCCACCATGCCCAGCTGATTTTTTAATTTTTTGTAGAGATGGTGGTCTCACTATGTTATCCAGGCTGGTCTTGAACTCCTGGACTCAAGCGATCCTCCTGCCTTGGCCTCCCAAAGTGCTGGGATTACAGTTGTAAGCCGCCATGGCTGGTCTATTATTATTATTATTATTCTCATTATTATTTGCCTTTTATACAGAAAGAAATCCAAGCAGAGAGAGATCAAACAATTACCCAGAAATTAGCCCAGGACTCTAACATTAAACTCTACAACTCTCTCTGAAGTCATGAAAAATTTAATGTCTCTTTCTTTAGCTGTAAACATCTGTCCTCTAACCTGCCTATATAAGAGACATTGCTGATGATTAAACCTTTGTGAAGAGACTGACTGTGTTGTCATTATGAGAGTGTTAGCATTATTATAAGGCAATGCTTTTTCCAGAAATACTAAATAGATGCTCACATTCTCATGCAATACCACAAGGCCTTTAAGAAGTTTACAGAGGCTCATCAACTAAAGAACCCTCCTGTGTGCTCACAATAGACAATAATGCCAAAGGAATCCTCTCTCAAAAGAAGAAAGGTCTCTTTCTGACACCCTCTTGCAATTCTTTCAAGGTTTGGGGGATGGCACACTTCTTTCTTATAAAATGGTTCCCCACTGAGAATAATAGCTAGGCTCTTGTCCTTACAAGAGCCTCTTCCACAAGGGCCAAACCGGAGGACCAAGCCACCTCAGAAATGGGGTTTTGAATCTGGGAGGCAGCAGATAGAGAAATAGATAGCGAATACATCTGTTTTCACAAGAGCCTGTTGTTCTCTGTACTAACTGCTATAAAAACGACATGAAACTAGCCACACATTAGTTTTGGTTCTCGTGACTAAATCAAGGAATGGCATGATGGTGCTGTGTCATTAGAAATGAAACCAGTTCTTAAGCGAGAGAATAGGGCCAATATTTTAATAACCCGAACAATTTCATAGAAAAATCAAAGCTGAAACTTCAACACCCTAGCCCTGAACACCTGCTGCTTAAGTTGGTTCTGAACCAGTGAAACTATCTTGTCATGAAGACATGGGATGGGCCCTGACTTGCCCAACACTCATGGTGGCTGGGGACATCTTCTTTCCATCTGCTGCCCTGCTAAAGTGGAAACGGGGGCTCAATCTTGGCTTCGACAATGCTGACTGTATTTGGCACTTTAAGAAAAGTACCTCATATTCAATTATTATTTTTTTCAAATACGTAACCTTATATATTTTGATACATATGACGTATCCTCTAATATATGAATTTGGCCTTCCCTGAGGTATTATCATCCACGTTTTTTCAGATGAAGAAACTGAGACTTAAAGACCTAACTAAGTAACTTAGCTAGAAGCAGGCAGAGCTGGGCTTCTGAACAAAAGTGTTCTTATCTGTATCTGCACCACCTCGAATTTGGCCTGCATCACAATAATAATGATGTTGAGGTAGCAAACATTCGTAAGTTGCCTCCCGCCACATCCACTGCCCCTTCTCCTGCCACAGCACCCAGATATTACCTGGAGGCAACCCTCTCCTCCGCACTGCCTCCCCCTTCTCTGGCAGGTGGATACAGCCAGCTCCTAGGGGTGGGTCCTCCTGCGCTTCGGTCAATCAGAGCACCCATCATCTGGCCGGGTGATTGGCTCAGGGGTGGGCATATGGGCTGATTCAGGCCAATGAGGTTTGAGGAAACGTTCACTTGCGCTTCTGGGAAAAAGCTTCCTCAGTCCTCTGTTGTAACACAGGGGAGACAATCCCTCTTTTCCTGGCTGATGTATTGGAGAACACAGAAAGCCCAAAATCCCTCAGCCATTTGTCCCACCAAGAGAAGTGCCAGCCTGAGCAAGAAGCCAGCACACAGAAGAGGCAGCCCTTATGAACAAAACAGACCTGGCGCTGGGATCATGAAGAGGGTGTAAATTCCAGATCAAGCTGTGGAGTTTTCAGGCTGTGAGCCAATGCAATCCCTTGGTTGGCTTAAGCTGGCTTGCGTTTGATTTTCTGTCGCGTGGAAATCCTTAACCAGTATGAACACTGTTGGTGCCGCTCCCAGTAACATCTGATTGTTGCTTTGGTTTCTCAATCAATAGCATAAAACCCATTTGACAAAAATGACTAATCCTCCAAAATTCATCAGCATTTCTGGAGCACAGCCATCTCTGATGCCCACCTGACTTTCCAGACAGGACCCTCGTTTTTCTATTCCTGAGGTCTGGCTTCTTCGGTTTTCTGCTCTGGTATAGCTCAGTCTAGGTCATTTCTCCTCCGGGTTCCACCAGTGACAAGTGACAGCTGCACTCTGCTGAGGAAACAAGCAGGAGCACGGGCAGCCAGCTACAGATGCCAGCATCAGCCTGACGAGAAAAGCAGTGCCAAGAAAGGGTTTGGCCACAATATATTTTTGTTTGTTTTTGAGACAGGGTCTCCCTCTGCCACCCAGGCTAGAGTGCAATGGCACAATCACAGCTCACTACAGCCTCGACCTCCCGGGCTCCAGTGATCCTTCCCCCTCAGCTTCCCAAGTAGCTAGGACTACAGGCCTGCACCACTATGCCCAGCTAATTTTTGTATTTTGTAGCAGAGACAGGGTCTCACCATGTTGCCCAGGCTGGTCTCAAACTCCAGGCAAGCAATGTCTGCCTTGGCCTCCCAAAGTGTTGAGATTACAGGTGTGCGCCACTGTGCCCAGCCTCACACAATATATATTTAATAGAATGTAAAACCAGGTGGGAGAAAGTTCTTTGGAACACATTAGCTACATACACGATTACCTCACCAGCTCTCTATCAGAATGCTGAATCCCAAAAGTGTTGGGACCATTCTGAAGATCTCTATTTGCTGTTGGCCGATTCTCCCAAAGGTTCAGAGATTTGGCATCAAAGATTATAAAGTCATATAGAATTGAGAATCTGTAATAAAAACTGGTTTTTGCGATTCTACTCAATCTCAGTTTCTCTAGGAAAATTCTGTTATTTCCACTTCTGGCCAATATGACTAAGCACCGAGGTGGAAACACAGCCTAAAGAGTTGAAAGAGCCCTGTTACTACCCTCTGTAGTCTGATGTGAGAAAGAAAACATAAATAAATATGGTGGGGCTAGATGTGTAAAGGGGGTCCCTGTTTCCCTCTCCATTTCCCCCATATTCAATCTATCAGCGAGGCCATTTTCCAAATGTGTCTTAACTCATCTATCTATATGTTTACTAGAATCGTGTAACTTATTCACTCCATCAATGTGTATGTTGAAGGTCTACAGTGTTCCCCACATTGTTCCAGTGGCTGGGAGAACCAGATTGACAATGGGATGTGAGCTGCACATTCTAGGGACTCTTCTTGCTTGGACCAACATAAGTGCCTTCCTACTGAATGCCCCCTGCTTCCTCTTTTCCTGTCTCCCCCTATTCTCCACTTTGTAGCCTAAAGGGTCTTTTCAAACCATCACCACTTCCTTGTTAAATGGCTTCCCATCACTCCTTAAGCGAAATACTCTGCATCCTCCTAGCCCTGCTGGGCAGCTGCGTGCCTCCTGCGTCTTTGGCCTCTTTTCACATCCCATGTTCATACCTCACAAGCGCCTCCTTTCAGATCCTTAAGCATGTGCAAGGTTATTTTCTTTTCAGAGCTTTCAATCTGCTTTTATTTCTGCCTAAAACAGTAGATTTCAAACTTTTGGGGGCCATAATTCCCATTAAGAAATATATTTTATATAATGAACCAGTAAATACATCAACACATACCTATACATAAAAGGAAAAAGTGTTTTATAATACTTCTGATATTTTCTATTCCTTTTTTTTAGAAAAGGTAGTCATGACCCACTGACTGCAATTTGGAAACACTCCTTCCTCTGTTCTTTAAAAGGCTGGTTCTTTCTCATCTTTCAGCTTTCTACCTAAATGTCAGCCACTTACAGGGGCTTTCTCCAACCACCTGATCTAAACCAGGCGCCTGACTGGGGTTATTTTTATTCTCAGCCCCTTGTCCCTTCTCTTTAGGGAATGTATTAGAGTTGTAATGAAATATTTCATTGTTGAGATTTGCTCTTTGTCTACCTTACATGGTTGGCTTTTGAAGGCAGGGACTTTATCTGCTTTGTTCCCCATTGTATATCCAGCATGGGTTCAATAATTAGCATCAGAGTAGGATACAAATATTCATTGACTGACTGAGTTAGTGAGTGGGTATGTGATGCTGAGGCCTGGATTTAAAAATAAGACTCCCCAGTAAAAAGAATCAGTCTCTTGGAGAAATGGCCAATTCTAAGGCTGGAGCAAGAAATATACAAGTAGTGCTAGAAAGTAAGGAAGTGCTCAGAAAACAAAAGGAAGGGGGCATGTGAAAGGCACAGGAGCCAAGCTGAAAGCTCCCAATGGCCAAAGCCAGAACAATCTGAGCAACAAATAACCAACCTACAATCAGATTATAACCCCAAACATTATTCATGAAAGTTCATATTGATAGAAACAAATGGTTTGCTAAATAATGGAAGAGATAAATCTTCTTTACAGAAGAATTTCAAATAATTAATGCAGATACAGGTTGTGCATCCCTAATCTGAAAACCCAAAATCCAAAATGCTGCCAAATCTGAAACTTTTTGAGTGATATCACAAATGGAAAATTCCACACCTGACCTCATGTGACAAGTCGCAGTCAAATGCACTCGAAACTTTGTTTCATTCACAAAATTATGTAAAATACTGTATAAAATTACTGTCAGGGAATGTGTATAAGATGTACACAAAACACAAATGAATTTTGGGTTTAGACTTGGGTCCCAGCCCCAATATATCTCATCATGTATGTGCAAATATTCCAAAATCCAAACAAATCTGAAATCTGAAGCACTTCTAGTCCTAAGCATTTTGGATAAGGGATACACAACCTTTACTACCCTCAAGGAGATATAGCTTATTCTCCCCATCCCACCCTACCCTCTTGAGGGGAGGAAGTACTGCACTTAGCGATTTCCTTCTGAACAATGGAGTAGGGAAACAGTGGGGGAACCTGGCAAACAGTACCTTGGCCAGGCGTTCAAGGTGGACTTCCCTAGTGATGTTCATGTGATACCATGTCCTGACAATGTGATGTGATGAGCAGGGCATTTCACCTCTGTGGTCTTCCTCTCAATAACCCATAAACCCAGTGTGACATGAAACAAGCATCAAACTCAAATAGAGGGACATTCTACAAAATACCTGACGAGTACTCCTCACATCTGTCAAAGCTTCATTAAAAATAACTAGAACCCGTCAAAGAAGACAGAGATTAAGAAGACATGACAACTACACACAATGTGGTGTCCTAGATGGAACTCTGGACAGAAAAAGGAAATTAGTGAAGAAACTAAGGAAATCAGAATAAAATATGGACTTTAGTTATTAATAATGTATCAGTACTAGTGCATTAACTGTGACAAATGTACTAACGTTAGATCCTAGCAAAAGGGAGAGCTGGGTAAGAGGTATGTGTGAACTCTCTTACTATCTTTGAAACTTTTCTGTAAATATAAAACTGTTCTAAAATTAAAAGTTTGATGAGGTGCAATGTCTCGTGCCTGTAATCCCAGCACTACAGGTGAACGAAGTGGGAGGATCGCTTTAGCCCAGGAGTTTGAGACCAGCCTGAGCAACATGGCAAGACCCCATCTCTACGAAAAATGGAAAACAATTAGCCAGGCATGTTGGTGCACACCTGCAGTCTCAGCTATTCAGGAGGCTGAGGTGCGAGGTTCGCCTGAGCCCAGGAGGTTGAGGCTGCAATGAGCTGTGTTTGCGCCACTGCACTCCAGCCTGGGTGACAAAGTGAGACCCTGTCTCAAAAAAAAAAAAAAAAGTTCACTTAAAAAAAGTTGAGCCTTATTAACAAGAGCAGGACCTTCATTCAGTTGGTTTTATGGAGCACCCACAAAGCACTACAAATCCTGCTGGGCACAAAGATACTTAAAAACACTTGGAAGATGCATAGATGAATTTAGACAAGGAAAGACATCTTGGGTGGTGAAAATCATGAGCAAAGCACAGGGCTTTACAGGTTGCGGGGGCAGAGGGCGAGCAGAGAGACAGAGAGAGAGAGAGAAAGGAGTATGAGAGAAAGTGATGACAAGAATGAGAAAGAGACAGACTAGTTGGTTTTGTAAGGTGGAGTCTGATATTCCCCACTGAATGTAAGCTCCACGAAGGCAGGAACCTTGTCTATCTTTAATCATCATATCACTAGTACCTAGAACTGTACCTGGAACATAGTAAATGTTTAAAAATATGTGTTGACTAGATGAGTGACTGGAGAAATGGATAAGGAGTGCCTACTGGAAGCCCCACTTGAACCTCAGAGCCAATTTTTTTATGTTAGGTCTCTCAGATGCCTGCTGGATTTGCATTTTTGTACACAGTAATTATGTTTGCATCATTAGAAAGCATGCAAATGTTAGCACTGCTTTTGAATGGCCCTAATGTTCAACCACAGGTATGAAAGTCCTAGGACATAAACTTAGTTCCCTGAAGCACTTCTTGATGGTGTTAATGGGTAGGTCTGCTGACAAGCAGAAGTGACTGGCATCTTCTCCCAGCTGTGTTCTAGTGTTCTGTGAAAACCAGCAGGGACTCAGCACCATGGGATGGAGTTAGCAGAGGCTTCAAAGCTTTCCAGATGGTCTCTGGAAATGTAAGGAGACAGTTTAGAGGGACGCTGAATTGCCCTGCAGGCATCCAGACATTCCTCCTTAATGGTCCTAAATGCTAAACATATTCACTTACATATAACTTTATAAAAAATATTCAAATGTTGGAAAAATTTTGAAGAACCATGCCCAGTTATGCAGCTATCAACAATAACAGGGTAAATTATGTGCACCAATATGAAATAATATCTAAAATATACAAAGTGAAAAAAAGAATTTCTAGAACAGTGAGTATAGTATGTAACTATCCTGTCTGTGCACATGCGCACATGCATAAACACATGTCACAATGCCTAGCAGCTCTCTGAAAAATATACAAGAAACTGGTTAACACAAGGGAGTTCTGAGAAGAAGGGACAGGATGGAGGGAGGGAGAGAGAGAGAGAGAGAGAGACTTTCACTTTTGAATTTTGCACATGTACTACCTATTTGAAACTAAAACATAAATTAAAAAGAATGATTCCAAAGGAAGAAAACTTTGAATTTTGGCTACAGGTTACAGGAAACTCTTTCTTTTGATTTATGCTTGAATTCTCTTTGAGCCTTTTGCTTTCTGTGAGATCTAGCACATGGTTTGATAGGTAGGCCAATGAGCCTGTGAAGAGCTCATTTTAATATCGTCTTCGAATGAGGTTTTAGATGAAGTGCCAGAAATGCACTACGACTGAAATCATGATTAATAAATTCTAAACTAGGAATTCATTAAAGAGATAAATCCTACAGTTACGCTGTAAATAGCACACTTGCATAACACAGTCATGGGCTACATAATAACACTTGGGTCAATGACAAACTGCATGCATGACAGTGATCCCATAAGATTATACTACTATATTTTTACTGTACCTTTCTATGTTTAGATACAAAAATACTTACCACTGTGTTACCATTGCCTACAATATTCAGTACAGTAACATGCTGCACAGGTTTGTAGCCTAGGAGCCATGGGCTAGACCAGGTATCTCAGGTGTGTAGTAGGCTATACCATCTATGTTTGTGTATGTTCATTCTATGATGCTCACACGACGAAATCGCCTCATGATGCATTTCTCAGAACGTATCCTCATTAACTGACACGTGACTATATGGTGCTTTTCTGTTAAGCATTACTTTGTTTAATGTAAATATTTTAAAATCATCTCTAAACCATTAGTAATGAATCATACTAACACCCACAAAATATTTTAAGAAAATATTTCTTTTTAAAATTCCTTTTGAATCAACATAGATCTCTCAAATAAGTAATTATCAACAAAAATAGATCTCTCAAATAAATGATTAGTAATTAACTACAGATAAGTATTTCATCAATATCATATTATGCATTTAAGCAATTTTCTATTTTCTCACATTCCAAAAACAATACAGTTTCAAATGCCAAAGAAAACTCCTTCTTGCTTAGTATTGAGGGAATGAATGCTTGAGATAAACATTAAGCATTTTTAATTTTAACTTTTTAGAGACAGGGTCTTGCTATGTTGCCCAGGCTCACCTCGAACTCCTGGGCTTAAGGGATCCTCCCACCTCGGCCCCCAGAGTATCTGGGACTGCTGGCATGCACCACTGCACCTGGCTCACATAAGTGTTTTGTTATTTAAAACTAGAATGCATTTGTGAGATGTATTTTGATCACATTTCATCTAACTTCAGGAGAAAAGATGTTCAATTTTTCTTACGGATTTCACTACAAGGTTAAGCCAAATGTAAAACATTTATATTCAGTTGCCAATTTAAAAAGGAGGGGAAAAAAAAAGTTTAATGGATGTAAGAATGAAAAAAATCTAAGACCCGCAGCTTGGGTGTTTGTAGGAAATGATTTTAGGCCCTGACCCACCTAATTAATCAAAATCTTGCAAGTGCTAATTCCAATGTCTGTTAAGGCTTGAGAATCTCAGGCTGGGCGCGGTGGCTCACACCTGTAATCCCAGCACTTTCGGAGGCGGAGGCGGGTGGATCACGAGGTCAGGAGATCGAGACCAGCCTGGCCAACATGGTGAAGCCCTGTCTCTACTAAAAATACAAAAAAAATTAGCTGGGTGTGGTGACACATGCCTGTTAATCCCAGCTACTCAGGAGGCTGAGGCAGGAGAATTGCTTGAACCTGGGAGGCGGAGATTGCAGTGAGCTGAGAGCTGAGATCATGGATGACTGCAGTGAGCTGAGATCACGCCACTGCACTCCAGCCTGGCGACAGAGCAAGACTCTCTCTCAAAAAAAAGTTCGAGAATCTCCGGGCTAAGAAACCTTTACTATGTTCAAATTCAGGTTATATTCTTAGTGAACCTTGTATATAATCTTTAGTAATAAGAACGGTGTGATTTTTTGGACACCAACTTATCAAGAATGACTGTAATAATCGTTTACATCCTCCTTCTTACTTGTGAAACATTCTTCCTCTTTTTTTTCTTTCTTTTTGTTTTTTGAGATGGAGTTTCACTCTTATCGCCCAGGCTGGAGTGGAGTGGCGTGATCTTGGCTTACTACAACCTCTGTCTCCCAGGTTCAAGTGATTCTCCTGCCTCAGCCTCCCAAGTTGCTAGGATTACAGGCGCCTGCCACCACACCCAGCTAACTTTTGTATTTTTAGTAGAGACAGGGTTTTGCCATGTTGGCCAGGCTGGTCTCGAACTCTTGACCTCAAGTGATCCACCTGCCTCGGCCTCTTTTCTTAATCTATCTTCTCTACTTCTTCCCAGACTGTCCATGACCCTTTCCCCAGGACAATCACCCTCTCTGTCCACTGATCCCTTCCCTTTCACCAATACAATGAGGCAGGTCTCCCTTCTCTCCACCATGTTAACAGCTGGGCTACAGTCTTATCTTTTTTTTGTCCCATTACTAAATTTCTTAAGAGTCATCAGCAACCTGACAGCTATCAGACTCAGAACAGTTCTCTCGAAGGTCCCAAACTGCCAAATCCAAAGACCTGGTCTACTATTTCCCTGGATCCTCTTGTAGTTTGTGAATTCTTTCTTTAGCATGATTGTCTCAAAGATCTGCCCTTCTTCCTCTTTCTGTCCCCCAAGCATAGGTAGTCCCCTCAGGTCAGTCCAAGGGCTCCTCTTCTCTTTCTACTCTATACTTTTATTATGTGCCACCCCTCCCACTTCAAAGGTCACCTCCAGGCAGAAAACTTCCCAGACAGAATCTTCAGCCCTGTCCTTTTCACTGGAACTCCAAGCCTCTCATTGTGTTCATTCATTTAATAAAGGCTTGTGACATGCCATTGCACTGTGTTAAGCATTGGTGAAAACACAGCAGACCAAGTCCCTGTCCTCACAGAACTTACAGCATACCACAAAACACAGATATGGGGCAATTAATACAAATGGGAATGAGCTAGGGGAGCTAGGTCATTCTAGCTCAAATCTAGCTCAAATCTAGTTCTAACCAAATCTAGTTCAGGAAGTAGGGTTTCCAGAGAAAATACAGAATACTCAGTTGAAGCTGAATTTCAGAAAAACAACAAATTCTTTTTAGTACGAATATGTACCAAATATTGCACAGGATATACTTACACTAAAGTTACTTCTAGTTTATCTGAAATTCAACTTCACCTGGGTGTCTTGTATTTTTATCTGCTATGTTGTGGCAACCCTACCAGGAAGGAGTTGGCCAGTTGGAAAGTCCAGGGGAATTGAGGGAAAAAATGATTAGAAATTAGTAAGCAAAAGGAAGTGGAGAGACATTCAAGGGAGGAAACAGTAGAGGCAAGAGTTTGGAACGAGGGACAGTATTGTGTTTGACACTCTGAAAGAGGCGTGGTGTGCTGGATCATGAAGAAGAGGAAGAGAATTGGAGAAAAAAACATCTAGTGGGGAGGATCCAGAGCTTGCAAAGCTTTTTATCATGGTAAGGATTTTGGATTTCATACTAATGGCAAAAGGAATCCATCTAAAGATTTCAAACAGCAGAGAAAAAGTGGACCTTGGCCGGGTGCGGTGGCTCACGCCTGTAATCCCAGCACTTTGGAAGGCTGAGGCGGGCGGATCACAAGGTCAAGAGATCGTGACCATCCTGATCAACATGGTGAAATCCCATTTCTACTAAAAATACAAAAATTAGCTGGGCGTGGTGGTGCTTGCCTACAGTCCCAGCTACTCGTGAAGCTGAGGCAGGAGAATCGCTTGAACCTGGGAGGCGGAGCTTGCAGTGAGCCAAGATCGTGCAACTGCACGCCAGCCTGGCAAGAGCGAGACTCCATCTAAAAAAAAAAAAAAGAAAGAAAAAGTGGACCTAAGTTGAATTTGTAAATGCTCTTTCTGGCTGCCAGAAGGAGAAAGGAATTAAAGGGGCATAGGGACTGTAGTTCTGAGGCCACTGTAACAGGGAAGAGATGTTAGTGGCTTGAATGAATCTGCAGCGAGGATGGGGAGAGGGGGAAAGATGTGAAAGCCATTGGCAAGTGTGACTGATTCAATTCCATGCCAAACTCTTGGCTCCAACCCTCCCTTCCAGGTGGGTGATGATTTCCAGCCCTGATCTCAGGAGCCGCAGCTGCACATTTACAATGCTCACTGATGATTCTATGCCAACAACATTTTAGTAGTGCATATAAGAATCACTAGTGAAGTGTTACACAAATCTTGAGACCTAGTGCCTGCCCAAACTGATTCAACCAGCTGCAAGAGAGGGGGTGGAGTACAGAATGTGTAGTTTTGATAACAGCTCCACAAGTAATCGGGAAGGGCAGGCAACACTGAGAACCCCTGTCTGTCTTAACACCTCAAGTCTGAGTACTTAATCCTGGTTCAAAACTAAACACATCATCTGTTTTTCCCAACTAAATTCTTTTGTGGGTAACTAATCTCCCATTTCATAAGATTTTTTATCACCACTGACTTCTTCCTTCCAGGTCTCCCATATTGTTCAGTTGATTCTTCCTCTATTTTCTCTTCCATGTCCCTTTCCACTCTTGACATTATTGCTTTTGGTCATCAGACTTTATTATAATCAACAGGGCCAGGCAAGAGCTGTTCAATCTGTTGTCTGAGGGGCACAGAGATCCTGAACAGGTTCCCAAAAGGCTGGCATAACAGGCAAGAGGGTGCTGGCAGGTCAGCTTCTGGGCCAGCCACCCCGCTTCAACCAGAGAAGCTCCTCTTTGACCTACTGGATATTTGAGCAAGGTTTTACTGAAGAACACTTTCCTGCTGAAAAAAGGCTGGAAAACCACTGGCTCAGCAAGTAACAGTAGCTTTGTCATTGTTCTCCCAGGTTTAGAACAGACTTAACTCTAAACCTCCCTGCACACTGCCACCAGAGTCAGCATCTTAAAAGGTAGCTGTGAGCACATGATCTAACTACTAAAAATATTCAGTGGCTCTTATTGCACCTCAAATAAAATCTCATCTCCCTGGCCTGATACTCAAGGCTTTTCATAATCTTGTCAGAATATACCTTTCCTGTTTTATCTTGCCCTGTCTCCTACAAGTGACTTAGGTGCAGCCCAATTGTACAACCATCCCTCTGAGTTTTTGTTCCTGTGGTTCCACCTAGCTTGTCATCACACACTTTTCTTCCCGCTTTCTCCAATTTTACCCTTTCCTCAAGTTCTAACTCAAAAGCCACTTCTTCAATGAAGCTTTTCCTAACCTACTCGAATGTTATCAAAACGTATTCATTCAATAAATACTTAATAACCCCCTGTGATATGCCAGAAGTGTGGGGATAAAGAGAAGTTGTCCTTGCCCTCAAACTTATTGTCTGTTGTGAGATCAAAAATAAGGCAAGGCAATTCAGGAAGTGGGTAAGAGTGTGGTCTCTGGACCCATTCTGCTGGGCTTCAATCCAACTCTATCATGATGCTGAGAAAGTTCCTTGTCCTGTATCTCAGTTTCCCTGTGGGGACAATACTAGTGATGATCTCATATAGCTCTGCAATTAAATGAGTTAATATTCGAAAAGCACCTAGAACAGTGTGTGGGACACTGTAAACATTCCATAACTGTTAACTATAAAGCCACAAACAAATACATAATTTCAGAGTGAGATATACTATGAAGAGGAGATATAATGTGATGAAGAAATATAAAGTGATAAGAGTGAGGTGGGTCTGGAAGTGGGCTTGGGGTATAATTTTAGATCAGGTGGTCAGGAAAGGCCTATAAGAAAGGGTGACATATAAGCAGATACACAGATGGAGGAGGCAAGTCAGGCAAACAAAATTCCAGGTAGAGATGACATCAGGTGCAGAGTCCCTGGAGGGAGAATGTTCTTGACATATTCAAGGCATAAGATGGGCAAGTGTAGATACACTGAAGTAGCCAAGGCAGCGTGACAGATGTCAGATGCAGAGACCGGATGAAGCAGAACTTGGTAAGGAGCTTAGATACATTTTGGGTGGAATGGAAAGATGCTGAAATGTTTTGATCAAGGAACAGCCACGATGTCATTTGTTTGAAGAAACACATTATACTTAGAAGACTGAAGGGGAGCAGAAAAGAAGCAGGGAGGCCAGATAAGAGGCTACTGTAGTAGTCCAGGTGAGAGATGATGGTTGGTTGCTTAGACTTACATGGTAGCAGTGAAGGTGGTCAGTAGATAGGTTCAGAGTATATTTTAAGGCAGGTTCATCAGGACTCACTGATGGCTATGGTATAGGTGAGAAAAGAAGGGAAATTAAATTAGGACTCCTACATTTTGGGACCGAATGACTAGGTCGCATCTATTCAGATGGAATAGAAAGGGAGAGGTATAGGTTTGGGGGAGAAGCAAGAGTTCTACTTTGACCCCCTACCCCCACTCAAAAAAGGTGAACTATTACTATCTGAGATGGATGACAAGTAGGTGGTTGGGTATTAAGTTTGGAGCTCAGGAGAGAGGTAAATACTGGAGTTAACACAGGGATGGTGTTAAAAGCCATGGGATGTGCTCATATACTGAGTGTAGCTGCAGAAACGGAACCAAAGGCTGAGCCCTGAGATATTTCAACATTAGGAGTCAAAGTAGAGAAGAATCGAAGGAAACTGAGAAAGGTGCTGAGTTAGGAGGAAAACCAGAAGGGTGTGGTGCCCAGTGAAGAAAGTGTTTCAAGAGTGAAACAAGGTGTGATCAAATGTCAAATGCTGCTGAGAGGCCAAGCAAGGTATCAAAGGTAACTCAAAGTAAACAGGTCTCTCGGCTCTATTTCCTCATAGTGCTTTATTTGCGCCTTTCTCATTGCAATTTCCAAGTATTATGTTGTACAGTTATTTTTGTCTTCTCTAGTAAGAAGAGAAGGTCCCTTAAGATCAACAGACCATGTCTTGTTCTTCCTAGAACTTCCACTACTCTATTTGCTCAACAAATGTTTGAATAAACAGATGAATCGTGGAATTCTATAAAATCTAGGACAATATGCCTATCATAGAATTAGCAGTTAGAGCTGGTTTTATTGAGATGTTCTAAATGTTCTGCCCAGAATTAAAGATGTCCACCGTATATCTGAGTTGGATTACTGACAATCGCAACCCATCAGGCATTTCTATTTTTTTGCTCCAATATCGCATGCACTATCCAGTCCACAAATTACTTAGTTTTGGCCGGGTGCCGTGGCTCATGCCTGTAATCCCAGCACTTTGGGAGGCTGAGGCAGGCAGATTACAAGGTCAGGAGTTCGAGACCAGCCTGGCCAACATGGTGAAAACTTGCCTCTACTAAAAATAAAATAAAATAATTAGCTGGATGTAGGGGGTGCCTGTAATCCCAGCTACTAGGGAGGCTGAGGCAGGAGAATCGCTTGAACCAGGGAGGTAGAGATTGCAGTGAGTCAAGATTGCGCAACTGCACTCCAGCCTGGGCGACAGTGTGACACTCAGTCTCAAAAAAAAAATAAATAAGAAACAAAAATTACTTAGTTTTTACTTAATTGCTCCCTCACTTTTTAAAGTTGGCTCCAAGACCTGGTGATACCTTCAGATGTCATCAATAACTTGCTCTGTCATACTTCACTGAATATCAGCATCGATACAGTACAAGAAACATCAGGGTAAGTTGACATTTCATATTACATTATAATGAATTTCAAAACAATGACAAAAGGAGCCATGGAAATACAGGTAGTGAGCATGACCAAACTCTTCAGGAAGACATGGTTGAGATGGCATATGCAGAAAAAAGACTGGTAGTCAGGAGATAACAAATTTCTCTTGGCTTTTACAAAATCGTTGGGGTCAGACAGTTTCTAGGTCAATGAGTGACTGTCTTTGTAAAAGAAAGCTAAAAACTAACAGTTTTGAGTAACAAGAGTATCAAAACCCACCTTACAGATGTGAGCTTTCTACAGCGTACCTTACTTGGAAAATATGCACTAGGCAACACAAAAAGACAAAGTCATCAAGTCCCAAACAAGTACAGCTAGAGATCAGAAATACCTGCTGTATGTGCCAGTACCACAGAAAACCACCCATTTGTGAGGCCAGTCCCTCTCTGCTTGACCTCAGCCGCATTCTATCTGGGGATCTTGGTGACTGATAACAGAATACCATATTTCAGCTCCATGGCTCTCTTGGCTAGTTTTATGGCAACTCCCTGAGAGCAAATATTCCCCTTGAATTCCTACTTACTCATACCTATGAATTGAGGTTTTCTCCAATCCATTGACAATTTGCCTGAGTTTTTATATTTGGATGGATGTTTCATAAACAGAACTTATGGTTAATTCCCAGCCCTTTCACTAAATCTCACCCTGGATGTGATCTGTCAGATTATGGCACTACGGAGCAGCCAGACTATGCATCCAATATTGGCATTATGAAAACCTAAACTACTCCATCCCCTGAGGACAGCACATGACTTGGCATGTATTACTCAGTACACAGTATATACTTGGCAGATGAATTTCAAGAATGACACTGACAAAATGGGAGATATTTGGAGGAAGGAATGAACAGACTAGAGCTATTTTGTTTGGAGATGAGTCAGACGCTTGAGAGCTTCTTTCAAATAGCTAAAGAGTTGTCAGAAAGGGAAAAGTAAGATTTATGCTATAAACTCTAGGTCATTATGAGCTAATGATTTAATGTAGTATTTCCCATGCTAGAGTTCAATAGGAAGCTGTGATACTAGGAAAGAAAAAAAAATTCTATGGTCAAGGAAGTTTGGGAAATGTTGAATTAAATAGCTCTTATTTTCAGAAGTAAAGTTCTAAGCAAAAGCAAGACACAAATCACTCATTTATGAAAAGGTCAGAATTAACAAATACCTCCAGATGCTTGGTGAGAATAGCTCCAGCTTTAGGGGCTGCTTAAATTAGAGTGATGTTGAAACACAAGATATGTGCTGCGGTCTACACTGCAACTAAAATGAATGTGGACTGACGCAAGGATCTGGTCCACAGTGGTTCCTACCGAAAGTAGTCGATTTGAGTAAGCAAGTCTTCATCACTAATGCCAGGCCGAACCAAGTGCACTTTGTATACTGATTTCTAAATGACAAGGTTCTATTTTTATAGCTGGTATTCTTACCAGAAAAATATAACACTCATTATAAAGTTATTAAGTAATCCTTTTTTCCACACTTGCTAAACACCAACTGTGTGCTATATACTCCACTGAGAACTGGGGGAAAAAATGGAAAACGCCTGGTTGTACTTTATTTATCCTTGAGATGTGGAGGTGAGAAAGCTACAGAGGGAAAGCCAAACTAATCACTTTCATAGGAGTCAACTTATACGTCAAAGCGTACTGACATCCCTCAATCTTCAAATTTGTCTTTATCTCACTATATATCATTCTAATACAGTAACATAGTTAATAAAAATGATTTTGCACTTAAAAACCTAAGTACTTAAAGAGCTACCTAAAGGACCTAAAAATTGAGTCTTTCACTCCATGGTTACTATATTGTTCCTACTAGATTTTACAGTAGTACTATATCTGCTCGTAAGCATGAAGAATCAAATTTATAATTCATGATTGATAATGTGAAAGATGCTTTTGTCAAATAAAGCTACATAGTAAATAAATTTTTATAATGTCCAAGTTTTCGCTTAATCTCAAATGATCTGAAAAGAGGCATGCCTCTCTTCTTTCCTCTCTACCATCACTGTAATTTTTAATATTTTCAGACCAGGAGATAAATATATTTAGGAAACAAGAGGATGACAGAACTCAGGCAAGTAGGTATTTTGATGGACTCCATCCATTGATCGACAATGAATAGGTTCAAATATTCCTAAATATGGTCACACTTGATTTTCCTATCATACCCCAAGGTTTTACATTTGTATTTCAACCATGCTGGCACATGTAACAGGAAACCCAACTTACCTCAGACCTAAATATCAATAGTATGATAAATAAAAGTGAGACTGTCATTCTCTGGCATGACCCACATAAACCAAATTTCTAAAAACTGAAGAAAAGGTTACCTCAAATAGCCTATTAAAAAATACTGTAGAAAGATAACCATTAAAAACTACTGTCACACAATGTCAAAGCTTATATATTGTTTTCTCAGATAATGATCAACTCCTAGCTTGTTTCCAGTGTTAAATGTAACAAGACTAGTACACTAAACGAATTCACCTCACACTCAGATTGGAATACGGTTTATACCTCATCATCCTATAAAGACTGATAAGTCAACTTAAACTATAAACAAGTTACTTCGGGTCCCTAAATCTGTAAGAAAATCCTGGTGCTTATCAGTTCAACTCCCCAAACTGAAACGAAGAATAAACACTCTTAATGTGAACAATCATATTCAGACCAGCCTCTTGTGCAAAAATATAAGTCAGTGGATTTTTTTATCCTTACATAACTCAAATATTGCTATTTTTTTCTGCCTTTATTAAAATGGCAATTAGAGTTGAATTCCATGGTCATAATTTAGGTCATCCGAATGAAAATCAACATTATAAAGGACAATGACTTACTTTAATCTGAATTTACTCGTTCCTAGTTAACAATGCCAATATTTAAAAATGTATTTGTATTTTCCTAGGAGGTCACTATTTACTATTAGTCAAATAGGCATATTGGGGGTCTTCTCCAATTTTCTTTTATATTCTCTTCTATATCCCTCCATCCTATTTCTCCAAGAAACTTTTATGACAGTTTGTGACTAAGGAAATTTTAATGATTTTATCAACAGGTAACTTGTTTTAAATAAAGACGGACACAACATTTATTTAATTTTTTAATAAACCATAAAATTTAAATATTCAAATGAAAAGAAACAAAAATAGATTATTTAAGCCAGCATGAATTTCTGGTTTTACTCTTCCTCTAGGGCATTGTAGGCTTGACTTACCTGGGATTAGAGTAATAAAGCTATGATGCTGGTACAATAATGAATGAGGAAGTAAAAATGGGCAATGTCTTCATAAAATTTACTTTCAAATCTAGATCAGAAGTTCACTCAAGCCTACTGCAAAGGCCTGACACTGGTTTTGTCTGTATAAAACTACTCTGGCTTTTTACCACACTTTCTTCATCACAGCTTAGTGTTCCCTGCATTCTGATCCTTTTGCTCACTAAAGCTCACTTCAATCTGTCAAAACATCAAGGGGGAAAATCCCCAAAATGAACCGACGAATAAACACTCTTAATGTGAACAATCATATTCAGACCAGCCTCTTGTGCAAAAATACAAGTCAGTGGATTTTTTATCCTTACATAACTCAAATATTGCTATTTTTTTCCTGCCTTTACTAAAATGGCACTTTCGTTTACATCAACCAATTATTTTCTACTTGCTTCTAAGTTTCTGAGATTGTATGCTGTACTGGCTATTCTTTTTGATTAAGCTTTACAATTTCCATTCCAGAATATCTGGTCTTTGACCAACTTTATCTAATTTTGTGAAGAAATGTGCTATTAATCAGTGAAAATCGCAAAAGGAAAAAGAAAAGGAAGCAATGAACAATAGTAGAATCTCACTTCAGCATTTGTATAATTTTTTATAAGAAAAACATTCATTTTTATTATGGGATCTAAAACCATGATCGTGTCTGATACTGTAAGCCTTTTAGCGTACTCAAATGGGTCAACATTCAATATGGACAGCCAGCTAGCTCACAAGAAATGAAATGTAATGCACAAATATGTTTGACTGGTAAAATCCCAGAGGCTTGGTAATAAAGTGCAGCAAACTTTCCTTATATTGAATAAGAACTCCAGTAACCTCTGGATATTTTTGGTAAAAATTAAAGAAAAGGTACTGCAGTCAAGAGACAGGTAATCTTTAAACTTCAAAAGACTGGCTGCCAGGGACCACAGTGAAAAATTAGACCTGGAGCCAATGAAAAACACTAGCTTGGAAGGAATGGGTTTTTCCAAAAATGCAAAATTAGCATTTACAGATGCTTAGGATACTATGATTTGACAGGCTTACAGTGATAAAACAACAAAGATGAACAGTTACAATATTTATACGTGTAGTGTGTAAAGAACACAGGTTTTTTAATTGGCAGCAAGAAATTCTATGACAGCTTCTGAGACAAGTAATCCTATGCCCTATATCCACCCCATGCCAATGACGACCAGTCAAAATGGTAACACAGAGTAAAAAGTGATCTACTGTATGTGAGTCAGAAAGTACTTGAAAAGTGACAAAACTGTATGTTATTAAATGACAAAACATATTTAGAGGCTTTATTTAAAAATCTCTCACTGTTCATTATCAAAGTTACAAGATTGCATACCAATAGACAGACTGTAAACATAGGAAATTTTCGTTAAGGAAAGATGGGTTTACTGTAATTCAATCTTTTACAAAAAATTACTTGCAAGTTATTGATAACAGAATTTCTCTTTTACTTTCTTAATTCTCTTGAAAATTAAACCAATGTTTCCACTTTCATGAGCTAAAGTTCAACCATGGTCACCTTAGGAAATACCCCTGTTTATTTGTTAATCAGAAATACAAATCGAGTGGCACATACTTCCATTTTCTTCTTAGGCCAAAGGTTTCAGCTTCATTATATTTTACAGAAGACCTTCAGTGGTCCGGTAAGTCTTTCATGTCACAGCTGAGGTTTAATGATGGCAGTGGAGGAAAGCAGAGGTGATGCAAAGTAAGACCAGCCCAGTTGCCTTATCTGACATGGAATCTTTTTCCTGTCTGGCTTGCAGCAGCGAAGTGTTTCTGGTCAGGTTGCCTCCACCAAACCTGATTGAAGCAAAAGGGTGACATGCTCTGATAAATCCCATTTAAGGATGATTCTGTTCAGGCAAATAGTTGATCCTTCAATCTGTTGGCTGTGGGATGATACTAATATGAAGAAAATTATCCGGGTAGCTCAGATGTTCACTCAGCCACTGCAGAGGTGTTTCCAACATTGGCTCAATTCCATGAATCATCACTTGATTCTTTTTTTCCCCATCTATTCCAAGAAAGAAACCCAACAACAATAAAAGTCAAAACAGTTGAAGAAAAAATAATCTGGTGCCTTTTGAGAATCCTTAGTGCATTAAATGGATTTTAAACATGTTTTGTCCCCTGAACAGGAAATGTGGACATGGAGAAAGTTCAAATGTTGCAGTATGTATCACCCAAAACAGAAACCTGAGGGTTACAATATATTCTGATAAAAATTCTGTTGCTGTATGTGAAAGTATTACTTCTTTCTTAATTACTGTGCTTACTTAAGATTGACGTTAATGAAACTGTAGTGGCAAAAACAGCCCATTGTACCAATGACCAAAATTTATTTTAGTTATACATTAAAAACTGTAATATATGGTTATTAAAAATGACAAGTACATGAAGTCGGTCCATACATATTTTGAAAATGTAAAATAGAAATGTGACTAGAAATCAAGAATCAGATCAGTATTTGAGATGTTTAGTAAGACACAGGTGAGCTTTAGTTGTTTTCAGTAAAGCATTCAAGTATGTATCAAAATGTCTTAGAGATACTATTTGAATAACAGTTAAAATTTTAATGAGAAGGGATTACAAATCTGACTCAGGGATTCCTGTTTTAGAGTCATAAAGCCTGACTGATTTTTGTTAACATCCACTTGCTAATTAAAAGGGGGCTGAAATTTACACCTTTCTTTTAAATTCAATTGTATTCCAAATTAAACTTAAGATTTTGTGTTTTTCATGATTTTGGTGTGTTGTACTGACAACTTTTAAAGTAAATATAAAGATTTTTGTCATAGAAAAACAAAGAAAGCAAAGCCAAACTCCTCTAATGAAAAAGAAAAAAAAAATAGAACCATCAAGAAACTTTGTGTTATTCCTTTAGCACAATTCTGGGTTTGTCTCCTTTACCTTCTCTTCAAAATACAATGTCTAAACCTCTCAGCTTCCTGGTGACAGAAGACAACAAGGAAACAGGGAATCAAGCAACTCTATAAAGGAGAAATACCCTACGTTTTCCTTTCTGCTCTGTTCAAAATGACTTTTGAATCTGTAAGTGCTCTAAGGTCTGGGCAAAATGAGCTGATGATGTATGGTGATAATGACTTGGCTGGCACCTGAAACAAGAGACCCTTTTAAAGAAATATTTAGACTTCCTGTTAGAGGCAGCACAGTCCCAGGTGACAGTCAACAGAGGACACAAAATACTACAGTTGATAAAAGAATGTGAAAAATAAAAACTTTAACATACTAACAATTCCAAAGATAACCAAATAAAACATTCCAAACTCCCAAATCACTGTGCCATAGCTTAAAACAATTTTGAAAAAAGGTATCACTTTATAATACTACTAACCTAAAAAAATGCTTTATTTTTTCTTTGTTGCACCTATACATAATTTGACACAGTTGTGACCATAGTGTTAATATAATGATTTGTTTTCATAATGAAATATTAAGCTATATACAGAATACTATAGAAAGCATAGTACCAGTACTTTGGGAAGATTTTTTAAACATTGGTATTGAAATGGAGAAACCCTCAGCTATCTGGAATGATTCATTGCTTATAAGTTCCAGTTTGCTAAAGCTTTACTGTATTAAATCTTTCTTAGAATATTTGAAAACATTTCCGGTATAATTCTCTTCATATTCTTATATTTCTTTGAAATATTTTAATATTCTCAGAATCTTCCTCCTACTTAGCACTGAGTCAAAAAATGAAAGAATAGTGGTGTAAGAGTAAAAGTTCCTTATCTCTAAAGTTTTTCCTTAAGCCAGTCACCTTTGTATACTATGAAACAGCAGAAGAAACAAGTCACAACTCAATATCCAAAGTACTGTATCTAAAGCAATATTTAAACATGGGAGCAAATACAATATGGTAAACAATCCACTGATGATGCACAGTGTATCTGAAAGGCAAAAGACCAACCATGTTACAAAAGGATTGCTGGAGTTTATGAGTTGTACAACAGAAGCTGGAGGACAAAAGCACTATTCAAACACTGTGTAACAAGCCTAATAAATCCCCTTACCCAAACCCTGAATAAGTAGCACTGATTCTCTGGTTTAGAAGCTGGGGCCACTTTTAATTTTTAACATAAAAGCATCACTAACTAAATTTAAGTAACTAAGGAAAGAATCTAAGACTGTCATATCCCTCAACAGAACAGTTTAAGGTTTTAAATATATTATTTTGTCACTGCCTACATATGTCCAAATATCTCACCGGCATTTATGTATTTTGTTTATTTTCTGACTTGCCTCAATAACACAATTTTAAACAGAGGGATTCTTAGAATAGGGCAGCAGAAACTTCAAACCGAAGTTTCTCTCTTATTTGTTACTCTGTCCCCAGTGCCTAGCATGGTACCTGACATATACAGTAATTAGATAATAAATATTCTCATAGCTGGCATAATATTGTTGCTGGTAGAATTATACTGTCAAAATTAATGTTTTTGGAATGCTTTCTGATAGCTAGCCCTACCATGGAGAATAACTCTACCCGTAAAGACTGTTTTGGTTATTAAAACAACAAAGTAAAAAATGTTTCCAGATAAGCCAAATGTATATGCTATCCTTAATTCATGGTACCATAAATAACAACAAAGTATGAAGGACATTTTAGCAATATCAAAACCAATAAAAGAAAACAGGCCAGGTGTGGTGGCTCATGTCTGTAATCCCAGCACTTTGGGAGGTCAAGGTGGGAGGATCGCTTGAGCCCAGGAATTTGAGACCAGCCTGGGCAACAGACCCCATCTCTACAAAAAATAAAAAAACTCAACCAAACAAAGATTAGCTTTAGCTGGGCGTGGTGGTGCATGCCTGTAGTTCCAGCTACTTGGGAGGCTGAGGTGGGAGGATTGCCTGAGCCCAGGAGGTCAAGGCTACAGTGAGCCGTGATGGCACCACTGCACTACAGCATGGGTAACAAGTGAGACCCTGTGTAAAAACAAAAAATTAATAATAAAACAGTAAAAAAAAAAAAAAATCAGTAGATGTCTTTTTCTTACAGTACAAAGGAAACACCTGATACTGTTAAAGTAAACAATATTTTTGGTAAACATGTCTTTTTGTTTCAAAATGGGAATCTAGACCTTAATACTTAGAATGAGAAATGTCACTACAAAGAAAATGACTCAGGAGAAAAATGTTACTGTATGCCTCTCCCACTCAGGTTTTTAAAAAAAGCTAGCTTGAAGCTTTAAGTTAGGCAAACATATGAGAAAAATCAAGTGAACTAGTTCTATATGAACTTCTTTATATAGGGCACTTTTTAGAGAGTAATTTTTGTTATGATTTCAAACTTACAGTGTACCATTTCTAATATAAGATATTCTTTTACATAACTACAGTATAGTTATCACAATAAAAAATACTGATATACCATGATATATAAAATAATAAAATATTCATTGTAGTCCATATTCAAATTTATCAACTATCCCAATAATGTATTTTTCTTCAATCTAGGATTCAGTCCAGGACTGTCTTAGTCTGTCTGTGATGCTATAATTGGATAATTTATAAAGGACAAACATTTATTTCTCACAGTTCTGGAGGCTGGAAAATCCAAGATCAAAGTGCTGGCACCTGGTATGAGCTTCTTGCTGTGTTCTCATATGGAAGAACGTGGAAGTGTGAGAGACAGTGAACCCACTCTTGCAAATCCTTTTCATACCAGCATTAACCCATTCATGAGGGCAGAGCCCTCATGACTTAAACACCCCCCAAAAAGCCTCACCTCCCAACACTGCTGCATTGGGGATTAAGCTTCTAACATGTGAATTCTGGGGGATACATTCAGGTCATGTCAAGGATGCACATATTGCATTTAATTTTTATGTCTCTCTACTCTCTTTTAATCTGCAACCGTTTTTTAGCCTTTTCTACATTTCTTAACCTTTACAATTTTGAAGAGTACATCTCATTATTTTGTATAATGTCCACAAAGCACTTTTAGAAACCAGCATCTACTTAAAAGTGAACATAAAAAAAAAGTTACGTTTTAAGAAAAACATATTCAAGTAGATTTTGGTTATATGATTAGAATGGTAAGAATTACATATAGAAAAAAAATAAGAAGAAAAAATAAAAATCACATTAACCACACAAGTCATTAATGGAAATCACAAAGTTAAAATAATGGTAACTTCTTATGTATATATTAAAAAATGATGCTTACATATAGACATAGATACAATGACTGTTATCAATATACAATAATATAAATGAGACATAAAGGAGAGAGGGCCAATTATGCACCACTAGTTAGCAAGGTACTAATGAAAGACAAATTGGGGGTTAGGCAACTTGAATTCCAGTTCTGGCAACAAAGGGCTCTGAGCAGGTCTCACGTCACTTTGAAGCTGTTTCTTTATATATAAAATGAAGATGCCTATATAGATGTATGGTTTGAAAATCTAGCTGACCATTAGAATCATGTGGGAAATTAAAAGAATATATACATATATATGAGCTGAGCTCCTCTCCAGACTTTCTGAATCAATTTCTGGGGTAAAGTCTTTTTTTAAAAATGTTCCCTAGAATGAATCTTATGATCATACCAGTGTAGAATTTTTCTACAAACAAAATTTTATGTAGAAACCCAATATACAACACAGGTAAAGATATGGCAGCTTTTGCTAATGTGGGATTGAGACCATCTCCTAAGTTCTGCTTGCTGATTTATAACCCATGATAGCTTCTCATTTAACTCTGTGGGTCAGTTTGCAAACTGGTCCAGAGTAGAGGATCACTAACACGTCTCCCAGTTCCAGTATCTGGGTCTTTTACGTCTAAACAGCAAAATATTTCTTTCAGAGTGTAAACCATCATAATTTATTAGTTTTGAATTCTCAAGCAATTCACTCAAACTTCTGTTTCCTCATCTTACAGTGTGAACAAAGAATTCTAATCTCCAGTTACATGAAGGATTAAATGGGATATCCAAGCAAAGTACTCAGCAGCGACCCTAGCACAGGACTTGGACACAGGGTACTCAATAACACGAGTGACTCTTCTCCACCCCTCTCTCCTGCTCACTCTCTAATAAAAAATAATGGTGTCAAAAATGTAACTGATAAAGTATGTGAGGACAGAAGATCATTTTAAAAAGGTCATGATTTAGTAACAAAAAGTAAAGAGCGATTGTAATTCTCTTCCTACACACGTTATAAGAATAAGTTCATTTTTTTAGTACTAGATATATCAAAAGATATATAAAAACCATGGATTCAATTATGTGATTGGCATACAAAGGGCTGTAAGAATTTGGCCTCATGGTAATACCTCCTGAATTATTCAGTTCCATTTTTATGCAGTATGGCATATAATTTTAATAAATGTATTTTTTAAAAGACAACAAAAACCCAGACTCGATGATTATGCAAATTAAATGACATTAAGAAAAATTCTTAAGTATTAGAAACCTTCACGTTTATTTAATAGTGCTCTCAACACATATATTCAAGTGGAGCACATCACCTATAAGTCAAATGAGCCCTAGTGTACTACAGATATATCATTTAATAGACTTTAGGTAAGGTTATTTTTTTTAAAAAAGATGAAAACATTCAGGTAAAAAAAAAAAACCTTTCAAAATCTTTATGTTATACATTTTAAGTATATCATTTGAGAACTTGCACTGTGTGATAAATTTGAGTTCTAAAGATTTCTATTACTAATGGCTACTAATTACCTTTCTCATCCCAATCTGGGTTTTAGGTCTTATTCAACTAAGCCAATTTCAACAAGGAATATGATCTATAAATGTCTTTAAAAACAGGTGACTTGAGATTCTAGTGAGATGCTTGAGTTTCCTTCTTACTATTAATATTTAAAGGAGGCTTAAAGAAATGGATGATGTATCTTTAAGGGAAATTCATACATGTTTTTAACAAGAAAATTTCAGTTTAATTAATTTTTTAAAAGCTCATACTTTAAATATGGAGTAGAAGTCTAAGATCAAATGATATAACCATTGTGTTCAGCTTTGTAGCTTCATATTTATATTTTATAATTCAGCAGAAAATGACTTGATTTGCTATCTTGGAATGTGTAATACTGAAGGTAAAATTTCTGAAAAATACTTAATACTGCCTAGAAGTTTTAAAAAATAGAGCGACGAGCTTTCTGATTACCACTAGCCTGAACAATTTTGTTCTGTCTGACAAATTCTTTAACCTCTGATATGTTCATTAGTAAAACACCAACTAATTGAATCCATCGACATGAAAAACCACAGGCTGAAATGTGAAGTGCATACATCATGCTGAAGGATTTTGTCTCAGCCACGGAGGTAATAGTCAGCGAGGTCAGGTCAAAGAGGGTTAAACCAAGCCAGGATATAGCCAAAGAAATACATCAAACGCTGATTTTAAAAGGGCAATTAATCTTGGACAGAAATGCTTCCTGGGGAATGAGATCTCAATCTTAAGAGCACACTACATGATGTAGCAGTAAAAATGAACATATACAAGCTTACAGGGCTTTTATCCTATGATCACAAACAGAAGGAGAGTGCTGTTTATCAGAAAAATACAAACCCATTTAAAAATACTTACATTAACTTCTTCCGGATGCATACTCACTTAGCAGTACAGGTCTTAATGAACATGCAATATCATAGTATATACCAAATACCAGATATACCACATATCTCTTTCCATGTATACATTTTATATCTTTATTATATTTTCAGAGCTTTGACTCTTAACATTTTAAACAATTTAAAAACATGTCCATATTAATTCTTTCATTGACTTTTGCTTATAATCTCTGTATTTCTTAGTAAGGAGGACATAAACTAAAATTTAAATAATATAAAAAATCCCATATGATCAGTTGTAATTATAAAAAGCAAAGTGTATTAAATTAAGTGATTGTAAGGCCATTTTAAAACTGATTAAAAGCTTCCTGACAATAAGATAAAAATGTGGTAAAAGTTAAAAATTAAACCTTGTTCATTAATAAATACATAAATAAACTTTGAAAACAATATTATTTTATCTGCTTTCATAAAATGACCCAGTAATTCTAGTTGGGTGTAATAGGGTCCATTAATATTTGTCAAGTATGAACTACAGAATAGCTCAACTTACTTGCTTTATTTAAAATATAGACAATAATTGTACTGTTTACATATGGTCAGAATGAAGCCCCATAGTACCTGTTTCAATGAAAAGATAACTTGTTTTTAACTGTCTGCATATACTATTATTTTGGTAAGAGAATTTTGTTTTCTAGTGCTAAAGATGAAATAGTTGTGCAAGTGTGTGTTTCTCATTTTGGGAACAGTCAGGTTAATTCATTTAACTTCTTGAGATTAAGATAACAATAATTCAGAAGGAGAAACCAGAAGCATCTTCTGTCAGTCCAGTAATGTCATCATTTCCAGTAGTGGAGAATGAAAATAATCAGCATTATTATTGCCCAAATCAAATAGCGTGAAGGTACAGAGATACTAGTTCCTTCTAATTCAAATTCTAAATGAATATCTAAAGAATTACTGAAATTGTAAAACCCGCAATCTGATGAGGTTTGGGAATTGGAGTTTTTTTTATTCCTGTGGCATGAGTTTGCAAACTGAGTGCCTATTCTTCCGGGGGCAGTGCCATCACACTGACAAATGTGATTATTGCTCAAATATTATCTCAAATCACGAGATACTAACAAGCTTCAATTTTGTCCAAATACTTAAAAGTATCTGCTTTATACGGTCAGCATGAGATTTATATGTTTCTTTTTCTAACTGCTTCATGTCTGAAAAAAATTTATCTTGTCAACTAATTCACTTTATTAACATAATCTAATCATATACAGCAAAGGAGAAAAAAATGTGAATATACCATTTTTTCTTTTCTTTTTCTTTTTCTTTTTTTTTTGAGATGGAGTTTCACTCTTGGTGCCCAGGCTAGACTGCAATGGCGCATTCCAGGTCACTGCAACCTCTGGCTCCTGGGTTCAACCAATTCTCCTGCCTCAGCCTCCCAAGTAGCTGGGATTACAGGCATGCACCACCACGCCTAGCTAATTTTGTACTTTTAGTAGAGACGGGGTTTCACCATGTTGGTCAGGCTGGTCTCTAACTCCTGACCTCAGGTGATCCACCCGCCTAGCTTACCACGTTGTTATACATTACATTAGAAGACTGGGAAATGAAGTATAATTGGGTAAAGCTTATAGGTGTTTTGTATTCTCCAAGGTAAAAATAAATGTTCTTGATGTGTTATTTTTAATGTACAAAGAAAAAAATATTTCACTCAGGTCTGGCACAGAAGCTTAGATCTCTGAGTCATTTTAACTACAGCTGAAACGACAAAAACAATTTACCTGAGCTCACCTTTGGTCATTTCCTGTTACCTCCAACTTGACTAATTCCCTTAGCCATTTACAAAAAAAGAAAGGAACACACAAAAGAGCTCATCATTAGTTACTCCACAAGCAGCAGCTCATCATTAGTTACTCCACAAGAACAATGACCTAAAGCACGTATTCATAAATACTAGTACATTTGACTTTCATATGATGAAATCAGACAAAATTCTTTCATCACTGAATCACTTGTAGGGAGTAGAAGACAATGGTGCCACATAACTTTTATGAAGTACTTTCTCTTTTCATCATGTGATGACAGCAAGTTCTTATCCATACACACCCAATCTTAAAGTCTTTCGCTTTCAACTTAAGTTGAATGCAGGTGTGTCAAAATGCTTCATGTTTGACACATCTGACAATACTACAGGTGAACTGAACCAGGCAGTAAACAGTTTTTTACTGAAACAGTGACTCGATGTTTTGGATACTCTACATAGATTTTTAAATGACAATTTTTTTTAATACGTAATAAAAAGAAGAAGCAAAGATAAAAGTTTTTTTCTAAAGAAAAGATACTGAGATGTGTTAGAGATGTGGCTTCCTCCTGGTATGAAAGATACCATCAAAAATACCTGAAAAGAATAGGCATTATCTATGTCATTTCAATGAAGTGTGTGTTC
This sequence comes from Homo sapiens, assembly GCF_000001405.40. Classification (NCBI taxonomy): domain Eukaryota; kingdom Metazoa; phylum Chordata; class Mammalia; order Primates; family Hominidae; genus Homo; species Homo sapiens. The sequence continues at coordinate 106,195,669 of NC_000006.12, forward strand.
TGCAGTCAAGAGAAGCATTTGACAGTTTGCATGGGGAGAAGTCTGTCACACAGATGTACTCACCTACAGCACCTGAAATCACCTAAAAGGAAGGTTTGTGGATTAGGTTGTGTGGCTGCGCTGCCTCACTGCTCCCCTCTAAAAAAAAAAAAAAAAAAAAAAAACCACAAGGGAAGTCACACTGTGTATCCCCTAGAAAAGGATGTACACGTAGAGCAGCCTAGAAATTTAACAGAACAAAGAATCTCTTTTAAAAGAACAGCTTCACAAATTTGTGTGCCTTTCTTGTGTAGGGTCACGTTAATCTTGTCTTGTAACCTGGGTATAAGAGCAGAATAAAGGTGTATTCTGAGAGTGTCAGTTCAAAGCACTTGAATGCTTTTCATTTACGTGTCTGATGTTCATAATCACCATTTAAAAAATTCAACAAGAGTGGTCAGGATTATATATAGGAACACTAAAATAACAAAACAAACAAAATAAAAACAGTAGACACTCAGGTTCCTAAGATCATATCAGAAATATTATTAAGAGAGAAGAGCATGTAGGCAGATTAGATACTAAACACAAATTGAAGACTAAGATTTGTGAAAGTAAAATAAAGAGTAAGGAAAAAGCAAGTATTTCAGAATGTTATTTTAAACTAAACCAAAAAGTTAAAAAGAAAGAAAACAAAAACAAATGGCAGCATAGTAAAGTGGAAAAACCAAAAGACCACCAGGAGATGGAGACCTGTGTTCTAAACCTATTTCTGCAATTAAGTGGTTAAGAGACGTTTGGCACAATCATGCAAAAATTAAGAGAGTGAACTTTGGGAGGCCAAGGTGGGTGAATCACTTGAGGCCAGGAGTTCAAGACCAGCCTGGCCAACATGGTGAAACCCCGTCTCTACCAAATATACAAAAATTAGCCAGGCATGGTGGCACATGCCTGTAATCCCAGCTACTTGCGTGACCGAAGCACAAGATTGCTTGAACCTGGGAGGCAGGGGTTGCAGTGAGCTGAGATGGCATCACTGCACTCCAGCCTGAGCAACAGAGTGAGAATCAGTCTCAAAAAAAAAAAAAAGTAGATTGAAAGTTCTACAGTTATACAATTCTTTAAAGAAGTAAAATACAGTATTAACACCCAACTAATTTCTTCCCACTCTAGGCACTCCTTAACCACACCCACAAACTAGAAATTGGCAACCATGAAATAAAAATGAATTGAACAAATGAATCCATTAACAAAATAAACAATATAAAATTTCAAGTAAGCCCTCTTTCCTGGATTAAAAAGCAACTGTTAACTTTAGTTTTTACAGATAAAACACAAATGTATCAAGGGAGACCCCCCACTTATATAAACTTGGGACTAGCAAATATGGATCATTTTGTGTCTGTGACAATTGTGCTGCTGTTAGGGGACAGATCATTACAGAACACATTACTTCCAAAGTTTTGGGTTTCATTGCAGTGTTCTCATTCTATAGTCAAGGATGTTATAAAAAAGGAAGTTTAAAACAACATATTTTAAAAAGTAGATTGTCGAAAAAAATCTAGGAAAAGTGCAATAAGGTAGTCATTTGAGGCTGGGTGCAGTAGCTCATGCCTATAATCTCAGTACTTTGTGAAGCTAAAGTGGGAGTATCACTTGAGTGAGAAATGTAAGACCAGCCTGGGCAACACAGTGAGACCCTGCCTTTTGTTTTCAAAAAAGGTAGTTATTCAAATATTAAACTCTGGCTTAAATTTCATTTACTCCTAATTGATAAAATCATTTGTTATAGTGTGGTTGCTTGTCCCCGCCAAACCTCGTGTTGAAATTTTATCACCAAAGTTGGAAATGGGGCCTAATGGGAGGTATTTGGGTTGGGGTGGGGGGGGCGGGGGTGGATCCCTCATGAATAGATTCATGCCCTCCCTGGGTGTGGAGGAGTGAGTTCTCACTGTTTTAGTTCCCACAAGAGCTGGTTATTATAAAAAGCCTGGCACCACCCTGCTCTCTCTGGCTTCCTCTCTCACCATGTGACCACCGCACACACCAACTTCCCTTCAGCTTCCACCATGAGCAGAAGCAGCCTGAGGGTCTCATGAGATGCCCAATCTCCAGGCAGTAGAGCTGTGAGTTAAATAAACCTTTTTTCTTTATAAATTACCCAACCTCAGGTGTTTCTTTATAGCAACACAAACAGACTAACACAGCATCTAGTTTTTAATGTTCTTTAAAGTACTACTACAAAGTACTCAAAAAGGGAAAAAAACACAATACAGAGAAATGAGTAACTGAAAGCCAGTGCTGCCACGGACAGGTAAGAGGTTTATGGGGTTTATCTCTATCAGCAATAAAAACGATTAACCTCTTCATTACACTTCAAATGAAAATAACTCATCTATATTCCAAAATCCTCAAAAACAAAAATAGATATTAAATAGATCAAAAACAAACACCCTTATAACAGAGAAAATGAACTAAAAAAGTAAGCTTATTCTTGAATTTCTGGGAATTTCTCAGAAGTTATGAGTTACTAAGGCAAAATTTCTGTAGCCTGAGTTCAAAAATAAAAAGTTTACTTAACTATCTCTAAAGATATACAGGAAAATGGCAACACTGGTTGTCTCTAGAAAGGGGAACCAGGTTAGAGTTTGGTGAACAGGTAGTTAGGAAAGAGACTTTTTACTAAATTCCTTTATATATGCTTTGATTTTTAAAATATGTAAATGTATTGCCTATAAGAAAAAAAGTTTTAGTTATTTAACTGAACACAATCCATTAAAAAAAACTTGATAGACAGGAATTCACCAAAATTAAATGCTTTTATCCTTCAAAAGAAAATGAAGACAAGGCTGGGCATGGTAGCTCACACTTGTAATGCCAGCACTTTGGGAGGCTGAGGCGGATGAATCCCCTGTGGTCAGGAGTTTGAGACCAGTCTGGCCAACACAGTGAAACCCTGTCTCTACTAAAAACACAAATATTAGCCAGGCATGGTGGCAGGCACCTGTAATCCCAGCTACTAGGGAGGCTGAGTCACGAGAATCACTTGAACCCGGAGGTGGAGGTTGCAGTTAGCCAAGATTGCACCACTGCGCTCCAACCTGGGTGACAGAGCGAGACCCTGTCTGGGAAAAAAAAAAGAGAGAGAGTGAGAAAGAGAGAAAGAAAATGAAGGCAAGTCACAGACTAGGAGAAAATATCTGCAAATTGTGTATCTGATAAAGAACTTGTATCCAGAATATATAAATAATGCTAAAAACTGAGTAATAAGGAAACAATCCATGAAAAAAAACAAGGATTTGAATAGACACTTCATCAAAGAGATCTACAAATTATAATAAGCACATGAAAACATGTTCAATACCATTAGCCATTAGAAAAATGAGAATTAAAATCATCATGAGATACCACTAGGATGGCAATACATGTGACTGAGGATGTGGAGAAACTGGAATCCTTATACACCGCTGGTGAGACTGTAAAATGGTACAGCCACTTTGGGAAAGCTCAGTAGTTTCTTTTAAAATAAAAAATAAACTTACTATATGACCTTGTCATTCCACCCCTAGGAAGCTACCCAAGAAAAATGAAAACAAATGTCCACAGAAAGACCCATATTTGAATGTTCCTAGCAGCTCTGTTTATAAAGGTGAAAGGCTGGAAACAGTCCAAACACCCATCAGCTGGTACAGGGAGAACCAAAATGTGATGTATCTACCCAATGGAGTATTATTCACCAATCAAACTATGGACACTTGCTTCAATACGGATGCAACTCAAATACATAATGTTAAGTGGAAAAAAACAGTTGCACAAGACTATATGCTGTATGGTTCAATTTATGTGAAATATAATAGGCAAATTATAGAGACAGAAAACAGACCAGTGGTTGTTTATAGCTGGCAGTGGAGCAGAGATTAGCTACAAGTAAGTACAAGGAGATGGAAATGTTCTAAAAACCAAATTGTGGTGATGGTTGCACAACTCTATAAATTTACTAAAAAATCATTAAATTATAAAAAAATTATTTAACTAAAACTCTTATTGAAAGCTAAAATTACACAGTAGTAAAGATGGATTAGGAGTCTAAGATAGTATTATAATCAACTTAATGTTAATTGCTCCAAGATTTAATGATCGTAAATAATATGTTTCATGGTAATGATAGAAAGAATTCAGTAACTGGATTGTTTGGCAAACATTTACCCTAGCACTAGAGATACATGGATGTGTGTAAGACATCATCAGAAACCTTACTATAAAGGCTAGTAAAGTTCAAGGAAGACTTTATAAAATGTATTTATAACCTCTTAAATCCTGTTCAGTTTTAATAATTTGGGTAGTCAGTGGTCTCTTCCTTCAATCCTTTCTGGCATTGGTTCTGACAGTATTATTGTAGGTGCCCTTCCCCTTCCTAATGAACCTCTGTTCATTTTTAAAGCATTACATACATGTAGGAATGCTAGTATAAGCAAGCATACTTGACTAAGGAAAATTGCAATATTCTCAGGCTGAATGACACATATTTTGGGCTCCATATTCTTTGCTTAGTCATTTAGGCTGGAATACCACAACATTACCACCAAACCCACTGTTCCTAATTCTACTACTTAGGCAAACTATTTCCTTAGATGCAAAATGCTTCATGAACTGTGTGGTATATGTCATGCAAGTAATCCTGCATTCCTCCAATTCAGAATACATTCGTAAGAAACAAGCATTATCTGTTAAAGTATTACCTTCATATATACTAATGCATTACCTGTTTCCTTCATGGATTTAAAGTTTTTTAAAAAAAATTTCTATTATATAATAAATACAACTCTGCAATTTTTTTTTTTTTTTGAGACGGAGTCTCACTCTGTCACCAAGGCTGGAGTGCAGTGGCATGATCTTGGCTCACTGCAAGCTCCGCCTTGTGGGTTCACGTCATTCTCCTACCTCAGCCTCCCAAGTAGCTGGAACTACAGGCGCCCCGCCACCACGCCCAGCTGATTTTTTTTGTGTGTTTTTTAGTAGAGACAGGGTTTCACCATGTTAGCCAGGATGGTCTCGATCTCCTGACCTCGTGATCCACCCGCCTTGGCCTCCCAAAGTGCTAGGATTACGCGTGAGCCACCACACCCGACCAACTCTATGCAATTTTTATGTCAATACAGTAATATGCCACTGAAAATTTCCCCTATAGTTTAGTAAGCATTAATAGGGCTGGGATTCAAGAGCAGCAGGACATTTTACACACACACACACACAATGTGGTCACTTGGTATTCATGAAGGATTGGTTCAAGGATCCCTGAGGATACCAAAATCCACCCAGGCTCAAGTCGCTTATATAGAATGGCATAATATTTGCATATAACCTATGCACATGTGTGCTTTAAATCATTCATCTCTAGATTACTTGTAATATTTAATGCAATGTAAATCTATATAAATACTTATACTGTATTCTTAGGGAATAATAACAAGAAAAAAAAGTCTGTTTATCTTCAGTACAGACACAATCATCCATTTTCTTTCCCAAATGTTTTTTATCTGCTGTGGGCATGATGGGGAGCCCATGGATATGAAGGGCCAATGTGTATGTATTATACACATATGTATATCTCAAGTATTCAAGTGTATATGTGTGTGTGTGTGTGTGTGTGTGTGTGTGTCTCAACAGTGGTCTCTATCAGTTAATGGATTATGGGCAGTTTTATTGTTTTCTGCATTTTCTTGGTGTTCTTTATGTTGTAATAAAGAAAAACAGAATTCAGAAATTTTAAAATTTGTCCCTTGCTTGCAGGAAAACAGCCTTAACCTAAGTTACAAAATTAGCGCCATGAAACAGGTCAAGTTTTTGAACGAACTTGTAGATTGTCAAAGCCTAAAAGAAAAAGGTTAACTGAAAAAGTAGAAAGTAGTAGAAAATTCAAATAAAATACTCATCCATTTTTCAGTATTATCAACTTTCAAATATCAAAAATGAGAAAATTATTTTTACCATTTCTGACTTCTTTAAAGTTAATAAACAAAATGCAAGATTAAAAGTAGTATTTATCAGAACTGAATCCATAAATTAAAAACCAGAGTACCAGAGATATACTAAGAGGATGATTTAAAAACTGTATTTTATTTCGCCAGTCGAGTCATCATTTTGTTAGTCAATAATTTACAAAATAATATATTAAATATTAGGTGCTTCTGTTTGAAAAGACTTTTCGCTGTAAGATATGAAAATATCTTCCTGAAATAACCTGTTGTTTATAAATGTGGAATGCTTATTTTACTTCAGTAACAGAAAATGAAAGAAATGTTTTAATGTTGCTGATTGTATTACCTTCAGGATCAATAGCAGAAGGACAAACTTCTTTGAGGAGATCTCCTAGTGTGTGCAACTGTCCATCTGCAGCCACAGGACGAAACAGCTTCTGAATGAAAGGTCTTTCAGTCGTTGTCTATTTGAAAAAGGAAAAAATGATTCAAGCAATTAAGTCTTTGTTGCTGCCAATTACAAATTTATATATCATAAACTTTATGTTGGCATTAGGTGCCTTTTGATACGGTGTTAGCATAATTACACAACATCACAGATGTGGTATCACTGTGAAAAATGTTTAACATGATAAATTCAGGTAAATCTAATTCTGAGGAAACAGACAAATCCAAAGTTGGGTGGGACATTCTAAAGATAATTGGCTGGGACCCTTCAAAAACTTAAAGACATTAAAAAGCAAACAACACAAAAAGATATCAACAAAAGCATTTTTTCTCAGTATCTCTTAAAGAGACTAACAAAGCAAATACAAAACATAAACCATGGCTGAATACTAAATTGAAGAAGGACATTTTTTAGAAATCCAACTATGAAACACAGTTTTGGGATAAATGGGGAAATACAGAATGGACAACTGATAATATTATTGAGTTAATGTCAAATTTCTTAGGTACAATAAGGACAATCCTTATTTTTAAGAAATTCATTGTTCAAGTGTTTAGGAAAGAAGTGCCATGATATCCAAAACTTAATCTTCTTTCTCTTTTTTTGGAGACAGAGTCTCGCTCTGCCACCCCGGCTGGAGTGCAGTGGCGCGATCTCAGCTCACTGCAACCTCTACTTTCCAGGTTCAAGTGATTCTCATGGCTCAGCCTCCCAAGTAGCTGGGACTACAGGAGTGCGCCACCATGTCCAGCTAACTTTTTGTATTTTTACTAGAGATGGGGTTTCACCATGTTGCCCAGGCTGGTCTCAAACTCCTGAGCTCAGGCAATCTGCCGGCTTCGGCCTCCCAGAGTGTTAGGGTTACAGGCGTGAGCCAACCGCTCCTGGCCCCAAAACTTAACCATCTAATGGTTGAGAGAGAGACAGAGAGAGAGAGAAAGAGAGAGACAGAGAATGTGTGTGTGTGTGAAGACAAAGCAAAAATAAAAAAATATTAACTAATGGTGATTCTAGGTAGAGGGTGTATGATTTTAGTAGTTTCATTATTTCAACTTTTCGATAGGTTTCACAATTTCCAAAACAGCAGATCCAGCCATTTCATCTGACAAAAACTGTTAGCAGCACTACATCGTAATTTATTGCTAATAATCTCATTGTTTTACTCTTAAAATTGTTTCATTTACTAAATTTCCTTAGTGATGATGGAGGCTTTATCATGACAGAGTACAGAGGCTCTGAAATGAGCCAGTGTCTATGAAGAGCACCACTGTTTGCAAGATCTATGATCTTGTACCCAGTTTCCTTTATCTGTTAATTTGGGACATTCCATATCTCTTGAGTTTGTTGTGGAAATAAATGAGCAACTTTGCCAACCACAGAGTAAATAAATAAATGTTAAAGAGAATAAAAGCATTTTTACCTCCTCTCTCCCTCTTAACGGTTATTTCACTTTAAGATGGTAAATTTTAAGCTTTCTGAGATGAAAAATCATTAAAACTTAACAAGAACAGAGAAATGCCATACATACATATTTTTTGTTTGCTTGTTTCCTGAGACAAGGTTTCACTCTGTCACCCAGGTTGAATTGCAGTGGTGCAACCCCCAAGTTGCAATCCTCCACCTAAGCCTCCAGAGTAGCTGGGACTACAGGTGTGAGCCACCATGCTCAGCTAATTTTTTTACTTTTTTGTAGAAGGGGGTCTCACTATGTTGCCCAGGCTGCCTCATATTTTATAAGAATATGACTTCAAACACTTAGGCATTAGCGACAAGGTTTTGTTTTTGTCTTTTAATGACAGAGGTATACCTCAACATATTTGACACAACTGTTAGAGATTTGGTTTAAAAAGAAATAGACATGGATGAAGCTGGAAACTATCATTCTCAGCAAACTAACACAGGAACAGAAAACCAAACACCTCATGTTCTCACTCACAACTGGGAGCTGAACAACGAGAACACATGGACACAGGCAGGGGAACATCACACACCAAGGCCTGTCGGGGAGTAGGGGGCTAGGGGAGGGATAGCATTAGGAGAAATACCTAACGTAGATGAGGGGCTGATGGGTGCAGCAAACCACCATGGCACATGCATATCTATGTAACAAACCTGCACATTCTGCACATGTATTCCAGAACTTAAAGTATAATACAAAATGAAAAAATAAATAAAAATAAGTAGAAAAAATAAACATGTAAGCATGTGAGCTGCCTTTCCTAATTCTATGTTTATGTATTCACTGAATACATAGTATTTTAAAATAGTAATCCAATAATATATTTGAGTGTTTGTGACAAGTATGAAAATTGTAATTTTTAAAAAATCTTGATAATATGCATTGAATATGATTTAATTCACTTCACTATTTGAACTCTTTAGGGATTATTTTTAAAAATATGATTGATATCCTTTGATATGTTTTGGCTCTGTGTTTCCATCCAAATCTCATCTCAAATTGTAATCCCCACCCGTCTAGGGAGGGACTGTAATCCCCATGTGTCGAGGGAGGGAGGTGATTGGGTCATAGGGGTGGTTTTCCTCATGTTGTTCTCGTGATACTGAGTGAATTCTCATGAGATCTGATGGTTTTAAAAGTGGCAGTTTTTCCTGCACTCTCATCTCTCTTTCCTGCTGGCTTGTGAAGGTGCCTGCTTCCCTTTCTGCCATGATTTTAAGTTTCCTGAGGCCCCCACAAGCCATACGGAACTGTGAGTCAATTAAACCTTTTGCCTTTATAAATTATCCAGTCTCAGATATTTCTTTAAAGCAGAGTGAAAACAGACTAATACATTCTTCAATTTAAAAAGCCATACTTTCTCATACAAGTTGAAACCAAGAACAATATCATGCATAATCAAGTGATTAACTGTGTAAAGATAATAAGGTTGAGGAGTTCAGAGAAGAAAAGAAATGAATAGGGAACTGTAGTGATAATTTAAAATAGCCATCCCTCACTCAGGGTTTTTGATCTTCAGGCCATGAAGAAGCTTTTAATGCTTTTTAGCAAAGGAAGTAATGTTGGTGAAAGGCTTTTTCTGACGACTAATGGAAAGCAGTGCTATGTATGGTGACTTGGTTATGAACCAAAACCAGAATGACTGGTGAGAGGCTGACTGAATACAGCAAGCTTATGTGAAGACAACTGGAGCTGGTGCAGTGGAAAAGGAAGACAGCAGGACTGTACCCACAACTCAAAGAAAAAAGTCAGAAGGTACCTCCCGCAGTCCAACCTGAAAACAACAAAGTCAAAGGAATCTTTTCAAGAATTTGGAGCTCTCATTCATATCCTAATTAGTGTATGAAATGTGAGGTGGCTTTGCTATAATGAAATTACCTGGAATATTTCTAACACAAAGAAATAATAAATGCTTGAGGTGGTGAATATCCTCATTTGATCATTACACATTGCATGCTTATAGCAAAAGATTACATGTACCCCATAAATAATTGCAACTATTATGTATCCATAATAATTAAAACTAAAAGATTAAAAATTACCTGAAAAAAAATGCTAAACAGGAAAGGCCAACTAGTCTTGGTTACATATTAAAAAACAGAAATTCTTCTCTAACCTCACTATTGGAGAAATATCCTGTTATTTTTATATATCTTTTTTTTCACCCTTTCCCAAATCTGAGCAAGTATTATAAAGGTATAACCTTCAACAATCTTTTATGATGAGGTATTTGCTTACTGGGGACAAAGCCCCAGTGCTATTACATAGTGTAGCTAAACGCTGTAGAATGGTAAAAACAAGAAAATGCTCAGCAAAGTGTTGTTTCTCATTTAATGAAAATCTTATTTTAAAACACAAAAACTCAATATACCCCAACCAAAAATCTGATGAACATTTTCTGTTTAATATTTATTATACAGTACCTTTAAAAACGTAATATTCTTATTCTTAAAAATTTAGTGTGCTAGCAAATAGCAATTAAGTACCTAAGTCAATCAGGACGACAAAAAAATACTCAATTTGGGGAGTTAGTTACTTCTATCATCTGAATGCGTCCCTCCAAAATTCATGCTGAAACCTATTCCTCATCATGGCAGTATTAAGAGGTGAAGCCTTTGAGAGGTAATTAGGTCATGAGGGCAGAGTCCTCAAGAATGGGATCAATGCTCTTATAAAAGAGGCCCCAGGGAGCTTGTAAGGCTTTTGCCCCTTCTGCCATGTTGGGGGGGTGGGGGTGGGGGCGCAGCAACCAGTGCTAACTCTGAAGCAGAGAGCAGCCCTCACCAGAAACCGAATCTGTTGAAGCCTTGATCTCTGACTTCCCAGCCTCCAGAACTGTGAGAAATAATTTTCTGTTGTTTATAAATTACCCAGTCTAGGCTGGGCGTGGTGGATCACCTGAGGTCAGGAGTTCAAGACCAGCCTGGCCAATATGGTGAAACCCCATCTCTACTAAAAATACAGAAAATTAGCTGGGCATAGTTGTGGGCGCCTGTAATCCCAGCTACTCAGGAGGCTGAGGCAGGAGAATCACTTGAACCCAGAAGGCAGAGGTTGCAGTGAATCAAGATCATGCCATTGAACTCCAGCCTGGGCAACAAGAGGGAAACTGTCTCAAAAAAAAAAAAAAAAAGTACACACTCTAACATATTTTGGTATAGCAGCCCAAATGGAATGGACTAAGACAATTACCCTTAAAATAAAAGCTCCCATAGAGAGATCATGCATTCAAGTACAGAGGTTCTTAAGGGCAATGGGAATGGAGGACATATTCCTGCAAACTTTTCAACAGCTCTCATTAGCCCGATGTTAGAGCTCTGCAAAGAAGACTAAATTATACTGAGAAATATTTTTAAATCTCCACAAATAGGAATGCTGTAAACGTTGATTTAGTATATATAAAATTAGACAAGACTAACAATATCCAATGCAATCTAAATCTTAGGTTGACAGACAAGAAAGCCACTGCAAACAGGAATATACCACAATACCTGATCTTGCCACATATTTGTAAATATGCAAAGTATTTCAATAACTTCCAAGAAACAGTATTACTCTCATGAGAAATAACATGATGTAAGTCACCTTTGAAACTGTCCTTGTTACTTTTTCAAATGTATGTTAGTCATTTCTTAACACCAAATGAAATGAAAAACTGAGGTGGTAATGGCTGGCTGCTCCCATCTCTCCTCTACTCATGTGCCTTCACCAATACAGCAATCATTTTTTCTTATATGGGAAATTTACAGTGTTGATATAGCTCAGAGATATATTGAAGAAAAGCAGAAAAACGAAACTTATAAACATTTTAGGAAACCTTATGTATTTTCTTAAATAGTTCAAGTGTAAAACTTAGAATTCTTATAAATAATGTGTGTTACAGCTATATTGTAAATGGTGGCTCATGCCTGTAATCCCAGCACTTCAGGAGACCGAGGTGGGAGGAGAGCTTGAGCCCATGAGTTTGAGACTCACCCGGGCAACACAGAGAGACCTCATCTCTTAAAAAAAAAAGAAAGAAAGAAAGAAATGAAATGCAAAGAAAAAGTCTCTATTTCAAATGTAGCCAGTAGAGCCAATAGGTTAACCAATATTAACATTAACGTTGATAAAACAAGAAATGATGATTTACTATAAGCTGAAAATCAGACAATGTATGGACTTTAAGAGTAACAGGCACGATCATCACAAACTTAAATCAGGTTTGAGTCCTATGAGTTATATACAGTTACATGATGCAACAAAAGATGCCAGCCAGTTGTTAAAGAGTATTAGATTCGGCTGGGGGTGGTGGCTCATGCCTGTAATTCCAGCACTTTGGGAGGCCGAGGAGGGAGGATCACGAGGTCGGGAGTCCGAGACCAGCCTGGCCAATATAGTGAAACCTGATCTCTACTAAAAATACAAAAACTAGTCAGGCATGGTGGCACGTGCCTGTAATCCCAGCTACTCGGGAGGCTGAGGCAGGAGAATTGCTTGAACCCAGGGGGCGGAGGTTGCAGTGAGCCGAAATCGCGCCACTGCACTCTAGCCTGGGCAACAGAGCAAGACTCTGTCTCAAAAAAGAGTATTAGATTCAAGTCCTGTTTCTGTCATTTATTATGGAACCATGGACACAACTACCTATCTTTCCTGAACCTCAGTTTTTTCAACTGCAAAACAGGAATATATACATATGTGTATATATACATCTGTGTAAACACATATGTGTATATATACATCTGTGTAAACACATATGTATATGTATAAATGGAGATAATACCTACATTATAGTTTCTGAGATAATAAAATGCACAACACAATTCTGACACATAACAATTTGTAACTTAAAACATACCATCACCAGGGCCACTAGTTTTAGAACACTGTAATGCATAGTCTAATTTAATACTATGCAAACTGTGTTCACTCAAGGTTTTATTTCCTTTTAATTTCATTCATTTACTCTTCAGTTGTTTGTAAGCTAAAAAGTCCAGAATCATGAAATTCAGAAGTTTACGTTTTAATGTTTTTCTATATGGCAAGGAAAAAAAAAAGGGCAAAGTCATTTTAACACTACTTTCAAAATCAGCCTAGAACTTAACACTAAAGGCATGACCCATAAAAGGGAATACTAATAAATAGACTTAATTAAAATTAAACAACAACAACAACAGCTAAGCTTTTGTTCTGCAAAAGATCCTGTGAAGAGAATGAAAACATAAGCCGCAGGCTGGGAGAAAATATTTGCAAACCATATTTCCGAGAAAGGTCTTGTGTCTATAATATATAAGAACTCCCAAAATTCAACAGTTTTTAAAAAAAGCAAATAATCCAATTAGAAAATGGGCAAAAGACATGAACAGACATTTTACCAAAGAGAATATATAGGTGGCAAATAAGCATATGAAAACATATCTCACACATCATTAGCCATTAAAGAAATGCAAATTAAAACCACAATGTGATATCATTACACACCTACCAAAATATCCAAAATAAAAATTAGTGGTAACACCAAATGCTGGTGCGCATGTGGAAAAATAGTCCTTCACACACTGATGGTACAAATGCAAAACAGTACAGTCCCTCAGGAAAGGAGTATGGCAGTTTCTTACAAAACTAAACATGCACTTACCATATGACCAAGTAATTATACTCTTGAATATTCCCAGAAGTAAAAATGTCTTCTCCAAAAAACTTATACATGAACGTTCATAGCTGTTTTATTCGTGAGAGTCAAAAACAGAAAGCAATCCCAGGGCTACCCATTAAAACAGGTGAATGCTTATAAACTGACTGTAATAGGTCTGTCCCACGGAATACTACTCAGCAATAAAAAGGAACAAACTACTGGTATATGCAACAACTTGGATAGATCTCAAGGGAGTTATGTTATGTGAAAAAAGTCAATCTCAAAAGGTTACACACTGCATGACTCCACTGATATAACATTAGTGAAATGACAAAAATTTTAGAAATGGAAAACAAATTAGTAGTTGTCAGAGGTTAGGGAAGAAATGCAGTAAGGTAGGTGGCTGTGGCTATAAAAGGGTAGCCTAAGAGATCCTTCTGTTGAAACGGGTATATTTTGAATATAGGGTGAATTTACATATGTGATAAAGATTGCATAGAACTAAATACACACACACAGTATATGTAAAACTAAGGAAATCTGAGTAAGGTTTGTGGATTATATTAATACAATTTCCTGGTTGTGATACTGTACTGTAATTATGCAAGATGTTAGAATTGGGGGAAACTAGATGAAGGGTATGTAGATCTTTCTGTATTATTTCTTACAATTGCATGTGAATCTGTAATTATCTCAAAATAAAAATTTTTTTCAAAATTTCAAAACAACTAGTCTAGAGCTTTGTTAATCAAAGTTTTCTCTGAGGACCTGTAGCATTTTGGTTATCACCTGGATCTTATTAAAATGTAGATTCTCAGGCTGCATATTGGAATTCCTGAATTGGAATCCGCATTTTAACAAGATTTCCAAGTGATTCATGTTTAAAGTTTGAGAAGCACTAGTCTACAACAATGACTTTTAACCTTTCAACCTACTCTAACACACTTGAAGGCCATAACAAAATTCACATCAATAACAGTTGCTCGGTTGGACAGTGACTCTCAACACAAATGAGTGAGGAAAGGTGGGGACTCAAGACTCAGGTAGCAGGAAAAGCCCCTTAGGTGATCCTGATGAAATGTTTTCTCCATCCTGGCTGAAAAACCCAGAACAGTCAATTAAGGCTCAAAACAAAAGTAATGTTTATAATACTGGAGATCTTTAAAAGGCAGATAATATATACTATAACAGAGCAAAGGTAATTATTACAATGTATAAATCTTATAAGAACCAAAATCAGAATTAAAATCACTAAGCACATAATGAAAATCCTTTAAAAAGTATAAAAATGAATGTAGTCTAAGTAAATACTAATAATGGCAGTTATAGTGAGAAAAGCTCTAGAGTCTTTTACTCTTCATACTTCCTAGTCACAAACATCTATTTCCAAAACTGACCCTTCGTATTTCAAATAATTTATGGCCTGGTACAGTAATAAGAGCATGATATTTAAAGCCAGTCAGAAGACACATATTCTAGCTCTGGATGGCACTTGATGACGATGGATTCAGCTTATGGTTCCAATCCCAGCTCTGTCAATTAGTACCTATATGACCCTAGTCAAATACTTAAACCTTCTTGTGTTACTTGTGTGTCAATTGTATCATCTATAAAATGAGGATATTAACAGTATATACCTCATAGATTTTTTTGTGAAGGTTATACAATTAATTCATATAAAGTATTTAGAACAATGTCTAGCACAGTGAATTCTCAATGAGTGTTATAATTGTTCTTTTTAAATGTGACTTGACTCTCAACAGAACTCTACTGAATTCTAATATGTATTCTGTATTGAGCTGTCAAAAAAAATAAGGATTATAATAACATATACTATTCTTGTAGTCAACCCTGTTACTATGTTATTACTAGTGTCAGTTTTGTTGTTTTGGTCATACATATTGTTTTACATACATTAAGAATTATTAGAAATGTTGGTTTATTAAAAATGACCATTTATGGCTAGAAGGGTATATATCTGGCTCACTGACTGTGGAGTCAATGTCCATAAAGAGGAGGAAGAATGCCATCAGAGTAAAAGGAGATTCTATTCACTGAAACAAAGTGATAAAAAGCTATGAAAGAGAAAAACATAAAATAACCAAAGGGGTGAAACTTAACAGATGCCCAGTAGATGCACAATGCACTGGGTTGTAAAACTTAAAATGGCCTTAATTAAAAGCCAAGCACGGATGGAGGTGCTGGGGGAGTCTCCTACGGACACAGCAGGCAGAATGTAACAATGACAAGGGGCTCAAGTTTATTTAAAAAGAGATTGGACAGGCCGGGCGTGGTGGCTCACGCCTGTAATCCCAGCACTTTGGGAGGCTGAGGCGGGTGGATCATGAGGTCGGGAGTTCGAGGCCAGCCTGGCCAACATGGCGAAACCTCATCTCTACTAAAAATAAAAAAAATTAGCCGGGAGTGGTGGCGTGCATCTGTAGTCCCAGCTACTCAGGAGGCTGAGGCAGGAGAATCACTTGAACCTGGGAGGCAAAGGTTGCAGTGAGCTGAGATCATGTCACTGCACTCCAGCCTGGGCAACAGAGTGAGACTGCTCAGGATCTCCCAAAGACCCAAATCCCTGTAAACTGAATGCATAATATCATTTGCTCCAGTGAGGCTTAGATGGACATTCTAGTCTTCTTGGTTGAGCTGAAGAAACAAATATTATATTGATAATTTATGTATGTTGTATTTTTCAAGGTATAGCAACAAGTTTTTATTCATCAGCTACTTTGTGTGTGTGCTTTGTTTTTAAGTCTTTTGAAACAGGATGGTGATTTACTACATTTATAAGTAAAATTTATTTGATTTACAAGGGTTGCTTAAGTGTATCACAGGATTTCACTTGTTATATTTGCAGGTGCTTAAAAAATCAGCTATACTAAACTATAACTGGAATTAGCAAAGTTCATTTATTGATTAATCAAGAATATAATTAGATTTGCCTAACTATATAAGTAGTACTATGTGTTATTTAAGAATTAAATCTAGAAAAGGGATGGACTCTGGAAATATCAAGAAGTGAAAAAGACTGCTCTCATTTTTGTACAACAATTACTAAATTTCTAAGTAGCATTAATTGAACTGAAAAGGCATTTTAGAAAAACTAGATTTTACAATTTATAACTCTAATAAAACACAACTAACTATGAGTGTGCTTGTTCATGCCCAAAAGCTACCTTCCAAAATTAAAAACCCTATTGGATGGCTGGGTGCAGAGGCTCATGCCTGTAATTCCAGCACTTTGGGAGGCCAAGGCGGGCGGATCACCTGAGGTCAGGAGTTCGAGATCAGCCTGGCCAATATGGTGAACCCGTCTCTAACAAAAATACAAAAATTAGCCGGGCGCTGTGGCGGGTGCTTGTAATCCCAGCTACTCGGGAGGCTGAGGCAGGAGAATCACTTGATCCTGTGAGGCGGAGGTTGCAGTGAGCTGACACCGTCCCACTGCACTCCAGCCTGGGCGAGAGCCCAGAGCGAGACTCCGTATATTAAACAAAACAAAACAAAACTCAAAAAACCCTATTGGCAATTACTAGGGCCATCAAATCAGTATATTTTCACTTGACACACAATTTTGAGATAATGAACCGAACTTACTATTTTTGAAAATATTACATAATAAATATTAGTGAAGCTTCATTGCTGAAATGGTGACAAAGATGAATAGCAATAAAACTTTTCTTATAGATCTTTAGCAAAAACAAAAAAACCCCAAGCATACTATGGTACATTACTTTAGAGAATCAAGTAGCTGCTAGTTGAGTAATAGTGGTAATAGGCACTACAATGATATAAACAAATTACAACAAAGAATATTGTTTTTATTTCCTGTCCATGTTTTAAAAAAGCTTTGGTTTTACCTATGTTTAACAAAAGCATAGGTACAACAACGACTACTACTACTAACATATAAGTAGCCTGGATAGAATTATCTTAATAGTAGTACCCAAGTGCAGGATCTCTAAGTAATGATCAGAAGGCAGGAATAAATTTTATCAGAAATCTTCATTCATTACATATTTACTATGCATTTACCAGGGTATCACTATGCTAATGGATACAAAGATAAATAACATGCAAACAACTGTAATACAGTGTTATGTGATAACAGAAATATGTACAAAGCACTATGAAAAAAATTACAAAGCTTGAGCACAAATTTTAACTCTGGACTTACTGGCATTTAGAGCAAAACCAAAACAATCCTAACTGGTTAATTTCATTTTCTAAGAGTTGGAAGCTATATCAGTAGGTACAAAGTAAAATATGCTAATTGTGGTAGAAAGTAAAATATTACAACAGTAGAGAATTTCAAAAGAAGATAAAAATAATGGAGGGAATATAGAAGGTCTTCAAGCTTCCAGCTTGAAATACATATTTTTTTTTAAATAGAGAAAGAGATAAAGTCATTTGAGTATTCAGAGGGCAGACTGAATATAATGGTACTTCTGAGAAATCAGTGGATAAGGAGAGAAAAGTGGACTAAAGGCCATAGCATATAGAGCTTGGAATGTCAAATGTAGTGGAAATAACAAAGGTTTGGTTGGAATCCCAACTCCCAACAACGTACTGTGTATCTAGAGCAAATTACATCAACCTTTGGGAGTACTGTTTCTGAATCTGAAAAATGAGGAAAACTTATCTTTGAACAATTGATGTGATAATTAAATGAGATATATGAAATATCTAATGTAACAAGTGCTTAACAATGACTAGTTCTTTTCATTCCTCTCTTGAACCATTGTGAAACGTAGAACCAAGAAAGGTAACAGTATTTAGTTGTTACAGAACCCATTAAGAGAGAATAAAAAATAACTGGTATTCTAACTTCAGTTTCCTTTGAAGTCTTGTTAATGAGAATAAATATTATGTGGCACAAAGAAAAAGAAAACAGGGGTTTACACAGGATATGCTGCCAGACTTTACCAACAATGACACATGATATCTGCTTCAACTGTCCCATGCATATTTGGCTTAAGATATATTCATGCATATCAAATTTTACATCACATGGTTTTCAAAAGAAGATTCATTAAAATTAGCTTAAGAATGTACACAATATACAATACCTCATTAAATAAAAAGAACAGACCATTTCCAAATGAATGCTTTTAGAGCTTTACAGTAAACAGTCTTTTGGTGGTAGAAAGAGGGGGAACAGAGAGGGGAGTGGGTGGGAGTCTGTAGCACTTATCAGACTACTTTTATCCTTTATGTAGAGAAATAGGAGAGTTGAAAATAAGCACTTTCTGTACTTATGTTGAGAGTCTGAAGCCCACTTTTAATAGTCTTGACAACACTAAAAAATAATAATTAACATTTGAAAAGCTGTCATTATTATAGTCAGGGACACTTAATCTCCAAAGGAGAAGTTTCTTAATTGATACTATGATTAAATAAAAGCATCCATCAGAATTATATCCACAATCTGGTTTGGAGTTTATGTTTTGTCTTATTTAAATTGTTATACTTATTATAATTCTGTCTAGACAGTGCCAAATGTACTTTGTCATACAAACACTTGAGGCAAATTTTCTTCAAATAAGCGCAACACTTTGTTTCCTCTTCGTATCCTTTGACTGAATAACGTGTGGTACAGAGAAGTAATACTTCCCTTTCTTGGGATCGAGATCAATTTGATGCTTGTTATAAGCCCATTTACAGAACAAATGGTATTGCTTTTAAATTTTTATATGAACTTATCAGTAGACTAGCCAAAAAAGAAGCTTCATATAAAAGTGCTAGGATTGATATTCTTAGTAATAATTAGGTAAATTCTCTAAAATTTTCTCCCAAAAGATCTGAAAAATCATACCAAGGGAAGTATAGTTTAAATTTCATTATATATAATAGCTTTAAAATATCTTTGCTAATTCTACCCAAAGCCACACTAAAAAGACTAATACAAAAAGAATGTAATTAATAAACTATTTTCCTCTGAAGAATCAAAGGGCACTTCTGCATATGAACATGTTTTATCCTTTTGGTGTACTTACATAAAATAATTAAGAAACACTTTTAATTAGTATAAACAAAGAAATCAAAATAGCAAGAAGAAATGTCTGAGTAAAAGCAGCTGTGCTGACCTCAAAAGTGAAATTCTGTTCTCTTGATGCCCAGTTAAGTGTCTAACCCAGGGAAAAGTGATTCTAAACCTGGGCTAGGAGCTAGTGGAGCTCTTCAAACAGTCTCACCTACCCTCACCCCTCAAGGAATGGTCTATGGGTTCTGTGGTGAACGCTAAAGTTTATAACATGGGAATATTTATTATTTTGTTTCTAACACAAATAATTTTTAAAAATTTATTCTACTAAAGTAACATCAAAGGGAAATTTCATAAAAATTCTTTTGAAATTTTTAGAAGTAGCAAATAAAGGCAAGTGATAAATATTTTACAGATTTCACCACTTACGTAATCTGATCAACAAATTTTAAAAACATAGCACTTGAATACTATTAAAAATATATTAAAAAGGTAACATAGTAAAACTATAAAATTCTTTAAAAAAAATATAAGAGGAAACCTTCGTGACCTTGGATTAGGAAATGGTTTCTTACATACGGCAACCTAAAAATACAAGCAACCAAAGAAAAAAACAGACAAACTGGACTTCATCAAAGTTAAAAACTTTTGTTCTTCAAATGACATCATCAAGAAAATAAATCCCACAGAATGGGACAAAATATTTGCAAACCATATCTGATAAGAGACCACTATTCAGAATATGTAAAGAATTTGTAAAACTTATAAATAAAAAGTTAAAGAAGTCAATTTTAAAATGAGCAAAGGATCTGAAGACAATTCTCCTAAGAAATACGAATGGCTAGTTAAATGCATGAAAAGATGTTTAGCATCACTGGTCATTAGGAAAGAGCAAAAACCAAAATGATATACTCCTTCATACCCACTAAGACTGCTGTAATTAAAACTATAGAAAATAAGCGTTGGCAAGGATGTGGACAAATTGGAACCCTCCTCATACACTGATGGTAGAAATGTAAAATGGTGCAGATGCTTTGGAAAACAGTCTGACAATACCCCAAAGGTTTAAACGTGGAATTACCATGCAACCCAGCAATTCTACTCCTAAGTATCTACCCAAGAGAAATGAAAATATATGTTCACCAAAACATTTGTACATAAATATTAACTGCAGCTTTTATTCATAATAGCCAAAAAGTGGAGACAATCCACATGTCTATCAATTGGTGAATTGATAAACAAAATGTGGTATCTTCATACAACTATTACTGGGCCATAAAAAGAATGATGTATTGATACATGCTACAAAATGAATGAACCTTAAAAACAATATGCAAGCAAAAGAAACCAGACACAAAAGGCCATATATTACATGATGCTAATTACATAAAATGTCCAGAAGGGAGAAATAAATTAGTAGTTGCCAAGGGCTGGAGGGAGGGGGAATGATATAAGTGACTGCCAATGGGCATGGGGTTTCTTTTTAGGGTGATGAAAATGTTCTGAAATTTTATCACGGGAATGGTTGCACAACTCTGTGTAACTTAGAATTCAGTGACTCCTAAAACCAATGAATAGCATGCTTTAAAAGGTGACCTTTGCTGAGCATAGTGGCTATAGTCCTAGCTACTTGGGAAGCTGAGGCAAGAGGATCACTTGAGCCAGGAGTTCCAGGCTGTACTGCACTATGATCATACCTGTAAATAGCCACCATACACACCAGCCTGGGCAACACAGACCATGTCTCTAAATAAATAAACAAATAAATAAATAAAAGGGTGACCTCTGTAGTATTGAGATTATACTTCAAGTAAGCTGTTATTAAAAAAAAAAAAGTTATCATATGGGTGGCAGGGGAAATCATTCTGGGATGATGGCTAACTTCATCAGTATTTGATTTATACCTATGCATCATACCTTATGTTTGTTTTATGCATTTTGTGGGTTTTTTAAAAAAATTATATTTCATAAAAACAAATTTTAAAAAAATTAAAGTCAAGAACCCCAAAACAACAAAGATCAGAGATACATTTCTACCTTATCAATTCAGAAAAATTACAAGTTTTTTTCTTAAAAATTGTATAGCATCATGGTGATTTTAAGTTACCTGTAGGAATTTAAATAACTTTGTCTTAACTGTTCACCAAAACTCATTTAATATTCATGTTCTGATACTGAAAATGAAGCTGAAAAGTTTTGAAATTACAATATGCTAGTTTAAAAAGGTTTACTAAAATACATAATTTCATTATAAGGAGTAATATGAAATAAAAGTATCAAATATGGGACCATTAAAAATGTCCTTACTAACAAATTGCTACCCACATTGTGGACTCACTGCGTCCACTGTTTGCGAGCTTTTCCAGAACGCTCGCCACCAGTTAGGGTAGCCAAGAACTCCTCATCTTCACTTTCTTCCTCACTAGCTTGGAACCTCTGGATTCCCACCCACACTGCTGTGACCTGAATGGGGAAGAGAAACGCCATAGTAAGGGAACTCTTCCTTTTATAGATTTCTGAATTAGAATCTGGCATTACAAAAGAACAATGTTATAAATCCAGGTCAGAGTTTATAGTTCTATTTCACTATTACTTATATGGCTTGTCCTAGGAACTTAACTATTATTTACAATGTAAGTACCTATTTCCACAAAAAAATTCAAAATTTTGGAATACAATATCTGAAGAGAGAATGGTCTATTGAATCCAAAGTAGGCTGATACATCCCAACAGTATTTCAGATTGAGATAATAATAATACCACCAATTCATCAAGTCAAATTATATGCTTATTTTCCACAATGGAAGTTTTAAAATAGTATAAACATTTTAATATATAGCAGGCTTAACTTATGATTATTAAACAGGGTTCTAAGAAAATAGTATACATCAAATATTAATGTGCTTCTTGTATAATTTAGGTGACAATTTATCCATCTGAGAAATGCAAAAGAGACTTTGGTAAGGGGTTGAGTAAGGAGCATTCTGTGTCAAAGAATTCACTAGCAAAAGAGGGTATACTGTAGTTACAAGCTATAATCACTGTACTTATTTTAAATCCCTCTTCAGAACCAGGTCTTAAAAGATGATAAACATGGCCTCATGAATAACTATCAACCAAACTATAGAAAAGAGTGCAAGAGTGTGGTGTTCTAACTTAAAATATGGTGTTTTATTCAAATAATTTTATTTAAGGCTCCAAAAGCAGCAGCCTCATTCCCCAGAAATCATAGTTAAATGAAATCTTCCTTACTAAAGGAAAAATGAATCACAATATTTAACGTGAACATTTTAAAAACACTCTAAAGCAACAAAACTATTCAATTGTATGTGATATGGCTTAGAAAGGCATGTAGGTAAAAAGGACTAAAAACTCTAATAATGGTTGGGCCAAAAGTAAATTTGTTAGTTCTACTCCATTAAGCATTCCTCAAGCAGTGTAAAAATCAGAGTTCAAGTTACACTTTGATGTGTAGATCCTTTGAAAGCCACTCTACCCTGTTTTATATGAAGCATCCGCAGCTAAAATGAACACCTAGTGAAGAGTATGAATGCTGCAATACATAAGCAGACGTCAGAATTGTCCCAAGCTGATTCTAAGTTACTTTAAACATGTATGCAGAGTCAGAATATGACTTACTTCTTAGAAGTAACAGATAATTACCTTTGGCATAATGAAAAAAACTTTAAATGTAAGTTAATACAGGTATTTTCCCTTTAGCAAAGCTTTGCTTTTAAAAGAAAACTTCAAAACTTAAATTAAAATAGGAAATGCTCTACTATGTAGTAAAAATACTTTTTAGATTACTGAAGCAAAGAAAAGGAAGGATTCTATGAGGGAGGAAAAGTGGGAGAAAAATGTAAAGAAAAAAAGGAAGAAGGAAAGAAAAGAGAAAAGGAGGAAAGAACACAAGGACAGAAAGGCCTATTGAAATATATTATTTCTTTCAAATTTTAAACGAGCAGAATAAATTCTTTTGTTTTATAACTATGAAATAATCTATGTTCCTCTTATCTATGCTTGGAAAATTTAGACAAAATGTTAAGAGTAAGTACTACATTGGATTTCCGGGTCTTCAGCTCTGAAAACAAGCTGTTTCTTAACATACGTCAATTTTCTATATTTCATGTCATTTCTATTTGCAAATGTTATAAAGTTCAATATGATGTAAAACATGGTTAAATGAAGTTCAAAAATAAGTATAACATACATTAGTTTGGCTATTCCAAATTTCATGCACATTAACTCAGCCACACATCTAACACAGTCAGCCCTCCCTATCCAGGGGTTCTGCATCTGCAGATTCAACTAACCATGGGTCGAAAATGTTTTTGTACCAAACATGTACAGGCTTTTTTTCTTGTTATCATTCCCTAACTACAGTATAACAACTATTTTCACAGTGTGTACATGTGTATGAAATATTATAAGTAATCTACAGATAATTTAAAGTATACAAGAGGGTATGCATAGGTTATATGCAAATACTACACCATTTTATATCAGACTCTCAAACATCAGTAGAATTTGGTAACCCAGGGAGGTCCTGGAACTAATCACCCAGAGGTATCGACAGATGGCTATATATAAATCACTCAGTGAATTCAGGATTCACATTATTTCACAACTAGTATAATTTTATGTTGTTCACATAATTGTGTCACAACATATACATGCAGACAGGTGACTTTCATGAAAAGATTACACCCAAGATAGACATATGGTCTACTCAAATACGGTTTCCAAATGTGTATCCAATCTTGTTTAATTATAATCAAACTCACCATTCCATTGATAAGCGACCTCTACCAACCTGCTTATCCCCTCCAAGCAATATAACAGTGGTTCTCTGAACCAATATTGACCCTCCTTTAAATTGATAGCCTTTTTTTAAAAAGCTAACCATTGAGAAGTACATACTGTTGAAGACAGAACATATTCTGTAAAATGCTCCCAAGATATCAAAGTCAGATGATACAACTGAATGTTTATGCTAGATTATATTTCTAAGCTGAGAATTACATTTTAATATACCATAAGCAATCTGCAAAAGAAGCAACTTGCCTAAAGATTTCAGGAGTTTCAAGTATGCATATGTCAATATCTGTATCAATATGTAATATCAATATAATCAATGCACACAACAATACGTAACTGTACTTATATCATCTCCTTAGCACTAATTATTACAAACAATCTGCATGCACTGCAAAGCAAAAGTATAATATAAAATCCCAAAAAACCTTGAAAATTTAATAAAACCAAAAAACAGGCATCACACACAAGAACTGAGGCGTATACTTCATTAATGAGTATGATATCCTGATATGAAATGTCAAACAAAATTACCCAGGCTCAGGTTAGAAATAAAGATAGGACATTAGTCTTTGTATTTTTAAATTGATTTTTTCTTCTAATATTCCTTAATGATAACCCTATATATTACCTACTTAAAATTATTAGCAAATAGTTATTTTAAAAGTATGAGTAATTAGACCAAAAGCAACTCTCATATTTACCCAAAAGAAGGAACCACTACCAAGAATCAAAGCCTAGTAATTCTGTTCTTAACAGACAGGTGTTGTGTATTCTGGCATGTTACATGAAAATCACTTATGAGAAGAACAGAAAAAAAAATTAGAAGGTAGTTTTCACTATGGAAATAGGTAAGTGATTAAGCAGATTTTCTTACACCATGAAATTGTCAGCAGACTCAATAATCACCCTAAGGGGCATCATTCTGGATGCCGACATTCTCTATGATGGAAAGGGACTGAAAGTAAAATGCACTAATGACATAAAGAAACCAATATCCAATAGTAAAGTTGAAGAAATAAACATTCTTTGGACAGGAACTAAGCTGAAGTTTGCAACTACCAAGAATGTATTATGCCAGCAGTAAATTAGGAAACTAAAGCCCATGTCAACCAATGAAAAATGGGAGGACTGAAATCAATCATTAAAGCAGCAGCAAGGTTCTAACTATTCTAAGGTATAGGCTACCTCTGGCGTATATTATCAGAGTTGACAATTCTTCCAAGAAATTCTAACATCAACTGTAATCTGAGGTCCTTTAAAAAATAATATAAACCAGGCAGTAGACTTACATTTTGTAATATTTTCTTCTAAGAGCTGTACATTAAGATTTTATTTGTGATATAAATACTATCAAATAATTAGCTATAGAACAGCTCTATTTTCAACAGTTATAACATTTTAAGCCATCTCACATTTAACCTAAACTTTTATCAAATGTCAAAACTGAGGCCGGGTACGGTGGCTAACACCTGTAGTCCCAGCACTTTGGGAGGCCAAGATGGGCGGATCACTTGAGCCCAGGAATTCGAGACCAACCTGGGCAACATGGTGAAACCCCATCTCTATAAAAAATACAAAAATTAGCTGCGCCTGGTGGTGTGCGCCTGTAGTCCCAGCTACTAGAGAGGCTGAGGGAGGAGAATCACCAGGGCCTGGGAGATCAAAGCTGCAGTGAGCTGAGATCGTGCCACTGCACTCCACCCTGGGTGACAGAGTGAGACCCTGTCTCAAAAAAAAAAAAAAAAAGAAAGAAAGAAAAAAAAATCAAAACTGATCACTTGAGGTCCAACTTATGTTTACTATATCTACTTATATTCCCAAAGACATCTTAAGGAGAGATGAAATCATAAAAAGGTGAGGATGAGAAAGAAAATAGTAAGTCAGTAAGGTCAATTTTTACATATATTAGGCTAGCATAATAAAAATATGAGTGTCTTATTATTATTTTTTTTTGAGACAGAGTCTTGCTCTGTTGCCCAGGCTGGAGTGCAGTGGTGCAATCATGGCTTACTGCAATGTCTGCCTTCCAGGTTCAAGCAATCCTTGTGCCTCAGCCTCCTGAGTAGCTGGGATTACAGGTGTGCGTCACCCTGCCCAGCTAATTTTTGTATTTTCAGTAGAGACAGGGTTTCACCACGTTAAACCATGAGTTTGGCCAGGATGGTCTCAAACTCCCAAAGTGCTAGGATTACATGCGTGAGCCACTGCGTCTGGCCTAAAGTGTCTTATTATAACCAAGAATTTATTTGTGGAGAGAGGTAAAGAAAACTCATTTTTAGTGAAATAATTAAAACTGCATCATTCACAATCTATCTTTCAAAATGAGGTATTAACTATTTTGGCTTCTAAAATTACCCCATATACTACATGCATGAGCATGGGAATTGAAGTTATTTTATTCCTAAGTTTGAGACTTCATGTTTTAATGTGATCACTAAAAATTTCCTAATTGATGATTAGGAAAATAACTTTCTGTAAAATTCCAGAATTTTAGCTGTTTCAATCTCTTCATATTAAGGGGAGAACATTATGTTTTTACTTTCTGTGCATGCACTTTCTTTATTAGAAGAAAATGGACTGAGGGCAGTAAGCAACCGAAAAGGAAGAGTAATAAGAAGCCTGATGTGTGTGAAAACTGGAGAACAGTCTCAAATCATAAAAAGTTATGACAGAAGAGGCATAAAAAATAAAAGTAATGAACTTAATATATGAAAGGTAATAATGATTAAGAGCATAGGCTATAAAGCCAGACTGGACTCCCTGGATTCAAATCCTGGCTCTTCTAATTACTAGGTAGGTAACCCTGAGCAAGTTTCAATGACCAATCTTTTTCTCAATTACCTCAGGTATATAAAGGGGACAGTAACAGCATTTAACCCAGAGGACAATAAGGATTAAATAAATACATGTAAAATAATTTAAAACAGTACCTGGTATTCAATAAAGCGCAATAAATGTTAGCTGCTATTATTATTCATCTAAACTTTACTTTCATTACCAGCAATATTTTTTAATCTTAAAAATATTGAATAAAACAATGACCTAGCTTAGTAAATAAATTCATAATGAGAAAATGTTGATTTCATTTAATAATAACTTTAGTAGTTTGGGATAACACTTTGCATATTTTAATTTCCCCAGCTATAAATAACTCAAATAATTTGCCATCAGATGATCTGTTATTTTGAAGTTAACAAATAAAGCATTTCCTAAAAAAGTTCTAATACATAACTTTTGCTCTCATCTTATGTTTTAAAAACAAAATGGCAAATCATCTGCATCAAATAGTTCCTACTCTTATAACATGACAATTGTTTTAAAATATATCTGCTGGAAAAAGCAACTGAAGTCCTAGAAAATAGAAATGTAATTTTAAACTATTCCAATAAAGCTGGAGGAGGAAGGGGAAAAACATATCTGCCAAATAAGCTTATAATTAATAGTTGTTTTCAGTTTTCAAAAATCCACATAGGAAGCAATTTAAGCCTAAATTGCCTAAGTCTCAATCTCAGCGTAGTAGATAGCTTAGGGCAATCAAAACTTGCTGTGTTGGGCTGCCCCCTACAGGACTCAATTTACCTATTTCTTTTAAAAGGTGTGTAAGTAGGAAATATGATTCAAGTTTTACATTAACAATATTAATGCTAAAGCAGATGATTATCATTCACGCATTCACTATAGGAGGAAACAGTCTCTGAGAACCATCTATAGAGATACAGAGAGAAATGAAACAATCCTTGTCCTTGAGGAATTAATAGTTTACTGCTTACAGAGAAACTACATACATGGTGAAATATTTAAAAATAGCTCATGATATCCTCTATGATATTATGTTTGCTATAGAAAAAGAACAAGGCTGAAGATCTAAGATCCAAGTTCTACTGTTGGCTCTGCCATCAAACAATAAGCTAAACAATGTACAAGTCAGTTTTGGGGAAGCTGTCTTATTCCCAAAATGAGGAGGTTAAATTAGTTAATTCTTCCAGCCTCTATGGCTCTAATATTCCACAGTTACATTTGTCAAAACAAAAGGTAGAAGGAAATGTTTCAAAAACAGACTTCGCAGAAAGAACATCTATATGATATGAAGGGCTGGGGCATATGTGAAGAAATCAAGGAAGACTTCTTGAGGAAGGTGACATCTGAAGTAACTTTAGAAGCACTCTGGGAGCCAAGGCTATTCCCAGGAGTTAACAGAGTCAGATAATAAAAGATCAAAGATGTTTAGGGGAATAGCATGCAGTGTTATTTGGTTGCAGTCTAGCTATATTTTAGGAAACATCAAATTAATATCAGTATAAAACTCAACAGAATGGAGGGAGAAAAAGCAGGTAGAAAAATCTAAGAACCACTAAAATAGTTCATCTAGAAGATAAAGGACCCATGAGCTAAATCAGTGCAAATGGCAAGAAGGGAATAAATGAAGACAGTTCTGGTCCATTAGAACTGCAACTCAACAAAAGTGATCAAAAGAGTTATTCCAAAGTATTGACCTGGTAACTTGAAGAAAAGTAAAGAAAGAGGAAACTGGACACTGAAACAGAAGAAGTAGATTATGTATTTGGTAGTGAATGGAAGTAGATTGGTGGGACCAGTTAGAACCTCACAGAGAAGAACTATGTTAAGACCAGAAATACGGCCAGGTGCGGTGGCTCATGCCTGTAATCCCAGCACTTTGGGAGGCCTGGGTGGGCGGATCACCTGAGGTCAGGAGTTCAAGACCAGCCTGACAAAGATGGAGAAACCCTGTCTCCCCTGTCTGTACTAATACAAAATTAGCCAGGTGTGGTGGTGCATGCCTGTAATCCCAGCTACTCAGGAGGCTGAGGTAGGAGAATCGCTTGAACCCGGGAGGCGGAGGTTGCAGTGAGCTGAGATCGCACCATTGCACTCCAGGCTGGGCAAAAAGAGCGAAACTCTTGTCTCAAAAAACAAACAAACAAAACAAAACAAAACACAGAAATACATCAATTAAAAAAGTGAGCTATTCACCAGATATGTTCCACTGGTCATAAAACAAAAGAATACAGGAGGCATGACAAGCCATCATCATTGCTGTTAAAATAACTCACAGCAAAATTATAATGATTTAAGTCAATAACATCTAATAATTCCAGCTATAGTGTGCAATTTAATTTATTATGTGCCAGGCACAATAGTTTATTAAAGGTATTACCTCTAATTTTCACAATAACCCTATTTTACAGATTATAAAATGGAGGCCCAGAGATGTAAGGTGAACGAGCCAAATCACCTAGTTACCTGGAATATAAACTCAGAACTGCCTAAATCAAAAGCTCTCAATCTTAACCACATGCTATACTGATGCATGTCAAAGATTCAATTCATTCAGATTTTTCAAGGTTATCGGAAAACCTATGTAGATAAAAATTTCCAAAATAATCAAGGATATGTAACTTTTACAGAAAGCAATCACTGATCATCTATTGCAATACTCATGTTCTTAAGCAATATACTGAGTTGAAATTTTTATATTTTATAAATAATTAGAAAGAATACATTTTTTAAAACTTTAAAAAACACCTCAGTTTTTATTCTCTTCCCCAAATTTCAACAAAATCCATTTATCCAAACTTGAGGTTGAATCATTAAAGTGGTGATATCATCAGTAATAGCAGAGTGAGGACCCTGAATATACTCTCCTCCATAAAAGCAACAAGAACACAAAAATTCTCAAAATGAACTTTTTCTGAAATCTTTCAAAAGCCCCACTCTCAGAAAACTGTCATTATTTGATCTGCCAGTTCCCTAGAAAAACCTCCCTCATAGGACATTATTTGACTTGACTCAGAGCTCACTCAGTGCAAACAATTTTATCACCAGGAGAGTTTGTGGAAAATCAGTGGCAATTGTTAAACATCACATCTGCCATGAGATAGCAATAACAGATGGGACAAACAAGCTAACCAAAAAATTAAAAGAAAAACCTGGGAAATAAGAAATCCAAAGGGGGTCTGAAAAGTTCTAACATATTTCTGATAATCCAGAAAGCCATACACATGTATAGAGCTGTGTACACGCTCAAAAAACATCTACGAAGGCCCTAAACTCTCACCTATGGGAAACCCTGAGGCTCTGTACAAGAAGAAAGTAAAATCCAGTTATAAATTGCTTGCCGTATCATTGAAGGCAATGCCCCAACATTCACACATAGGCCCCTGGCAAAGATTGGAAGATACTCTAGTTCTAGGCATTCAAGAAAATCTCTTCTAATCATCAGATGATCACTAAACTCACCAAGCAGTAACTTTAGGGGCCTGTGTGATAAAAAATAAAAACCTGAAAGAATTAGTTCAGGAAAGAAACTAAACAAGCAACAGCAACAACAAAAACAGACCTTGGGAAAGGGGGGAAGCATCTGGTTTCCAGAGTTATTCTGTTATACTATATAAAATATTCAGGTCTCAACAACAACAAAATTACAAAGACATGCAAAGAAACAAGTATAAGCCACAAACTGGGGGGAAAAAGCAGCAGAAACTGGCCCTGAAAAAGACCAGATGCTGGACTTACTGGACAAAGACTTTAAGAGAGTTATTTTAAATATGCGCAAAGAACTAAAAAAAAGTTTATCTAAAGAACTACAGGAAAGTATCAGAACAATATTTCTGATCCTTCAGAAGAACCACTTTTTGTCACTACAGATTAGTTCTGTCTGGTCTAGAACTTCTTAAAAACAGAATCATAGAGTATATTCTCTTTATATCAGCTCTTTTTACTCAACACAATGTTGTGTGAGATTTATCCATGTTGTTGCATGTATCATTCCCAAACAGAAATAGAAATTATAGAGATAAATAGGAGTTACAAAAAAGTACCAAACAAAAATTCTGGAGTTGAAAAGCACAAAAACTGAATTAACTTGAGGGGCTCAACAGCTGATTTGGGCAGCCAGAAGAATGAATCAGCAAATCTAAAGATAGGTCAATTGCGAGAAAGAGAGGGAAGAAGGAAGGAAGGAAGGAAAGGAGGCTCAGAGACCCAAGAGACACCATCAGGCATACCAATATACATATAATGAGAGGCCCAGAAGAAGATGCAGAAAAAGGGTCAGAGTATCTGAAAAAATAATGGCCCTAAACTTCCCGAACTTGACCCCAAAAATTAATCTACACATCCAAGAAGATAAACAAACTAAAAAGAATAAAATCAAAGCGATCCACACCTAGGTACATCATAATCAAATGACTGAAATATAAAGAGAGACTCTCAAAACAGGCAAGGGACTTATGTACAAAACATCTTCAGATTAATAACAAATTTCTCATCAGAAATGATGTTGTCAATAGGCAATCAGATGACATAATCAAAGCACTGAAAGAAGTAGAATGTCTGGGACCTGGAATGCTGGTGGACACCTGTAATCTCAGTATTTTGGGTGGCCAAGGTGGGAGGATCACTTGAGGCAAGGAGTTGAAGACCAGCCTGGGCAGCAGAAAGAGGCTCTGTCTCTACAAAGAATAAAAAGATTGGCTGAATGTGGTGGTGTGGACCTGTAGTCCCAGCTACTCAGGCGGCTAAGGTGGAAAGATCGCTTGAGCCCAGGAGTTGGAGGCTGCAGTGAGCTATGACTGTGCCACTGCACTCTTGCAGTGGAGACCCTGTCTCTATAAAGAAAAAATGTCAACCAAAAACTACATGCAGAAAAACTGCACTTCAAGAAATGATCAGTACCTTGAAGCTCTGAAGGTGCTTAAGACTGTAGATCAATACCATAGAAAATAATTTAGTATTTAGGAATGTAAGAAAATTAAGACAGCCTTGTTTGATAACTACACATAATACTGTAACTGTTCTTGCACTGTTCTGGTTATTGTCAAGCTATGAGCACAAACTGATGACTGAAATACAGAATACAGAACAGGATATAAAATCTTATCAGGTAAAGTTAGGCAAGCAATTACTAGTTGTAATTCAACTTGAAGGAGAAGGAATAAGGAACCAACTCAAACCAGGCAGCAATGAATTGTAAAAAAGCTTAAGGTAAAACAAACAGGGAAATAAAACAACTCAGAACCTAAGCATATCGTAAGAACCTAATCTAACAAGGAGGGGCTTAAACTGATTATTTTACAGCTTGGGTGCAATTATCCCACAAAAAACTTTCAGGAGTTTCACCAGTCCATAAACTATTTGGTTATTAGAAAATAGCTTTATTGGGCTACCCTCTTTGGGTCCCCTCCCTTTGTATGGGAGCTCTGTTTTCACTCTATTAAATCTTGCAACTGCACTCTTCTGGTCCGTGTTTGTTACGGCTCGAGCTGAGCTTTCACTCTCCATCCACCACTGCTGTTTGCCGCCATCGCAGGCCTGCCACTGACTTCCATCCCTCTGGATCTAGCAGGGTGTCCGTTGTGCTCCTGATCCAGTGAGACGCCCATTGCCGATCCCGACTGGGCTAAAGACTTGCCATTGTTCCTACGCGGCTAAGTGCCCGGGTTCATCCTAATTGAGCTGAACACTAGTCACTGGGTTCCACGGTTCTCTTCTGTGACCCGTGGCTTCTAATAGAGCTATAACACTCACCGCGTGGCCCAAGATTCCATTTATTGGAATCCATGAGGCCAAGAACCCCAGGTCAGAGAACACGAGGCTTGCCATCATCTTAGAAGCAGCCCGCCACCATCTTCGGAGTTCTGGGAGCAAGGACCCCCTGGTAACAATTTGGCGACCACAAAGGGACCTGAACCCGCAACCATGAAGGGATCTCCAAAGCGGTAATATTGGACCACTTTTGCTTGCTACTCTGGCCTATCCCTTAGAATTGGAGGAAAATACTGGGCACCTGTCGGCCGGTTAAAAACGATTAGCATGGCCGCCAGACTTTAGACTCAGGTATGAGGCTATCTGGGGAAGGGCTTTCTAACAACCCTCAACCCTTCTGGGTTGGGAACCTTGGTCTGCCTGGAGCCAGCTTCCACTTTCAATTTTCCTGGGGAAGCCAAGGGCTGACTAGAGGCAGAAAGCTGTCGTCCCGAACTCCCGGCATTAGCCGGTTGAGATCATGTCGCAGCCAGAAGTCTCTACTCAACAGTCGCCCATGCGTGCGCTCCTACCTTCCCTTCTGTCCCACACCTCCTGGGTCCCAACCACGACTTTCTTGAAAGTGTAGCCCCAAAATTCTCCTTACCTCTGAATCTACTTCCTCTGATCCCTGCCTCCTAGGTACTAATGGTTGAGACTTTCATTTCCTCTAGCAAGTTGTATCTCCAAAGGGATCTAAGGAAGCTCTATGCTGCGCCCTTAGGCATCTAGGCTATAAACCCAGGGAGTCTTGTCCCTGGTGTCCCTCCTGATTTAGGTATACAGCTCTAGACATGGGCAGTTATGTGGGACCTGTTCCCCACCACCCTTGCCAGGGCCCCAAGTTTGTAAATGGCTAAGAGAGGAAACAGAGAGAGACAGAGAGAAAGAGACAGTGAGAGACAGACAGAGACAGAGAGAGAGAGAGACAGAGAGGAGAGAGAGAGAGACAGGGAGGACAGGGAGAGAGACAGAGAGGAGAGGGAGAGAGACAAAGAGGAGAAAGAGGCAGAGAGACAAACAGGGAGTCAGAGAAAGAAAGACAAAGATAGAAATAGTAAAAAAAAACAGTGTGCCCTATTCCTTTAAAAGCCAGGGTAAATGTAAAACCTATAATTGATAATTGAAGGTCTTCTCCGCGACCCTATAACACTCCAATACTACCTTGTTGTCAGCGTAAACAAGGGCGTAGCCTGAAAACACTAAGACCACTGACAACCCATAGCCTTCCTATCAAAAATCCTTAACATCCAGTGACCTGCGGATGGCCCAAATGCATTCAATCTGTAGCGGCAACTGCTTTGCTAACAGAAAAAAGTAGAAAAGTAACTTTTAGAGGAAACCTCATTGTGAGCACACCTCACCGGTTCAGAATTATTCTAAGTCAAAAAAGCAAAAAGGTAGCTTATTAACTCAAAAATATTAAAGTATGGGGCTATTCTGTCAGAAAAAGGTAATTTAACACTAACCACTGATAATTCCCTTAACCCTGCAGATTTCCTTACAGGGGATTTAAATCTTAATTACCATACAAAGGTCCGACCAGACCTAGGAGGAACTCCCTTCAGGACAGGATGATAGATGGTTCCTCCCAAATGACTGAGGAAAAAACCACAATGGGTATTCAGTAATTGATAGGGAGACTCTTGTGGAAGCAGAGTTAGAAAAATTGCCTAATAATTGGTCTCCTCAAATGTCAGAGCTGTTTGCACTCAGCCAAGCCTTAACGTACTTACCGAATCAAAAAGACTATCTCAATCCTGACTCAAAAGCTTACTTATACCCTCTCTGAAACGAATTTGCCTAAGAACTGTTGTTTATGGGAATGCATCTTGATGGAGCAGCTGGGTTGTTATGAAATACTCAGGAACTCAGCCTAGCTCTAGGACTCACCCCTGAGCACAAAGGCAATGTTGGGCACGCTGGTAAAGGACCACTAGAATCCAGCAGCCCGGACCCCTTTCTTTGTGATCAAGAAAGGCGGGAAAAGGGGTGAGGGCTGCTACATCAGTGAGCATAACTAATCCGATAAGCAGAGGTCCATGGGTGGTTACACACCCCGGAAAGGAATAAGCATTAGGACCATAGAGGACGCTCTAGGACTAATGCTCATCGGAAAATGACTAGTGGTGCTGGCATCCCTATGTTCTTTTTTCAGATAGGAAACGTTCCCCTCAAGGCAAAAACACCCCTAAGATGTATTCTGGAGAATTGGGACCAATTTGACTCTCAGATGCTAAGAAAAAAAAGACATATTCTTCTGCAGTACCGCCTGGCAACGATATACTCTTTAAGGGGGAGAAACCTGGCATCCTGAGGGAAGCATAAATTATAACACCATCTTACAGCTAGACCTCTTTTGTAGAAAAGAAGGCAAATGGTGTGAAGTGTCATACGTACAAACTTTCTTTTCATTAAGAGACAACTCGCAATTATGTAAAAAGTGTGATTTATGCCCTACAGGAAGCCCTCAGAGTCTACCTCCCTACCCCAGCATCCCCCAGACTCCTTCCCCAAATAATAAGGACCCCCCTTCAACCCAAACGGTCCAAAAGGAGATAGACAAAGGGGTAAACAACTAACCAAAGAATGCCAATATTCCCCGATTATGCCCCCTCCAAGCGGTGGGAGGAGAATTCGGCCCAGCCAGAGTGCACGTACCTTTTTCTCTCTCAGACTTTAAATTAAAATAGACCTAGGTAAATTCTCAGATAACCCTAATGGCTATATTGATGTTTTACAAGGTTTAGGACAATCCTTTGATCTGATATGGAGAGATATAATGTTACTGCTAAATCAGACACTAACCCCAAATGACAGAAGTGTCGCCGTAACTGCAGCCTGAGAGTTTGGCGATCTCTGGTATCTCAGTCAGGTCAATGATAGGTCGACAACAGAGGAAAGAGAACGATTCCCCACAGGCCAGCAGGCAGTTCCCAGTGTAGACCCTCACTGGGACACAGAATCAGAACATGGAGATTGGTGCCGCAGACATTTGCTAACTTGCGTGCTAGAAGGACTAAGGAAAACTAGAAAGAAGCCTGTGAGTTATTCAATGATGTCCACTATAACACAGGGAAAGGAAGAAAATCCTACCGCCTTTCTGGAGTGACTAACGGAGGCATTGAGGAAGCATACCTCTCTCTGTCAACTGACTCTACTGAAGGCCAACTAATCTTAAAGGATAAGTTTATCACTCAGTCAGCTACAGACATTAGGAAAAAACTTCAAAAGTCTGCCTTAGGCCCGGAACAAAACTTAGAAACCCTATTGAACTTGGCAACCTCAGTTTTTTATAATAGAGATCAGGATGAGCAGGCAGAATGGGACAAATGGGATAAAAAAAAGGCCACCGCTTTAGTCATGGCCCTCAGGCAAGCGGACTTTGGAGGCACTGGAAAAGGGAAAAGCTAGGCAAATCAAATGCCTAATAGGGTTTGCTTCCAGTGCGGTCTACAAGGACACTTTAAAAAAGATTGTCCAAATAGAAATAAGCCGCCCCCTCGTCCATGCACCTCGTGTCAAGGGAATCACTGTAAGGCCCACTGCCCCAGGGGACGTAGGTCCTCTGAGTCAGAAGCCACTAACCAGATGATCCAGCAGCAGGACTGAGAGTGCCCGGGGCAAGCACCAGCCCATGCCATCACCCTCACAGAGCCCTGGGTATGCTTGACCATTGACGGCCAGGAGGCTAACTGTCTCCTGGACACTGGTGTGGCCTTCTCAGTCTTATTTTCCTGTCCCAGACAACGGTCCTCCAGAGCTGTCACTATCCAAGGGGTCCTAGGACAGCCAGTCACTAGATACTTCTCCCAGCCACTAAGTTGTGACTGGGGAACTTCACTCTTTTCACATGCTTTTCTAATTATGCCTGAAAGCCCAACTCCCTTGTTAGGGAGAGACATTCTAGCAAAAGCAGGGGCCATTATACACCTGAACATAGGAGAACACCCGTTTGTTGTCCCCTGCTTGAGGAAGGAATTAATCTTGAAGACTGGGCAACAGAAGGACAATATGGACGAGCAAAGAATGCCCGTCCTGTTCAAGTTAAACTAAAGGATTCTGCCTCCTTTCCCCACCAAAGGCAGTACCCCCTTAGACCCGAGGCTCAACAAGGACTCCAAAAGATTAAGGACCTAAAAGCCCAAGGCCTAGTAAAAGCATGCAATAGCCCCTACAATAATCCAACTTTAGGAGTACAGAAACCCAGTGGACAGTGGAGGTTAGTGCAAGATCTCAGGATTATCAATGAGGTCACTGTCCCTCTATACCTAGCTGTACCTAACCCTTATATTCTGCTTTCCCAAATACCAGAGGAAGCAGAGTGGTTTACAGACCTGGACCTTAAGGATGCCTTTTTCTGCATCCCTGTACATCCTGACTCTCAATTCTTATTTGCCTTTGAAGATCCTTCAAACCCAATGTCTCAACTCACCTGGACTGTTTCACCCCAAGGGTTCAGGGATAGCCCCCATCTATTTGGCCAGGCATTAGCCCAAGACTTGAGCCGGTTCTCATACCTGGGCACTCTTGTCCTTTGGTATGTGGATGATTTTTACTTTTAGCCGCCAGTTCAGAAACCTTGTGCCATCAAGTCACCCAAGTGCTCTTAAATTTTCTCGCTACCTGTGGCTACAAGGTTTCCAAACCAAAGGCTCAGCTCTGCTCACAGCAGGTTAAATACTTAGGGCTAAAATTATCCAAAGGCACCAGGGCCCTCAGTGCCTATTCTGGCTTATCCTCATCCCAAAACCCTAAAGCAACTAAGAGGATTCCTTGACATAACAGGTTTCTGCCAAATATGGATTCCCAGGTACGGCGAAATAGCCAGACCATTATATACACTAATTAAGGAAACTCAGAAAGCCAATACCCATTTAGTAAGATGGACACCTGAAGCAGAAGCGGCTTTCCAGGCCCTAAAGAAGGCCCTAACCCAAGCCCCAGTGTTTAGCTTGCCAACGGGGCAAGACTTTTCTTTACATGTCACAGAAAAAAACAGAAATAGCTCTAGGAGTCCTTACACAGGTCGATGAGCTTGCAACCCATGGCATACCTGAGTAAGGAAATTGATGTAGTGGCAAAGGGTTGGCCTCATTGTTTATGGGTAGTGGCGGCAGTAGCAGTCTTAGTATCTGAAGCAGTTAAAATAATACAAGGAAGAGATCTGTGTAGACATCTCATAACGTGAACGGCATACTCACTGCTAAAGGAGACTTGTGGCTGTCAGACAACCGTGAGGAAAGTAACTAAAATCGTAAATCCCCATGGCCCTCCCTTATCATATTTTTCTCTTTACTGTTCTCTTACCCCCTTTCACTCTCACTGCACCCCCTCCATGCTGCTGTACAACCAGCAGCTCCCCTTACCAAGAGTTTCTATGAAGAATGCGGCTTCCCAGAAATATTGATGCCCCATCAAATAGGAGTTTACCTAAAGGAAACTCCACCTTCACTGCCCACACCCATATGCCCCACAACTGCTATAACTCTGCCACTCTTTGCATGCATGCAAATACTCATTATTGGACAGGGAAAATGATTAATCCTAGTTGTCCTGGAAGACTTGGAGCCACTGTCTGTCGGACTTACTTCACCCATACTGGTATGTCTGAGGGGGGTGGAGTTCAAGATCAGGCAAGAGAAAAACATGTAAAGGAAGTAACCTCCCAACTGACCCGGGTACATAGCACCCCTAGCCCCTACAAAGGACTAGATCTCTTAAAACTACATGAAACCCTCCATACCCATACTTGCCTGGTAAGCCTATTTAATACCACCCTCACTGGGCTCCATGAGGTCTCGGCCCAAAACCCTACTAACTGTTGGATGTGCCTCCCCCTGTATTTCAGGCCATGCATTTCAATCCCTGTACCTGAACAATGGAACAACTACAGCACAGAAATAAACACCACTTCCGTTTTAGTAGGACCTCTTGTTTCCAATCTGGAAATAACCCATACCTCAAACCTCACCTGTGTAAAATTTAGCAATACTGTAGACACAACCAACTCCCAATGCATCAGGTGGGTAACTCCTCCCACACGAATAGTCTGCCTACCCTCAGGAATATTTTTTGTCTGTGGTACCTTAGCCTATCGTTGTTTGAATGGCTCTTCAGAATCTATGTGCTTCCTCTCATTCTTAGTGCCCCCATGACCATTTACACTGAACAAGATTTATACAATTATGTTGTACCTAAGCCCCACAACAAAAGAGTACTCATTCTTCCTTTTGTTATCGGAGCAGGAGTGCTAGGTGGACTAGGTTCTGGCATTGGCGGTACCACAACCTCTACTCAGTTCTACTACAAACTATCTCAAGAACTCAATGGTGACATGGAATGGGTTGCCGACTCCCTGGTCACCTTGCAAGATCAACTTAACTTCCTAGCATCAGTAGTCCTTCAAAATTGAAGAGCTTTAGACTTGCTAACCTCTGAAAGAGGGGGAAGCTGTTTATTTTTAGGGGAAGAATGTTGTTATTATGTTATTTTAGCGGAAGAATGTTGTTATTATGTTAATCAATCCTGAATTGTCACAGAGAAAGTTGAAGAAATTCGAGATTGAATACAACGTAGAACAGAGGAGCTTCAAAAACACCAGACCCTGGGGCCTCCTCAGCCAATGGATGCCCTGGATTCTCCCCTTCTTAGGATCTCTAGCAGCTCTAATATTGATACTCCTCTTTGGACCCTGTATCTTTAACCTCCTTGTTAAGTTTGTCTCTTCCAGAATCAAAGTTGTAAAGCTACAAATCGTTCTTCAAATGGAACCCCAGATGAAGTCCATGACTAAGATCTACCGTGGACCCCTGGACCGGCCTACTAGCCCATGCTCCAATTGTAATGATATCGAACGCACCCCTCCCGAGGAAATCTCAACTGCACAACCCCTACTATGCCCCAATTCCGCAGGAAGCAGTTAGACTGGTCGTCAGCCAACCTCCCCAACAGCACTTGGGTTTTCCTGTTGAGTGGGGGGACTGAGAGACAGGATTAGCTGGATTTCCTAGGCCGACTAAGAATCCCAAAGCCTAGCTGGGAAGGTGACCACATCCACCTTTAAACACTGGGCTTGCAACTTAGCTCACACCCGACCAATCAGGTAGTAAAGAGAGCTCACTAAAATGCTAATTAGACAAAAACAGGAGGTAAAAAAATAGCCAATCATCTATCGCCTGAGAGCACAGCGGGAAGGACAATGATCGGGATATAAACCCAGGCATTCAAGCCGGCAACGGCTACCTTCTTTGGGTCCCCTCCCTTTGTATGGGAGCTCTCTCTGTCTTCACTCTATTAAATATTGCAACTGCAAAAAAAAAATAGCTTAATTGAAGAATAAATTAATACAATAAAAGGAATACATTTTAAGTATACAGTTCAAACTGTAACAGTGTTACAGTTTCAAGAGGACCCCTTCAACAAGATATTGGGCATTTCCATCATGCCCTAAAAGTTCCTTCTTGTCCCTTACTGGTTGGGTCCATCTCTACTACACCCTCCTGACCTGGCCCAGACCTTGGCCTCAGAAGAATCATTTTTTTGTCACTACATATTAGTTTTGTCTGTTCTAGAACTTCTTAAAAACAGAATCATAGAGTATGTTCTCTTTGTATTGGTTCTTTTTACTCAATGTAATGTTCTGTGACATTTATCCATATTATTGCATGTATTATTCCTTTTAATCCTGAATAGTATGCTGTTTTAGGAATATAATGCAATTGTTTATTCATTTACCTGTTGACAGATATCTGAGCTATTATGATGGATATTATGAATAATTCTGCTATGAACACTTCTGTACAATGTTTTCTCGGACATATATTTTCATTTTTCTTGAGTGGAGCTGTTAGAACTGTTGGATCAGAAAGTAAGCATATGTTGAATTTTGAAAGAAACTGGTAAACTCTTGTCTAAAGTGATTTGTACCATTTTACACTCCTACTAATAATGTATGAGAGTTATATTTGCTCCACAGCCTTTTTACTACTTTGTTAATCTTTTTAGTACTGTCAACCTTTTTAATTTATCCAATCTAGGGAACGTGAAGTAGTATCTCACTGTTATTTTCATTTTCCTGATGAGTAACAATATCGTGTATCTTTTCATGTGCTTATTAGCCATTCCTATATCTTTTGTGAAATAGTT
Source organism: Homo sapiens (assembly GCF_000001405.40). Lineage (NCBI taxonomy): Eukaryota > Metazoa > Chordata > Mammalia > Primates > Hominidae > Homo > Homo sapiens. Next base: position 106,236,649 of record NC_000006.12, read on the forward strand.
AACTTAAATTTGTAACTAAAGGTGCTTTCCTGAGTTTCAGGTAGTAAGCCTATTTCCCTCAAGTGAATAAACTACAGTCTTGGAATGAAAAATTAAACACAGTGGAGACATTTTTTGTATAAGTTGTTTTACTCTGTGTATGTCTGGTTTGCTTAGTCTATTATTATATGCCCCATGAAAGCAAACACAGTGCTTATTTCACTAATGAGTATCACTAGCACATAGAACTGTGCTTGCCCAAAGCATGAACTCAATAAATATGTTAATGTGTATGCATGCACATACATCTACATGCATGTACATCTATACACACATATAAACATATATTAATTTTTAGACCCACAAATCTAAGAAAACTAATTCTTGAGCCTCTGGTTTGAAGAATTCTCAAATTATTAACATATCTTTATGTTCCACTCCACATCCACTGTACCTGAAATAGCCCTACTGTTCTACTTTGGTAAATCAGGCAAATTTAATTTTTTAAATAATTAAGATTCCAACTAATTTTAAAATATAATTTGAAAGTTAACAATGAAATACATTACATAAAAAGAAAATTTTAAATAAAAGCAAAACTAAACCCAATAAGAGGAAAGAAAGTTGGGCTGTATTTCTTTAATCCTTTAAAATTCAAATCACACAATGCTCCAATGAAATCTTCATTAACTGAACCAAACTATGCCCATGAAAGATCTCATATGCAACTGCTAAAACCTCAATAAACATATTCATCTTCTTGCAAAAAAGATATTTCTTTATAATATGCACATGCAGTATATACTATTTTGAGGCAGATTTGTACTTTAGTCCTTGTTCCATTGCTTACCGGCTGGCTGTCCTTTGTCTGGTCATTGACCTCCAACTTAAAAAATAATACTTGCCTTGTCTACCCCACAGAAGTGTTATGAAAGTCAAACAAGGTAGCATAAAGGTATTTTACAAGATATAAAGTGCTATAATACAGATTTTAAAAATCACTCTACATCCCATAATACTTTGTTGTACAATTTTAGAGCAATAGTAGAAAATAACAATTATTGCCTAATTGAAAATCCAGTCCCGAATTCCATAAAATGTATGATATGAACATTATAGTACATCATATTACGAGCCCCAAATAATCACTGCTTATATAGTTGGTTAGGATTTCCTTAGTTTGTTCATATAGTTTATATATTTATGCAGTCCCTATTTTGTGAGAGGCATTGTGAGGAGCATAAAGACATAAGCACAGTACAGAGCCTTAGCTTCTCTACATTTACTAAAGAAGACTTCTTCTTGGGTATTTAATCAATATTTAAAGTATTCTGGGAAGAAATGAAATTAACTTCATAGACTGACCTTAGATTACTATCATTACAAAAAGATGCCTGAGTGATCTGTCTTTAACATACCAGTATTTATCTTATAACTGTTATATTTACTTGAATCAGAAGTGAAGTCCTTTTAAGCACTAAGCATCCATTCTATACTTTCTTGTCTTTACATATGAGATACAAATCATATTTTTAAAACTTTTATTTACTTTTATTTTTTAGAGACGGAGTCTTGCTCTGTAGCCCAGGCTGGAGTACAGTGGCATGATCTTGGCTCACCACAATCTCCACCTCCACTTCCCAGGGTTCAAGTGAACAAATCATACTTTTAAGCACAGATTCTCAACATGTATCCTAGCATGCTACTGCCATAACTAGGGTGTGAATTAAGTATTAAAGACAGCTTACCCCAAATATTACTGTAACATATATCTCTAAATGAAAAAGAACATATTAACAACTATACTTGGATGGGATTCTGGGAGCTAACCCATCCCTCTCTCCCCTTTCCTCCAAATTCCATCTCCTATTAACACACCAGCTCTCCTGAGCTAAGCAGCTCCTGGGGTTGGGGAAGGGTGTACATGGAGAAAGCTAGAACCTCTACAGTGTTTTCCTCTCTGGGAGGAACTAGCAGGCATACGAACAGAAAAAGCTGAATAAAAGGCTGAATCCTTTCTATTCCTGAGGCAGACAGAGAGAAGACCAGGGAACAAAGAGACTTCGACCAAGAGCCCTGCCAGGTATTGATACCTTTGATACTGAGAAAATATCTGGGATATGAAATACAAATGCTAAATAAGTATCTTTGAAATAGGGGTAAAAGAATAAAGGGTCTTGATGAGTAAAATGGGTAGTATTTTTTAATAACCTGATAATGAGCTTTAGGAAAAGGGAAGGTCAACGTTATGGAATGAAAACACAGAGGTACCAAATTTAAAAGCATAAAAAAAAGTGGAGGGGGGGAACCCAATAACTTCATCAAACTAGCAAATAACTTAGTATCATTTCTAATTAGAAACGCTAGAAGGAAATCACTTAGATCTGATAAAGACTAGGCTATAATTCTAACTGATGAAACACTTAAACTGTATCAATTAATACCAGAAAACAAACACAGAAAAGTCTACTAGAACCATCATTATTCAGCACAGTCTTGGTAATGCAATACTATAATAGCAATGCAATAAAGCAAGAAAAAAAAAAGTTTGTAAAAACACAATAGGATGAGATTTTTGTTTTTCCAATGCCATAAATAACTAGAAATGGAAACAAAATAAAGAAAAACAAAATCTACAAAACACCTGGAAATAAAAAGAAAAATGGTCTATTTGAAGAAAACCTTAAAATCTATGCAGAACATAAAACAAAATCTGAATAAAAAGAAATATCATGTTCTTGTCTGGGAAGACTTAATATCATAAGAAAGTGAATTATATCAAAATTTAAATCGAAATTTAATGTATTTCCATCTCTAATCAGACAGGACACTATGGGGAACTGAATAAGTGATTTTAAAAGTCATGGAAAATTAATAACTGAGAATAACCATGAAAAGTATGAAAAAAGGAGACAAATGAATTGCTCCAACAGATATCAGAACGCTAAAATTAAATAAAAATACTACTAGGATAAGAAAATACATATACTGATGTAATGAATAAAGAATCCAGAATTAGATTCCAGTAAGTCAAACTACTTTACTATAAACCAGGGGTGGCATATTCATCCAGTGGGAAAAGGACAGTAAGAAGTGAGTAAACTATGGCCCACTGGCCAAATTGTGGCCTCTGCCTATTTTTGCAAATAAAGTTTTACTGGGACAAAGCCAAGCCTATCATTTGCAAATTGTCTATAAATATTTTCATGTTACAGAATCACACAGTTTCAACAGAGACCATCTTGTCTACAAAGCTGAAAATATCTACTATCTGGCCCTTGAAGAAAGTTTGCCAAACCTTAGTTTATATAATAAAAGATCAGCTATCTCATAGACACCTATCTCACACAACACATTGTGGGAAAGGACCTTCTTTTTTTTTTGAGACGGGGTCTTGCTCTGTTGACCAGGCTGGACTGTAGTGGCATGATCATGGCTCACTGCAGCCTCAACCTCCCAGGTTCAAGTAATGCTCCCACCACAGAATCCCAAACAGCTGGGAGAGATGTGTGCCACTACGCCTGGCTAAGGGGCCTTTTTAACAGAGAAAGAAATCCACATACTACTAAGAAAAAGAAGGGCATATTTGATATATATTTATATTTTTTATATAGATATCATAAAAATCAAGATGAATTATACAGTTATATTTTGCAATGTGTTTGACGGTAAAAGTTTAATATCTATAAAAATTATTTTATAAAATATCTTTAATATATTTATAGATATTATAATATAAAATATCTATAAAATTATTTTATAAAATAAAAAGTTAAGAAGAAAAGATAGGCAAAACAAAATACAGTGCAATTTACAGAAAACCAAGTCCAAATGGTCAACAAAGATAAAACAGATTTATAAACTCACTAAGTGTGAGAGAATTATTAGTTAAAGTAAAAATATCTCTCTATACCCACAATACTACTAAAAATCAGAGTTATAATGCCCTATTGCTGGTGGAGATGTAAGGGGAGAAGCATGCTCTCATATACTGTTAGTGAAAATTTAAACTAATACATTTTTGAAAAGTAAGCTGGCAATTTTTTTTTTAATCTCTACCTTTTGATGCAAAAACTCATTTTTGGGTACCTATTCCATACCTTAAAAAAAATACATATGCTTACTGTAGTACTGTTTATAATGGTAAAAACTAGAAAAAAAGAAAACTTGATAGTGAATACTGAACAAATTACAGTGCATCTACAGATTAAACATAATGCAGCCATTAAAAAAGAATAAATTAGGCTGGGTGCGGTGGCTCATGCCCGTAATCCCAGCACTTTGGGAGGCCAAAGCAGGCGGATCACTTGAGGCCAGGAGTTCGAGACCAGCCTGGCCAACATGGCAAAACCCTGGCTCTACAAAAAATACAAAAATTAGTCGGGCATGGTGGTGGGCACCTGTAGTCCCAGCTACTCAGGAGGCTGAGGCAGGAGAATCACTTGAGCCTGGGAGACAGAGATTGCAGTGAGCCAAGATCATGCCACAGCATTCCAGTCCAGGTGACAGAACGAGACTCTGTCTCAACAAAAAGAACAAATTAAACCCTACAACTCATCAACAAAAATACCCAAACCCAATTCAAAAATGGGCAAAGGACTTGAATAGACATTTCTTCAAGGATGATAAACAAGCACATGAAAAGATGCAGAGCACTATTCATTAGTGATTACATCCCACATGCATTAGGATGGCTAGTATGAAGAACAGAAAATAATAAATATTGGTGAAGATCTGAAAAACAGAAACCTTTGTGCACTGTTGGTGGGAATGTAAAGTGGTACAGCTACTACGGAAAACAGTATGGCCATTCCTCAAGAAAATAAAAATAAAATTATCTTATGATAGGAATATGCATTTCTGGGTAAATACCCCAAATAACTGAAAACAGGGTGTACACCCATTTCAACATTTACATGTCAATTCAACTGGGCCAGAATACCCAGATATTTGTTCAAATATTCTTCTGGATGCTTCTATATATATGTTTTTTGGCTGAGGTTAACATTTAAATTGGTGGATTCTGAGTACAGCAGATTACCATCCACAATGTAGGTGGGCCTCATCTACTCAGTTGAAGGTCTTACAGAAAAAGACTGACCTCCCTTGAGCAAGAAAGAATTCAGGCAACAGACTGCCTTTGGACTCAACTGCAACTCTTCCTTGAGTCAACAGCCCATCCCATCACCCTGGCTTGGTGAGTCCAGGGTCTGATGAGGTAGGCTGCAGACTCAAGGAAGAGCTGCCAAAACCAGGAAAGCCAATTCATTAAAATAAATCTCTCTCTACACAAACACACACACACACTACCACCACCACCATGATGGTTCTGTTTCTCTGGAGAATGCTAATACACCCCTGTTCATGGCAGCATTATTCACAATAGCCAAAAGGTGGAAGCAACTCCAGCAGATGAATGGAGAAGCAAAATGTGGTATGTATATACAATGGAATATTATTAAGCCTTTAAAAAGTGGAAATTATATCTATCTATATCTATACACACATACTCACACACACACACACACATTTATAGAAGACAGGGTTTCACCATGTTGTCAAGGCTGGTCTCGAACTCCTGGGCTCAAGCAAACCGCCTGCCTCAGCTTCCCAAAGTGCTGAGATTACATGTGTGAGCCACCACACCCAGCCAAAAAAAGGACATTCTGACACATAATACAATATAGATAAACAATGAGGACATCATGATATGCGAAATAAGCCTGTCACAAAAAGGCAATTAGTGTATGATTCCTCTTGTATGAGGTACCTATGGATGTCAAATCCATAAAGTAGAATGGGGAAACAGAGAGTTGTTTAATGGGTATAGAGTTTGTTTTGCAAGAAGAAAAGAGTTTTGGAGAATGAATGTACAACAGTGTGAACATAATTAACACTACTGAAAATGGTTAAGATTATAAATTTTATGTTACATTTATTTTACCATGATTAAAAATTAAAACAAAATAATATTAAGGAAAAATACTATAAATAACAACAACAAAAAAAACACCTCAAGCAACTTACATTCACCTGGGAAACAGAATACATCCTATTCTGCTAGAGATATATCTGCAGTTCAAAATTTATTACAAATGATGTTGTGTATCTTTTTGAAATGACTGAAAAACTAAATTAAAAGCAATAATATTCAGTTTACTAACCAGTAAGTCCTTCTTTCATGGTTCCTGACTTTTCTGTAAGATGTTATTGCAAGATATCTACTAAAATGGAAAACAACTGAAAAGGCAAAATTATAATTTCTTATCAACATCGCTAAAACCCTGGAGGGGAAGAATCCTAACAAACATGGCCATAATTTGCCACATATTTCTACTGTCCTCACTTTTCAAAATCCAGAAATCAACATTTCTGGAAACAAAACAGAGTCTAAAATTTGGCTCCTTCTTCAGTTTAGAAGGTGCCAAGTTAATCCCTGACATCCTAGTTTCCATTTTCAAAAATGTACTTTTTCTCTCCCCAAACCGGTATCTAGATTCTTAAATATTTTTAGCACATAGAAGTTAAATAGATTTGCTTAACCAAAATAGCCAGTAAACCTCCCAAAAGAATTAAAATATTAATGGCGCTTTAATGATACAAATGAACAACTTTACATTCAATCGTCAATGGGAAAGGAAGCAGAATTCTGAGGATTATGAAAGTAAACAAAACGAAGTTCAAATTCTACTTTATTTTACTTTTTTGTAACTAATGAACAACTTCTTCCAAAGACAAGTAGGAAATACAAAAATTAGCCAGGCATGGCACATGCCTGTAGTCCTGGTTACTTGGAAGGCTGAAGTGGGTGGATCGCTTGAGCCGGGAAGGCAGAGGCTGTAGTGAGCTGAGATCACATCACTGCACTCAAGCCTGGGTGACAGAGCAAGACCCTCTCTGGGGAAAAAAAAAAAAAAAATAGGCTGGGCGCAGTGGCTCACACTTGTAATTCCAGCACTTTGGGAGGCTGAGGCAGGTGGTTCACCTGAGGTCAGGAGTTCTAGACCAGCCTGACCAATATGGTGAAACCCTGTCTCTACTAAAAATACAAAAATTAGCCAGGCATGGTGGTGGGCAATTGTAATCCTAGCTACTCGGGAGGCTGAGGCAGGAAAATCGCCTGAACCCAAGAGGCGGAGGTTTCAGTGAGCCGAGATTGCACTAGTGCACTCCAGCCTGGGCGACAGAGCAAGACTTCATCTCAAAATAAATAAATAAGTAAGTAAATAAAATTAAAAAATATATAAAAATAAAACAAAGATAAGTAGGAACCATCCTTTTTTTTTTTTTTTTTTTTTTTTTTTAAAGATAGGGTCTGTTTCTGATGCCCAGGCTTGAGTGTAGTGGCATGATCATGGCTCACTGCAACCTTGACCTCTCAAATACAAGTGACTCTCCTACCTCAGCCTCCCAAGTAGCTGGGACTACAGGTGCTTACCACCCCATCCGGCTCATTTAAAAAAATTTTTTTGTAGAGGTGGGGTCTCACTATGTTGTATCCAGGCTGGTCTCATTTTAACTTTATTAGAAAACAAGCATTGTTTTATCAGCTTCTTGTTTTTTTAAAACTAAAAATAACACTGCTAGGTTGTTTCTATGAAGATTCTCTAAATTTATTTATAACCTTAAGAATAACATGTAGAACAAAGTAGATGACTGAATGATCTTTGTTGAATAAATATGAATGGATATTCAAATAATTAAAAATCTCTTAAGATCTCCCATTCTTTACAGGATACAGAGAAAACTCGTTAATATGGCCTGACTTTTACCTTTGCAGCCTTATCCAAACTCTGTGGTCAAGACAAACAGGTTGTCCTTATACTTACAACGTCCCCCTTTGCCTACAAAGCTCTTCTCATGACTCTTTGCCTATCTTAAGTTCACCTATCTGTCAAATCTCTGGGAATGCAACATTTCCTCAAGGTAGCCTTCTCTCCTCCCAAACTAGAACAAATTCTTCCTGGGGCATTAGGTTTTTATTGCACTGTATGTCTCTTCTTCACAGCAATCACAGTTCCAATGTTATATTTGTATTCTTAGTTGATTTGTTTCTTTCCACCTTTAGACTATAACCTTCTAAGGGGTCACACATAATATCGATCATCAGTTGTATCCCTTGTGCATAGCACAGGGCATGGCAGGCAAATATGTGTGTAAATAAACTTGTTGAATGAATCAATGAGACACACTTTTCTTACCCAAAGTATAATGGCAGGATAACATTTATCAATCTATTGCTTCTTGAAAAACAGATATGATGTGCTTAATTTTCATTTTACATCTCAAATACCAATGCCTAAGGAATTCACAGTCATTTTACAAATCTTTTTGACAAATGCCTTCATTAATCACCACCTGTTTACAAGTGCTAAATAACATTTTGGTTACATTCTGTAACATTTCCTGCACTTAATGTCATCTCTAGAATACTGGCTAATATGAAGCACCTGGACTTCAGGAACACAAACCTGAAACTAACACACCAAACTAAACTGTTATGTAAATGACAGAAATGACACATTTTGGTCTGCAACATCTCTAGATGGCTTTTGGACCAATTCAACTTTTACCACTAAAAATCGGTCACCTGACTATAGTCATTTTGAGCTCATGATAAATGAATTACAGATGAAAAATAAATAGTTTGATGACAATCTTTACAAAAGTTTATCTTCAAAGAATACCACCAGTCACAGGTATTCTAGGCTCCTATCAACTTATTTGGTCAGGGCAGACTTCACTTTTCATGATAATTATGTTCTGAAAATTCTACAAACTTAATGATTACAAACAAAAGTCATAGTTTGCTCATAAATCAGGCCTAGGTCTGGATTCTAGTTCTTCCATTTTTCATTTGTTCACTGAGGCAAGTGACTTAAAATTCCCTAGCCTCAGTTTCCTCACATGTAAAATCAGATAATGATTCCTATTCCTAAGATGGTTTTGAGGCTTCAACAAGATAAGATGGGCCTCACTCAAGCATGCTCAGTACTCTGTCTCTCTCTCTCCGGTTATGCAGAAATTCTATTAGGATTCTGCAAAGTAAAATAAATATTTCAGTAAAAATTATGCCCTTTATTAATGAATCTAGATTTTCAGATTTTCCTTAAATTTACTTAGTAACTTAAGGGCTCAAATATTATAGAGATTTGTATCTAGTATTTTAAAGAAATGAAAGGTGTTAATCAAAATGCTGCACAAATAAATGCTACATTTAACAAACAGAATATCACAACCATACAAACTAATCAGATATAAAGAAGTCAGCAACAGAAATCTGATGTTGCCTTTAGATCACACAATTAGGCAAACAAAAATAGAGTTCCATCCTCCTTTGGTCAAGGCCATGGTTGAAGACTGAATACCAAATAGGGAAATAGGAAAAGCCAGGAAATGGCAAATTAGCAAAAACTGGACTCCTTAATTTTTATATTCATTTTCATATCTCACTTCTAAAACTTTAATTAAATTCAAATAAAAACCAAAATGGAACTGAGATAAAGCCAAAAGGAAAGTTATGTAGGTCAAATGAGAACCTATATTGTCCTTAGGCTCTTTGTTGCTTTCTGTTTAAGGAAAAACTGCCCAAGTGCCTTGACACATTAAAGATCAAGCAGGAGGTTCTGCCGAGAGTCCCCATCTGGCAGCCAGGTTTTGTCAAGCAAATTTTGAGAATTCTCTACCCTCCCACTTTCTATCTAATTATAGCACTTTATAAAAACCATTCTCTCTCTGTCTCTGTCTCTCTCTCTCTCTCTCTCTCACACACACACACACACACACACACACACACACACACACCCTTTCTCTCTCTCTCTCTCTGAAACTTATCTGTATTATAATAACACAACACTAGGTATGGATTAATCTGACAATTTTCCCCTAAAACAGAATAAATTCAAAAAGGAAAACCTTTCCTCTGTACACATGCACTATATTCTGACAATAATAATTCCTAAATTAAGTATAATACATTTTCCCTACAGGAGTTTAAAGAAGTTACAGTAAAGAATCTCTTGTATAAATATATATGCCAGAACTTGACCCAAATAAGTGCTGAGAGGTATAAATCTCAAAACAGTTTCCGGACTCTTTGTGAAATGTCTTCAGAGTCTGCGATATATTTTCTTCAACTAAATTATACAAGTAAGATATTTTGCTGGGCTGTGGGAATGCCTTACGGCATGTTACTGTGGAGCTCATGGTAAAATAGAAAGAATATAAATAATTAAAATAAAATTGACAAATGATAAATGATTTAATAAATTAGAAATTCAAATGCCGGGCACTTTTCTAGAACCTGGACACAAAGCATGAACCTAACAATAACCCCGCCTTCATGAAAAATATGGACTATTTGAAAATTATACCTGCAACACTAAATAAATATTCTTCATTCTTCCAGTATATTGAGATGTTTACTTTCAATTAGACAATTTGCTTTCCTCTCTGAACACATAGTTATGTGATGGCTCTATAAAAGATTTTAAAATAACTATAGAAGGAACTATTGGTAAAGACTGTGGGATACTAAAAATGGCTACAAAGAAAGTTATGACAAAACCTCTGAGTTTGAATGGAAGTCCTACTAGATTAGAGTCTAAGCCTGTGACATTATGCTTCTGGTTCTTGTTCTTAAATGCTTTTCTCATTAATAGTATGTAACTTACTTCCTGGAATGCCATTCATTAAAAAAATATTTAATATTTGCTAAATGTCAATATTTATGCCAGCACTTTTAAAGTACAGAAACATGGAGTTTCTTTACCTCATGCAAATATGCTGTGAGAAAGACTTAAGAGCCTATTGCCTACTTTGTGGTACAACACTGAAGACTCACCATCCAAAACAAACAGACTTAGTAAATTCTTGTGATTTGCAGTAGTTCTGTTCTATAAGGTTACCACAAACACTGAAATCATCGCTCCTGGGGGAATACAAGGTTATGTTTCCGTGAGCCCTCGGTCACAACATGTTCATTAACTGATCAATACATAACCTTGTTCTATGTGTGTTTCTGTTTAAAAAGAGCACTTCAGTGCTACATTTGGAGTCTGTTTTAAACAGCAAAATCACTAATAAAAAGCACAAAAATGTAAAAGCATGGCACTACATACACTGTGACAAGAAGGCTTGTTTATAGTATGACAGCTGAGACAAGAAGGTAGAGCCTCGCTTTGATCAACCTCTGCTGGGAAATGAGCATCAGGTGAATCAATTTTTCACCACTCTGAATGACCGTAAAAGTGCTCCAAGTACTGACTTTGGGGTTACACATAAATTTTAGTAAGCATGTGAATCTGCCAATATGAAATCTACAAATAATGAGTACCAAATGCATATGAGTCAAATATTTCAGTGCGGTATCTGACTTGATTGCCACTGAAAGACACAGTTTGGAAAACCCCTAATAAATACCGTTTAGTTACTATGCAGACAAAGAGTTCTACACTAGAGTGCTTCAATTAAGATGTCTGAGGCTTTCATAAATGGATGTTTTTTAAAATGTTATTTCCTACCTGATATATTCTAAAGGGGATATAACGAAATCCATTTTCTTCTGCAGGATATTCCATGAGTTTCCGATTGATGGCCCAAAACTGGTCAAATCTGTCTGTAATGATATAAATTATTTGTTATTAAAAATGAACAACATTATAATGGAATACCTCACATGAAGAGATGAAAGTTTTAAATATCCCTCTAGAAGTTTCTGAAAGGACATCACATATATTTTCTTATTTTTATTAAACTTATCTTTCCATAAACATAAAGCAAATATAAAATTAATTTTTTTCTACATTATTGCATCCTCTCCCTAGATATTCGCACAGCCATTTTTTTCTCATAAGAAAAACTGTAAACATATAAACATACGACTACTTGTGTTATCAAGGCAAAAAACACACCAGGTAGAGGATAGATGTCTTGACTCTCCTGGTACTACTTCTAATTGCTGAGCTACAAAGGTACAGCTTCAAGTAGCCTAAATGTTAACTAGAAGTTGTGTAAAGAAATAAAGTCGCAGGGTGCAGTGGCCCACGCCTGTAATCACAGCACTTTAGGAGGAGGCTGAGGCGGGCAGATCACCTGAGGTCAGGCGTTCCTGACCAGCCTGACCAACATGGAGAAACCCCGTCTCTATTAAAAATACAAAATTAGCCAGGCGTGGTGGTGCATGCCTGTATTCCCAGCTACTTGGGAGGCTGAGGCAGGAGAATTGCTTGAACCTGGGAGACAGAGGTTGTGGTGAGCCGAGATCACGCCATTGCACTCCAGCCTGGGCAACAAGAGCGAAACTCCGTCTCAAAAATAAAAATAAAAATAAAGTCAAAATACTGAACACAGTAAACATTAAATACCAAAGATTTTTTTAAAAAAGCTTTGAAAGAAACATGGAACTGGCACTTATGAAGTGCCAACTGCAGCTTAATCTCAGACCAATTAAGCTCTTTTTAAAAACTTTTCAATTTCAAATTTTTTAAATAAACAACTTGAGATATAATTTGCATACCATAAAATTCACCCCTTTTAAAGTATACAACTTAGTGGTTTTCAGTATATTCAGAGTTCAGAACATTTTCAGCATCCCAAAAAGAAACCTGTAACTATTAATAGTCACTTCCCACTCCCCCTTGCCCCAGCCCCTGAAAAATCACTACTTTCTATCTCTATAGTTTGCCTATTCCAGACATTTCATATAAATGAAGTAATATAATATGTGGTTCTTTTGCATCTGGGTTTTTCGCTTGGCATAATATTTTTGGTGTCCATTCATGTTGTAGTATGTATCAGAACTTCATTTGCTTTTACGGCTGAATAATATTCCATTATGTGGAGTTACCAGATTTTTGTTCTCTCAGTTGACTGACATTTAAGTAGTTTCCGCTTTTTATCTATTATAAATAATGCTACTATGAACATTTGTAAACACATTTTCGTGTGGACATATGTTTTCAGTTCTCTTGGGTATGTACCTAGGAGTAGAACTACTGGGTCATTAGGTAACTCTATTTAACTGATACATGGTAACTGTGTTTTGAGGAACTGCCATACTGTTTTCCAAAGTGAGTGTACTACCTTACATTTCCACCAGCAATGTATTTGGATTCCAATTAGTCCACATCCTTGCCAATGCTTGCTACTACTGGTCTTTTTAATTATAATCATTCTGGCAGGCATCAAGAAGTATCTCATTGTGGTTTTGATTTGCATTTCCTTAATGACTATGCTGAGCATCTTCTCATGTGCTCAATGGCCATTTGTGCATCTTTGCAGAAATGCCTATCAAATCACTTTCCCTTTTAAACCAGTTGTCTTTTTATTGTTGAGTTATAAGAGTTCTTTATAAATTCTGAATACAAACCCCTTATCTATGACTCACATATTTTCTCCCGTTCTGTACATTGTTTTTTAAGCAACTCCTTTTTTTTTAACTCACCCAGAATCCCACCTTATAATAAAATATTTTATATTCAGAAATTTGTATCAAAATCTTATCTCTATAAAGCAAGGAAATACATCCAGAATTACAGTTCAGCTTGGTATTTTTCTATTACTAGACCTGTTTGAATCCAATCTACTGGCAATCTATTGATTCTGCTTAAACCATCCTAACTGTATATTTTTAAAAAATTTCTTCTTACACCCCTGTCCTAAAAGACTGTGACAGGCTTTAGGCCTTCCTTACTCTAATCTTCAACTCCAATGTGAAGGAAGACTCGCAGTATATTAGAAATGGTGTGAGAGAAAATTCTGAATCCAGTAAGTCCAGCACAATTTCACAGATGATAACTAAGGCCCAGATTATTATATGTTTAATTAATAACCAAGACCAGAATCTTGGTCTTCCGATTCAAAGTCCCCAATTGCTTCAACAGTTGCTGCCACGAAACTTTATCTTAATGTGAAGAATACTACTTTGACATAGTCCTCTCACATATGAAGCAATTATTCTGTCAATGCTTAAAAAAGTGTCTTTCTACCATCAAGTATCAAGCAAGAATGTGACAGCTAAATATAATGATTCTTCATGCATACTTAAAATTTTACTTTGCTGCCTTGTCATGAAATCTCAAGCACCTAGCATGGTGCATGCATAGTATGTGCTCTTGAATCAAAGAATGGATAGAACACTATGAACATAATTTCTCATAAAAGTAAACTGGAAAAAGAAACATGATTGTGCCAGTTATCAATTGTATGACTCTCTTCTCCAAATTCACCCTTCAATATATGCATCGCTATATGGTCACAAATCCTTTAAGCATCTCTACTGCAACAACTATCTTAAGATTTCTCAGCAGAAAATGCTAAAAGAAGTTGTAGGAGAAACGGTTCTGCCCAATGTCCAGATACGCAAGTCTCTCAGCAAGGTGGCAGCAGGAGCCTGGCCCAGGGTTAACCAGCCCTCAAGACAGAATCTAGCACTCCAAAGGCTTCCTGCTTGCATAGGCACACTAATGGGCGCTTGCCCTTATCAACATCTCAATTTGCTTGCTCTGGAGGCCTGCATGGGCTGCCCATCTGTGGTTTCCCACCCAGCTGCCACTCCCTCTGCACAACCATGCCACATGTTGTTGATCACCTGCATTCCAGGTTGCCCTGACTGCCAATGTACTACATACCAACTCTGGCCTGGCGGGAAGAGGGAACTTTTCTACTAATTCAATGAGCTGAATATACCTCCTCCAGTGAAGTCTGAGCCCTAGCCTTTGCAGGTGGGACCCCTTACAAGTTTGGTCTTCCTCTCTCAGCCCTAAGGTAAAATATATAGTTTTCTTATATTTTATAGACACTCTTTTATCAGAGTTTATTAATTCTTCACATAAAACTTAGCCTGCTTAACCCACTGATTAGGCCCAAATACAACTATGTTTAAAAGGAAGACACGATAAAAAAAAAATCTGTATTAATTGATATTAACTTTAATCTTCTTATAGAAACGCTATATTCTTATATTAAAAAGGTATTTTCCCAGCAATAGCTAAAAACACCCTAATCAGAGAGAGAGAGAGGGAGGGAGGGAGGAAGGGAGGGGGAGGGGGAGAGAAAGAAAGACAGAAAAAGAAAGAGAAAAAGAAAGAAAGAAAGAGAAAGAGAAAGAAAGAAAGAAAAGAAAGAAAGAAAAAGAAAAGAAGAAAAGAAAAGGAGGAGAGAAAATCAGTGTTGAGATTGAAGGAATAACCAAGTGTCTTTCACAATGGATTTTTTTGTTCCTTTTAAAAAGAGACAGAGTCTCGCTCTGTCACCCCAGCTGGAGTGCAGTGGCGAGATCTCTGCTCACTGCAACCTCCACCTCCCAGGTTCAAGAGGTTCTCCCACCTCAGCCTCCCAAGTAGCTGGGGTTATAGGCATGCATCATCACGCCCGGCTAATTTTTGTATTTTTAGTAGAGACGGGATTTCACCATGTTGGCCAGGCTGGTCTTGGACTTCTGACCTCAAGTGATCCATCTGCCTTGGCCTCCCAAAGTGCTGGATTACAGGCATGAGCCACCGTGCAGAGCCAAACAAAACAAAGACTAAGTAGGAGAAAATTAAAACTAGCAGTCACTTAGCTTATTCACATTGGGAGGAAGATAATATATATACTTCTCGCCAGAGCTACAAGCAATATTACTGATGTTAGTTTCTTTTTATAAAACTTAACATTTAAGAAGGCTATCAAATCAAAAGCATAAAACTGAAGGACTGTTCTACAGAAATATTCAATCAATTAAAAAAAAAAAAGATGAAAAATACCATTCCTCAAAAATCCTGATGGTCATCCATTTTTCCTCTCTCTCTCTGCTGAATTAAGCTTTTATATTGGTCTTGCAAATTTTAAAACACCTGGAAAAAATGTTATTTTTTTTTTAATTTCAGAGCTCTCTAAAATGCATAAGATACCAAGTTAATTTGTATTCTTTGTTACTCACATGGACAAACTGCAGGAAAAAGTGATAACTTTAAAGGATTTACCTATTCTTCCACTTAAGCTTTACGAGAGGTAAAAACTCAAGGCAAAATAATTCTTATGCCACAAATAACATGTCTAAAATCCCCCACGGGAGACATGGAGGACATATAAGGAGAGTGTAGGGATTGCTACTCAGGCTCAATTCAGCTGGCTAGGACCCTCATGCAGGAAACCGATGAAATGGTCTCCACATGCATACACTATTCACCTCCTGGTCTTTAACATCTAAGAAGCCAAGGGAGAGCAGAGTTACAGCATTTCAAATAAATGTCGGATTGTGACAGCACATAGAAGACAGACTGTAAGCTTGTCTTTGGAAGGAAAAGCAAATGGCTGAAAATCACTACAGAAGGGAACCCACTCTTCACAAAATTTTCCATCTGTCAACAGTATTATTCAAATCAGTACTACAAGTGATCATGTAATAATTGTATTGTTTTAATCAGAGGCTTTCAAGGTATGTAACAGAAAACACATTCAAATATAGACCCATATGAATTAATTTCTTCATACGTAATATGTTAAACATCTCTGTAAGACAAAACAGGAGAAAAATAAAAATGAACAAGTAGTAATTACTGGTAGGCTGCCAAAAGCAGGTTTTCAGTAAGTGACCTGTATCTTCAAACTCATCTGCCTTATGAGCCAGGTCAAATTAAGAGAATCAGCCCTTGAAAATTCATCATGAACACAGAAGTAGGTGGGCCCAGTGGGCTAGCCTCTGCGTCAGGGCTGAGCAGTGCCAGTCCTGGAGGAAGTTCATCCTTCATCCTGTCCATAAACACACATCTTGGCAGAAGGTTTCTACCCAGGGAAATCTGTGGTTTCAGTGAATCACAAAAGCAATAAAATCCAAATTCCTGGACAATTGTGACCTGGACAGTAACTGTCTGAAAATTAACTGAGAGAAGACATTTACTCCTTTACCCTACAAAGTAAGTGCCACAGTCTTAGAAAATTGGCATCAAGAACAGTAATCAATATATATTTAGACTGCAATTACTTCTCTCCGTGTTCACCACTACCACTTTCACCTCTCTGAGCCAACACAATAGCCTCCTACTTGGTCACTGTCCTATGTTTATCCCCTGTGCACAGCATCCAGAAAGCTCTTTTAAAGTATAAATCATCAACGAGTAAATTTTCAAATATTTTCTAATGGGCCATAAAACATAATGCTTTATGATGCACATTAATGATATGGTTATTTTAAGTTATATACTAAAATCATTTTTAAAAATATGCAACCCACTGCATCTCCTTACTGCCTGCATCTGGGGCAGACTGCTCCCTGACCAAACTCTACATGCAGGCAACCATAAATAATGTGAGTAACAAAATACCTCTTCCCCTAGAAGCAGATTCCTACCAGGCCCATTCCACCCCCTTGGAAAGTTATTGCTGCATTTCTCTGAGATCTCACTGTCTACCTTACTAACTTACTAAGTTACTACCTACCTTACTTACTAAGCTCTAAGTCATGCTATTTTTCTTTTCGGTCCCTAGTAAATACCAAACTTGCTCCCATTTCAGTTTTAGCAGCCTAGAATCCCCACTTTCCTAATCTTTACATAACTGCTTCTCATCATTCAAGTCTCAATAGTGTTACCCCCTCAGAAAGATTTCTTTCATAATCCTAGGTAAGACAGTCCCACTTTCCAATCATTCCCTATACCATCACTCTATTTTATTCTAAATACTTATCGTTACTTCAAATTATGCAATTTACATGTTTAAGTATGTACTGTCGCTCTCCCTCAACCAAAATGTAAGTCCCATGAGGGCAAAGACTTTATCTTCAGCCCTAGAAAGTTCTACGTACTTCAGCCCTAGAAAGTTAATGTACTATGAGTATGCACATAGTACATACTCAACGAATGTTTGTTAATCACTAATAGCTAAATGAATGACTAGGCAATGGAGACAATAAAAACAAGGGAATAGCAAACAAAGTGTGGCATAGTGGAAAAAGTAGACAGTCTGGAGCCACACTGCCTGGGTTTGTTTCCCAGCTTTGTCATTTATTTAATAGTTGTGTGAGTTTTAGCAAGACACTTACTGTGCCTGACACAAATTAAGTGCTACATAAGTGTTTCCTATTATCATTATCTTTTAGGCTGCCTCAGATTCAACAAGAGAAGGCACTGAGCTTCTAGATTCTACCAGGTAAGAAGTGTCAGGACCAGTATGGAAAAGTGGCCCTGCCAAAACCCCATCATTACAGAACTGCTGGACTGTTCAGTCTGGCTCAGAGCCAGGGAGTCTGCATCACTCACATCAAATTCTATGTGAATGTTGCCTGTTGGAGTTATGCAATTGAGCAGCCTTTGCTAGCCATAATTGGGAGAATAAAAGCCCTAACACAGTATAGCTGCAATATTTACAACCAAATACCCTCTATGTCCCTTTTGCTTCCTCCAACTTTTTCAACCACCATATAAGGTTCTATCTTCTCACCCTGTGGGCACAATTTAGTTGCCATTTACCTCCCATCAATTTCACTGCATTCATCTCCAGCCATATCATGTAACGGTGGGAATAAGAATGGTGGTCCAAGAACATCTGGGCCAACATCTGAGGAGTCCTCCAGTCTTGACAAGCAAGTCTGAGTTCCAACTCTATCGCTTAAGACCTAGATAACCATTCCTTTCCAACCCCTTCTTCTTCTAACATGTCTTAATATAGTAGGGGAGAGGACATAAGCATGATGGGGGAAGGGGTTCTTGTTAATCTGAAAAGATGAGAGGTTCACAATTGCTACACCTTATTACAGCATAGCTTTATAAATGGAGTCAGTAAAAACTAGCTACCTCATGAAAACTCTGTAAATCGTTAAAAACTACTGCTTGGAAATTTAAAGAAAATTAATCTTATTAAGTATTGAGAAAAGCAGACTGTAAATTCCAATTTCAACATCACCAGCCAATAAACCATGACTGTAAGTTACAACATCTTTAAACGTATTCCAAGAGTCAATCCCAGTAACTGCCTTCATTTTTAAGTAGACAGGATTCAATTATCGTATTCTAACCAATTAAGAATAATTTATTTCAAATGTATTTTTAAGCCAGGTAATAAAAAAGATTCAAAACTCAAAAATTTCATAATGTAAAAAACAAATTATTCTGTTGTTCTATGTGCTTATATTAAAATTTCTAATAATAATGATCTTCAACTATACTCCCATTTTCCCTTCATCCATGACAATCTTTAAAGCAGCTTGTCAAAAAGAGATTTACAGAGCTACAGCACAGTGGTAGGCCAGGACTAATTATCTAAATGTATTCCTGTTACAATCATCTATAGATTTATAACCAATAACCTCCTGTTCTATTACTTTTTAAAACTACTGTATATTAAGAAAATGTTATTTCTCTTGGCCGAAATTAGTTTATTACTTTCCTAGATGCAGAGGGCCAGAAACAAATTTAATATGCAATTGAGTTCATTTTTACTTCACTCAGAAAGCAAGCCAAAGTCATAAGGTAAAAACAAAAATATTTTAATTTTTGAAAGACTGACAAAAAGATACCCCCATTATGTTCACTGTAATCTTTCCAACATTTATTATGTAGGTAATTCTCTCTTTAATACAAATCCTTTATGCTTCTGGAGAGAAAGTGTAAAGTAGAAAACACTATTAATCTGTTAATGATTATCCACTGACAAATAACACAAGCTTTCAAAACAAAGGGGCCACCAATGGTCACTGGAGATGCAGTATGCAATGCAACATTTCTTAACTTTTGCTTCTCACCAGGATAGGATCATCTGAAGAGCTTTTAAAAAATACTAATGTGCAGGACCCACTCCAGACCAATTACCTGATTTCCCTGGCATCTGTACTTTTGAAAGCTCCCCAGATGATTCTAATATATAGCCAGCGTTAACAACCTCCAGATGTAACAAAAAACATAGTCATGCTTCATTTAACGATGAGGATAGATTCTGAGAAATGCATCAGGCAATTTCATCATGCGAACATCATAGAATGTACTTAGAAAACCTAGAGAGTACAGATTACTACACAACTAGGCTATATGGTATAACCTATTGCTCCTAGGCTATAAACCTATATGGTATGTGCAAACCAGGAAAAGGTACAGTAAAAATACCATATAAAATATTTTTAAAAGGCACCCCTGTATAGTGCACGTACCATCAATGGAGCTTGCAGGGCTGACTCTGGGTGAGTCAACAAGTGAGTGATGAGTGAATGTGAAGGCCTAGGACATTACTATACTCTACTGTAGACTTTGTAAACACTGTACATTTAAGTTACATTGAATTTATTTAAAAATTAACTTAAGCTTACTATAGCTTTTTCACTTTATAAACATTTTCAACTTTTGAGTCTTTTGTAATAACACTTAGCTTAAAACAAACACGTACAGCCGCATAAAAACATTTTTTATATCCTTATTCTATGAAACTTATTTAAAAATTTATTTTTTTAACTTAAGACTTTTTGTTAAAAACTAAGACACAAATACACACATTAGCCTAGGCCTACAAAGTGGGAGGATCATCAATATCACTGTCTTCCACCTCCACATCTTGTCCCACTGCAAAGTCTTTAGGGGCAATAACATGAGTGAAGCTGTCATCTCCAATGAAAACGATGCCTTCCAGAATACCTCTTGAAGGACCTTCCTATTTTACAGCTAACTTTTTCTAATAAGTAGAAGGTGAACACTCTAAAATAATGAAAAAAGTAAATAGTAACATAGTCGTTTATCATTATCAATTACTGTACATAATTATATGTGCTAGACATTTATCCAACTGGCAGCACATTTGTTTATGACAGTATCACCACAAATCTATGAGTAATGCATTGTGCTATGATGGTACAAGGGCTATCAGGTTACTAGGCCATAAGAATTTTTCAGTTCCATTATAATCTTAAGGGACCACTATCATACATGCAGTCCACTGTTGACTGAAACATCATAATGCAGAGCATGATTGTACATTCACTTCAGAATCAGGGATCTAGGTTCAAATTCTGGTTCCACCTCTTGGTAGTTCTGTGAACTCATTTCCTCATTTGCAAAGATGGTAATATTTATCTAATTCTTGTGAGGAATCACTCTAGGCCTGGGATATCACAGGAATTTAGTAAGCCTAATAAGCTCCTCCATTCTATTTCAAATCTACCTAATCTGTACATGGTAGCTACATGGAAAATACCTCTATAAAGAAGTTCCCAATTTGCAAACAGTTCATATTGTGAATCTGGAGTTTAATTAAAACAGGAGATAGAAAAAACAGCATGCTCAAACAAGTTTTTATTTTGTAGGACCTGTGTAGAGTGAAATCTATCAAACCCCTTGCTCCCATTATGCACTTAATTGAGTAACAGGAGCTGTAGAGAATTAAAAAGCAAAAACCAAAATAAAACAAGTACACAAGAGATTGTTCCTTTCACTTAACATGTAGTTGGGGAAGCCAAATTGACACAAGTTATCACAATTTCTAATAAGTCTGATGAATCCTTTATTTTGCACTTGTAATGCTTGATGGCTCAAGTCCTTCCCACCCACCCCCACTCCCCATCTCCTCAAACGGCAGAGATGACCAAGTAATACAACATAGGTAGATCCCGTCTCTAACAAAAAAAAAAAATTAGCCAAGCATTGGTGGTGTATGCCAGTAGTACCAGCTACTTGGGAGACTGATATGGGAAGACTGATTGCCTGAACCCAGGAGGTCAAGGCTGCAGTGAGCCATGACCTTACCACTGCATCTTAGCCTGGGTGACAGAGCAAGGAGGCCCTGAATAAAAAAAAAAGGCTAGTCAAAAGTGCTATTAAAAACAAACAATACTAGAGTGAGAAATAGGGAAAAGCTGTTGGTTCTCATTACAGTGGGACCAGTGATGACTTTTATCAATAACTTATACACTTGTAAAGAATTTAGCAATTTAAAAAACCCTAGGATTTTATATTGTTTAATTTTCACACAACTTACTGATATAGCTCTCCTCATTGTAGAGAGGAGAAAATTGCAGCTCAAAGCAGCTACATGACATGCCCAGGGTCATCAGGCTAGTAGCTGCTAGTGGGTGATACCATGACACAGAAGATTTTTAGTTACATTTCTATAAATAAAACAGCTTGTTTGCTAACATTCAATGTTCAGCCAATTCAGGATAACTTATGACTGAGATCTGGGAAACTATTAATGAATGGCATGTTCATATTATCAAAAATTCCAGGGTTCTATGCTTCAAAAATTATGGTAACATCTGGTATAGTAATTCAACAAATCTCATCTCCTGTAGTATTTAGAGATGACAGAACAGCACAGCTAGCAGTAGCTGCTACTACAGAAATAAATATTACTTGTTTCAACATGTTCATTAAGCCATAATTCTTCAATGAGTACATGAAGAAAGGCATTGTGATAATCAATTGAAAATATTACTCAGTAACTATTCTTTAAAAGAAGACAAGGACAATAATGAGTGAAACTGAAAAATCTCATCTTAGTTCAACTTTTAGCTACTGGACTGTTCAAGAAGTATTTTCCTCAAAACTGTTATATAACAACTAATTCACTGCAAAACAAGTTGGCTGAAAATTATATATATTTCTCAAAACATATGGCCCACCCAGAATTTTACAAATTATACTTTATTACCTATAATTGGCTTATTGTGGACTAAATATTATTGTTTTAAATGTATCCCATAACTTTTAGGGATACGTGATATACATAGTGTATCCTGTTAGGTCCAAAACTTCAATCAGGATTTCCAGGAATCCTAACAGTAAAAATAAGAATAAAGTTATTAAAATTTGAAATTATCCTCCCAGTGTTT
The DNA here is from genome assembly GCF_000001405.40 of Homo sapiens. Taxonomy (NCBI): domain Eukaryota; kingdom Metazoa; phylum Chordata; class Mammalia; order Primates; family Hominidae; genus Homo; species Homo sapiens. The sequence continues at coordinate 106,259,417 of NC_000006.12, forward strand.
CTCAAATTTTTTCATTTACAGCTCAGATATCTGAATTGCATTACTCTACTGAGTACTAACACCTGAAAATAAATAATGCTAAAAATACTGGTGAGAATGAGCTGTATTATAATTGTAAAGCATTTCCCCTTTCAACAAGTCCATGAAGTTGTTTTCCTTCTCTTCTCACTTCCTATATTTCCCTTCATCACCTTGTCTCTTCTGCTCCTTTCTTACATTCTAGGTAGACAAATATTAATCCTTTTTCATCTTTCAAAAAATATGTAAAAGAGTTATAGAGTTTTTTAAATCTTACATAAAAATAATGACTTTTAAATACATGAAAAGTACATGCAGGTTAAAATACCTGTGGGACAAAATCTAAGCATTAACAAAAACAAGAAGATAGTTTAAGAAAAAATAGTTGCAAAAGCACTATTCACGGTAGCAAAGAGTTGGAACCCAAATGTCTATCAATGATAGACTGGATTAAGACAATGTGGCACATATAAACCATGGAATACTATGCAGCCATAAAAAGGATGTGTTCATGTCCTTTGCAGGGACATGGATGAAGCTGGAAACCATCATTCTCAGCAAACTATCACAAGCACAGAAAACCAGACACTGCATGTTCTCACTCATAGGGGGGAACTGAAAAATCAGACACTTGGACACAGGGCAGGGAACATCACACACTGAGGCCTGTCGGTGGGTGGGGGCCTGGGGGAAGGGATAGCATTAGGAGAAATATCCAATGTAAATGACAAGTTTATGGGTGCAGCAAACCAACATGGCACATGTATACTTATGTAACAAACCTGCACGTTGTGCACATGTACCCTAGAACTTAAAGTATAATTTTTTAAAAAAGAAAAAATAGCCACAAAATCTTGACATTCTGAGTGTGGCTTGGAATTTGAAATTTAACTACAATTAGAATTATGAAAATTAACTCCAATTTGAAATGCTGTTTGGGATACTTTTATATCCTTCTAACGGGAAAGAGAGAAATACACTAAATGTAAAAGAGCTCCAGGAACTTAAGCATAGTCTGGATACTAAAGGGATACTGTGCGAAGAAATGCTTCTTAAGTAGAAAAGCACTTTGAAGACGATAATCAGGACTAAACATGCTTTATTTTAGATGAACAAACGTGTTCATTTTACCCCTCTTTTTCATAAGTTGCTTATTTTTTCCAGTGTTTGGGTAAAAACCTTGCAATTCTCTGAATGCTAATTAAAATACCAGTGGCACAGATAGTTTTAGTCTTAAATGTGATTTTCACATAAAAGGATTCTGAACGTTACATAGCTTCTAAAGTAGTAAAAGAGAAACAGTATCCAATGAGTAACAAGAAACTAGCACTGCAACAGAACTGCACTGACTTTCTTGATTCAGGAGATGACATTATTAATATACAGAATTTTAACAGCCAGAATTCATCACTATAGCCACTAATCAGAACTGGTCTATACAGGCCAAGTTCAAGAACATAAAATGTCACAGGGGTCAGGTGTGGGGGCTTGACATTCTCAATACAAATGATTTCTAGGCTTTTGTTTAAAAGCATGTGACACCTGGAAATGCGTAATACATGAACCAGCATTAACTACTGATTGTTGAGTTAAAATGTGTATCTAGCCATCCATACCCTAGAAAGGTAATAAAGGAATGGAACAGAGACTAGGCAAGTTTAAATTAGAGTTAAAGAGTGGGAAAGAAGAGTTGTTAAAATATGCAGAGATAGATCAAGTGAGCTAGAGCTGAAAGGAAAATACACAGAACACACATTATTTCAAAAAATGTAAGCAGAATGTCTTACTGCAACGACAGCATACTATTGATTCATTTGTCATTTAGTAGTCACCTCAGAAAAAGTAAATAATCACCATCATCCAGAAACAGTTATGGTTAAGTTTGCAATGAGAAGTTTACATAGTTCACCAGGCAAAACAGTTCACACCTACAATCCCAGCTAAATCCCTTTGTTTAAAAAAGAATATAGTTACACATGCAGCCAAATAAGTCATTATGACAACAGGACATACTAGTTCTCAAGGGAAGAATTGCTGGAATAGATGAGAAACTTCATAAATGGGTTAGCCCACACTGTGAACTTTGAAACATATCTGGCACAGCTGTTGTGATGGCAGTGATAATTCACGTGAAGTACCCAGAACAGAACTTGGAATGAGTTAAAATGCACTCAACAAGTGGTCACTGCTACTTTAAATGAGAAGCAGTTTTACCTATTAACTCCACATCATTTCCCTCTAGAGTAGTGGTTCTCCTAAGAGTATGGTGGTAATTAGGGTGATAATGGTAGAGATGAAAAGTCAATAAATAGGGGTTTATTTTGGAGGTAGTATTGACAGAGCCTATTGTTAGGCTGGATGTAGAAGTTGGGTTGAAAAAAATGAAACAATTATTACCGGGGGAGCGGGCAGTGTGCTACTGGCATCTAGTCTGTAGAGGCCAGAAGTGCTGCTAAAGATTACACAATGCACAGGACAGCCCCAACCCTCACAGCCACATCAAAGAATTATCCAGTCCAAAAAAGTCAACAGTGCAGAGGTTGGGAAACCCTGCTCCACAGGAGTGGTTCCCAAACTTTAGTGAGTCAAAACCTTCTGGAAGACTTGCTGAAACAGGCTGCTGGGACTTACCCAGAGTTTCTGATTCAGCTGATCTAGGGCAGAGTCTCGCTCTGTCACCCAGGCTGGAGTGCAGTGGCACCATCTCGACTCACTTCAACCTCCGCCTCCCAGGTTCAAGTGATTCTCCTGCCTCAGCCTCCTGAGTAGCTCGGATTAGAGGCGTGTGCCATGCCTAATTTTTATATTTTTAGTAGAGATGGGGTTTCACCACGTTGGTCAGGCTGGTCTTGAACTCCTGACCTTGTGATCCACTCACCTCGGCCTCCCAAAGTGCTGGGATTACAGGCATGAGCCACTGCACCCGGCCGGTCTAGGGTATATTTCTAATCAGTTCCCAAGTAACACTAATGCTTTTGGCACACTTTGGGAAACACTGATCTACAGAAAGGTGGTAAGAAGCTAACAGACAAAACAAAAAAGGATTAGAAAAGTAAGTACATCTAAAGTTTTCCATTCTCTTAAAGAAAATCATAAAGTTCTTAAAAAGTTTTCCATTCTCGAGTTGATAAGATGGCTGAATAGGAAAAGTTCCGGTCTGCAGCTCCCAGCGAGACAAACACAGAAGGCGGCAGGTGATTTCTGCATTTCCAACTGAGGTACCCAGGTCATCTTGTTGGGACCGGTTAGGCAGTGGATCCAACCCATGGAGGGTGACCAGAAGCAGGGTGGGGCATTCCTTCACCCAGGATGTGCAAGAAGCCAGGGAGCCTCCCTCCCCCAGCCAAGGGAAGCCATGAGGTACTGTGCTACCCGGCTGGGTTACTACACTTTTCCCATGGTTTCTGCAATCTGCAGATCAGGAGATTCCCTCATGTAGCCTACACCACCAGGGCCCTGGGTTTCAAGCACAAAACTGGGCAGCCATTTGGGCAGACACCGAGCTAGCTGCAGGAGTCTTTTTCGTACTTCAGTGGCGCCTGGAACCCCAGAGAGACAGAACCATTCATTCCCCTGGAAAGGGTGCTGAAGCCACAGAGTCAAGTGGTCTCGCTCAGTGGGTCCCACTCCTACGGAGCCCAGCAAGCTAAGAACCACTGGCTTGAAACTCTCACTGCCAGCACAGCAGTCTAAAGTCGACCTGGAATGATCAAGCTTGGTGCGGGGAGGGGCATCTGACATTACTGAGGCTTTACTAGGCAGTTTTCCTCTGACAGTGCTAAGGAGTCTGGGAGGTCTGGACTGAGCGGAATTCACCACAGTCCAACAAAGTGGCTGTGGCCAGAGTCCTTCTCTAGATTCCTCCTCATTGGGCAGGGCATCTCTGAAGGAAAGGTAATGGCCCCACTCATGGGCTAACAGACAAAACCCCCATCTCCCTGGGACACAGCACCTGGGGGAAGGGGCGGCTGTGGGTGCAGCTCCAGCGGATTTAATCATTCCTGCCTGCTGACTCTGAAGAGAGGAGCTGATCCTGACAAGACGGATTCTCCCAGCACAGAACACCAGCTCTGCTAAGGGACCGACTGCCTCAAGTGGGTCTCTGATCCCCATGCCTCCTGACTGGGAGAGACCTCCCAACAGGGGTCAGCAGACACCTCAAACAAGAGAGCTCTGGCTGGCATCAGGCCGGTGCCCCTCTGGGACGAAGCTTCCAGAGGAAGTAGCAGGCAGCAATCTTTGCTGTTCTACAGCCTCCACTGGTGATACCCAGGCGAACAGGGTCTAGAGTGGACTTCCAGCAAACTGCAGCAGACCTGCAGAAGAGGGGCCCTAACAAAAAGAAAATACAACATCAACATCAACATAAAGGACCCCCACAAAAAAACTCCATCCAAAGGTCATTAGCCTCCAAGATCAAAGGTAGATAAATCCACAAAGATGGAAAAAAAAAAAAAAACAGCACAAAAATGCTGAAGATTCAAAAAACCAGAATGCCTCTTCTCCAAATGATCTCAATTCCTCTCCAGCAAGGGCACAAAACTGGATGAAGAATGAAGTTGATGAATTGACAGAAGAAGGCTTCAGAAGGTGGGTAATAACAAACTCTTCTGAGCTAAAGGAGCATGTTCTAACCCAATGCAAGGAAGCTAAGAATCTTGATAAAAGGTTATAGGAAATGCTAACTAGAATAACCCGTTTTGAGAGGAACACAAATGACCTGATGGAGCTGAAAAACACAGCACAAGAACTTTGTGAAGCATATACAAGTATCAATAGCCAAACTGATCAAGTGGAAGAAAGGATATCAGAGATTGAAGATCAACTTACTGAAAAAAAGTATGAACACAAGATTAGAGAAAAAAGAATAAAAAGGAACGAATGAAGCCTCCAAGAAATATGGGACTATGTGAAAAGACCAAACTTACAATCGGTGTACCTGAAAATGATGGGGAAAATGGAACCAAGTTGGAAAACACACTTCGGGGTATTATCCAGGAGAACTTCCCCCACCAAGCAAGACAGGCCAACATTCAAATTCAGGAAATACAGAGAACACCACTAAGATACTCCTAAAGAAGAGCAACCCCAAGACACATAATCATCAGATTCTCTAAGGTTGAAATGAAGGAAAAAATGTTAAGGGCAGCCAGAGAGAAAGGTTAGGTTTCCTACAAGGGGAAGCCCATCAGACTAACAGCGGATCTCTCTGCAGAAACCCTACAAGCCAGAAGACAGTGGGAGCCAATATATTCAACATTCTTAAAGAAAAGAATTTTCAACCCAGAATTTCATATCCAGCCAAACTAAGCTTCATAAGCGAAGGAGAAATAGAATCCTTTAGAGACAAGCAAATGCTAAGGGATTTTGTCATCACCAGGCCTGCCCTACAAGAGCTCCTGAAGGAAGCACTACATATAGAAAGGAAAAACCAGTACCAGCCACTGCAAAAAACACACCAAAATATAAAGACCAACACTATGAAAAAACTGCATCAACTAATGGGCAAAAAAACCAGCTAGTATCATGATGGCAGGATCAAATTCACACATAACAATATTAACCTTAAATGTAAATGGGATAAATGCTCCAATTAAAAGACACAGACTGGCAAACTGGATAAAGCGTCAAGACCCATCAGTGTGCTGTATTCAGGAGACCCATCTCACATGCAAAGACACACATAGGTTCAAAATAAAGAGATTGAGGAATATTTACCAAGCAAATGGAAAGCAAAAAAAAAAAAAAAAAAAGCAGGGGTTGCAATCCTAGTCCCTGATAAAACAGACTTTAAACCAACAAAGATCAAAAAAGACAAAGAAGGGCATGACATAATGGTAAAGGGATCAATGCAACAACAAGAGCTAACTATCCTAAATATATGTGCACCCAATACAGGAGCATCCAGATTCATAAAACAAGTTCTTCAAGATCTACGAAGAGACTTGAACTCCCACACAATAATAGTGGGGGATTTTAACCCCCCACTGTCAATATTACACAGATCAACGAGACATAAAATTAACAAGGATATTCAGGACTTGAACTCAGCTCTGGACCAAGTGGACCTAATAGACATCAACAGAACTCTCCATCCCAAATCAACAGAATACACATTCTTCTCAGCACCACATAGCATGTGTATTCTAAAATCGACCACATAATTGAAAGTAAAACACTCCTCTGCAAGTGCAAAATAATGGAAATCATAATAAACACTCTCACAGACCACAGTGCAATCAAATTAGAACTCAAGATGAAGAAACTAACTCAAAACTGTACAACTACATGAAAACCGCTCCTAAATAACTACTTGGTAAATAACGAAATTAAGGCAGAAATAAAGAAGTGCTTTGAAATCAATGAGAAAAAAGAGACAACGTACCAGAATCTCTGAGACACAGCTAAAGCAGTGCTAAGAGGGAAATTTATAGCACTAAATGCCCACATCAGAAAGCTCGAAAGATCTAAAATCGACACCCTAACATCACAATCAAAAGAATTAGAGAAGCAAGAGCAAACAAATTCAAAAGCTAGCACAAGACAAGAATAATTAAGATCAGAGCAGAATTGAAGGAGATGGAGACATGAAAAACCCTCAAAAAAAAAAAATCAATGAATCCAGCAGCTGGTTTTTTGAAAAGATTAACAAAATAGACCACTAGCTAGACTAATAAAGAAGAAAAGAGAGAAGAATCAAATAGACACAATAAAAAATGATAAAGGGGATATCATCACTGATCTCACAAAAATACAAACCACCATCAGAGAATATTATAAACACCTCTATGTAAATAAACTAGACATTCTAGAAGAAATGGATAAATTATTGGACACATACACACTGCCAAGACTAAACCAGAAGAAGTTGAATCCCTGACTAGAACAATAACAAGTTCTGAAATTGAGGCAGTAATTAATAGCCTACCAACCAAAAAAGTCCAGGACCAGACGGATTCACAGCTGAATTCTACCACAGGTACAAAGAGGAACTGGTACCACCATTCCTTCTGAAACTATTCCAAACAATAGAAAAAGAGGGACTCCTCCCTAACTCATTTTATGAGGCCCTAACTCATTTTATGATACCAAAACCTGGCAGAGACACAACAAAAAAAGAAAATTTCAGGCCAATATCCCTGATGAACATCAATGTGAAAATCCTCAAGAAAATTCTGGCAAACCGAATCCAGCAGCACATCAAAAAGCTTATCCACCACGATCATGTTGGCTTCATCCCTGGGATGCAAGGCTGATTCAACACACACAAATCAATAAATGTAATCCATCACATAAACAGAACCAATGACAAAAACCACATGATTCTCTCAATAGATGCAGAAAAGGCCTTAGGTAAAATTCAACATCCCTTCATGCTAAAAACTCTCAATAAGCTAGGTATTGATGGAACATATCTCAAAATAGTAAGAGCTATTTATGACAAACCCATAGTCAATATCATACGGAATGGGCAAAAGCTGGAAGCATTCCCTTTGAAAACGGCCACAAGACAAGGATGCCCTCTCTCACCACTCCTATTCAACATAGTACTGGAAGTTCTGGCCAGGGCAATCAGGCAAGAGAAAAAATAAAGGGTATTCAAATAGGAAGTCTAATTGTCTCTGTTTGCAGATGACATGATTGTATACTTAGAAAACCCCATCGTCTCAGCCCAAAAACTCCTTAAGCTGTTAATAAACTTCAGCAAAGTCTCAGCATACAAAATCTATTTGCAAAAATCACAAGCATTCCTATACACCAACAGCAAAGAAGCAGAGAGTCAAATCATGAGTGAACTCCCATTCACAATTGCTACAAAGACAATGAAATACCTAGGAATCCAACTTACAAGTGACATGAAGGACCTCTTCAAGAACTACAAACCACTGCTCAAGGAAATGAGAGGACACAAACAAATGGAAAAACATTCCATGCTCATGGATAGGAAGAATCAGTATCATGAAAATGGCCATACTGCCCAAAGTAATTTACAGATTCAACGCTATTCCCATCAAGCTACCATTGACTTTCTTTGCAGAATTACAAAAAAACTACTTTAAATTTCATATGGAACCAAAAAAGAGCCTGTATAGCCAAGACAATCCTAAGCAAAAAGAACGAAGCTGGAGGCATCATGCTACCTGACTTCAAACTATATTACAAGGCCACAGTAACCAAAACAGCATGGTACTGGTACCAAAACAGATATATAGACCAATGGAACAGAACAGAGACCTCAGAAATACCACCACAAATCTACAACCATCTGATCTTCGACAAACCAGACAAAAACAAGCAATGGGGAAAGGATTCCTATTTAATAAATGGTTCTGGGAAAACTGGCTAGCCATATGCAGAAAACAGGAATTGGACCTATTCCTTACACCTTATACAAAAATGAACTCAAGGTGGATAAAAAGACTTAAATGTCAAGCCCAAAACCATAAAAACCCTACAAGAAAACATAGGTAATACCATTCAGGACATAGGCATGGGAAAAGACTTCATGACTAAAACACCAAAAGCAATGGGAACAAAAACCAAAATTGACAAATGGGATGTAATCAAACTAAACAGCTTCTGCACAGCAAAAGAAACTATCATCAGAGTGACTAAACAGCTTCTGCACAGCAAAAGAAACTATCATCAGAGTGAAGAGGCAACCTACAGAATGGGAGAAAATTTCTGCAATCTACCTATCAGACAAAGGTCTAATATCTAGAATCTACAAGGAACTTAAACAAATTTACAAGAAAAAAAGAAACCCATCAAAAAGTGGGCGAAGGATATGAGCAGGCACTTCTCAAAAGAAGACATTTATGTGGCAAACAAACATGAAAAAAAGCTCATCTTCACTGATCATTAGAGAAATGCAAATCAAAACCACAATGAGATACTATCTTACACCAGTTAGAATGGGGATTATTAAAAAGTCAGGAAACAACAGATGCTGGCAAGGTTGTGGAGAAATAGGAACACTTTTACACTGTTGGTGCGAGTGTAAATTAGTTCAACCATTGTGGAACAGTGTGGCAATTCCTCAAGGATCTACAGCCAGAAATACCATTTGACCCAGCAATCCCATTACTGAGTATATTCCCAAAGGATTATAAATCATTCTACTATAAAGACACATGCAAATGTATGTTTACTGCAGCACTATTTACAATAGCAAAGACTTGGAACCAACCCAAATGCCCATCAATGTTAGACTGGATAGAGAAAATGTGTCACATATATACCATGGAATACTACGCAGCCATAAAAAAGAATGATTTTGTATCCTCTGCAGAGACATGAATGAAGCTAGAAGCCATTATCCTCGGCAAACTAACACAGGAACAGAAAACCAAACACCACATGTTCTCACTCATTAGTGGGAGCTGAACAACAAGAACACATGGGACACAGGGAGAGGAACATCACACACACGGGGGCCTGTCGGTGGGTTGGGGGCAAGCAGAGGGGGAACATTAGGACAAATACCTAATGTATGCAAGGCTTAAAACATAGATGACGGGTTGATAGGTGCAGCAAACCACCATGGCACATGCATACCTATGTAACAAACCTGCACCTTCTGCACATGTATCCTAGAACTTAAAGTAAAATAAAATAAAAGTTTTCCATTCTCTGATTGGTGCGTTTACAATCCCTGAGCTAGACACAAAGGTTCTCCACATCCCCACTAGATTAGCTAGATACAAAGTGTCGACACAAAGGTTCTCCAAGTCCCCACCAGAGTAGCTAGTTACAGAGTGTCGATTGGTGCATTCACAAACCCTGAGCTAGACACAGGGTGCTGATTGGTGTGTTTACAAACCTTGAGCTAGATACAGAGTGCTGATTGGTGTATTTACAACCCCTGAGCTAGACATAAAGGTTCTCCACGTCCCCACCAGACTCAGGAGCCCAGCTGGCTTCACCGGGGCTGCTGGTGGAGCTGCCTGCCAGTCCCGCGCCGTGCCCCGCACTCCTCAGCCCTTGGGTGGTCGATGGGACTGGGCGCCGTGGAGCAGAGGGCGGCACTCGTCAGGGAGGCTTGGCCGCACAGGAGCCCATGGAAGGGGTGGGAGGCTCAGGCATGGCGGGCTGCAGGTCCCGAGCCCTGCCCCGCGGGAAGGCAGCTAAGGCCAGGTGAGAAATCGAGTGCAGCGCCGGTGGGCCGTCACTGCTGGGGGACCCAGTACACCCTCCGCAGCCGCTGGCCCGGGTGCTAAGCCCCTCATTGCCCGGGGCCGGCAGGGCCGGCCGGCTGCTCCGAGTGCGGGGTCCGCCAAGCCCACACCCACCCGGAACTCCAGCTGGCCCGCAAGCGCCGCGCACATCCCCGGTTCCCGCTCGCGCCTCTCCCTCCACACCTCCCTGCATGCTGAGGGAGCCGGCTCCAGCCTTGGCCAGCCCAGAAAGGGGCTCCCACAGTGCAGCGGTGGGCTGAAGGGCTCAAGTGCCCCCAAAGTAGGAGCCCAGGCAGAGGAGACGCCGAGAGCGAGCAAGGGCTGTGAGGACTGCCAGCACGCTGTCACCTCTCATTAGTATAATCTGTATTGCACTGCGAAATAACTGCCTAAATGTTTCACCAAGTTTTATTATCCATGATACTCACTGCCAAGTCTACCCAAAACACTGTAGAAGGCTATAGTCCAAATTATTACAAAGTTAATTTATTCACTTAAATCAAGTAATTTCAGGAGCAATCCTTCTCCAGAAGCTTAGCAAATTTTTTACTGCTTTATATTAAAATGCAAATGCATGAACTCTAAAAATCTCACCATTATTTTTAATTACAGAAAGAACACCAAGAGACTGATTTAAAATATATAATATATATAGTAAAATGCTTGTTTGTTCCATAGTAAAACTTAATTGAATGCTCAAGCAGGTTACAAATTTGCTTTAAGCAACTTTCTCACGAAGTTGTAGATTCTTAAATGCCACACACAGAGTTTCAGGTTGGAATTATTCACCTTCCTGCAAAACGTACTACAGGCAAATAATAATAATAACAAAAATGACCTAATTAGCTCAGCTATATGTACAAAAAAAGCAAACATAAATGAGGTGGCTCCATATTTCATTGCTTTGTATGACTGTGACACATTCACTGCCATATTCCTGAAGCTAAAATTCCTATACTAATTTGCAAAGTAAACACAGTACGAAACTAGAAGCTGCAGCATTAGATTCTAGTCTATTATGCATTCTCCATCTGCTGTCCCACACTCACAATATTTAATTTTAGCAAAATCTAATTCAGTGTATCTCTACATGAATGCCTCATTAGACATCTCAAACTTTTAGCCTCCAAGATGGCCTCTCAAATAGGCTTTACTTCCCATCTCATTATCTAATATTTCATATCTCAGTATAAAGCACCACTCTCCATGCAGCTGCCCAAATCATAACCCAGGAATAATTCCTTCCTTGTTTTTAACCCATCCTCTACATCCAGCCTAACAACAGGCTCTGCCAATCTACCTCTAAAATAAGCCCCAAATTTACTGACTTTTCTCCATCTCTCCCAACATCACCCTAAATATCACCATATTCTTATACCTAAGACTATTACTAGAGCCACTTTCATTCTGGACTCCTATTCCATTCTACATTGAACAGCTCTTATATCATATTCTACATCTCATCACTCCCCTGCTTAAAAGTCCTCCAATAGCTTAAAATCCAAATTGTTTTCCTTGGCCTACAAGGCCTTAGATAATTTGGTTCTTTCTCATCTCTCCAAACTCATCTCGGGCCACACTTCCTCCTCAGTCACTACACCTAAGACATGCTTATCTTCTTTTGACTTCTCAAAACATACCTATTGTGGACTGAATGTTTACATCCCCCTATAATTCATGTTGAAATCCTAACCTCCAACATGATAGATAAAGTGGTGGGGCATTTGGGAGCTGATTAGGTCATAAGGGCGGAGTCCTCATAAATGGAATTACTGTCCTTAGAAAACAGACCCCAGAGAAAGCTCTGTTTTAGTCTGTGAGGACACAAAGAGAAGATAGCTATGAATCAGGAAGAGGGCCCTCATCAGACACTGAATTGCAGGCACCTTCCTCTTGGACTCTCTAGCCGCTAGATTGTGAAAATAATCAGACGTCTTCCCTAATCACCTTAATGTAAACAGGTCCAATTCTAATTGGTCAATATTCTCAGCACTTTATTGCTTTCAAAATAGTATAAACGAAGCTTTGTGTACTGGCAATATCATAACCAATGAGGTTCATCCAAGACATGATAATTGCTAATGGCAAACAGCATAAAACCAACTGCCAAAAAAATGCTTTGCATCCCACAAGAACTAGATATAGACAAGTGCCATTTTTGCTACACAGAATGCTTTAAAAAAAAAAATGGTGGGAAATAGAGAAGGGTATCCTTGAAGAAAAACCTGTGTTTATCTACACTTTTAAAAGCTATGCATAGGATTAGTTCTCTGGAAGTGCCTAGAATATTCCCACTTTAGTGCCTTTGCTCTTGCTGTTCCCTCTGCCTAGGAAGTTTTTAATCCCAGATAAATATGCATGATCTCCTAAACTGCTTCAGGTCTTCATTTAATGTCATCCAATCAGTGAGGACTTCCCTGACCATCCTATTTAAAATAACAACGCCCTTTCCCAACAAAGTCCTTTCTCATCTTCCTTTGCTTTTTCTCTCATGGCACTCATCATCATAGGACACATAATACATATCACCACTGGTATAGACCACTGGTCTGATATGACCACTGGTATAGACTCCCACTTGGTCCTTTTCAATTCCCATTTGCTTCTTTCTAATTCATTAACCATACTGCAGCCAAAGGGATGTCTTAAAAAGGGAAATCTGATTCTGTTATAGGTCTGCTTAAAATGTTTCACTGGTCTCCTACCATCCCACTCTCTGTTCCTCCTGCCAGGGATTAAGTTCAATATTGTTAAAATGGCCTACAAAGCCCTGAACAGGCAGCGTCTCTGCCTGACTTCCAGTTTGACCTCCTTACCACTCTCGATCTTGATCACCACATTCTAGTCAGTTCTCAGAACTTAGTAGGCTCTTTGCTTCTGAACCTAGCCCAGATCATTCCCTCAGCCTGAAACAACTTTCATCACAACCACACCACTCTCTCTAGCCCTTCCTCCTTCCTCTACAACTCCAGTTATAAATGTAACAATTACGTAAAAGTGATCTGTTTAATGCCTGGCTCCTCTGCTACCCTACACATTCAGAGGGAAGGGATCGTGCCTGTCATATTTACCCCAGCGTCCCCTGTGCTTAGCACAGAGGCTGGCACATAGTAGGTTCTTATACTGGCTAGCTAATCCACACTACTACGGTCCGGGCATGATTCTCCTATAATGAAGACTGAATTTGCAGCCATGAAGATCAAAGACAATGAATGTTGTTTCCAAGACTTGATTAAACATGAGAGTATAAAATCTGTGAGAAATATTTGTGGCAATGGAAGAAAGAAAAATTTCCAAAAACTCACACAGACAAGGAATGAAAAATAATAGATGAAACAAGGCTGGCCATATACTGGTAACAGATGAGACTGAGTGACCGATATAGATTCATTCTACTATTTTCTTTGCTCTTATTTATACAATGTAATCTCAGTGTTCCAAAGACTGATAAAAATCTGAATTTTGCTAAAGACTGTAAAAAAGGAAGCTTATCCAATATCAGTCTTTCAATGAGAAAAAAGGTTCAAGAAGAGTAGTTATGCCTCCTACAGTTCTACTTAGGAATCTACTTTTACACCACCTGCAACTACAACAGAACCTGACACTGTAACAAAAAACACAGAAATTAAAGACTCAAAATAGATACACAGGTAGTAGCTGCATCAAGTCTAAAAACTCTTGTTTCTGTTTTAGTAGTTTTTCTATGTTACCACAGTTATTTCTGGAAAGTTATCTATTTCCTTCTACCTAGTAAGTCCTGCTTAAAAAGACCGAGAAGGAGGGGGATGGGAGAACAATAAATATTATTCACCCAGGAAGTCCTTTTGAAATGAACTGAAAACATCTATCATCAGAATTAAGGTGTATGTGATTATTGCTTTACAATCCTTGAATTTGAGTCTTATGAGGCATTACCACCTTCGTATTTGTAATAAAACTCCAGCTTTACAGACATCACCTAGGGGAAGGGAAGGGAATTGGGGAAGGGGTAGAAAAGAAAAGAAAGAAAAGTCCAGCTTAGAGAGAAAAGTGACCTGCCATGATCATACAACTGATAAGAGACACAGCAATAAATAAATAGATCAGGTCTGGTGCTCCATCTCAAAACAATAATTTCTCAGTCTACTTATTCTACTATAAGCAGAAGTAGTAAAAACAAGGCAATGCAATGACAACCCACCAGTCTATATCACACAAACCTCCAAAGAGCTGGAACGGCTGCATTTAACTTTTATGTTACCTACCAAACAAAAGTATTTTCCAAATGTCGTGACTTGTTATAAAATTACCATTAGCTAATCACCATCTCCTCTTAAAAACCAGTTTTAAGTTAAAATGGCACACTATCAAATAATTATTGTCTCTAAAATATTAATTAGTTGAAAAAGCCTAACCACATTTTAGAAACACTGTACACTTTTAACATATTAGCAGTTAAACCTTGCGTTTATTTGCAGGTCTACAGAACGTATCTAATGCCAACCCTCCCCGCCTTTTTGGGATTGTATACTCCGAAAAGCAAGAAACTAAGTCATGGTAAAAACATTTTTTATAGATTTCCTCAAATCACTAGCTTATAAGAAAAACAACTTGATATTAAATAGGTAATAGCCTGCACTTGCAGTAACAACTGCTCATAAATAAAAATGCTACTTTCTTTTATTTCTTGTGGCCATTAACTTTATTTCACAGAGAGGTTAAATATTTTTATATATAAAATGAAAACTCATAAAAAAAACACTGAAAGGCACAGTATGTCCTAAATGAGTTTTCTTGGTTTCATAAGCTTTTCTTATTTCTCTTTCACAGAGTTCTGAGAAATTAAAATTAGCATTTGAAAGTATTCAAAAATTGTTTAAACTGTTGTTTAGCTGTTATAATCTACAAGTGCAGTTCTAAATGAAATAAATGTGCCATCTATTATGTCACAATATTGAGAAATTTACAATTGCACTAACAGAAAGGTTTAATATCTCTGACTTCACAAATTAATAAAAACTTCTTTTGGAAGAAAAAACTCTACATAAAATCCAATTCCATAAATAAATTCAAACAAGACACTTCCTTTAGTTTAATAGGAAACTACTTATGAAAAATTGTTAATATTATTTCCTGTTAGTATTAGAAAGGAATAAAATAAAGAAGTCATGCAGTTAATATTTAGTTTCTCTACTCTCTGCCAAAGACCACACTAGGTGCTGGGGATACAAAAATGTAAGATGTACCCCAACCAGGCTAACTGATAGGCCAGCAAAATACATAAACCATATAACTATACCAGAGTGTGATAAAATACAAGAGAAAAAAATGCCTAAATGGACAAAAGGTCATGAAAGTTGAAAGCATTAACAGTTCTGCCTCCACTTTTCTATAAAGCTCTGTGAAGACAGGAGCCATGTTTGTCCCATCAGTGCTGGATGATCACTAGCCCCTAGCATAATGTCAGATATACACAAGGTGCTCAATAAATATCTGTTGACTAAAACAATAAAAGAAGGAAAGCTTCTTATAGAAAGTGACAACTGAGATGAGCATTAAAGCATCAGTAGGAGTTAAAGGGAAAAAAGTATTCCTGATAAAAGAAACAGAATAGAAAACATCCACCTTTTACCCATTTACATTAATTAACATTCAGCATTTTACTCCAAAATATATTTTCTACAAGCAACATTTACCAAGCTAAAGATTTCCGAAATGAATATTCTCATTCTGAATAAACAGAAAATAAAGTACCAAGGACTCCAGTATCCACAGCATACCTCTCATTAGACTTTGCTGTGGAGATCTCTCACAAGACTACTCAGTCTTAGAAGTATGTTAGCTCAATTACAGTAGTGTAAGCTTATTCATAATCATCACAAATAAAACCAAACATAATAGCTACAAAAATAATTTATAACCAAAAACAAAATGGAATAAAGTATATTTTAACCAAACATTATTAAGTTGGATTTAATCAAACGTCACTTTAAAATTAATTTAATAAAATTTAATAAAGAAAACTTTACAACAGTCACATAAGAAACAATATGAGCCAAGGCAGAAATAGAAAAAAAGTAATTTTATGCCCCAAAAAATTGTAATAAATGCAGTTATTAGACTAAGTCAGCTACATTATGTTATACCCAGTTCTGAATGTGTAACATTTTGAGTCAGACTTCAGGTCAAAGATAAACATGAGCTGTAGCTTGGTTAACCAACCTTTTATGGGCTGACAAGCATTTTCTTAAAAGGCCAGACAATAAATATGTTAGGCTTGTGGGCCACATAGTCTCCTCATAATGATTTAACTCTGCTACCGAAAGTAGCCAACGACAATACATAAGTGAATGAGTGTGGCCGGGTTCCAGTAAATCTTTATTTACAAAAGCAGATGGCTGGCCCATGATCGTATTTGCCAGCCCTCTCCTGGAATCTAAAAGTGACTTCTCACTAACTCTTTTCATCAAGACCGCTTTACTCCCTTTCAAATACTTTCACACAAACTGTATTAGTGTTTCATAAGGCCTCTACAGATATCAATGAAGCAAACCTAACAGATATTCTCTTGTTTTATAGATTAAGAAACTGGGCCGGGCGCGGTGGCTCACGCCTGTAATCCCAGCACTTTGGGAGGCCGAGGCGGGTGGATCACGAGGTCAGGAGATCGAGACCATCCTGGCTAACATGGTGAAACCCCGTCTCTACTAAAAATACAAAAAATTAGCCAGGCACGGTGGCAGCCACCTGTAGTCCCAGCTATTCGGGAGGCTGAGGCAGGAGAATGGCGTGAACCCGGGAAGCGGAGCTTGCAGTGAGCCGAGATCATGCCACTGCACTCCAGCCTGGGCGACAGAGCGAGACTCTGTCTCCAAAAAAAAAAAAAAAAGAAACTGAAGCTCAAAGCAGTTGACTTGACCTAAGGACTACTAAGACCTGAAACTAAAAACCAGGCCTTTGTTGTTCTTCTAACACTTAATCATTATCCTCCATACCCAATCTTCCAATGCCCCAAATAAAACATTTAAATCAGTTTTAGAATCCTCTGCTGAACCCCTGAGTTCTTTTTAACAGACTCAGCCATTCACAATAGACTCTAAGAACACCTACTTAACTGTCTAATTAAATTATTAACTTCAATTGTGAAGTTAACTCAAATCCTTCTCTCTTTACACGATCCTCATCTTTTTCTATTTAGGCTATCTTCTTATTTACAAGTCTCCTAAAATATCATTTAATCTTCAAATCACCAGCAAGAAACAAGGCACTACACCTTCTTAAGGAGGTGTAAATTATTGTAATCATTTAATAAGAATTTGTGAACTCAGTAATAAAAATGTGGTACGGGGCCTAGTGCTTAACTTTGCAAAGCTTATAACCTAGTTGAGAAATGCCAGATGTATAAATATGAAACTAAGGAGTGACTCCATGTAACCTAGGTAAAATCTAAAAATTTTAAAACAAAGAAATGAGAAATGAAAAAATGTAATTTACAGTATACACTGTCATAAAATGCATGCCTTACTTGCTCTTGATACCACAGAAATGCCCTAATTTTGTAAAAGGAAAGTTTAACAAATACTAAATACCTACAAACACCCATTTGATGTGGTAATAGCATAGTCCAAAAGTTAAAACTAGATCACAGTTTTTAAAAATTATGGCAGGTGAAGGTTTTCTTCTGTTTTATTCTAGTCATTGCCATG
Source organism: Homo sapiens (assembly GCF_000001405.40). Classification (NCBI taxonomy): domain Eukaryota; kingdom Metazoa; phylum Chordata; class Mammalia; order Primates; family Hominidae; genus Homo; species Homo sapiens. Next base: position 106,277,298 of record NC_000006.12, read on the forward strand.
AAAGAACATCTACTGGACTAACTCCCTGGCCAAAAACACTGTTGAAGACACAGGAATTACAGGACATGCCCTCACTTTGCATCATAGGATGGGACTGCAGAAGTAATCATGCAAGTTAAAACTAAGCAAAGTGATCTTAATAACTAATGGGGACAATTACGATTGTTCCACAATCTTTAAAAAATTTTGTCAAAACATTAAAAACTCTTACCGTTGGTTATAAATATACACTAGAGGCTGAGCATGGTAGCTCATGCCTATAATCCCAGCACTTTGGGAGGCCAAGGCGGGCAGATCACTTGAGGCCAGGAATTCGAGACCAGCCTGGCCAACATGGCAAAACCCTGTTTCTACTAAAAACACAAAATTAGCTGTGCATGTTGGCACATGCTTGTAATCCCAGCTACTCAGAAGGCTGAGACATGATAATCGCTTGAACCTGGAAGGCAAAGGATGCAGTGAGCTGAGATTGTGCCACTGCATTCCAGCCTGGGTGACAGAGTGAAACTTCGTCTCAACAAAACAAAACAAAACACCACAATAAATGTATACTGAACAATAACAAGTTAAAAGAAATCCTAATATTTATTTAGTACTTATAATTTAACACATTAGAAACACTGAGAACTGTTTTATTTTTAAATTTTATTAATTATTTTTTTTTAGAGACAGGGTCTCACTCTGTCACTCAGAGTGGAGTGTGGTGGCACAATCATGGCTCACTGTAACCTTGAACTCCTTGGGCTCAAGCAATCCTCCTGCCTCAGCCTGCCTAGGACTGTCGGCACATGCGACCATGCCCTGGCTAATGTTTAGATTTTTTTGCAGTGATGAGGTCTTGCTATGTTGCCCAGGCTGGTCTCCAACTCCTAGCCTCAAGTGATCCTCCCAGTTGGGCCTCCTAAAGAATGCTGGGATTACAGGAATGAGCCACCACACCCAGCCAAAAATGTTTTATTTCTTTGTAAAAACTTAAGAACTATAGTTTGAAGAGTGCTTGCTTTCTCAACATATAACTTATGGGCAAGCATCTTTCCCATGCCTTGGTGAACTGAAGTCATTTTTCTACATTTTAATCAACTTCTAATATTTTATTATTTGTATTTCAATGTCATAAAATATCTGAGAGTTCCTTTAATATGAAATTTTTTATAGCATCACTTCCTTTGGGACATCTTCATCCTTTTGTCACAACTACTTTCCTTATTTATGTCAATAAGTTCACCTTTACTGCATATAAGTTCCTCAGTAAGTTCCCCTGGCTGCATAATCTAGTCTCTTGAAGGGCAGCCATGTCAACATTTCCAAAGTCAGCTATTGCTTCCATAACTCCATTTCTTTCTATTCAAATTTCATTCCCAACATTATCAGTTTGTTTCTTTGTTGGATTTACATCTCTCTTGGCCAATTCCCTTTTTTCAATTATCCATTTTTATAAAATGTTACATGGGCTTATTGCTGGAGACAAGGAGGCAACACGACTATGTGCTTTGCTATCTGTGGGTAAAATGAATAACAGACATAGAGAGGCCAATCACTGACAGACATGGAAAGAAGTGACATAATTTATCACCGATCATAAGCTCATCTGTTGTTATGTAATGATTCCTGGACTAAACTAGCAATAAAGTTTGCATTTTATGTAATTATCTGCGGTTAATATACCACAGTAATTGAAATTTGAACCATACAGTTGGGGACCTGGTGTTACTTAACTAAACCATGATAACTGAAATTCATGCATACTGGAACCATGGAAAGGGAGGACTATCTGTACATAAAATAACTGTTTGAAGGCACTAGAGGGTGATCAATGCAGGCAAGATCACAGAGTTATTTACATTCTCCAAAATATGAGGGATACAGAGATGAGCACCACATTCCACTTAGCTTTTTCCTTGGGAGTATTTTCTAAACCACAGCAAGGAGAAAGGGAATTGAAGCACAAAGCAAGTCTACTGTCCTGAGAAAGCAGAGGTTGGAGTTCAATCCCCACACGTGGAGGTATCTTTGTACATACCCAGAATTTTCCACTGTGACCACAGAAGGGTCATGACTAAGGAATAAAGACCACATCCTTAGAGTAATGGCATTTCCTTCAGAAGCTATACCCAAGTTTATATGACATATGCCATATGTTAGGGGCTGAGCAATCAGTCTAATGCTAGAGAATCCATGAACAGAGGACACCAAAAGAGCAGAATGTAAGGGATGACTAAAAGTAGCTTCTGTGCAAATCTGGGCACAGAGGCTACAATTTAAACTTGTACCACCAATTCTAAAATGTATCAACTACTCACAGGGTTATGGCTGTATCATATTTTATAAAGTGGTATTCTAAAATTAAACACTATTATACTTACCATTTTGCAATCCCATCCAGAGTTGCTTGTGATCTTTTTTCTGCATTTCATTGATTACTTGACTTTTATGTTTTAAAGCATCAGCTTCTTTCATACATGACATAAAATGAGCTTCAATTGCATCCTTAGATGGACAGTGCAGAAGGTCTTTTTCTGGAAAACTCTATCAAAGGAAAAAATATACATATAAAACAGGATACACACATTACAAAATTAACCTCTTAAAAGAGAACTATATCCCCCAGTTTTTCAATATTTCTAGTAAACTATCTCTTAGCACTGAAATAACCCAAAATACTTTAAAATTTAACTTAAAAATCTTTAGCTATTTGGCCCATTTTGTACTTTTCCCAAATAATTCTTATGTGTTTTATAACAACATGAAAAAAAGGCATCAAAGGGTAATAATCTGAAAAATAGCTTTTCAACTGACCATACCAATATTGGCAAAGATGTGGAATGGAGCCCTCACACACTACTAACAGAAATGTAAAATAGTATAACCACTTTGGAAAAGTCTGGTAGTTTCTTAAGAAGAGTAAACAGACACCTACCATCTGACCCAGCCATTCCACAACTAGGCATTTACCTAAGAGAAATGAAAGTATTATGTCAAAAAAAAAAAAAAAAGAAAGAAAAGAAAAAAGTATTATGTCCATATGTCCATTTAAGGACTTGCTACATGAATGTTCACAATAGTTTTATTTGTAACAGCCCCAAACAGAAAACAAATCTAAATATCAACAGGTAAATGAACATATAAATTGTGGCATAAACTTATTCACTTTGACTAGGTTAAGCTTACTATAAGTCAATTAGACCTCAATAAAGCTGTTAAAAAAGTAGATTTTAAAGTCAAATAGCTAAATTTACATTCTATAACTTCACTGATTCTTTTAGGCAGCTAAAGCAATGATCATTGGACATATAGGGAGTTAGGTAAATGAGACGACTGATGCACTTTTCACTGAAAAAAAGATAATAACAGCTAACAGTTACTGAACACTTACTGTGACACCGTATTAAAACTTTTTATATGGATTATCTTATTTAATCCTAACAACACTTGAGGTAAACATTATTATTATTGCTATTTTACAGATAAAAAAATTAAAGCTTAGGGAATGTCTCAAGTCGCAAGTGTCATTCAGCTTGATAGTCATGGGGCTAGGATTTAAGGCTAATTTGACTCAAGTCCTACATTTTAACCACTGTACAATATCACTTCCTCCAAAGACTTAAATATTTAAGATAATCATTATATTCAAACATTATTTTACAAAGTTATTATCCTATATGTCCTTTAATAAATTTAAAAGGAGCTAAAAATGGCAAAAAAACAGCATTTAGTTATAGCCTACTCCGGTTACTGTATTCACAAACAACATTCAATTAACCCTGTCATGGAGCCTTCATAAAAAGAATGAAATGAAAAGATAAAGAAAGAAGCTCCTGAGTGACTATGAAACACTGATGGAAAGCAGGAATTAATTGAAAGTGATTAAAGATACCATTCCTCATCTCTCTCAATAAACTTTTTTAAAAGTCAAACTTATGATTCACATACAGTGAAATGCAGAAATCAAGAGTACAATTAAATGAGTTTTGACAATGAGTAACTGTCAGCCCAAGTATACAGCATTACCATCACCCACAAAAGTTCCTCTGTGCCCTTTGCAGTCAGTTCCCTCATTCCCTTCCCAAGGAATTACTGATAATGACATAACACCAGATTAGTTTTGCCTGTAATAAAATCTCATATAAACAGAATTGCAGTATTATGTAACTTAGTATCTTTCACTTAGCATATTTTTGAGATTCATTCCTGTTACTACACATATCAGTAATTAATTCCTTTTTGTTGCTGAGTAGCAGGCCATTTAATGAATACACCACAATCTGTTTATCTAAAAACTTGTTAATAGACACTGGGATTGTTTCTAGATACTGGCTATTATTTAAAAAGCTGCTATGAACATTAATACACAAGTCTTTTATAGACACGTCTTCATCTTTCTTGGGTATACAGCTGGAAAAAGAAATGCTGGGTCATAGAGTAAGTGTATGTTCTAACTTTACTTAAAAACTGCCAAACTATTTTTCAACATGATGTACAATTTTACACTCCCACTAGCAATGTATAAGAGTTCTGGTTACTCCGTGTCCTCAAACTTGCTACTGTCAATCTTTTTCATTTTAGTCATTCTAGTGAGTGTAATGTAATGTCTCTTTGTGGTTTTAATTTACATTTCCATGATGACTAAAGATGTTGAGTGCCTTTTCATGTTTGTTGGTAAATTCATATATGTTCTGTGAACTAAGTTTTTTTGCATTTGTTTAAAAGCAACTAATAGAGAACAAGTTGAGTATAATGTGAATTTTATGGTTGCATATGTAAATACTGTTCACAAGAATTGCTAGGTGAACAGAAAATTTCACCTAGCTAAACCAATCAGCTAGGAAAACATACAATGCACACATGTGCACACCTCCAAAATGGACCAGCTACTTCAATTCATGTTATGAGCTGTACTCATCTACATCAGGTGCTACAATTTCTTGTCCGATTCCAGAAAATCCTCCTTTCACTTCACCTGTCACGGCGCAAGTCTTCTATGTCCATTTCTGCAAGCAAAGTTCCAGTCTTTGCAACATGAAATGCCATATTTATTGTAGTATTTATGCATTTCTCATACATTTTACCTGTGTAAAACTGTGGTATGGTTTTTACTAGGTTCCTGTTTTTTTATCAGTGTAAGTTTGTGGATGTTGTGCCCCTAACCCTTTGCCCCAGAAGTAACCCTTTCCTCCAAAAGTCCTGTGGTTTTTACTGTACAATTTTTAATAGCAAAGTTAAGAACACATACGATGCATTATGGAAGTGCTTACACTGAGCAGACATTCTTGCCTTTTTCCTGATCTTAGTTTGGTAAAACATTCGATAAACCATCATGTAGCATGACTTTAACTGTAGGCTTTTCATATCTATCCTTTGTCAAATTAAGTAAATTCCCTTCTATTCCTAAGCTTGCTATAAGTTTTGATGACAAACACGTATTAAATTCTGTCCATGAATGACTTTTTCTGTATCTATTGATTTTTCTATTTTATTCTGTGATTTACATGGATTGAGATTTTTTTATTTTGAGAGGGTCTCACTGTGCCACCCAGGCTGGAGCACAGTGGCACAATCACACCTTATTGCAGCCTCAACCTCTGGGGCCCAAGCGATCCTCCCAATTCAGCCTCCTGAGTAGCTGGAACCACAGGTGTACACCACCACACTCAGCTAATTTTTTTAATTTTTTTTTGTAGAGATGAGGTCTCCCTATGTCGCCCAGGCTGGTCTTGAACTTCTGGGTTCAAGTAATCCTCCTGGTTCAGCCTCCCAAAGTACTGGGATTACGGGCATGAGCCACTGCACCTGGCCTACACGGATTGAGATTTGAATGTTGAATCAATTTTGTACTCCTAGGATAAACTCAACTCAGTCATGGTGTGTACCATCCTTTTTAATTATTACGAGATTCAATTTGCTAGTACTCTGTTGAAGGCTCTTGCATCCATGATCATGAAATATACTGGCTTATAATTTTCTTTTAATGTCTTTATCAGGTTTCAGTATCAGGGTTATTCTGGCCTCTAACACAAGTTGGCAAGTGTCTCATTTCTGGAAAAAGTTTGTACAGAGTAACAAAGCTTGTAAAGTTTGTAATATTATTTCTTAAATATTTTATTTTATTTTTATTTTTAGAGACAGGGTCTCATTATGCTGCCCAGGCTGGAGTGCAGTGGCTACTCACAGGTGCACTCCCAGTACTAATCAGCACGGGAGTTTTGACCTGCTCCATTTCTGACCTGGGCTGTTTCACCTTTCCTTAGGTAACCTGGTGGTCTCTTGCTCCCAGGAGGTCACCGTATTGATGCTGAACTTAGTGTGGAAATTCAATCGGCATAGCACACTACGGCCCAGAACTCCTGGGCTCAAGCGTTCCTCCCACCTCAGTCTTCTGAGTAGCTGGGACAACAGGCATGTGCCACCGCGCCCGACTAGTTCTTAGGTATTTTATAGACTTCACCAATGAAACGATCTGTGCAGGGTGTTTTACTCTCTGAGGCTTTTAAAATTACAAATCAAAGTTACTTATCAACAGCTATTCATTTCTGTTATTTCTTATGTCGGTTTTGGTGACTTGTGTTTTCATTGAATTTGTCCATCTGTCAAATTTATTGGCACAAAGTTATTTATTCAATTAATATAAATGCATTATATAATGTGCAGTCTTTTGTGTCTTCTTTCACTTAACATGGTATTTTCAAGGTTGTAGCATATTATCAGTAATTCACTCCTTTTCATGACCAAATTATACTCCATTGTAAGGATACATACAGTATTTTGTTTATTCATCAGCTGATGGACATTGGGTTATTTCCACTTTGCCTATTATGAACATTCATGTATAAGCTTTTGTGTGGACGCAAGTTATTTCCCTATTTTGCATATCAGAATTACATATTCAGTTCTCTTGGGAATATTACTAGGAATAGAACTGCTGTGTAATGTGGTAAGTATATCATTTGATGACATACCAAACTGCTTTCCAAAAAGGCTACACCATTTTACATTCTCATCAGCAACGTGTGAAGGGTCTAATTAACCTATACCCTCTCCATCATGTGTTACTGTTTTCTGTATTTTGTTGTTTTTTTTTGGAGACAGGGTTGCACTCTTGTCACCCAGGCTGGGTTGCAGACATGCCATCAGGAATCACTGCTCCTCCCAGGCTCAAGAGATCCTCACACCTCAGCCTTCCAAATAGCTGGGACTATAGGCACATGCCACCACACCAGGCTATTTTTTAAAATATTATTTTAGTAGAGATGAGTTCTCGTTATGTTGACCACACTGGTCTCAAAATCCTGAGCTCAAGTGATACAACTGCCTCATCCCCACAAAGTGCTGGGATTATAGGCATGAGCCACCACACCCAGCCTTGTACATCATCTTTTTGATGATAACCAATCTAGAGGGCGTGAAGGGGTAACTCGTTGTGTGGGGTTTTTTTTGTTTTTTTTTTTTGCTTTTCCCTAAAAACCAGTTATGCTGAACATCTTTTCATGTGTTTACTGGCCATTTATAGAACTTTACAGAAATGTCTATTCGAATCCTTTGACTAATTTTTAATTGGGTTTCTTTTTATTATCAAGTTATTTCCATATTCCGTATATTAAACTGTTATTAGATAGTATATGATTTGCAAATATTTTCTCCCTTTCTGTAGGCAACCCACACACAGTCTTGATTATTATAGCTTTGACACTGAGGAGTGTAACCATTATTTCTTAAAAATATTTCTTCTGACCCATTCTCTCTCCTCTCCTTGAATCCAATTACATGCAGACTGCCTGATATTATCCCAGAGGCTCTGTTTTTCCTCTATACCAATTTCCATCTCTCTATTCTCCAAACTGGGTAACTTCTATCGATCTGTCTTTGAGTTCAAAGAACCTTACTTCTGCCATCTTTAATTTGCTGTTAAGCCCATGTAGTAAATTCCTCATTTCAGATATTTTTCTAAGCAGTTCTACAATTTTGTGGTTTTTTTAAGTTACTGAATTTATAATAGTTGCTTTAATTCATTTTTCCGGTAGTACCAAGATGTGGATTCTCTTAGGTCAGTTTCTATTGAGAGTAAAATTTTTTTTTATTTGATATGGACCATATTTTCTTGCTTATTTGCAAGTCAAGTAGTTGTTGATTGTATGGTGGACACTGTGAATATGTTGTAAGGATTCTAGATTATACTGTCTTCCTTTAAGATGCTAAGTTTTGTTCTGGCTGGCAGTTAACTTACTGGCAGCTCTCCTTAATCCTAAAAAGGCAGGTCCAGAGCAACTCTTACTCTAGGGTTAAAGACTGGCAATAGAGATTGGCAAACTTTCTGTAAAGGATTAGACAGTAAATATTTAACACTGTGCAGGTCATACAGTCTCTATCCCAAATACTCAACTAGGCTGTTGTAGCCGCAAAGCAGTCATAGACAATATGTATATGAATTTCCATGAGTGGATGCATTTCAATGCAACTTTATTTATGGTCATCACTAAATCTGTATTTCATGCAATTTTCACGTCACAAAATATTTTTTTAAATTTTTTTCTAACCACTTAAAAATGTAAAAACTACTCTTATATCACAGGCCATGCAAAAACAGTCAGTGGACCACATTTGCCAACTCCTGCTCTGATGTATGATCCTTACTCCAAAATCATGGCCTTTCTGGCATCTCAAGTAACTGCCTAGTATGTAGCCAGATGTCTCTCCACTTTGAATGAGCTGGAATCCAACATTTCCCAGCATCATAAGACGTTCAGTATCTTTTGTCCACTCTTAACCCTACAACATCCACTATCTACTAGACCTTGCAGAGTATCAGCTATGCATGTGCAACCCAGGCCTCAGCCAAGCACCCAGGGAGAACATACACGTACACTTTGGCTCCTCCTTCTCTGATACCCTGCCTAGCAAGTTCCAACCACTTCAGCAGCCCAGAACTCCAATTTGTGCATCCTCAGCTCAACTGAACTTCTTTGCTCTGCTTGAGCTCCACTCTCCGTACCACCGTCAGGCAACCGTTCCAAAGCACATGGGGCTCACCTTGTTTGTTCCCTTTCTAAGGTTCAGTGCTAAAAACAGCTCTATTTCATATTTTTGGTCCTGTTTTCTAATTGTTGATGACTAGAGGAAAACTCAAATACCAGTTACTCTGTCACGGCTAAAAGTATATGTTAACATCAATAAATATCTGATGAATAAATGACTAAACAAGCCTTACTTCATAAAGTTCTAAGTTTGCATGACCCTCCATGATTTCCACCACCTGGTATTCCTATCTTTCTATAATCCCTTCCCCCTTGCATGTGGGCAGAACCTGTGACTTGCTTCTAACTCAAAGAATGCGGCAAAGGTGATGGGATGTTACCCCAGTGATTAAGTCATGTTATACAGTAAGATTCTGTCTTACTACCAGACTACCTCTAGACTTTCTTTGTTGCCCTGAAGCAAGTAGGCATGTTGGGAAAGTCCACATGACAAGAACTTCACATGGTCTTTAGGTGGTCAATGCAGCTTATTACTGACAGCCAACAAGAAGATAGGCCCCTCAATCCTACAACCATAGGATATGAATTCTGCCAGCAAACTAAGTCTACAAGTGGATTCTCCCTCAGTTGAACTTCCAGTTAAGAACGCAGCCCAGCCAACACCCTGATGGCACCCTCATAACCTAGGCAGAAGATCCAGGTATAAGCTATGCCCAGAATCCTGACCCACAGAAACTGTCAGAGAACAAATGTTGTTTTAAGCTGGTGGTAATTTGTCAGACAATAGTAGATAACTAATACAACATACTATTGATAGATACTATAAAACAGCTACCAACATTTATAGCTGGGAAGTGCAGGCAGTGATAGAAGCAAAGGAGAGACCATGAAATACACTCAAGAACTTCAGGAAAGAAAAGCTACCACAGACCTATGTCAACAACACATAACAGGAGGAGGGACATGATAAATTCCTTCAAAGAAACACAGTGGCTCTTGGCCTAGCAAGAAAAAACTTGTCCATCAGAAAAGAAGCTTGCTCAGTCACACAAAAATACTCAAGGAACAGTCAGGACCAATGCAGGGCTTTTTCAAGCATGGTAAGCAAAACAGGATTTGCCTGCTGTGCTTGAAAGACAGTTGGTTCAAAAACCTAACTTGTGTTATCTCTGGCATTCAGCAGAGTTCAGCACATAAGCACTTATCTGAATGTTGATCTTATTTTACTTAACAAATGTGAGCTCTTACCCTTAATCATTGCTGTCAACATTCAAAATTAAAATGTCTCCTCTCCTCAAAACCAAAACGCACCAAATCAGCACCATGTTACCAAGAGGAAGAAAGAAAAACACCAAGGTTTTATAGGATTTGTTTACTCTATTAAACTTTATTTAGGATTTGCAACAGAACTGGGCATTTTAAAGACCCCACTATTTTCACCTGATGTCATTAAACTTTTGAATCACATTAACTCCTTTTTTAAAAATTCCATGCACTGTTCTCAACATGGACAAAGAGAGAAAAAATTTTTTTAATTTTAAAAAATCTACATACTGTAAGTAATCTTTTAACTGTAATGTCGCTTTGCAAGCAGCATGCCTATAGAATTAATGAAAAAAAATACAGAGAGAAAACGCAAAGGTGGCAAAATGTTAAAAAGCAGCAAATCCAAGTGAAAGGTATTATGAGTATTCACTGGACCACAATTAACTTTTTTTTTTTTTTTTAGATGGAGTCTACTCTGTTGCCCAGGCTGGAGTGCAGTGGCATGGTCTCGGCTCACTGCAACCTCCGCCCCCCAGGTTCAAGCGATTCTCCTGCCTCAGCCTCCCGAGAAGCTGAGATTACAGGCACCTACCACCATGCCCAGCTAATTTTTGTATTTTTAGTAGAGACAGGGTTTCACCATGTTGGCCAGGCAGGCCTCAAACTCCTGACCTCAAGAGATCCACCTGCCTCACCTCCCAAGGTGCTGGGATTACAGGCATGAGTCACTGCCCTGCCGCACAATTAATTTTTCTAATATATGTTTAAATTTTTTAATATAAAAAACTGGGGACACAGAAATGAGATAATTTTCTTGGTAGTCTCACCAAGTTTAGGAATCAAAATGTCCTTAAAAACCAATGAGAAAAGCTTGAAGAAGGTACCATTTTCATTGTTTTGGTAAACAAAACATACATCCAAATCTATATGTTATAAAGCAATTAACACTCTACAATTATATTTATCTCCCAGAAAATAGAAAATACAAAAATGCCTATAAAAATATTAATTTTCTGATTCACCCTTAAAAGCTTTTGGTTCTACAGACAATTACCATTAACTTTTAGATCTTCATTGTTCTCTAACTCTTGTTAATCAACATGTGGTCTGGTGGAACAATATCATAGCATTACCTATGCACTTGTAAGAAATGCAGAATCTCTCTGAATCCAACCCAATGCTGCAGAATCAGAAACTGCACTTTAGTAAGAGACACAGGTAACTTGAAAGCACATTAAAGTTTGAAAATCACTATTGTAGACATTAAAATGCATTTATTATAAACATTATAAACCTATACAAATCACAAACATCAAAGTCAGTTAAAAATTAGAGGAAATATGTCTGTTTGAAAACTGTTTAACAGTGTTTTTTTGAAGAGTTTAGTCTGAACTACTGATCCAAATGTGTGTGTGTGTGTGGCAGAGGCAACAGGATCTCTTAGAAGCTTTGATATTGCACAAAAAAATCTAATCAAAATCTATTACAACCTTTGAAAACAATTGTAAAAGAAATTCTAAGAAGTCTGGTTAAAACATCAACATTATCTGGCATACTCAATACAACACCACAGAAGATAAATGCAGAGACACCAAGTGACACAAAATTGTTACTCAATACATCCAATCTGTTGAATGTATAAACTATTTTCTACAAACTTTAAAAACCACTTCCTCACTAAAAGCATTGATTTTCTGCCTGAAAATTAACACTTACCCAGTTTCATTATAATCAATCAAAAATCTATAAGGCAGTACAATAGAGGCAGGCCTACATCAATCAGTACAAGCTATCAATTAAACATGTGAAGACAACCTTTGAAGTAACCTAGGTCCTGATGCTCCCCTAAATGAATGGAACTTAGTATATACAGAAAAAAAAAAAATCTGGGCAATAACTTTCCTCTAACAGGCCAGGATAAGAATAAGTAAGAACAGCTGAAAGAAACACACTGATAGCTTGAACAAACTCTAAATGTTCTCTGTAATTTCCTTATTAACTGTAAGATTCTTTTTTCTATTTGCTAATAAACTTTTCTACTGGGAAGAAAATGTATGACCTACTAAGGATCCCAAAGAGTTTATATTTATGTGGATTATATTACTGATATTTACACTAGAAATTAGAGCTGAAACATTTAAAAAAAACATTAATTCACTTAAAAATACCAAGAATAAAACCACTATACATTAACACTAAAATTGTATTTCCACAAAAATCAACTATGTTTCCCAGAACAACAACAACAAAAAAAACAGGAACACTGGCACTAATTTGTATTTTTGCAAATAACTTTAATGCCTTAATAGACAACCAATGGATTACCTTAAACTTGCTTCTATGTTCAATATTCTACAATATGTTGTTTTGGTTGAAGTATATAAAGAAAATTCAGGCTCACAAAGATATGTAGTTTAAAAGAAGTATTTTAATAGCCTTTTTGGCTTTGTGGATATTCTTCAATACTACACCAAATTTAACAAGTTCAGTTTATTATATTATTATTATTTTGAGACAGAGTTTCACTCTGTCACCCAGGATAGAGTGCAATCACTGTGAGTGGTACAGCTCAATGTAACCTCAAACTCCTGGGCTCAAGTGATCCTTCCACTTCAGCTTCCCAAGTAGCTGGGACTAGAGGTGCATGCCACCATACTTGGCTTATTTTATTTTATTTTATTTTATTTATTTTATATATTTTATTTTATTTATCTATTTTATTTTATTTTATTTATTTTATTTTATTTTATTTTATTTTTAGATACAGAGTCTGCCCTGTCATTCATTCTTTCATTCGTTCATTTATTTTTAGAGAGAGTTTTGCCCTGTCACCCAGGATGAAGTGCGGTTGTCTGATCATGGCTCACTCCAGCCTCGAATTCCTGGGCTAAAGCGATCCTCCTGCCTCAGCCTCCCAAGTAGCTAGGACTACAGGTGCACACCACTGCGCCCAGCTAATTTTTAAACTTTTTGTAGAGATGGGGTCTACGTTGCCCAGGCTGGTCTCAAACTTCTGGGCTCAAGCAATCCTCCTGCCTCAGCCTCCCAATGTGCCAGGACTGCAGGTGTGAGGTATCATGCCCATCCAGTTTATTGTAATAATAATGTGGAATCTGAAACATTACCAGTGAACATTTTCTACTCTGTTACATTAAGATTTCTTATTCTAATGTTGCACTTTGAATGGATCTTTTTACACATGCATGATCTTGTAACATCAAGCACTGGTCATCTGGAAATGTTCACTGATTTACGCATTCCAAATGTTGACCCTTTCACTATGAAACTTTTAAAACATCAGATGTTAAAATAACCACCGATCTCATCAGAAAATTATTTAAGAATAAAGCTTTCAAGTTTACAGTGGCATCATGTTTTCCAAAATTCAAATTTTCACTAAAAAGTTGAAATTTTACCACTGACAACAAATACTATCACTTGTTTTCCCTGCAGTGAGAGGTTCACTTTATTCTTTTTCAAGAAAATGTCTAACAAATAACAAAGTCTCAACAACCACAGTTTGTCTGTCAATCATTCTTTCAAGTAAAATAATGGTGTTTCATAAAAATAAGTGGCCAGTTCAGCTGGCAACCAAAAAATTACGCAAGTGCTTTTCCTCAAGACAACCATATTTGGCATGCAACAGAGGAGCTTTATGTGTACTTCCCATTCCATCATACAGGATACTAAAAAGACATGTACTTAAGAGTCAAAATTAATAATAATTAATACTTTGTACTACTACATCCAGAAAAGTCTTAAACTGGTGTTCTTTTTACTCTAAGTGTGTGGTTATAAAGAAAACAATGACAACTAGTACAGTGAGGTACAATGCCCTGCTTTGTGCTAAGGCACCCACAGTTTTAACCACCATTGTTGTTGCATTATCAGTGTAAATGTTAACACAACGGGAAGGGCCAATAACATCCTGATATTATTATATCATGGAAACAGATTTGACCTGATGAATCCATTGAAAGGGTTTCAGGAACCCGACACACAGAAGGATCTCCATATTTGTTGAATGAATGAATGAGTGAATAAATAAACAAGGAGACAGCTATATTTTAATCTAGATTTCAAAGTATTTTAGAGCTTATTTTTCACACACAAAAAAATCTAATTATTGGAATTACCTTCCAACATTAACAGAAAAGACTCGTTAGGCAATATAGCACCCCTACCCTTAATATGTTTGAAGTAGTTTTATCTCCACACCTCTCTAAACTTAAATTGTTGTATATGCAAGCATTCCTTGCTTTGCATGTAACATGGTAAATGAAATTCATGCATACCAACACTATGTGCTCTATCTGTACTGTTCTTTGGTAACTAACGTGTTTAATAACATGGTATTGTGCAAAGCACATTATAATAAATGTACACGGAAATAAGCTCTAATGACCCACAAACTCAAATTCAGTAAAACAGGAAGGAAAAGCATCACATGAAGAATGAATGAGCAACCTTTGGGCAGTAACTATGAATGGACACCCCGATGGGAAAGAAACTCAGACACCTAAATGACTTTTTCAAACTCTACATGCCTCTCTCCAATAATGTATTGGAGAGAGGCCAAGGCAGGTGGATCACTTGACTTGAGGTCAGGAGTTCAAGACCAGTTCAAGCACCTGAGACCAACATGGTGAAATCATTGCTATTTGAGAATGAATCACTGTTCGTGATCAACTAATATAAGAGACCGACATGGTGGAATCATTGCTATTTGAGAATGAATTACTGTTCGTAATCAATTAATATAAGTGTTTCCAATCACAAAAACCAAATGGTGTTTGTGAATTGGGGGAGGGGAACAGAGCAGAAGCAAGGTGGCTAAGGGAATGAGGGACCAGCACTTCATAAAATAATGAGACAAAATTAGGTCACACTAAATTCAGTCTGGTCTTAAAAACTACAGGAATGAACATTTTTCAAAACAGAGGTAGATCAAATCTTTGGAATTCTATCTCCTAACCCTTCTCTTAATTCATTCAAAATAGCCTTAGAATTACTCAACAGTATTAGGTTGTCCCCTCTGTACTTCCATATCCACATCTACATGCAAGATTTTTGTTTTTTCTAGCCGACTTTTAAAAATTAACACCAACTTTCAAAACTTTAAATTTTATTTTTTATAGAGGCAGGGTCTCACTACATTGCCCAGGCTGGTCTTGAAATCCTGGGCTCACCTCGGCCTCCCAAAGTGCTGGGATTACAGGCGTGAGCCACCAAGGCTGGCCCAAAAACTCGTAAATTTTAAAAAGTGTATTCAGCACTAATAAAGAAAAGCAGTTCATATATTAAAAGTTTAAGTGTTTCTGCCAAGAGTTAGGAAAAAATTGAAAAGTATCTTATAGACAAATACTAATCGAAGCTTAGCAACTAAAACAGTGTCAGGGGAAAAGCAATAAATAACTTCACTTAAAAAGAAAATTCTACTCGAAGTCTATTTATTATGTATCACAAATGGGACGAAGGAGAAATGCAATTTACTATACCTTAAAATGTACTGTGATGTTCCAAGGAAGAGCTGAACTTGATGCAAGAAGATCAAATAGCAAACCAATTGGATAATGCCTAAAAATGAAACAGTATATTTTGAGAAAATAAATATTTAAAGTTATAACTACAAGGCCAAAATAAATTTCCAACACATATTTTAACACCAAATGTCAGGGGCTTTAATCACAAATCACAGGAAGACTACATTCTACAGTTACGTGCCTAGGCTAGTATGATCTACTTTCCAGGCATCAGGTGGTTTCCTTCTAACCACTCCATTCCCATAGAAACCTCAATATGCACAATAGGATTGTGGGCAAAGGCATTCTTTATCAGCCATGTGAACTGTTATGTCACAGTACTGTTGCATCTAATTGTCATCCCTGTATTCATAAAGGACAGTTGATTTTTGTAAATTTATTTAAATATGTTTTTTACTTTTAGAACTTAAAATTTTAAAAAACTGTAAGAACCAAGATGAGCAACTAAAACGCATGCAAATCACCTATTCTGTGGTTATTACCATTAACATTATAGCATATACATTTCCAGTCTTCTACCTACACATACATATCTAAATACAGATTAGGACTATCCTTTACAAACTGTACTATAACTTTTTTCACATAATATAATGTCAACATTTTCCCAAGCCACTGAATATTCTTCTGAAACCTAATTCTAAATTTAAAAAAATAAGTTCCAAAATAAGAGAACATTTCCTAATATAACCATTACCCACAGTGAAGTAAATAACTTAGCAATAAATAAACATGACTAATACAAATGTTGTAGATTTCAATGGACAAACCTTAAGTCATCCTTTTAAAAAATCTAAAGTAAATTAGCTTACTTGGTTAATCAGAATTAAATAATACAGGTTGAGTATCCCATTTCCAAAATGCTTGGGATTAGAGAAGTGTTTCAGATTTCAGCTTTTTTTTTTTTCTTCAAATTTTGGAATATTTGCATCATATTCTTACCATTTGAGCATCACAAATCTGAAAATCTGAAATGCTGGAATGAGCACTTCCTTTGAGTGTCACGTCAGTGCTCAAAATGTTTTGGATTTTGTAGTCTTAGATTCTGGATTTCAAATTGTGGGATTTGGGATGCTCACCCTGTACTCACAACAAGGGCAAAAAGAAGACTACTTGGTGTTATACACAGTCCTGTCTTTATCTGTATAATCTATTAATGAGTTACTCCTAGATTTAAGAGCTGCAAAATTTGAAAACACATCAAATTTATCTCAAAATGAGTAACTCTGACCAAGATTCAAATATCAGTTAATATTATTTATGCTTGTGCTACTCTGGGCACGATGCTTATGGGATAGCCCTGCACTGCAAGGAGCAGTACACATTTGCTTATATATATAAACATAGATATATGTTTATATATATAATTGTATATATAATTTATGCTTGCTTACTTGTATAGAATTATGGAAAAGTCATCAGTTTCTAGAGATCATGTATTTATTTGGTAGGAATTTAGGATGGGCTGGGTACTGTAACTCAAGCCTGTAATCCCAACACTTTGGGGGGCCAAGGTGGGTGGATCACTTGACTTGAAGTCAGGAGTTCGAGACCAGTTCCAGTACCTGAGACTGACATGGTGAAACTCTGTCTCTACCCAAAAATACAAAAAAAAAAAAAATTAGCTGGGCATGATGGCACACACCTGCAGCCCTAGCTACTCAGGAGGCTGAGGCGGGAGACTCTCTTGAGCCCGAGAGGCAGAGGCTGCAGTGAGCCAAGACTGTGCCACTGCACTCCAGCCTGGACGACAGAGTGAGACCTTTTCTCAAGAAAAAAAAAAAAAAAAGAATTTAGGATGAACGCCCGGTCGGTAAAAATAAAGCAGTGGGGGTACTTTTAGTCTTATATGCATTATATCTCTTAATAATATCCCTTAAATTTCTCTCTAATCAATCCTTTCATATCCAGAAACTAATACTGAAGAAAATTCTGGAACCAGGAAAAACTCTCGCCTCAGTCAAAACCTAAAATTAAAAAAAAATATACATACACACACACACACATATACACACATATATAGTACTATAGACAAGTTATAGATTTAATCCAATTCTGATCCTTCTCTCTAAAGTATTAAAATTGAACAAGCTCTAAATAATACCTTATACTTTTACAAAACAGACCTTTTAACGTCTTCAATTTATTTTTTAGAATATCTCTCTTAGGTATCTGCAACAGGGTTAAAGATGAATGTAGGCACTTAATTAAAGTTTTATTCACTTGGATTTCATTAAAAAGACTTAACATTTCAAAAGTGACACCATATTGCTTTCCAAATTCTAAACAGCACTGAAAACACAAAGAACTCCGCTAGGCAAAATAGTCTAATCTATTAGATAAGATTCACTCGAGATCACATAAAATTACTAGCAATCCAGTGTTTTACATATTCCCTGCCATTAACAAATGTGTGAAACACTTTTGTGAATTTGTAAGCAAATTCTAAAACAAATATATCTTAAAGCAATCTATAATATAAAATCAAGTAATTTTTTTTTTTTTTTTTGAGACAGGGTCTTACTCTGTAACCTAGGCTGGAGTGCAGTGGTGCAGTCAGAGCTCACTACAATCTTGACCTCCTGGGCTCAAGCGATCCTCCCACCTCAGCCTCCTGAGTGGCTGGGACTACAGACATGTGCCACTATGCCCAGCTAATTATTTTATTTTTTATAGAGATAGTGTCCAACTATGTTGCCCAGGCTGGTCTCAAACTTCTGGACTCAAGCAATACTCCCACCTTGGCCACCCAAAGTAATGAGATTATAGGCATGAGCCACTATGTCCAGCCCAAATAACTCTTTAAGGAAATATCTGGATCAGAATACAAGTTAAACATAAGACTCAATCATAAATTATTTTTTTAACCCTCAATATTTAAAAAACGAGAAAACTATAAATATTTTAAAAATGAGAAAATTATAAATACACAGAAGCTTGAACAAAGTACATAATAAACAACTGCTGAATGCATAAATCGAAGAAGTCCACAGACTAACCCTAGGTACAACATAAAGATCTAATGGAGCCAATTTTAGGTTCTGAGTTTCTTTTTTGAGCAGTTCCAACTATTTTAATGATTGACACTTCATGACTTTTATTCATTCTTAAAGGTATTCCAAAGAACAGAAAAAACTCACTTTAAAAAAAAAAAGATAAAACTTACTCCATGTAGTAATTACCACATGGAGCTACTGGACACTTTTATAAATCTAAGATATATTTTAGGGTCTTAATGATCTTATTGTTTCCTATGTATCAAAACATTTTACTATTTCATCACTCTAGAACTTATTTCATCATTATTTGTCAATTATTCCCAATAAGACACTAAAACAGTAAGAATTTGAAAAAATAACATGATGCCTAGAAGGATGATAGAAGAATGTACCCTTCTTTCATTTTCTTATGTGTTGCCTAAAGTATTGAAACATCTTTCAATAAAGTGTAAAATAAGCATGCAGGCTGGGCGTGGTGGCTCACGCCTGTAATCCCAGCACTTTGGGAGGCTGAGGCGGGTGGTTCACCTGAGGTTAGGAATTCAAGACCAGGCTGACCAATAAGGTGAAACCCCATCTCTACTAACAATACAAAAATTAGCTGGGCGTGGTCGCATGTGTCTGTAGTCCTAGCTACTCGGGAGGCTGAGACAGGTGAATTACTTGAACCTGGGAGGTGGAGGTTGCAGTGAGCCAAGACTGCAACACTGCACTCCAGCCTAGGCAACAGAGGGAGACTTGGTCTCAGAAAAAAGAAAAAAGCAAGCAGACTCCATTCTGGAATCAGTTTTTAGCTATCATTAACACAGTTGAAAATTCCAAGTTTCTCATTTTCTACCAACAATGGCAGAGAAAAAAACTGACAGAGGAAGATGTTTCACAATTATTAGACAAATCAGGACAAAATACAAAGAGAGACAGCAGTACTCTAGACTTTAATGACAATAGTGAAATTGATCATTTAAGTGAAATCTCAAACTCTGAGTCTTTAGATGATATCTTAAATTTTCCATAGCTCAAGAACTAATAGAAGAACAATATATTTCTAAAGACAAAAAGGAACACATGGTAATCTTAACAGCTTAGTCATCAACAGAAAAAACTTCATTACATGATATTTTATGACAAAAACCTGGACCATTTCTTTTTACTAAAAGAACATGTGACAATATTATTTCATCTTTTATGCTATTTACACAAATTTATTTGATAGTAGGCAAATGCAAAAGTTCTATTTATATAAAAAGAAGACTGAAGGAATTAGATCACATAGAAATGAAAAAAAGTACTGGGCTGCTCAGTCTAATTGGTGTTGATTCACATAAAAAAGAAAATATTTCATAATGAAATCATGAGCTGGCAAAGGGTTTATAGATTTCTTCAAGTATTATTAACACTATTAGATGCAAGAAGGGCCAGAAGTAATAAACTAGAACCTCTCAGAGGTATATTTGAATGTATAAAAATTAATGAGCAATTAGTTGCATTCAGGGGATGTTGACCATTTTAGATACCTTTAAAACTAGAAAAATATGAAATGAAAATGTAAATTTGCTGTACTTAAACCTGTATTAAAATTTCTAATAAAGTTGTTATACACTATTCCTTTATTCTAAATTCTCTAAATTATTTGCAAAATGACTTAAACACACACACACACACACACACACACACACACACACACACACACACACATATATATTTTAAAGTTCATTGGGGCTGGGCATGGTGGCTTATGCCTGTAATCCTAGCACTATGGAAGGCTGAGGCAGGTGGATTGCTTGAGCCCAGGAGTTCGACACTAGCCTGAGCAACATGGCAAAACCCTGTCTCTACAAAAAAAATTAGCCAGGCATGATCTGTACTCAACAGAGGGAGACCCTGTCAAAATCTATTTTTTTTTTTTTTTTTGAGACAGAGTCTCGTTCTGTCGCCCAGGATGGAATGCAGTTGTGCGATCTTGGCTCACTACAACCTCTGCCTCCCAGGTTCAAGCGATTCTCCTGCCTCAGCCTCCCGAGTAGCTGGGATTACAGGCGCGTACCACCACACCTGGCTAATGTTTGTATTTTTAGTAGAGATGGGGTTTCTGTTGGCCAGGCTAGTCTTGAACTTCTGACCTCATGATCTGTCCGCCTCGGCCTCCCAAAGTGCTGGGATTACAGTCATGGGCCACTGCACCCAGCGCTAGCCTGTCAAAATCTTAAAATTTTTTTTTAAATTTCATTGGTCCCAGATGGTAAATGACGACAACTCCTTTGTCTTGGCATATTAAGAATTAGGAGATAAATTTAAACATATGCTTCCTTAAAATTATATTTAAATTTAAATTAGCTGGGCGTGGTGGCATGCACCTGTAGTCCCAGCTACTTGGGAGGCTGAAGTGGGAGAATTGCTTGAACCCGGGAGGCGGAGGTTGCAGTGAGCCAAGATAGTGCGACTGCACTCCAGCCTGGGCGACAGAGGGAGACTCCATCTCCATAAAAAAAATAAATAAAGTATTAACATAAAAACATTCTAAATATTATAAAAATGAATAATCATCCTGTTATGATTTTTTAAAAATAAAAATGAACCAGAAAAACGAAGGAGTAAGATAACCATTTACTTATTTCTATTGTCAAATTCCATAATTAACATGCGGTTCAATACAAATTTTTATGTTAGAATTATTTTCATGCAAAGATATTAATTCCAAACAAATATGCTATCTGAATTCACTGGTTCCCAGATTGCTTATTTCTAATGAATCTACTGATATTCAACACAATCTATAAAAGAAAACAGAACTGGCAAAAATTAAAGGTACTGAGTTTCTCTTACACTTTAATCTGATTTACATCAAGGATTTCAAAAGTACTAATTTGTACAAGTCTTCTAAACAGATATTATATACAGTTTTGTGAGAAGCCTTCTAACCCACAACACAGAAACCACATATACCCTAAGTAAATCATAACGTAACCATTGGCTATTATGTTGCTACTTCTACCATCTAACTTAAATTTAATAGAAAAGCAAGTAGTAAGGATTTGAACCTGGAATACGGTCCACCCTTGGTACGTGTGGGGATTGGTTCCTGGACCTAGCTGGATACCAAAATTCGCAGATGCTTAAACCCTTATATTAAATGGCATAGTATTTGCATATAACCTACACACATTCTCCCGTATACTTTAAATTATTGCTAGATTACTTATAATACCTATTACAATGTAAGTGCTACGTAAATAGTTGTTATACCATATTGGACTTTTTGTGATTTCATTTTTATTGTTGTATTATTATTAGTTATTGCTTTTTTCCCCCAAATATTTTCAATCCATGGTTGGTTGAATCCATGGATGCAGAACCCATGGATACAGAACACCAACTCTTATCCAGAACTGTATTTTCTGTGTAAATAAGAGGACCCAACTAGCTAAAGACTCAGTGTATTGCCCTATAGAAAATGACTGCATAAGAACAGTATTAGGTCTATTTTTACACTTTGTTCTTTTTCTTCTTTACATTGCTCTAGTCTTCCATATTCAATTCTCGAAATGAATATATTTTAATATTTCTTTGCTTTTTGTTTTTTATTCATTACTCCATTTATGTGTGTGTGTATGTTTGTGCATGTGTGCACATTGGCACATGGTGTAGCAATAATGGATATTCTCAGAAGGGACATGATTCTAGTATAAATATCTGTACTCAGATAGCAAACTAATACAAGTATTCTAAAATCAGCACTGAAAGAATTTTCCCCATACTGGAGAACTACTGCCCAAGTTCATGTCACTAAAATAAATGCCTCCTATTCGGAAAGTTGCTGCATTCTGATTCACTGGAAACGGGATTACATTTCATTGTAACTGCAAGCATGTAACTACAAATGCAAACCAAAGTAATTTGATGATTGCTGTGAATACTGACTTACTCTATATGTAGGACAAACACAAACAACTATAGAGTAGCAATGTGTTTCACAGCTTTCTAAGCCCATTCTTATATATGAAAAAGTTCAAAAATAATGAAGGGATACCACATATATAAAATCTATGTAAGTCACATTTCAAAAATCTAGTTTACAGAATACATTGTTAACTCCTTTATGCCTAGTTTTCCATTATTGGAACGCTAAGCTTGTGGGAGTTATGTAAACTGTTCAAGGTCACTGACAAGGTCTGATTTTTCACACACAAAAAATTTTAATCTCCTGCATAAATGGGTTAAGTTCCAGAAATTCACAACCTTAAAAAGACTGGAAATAAGACAGAAGAATCTGTTAGCATTTATGATTAAAATGTTAAATGTTTTTTAAAAAATTATACACAGGTTTTCACTAAAGCATTTTGCTAAAATCTACTTTTGAAATCACAAAGAGTATTAAATTCTGAGTCATTCTATCATGTCTATGTTTAAGATCAACATCAATACAGCCATGGGACATTTAACAACATGGATATGTTCCGAGAAATGCATTGTTAAGCAATTTCATTCGCTGTTCAAACATCACAGTGTACTTACACAAACCTAGATGCCATAGCCTACTACGTACCTAGGCTACATGGTGTAGCCTAATGTTCCTAGGCTATAATCCTGTACATCATGTTACTACACTGAATACTCTAGACAACTGTAACACAATGATAAGTATGTATGCATCTAAACACAGAAAGGATACTATAAAAATACAGATTATCATCTTCTGGGACCACCATCCTAAATGCGGTCCATCATTGACCAAAATCATGTAGCCCAAGAGTATGTATTTTTTTTTACAATTCAAAAAGTAATTTCAACTTCTTCCTTTTACCACCTGTCCTGAAAGTCAATTTGCAGAGAAAAATTTCCCATTAAAGTTATTTATTTTACAGTTGACAAAATGAGAAGCTTGTTCTAAATTTCGTGCTTGAAGGTCTAAGATCTAAACCAAAATTAGGGTTTACTTACAAAGTATTCTTCGGAAGGACCAAGAACTGGTCTCTTAACATAATTCTAATATAAAACTAACAAATATAAAATGTGAACACCAGTTGTGGTAATAAGAAACTTCACCCCTTAAAATACAATGTTAGAGCACCCTCTGCTGACTAACATCTCAGTCTGAAGAAAGAGACTCTATTTTGAGTTAGGCCAGCACTTTCCATTTCCCATGTAATTTTTAAAAGCTAAAGATGCAAAGATAAAGCTCTAATCAGACATAACCTCCTTGTAAGCTCTCTACAAATCGACAACAACAAATGTATTGAGTATTCATTATAAGTATACCACTGTTCTTAAATTTTTTTAATTCTAATTTGGACAAATTGATATAAGCAATTAGAGAGAACAGATAAGATGGGAGAAAAATTTTTAAACAAAATGTTAGCAGGTGTGGTAAAAAGAGCCCTGAACTGATACTCTCAAAATCTGGGTCCTAACTTATTTGAACAAGTTACCTTACTTATTTGAGTCTCGGTTTTCCAAATAAAAGCAAGGGGCAAATTTAGATTCATTCATTCATTCATTCACTGAACAAACATTTACTTATCCCCTCCTATATGCTGCTGGTTTAAGTACAAAGAAAAATGATCCAAAATCTGAACCTTTTTTAACACTGACATGATGCTCAAAGGAACTGCTGCTTATTGAAGCATTTCGCATTTCAGATTTTCAGATTTGGAATACTGTAAGTATATAATACAAACATTCCAAAATCTGAAAAAATCTGAAATCTGAAAGACTCTGGTCCCAACCATTTTGGATAAAGGATACTTAACCCATATTAACTCACTTAATTCTTGAAACAAAGTTACGAAGTACAAGGTACCATTATCATTGCTGTTTTACAGACAAGAAAACTGAGATACAAAAAGGTCAAATAACTTGCCCAAGGTTATACCGCTAGTAAGTGATGAAGCTGGGATTTGAAATCTGGTTTCTGACTCCAGAGTCAGCATCCTTAATAACCATTATGTTACAATACACAGTTATAACATGACAAGAATATAGGAAGTACACACGTAGTGTAGAGATGGCACAAACGTAGAAATGATCACTTTGGGCTAAAAAGAACCACAAAAAAGGTCATAGTTAAGCTAGATGTTAGAAGTATGAGCTACAGGAGGGAATATATGAATGAATAATTAATTACAACCAAAACAAAGGATGCTGGAAAGAGCAAAAAAGATTTATCAAATTAGATGAGCAAAGAAACGGAAGCCCAAAACATTATCCCACATTCATTAAAACAAGTAGCTTAGTACACCTGGAAAGACCTGGAAAGAAGTGGGATCATGGACAACCTTTACACACACATCATGCTTTAGTGTTTGGCTTTATACTGTAGATGATGGTAAGTCAGAATAGGGTTCTTGAGGACAATAACAATGTTAGATCTGCATTTCAGAAAGAAAAATTATGGCACTGGGGAAGATAAACTAAAAGTAATAGTATTAAAAGCAGGAAGACAAATTAAGAGGCCACTAAAACAATCCATGTGAGAAATCAGATGGGCCTGAATCCCGAAAAACAAAGCAGGGAGTTTAAGGCATACTTAGAAGCCAGAATCACAATCTAGAGGCTAGATGATGAGGGAATCAAGAGTGGAGACGAACATCAACAAATTTAAAAGATCCAAAATTACAGTGAGCTCTTTTTTTACTACAATAGAATCAAACTAGAAATCAATAATGAAAAGATAACAGAAAAACCACTAAATGTGGAAATTAAACACATTTCTAAAAAAAACTAAGATTCCAAAAGAAAGCCTCAAAAGAAAATTTTAAAAATACACAGACCCGAATGAAAACAAAAACAGAACATATCAAAATTTATGGTCTATACTAAAGCCTGGCTGAAATAGATATTTGTAACACTAAATGCTTGTACAACATTGTGAATGTAATTAACACTACCATGGTTAAGATGGTAAATTTTGTTACATGCATTTTACTACAATTTAAAAAAGAAATTAAGGTAAGAGCTCAAAAAAATAACCTAAGTCCCTTTTCAAGAAACTAGAAAAAAATAATAAAACCAAAGGAGCAGAAGGAATAAGATTATTAAAAACAAAAAACAGAAACCAACAAAATTGGAAATTTTAAAAAGGAGAGAAAAATCCATGAACCACAACACTGGCTCTTCAAAAAAATAAGTAAAATTGGTAAACCTCTAACAAAGCTGACAAAAATGAAGACAACACTACAGATCCTAAAGTCATTCACAGACAAGGAAATACTATAAACAACTCTATGTTCATAAATTAACAACTTAGAAAAAACAAACCAACTCCCCAAAACCCATAAACTACCAACACTCAATGAAGAGGAAATAGGCAAGCTGAGTAGATCTATATATATCAAAGAAATTGAATTGGTAATTAACATGCTCCCCAAAAAGAAATCTCCAGACCCAAGTGGTTTCACTAAAGATATCTATCAAACACTTAAAGAATTGACAGCATTTTTACACGACCTTTTCCAGAAAATACATCAGAACAGAACACTTTCGAACTCAGTTTATAAAGCCCGTATAACCCTAATGCTAAATCAGACAATAGAAAAAACAGAAAACTACAATCCCTCTTATGAACATAAGACACAAAAATCCTCAACGAAATATTATTTGGCAAACTGAATCCAACAATGTATAAAACTTATTACATTCCGTGACCAAATAAGATTTATTAAATGTATACAAGGTTGGTCCAACATCAAAAATCCATAAATGTCATCTATTATAGCAACCAGCTAAGGAAGAAAAGTGATACAATCATATAATTAGCACAGAAAAGGCATCTGACAAAATCCAACATCTATTCATGACAATTGTGAAAGACTAATACATTCCCCATAAAATTAAGAACACCAGAAGATGTCCACTCTCACCACTCTTATCCAACACAGTACTAGAAGTTCTAGCTACTCCAATAAGGAAAAAAAAAAAAAGAAGAAAAGAAATAAAAGGCCTACAGATTGGAAAAATTATATAATTTCTATTTGCAGATGTCAAGACTGTTTACATAGAAAACCCCAAAGGATCTACCAAAAAAACACCTAGAACTAGTGTGTGAGTTCAGCAAGGTTGCAGAACACAAAAATCAATAACATTTTCCATATACTAAAAATGAACATTCACGCTCGTTTTGGCAGCACATGTACTAAAATTAGAACGATACAGAGATTAGCATGGCCCTGCACAACGATGACACCCAAATTTGTGAAGCGCTCCACAGTAAAATTTTTTTAAATTATAAAAATAAAAAATAAAGGAACATTCAGAAAACAAAATTAATTTTTATCTTTTACAATATATGTGGCTTGACACAGAAAGACCTCTAGGTGTTTTCAGCAGCTTTTCTCAATATAGTCCCAGAATGGAAACAATCCAATGTCCATCAGTTAATGAATAAACAATTTGTGGTATAACCATACAGTGGGATACTCAGCAACTCAGCAACAAAAAGGAAAAAACCACTGATACACGCAAAAAGGATGAGTCTCAAAAACATTACTCGAGGTAAAATTCAGACACGAAAGGCTACATACTACATGAGCCCATTTATATGGCATTCTGAAAAAGGTAAAACAACTGAGATGGAAATCAGATCAGTAATTACTGTGAGTTGGGGGAAGGAAGAGGTAACTGTAAAGGAGTACCAGGGAATTTTGTGAAATTAAATATCTTATTATCTTGATTTTGTAAGTAGCTACACAACTGTACACAATTGTTTGAAAACTCTTCAAACCATACTCCAAAAAAGATGAATTGGCCAGGCACGGTGGCTCACACCTGTAATCCCAGCACTTTGGGAGGCCCAGGCAGGTGGAGCACCTAAGCTCAGGAGTTCAAGACCAGCCTGGCCAATATGGTGAAACCCTGTCTCTACTACAAATACAAAAATTAGCTGGCGTGGTGGCGGAAGCCTGCAATTCCAGCTACTCAGGAGGCTGAGGCAGGAGAATCACTTGAACCCGGGAGGTGGAGGTTGCAGTGAGCCGAAATCATGCCATTGCACTCCAGCCTGGGCGACAAGAGCAAAACTCCGTCTCAAAAAAAAAAAAAAAAGATGAATTTTATTCCACATTAATTATATGCTTGGGATTATTTTTCCCTTCTCACACAGAGTCTGCTAGCCAAGTAGATGAACAAAGAATAGTAAGAAAGAATTAACAGTAAAGGAAAAATAATTTGTTTTAAGAATACTCCATTCTGCTATTATCTATAACTAACTTTACTATATGTACTATTTCTTTAAAAAATCTTTAAAACCAAGCATTTGTTTAAAAAACAAAGCCCCCGGTACTCTTCATCTATGTCCTACCAACAGGAAAATAAAGTCATATTTTTCCCAACTGAGTATGATGAAAGTCATGATTTGTCAAGGACTTTAGTTTTTTTTTCTTGTCATTGAGAACTGTCACCTTATGAAAAGACAAACTTAATTGAATTCAGGGACAGAATCAGTGACAAGGTTATAAAGAGAGAAGAAACATCAATTTCTGTTCTTTCTTCCCTCACTTATGAGTTGTCTCAACTGGCGACTAATTTCCTTTCCTACCTGAACTTATTTAAAACTCCGAAGAATAAATATAGGAAGGACGTTATTATTCAACTCAAATAAATGCTTCTCTATCCTTAAGACACTTGTATGGTCTCAAAAGTCCAAGTCTTCCAACACTTCAGTGGTAGCTGCTTTCCTCCACTGATGGAAATTCACAGAACTATCCTATTTTGCGAAGCCCACTACTTAAATGCCAGATATTCTTATATTGATAGCCTATTTCCAGGAAGATACATTTTTTAACATGAGAGAAAACTGCTATTACTGGAAGCAAAGAGAGAAAAGATCAAGACTAAGCCCAGAGGCCCTGGATTACATTTATGGCTCTGGAAGTTATTCACGCCTCATATATATGGAGTACTTAAAAACACTAAAGGAAAAGATGCATCAAAAGTCATATAGCTACAATGAGCTTACAGCATGACATAACTGTGGAAGTGATATAACACATAAAAAGTTAACACCCCCAAAACTACCATAAAGATACTTGAATATAATTACTTTCACATAAGCTCTCTAAAAGGGAAAAGAACTCCACTCTTTAATAAAAGACTTTCCAAAGGGATAAATACTGACAAAGTAAGAACATGGTATAATAATATTTAAGCCAAAATCATTGTTTTGCAGTGACAAGGAGAAATGGGTCCAAACACTATTTACCCATAAACCTATAAAATATAAGCCATATTGAATACAAGAATAACCACCATGAGGGACAGCATAAAACAGCAGCTGAAAGATGATGACTTAGCAATCACTTACTTTACAAGCTAAATTGAGGTTTCCCAAATTTTCCAGAGTTCCTCAACTGGGGGCGGTTCTGCCTCCATTCAGGGACATCTGGCAACATTTTTGATAATCAAGACTGGAGGAAGTGCTACTGGCACTTGTAGGAAGAGGCCAGAGCTGCTGTTAAACATCCTATAATGTACAGGGTAGCCCACCACAACAAAGAATTATCAAATTCAAAATGTCAGTAGTGACCCTATTGAGAAATCCTGCTTTACAATAAAACTGAAAAGCCCCGCTAGTCACACAAAATTCTGAGATAATCTGTAATACATATAATGCAATACAATGTAAATAACTATAGCTAGAAATGTCAAGTGCATACATACATCCCATTGCTACTCTCCCACACTGTTTCCCCGTCCATCCTGTCATTCTACTCTTCTATTTAATAATTGTTGCTCTGTTTACACTTCCTTTAAGTCGCCTTCCCATTCCAAAATCTCCAATTCTCCTGAGAAATAAAAAGAAATGGGAAGCATTGCCTTATCTATGCTGCGTGAGGTCTAGAACTACACAAGAAGAATCAGAGGAGTCTGATACATGATCATGAAGCTCAGTATTGTTTTGATTTAAAGAAAGAATGCTATAACAAGACAACTGTGTCATAAATTCCCAGAACCATCTCAAAGGATTAGAGACGGGACCCAAAATACAACCTTGTTATGTTTGTAATCCATTATGAAAAATCTACTCATTCTTGGGATCTCATCAGCACAAGGTGAGTTCCAAAATTTCTCTCCTTGCTAATAAATAGTCCTTTGATTCACATCAGCTGCATTTATTAAACACCTAAGTAGCTTCCTTTCATCTGTCCTAAAGCTCTTTCAAAAACTCTTCATTTTAATATTCCCCGATTCAGAGAGCAAGTCCATTTTTAACCAATTTGTATTTTTCATGTTTCATTTAAATCTGTCTTAGCCTGTATTTTTTTCATTCAACTGTATCCAAATGATAGCATTTCAACATTAACATCCAGCATACCTTCAACTATTTTTTTTTTACATTCTTCTCTCTGTAATTTCCAGTTTCATTAAATATTTTTGGAAGCACAATGAACAAAACTCCCAATAACAGAGGAAGCACCAAAAAACATCATTAGTACATGGATAAGCACAGGTTTAGGATTTGATTTCAATACCCTTTTTTTTTTTTTTTTTTTTTGAGACAGAGTTTCACTCTTATTGCCCAGGCTGGAGTGGAATGTTGTGATAGCTCACCGCAACCTCCACCTCCCAGGTTCAAGCATTTCTCCTGCCTCAGCCTCCCAAATAGCCCGGATTACAGGCATGTGCCACCACGCCCAACTAATTTTGTATTTTTAGTAGAGATGGGGTTTCTCCATGTTGGTCAGGCTGGTCTCGAACTCCTGGCCCCAGGTGATCCGCCAGCCTCGGCCTCCCAAAGTGCTGGGATTCGTGTAGTATCTGTTCTTATCAGTTCAATACCCTTCTTAAAAATGCAAAACATCAAATTTATTTTTCACGTAAAAAGGAAATCAATATATTTTAAATACTCTAAACCAAGCCTAGTTAAGATGTGTTTCTGGCACAGTGGTCAACTAAATATGGCAATCAGTTTGAACAATGCCACTTAAGGTAATCATGTATATAAAGATGTTATAAATATTTTGGTGTCAGAAATAAAATTGAATAATGTCAAGAGATGACTTTTCATAAGGGAGTTTTAAATATATCTGAAAATAGCCCATAACCAAATATATTCTTATTGTACCATATAAAAATCTATTGCTAAAAATATATGAATCTGTCCAGTCATCCATGCATCCAAACAGAAGGCAGAAATATTTTCAATAACGTATTCTAGTAATAGTCTAAACTTCACATATTGTATGAGCTAGACTAATGACTTCTATCCTCGCAGGACTTTTTTTACAATTGTTTCAGGGCACTATACCTTTTTAAAGCTAGTATATACTTAATGCTTAATAATGCAGAAAAATTCACTCACCATTTCAGTGGTGTGCCTTCATATTCAAACCATATCTCACTAATGTCTTCTTGTCTCATAACCTTCTGAAAGTGCTTTTTCACTTTGTCAGTTACCAACGTCAAATAACTTACTCTTGGCAAAAGCAACTGAAATGAAAATTTGTAAAACCGTATTTATTTACTAGTTATTATTTTTAAAAAATACTAAGTAGGTTTTTGAATTTTAAGGAAAAACAGCCGTGTTCTTTGCATTATTTTGAATATCCCACACAAAGTCTACTGCTTTTTATAGAAGATCAAAGGTTAAAGGTTAAGATGTTTTAATATTTCTTATGGGGCCATTACTTTAAGCACAGCTTACCACATAAATGCCCAGAATGATCAACACAAATCTATCTACAATCTTCCTATAACACTAAATAAAAATGTAATTAGATGTCATACTATTTAGGATACTTATTGGTTCTATAAAATTTAACTTAAAAATTAAAATGATTCATCTGAGTCAATTAAACTGTTCTAAGAAGATAATCAACTCAAGTTCTAAAGTATACTTTGACTTATCAATCAAATCTTCTCAACCAGTCCATCATGTTTTGAAGGCTGAGAGAGAATGCTGAGCTAGGTAAAGCCTCAAAAAAAAACAGTATGAAGAACCTGGTCAGTGTTTTTTCCCCAGAAAAGGTACCCAAAAATAAAACAGGAGTGTTTTGGAAAATCAATTATGATTTATATAAAGAACCGACAAGTAGATAAAAGAAGGAGCTTGGCAAAAATTTATGGTTTTCCTCCTTTGCAGTAGACACTCTAGCCATTTCTTGCTTTCCTAAGTGTCTGATTTCTTTTGCTGATAAAACTGCTTTGTTATTCTTTTGGCTGCTTTTATAACCGCATCATCTTTCATGCTTTTTATTCAAGGTGATATCTTTTGACTAATAAATCAAGTAGAACTACTAAGCTGACAAATATATACAGAAAGAGATATTCTGGTTGAAGGAATTTATATTTAATCATGGGAGTCCAAGATAATAGGTACCAACCAACTAGGTAGGAGAACGTGAC
The DNA here is from genome assembly GCF_000001405.40 of Homo sapiens. NCBI lineage: Eukaryota > Metazoa > Chordata > Mammalia > Primates > Hominidae > Homo > Homo sapiens. The sequence goes on from NC_000006.12 coordinate 106,309,407, forward strand.
ATTGATCCTAGGGGCTACAGAATACAGGGGTATGGGAGGGAGATAGTTGGCATGCTCCAGTATGGAATACAAGGAACTAAATACTATGAACAAGCTGCTGAATAGTATTATGCATTCAACAGAATATAAGTTATTCTTTTATAAAGAAATAACTGTGATTAGTGAAGAAAGAAAAAGGAATTCTTACTATTTAATATAAGAAAAAGCAGTTTTTCCCCCACAGGAAGTATTATCGCCCCTGTTTTAAATAACTTGCCAATATCATGCTATTCTTAAATAAATGGCAGAGAAAAGATTCAGTGTAGTCTTTCAGAAATGACAAATACAGATGTGACATTAAAGTCTCTTTAAAAAAGCAAAACAGCGTCGCAAACTAGCTGTTTTCAAAAATATGTAAGTATAATCTATTAGTCTAATAAGGTCTCTTTTAGCAAACCTTGAACTTTAATTTAAAAATGATTAATGGGCATTACATAGTAATCTATTCTGTAGAAAACAATATTAACTTATGGAGACAGTAGGAGGGAAGAAACACCACAGCTAATGGGTATGGATATATCAGCTCCTGATTTTGGAGAGTGTTGTATTACATGCCTTGGCTTCACTCAAAATTGCTAAAGAACTCACAAATGATTTTTATGAAATAAAATATTTTTTACAATAAGGAAAAAAGAACATTAGACTATAACCTCAATTAAGACAGGAATTTTTGTCTGTTTTGTTCAATGCTACATTTCCACTGCCCAAAATAGTGCCTGCTTTAAAGGAGGCACACAATAAATATTTGCTGAATGAGTCAGAGATGCCAATGGTTAAGTGAGGCAGAGCCAACAACTGTAATTTTAAAAGAATACTCATTTTTAAGGCAGAATCCACACTGAAATGTAGCTGCAATTTTCTGTTCCGTTTGGCCTGTGGGAGTAATCTTTAACTAATATATCCATAGAAACACTAAGAAATCACTCTAAGATTTAAGAATGACTATTCTATAGTACATATAGATACAATTTACCTAGGAAATATTTAAACAAATAAAAATGAAAACAACAATGAAAAGACATCATCTTCTTGTCTTTTACCTGCAGACTATATATACTACTCATTGTTTTTCTTAGGTGTATTTCATTGGTTTAAGTTCTTTTTTTTTCAATGTGGTAAAATATACCTAGTATAAAATTTACCATTTAAACCATTTTTAAGTGTACAGTTTAGTAATACTAAATACATTCACTATCCATCTCCAGAACTTTTTCATCATGCTAAATGGAAACTGTACGTATTAAACAGTAGCTCCCCATTCCCTGCTTCCCCAGCTCCCAGTAACCACCATTTTACTTTCTATCTCTATGAATTTGACTACTCTAGGTACCTTATTTAAGTGGAACCATATAATATTTGTCCTTTAGTGCCTGGTTTATTTCACTTAACATATGTCTTCAATGTTCTTTTAGTTCTTTTACTTTGAATAAGATTAACCACATTTGGAAATACTGTCAGCTACAATGGAAACTATCATTCTCTTATTCCTCATTTAGCCCTAGTATAAAGTATTCCATGACTCTGATACAAGTGATTCATTTTTATCTATACAGCTTAAAAGAATACATATTTTATGCAATTATATGGAATACTTATGTTTCCAAAAAAGTTGCCCATAATTTTAATTCTTTATGCCAAGTCCAATTCTGTCCAACAATTTTCAATTTTAAAATTAGAGACCTTTCTAGGACAAAAATAGAAGTAAAACATACTAGAATTCTGTTCCACTCCAATGTGTAAAGCATCATACTAGGCAATGAGGATACAACATTGAAAGAGACAGAAGAGTCCTTCCCCTTATACAGCATACAGGTTAGACAGCAAAAAAGATACAAAAAAACAAAATTACAAATGTGATTAATGCAGGGAGGAAGTAAAGAATGTTATAAGAGCAAGTAGCAAAGGAATTTAACCTGATCTTGAGTTTCACGGGAGGCCTTGACACGAAGTGTATCTTAAGGCAAAGAGTCAAAAGACAAATAGGAGTGAAATGAACATGGGTGAGTGTGGAAGTCTGGGTGTGTGTAGGTATGGGAGATACCTCTGCCTTTTCCAAACAGGGGACACTGCAAGACAAAAGGCATGGAATGAATACAAAGAAACAAAGATGGGCACATTTGAGTGAAGTCTAAGATGCTGAATATGATAGGAAGGTACAGAGTTAAGACAGAATAGTGCTGAGGAAGCCAGGAGCCAGATTATCGAGAACCTTGTAAACTAAATGAAAGATCCTAAAAATGATGAAAAGCCACAAAGGTTTTAAGCAAGCAAGTGACAAGATCAGACATGTGATTTGAAAAGATCACTCCAACTGCAGACTAGAAAATGGAAAGAAGGGAAAACTAAAAGCAGGAAACTGGTTACTACTGTGCAATTTGATCTCCTTCTTTTTTTTTTTTTTTGAGATGGAGTTTCACTCTTCTCACCCAGGCTGGAGTACAAAGGCAAGATCTCGGCTCACTGCAACGTCTACCTCCCAGGTTCAAGTGATTCTCCTGCCTCAGTCTCCCAGGTAGCTGGGATTACAGGTGTCCACCACCACACCGGGCTAATTTTTTGTATTTTTAGTAGAGATGGGTTTCACCATGTTGGCCAGGCTGGTCTCAAACTCCTGACCTCAGGTGATCCACCCACCTTGGCCTCCCAAAGTGCTGGGATTACAGGCGTGAGCCACTGTGCCTGGCCTGATCAGTTTTTAAGCAGTAGTCTGGTCTAGGCTGTAGCAGTGGGGGATGAAAGGGATCAGATAAGTCTGAGAGACACTGAGGTCTCTGGAGTAAGTTACCGACTATCTGGGATAAGAGAGAAGGAAGGAAGCACCAAACGATGAGTCCCAGGTTTCAAGTAAGAGTAGTTCTTCTTGCCAAAACAGGAAGGGAATAAAATAATGCAGAGGACCAGATTTTTTTGGGGGGAAAGCTGATGAGTCCAGTTTCTAACATACATAGTTTGAGCTCCTATAAGACATCTAAGTGAGGATCTCCAGCAGACAAATATATAGGTTTGGAGCTCTGGAGAAAAATATTGGGAATTGTCAAGATATAAATGCTTGACAAAGACATAAAAATGGACAAGAACTCCAGGGGGTAAAAAGTGAAGTGAAAAAAAAGAAAGCAGAGCCCTAAGAAATACCAATATTAAGGAATAAACAAAGGAGAAAGATCTGGCAAAAAAGACTACACACACACACACACACACACACACACACACACACATAAAAACCAGACAGGCAAAAGCAAAACCAAGGATACTGAGCACTGCAGGGCTAACAGGACAATGCCACAAGATGGGAGAAGCAACCAACAACATCAAACACTGCTGAGATAAAGCAAATGAAAATTAACAAACAGACTCTGAGCTTGGCTAAAAAAATACCATTAGTGACTTTGGCAAGAACAGTTTTCTTGGAATAGTATGAAAATGTGATTACAGAAAACTAACTGGTAGGAGGTGGAAGGCAGAGAATGACTATAAGCAACCTTTTTAAGAAGTCTAGCCATGGAGGAAAAGCCAAAGTTGAGAGATGGGGTCAACAGAAGGTTGTTGTTTCAGGATAGGAAGGATTTATGACAACACTAAAAACTGTGAAGGAGCCAGCAGATAAGAAGTTGAAAGTAAAATAAACAGAGAAGGCAGAGGTGGAGGTGGGAGAAGATCAGATACCACCAGCTTCCTGAGAAGGCAGAAGATAGAGGGCTGGGCCTTGCCTAGAAGGAAGAATACTTCTTCCATTATAACAGGAGGGAAAGAGAAGTAAATGTGTGGGATGCAGATAGGTTTTGCAGATTTGGTGACAGAAAGTTAAGGGAGGTCCTATCACACCTATCATATCATTTCTCTTTTCTTCATGAAAGAGGAAGTGAGGTCACCTGTTCAGAGTGAAGGAAGAGGTCAGGGCTCAGAGACATAGTCATAGTGGAATAGGGCAGACACCTGACTAAGGATACATAAACGGATCGCTGCCTAATGTTAAGGGTCCATGACATTGATGACCATGGGTCCAATCATGATTTCCTCTAGAAACAAGTCACAAAATAGCAATCCAAATGAGTATATGTGTTTTTATACTGGATAATCTAAATGAAAAGCAACAGTTTAAATGAACATAAACGAAAAAATACAAATTGAAAAGTTATCTAGTTTCTACAAATTTCCTTACCAATATTCTCTGAAAAATAAAACATAATGCTCAGTGATAAACATATAGGATATAGGCGGAAAGATTATGCACAGAGGCAACAAATCAAAATGCAGAAAAGAGGAATATATGTACTATTAATATTAAAAATATGTTCAAGCTTAATTGACAGCAAGGGACATATTATCTGAACTACAGCTATATTGGCACTAAAATCCTCATCTGTAATTCTAAGACTAGCCATCACTGATGTTTTATATATTTTCTTCCTTGTACGTATTAACTTACACTTAAGCATGTACATATTTAAATAGCAAAATTTGGATTGTGCCATATGGTTTTAAATTCCAGTTTTTTGTTTTATGTTTATTATATGCCAGTCACCCAACAGTCTTCAAAAACACAAATCATGACTGTATAAGAGGTTTCTCTGGGTGAAGAATTAGGAAGAATTCAAGAAAAAACCAATTACCTATAAGACAAGACAATCCTCTTTCTCCTACAGTTACTGTAAACACTCTTGCCATTTTCAATTTGATTAGAAACACTAGAAAACAACTTACGCTCTAGTGCTCACAAGTCTTTTCCAATTTAAACAGGTCTATAAAGAAAAAATACTGTATTCTTTACATGAAATTTCTCTAACTTTAGGAAGTATGTCAAACATTAGAGTTTGATTTAAAAGTAAACAGGCTGGGTGGAGTAGCTCATGCCTGTAATCCGGGCATTTTGGAAGGCCGAGGCGGGCAGATCACTTAAGGTCAGGAGTTTGAGACCAGCCTGGCCAACATAGCGAAACCCTGTCTCTACTAAAAATCTAAAAATTAACCGAGCATGATGGCACATGCCTATAATCCTAGTTACTTGGGAAGCTGAGGCATGAGAATCATTTGAACCCAGGAGAGGGAGGTTGCAGTGAGCCGAGATGGCACTACTGCCCCCTCCAGCCTGGGCAACAGGGTGAGACTGTCTCAAAATAAATAATAAATAAATAAATAAATAAAAGTAAACAGACTTAAATTATTTTTCAGTTGTTGTCAATTTGGCCAAATATACTCTTATACTCTCACATACTCTTATATACTATTACAAAGCCAATGAAGGTTAAAAGTTGTAATTAAAACAGCAAAAACTTGTTTGGAAAAAAAAAATGGTATCCTAACCTATATTACAGAACAAGAACAGAAAAAATACCTCTAACAAATGAAATTCTTCTAAAAATAAAACTATGACCATACTTGGTTTTTAACTGTGGATGTTTTTCTAGACAGAAAACGGTTGATATTTCCAAAGTTAAGATTACTCACGTGTATATAAGCTTGAGTACCAGTAACAAGATTGCCGAACTTCTCTAAAACTATCATTTCTAGTAAGAAAACCCATAAAGATGATTTCAAACAAAATCCCAACATGAGCCTGGGGAAACATTCATGCACCGAGTAGTACCACTTGAGGAGCCTGTGCCAGATGCTGAGGATGCACAGAGGAAAACAAAAACAAAAAAACAGTCCTATACCCAAAAAGTGAGCGAATGGGCTCCTTAATAAGTAGCTTCCTCCAGTAATCTGACTTTCCGTAGCTGGAGCAGGCTGAGGAGCAGCACTGCCTCTCAGAGAGATGAGGGGGAAAGCAAAGGGCAGACTTCATTAAAGTGAAACAGAAGAAGCATTTCCTCATCACAAATACACTTCTACTTTTCCACATCATCTCCAGGTAAACACTAGAATGCATACCTGAGACACAAAAAGAAAAAACAGTAACGACAATTGAGAATATCTTTGCCTATTATGGGCTATTCAGTGAACAGGCAGGATGTCATCTCTGACAGAGGCATAAACTGGGATTATACATGCACTTAGAAAAGGGAAACAAAGCACACCAAAATCAGAAGACATTTGAAAAGTGTTTGTAAAATACATAATCCATTAACTCACACCTGCAAGTCTATGTGCAATTTATAATATATATTAAATATATATTACATATTAGCTCACATATAACATACAATAGCTCAGTGAACGTATCGTGTGTGTGTATGTGTGCATGTTTATATGTTCTTTAAGCTATAAAAACACTTTTAACAAACAGTTGCTTAGAATCTCCTAACTACAAAAGAATACAATCTGAACCTATTATTTTCAATATCTCTTCCTATTAAAAAAGCACATCTTATTATTCCATTATCATACATTTATTATATATGAATATATGCATAAGAAAAAGAAAGTCAAGAAGGCACCATAGCTGATGATTCCATTAACATACCCACATACATGTAAGGAAAACAAAGTCCAGAACGCATCATGACAACATGCTGACAGTGGTTTTGTCCTCTGAGTGGTAGCATTAGAGGTGATTATTTCCTTCTTTATGCTTATCTGTGTTAATTTTTTTTCCAAAATAAGCATGAATTAGCTGTATCTAAAACGTTACATAATGGCCTCCAAGTTCTTACAGCTTTTTCTTACAAAAATGGACAAGGTTAAATATCCCATTTGCCACAATCAATGTACTTACATAGTATGGTTCTGCTTCCCTTTCAGTTATCTCATCCTGATATAGCGTGAAACAAGTTGGAATTCGTCCAAACCACACATCTCGAAGCACATCTTTGTCATCTGTCATTCTTCCAGGAGTTAAAGCAGTACATACAGGCTAAATTCTTATTTCAACCAAAGCCAAACTGAAAATAAAATGAAGAGCATTAGTCAGATCCTTGCAACGATGAATGAACCTGCTAGAAAACAAAAGATTATTTTAAAAAATCCATGCCATAAAGATTATCCACTTCAAAAAAAAAAAACGATGATCACCAATCTTTAGTATAAATTCAAAGAAAAGAGTACAACAAATTCTAAATGTAAAATTATTACTTATGTAAAGGAATCAGATCAAAATTACATATGCCAGTAATATTCATTGCATATTTAAGTACTGAACCACAGTCAAAATGAAACTGTATCTGCATCAGTCTTTCAAGCCCAGAAGAGTCTACTGCTTACCTAAAGAGGAGCTTCACCTATACCCTGTGAATCCTGACAGTCCAACTCCAAAGGATCATTCTCGCATTTACCCCTGCCCCGTCCAATATATTCACCTTTTCCTACTCCAGATAGTTTCTCCTCTCTTCCTGCAAAACTACTCTCCCATCTTAGAAAATATCTCTTTCACATTGGGGAAAAAATCTTTCTATAAACCCATTCCCCATTCTAAATTTCATCCTCTCTACAATTTAATCCCACCAATACTTCCATTTTAATTACTGTACTTCCTTTTGTAAACCCTCTACCAAAAGTGGCCCCCTGAACACCTTTCTCTGTATCCTACTATTCCCCTACCTAGTATGCTCCTCTCTCACTTATTCAAATCCCTACTCTGCAAACCATGCTCACAGCCCTCTGGCCCCAGTGAAACAGTAAATGCTTCCACTTGGATCTCTCAGAATATTCTCTATACCACAAATATAGCACTAGATCTGCAAAACAATATTCTAGGTATGGCATAAGGACATGGCTTTTGACCTCTGTAATATCCAAGTGCCTTCCAATGCTAATATTCTGCAACTGAATAACACATCACAATACACGATATGAGTAAATGCTGAAATAAATATTGTTGATAATATACACTTAGAGTAACTCAACATGTGGCACCTGGATACTAAGATTCAATATACTTATCCAAATAATATTTCTCATCTTTGATAGGCAGCTAATTCATAATCTATCACAATGTAGCCTATGAAAACACTCTAAATAATCTTACGAGTTTAGCCAAATATAAATTATTAACACTGAATTATTCAAGGAGCTTATTTCCCTTTTTTTTCCTCTTCCACTGACCAATGACATTAAGATGGTATAAATTAATTAGTTAAAGAAAGAAAAAGTTGGAGGTCAACTGGATGCAATGTCATCTACAGGTACGTAAACTGCAAGAGGTGGAAAAAATATGTCCAACATAAAAGTACTAGGCAACAAGAATTCTGGTTATTAAACTGAGTCCAGTGCTCTTTCCAGCATACTACTAGTGTTTTAACTTTTATTAAAATATATCCATAAAAACAACTACTTTAAGCGAATGATATACATGCATGTAAACTTCATATCATTCCACACTGATAGGCTACAAATTCAAACTATTGAGTTTCTGCATTTGGCAAAAAATTTCCAAGTTTACAAATGACACAAAATTAACTCACTGAAAATAGGAAAGACCTCACTACGTCCTGATTACATTAATAGCTTGCTCTTTTTAAAGTGAATTCACTAGTGGCAAAAAATAATGAAATCTAGGTTATGACAAATAAGTAAATCTAAAATTGAATCTGATATAAAGGTGGTATGCAGTTGTTTCTGCAGCCATGATACATCCAGTTAGTCAACAGCTGCAACTGAGATTCACCTTTTGATGATGAAGAGAAAAATAATTTGAGACGAAGAGTTCCTCTACTAAAAATATTTAATAAAAGTTAATTACAAGCTTAAAGTTGAAGTCACTATATTGTCACTATTGATATTATTTTTCTTCTCAGAAGAAGCAGATAGAAAATATAATCCAAGACAATTGCTCTTCCCTCCTCTTCAAGCACTGTCCTCTCAAGGAGGAATAGTAATCTGATTGGTCAGATTCCAGGACACCACTTGACATGTTTATTAATAGGCAGGGATGATCATAAACCAAAACATCATGCATGTGAGTGTGGCTCCCTTCTCTCCCCTCTAGGCTGCCAGACGAGAACCCTGACCATCCTGCTCTTTCTTTCCATAACATTCTCTTCTGTTTCTCCCTTCCACATGTCACGAACAGTAAAATGAATGACCAATGCTGCTTCTGAGTCCCTTCCCAAAAGAGATACAAATATAGACTTAGAAGGCAGAACACCTCAAGACTCCAACTACAGGCTTGAGTTTTAAAGTCTTACGTTCCAGCAAAGTTTACCAAAGTTCTACAGTAGGATTTTAAGTACAAAAACTAGTGAAAGATAAATTGGTACTTTATTTCCCATATACCATTGTTGCTTACATGTATATTTTTTGCAAGACCTCAAGGGAAGAACTAACTCAGCCAAGGCAGCTAAAGGTATAATGTAGTAGAGCTGATACAAATGTTGCAAAACAAACAAACTCTGCAAAACAGATTTATGAAAACTGCAAACAAGGCTGCTTACTGCCTCAAAATACACAGACCCAAATTTATAGGATCTTAAAATGTTAATCTTTCAATATTAATGCTTACCTATAATAAATTATATAAGAAAGCATGTCTCCAGTGAATACACTTAACTTTAAAAATATGTAAGAAAAATTGGGGATACATGAATAAAACTAAAGGATGTTAAGTTTTCAATAATACTTTTTTAAAGAGGCAATAAAACAAAATTTAACTCTTGAGAAGCACTATACAGTAGAAGTTAGAAATGTAAAATGTGGAGCCAGACTGTCTGGAGCCAAAACCAGCTCCACCACTTACAGTGTAACCTCAAGTAAGTCATTTAACTTCTCTATTTCTGTTTTCTCATCTGTAACATGGGAAAACAGCACTTACCACATTAGATACAAGAATTAAATGAATACATGTAAAGCACTTGAACAATGTCTATCATATAATATGTACTATAAAGGTTATCTACTATTATAATTTACAGAACAAGAACATGTCTCAAAAATGTTTAAAAGTCAACATTTAAAGACTTCAAAAACTAATAATAATCAAAAGCATTATATAACATAAGTAGTAATTATAGGTATAAAAAAGCTAAAAATTTTGCAGTAAACACTGCTAATAATATGCAATTTAGAGTCAAATATTTAATCGTTTGATATGCCTAGCTGTGTGGCAGGTGCTAGAAGAAGAATAATGGACTTTTAAAAACCTCAATCATTAACAAAGTATAATCTCCAAATCTACTAAACATACTATGCACTTTCTGTCCTTTCTGTGCCTTTGCCCATGCTGGTGGTACCCTTACCCTAAAGCAGCCTTCTTTACCTTATCTTTCAACTTAAACATGCTTTAGGACCCAGCTCAAAATAACCTTTCTTCTACACATGATTCAGGCAGAACTCGCCTTGTTTTCTCTTGGCACCTCTACTTTTCCTCTACCCTTGTAAGTTTTTATCAATAGTATTTATTTGTACGTCTCCTCCAGCAGACTGTAATAGATTCCGTTAGGGAGAAGGATCATATCTCATTCATCTTTTCACCTCTGATACTTGGAATGGTATCTGGAATTCAGTAGGTGCTCAAAAAATGCTTACTGAATTTGAATTTGTTGGAAAGACAGTGTATGAATATAAAACTACAGAACCAAACAGAATCCCAAAAAATGAGGTAAGCAGGTGAGATTAGATAATAAAAATTAGTTAACAGTAGATTATATACTACTTTAAATATCAAGTAACTCCAGAAACACTATACATTTTACATTACCTCACATGTGATACACACAAGCCTATATGTTCCCATTTTACAAATGATAAATTTGAGATGAGGATGTCAGATGATTTTTCTAAAATCTTGTAGCTAATAAATGGCGGAGCCAAAATTAGAAGCCACATCCTAACTCAGGTTTCTAATCTCACATTCTTTCCATCATACTATATTGATTGCCATCATCCCTCCCAACTCCAAAACATCCATTATGTCCATGGTATAATTAAATGTTACTCTGTGAGAGTTTTCATGGGGCAGGGGAAAGAGGAGGGGTTGGAGATATTAATACATCCTATAGTGTTCAAATAATTTTAAAAGATGTGGAACTTGAAGAATGGGTAGAATATGGACAGGCAAAAAGATGACAAATATTCTAACAGGCCAAAATAGCATCAATAAAGGTATTAAGTGGGCAGGTGCAATATATATGCCAACTTTTAAGGAAATTTTGGGTTGAGAGTAGTATTAATAGATAATGAAAGAGCTGATACCATAACCTGTCTTAACATCACACGTGACCTTTAGGCAAGTCACTTTACTTCACTAAGCTTCAATTTCCTTACTTGTGAAGTGGAATTAATATTACCCAAGTCAAAAGGCTGTTCTGAAAAAAAAAAAAATCCATAAAGTGTTTGATACAATAATGGACACATGGTAAGTGCTAGGAAATGCAAGCAATTATTATCCCTCTAATGTCAAATCTATAAATGTAAATAAAATGAGACTAGACCATGAAACATACCAAACAGAAGACTGAGGGGGAATCTCAATC